>NC_000017.11:60685980-61935980 GCF_000001405.40 Homo sapiens
TGCCTCAGCCTCCCGAGTAGCTGGGACTACAGGCGCCCACCGCCACACCTGTCTAATTTTTGTATTTTTAGTAGAGACGGGGTTTCACTGTGTTAGCTAGGATGGTCTCCATCTCCTGACCTTGTGATCTGCCTGCCTCGGCCTCCCAAAGTGCTGGGATTACAGGTGTGAGCCACCGCACCCGGCCTATGTTAGACATTTTTTCTACTGTTTGGTTGACATGAGAACAGTGCTTTCTAACATTTTTTTTCCCACATTTAATTCAGAGTCCTGCGTTGGTACTTTGTGGTCAGACATTAAAAAATAATGTTTTCTGCCAATATTGTGTTCTACCTCCTGCTCTATTCTGGGAATCATCAAATTCATGGAGCCTAGGTATTCTCTGGGTCTGCAAATATCCTCCTAAAGAGAGAACATGTGTTGTTGGACTGGTAGCAGCTTCTTTAGTTATCACTCATTGAATTCTAGTTGTGATAACATTGATGGATGGTAGTTGCCCTTGGCTGTGTCTTGATCTAATAATTTCACTTATGAAAATTTATTTATTTAATTTTTTTTTTTTGAGATGGAGTTTCACTCTTGTCGCCCAGGCTGGAGTGCAATGGCATAATCTCGGCTCACTGCAACCTCTGCCTACGAGTTTCAAGCGATTCTCCTGCCTCAGCCTCCTGAGTAGCTGGGATTGCAGGCATGTGCCAACACGCCCGGCCAATTTTTGTATTTTTAGTAGAAACGGGGTTTCACCATGTTAGCCAGGCTGGTCTTGAATTCCTGACCTCAGGTGATCCTCCTGCCTTGGCCTCGCAAAGTTCTGGGATTACAGGCGTGAGCCACTGCACCTGGCCGAAAATTTATTTTAAAAAATAATTCAACAAAGAAAAAGTTGAAGCTTAGAACTTTTCAGTATATATGAAATTTTTACATTTTCAGTGTAAAAACTTGTAACCAGCTTAAATGTCAATTAATAAGCAAATGATGATATATCATGGTCCCTATAGAATAATTTGCTATAAATAAAAATTATGGCAATAGTACACTATGGAAATTATTTTCTCTATAGTGAGCAAATAAGACAACATACAGAATGACACCTACAATGATTATAGCTATGTTATATAAAATTCAAAAATAACTTTGTACTTATCAGTGTGTGTAGTGTGTTAGAAACCAGTGTTGAAATATAAAAGAAGTAAATAAATCTTTTCAGTAGTGAGGTGAAAGTTTTGACTTTAAATAAGAGGGCTAAATCGGTTGCTCTTGTTTGAAGAAGGGCTTTTAATCAGTGCTGGGGGAAAAGGAAAAGTGTGGCAGTACACTGACCTCTATAAAGACATCAGGTGATCCTGGGTGTGGTGGCTCACACCTGTAATCCCAGCACTTTGGGAGGCCTAGGCGGGCAGATTGCTTGTGCCCAGGAGTACCAGACCAGCCTGAGCAACATGGTGAAACCCCATCTCTACAGAAAATACAAAAATTAGCTGGGTGTGGTGGTGCACACCTGTAGTCCCAGCTATTTGGGAGGCTGACATGGGTGGACCGTTTGAGCCCAGGAGGCGGAGGTTGCAGTGAGCTGAGATCATACCACTGCACTCCAGCCGGGGTGACAGAACCAGACCCTGTCTCGAGAAATACAAAAACAGAAACCCAAAAACAACTTTTTTTTTTTAAAGACATCAGGTGAAAGGTAGAAGGGCAATAGGTGAGTCTGTGTCTTACTGAGAATAAAATATCTAAGCATGGGAAAAGGAGATCATAAGAGGCAAAAAATGACGTGATTCACCTTTGTGCAAAGCTGTAGTAAGGAACACACGAAGCAGAGCTCAGGTGCTTCAGTTGTCTTCCCAGAATTTTCTCAAAAATTCTGAGTAAAAAACACCATGTCCACTAAGGAGAGAGGAAACTTGAAGACATAGTGAAAGCATATAAGCCTCATTTTGTAAGACTTATTTCCCCCTCACAGGGAAAGCAAAAAGAGGTTCAAGAATCCCAATACACTGAAAGACCTTCTTTGACCTTGTTTTGTTCTGCATATCACTCAGAAATCAAATGTCGCAAAGGAATAAGTCTGCTAAGCTGAAGAAGAATTTGAAAATGTTATTGCTTCACCACGTTAAAGGAAAGGAAAGCCTGATACAGGAAAAAAGGAAGTTGTCCTAAATGCAGGATAGCATCCTGGTTTGGATCCTGGAGCAGAGAAAGGACATTAGTGAGAAAGGTTGTGAAATCCAAATAATGTCTGGGGTTTAATAGTAATGCACCAGTGTTACTTTTGTAGTTTCGAGAAATGCAAATGTTAGATTTGATTAGATTAGATAATATTAGGGGAGAATTTTTTTTTTGAGACAGGGTCTTGCTCTCACCCAGGCTGGAGTACAGTGGCACTATCATGGCTCACTGCGGCCTCAATTTCCCAGATTCAGGTGATCCTCCCATCTCAGCCTCCCTGGTAGCTGGGACTACAGGTGCATGCCACCATGCCCAGATTTTTTTTCTGTAGAGATGAGGTTTCTCCATGTTGCCCAAGCTGGTGTTTTTTAAAAAAGGTATGTTAGGCAGGGCATGGTGGCTCACCTGTGTAATCCCAGCACTTTGGGATGCCGAGGCGGGGCGGATCACCTGAGGTCAGGAGTTCAAGACCAGCCTGGCCAACATGGTGAAACCCCGTCTCCACCAAAAAGACAAAAAATTAGCTGGGCGTGGTGGCACACGCCTATAGTTCCAGCTACTTGGGAGGCTGAGGCAGGAGAATCACTTGAACCCGGGAGGTGGAGGGTACAGTGAGCCAAAATCATGCCACTGCACTCCAGCCTGGGTGATAGAGTGAGACTCTGTCTCAAAAAAAAAAAAAAAGAAAGAAAAAAACATGCTTTATGGAGAGATGCCTCCTTTTGAATACTGTTGAATACTGTTGATACTTCATGCCATTAATGCTTGTCTTTTGATCCTTGCAGGCTTCCAGGAAGCAGCTGATAGGTTGGGTCTAGAAGCTTGATAAGAGACTAAAAAAGTACAGTAATACTCACACCAGTATAATTGCCACAAACACCTAGCACTTAATAGTTAAAGGTAGTAGTTGTGTTTGTTTTCTAAGCCTTATTTGTTGACCAGTATAGCGGATGGTTAGTCTTTCATTTGCCTTTGAATTATAGTAATGCTTCAAAATAGATTGTGATCATTGTATTTTAGGTTTCTGCAGTTCTTTTTTTTGTGGGGGACAGAGTCTTGCTCAGTCGCCTAGGCTGGAGTGCGGTGGCACGATCTCTGTTCATTGCAATCTCTGCCTTCCAGGTTTAAGTGATTCTCGTGTCTCAGCCTCCCCAGTAGCTGGAATTACAGGCATGTGCCACACCTCACCCAGCTAATTTTTGTGTTTTTAGTAGAGACAGAGTTTCGCCATGTTGGCCAGGCTGGTCTTGAACTCCTGGCCTCAAGTGGTCTGCCTGCCTTGGCCTCCCAAAGTGCTGAGATTACAGGTGCCTAGCCTGCAGTTCTTTTAATAAGTTAAAAACTCTTTTGACCAAGGTTATGAGACTCATGGATAATATTCTTTGGGGGTAATAATGTTCTAAAATATTCTAGTTACCAAGATGTAGGGTTGGTGAAGTTGGAGAGGTATAGTGTTGGCTTTAAGTCACTTTGTTTTGAACATCAGTAATATTAAAGCTGTAAAATATGTTTATTCAAATGTTTCTGTTTACTATGCAGGCTTACAGTGGAACACCTCTAACAGAAGAAAAGGAGAAAATAGTCTGGGTCAGATTTGAAAATGCAGATTTAAATGGTATGGTTTTAACTTTTTTTGGGACGTGTGAATTAATTGTTTGTTTGGAGTACCTGATTCCAAAAAGAGAGCCTCTACTTTAGTCAGATTACTTTCTCTTATAGTAATTTTTCAGTTTTCAAAATAAAAGGTAGCATAACCGCAGTACAGAAACTTTAGAACTAATATTGTGTAATAAGCCTTAAAGTAACTATAACACAGTGTGTAAGTGTTAAACTTTGATGAAGTTAAAGTGAGTTAAAATTTTCTTAGGCAGAAAAATGGTTTTCTTAAAAAAGGAGTTATTCAAGTTTGGTCAGTTATATAAGATTTATAACTGCAAAATAATCATTAGTGTTGAACTTTCTTGGCTTGAAAATTGTTTTTTTCTGAACAGAATTTTATGCTAGTCCAAGTACCTCATATAAGTGGAATCGTACAGTATTTGCCTTTTTGTAACTGGCTTATTTCACTTAGCATAGTGTCCTCAACGTTCATCTACATTGTAGCATAGGTCAGAATTTCCTTCCTTTTAAAGGCTGAATGAGGCAGGGCATAGTGGCTCACACCAGTAATCCCAGCACTTTGGGAGGTTGAGGCAGGAGGATCGCTTGATCTTAGGAGTTCAAGACCTGCCTGGGCAACATAGCGCGACCTTGTCTCTACAAAAACTTAAAAAATTAACTAGGCTTGGTGGTGTGTGCCTGTAGTTTCAGCTACTTGGGAGGCTGAGGTGGGAGGATTGCTTGAGCCTGGGAGGTCTAGGCTGCAGTGAGCCGAGATCGTGCCACTGCACTCCAGCCTGGGTGATGGAGTGCAACCCTGTCTAAAAATAAATAAATAAATACAGTTAAATAAGTAAGTAAATAAAAAAAAATCATTTATAAAAGGCTGGATGGGCTGAGCACTTTGGCTCATGCTTGCAGTCCCAGCACTTTGGGAGGCTGAGGTGGGAGGATCACATGAGGTCAGGAGTTCAAGACCAGCCTGGCCAACATGGTGAAACCTCGTCTCTACTAAAAATACAAAATTAGTCGGGCATAGTGGCACACTCCTGCAGCCCTAGCTGCTCAGGAAGCTGAGGCAGGAGAATCGCTTGAACCCAGGAGGTGGAGGCTGCAGTGAGCCGAGATTGTGCCACTGCATTCCAGCCTGGGCGACAGAGCGAGACTTTGTCTCAAAAAAACAAAAACAAAAACAAAAACAAAACAAAAGGGAGTCTCACTCTGTCGCCCAGGCTGGAGTGCAGTGGAATGATCTTGGCTTACTGCAACCTGCGCCTCCTGGGTTCAGGTGATTCTCCTGTCTCAGCCCCCTGAGTAGCTGGGATTACAGGTGCTCGCCATCACGCCCAGCTAATTTTTGTATTTTTAGTAGAGACGAGGTTTCACCATGTTGGTTAGGCTGGTCTCAATCTCCTGACCTCAGGTAATTCACCTGCCTCGGCCTCCCAAAGTGCTGGGATTACAGGTGTGAGCCACTGCGCCCAGCCTCCTATCTCTTTGAGACTCTACTTTTGAGAATTGCTGGCTTATATAGTAATGCTGTTTTTAATGTTTTGAGGAACCACCATGGTTTTCCTCAGTGAACGTACCATTTTTCATTCCCACCAACAATGTACAAGGGTCCCAACTTCTCCACACCCTTTCCAACACTTGTTAGTTTCCTCTCTCTCTCTCTCTCTCTTTTTGGTAGTAGCCATCCTAATGGGACTGGGTTGTGGTTTTGATTTGGATTTTCCTGATGATTAGTAATGTTTAGCATCTTTTTATGTGCTTATTGGCCATTCATTTAGCTTCTTTGGAGAAATGGCTCTTCATGTCCATTGCCCATTTTTTAATTGTTTTTGTTTGTTTATTTAGTTTTAGGAGTTTTCTAAATATCCTGGGTATTAATTCCTTATTAGATATATGATTTAACAATATTTTCTCCTATCCTGTGAGTTGCCTTTTCCTTAAAGACTTTTCAAATATGAAGCCTTTTTTTTTTTTTAGAGCCACCATCCACGATGAGAAAGTCTGAGTGTCGCTTTTACAGATTGGTTTCATTTGAATTTTGGACTCTCTATTAGCTTATTCTTTCAAATAATAACAATTTGTTGGGTCCTCTTTATGGAGAGTAAAACATTAGTTTTTAAGGGTGATTGTTTATGATATCCATGACAAATATTTTTTGAAATTTTTTTCATTTTGGAACATTACAGTGACTGAAATTAGAAGTAGAAGCAGTAAAGCCCCACCCAGAGTTTGCAGTGAGCCGAGAACATGCCATTGCACTCCAGCTTGGGGGCAACAAGAGTGAAACTCTGTCTCAAAAAAAAAAAAAAATGGAGAAACACAGAAGAAAAAGTGGATTGGTCATTTCAAAGTTATTTCCCTTACCAGCTGTCAACAAAGAAACAAAACAATAGAGAAATAACTGATTGGTTAACATCAGGTTACTTCAGGTTATCTTTTGTTCTAAAGATTAAAACAGAGGGAACTTTATTTTATTTTATTGATATATTTATTTATTTTTGAGATGGAGTCTCTCTCTGTCACCCAGGCTGGAGTGCACCCAGGCGCGATCTCAGCTCACTGCAAGCTTCGCCTCCTGGGTTCACACCATTCTTCTGCCTCAGCCTCCCAAGTAGCTGGGACGACAGGCACCCGCCACCATGCCCGACTAATTTTTTTTGTATTTTAGTAGAGACGGGGTTTCATCATGTTAGCCAGGATGGTCTCGATCTCCTGACCTCGTGATCCGCCCGTCTTGGCCTCCCAAAGTGCTGGGATTACAGGCGTGAGCTACCATGCCTGGTGAAACAGAGGGAACTTTATTATCATGCATGTTGAATATTGAAACAGGACTCCTTGGCCAGGTGCTCACCTGTAGTCCCAGCTACTCAGGAGGCTGAGGCAGGAGAATCACTTGAACCCAGGAGGCGGAGGTTGTAGTGGGCTGAGATGTCACCACTGCACTTCAGCCTGGGCAACAGAGCGAGACTCCATCTCAAAAAAAAAAAAAATTAGCTGGAGTGGTGGCATGTACCTGTAATCCCAGCTATTCGGGAGGCTGAGGAGGAGAATCGTTTGAACCCAGGAGGTGGAGGTTACAATGAACCAAGATCGCGCCACTGCACTCCAGCCTGGGCGACAGAGAGATATCCTTTCTCAAAAAAAGAAAAAAGAAAGAAAAGTTCCATGTCACCAAACTGAAACTAAGTTGTTATCTGACCTTAGGAGAAATCAGAAAAGAGACATAACAGCCAATTTCCCAAGGAGAATCGCTTGAACGCAGGAGGTGGAGGTTGCCCGGCTAATTTTTTGTATTTTTAGGAGAAACAGGGTTTCACCATGTTGGCCAGGCTGATCTTGAACTCCTGACCTCAGGTCATCTGCCCGCTTTGGCCTCCCAAAGTGCTGGGATTACAGGCATGAGCCACTGACTTGATTTATACCCAGGCTTGTTTCTCTCAAGACACTACACTGAGAAAGGTATAAGTAGCCAAAGCAGTTTAATATTCTGACATTTTTCTGTCAAATTCTCTAAAGGTGAGAATATAGTTTGAATCCCAGACTACATCAGATCAAATTGATGCTGGTTTACTCTAGTATAATGGGAATTGCTTTCTAGCCTGTGCAGTGAAATTCTTACTATCCCCTAATCCCATACTTCATACTTGGCCAGTTTTTGTATTTTTTTTTTTGACAGAGTCTCACTTTTTCACCCAGGCTGGAGTGCAGTGGCCTGAACTTGAACTTGGCTCACTGCAGCCCCGACCTTCTGGGCTCAAGCAATCCTCCCACCTCAGCCTCCTTAGTAGCTTGGACCACAGGCATGTACCACTATGCCTGGCTAATTTTTTGACTTTTTGTAGTTGGGGTCTCACCATGTTCCCTAAACTGGTCTCAAACTCCTGGGCTCAAGCAGTCCTCCTACCTTTACCTCATAAAGTACTGGGATTGCAGGTGTGAGCTACTATGCCCGGCATGGCCAGTTCTAATATCAAGGTCTAGTACTATATTTGAGTGTTGGATTTCATGTTCAACAGGCCCTTTTTTTCAGTTGCAAGTAATTGTTTTAAGTAAAAAAGGGAATTATTTTTTTTTAATTTTGGAAAAATATAGCATAAAATTTACCATTTTAACCATTAAAAATTTTAATTTTTTTTTTTTTTTTTTGAGATGGAGTCTTGCTCTGTCTCCCAGGCTGGAGTGCAGTGGCGTGATCTTGGCTCACTGCAAGCTCCACCTCCTGGGTTCATGTCATTCTCCTGCCTCAGCCTCTCGAGTAGCTGGGACTACAGGCACCTGCCACCATGCCCGGCTAATTTTTTGTATTTTTTAGTAGAGACGGGGTTTCACCATGTTAGCCAGGATGGTCTCGATCTCCTGACCTCATGATCTGCCCGCTTCGGCCTTCCAAAGTGCTGGGATTACAGGCGTGAGCCACCGCGCCCGGCCAAACATTTTAATTTTTAAAAAAATTATTGATTATTGGCTGGGCGTGGTGGCTCATGCTTGTAATCCCAACACTTTGGGAGGCTGAGGTGAGCAGATCACAAGGTCAAGAGATCAGGATCATCCTGACCAACATGGTGAAACCCCATCTTTACTAAAAAAACAAAAATTAGCTGGGCGTGGTGGCATGCGCCTGTAGTCACAGCTACTTGGGAGGCTGAGGCAGGAGAATTGCTTGAACACAGGAGGTGGAGGATGCAACAAGCCGAGACTGTGCCACTGCACTCCAGCCTGGTGACAGAGTGAGATTCCATCTCAAAAAAAAAAAATTTATTGATCATTAAAAATTGAGACAAGGTCTCACTGTGTTGCCTAGGTGTCGAACTTCTGGGCTCAAGCCATCCTTCTGTCTCAGCCTCCGAAAGTGTTGGGATTTTAGGCGTGAGCCACCATGCATGGTCTTAATTTTTTTTTTTTTTTTGGTAGAGATGAGGTGTTGCTGTGTTGCCCAGGCTGATCTTAAACTCAAGTGATCCTCCCACCTCGGTGTCCCAAAGTGCTGGGATTGCATGTGTGGGCAACAATGGCCATCATCATTTTAAAGTATATTGTCAGTATTGTTAAATAATTTACATTGTCGTACAACCAGTCTTCAGAATTCTTCATTGTGCAAAACTGAAACTCTGTACCCATTGCACAACAACTCCACAGTCTCTACCTCCTCCCAGCCCCTGGCAACCACCACTCTACTTTCTGTTTCTATGATTTTTAACTACTTTAGGGACCTCACATGGGTAGAATGATAGATTATTTGCCTTTTTGTGATTACCTATTTCACTTAACATAATGTTCTCAAGGTTCATTCATGTTGTAGCATGTGTCAGAATTTTCTTCCTTTTTAAGGCTGAATCATGCTTCATTGTATGTATATACCACATTTTTTTTTTTTTTTTTTTGAGATGGAGTCTCGCTCTGTCACCCAGGCTGGAGTGCAGTGGCGTGATCTCAGCTCACTGAAACCTCCATCTCCCAGGTTCAAGCGATTCTCCTGCCTCGGCCTCCTTAGCATCTGGGACTACAGGCGTGCGCCATCACACCTAGCTAATTTTTGTATTTTTGTAGAGACGGGGTTTCATCATGTTGGCCAGGATGGTCTCTTGACCTCGTGATCTGCCCACCTCGGCCTCCCAAAGTGTTGGGATTGCAGGTGTGAGCCACCGCGCCCAGCCCTGTACCACATTTTATTTTATTCATTCATTTATTGAAAGACATTTGTGTTGCTTCTACCTTTTGGCTTTGGGAACAATGCTGTAATGAACATGGGTGTACAAATATCTCTTCTAGTGGAATTGTTGTATCATATGGTAATTCTTTTTTAAATTTTTTGAGGAACCACCATACTGTTTTCCATAGAAGATTTAAAATTTTATTTTTAGAGACAAGTCTTGCTGTGTCATTCAGGGTGGAATGCAGTGAAATGATCACAGCTCACTGCAACTTTGAACTGCTGGGCTCATATGATCCTCCTGCCTTAGCCTCCCAAGTAGCTAGCACTATAGGCACATGCCACCATGCCCAGCTTATTTTTAAATTTTTTGTAGAGATGAGGTCTTGCTATGTTGCCCAGGCTGATCTTGAACTACTGGCCTCAAGGAATCCTCCTGCCTCAGCCTCCTAAAGTGCTGGGATACAGGCATGAGCCACTGTACTTGGGCTCATAGGGGATTTAAAAATAATCTACTCATGGATCTGGGAAAGATTGGGGCTTCATACTTTTAATCTTTGTCCACTTCTTGTCACTACTTCTTTCTGAATGTTTGCATCTCTTCTTTGACTTCTTTAACAAAGAGACAGTTGGTGCAGTGGTTACTCAAAGCTCTTTATTCATACCTTTATGATTATATGATACAATCAAAGAGGAAAAAGTATTCATTAGGAGATCCAGATGGCTCAGTCTGAGTCACTCTCCCATTATTGGAATAGTTGCTGTGGCCAAGGATGTAGTACTAGAATTGCTCAGCTGGTCATGTGCCTATCCCTGTGCTTGATGGAGGATAAGATTAGTTACCAGAATAGAGGGAGTTACAGAGTAGAAAGTGTGTGAGGTACACAAAGGTAATAGCTGCTACAGCTGGGCACAGTTGCATGCACCTGTAGTCCCAGCTGCTCAGGAGGCTGAGGTAGGAGAATCGCTCGAGTCCAGGAGTTCTGAGCTATAATGTGCTATGCCGATTGGGTGTCTGCACTAAGTTCAGCATCAATATGGTGACTTCCCAGGAGTGGGGAACTACCAGGTTGCCTAAGGAGGGGTGAACCAGCCCAGTTCAGAAACAGTTAAAACTCCCATGCTGATGAGTAGTGAAACTGCATCAGTGAACAGCCACTGCAGTCCAGCCTGGGCAACATAGTGAGACCCCATCTCTAAAAGAAAATGCTGCTATCAGCTTCTATTGCTTTAGAAGCTTGGGTCCCTTAGCTACCTGAAGATGCCTCCTAGACATCCTCACATAGATGTCCCACAGATGCCTCAAACTCTGATTTCTTTTCCCATCTAATTGTCTCTCCTTAGCAGCTGTGCACTGACCCTATTTACCTTTCAGGTCATTAAAGCCACAGAACTTTTCATGCCTCAGGATCTTTGCAAAGGGGACCCTCTAGGTGAAATGTTATTTTCTGCCCCTATCATTATTTACCTTTTAGAGTGTACAAAAATGACTTGAAAGGCTGGGCGCGGTGGCTCATGCCTGTAATCCCAGGACTTTGGGAGGCCAAGACGGGTAGATCACTTGAGCCCAGGAGTTCAAGACCAGCCTGGGCAACATGGCAAAACCCCATCTCTACAAAAAAATATTAAAAAATTAGCTGGGTATGGTGGTATGTCCCTGTAGTCCTACCTACTCGAGAGGCTGAGGTGGGAGGATTGCTTCAGCCCAGGAGGTCGAGGCTTCAGCAGGCTGTGTTTGTGTCACTGCGCTTCAGACTGGGTGACAGGGCAAGACCCTACCTCTGAATGAATGAATGAATAAATGAGGGAGGGAAGGAGGGAAGGGAGGAAGGAAAAGAAAGAAGCAGGTTTGGGAAGAAAGATTCAGTTTTGGCTGGGCGTGGTGGCTCATGCCTGTAATCCCAGTGCTTTGGGAGGCCGAGGCAGGTGGATCTCCTGAGGTCAAGAGTTCAAGACCAGCCTGGCCAACATGGTGAAACCCCGTCTCTACTAAAAATACAAAATAAATAAATAAATAACTAAAAAATAAGCTGGGCATGGTGGCAGGTGCCCGTAATCCCAGCTACTTGGGAGGCTGAGGCAAGAGAATTGCTTGAAGCCAGGAGGTGGAGGTTGCAGTGAGCTGAGATTGCACCACTGCACTCCAGCCTGGGTGACAGAGTGAGACTCTGTCTCAAAAAAAAAAAAAAAAAAAAAGATTCGGTTTCACTTTACACCTTGACTTTTGAGGTGTGAATAGAAATCCAGTATCCCTATCCTCCCACCAGTTGCAAACAGTCTTCTAAGGAGGGAGAGTATACTGAGTGCAGTCATGGAAGATTCACAGATAAGTTAAGACTGGACAAGGTTTTGAAGGATGGGTGAATCAAAGGAAGGGAGGACATTGTAGTTGGCTGAAACCATGCAAGAATGCTAGATGTCTCTATAGGAAAGACCGTAAAGTTCAGATTTAGAGGTAGAATAAGAAAAAAGAAGCCAGTAAAGAAAATAGGCCGGGTACGATGGCTCACGCCTGTAATCCCAGCACTTTGGGAGGCTGGGGCAGGCAGATCACGAGGTCAGGAGATTGAGACCATCCTGGCTAACACGGTAAAACCCCGTCTCTACTAAAAATACAAAAAATTAGCCAGGCGTGGTGACGGGCGCCTGTAGTCCCAGCTACTCGGGAGGCTGAGGCAGAAGAATGGTGTGAACCTGGGAGGCAGAGCTTGCAGTGAGCTGAGCCGAGATTGCACCGCTGCACTGGCCTGGGTGACAGAGCGAGACTCCGTCTCACAAAAAAAAAAAAAAAAAAAAAAGAGCAGCAGTGGAGAAAATAAATAGTGATTCTATGATAGAGGATATAAAATGAAAGGAAAGCCAAGGAAAAAGGATTTACTTAAATGTATAATAACTTTGAGGAATAATATAACATTTCTACAAAATTAAGGTTTTTGTTCAAGAACAATAAAGTCTGGCCAGGCCTGGTGGCTTATGCCTGTAATCCAGCACTTTGGGAGGTTGAGGCAAGAGTACTGCTTGAGCCCAGGAGTTCGAGACCAGTCTGGGCAACACAGTGAAACTCTGTCTGTATTTACAAAAAGAAATAATAATAAAAGAAATCTGCTGTATCACCACCATCCAGAGAAAGTGACTAAGTGAAATCTAAAATAAGAAAAAGGAGATTTTGTATATATTATGACCTCAGGGGTTTTATGTGTGGCATTTGAACCTGGGATCAAGATGGTACTTGTGGTAGAAAGATGATTGGATTGAGTATCAAAAAGCCCTAAGATTTCTCATTCAGTTATGAGTAAAGTATACCTAACTTGTTTTTGCCAATGATAAAATGAAGTTGACCTCTCTGCATATAAAAAAGGATTCCAGGGCCAGGCACAGTGGCTCACGCCTGTAATCCCAGCACTTTGGGAGGCTGAGGCAGGTGGATCACCTGAGGTCAGGAGTTCAAGACCAGCCTGGCCAACATGGTGAAACCCCATCTTTACTAAGTAATACAAAAATTAGCTGGGTGTGGTGGTGGGCATCTGTAATCCCAGCTGCTTGGGAGACTGAGGTGGAGAGAATTGCTTGAACCTGGGAGGCAGAGGTTGCAGTGAGCCAAGACTGCATCACTACACTCTAACCTTAGTGACAGAGCGAGACTCCGTCTCAAAGAAAACAAAAACAGAACAAAAAACAAAACAAGAACAACAAAAAAACAGGATTCCGTCTCAAAAATAAATAAAACAGAATTGATATGTCAGATTTGATGATGTACACAAAAGCACATAGAAACTTATAAAACACCATTTGTTTATTTATTTATTTACTTATTTATTTATTTATGAGACAGAGTCTCACTCTGTCCCTTAGGCTGGAGTATAGTGACACAATCTTGACTCACTGCAACATCCGCCTCCTGGGTTCAAGCAGTCCTCTTGCCTCAGCCTCTCCAGTAGCTAGGATTACAAGCATGCACCATCACGCCCAGCTAATTTTTGTATTTTTAGTAATTTTTGTATTTTAGTTTCAGCATTTTGGCCTGGCTGGTCTTGAACTTCTGACCTCAAGTGATCTGCCCACCTCAGCCTCCCAAAGTGTTGGGATTACAGGCGTGAGCCACCACGCCCAGCCAAAAACACCATTTGAATGTCAGGTGTAAAAATAATTATGCCCTAGGTACATAAGTTTATAATTCTGAATTTTGCTGGATATGGAATCATGTACTATTAACATGGCAACAGTGAATTCCTGTCAAAAGAAAATGGGCATTAAAGAATTACTGATGTATTAGCCATTTAATAATTTTGATTTTTATCTTTGAGAATAGGAAGTCATTAATACGGGAGATGGAGGTAAAGAGGTATGTCATTATTGGTGTTTTAAAAAGAGCAGTTGGCTGGGAGGTAGGGATTGCAGTGAGCCGAGATCGAGCCACTGCACTCCAGCCTGGGCGACAGAGCAAGACTCCGTCTCAAAAAAAAAAAAAAAAAAAGAGCAGTTTTGGCTGGGCTTGGTGGTTCACACCTGTAATCTCAGCACTTTGGAAGGCCAAGGTGGAGGACTGTTTGAGGTCAGAAGTTTGAGACCAGCCTGGGCAACAGAGTGAAATCCCATCTCTACAAAAAAATTAAAAAAGTAGCCAGGCATGGTGGCACGTCCCTATGGTCCCAGCTACATGGGAGGCTGAGGCAAGAGGATTCCTCGAGCCCAGGAGGTTGAGGCTGTAGTGAGTCATGTTTGTGTCATTGTACTCCAGTTTGGACAACAGAGTGAGACCCTGTCTCAAAAAAAAAAAAGAAGCAGTTCAACTCTTACGTGAAGTTTGGTGAGCAGTGGTGGAAGCAGGAAGCCATGTATGCTTTTGGAGTAGCTGTTGTAGCTTAGACAGGGTGGTGGTGGTGTAAGAGGAATGAAGAGAACTGTTTAGGAAGACACAGGGACTTGGGATAGATTTACTGGTATAGGTGAGGAAGAAAGTGGTTCCTGGCTTTGCCAATGGGGTAATGATGCTTTTCACCAAAATAAGGGACCCTGGAGGAAAATCAGGCTTGGTGAGGAAGTCATGATCTTTGAGTGGAGTTTGCACTCCTGTGGAGACATCCAAACTCTATATTGAGGAAGTCACTAGCAGATACTAGTTGAAGTAATGGGTGGAATGAGTTAACCTAGGAGAGGATATATGGTAAGAAATGGAAATTTAGAAATTGGTTTTGAGTAACTCCAATATTTAGAGACTAGGTAGAAAAGAATGCTCCAGCAGAGAGAATGGTGAAGGAGTGACTAGAGAAAGTGAAGAAAAGTTAGAGGATTATCCCTGAAAGACCAAGGGAGAGTATTTTAAGGAATAAATGGTGACCATTGGTTCTAGTTGCTGCGCAGTCTAAAAAGATGTGCTTGAAAATTATCTATTGGATTGAACAACTTAGAGATTATTGGTGACCATTAGTGGTGACCAGAAATGGGAGGAGTGTTAGGGACATTCTGAAGTGGGTTTGGGGTAAATGTTAGATGAAAAATAATGACAGTTGTGAATAACCCAATTAAGGAATTTAGCTTCTAGAAGGAGAGGGGAGGCTGGGTGTGGTGGCTGACATCTGTAATCCCAGCACTTTGGGAGGCTGAGGTGGGCAGATCACTTGAGGTCAGGAGTTTGAGACCAGCCTGGCTAACATGGCAAGACCCCGCCTCTACTAAAAATACAAAAATTAGCCAGGCGTGGTGACGCACATCTGTAATTCCAGCTACTCAGGAGGCTGAGGCACTAGAATCGCTTTAACTGGGGAGGCGGAGGTTGCAGTGAGCCGAGATCACACCACTGCACTCCAGCCTGGGTGATGGAGTGAGTCTGTCTCCAAAAAAAAAATAAATAAATAAAAGTCGGAGAGGAGAGCGATGAAATCAAGTCGAGGAAGAGGAATGTTTATTGCTTTATGATTTTGGAAAACATTTATTGTACAAAATATGGCAAATAACACAAAAGTATAGATTAGTGAATGAGTTTTTACAAATCCAATGCTTATGTAACCAACACCAAAAAAATAGAATATAGTTGACCCTTTAATAATGTGGGTTTGAACTGTGCGGGTCCACTTTAGTTATACCCAAACTTTTTGGAATAAATACATTGGAAAATTTTTTGGAGATTTGTGTGACACTTTGACAAAACTTGCAGATGAACCACATAGCCTAGAAACATCAAAAAAATTAAGAAAAAGATATGTCATGAATGCATAAGATGTATAGATACTAACCTATTTTATCATTTACTATAAAATATACACAAATCTAGGCCAGGCACGGTGGCTCACGCCTGTAATCCCAGTACTTTGGGAGGCCGAGGCAGGTGGATCATTTGAGGTCAGGAGTTCAGGACTAGCCTGGCCAATGTGGTGACACTCCATCTCTACTAAAAATACAAAAAAAAAAAAAAAAGAAAAAGCCAGGCGTGGTGGCACACGCCTGTAATCCCAGCTTCTTGGGAGACTGAGGCAGGAGATGCGCTAGAGCCCAGGAGGTGGAGGTTGCAGTGAGCCAAGATTGTGCCAGTGCACTCCAGCCTGGGTGACAGAGTGAGACTCTGTGTCAAAAAAATAAAAAAAGAAAGAAAAGTATGTCTCTCTCTCTCTATGTATATATGTATGTATAGATACACACACACACACAAATCTATTATAAAAAGTTAAGATTTATCAAAATGTACACACACACTTAACAGACAGTACATGGTGCCATCTGTAATCATGTAAACGTATAGATGTAGTTGAATTGAATGCAATTGAATTTTAACTGCATAAAATTACCTGTAGTACATACTGTACTACTGTAATAATTTTGTAGTGACCTCCTGCCGCTGTTGCAGGGAGCTCAAGAATTGCGAGTATTCGCTTAAAATCATCTCTGGTGAGCAGTTTATCTTTCTAGTAAATTGCTGTGTCAAAGTAAAAAGTGATCTCTTTAGATTCTCACCTATTTTGCATCATGTTAATTGTAAAACTATAAACCTTGAATACCACGATGGGACCCATATGAAGTGCCCACTAGTGATGCTGGAGATTCTCCCAAGAATCAGAGAGAAGTCATGACATCATGATAAAAAGTTGAATTGATTGATATGTACTGTAGATTGAAGTCTGCAGCTGTGATTGCCCACCATTTCAAGGTAAAGGAATCTGGCCTAAGGACTATTGTTAAAAAAGAAAAGGAATTTTTTTTTTCTTTGAGACAGCGTCTTCCTCTGTCACCTAGGCTGGAGTGCAGTGGTACAGTCTCAGCTCAGTGCAGCCTCCACCTCTGGGGCTCAAGCAATCTTCCCACCTCAGCCTCCGAAGTAACTGGGACTGTAGGCGTGTGCCACAGCGCCTGGCTAATTTTTGTATTTTTTTGTAGAGATGGGGTTTTGCCATGTTGCCCAGGCTGGTCTCAAACTCCTGAGCTCAAGTGATCCGCCCACCTTCATCTCCCAAAGTGCTGAGATTACAGGCGTGAGCCACCATGCTCAGTCCAAGGAAAGGAAATTCTTGATGCTGTCATTGCAGTGACACCAGCAGGCACCAAAACCTTGCACATTTTGCTTAATACTTTTTTATCTCATATTGAAAATGCAGGCTGGGCGCGGTGGCTCATGGCTGTAATCCCAGCACTTTGGGAGGCCAAGGTGGGTGGATCACCTGAGGCCAGGAGTTTGAGACCAGCCTGGCCAACATGGTGAAACACCGTCTATACTAAAAATACAAAAATTAGCTGGGTGTTGTGGCAGGTGCCTCTAATCCCAGCTACTTGGGAGGCTGAGGCAGGAGAATCATTTGAACCCGGGAGGTGGAGGTTGCAGTGAGCTGAGATCGTGCCACTGCACTCCAGCCTGAGCGACAGAGTGAGACTCTGTCTCAAAAAACAGAAAAAAAGAAAATGCAGCTTTTAGGCCAGGCGCGGTGGCTCACCCTTGTAATCCCAGCACTTTGGGAGACTGAGGCGGGCAGATCACTTGAGCTCAGGAGTTCAAGACTAGTCTGGGCAACATGGCAAAACCCCGTCTTTATGAAAATTAGCTGAATGTGGTGGCGTATGCTTGTATTCCCAGGCAGGAGATCGCTTGAGCTTGGGAGGCAGAGGTTGCAGTGAGCTGAGATAGCACATTGCACTTCAGCCTGGGCAATGGGAGTGAAACCTTGTCTCAAAAAAAAAAAATTAATTAAAATAAATGCAGCTTTTACATGGGTGCAGGATGCTGTAAGAAAGACTTACCTAGCCGGGCGCGGTGGCTCACGCCTGTAATCCCAGCACTTTGGGAGGCCGAGGCGGGTGGATCACGAGGTCAGGAGATCGAGACCATCCTGGCTAACATGGTGAAACCCCGTTTCTACTAAAAATACAAAAAATTAGCCGGGCGCGGTGGTGGGCGCCTGTAGTCCCAGCTACTCGGGAGGCTGAGGCAGGAGAATGGCGTGAACCCGAGAGGCGGAGCTTGTAGTGAGCCGAGATCATGCCGCTGCACTCCAGCCGCCTGGGCAACGAAGACAGACACCGTCTCAAAAAAAAAAAAGAAAAAAAGAAAAAAAAAAGAAAGACTTACTATAGACTCTAATATGATTTGAGAAAAAGCGAAGTCATTATATGACAACTTAAAGCAAAAGGAAGGTGAAAAATCTAAAACTGGAGAATTTAATGCCAGAAAAGGGTGGTTTGATAATTGTAGAAAGAAGTTTGGTTTAAAAAATGTCAAGATAAAAAGAAGCAACTTCTGCCGACCAAGAGGCAGCAGGGGAGTTCCCAGATACCATTAAGAAAATCATTGAGGAGAAAGGTTATCTGCCTGAACGAGTTTTTTAATGCTGAGAGAAGTGCCCTATTCTGGGAAAAAAATGCCACAAAAGACATTTATTAGTAAGGAAGAGAAGTGCACACCCGGAATTAACGCCAGGAAGGGATAGACTAACTCTATTGTTTTGTGCAAATACAGTCAAGTTTATAATCAGGACTGTCCTTATCTATAATGCTGCTAACCCCTGAGCCTTGGAGGGAAAAGATAAACAGCAGCTGCTAGTCTTTTCATTGTATAACAAGAAGACCTAGACAGTGGGAACCCTTTTTCTGGATTGACTCCATTGATGCTTGTTCCCAAAGTCAGGAAGTACCTGGCCAGTAAGAGACTGCCTTTTAAAGTTTTTTTTGAGGCTGGGTGCAGTGCTTCACGCCTGTAATCCCAGCACTTTGGGGGGCCGAGGTGGGTGGATCACTTGAGGTCAGGAGTTCGAGACCAGCCTGGCCAACATGGTGATACCCCATCTCTACTAGTACAAAAATTAGCCGGGCATGGTGGTGCGTGCCTATAATCCCAGCTACTCAGGAGGCTGAGGCAGGAGAATCGCTTGGACCAGGGAGGCAGAGGTTACAGTTAGCTGAGATTGTGCCACTGCACTCCAGCCTGGGAGACAGAGTGAGACTCAGTCTCAAAAAAAAAAAAAAGTTTTATTGATATTGCACAGTGCCCATGGCCACCAGAAATGTCATGAATTCAACCCCAAAAGTATGGAAGTGGTCTACTTGCCCCCAGACACGGTGTCTCTATCTTGTTGTTGGGCCTCTAGATCAAAGGGCCACATGGACCTTTTAAGGCTCACCACACATGATACTCTATGGAAAGGATTGTCAACTCTGTGAAAGAGAACCCTGATAGAACATCAGGAAAGTGTGGAAGGATCACACCATTGAAGGTGCCATCAATGTTACAGAAATAACCATGAAAGTCAGCAAGCTTGAAACAATAAATTCCTGCTGGGGAAAACTGTCCAAATGTTTTGCATGACTTACAGGATTTACGATAGATACCATCAAGAAAGTCATGAAAGAGGGCCGGGCATGGTGGCTCATCCCTGTAATCCCAGCACTTTGGGAGACCCAGGACGGCAGATCACCTTAGGTCAGGAGTTCGAGACCAGCCTGGCCAACATGGCGAAACCCTGTCTCTACTAAAAATACAAAAATTATCCAGATGTGGTGGCGCCTGTAATCCCAGCTACTTGGGAGGCTGAGGCATGAGAATCGCTTGAGCCTGGGAGGCGGAGTTTCAGTGAGCTGAGATCATGCCACTGTATTCCAGCTTGGGTGACAGAGTGAGACTTGTCTCAAAAAAAAAAAAAAAAAAGAAAAGAAAATCATGAAAGAAGTTGTAGATATGGCAAAAAAGATGAGATGTGAAGCATTTCAAGATATCTGTTTTGGAGAAATTCAAGAACTAAGACACCACACCAGAGAAGTTAAGAGAAGACAGCTTGATGGAGCTCAGTGCTTCCAAACCAGTGCCAGATGATGAGGAAGAAGATGTAGAGGAAACAGTGCCAGAAGACTGATGTTAGACAGTCTGCCAGAAAGCTTCCAATTATTTAAGACTGCTTTTGGCTTCTTTTAGACATAGATCTTTCTATAATACTGGCACTGAAATGAAAGCAAATGATGGAAGAAGGATTGGTACTGTATAGAAACATTTTTAGAGAAATTTGCAAAAATGTCAGAGAGGAAGTACAGTATATTTCCATAAAGTTATACTGAGTGTGCCTGCCTCTATTGCCCTCCCTTCCACCTCCTCCATCTCCTCTGCCTCTGTTACCCCTGAGGGAGATGACCGACCCCTCCTGTTCTTCCTCTTCCTCAGCCTACTCACTGTGAAGACAAGGATGAAGACTTTTTTTTTATGGAGATGGAGTTTCGCTGTTGTTGCCCAGGCTGGAGTGCAGTGGTGTGATCTCGGCTCACTGTAACCTCCACCTCTTGGGTTCAAGCAATTCTTCTGCTTCAGCCTCCCGAGTAGCTGGGATTACAGGCACCCACCACCACGCCCGGCTAATTTTTTGTATTTTTAGTAGAGATGGGGTTTCACCATGCTGGCCAGGCTGGTCTGGAACTCCTGAACTCAGGTGATCTACCCTCCTCAGCCTCCTAAAGTGCTGGGATTACAGGCCTGAGCTACCGCACCCAGCAGGATGCAGACTTTTTTTGATGATCCACTTCCATTAATGGATATTTTCTCTTCTGTATATTCGAAGAATACAGTATATAAAACATATACAAAATATATGTTAATTGACTTTATTTTAACAGTAAGCCTTCTGGCCAGCAGTAAGCTATTAGCAGTTAAGTTTTTGGGTGAGTCAAAAGTTATACATGGTGGCTCATGCCTTTATTCCCTCCCAGCAATTTGGAAGGCCGAGGCGGATGGATCTCTTGAGGCCAGGCACTCAAGACCAGCTGGGACAACATGACAAAACCCCATCTCTACTAAATATACAAAAATTAGCCAGGCGTGGTGGAGACTACAGTGAGCTGAGATTGTGCCACTGTATTCCAGCCTGGACAACAGAGCAAGACTCTGTCTCAAAAAACAAAACAAAACAAAACAACCCCAAAAACTTACACTATACTTTTTTTTTTTTTTTTTTTTGGTGGAGACAGGGTCTCACTCTGTCACCCAGGCTGGAGTGGAGTGCAGTGGTATGATCACACCATACTGCATCCTTGACCTCCCGGGCTCAAGCTATCTTCCCATTTCAGTCTCCCCAGCAACTGAGACTGCAGGTGCTTTTCACCAAGCCCAGCTAATTTTTGTATTATTATTATTATTTTTTTGAGACAGAGTTTTGCTCTTGTTGCCCAGGCTGGAGTGCAATGGCTTGATCTCGGCTTACCTCAACCTCTGCCTCCTGGGTTCAAGCCATTCTCCTGCTGCAGCCTCCCGTGTAGCTGGGATTACAGGCATACGCACCACCATGCCCGGCTAATTTTGTATTCTCAGTAGAGACCGGGTTTCTCCATGTTGGTCAGGCTGGTCTCGAATTCCCGACCTCAGGTGATCTGCCTGTCTCCGCCTCCCAAAGTGCTGGGATTACAGGTGTGAGCCACCACGCCCGGCCAATTTTTGTATTTTTTGTAGAGATGGGGTTTCGCCATGTTGCCCAGGCTGGTCTCAGACTCCTGGGCTCAAGCGGTATGCCCACCTTGGCCTCCCAAAGTGCCGGGATTACTCAGTCTATACGTGGATTTTGACTGCATTGGGGGATGGGGGGTACTTAGCACCCCTACCCTCCACATTGTTCAAGGGTCAAGTGTACTTTTCCCCTTCCAATCTTTACATCATTTATTTTTCTTTCCTAATTGCACTGTCTAGGGCCTCTAGTACAGTGTTGAATATAAGTTTTAAGTTTAGGCATCTTTGTCTTGTTCTGCCTCATAGGGAGGAAGCATTCAGTCTTTTACCATAAATATGGTGTTAGCTTAGTATTTTCATAGACATCCTTTATTCTTGATTTGCTGAGTTTTTAAAAATAAAATAACTATTGCATTTTAGCAAATGCTTTTTTAACATATATTGAAATGATCATATGATTTTTTGCCTTTATTCTGTTAATGTTGGCAAATGATAATTGATTTTTCCGATGTTAAACCATCTTACATTTGTGGGATAAACCCTATATTTTAGTGATTGATTATCCTTTCTATATTGTGGGATTCAATTTGCTAGTCTTTGTAAAGTATTTTTATATATACATTCATGAGGTGGATTGATTTATAGTTTTCTTGTAATTTCTTAGTCTGGTTTTGGTTGCCTCAGAACGATTTGGTGCTTATTCCCTTCTCTTCTGTTTTTTAGAAAAGTGTGTAAGGCCGGAAGTGATGGCTTATACCTGCAATCCCAGCACTTTGGGAAGCCGAGGCAGGTGGATTGCTTGAGCTCAGGAGTTTGAGACCAGCCTGGCAACATGGCGAAACCCTGTCTCTACAAACATTTACAAAAAATTAGCTGGGCATTATGGCATATGCCCGTAGTCCCAGCTGCTTGGGAGGCTGAGGTGGGAGGATCACCTGAGCATAGAAGGTTGAGGCTGCAGTGAGCTATGATGGCACCACTGTACTCCAGCCTGGATGAAGGAGTGAGATTCTGTCTCAAAAAAAAAAAAAAAAAAAGTTTGTGGAGAATTGATGTTATTATTATTTTTAGAGCCAGGGCCTTACTCTGTCACCCAAGCTGGAGTACAGTGGTGCCATCATAGCTCACCACAGCCTTGAATTATTTTGCTTAAAGGCTCCTTCCACTTCAGTCTCCAGAGTATCTAGTACTGTAAGTGTGTGCCACCAAGCCCAGCTAATAATAATAATAATTACTATTTTCGAGACGGAGTCTTGCTGTGTCACCCAGGCTAGAGTGCAGTGGTGCAATCTTGGCTCACTGCAACCTCTGCCTCCTGGGTTCAAGAGATTCTTGTGCCTCAGCCTCCCCATTAGCTGGGATTACAGGTGCGGCACCACACCCGACTAATTTTTGTAGTTTTTAGTGGAGATGGGGTTTCACCACATTGGCCAGGTTGGTCTTGAACTCCTGACCTCATGATCTGCCTGCCCCAGCCTCCCAAAGTGCTGGGATCACAGATGTGAGCCACCGGGCCCAGCCTATTTATTTGAAATAGAGACAGGATCTTGCTGTGTTGCCTAGGCTGGTCTTGAACTCCTGGCCTCAGGTGATCCTTCTACTTCGTCCTCTCAAAATACTGGGATTATAGGTGTAAGCCACCATGCCCAGCCCTGTTTTTTTTTCCTTAAATGTTTGATATTATTTAAATGGTGTGGCTAGAAGCTATGTTGAAATGGGCCAAGGAATGACAGATATATAAGGAAATAGATAGCCAGGATGGACAACTTTGAGAATTCTGGCTATGAAGAGAAGAGAGGATGGTTGCTAGACAGGTGTAAAGATTGAATCAGGCATTAAAGAAATACAGTTGTTTTCTTGATTGCCATTATGTCTTTTAAATTTGCTTCTTTGTTACTTAATTCTAATGCAGATACATCAAGAAATCTGGAATTTCATGAAATACATAGTACTGGGAATGAACCGCCTTTGTTGATTATGATTGGCTACAGTGATGGAATGCAGGTCTGGAGCATCCCTGTAAGTACACATGTG
The DNA here is from genome assembly GCF_000001405.40 of Homo sapiens. Lineage (NCBI taxonomy): Eukaryota > Metazoa > Chordata > Mammalia > Primates > Hominidae > Homo > Homo sapiens. The sequence goes on from NC_000017.11 coordinate 60,709,341, forward strand.
GTTGAATACCTAAAACATACTTCCCAGCATGTTAGCTTATGTGAAATCTGTAGATACTTTTTTTTTTTGAGACAGAGTCTCACTCTTCGCCCAGGCTGGAATGCAGTGGTGCGATCTCGGCTCACTGCAACCTCTGCCTCCCAGCTTCAAGCGATTCTCCTGCCTCAACCTCCCGAGTAGCTGAGATTACAGGCATGTGTCACCACACCCAGGTAATTTTTGTACTTTTAGTAGAGATGGGTTTTGCCATGTTGGCCAGGCTGGTCTCAAACTCCTGACCTCAGGTGATCCATCTGCCTCAGCCTCCCAAAGTGTTGGGATTACAGGCGTGAGCCACTGCACCCAGCATATGTCTGTGTATCTTTATAGGATAAATTCCTTTCAATGGAGTTACTGAGTCAAAGGCTAAGTGCATTTGTAATTTTGATATATGTTTTACATTGCATAATATTGGTCTTATTTTGCATTTGGACTCCTACATGTGCCTTTTTTGGGTGACCAAACATAAAATGTCCTAAATGAAGAAGAGGCATGGGAGCAGTGCATTTGTTGAGATGTAGTAAATACTGCATATTTTGGCTTATTTCACTTATATTTCATTATTTGGCATAATCTAAATAATTATCTTCCAGTAGATGAGTGGGCTTATTATTTTTAATTGAGATGGGGTCTGGCTGTATTGCTCAGGATGGTCTTGAAGTCCTGGACTAAAGCAGTCCTCCCACCTTGGCCTCCCAAAATGCTGGGATTACAGGCATGAGCCACTGCACCCAGCTGAGATGACAGGACTTCTGTTGTGTGATTCTTTTGCAGTCGGAGGCTCTGGGCCAGTAGAAGTTGAATTTATACCTTTAATAATTGTATTCAGGAAACTTGTTTGAAGCCCCATGAGTATGTGTGTATGTGTGTTTCAGCCAGAATTTTTTTCTCTTTTTCTTTTGGGTGATATTGTTGCTCCTTGAATGATGTATAAGCAAACATGTATTACCTCAGATTTAATGGAAGTCAGGATATTCTCAAGTACAGAATTTGACCTCAGTAGTCTAAGAATTACTAAGGAACAAGCACATTCACCTTTCAATTCTTTAACATTTTTTTTTTTTTTTTTTGAGACAGAGTTTCACTCTGTTGCCCAGGCTGGAGTGCAGTGGCGCAATCTCGGCTCACTGCAAGCTCTGCCTCCCGGGTTAACGCCATTCTCCTGCCTCAGCCTCTCAAGTAGCTGGGACTATAGGCGCCCGCCACCACGCCTGGCTAATTTTTTGTATTTTTAGTACAGATGGGGTTTCACCACGTTAGCCAGGATGATCTTGATCTGCTGACCTCGTGATCCGCCCGCCTTGGCCTCCCAAAGTGCTGGGATTACAGGTGTGAGCCACCATGCCTGGCCAACATTTTTTAAGTTAAAAAAATGTTTATTTTTTGATAAGTCACTTCTGATGAAGTTTGGTGTTCCATTCTGTTCTTTTTTTTTTTTTTTGAGACAGGGTCTCACTTTGTCACCCAGGCTCGAGGGCAGTGGCATGATTGTAATTCACTCTATCCTCCACCTCCTGGACTCAAGCGATCCTCCCACATCAGCCTCTGGAGTAGCTGGGACTACAGGCACGTGCCACCACACCCAGTTAATTTTTAACACTTTAATGGAGACAGGGTCCTACTGTGTTGCCCAGGCTGGTCTCGAACTCCTGGGCTCCAGTGATCCTCCTACTTGGCCTCCTAAAGTGTGGGCATTACAGGCATGAGCCACTGTGCCTGGCCAATTCTATTCTTATAATTATCATATTATTAAGTATCTAAGATGTGGGATTTTTTTTTTTTTTTTAACTTGGCTTTACTTTGCGGAGATAGAAGAATCGTGCTGGTATGTCATGAAATTAGAAGTATTCTTTTTCTTTTGACTTTTGGGAAGTGTAGTTGACATTTTTCAAGGTCCCTCAATGTTCTTTGTAATTTTGGTATTGTTCCAAAGGCGTGGAGAAAGTACTTAAAATTTGGCAGTGTTTTTTTTTCTTACGGAGAGAAATATTTCTAGGTTGTGATAAAACAAAAGGGTTTTGTAAATGTAACTTTTTCTTATTAATAGAGACTACATTTTGCTTCATTATGCTGTTTGTTGACAGTACTGAAGACAGAGGAAGTTATACCTTTAACAAGAGGGTTGAGCCTGTGTGATTAGGGGTGTTGACTGGATTGAACACATTCCTTTGGTGGTATTCAGGTTGTTTTAACTGCCCACTTGTTTTGGTTATAATTGGGGATATTAATTTTAATAGTTTAAAGTTAATTTCTGTTTATCTTTGAGTAATTAAGGTCTTTATTTCTCCTTATGCCTAGATTATATTTTGAGAGACTTGAATAATTTTTTTTTTGATAGAATTTTCTTTGGCCAAGTGTATATTGTTGTAGTACCACTATTTCATGAATTAGGGCCTGGTGTAGAGGCTGACGCTTGTAATCCCAGCACTTTGGGAGGCTGAGGCAGGAGGATCACTTGAGGTCAGCAGTTTGAGACTAACCTGGGCAGCACAGTGAGACCAGCCGGGTGCGGTGGCTCATGCCTGTAATCCCAGTACTTTGGGAGGCCAAGGCAGGCAGATCATTTGAGGTCAGGAATTCGAGACCAGCCTGACCAACATGGTGAAACCCCATCTCTACTAAAAATAAAAAAAAAATTAGCCGGGCATGATGGCACATGTCTGTAGTCCCAGCTACTCTGGAGGCTGAGGCAGGAGAATCGCTTGAACCCGGGAGGCGGTGGTTACAGTGAGCCAAGATTGCGCCACTGCACTCCAGCCTGGGTGACAGAGTGAGACTCTGTCTCAAAACAAAAACAAAAACAAAAACACATAGTGAGACCTTGTCTCTACAAAAAATTTTTAAAAATTAACCAGGCGTAGTGGCATGCGCCTGTGGTTCCAGCTACTCGGGAGGATGAGGCAGGGGGATTGCCTGAGCCTGGGAAGTTGAGGCTGCAGTGAGCCATGATTATGCCACTGCACTCCAGCCTGGGTGACAGAGTGAGATCTTGTCTTGGGAAGGAAAAAAAAAAAAGACAATCTGGGAAAATAAGCTTCTTATATTTCATTGAGCTCTCATTATGGTCAAAGAGGTTTATATACATATTATCTCATCTAATGTAGAAGTTACCTTGTTTTACAGGTGGTAAGGTCACACTGCTTTTAAGAGGTGGAACTAGAATTTAAACCTAGTTCTGTCTGAATTCAAATTCAAAGCCCATGATCTAAGAGCTATACTTCATCACTTTTCAAATGTGATTGCTAAAGATATGACATGTGAGTAGTTTTGTAGTTAAGGTTTAGTTTTTGTAGAGGTGAAGGGAATTATCCCCTCTCCCTCTGAAATAAATTGACAATAGACTAATGGGAGAAAAAGCATACACATGCATGAGAGCCACATAAAATATGAGACTCAAAGAAGGGCCAAATGGCTGAAGCTTACATAGTGCTCTCTTCATAGGGGAGAAGGAGATGGAGGAATGTCGTCAGTTTTGAGAGTTAGTAAATCATTCTCAGGAAAGTTGAATGGGCCCAAAGAGCAGAAAATTGTTTCTAAGTGATTCACTTGGGAAGTGGGACCTGAGCAGAGATGATAGCCTGTGACAAAGTCTGTCTAGGTGTGGTGTCATTTCTCGGTTTTCCATCCTGTAATTTGAGATTAATCTTCTCTGGTTGAAGAAATTTCAGAAAGGGGAGAGGGAGGCAATTGTGTTCCTTCTAGAAGAGCTTCAGGAAAGGGAACTTGAGAGAGTCCCTCCTTGTGCTTGTGAGGGAGAAGCAGGAGAACACCAGAAAGTCCTTGGTTCTGAGGACTTCTGAGGCCTTTTAATTTCCTTTAGCTCAAAATGCTCAGCATGCCAAAATGCCAGAATTTGGAATATCGTTTTCTGAGCCCCAGTGTTTTCATTTGTAAAAGATTAGTATGTACCTTCAAATACTCATAGTTATCTTTTACATTTTACTTTGTTAGCCATTACTCTGTCAGAACCCTTCTGAAACTTATAACCATTATTCATTACATGAGCATATATGCTAGACAGTGGGGAGCCTATGTTGGCCAACCTAGAAAAAAATGACTCTCATGGATCTTTATAGTCTGTAATTAATACGATTGGCCCTCTATATACGTGTGTTGCGCATCTGCAGATTCAACCAACTGTGGATTGAAAATATTTGGAATTAAAAAAAGGATGGTTGTGTCTGTACTGAACACGTATAGAGTTTTCTTTCTTGTCATTATTTCCTAAACAATGCAGTATAACAATTATTTACATAGCATTTACATTGTACTAGGTATTATAGGTAATTAAGAGATGACTTAAAGTATATGAGAGAATGTGTAAAGGTTATATGCAAATACTATGCCATTTTATGTAAAGGACTTGAGCATGATGGACTTTGGTATTCATGGGTGGTTTGTGGAACCAGTCAGCACAGATGCTGATGGACAATTGCATTTGCATTTGCTTTTTTTGTTTGTTGTTTGTTTTTGAGACTGAGTCTCACGCTGTTGCCCAGGCTGGAGTGCAGAGGGGTGATCTCGGCTCACTGCAACCTCTGCCTCCTGGGTTCAAGTGATTTTCATGTCTCAGCCTCCTGAGTAGCTGGAACTACAGGTGTGAGCCACCATGCCAGGCTAATTTTTGTATTTTTTTTAGTAGAGATGGGGTTTCACCATGTTGGCCAGGCTGGTTTCGAACTCCTGACCTCAAGTGATCTACCTGCCTTGGCCTCCCAAAGTGCTGGGATTACAGGCGTGAGCTACCGTGCCTGGCCTGCTTTTTAAAAATAGAGATGAAATCTCACTATGTCGCCCAGATTGGTCTTGAACTCCTGGCCTCAGGCAGTCCTCCTGCCGTGGCCTCCCAAACCACTGGGATTACAGATGTAAGCCATCATGCCTGGCCATATATTTGCTTTTGAGTAAGTGTAGGTGGGCAGAAAATCAACCCCTGTCCAAACCTTAGCTTAGTTTTTGCTTCTAGTATATGCTCAGGACTCCCTCTTGTTGAGTTTAATATAACTGTCCCGCGGTGGCTCATGTCTGTAATCCCAGCACTTTGGAGGCCAAGGCAAGCAAGTTACTTGAGGTCAAGAGTTTGAGACCATCCTAGCCAACATGGTGAAACTCCGTCTCTACTAAAAATACAAAAATGGTGGTGGCCACCTGTAATCCCAGCTACTTTGGAGGCTGAGGCAGGAGAATTGCTTGAACCCAGGAGGCGGAGGTTGCAGTGAGCTGAGATTGCACCACGGTACTCTTGCCTGGGTGACAGAGTGAGACTGTCTCATAAAGACAAAACTGTCCCACCTGGGAGTCTCAGGTTAAGAAAATAAGCATATCCTGGTTAAACATTTTAAAAAATTGTCTATTGAAGTGTGTAGATGTGAATGGAACTTAGATGATGTCTAGGAATATTATTAATTAGAGTCAGCTCAAAAGCAGAACTGTGCAGTAGTTTACTGCCCAATCTCTACTGCTTTGTACATGACACCAGCTTTCCTAGCTTTCCTGAGCTGTCAGAGCCCTTCTTTCAACACACCAGATGTAACATAGAATGATTGTTATGTGGGCGTTCCAGATAAACAACCCCTTTTCTCAACCATCCCTAACAATGTTATTGACTCTTTTTTGGTGAGGTAAATATAGGCTTTCTTGCTTAAAATTCTTAATTAAAAAAATCAAAATTATCTTTGTATATATTTTAAAAACCAAATAGTTTCGTGAGATTCAAATATGAAACAAATGAAGTTCTGTACTCTTTCTCTTTCTTTTTTTTTTTTTTTTTTTGAGACAGAGTCTTGCTCTGTGGCTCAGACTGGAGTGCAGTGGCATGATCCTGGCTCACTGCAGCCTCCACCTCTGGGGTTCAAGTAGTTCTCCTGCCTCAGCCTCCCAAGTAACTGGGATTACAGGTGTGCGCCACCACACTCGGCTAATTGTTTTGTAATTTTTAGTAGAGACGGGGTTTCACCATGTTGGCCAGGCTGGTTTCAAACTCCTGACTTCAAGTGATCTGCCTGCCTAGACCTCCCAACGTGTATACTCTTTCTTTCATCACTCTTTCAAATCTACTAGTTATTGTCATTTTAGTATTTATTTCAATTATTTCAAAATATCATACTTCTTATTTATTTTTTATTTTGAGATGGAGTCTCTCTGTGACACTCAGGCTAGAGTGCAGTAGCGCAATCTCAGCTCACTGCAACCTCCGCCTCCTGGGTTCAAGCAATTCTCCTGCCTCAGCCTCATGAGTAGCTGGGATTACAGGTGCACGCCCCATGTCCGGTTAATTTTTGTATTTTTAGTAGAGATGGGGTTTCACCATATTGGCCAGTCTTGAACTCCTAACCTCAAGTGATCTGCCTGCCTCAGCCTCCCAAAGTGCTGGGATTACAGGTGTGAGCCACCACACCCCACCTCAAAATATCATACTTCTTGAAGTTTTTTTTCTCCCAGTGTTAAGATTGATTGGTGCCATGAACTATGAAGTTATTTTTTATTTTATTTTATTTTTTTGAGATGGAGTCTTGCTCTGTCACCCAGGCTGGAGTGCAGTGGTGTGATCTCGGCTCACTGCAGCCTCTGCCTCCCAGTTTCAAGCAGTTCTCCTGCCTCAGCCTCCTGAGTAGCTTGAATTACGGGCATGCGCCACCACACCCAGCTAATTTTTATATTTTTAGTAGAGACGGGGTTTCACCATGTTGGTCAAGCTGGTCTCGAGCTCCTGACCTTGTGCTGTGCCCGCCTCGGCCTCCCAAAGTGCTGGGATTACAGGCGTGAGCCACCGCGCACAGCCACGAACTATGAAGATTTAAACGGTGTTCATTTATTCAGCACATGTCTGGGATATACAGGGGTAAGCACAATAGATGTGGTCTTTGCTGTCATGGAGCTAGTAGGAGAGAGAGATTTAAATAAAAATAAATGGATATACAACTTAAGTTGTAATATGAAAAAAAGCATGACATGTTAGGACAAGGAAGTGACATATAAGCTAAAAAATACTTAGGGTAAGACTGGAACAATAAACACTAAACAGAGGCTCTGAGATGAAAGCATTCTTTTCTCCATAGTTAGAAATTGATTTAGATTTCTTAAATTTTTTCTCTTTAAAGAGCATTGTAGCTGGGCATGGTGGCTCACGCCTATACTCCCAACACTTTGGGAGGCTGAGGGTGGTGTATCGCTTGAGGCCAGGAGTTTAAGAGCAGCTTGGGTGAGACCCCATCTCACCAAAACCACAAAAATTAGGGCTGAAACAGGGGGATCAGTTGAACCTAGGAGGTCAAGGCTGCAGTGACCTGTGCACCACTGCACGCCAGCCTGGGTGACAGAGCAAGACCCTCTCAAAAAAAAAAAAATAATAATAATATTGAGATAAATATCTTTATGGTCATATAATTTGGAGAGATCAATAAAAGTAAGGCTCCTAATAGATTTTCCAAATTACATTCTTTTCCAGCCATGTCAGTTATACTTACCCCATATATTTATTAATTCTTTCACTCAGCAAAGATTTATTAATTGTCTATTACATGCCAGACTGTGTTGAAGGTGCTGGGACAACACTGAACAAAACAAAGTCATTCTCTTTGTGGAATTTCCATTCTGGTAGGTGGGGAAGATAGATAATAAATATGTATCATGTTAGATGGTGATAGATAGGGTGGTTGTTGTTGCTGTGGGTTGCTCTTTTATATACGATGGTCTGGGAAAGCCTCTCAAAGACCCAGTGACATAGTGGTGTGAAGTTATCCATATGGGTATTTGAGGGAGGAACACTCCAAGCCAGTACAAACATTCTGAGGTGCAGAATATGTTTCTTTCTTTTTCTTTTCTTCTTCTTCTTCTTCTTTTTTTTTTTTTTGTGAGACAGAGTCTCTCTGTGTCACCCAGGCTGGAGTGCAGTGGCGTGGTTTTGGCTCACTGCAACCTCCACCTCCCAGGTTCAAGCGATTCTCCTGCCTCAGCCTCCCTAGTAGCTGGGACTACAGGGATGCGCCACCACGCCTGGGTACTTTTTGTATTTTTAGTAGAGACGGGGTTTCGCCATGTTGTCCAGGCTGGTCTTGAACCCCTGACCTCAAGTGATCTGCCTTCCCGGGCCTCCCAAAGTGCTGGGATTACAGGCGTGAGCCACCATGCCCGGCAGAATATGTTTCTTATATTTAAGAACAGCAAGGAGGCAGTTTAGCTGGAGTTAGGAGAGCAAAGCAAAGAATAAGAGATTATGTCCAAGAGTTAGCAGTTGGCTAGGGCTTTGTTTTCGCCCTTGTAAGGACATCTAAAATTTCAAATATACAGCAAAGTTGGACTTTTACGGTGAAATTACTTATACCCGCCATCTAGAGCAGCAGTCCCCAACCTTTTTGGCACCAGGGACCGGTTTTGTGGAAGACAGTTTTTCCACAGGGTGGGGATAGTTTCAGTATGATTCAAGCACAGTAAATTTATTGTTCACTTTACTTCTATTATAATTGCATTGTAATATATAATGAAATAATTATACAACTCACCATAATGTAGAATCAGTGGGAGCCCTGAGCTTGCTTTCCCACAGCTAGATGGTCCCATGTGTGGGTGATGGGAAACAGTGACAGATCATCAGACATTAGATTCTCATAAGGAGCACACAATCTAGACACTTCACATGCGCGGTTCACGTTAGGGTTCGCGCGCCTATGATAATCTAATGCTGCTGCTGACCTGACAAGAGGCAGAGCTTAGGCAGTAATGTGCGCGATGGAGAGCAGCTGTAAATACAGTTGAAGCTTCGCTTTTGCTTGCCTGCTTCTCACCTCCTGCTGTGAGGCCTGGTTTGTAACCAGTACCTGGCCCAGGGATTGGGGGACCCCTCAACTAGAATATACCCTTAAAATTTTACTATACTTTTTTTTTTCCAGTTTTTTTTTCAGGCAACCCTCAGAACCAGAAGGGGTTCATACAGCTGCCTACTGTACTTTGTCTCACATCCATCTTATTCATTGCATTTCAGAGGAAATGCAAACATCAACATGCTTTCCCCTAACTACTTTTGCATGCATATAATTAACTAGAGTTCAATATTTGGTTAGTTTTTAAATTTTTTTAGACAGAGTCTTGCTCTGTTGCCCAGGCTGGAGGGCAGTGATGCTATCTTTGCTCACTGCAGCCTCTACCTCATGGGTTCAGTTGATTCTCATGCCTCAGCCTCCTGAGTAGTTGGGATTACTGGCACATGCCACCATGCCTGGCGAATTTTTGTGATCTTTTAAATTTTAGCTATTTTGGTAGGTGATACCTTGAGGATTCATTTAGCATTACCATTTCCCTGATGACTAATAATGTGGAGTACTTTTTCATGTTTCTTGGCCATTTATATATATTTTAGCAATTATTTGTATAATTTTTTTGCCCATTAAAAAATTTAGTTGTAGGCTGGGTGCTGTGGCTCACGCCTGTAATCTCAGCACTTTGGGAGGCCGAGGTGGGCAGATCACGAGGCCAGGAGATCGAGACCATCCTGGCTAACATGGTGAAACGCAGTCTCTACTAAAAATACAAAAAAATTAGCCAGGCATGGTGACAGGTGCCTGTAGTCCCAGCTACTTGGGAGGCTGAAGCAGGAGAATGGCGTGATCCCAGGAAGCGGAGTTTGCAGTGAGCCAAGATCGCGCCATTGCACTCCAGCCTGGGCGACAGAGCGAGGCTCTGTCTCAAAAAAAACAAAAACAAACAAACAAAAAAACTTAGTTGTAGAAGCCATTGGAGGATTTTTGAATAGAGGTAATATCACTTTTAAAAATAAGAAAGGTATGTGAAGAGCAGATTTGGGTGGAAAGGTAGTGAGTTTGGTTTTAAATGTGTGAACCATAGACTGTTGCTGGTCCATAAACTGGTGATAGCGAATCGTTTGTTATTGGCAGCAAAAAGGTAAAGTGCAGAAAATGAGAGTAAGCCTTTCAAAACCTATAGTATTCGCCAGTGCACACTATCCAAACATATGTATATAGTTTACAGAAGTATCATTTGTGCCAACTTTTAGAAAAATCAAAAAATAATTCGTCTTTTATGACAAACAGTTTGAAAAACACTATCATCAAGACATCCAGTTGGAGAAGGAGTTTTTGATGAGTATGTTTAGACATGCAATCATGTATTATTTTATTTCACACAAATAACATTTCTGTGATTATTAACATTCATTTTAGCATTATACATTCTTTGTAGTCATGAGAATAAGATACAGAATTTTCAAGGAGGAGATTTGAATTGCAGGATGAGGAGTTGAACTTATTCTTTCAGCCATAATAATTTGGACTCGTTGAGAATCTTTTGGTAACATACATTCCAAAAGCTGTCTGTAATATTGATTTTGTGGTTGCAGTGGGATGAATAGCAGGAGAAAAGAAAAGGTTATAAGGCTAGTTAGGAGTGAATTTCAACACTGTCTAAATGTTAGATGTTGAGAGCCTGAACTAAGTTTGTTGTTGTGAGAGGATTACCAAAAACCATGGTAAGTGGTTAGACGTTTAGAAGAGAAGAAAGTTAAAGATGTTTCCAGAGTCTTGACCTGGGGACCAGTGCTGCTTAGTATGAAAGATGGCATCATTTTAGCAGAAATAGAATTTGATTATTAGACTTACACTATGTTAAAAATCATGTAAAGCAAAAATTGTATAGCATATTGTCTTATAAGTAATAAAGGGTTCTCACTTAAAGTTTCAGTGGTAAAAGTCTTCTGATATTTTCGCATACTTTTTGCTATCTGTTTAAATGGCAACTTAGTTTTCTTTTCTTTTCTTTTCTTTTTGAGACATAGTCTTGCTCTGTCACCCAGGCTGGAGTGCAGTGGTGCAATCACGGCTTCGCTTCCTGGGCTCAAGCGATTCCCTCACCTCAGCCTCCCGAGTAGCTGGGACCACAGGTGTGCACCACCATGCCCAACTGATTTTTGTATATATATATTTTTTTGTAGAGATGGGGTTTTGCCATCTTGCCCAGTCTGATCTTGAACTCTTGAGCTCAAGTGATCCTCCTGCCTTGGCCTCCCACAGTGCTGGGATTACAGGCATGAGCCACTGCGCCCAGCGTCTTATCTTCTTTTGAAATGCTTATTTTTTTCTTAAAAAATGGAGAATATATTTATTACATCACCTAAAATATGGCAGTTGTATTGTGTGAAACAGTATACAGTTGGCCCTGGATATCCATGGATTCTGAATACGTGCATTCAGTCAATATGGATAGAAAATATTTGGGAAAAAAGTAAAAAATAATTCAACAATAAAAAATAACACAAATAAAAATGACAGTATAGCTATTTACATAGCACATTGTATTAGGTATTGTAAGTAATTTAGAGATGATTTAAAGTATATAGGAGGATGTGCATAGGTTTTATATGCATAGGTTATGTGCAGATACCATGCCATTTTATAAAAGGGACTTAAGCATTGGAGGTTTTGGTGTCCACAGGGATTCTGGAACCAACCCCATGTGAATACAGAGAGATGACTGTATTTTCTTTTCAAAAGTTAGTATTTGTAGTGTTTTCTTGGAGCTGTGTATATGCGGTACTTCAATGACCTAACACTAGGTGTCGCTACCACATTGAGCTAAGAAAAGTGCGGCTGCTCCTTGAAAGGAAATTTTTGCCCTAAAGCTTTTTGTGTAGTTTTTATACACTAAAAGCTTTAGAGCAAATATGCAAGGGCATTCTTGAGGTAAATGCCAATTAGTCTACTATTTATTAGAGGTTGGGTGCCAATAGACCTTGCCATGTTAAGATTGTTAGCCAGGAAACAGTTTTTATGGGTTTCATTTGGGAGTAATATAAAGTTAGTGATTTGGGTACACTGGCAAGCAGAGAGAGGTTGAATATGGATGAAGTCCAGTGAAAAAAATTGCCTTTGTTGAGAATAGGACCTTATTTTGTTTGGTGCATTCTCTTCTTCCTGGAAAGAGAATAGGTGGATCCTTAGACTGTAGATACAGTGGGAGGACATTGGTTGTTATGGATGAATAAAAGCAGAAATGAAGAGTAATACTGAAGTAATTTCTGGAATTTAACCATATTGGTGGATTAAAATATCTTTTCCTGTAGTATGTTTCTTAAAGTATCACTCCAGAGAACTCTTGCATCTGAAACTTAATTTTTCCCTGTGTGCGAATAGTGGCGTGACTCTTGTTGATTTGACATAGGCAGTAGACATTACTGTGAGTTTGAAATTTATCATTGTAAGTTGGACTCTTTCTTACTTGAGATCTTTTTGATGATTTTCTACTCTAAAACAATATATTATTTGGACCTAAGCTGATTTATAAGTCTGTGGAATGCAATTTTTTTCTGATAAATGTTATTGAATATACATACAGTAAAATGCACAAATCTGAAGTGTACAGACTGAAAATATATATATATATAACCTTCTAACCATCATCCTGGATTAAGATCTAGAATATTTCCAGTACCTCAAAAGAATCCCTTGTGCCACTTCCTTGGCAGTACTACCCTCTTTCCACCTCCAAGTAACCATTATTCTGCTATTCTGACTTCTATCACCATAGATTCTTTTTTTCTATTCTTGAATGTCTAAGAAATATGGTCATAGATTTAAAAGGTATGCTCTTATGTTCTGGCTTGTCTCTTAACATTATGACTGTAAGATTTGTTTTTATGCTATTGTGTGTAACATTAATTTTGCTGTGTTGTATCTATCATATGAATACAATAAATTTTGAAAAATCCATTATATGACTGATAGACATTTTTGTTCCCAGTTTTTGAGTATTATTAATAAAGTTGCTCTGAAAATTCTTATATATGGTAATTTTTCATGGATGTAAACAAAAAATGGTAATTTTTGGTGTACGTAAACACTCATTTGTCTTGGGTGTTGACCTAGGCGTAGATTTATTGTGTCATAGGATAAGTACATGTTTACCTTCAGTAGGTACTGCCAAATAGTTTTCAAAAGTGTTTTTGCCAACTTTGTACTCTCACCAGAATTATGTGGAAGTTCTGTTTGTCCTGCATCCTCAGCAGCACTTGGTATTGTCAGTCTTTTTGATTTTGGCCATTCTGTTGCGGATGTGTTGATATCTTCTGTGAGGTTTTAAAAATGCTTTTTAGGGGGCTGGGTGCGGTGGCTCATGCCTGTAATCCCAGCACTTGGGGAGGCTGAGGTGGGTAGATCACGACGTCAAGAGATCAAGACCATCCTGGCCAACATGGTGAAACCCCGTCTCTATTAAAAATACAAAAAGTAGGCAGGCATGGTGGTGGGCACCTGTAGTCCCAGCTATTTTGGAGGCTGAGGCAGGAGAATCACTTGAACCTGGGAGGTGGAGGTTGCAGTGAGCCGAGATTGCGCCACTGCACTCCAGCCTGGTGACAGAGCGAGACTCTGTCTCAAAAAAAAAAAAAAAAATGCTTTTTAGGCTGGGCACAGTGGCTCATGCCTGTAATCCTGGCACTTTGGGAGGAGGTGGGAGGATCCTTTGAGATTAGAAGTTTGAGACCACCCTGGGCAACATAGACCCTGTCTTGACCAAAAATGTGGCATGTGCCTGTGGTTCCAGCAACTCAGGAGGTTGAGGGGAGAGGATCACTTGAGTCTAGGAGATCAAGGCTGTGGTGAGCTATGATCACGTTACTGCCCTCCAGCCTGGGCGACACAGGACACAGCAAGACCCTATTTCAAAAAATGCTTTTTATTTTGCAATAAATTTCAAACTTCCAGAAAATTTTATAATGTATATAAGGTATTCCTGTTACTCATTGTGGAGATTCACCAATTACGGATTTTGCCTTATTTGCTTTGTCATTCTTTCAGTCTCTGTATCTATGCATATATTTTCTGAACCATAATTTCCATAAATTATTATTATTATTTTTGAGATGGAGTCTTGCTCTGTTGCCCAGGCTGGAGTGCAGTGGCGTGATTTCGCCCACTGCAACCTCTGCCTCCCGAGTTCAAGCAATTCTTCTGCCTCAGCCTCCTGAGTAGCTGGGACTACAGGCATGCACCACCATGCCAAGGTAATTTTTTGTATTTTTAGTAGAGACGGGGTTTTGGCATGTTGGCCAGGCTCTTCTCAAACTCCTGGCCTCAAGTGATCCAGCCGCCTCGGCCTCCCAAAGTGCTAGGATTACAGACATGAGCCATTCATTGTGCCTTGCCTGTTTTCATAAATTATTTAGTATAATTTCCTACAAATAAATATATAGCCATAGCACTGTCATCAAGCCCAGGACATTTAAATTTGATGCAGTAGTATTGTGGAAACTATTGTTCATATTCAAATTTCATCCATTGTCCCAATAGTCTACTTTATAGCTATTGTTACTTTTTCACTTTCTTTCTTTTTTTTTTTTTTTTTTTTTTTTTGAGATGAAGTCTCGCTCTGTTGCCCAGGCTGGAGTGCAGTGGTGCGATCTCGGCTCATTGCAACCTCTGCCTCCCAGGTTCAAGTGATTCTCCTGCCTCAGCCTTCTGAGTAGCTAGGACTACAGGCACCCGCCACCATGCCTGGCCAATTTTTTTTGTATTTTTAGTAGAGACGGGGTTTCACCATATTGGCCAGGCTGGTCTTGAACTCCTGATCTTGTGATCCACCTGCCTTGGCCTCCCAAAGTGCTGAGATTACAGGCGTGAGCCACCGTGCCCGGCCTACTTTTTCACTTTCTTAAAATTTTCTTTTGATGAAAAAAATCTGGTTCCGATTTTTTATCTTTTACTCTATTATTATTTTTGTATCTTTGTTTACTCTAAGGACATGCAAATATTCTTCTAGGCTGGGTGTGGTGGCTCATGACTGTAATCCCAGCACTTTGAGAGGCCAAGGCAGGCGGGCCCCTTGAGGTCAGGAGTTCAAGACTAGCCTGGCCAACATGGTGAAACAGTTCGCTACTGAAAATACAAAAATTAGCTGGGCATGATGGTGTGTGCCTGTAATCCCAGCTGCTTGGGTAGCTGAGGCGTGGGAATTGCTTGAACCCGGGAGGCACAGGTTGCAGTGAGCTGAGATCGCGCCACTGCACTCCAGCCTGGGTGACAGAGTGAGACTGTCTCAAAAAAAAAAAAAAAAAAAAAAGGCCGGATGCGGTGGCTCATGCCCGTAATCCCAGCACTTTGGGAGGCGGAGGCGGTCTTATCACCTGAGGTCAGGAGTTCGAGACCATCTTGGCCAACACGGTGAAACCCCGTCTCTACTAAAAATACAAAAATTAGCCGGGTGTGGTGGAATGCACCTGTAAGCCCAGCTACTTGGGAGGCTGAGGCAGGAGAATTGCTTGAATCCAGGAGTGGGAGGTTGCAGTGAGCCAAGATTGCCACTGCACTCTAGCCTGACAACAGAGTGAGACTTCCTCTAAAAAAAAAAAAAATTCATTTTCTTTTAGTGGGTTGTTGTTTTTACCTTTAGGTTTAAGATTCATTAAAAAAAAAAAAACAGCTTTGTATATGTGTGGTATGAGATGGGGTCAGGGTTATTTCTTTTTTGTTTCATTTCCTTTTTTGTAGAGACAGAGTCTCACTCTGTTGCCCAGGCTGGAGTGCAGTGGTGCCATTATAGCTCACTGCAGCCTCCAAGTCCTGGGCTCAGGTGATCTTCCTGCCTCAGACTCCTGAGCAACTAGTACTATAAGCATGTGCCACCATGCCCAGCTACTTAAAAAAAGTTTTTTTTGTAGAGAGGGGCTCTCATTATGTTACGCAGGCTGGCCTTGAACTCCTGGCCCAAAGCAGTCCATCTGCCTAAGCCTTATTTCTTATTTATCTCTATTTTTAGAATAGTGATACTCAATTGATTCAGCACCATTTCCTGAAAAGACCATTCTTTACCCAATTAATTGGAATAATACCATAGATGTGTAGTAATTCTTATACTCTATTTTTTCATTGGTTTAATTGTCTGCTTTTGAATTCTAAATATGCTAGAAACTCAATCTGAGAAAGTCCCAAAATAAACTTCCCAATTTCTTGCTCTTTGCTTTAAATCTATTTTATTTCCACTCTAGCCCTTCTTGCTAACATCTATATTTTTATTAGAATAGTACCATAATTTTTCCATTCAGCCACACTGAAATGTTCGGGTCTATGTCAAGTATTACGAGATACAAATAAAGTAAGATGTGAGCATTGTCTTGAGGCGATAATTTCCTACTTGGGGGAAAGGTCACTAAATATTTGCAGTCTGTGTCAGTGGTTCCCGACCAGGAGTGATTTTGTTCTCCAAGGGGCCATTTGGCTATTTTTTTCATTGTCATGATTGGGGATTGCTGCTGGCATGTGGTAGGTAGAAGCCAGAGATACTGCTACACATCCTATAATATACAGGACAGACTCCTCGAACAAAGAATTGTTCAGTCCAAAACATCAGTAGTG
Source organism: Homo sapiens (assembly GCF_000001405.40). Lineage (NCBI taxonomy): Eukaryota > Metazoa > Chordata > Mammalia > Primates > Hominidae > Homo > Homo sapiens. The sequence continues at coordinate 60,725,735 of NC_000017.11, forward strand.
CTGAGGTTGAAAAACCTTGGTCTGTGTGATCAGTATTAGGATAGAGGTATGAATACAGTGCTGTAGAGCCCCCAAAGAATGACAGGATGCCTGGGGGAGGGTTTTTTTTTCTTTTTGTTTTTTAATCCAGGATCAGACCTGAGGGAGTTTTGTTGTTGTTGTCATTGTTGTTGTTTTTGAGACGGAGTTTCGCTCTTGTTGCCCAGCCTGGAGTGCAATGGTGTGATCTTGGCTCACTGCAGCCTCCACCTCCTGAGTTCAAGCGATTCTCCTGCCTCAGCCTCCCGAGTAGCTGGGATTACAGGCATGCACCACCACACTTGGCTAATTTTGTACTTTTAGTGGAGACAGGGTTTCTCCATGTTGGTCAGGCTGGTCTCGAACTCCTGACCTCAGGTGATAAGACCGCCTTGGCCTCCCAAAGTGCTGGGATTACAGGCGTGAGCCACTGCTCCCGGCCAGAGGGAGGATTTTTTTTTTTTTTGAGACAGAGTCTCACTCTGTTGCCCAGGCTGGAGTGCAGTGGCACGATCTCGGCTCACTGCAGCCTCCACCTCCCGAGTTCAAGTGATTCTCCTGCCTTAGCCTCCCGAGTAGCTGGGATTACAGGCATGCACCACCACTCTTGGCTAATTTTGTATTTTTAGTGGAGACAGGGTTTCTCCATGTTGGTCAGGCTGGTCTCGAACTCCTGACCTCAGGTGATCTGCCCGCCTTGGCCTCCCAAAGTGCTGGGATTATAGGCATGAGCCACTGCGCCCAGCCAGAGGGAGGAATTTTTTTTTTTTTTTTTGAGACAGAGTCTCACTCTGTTGCCCAGGCTGGAGTGCAATGGTGCGATCTCAGCTCACTGCAAGCTCCGCCTCGCAGGTTCACGCCATTCTCCTGCCTCAGCCTCCCGAGTAGCTGGGACTACAGATGCCCGCCATCACGCCAGGCTAATTTTTTGTATTTTTAGTAGACATGGGGTTTCACCATGTTAGCTAGGATGGTCTTGATCTCCTGACCTCGTGATCTGCCTGCCTCGGCCTCCCAGAGTGCTGGAATTACAGGCGTGAGCCACTGCTACTGGCCAAGAGGGAGGAGTTTTAACACTTGTGCTGCCTAGTAAAATTTCGTAGAATATGAAAAAAAATTGTTATAACTGGAATATTCAGAATGCACCATACATTGTTTTAGGCATATTGCATATATTATTTATTATCCTGTCAATTTTACTAGTTAGTGTTAGTCTTATTTTACACTTGAAAAAATTAAGGGCTATATTTAACTAGGTCAAGTTCTTTAACAGATACCTTTTAAAAAACAGACTTTAAAAAAAAATTATTTATTTATTTTTTAAACATATCACTGTATTTATTTTCTCTCAGGTAATTTTTCTATGGCTTCAACATTTTCTCTTCAAAATTAAAAGAAAAATATCCCAAAGTTTAGAACTGGATCTCTTGGCCCTTTCTCTTCTTATCTCCTCCCGGTTCAAAATGCTTACATCTCTGAATGACCACCATCCTCTTGGATCTGCAGTTAGGCTCAACACATTCTGGCCTTAGCACAGTCTTCTTTGTGGTCTTAGCCTTCTTCAGGAAAACTGGCCTTCTCTGCCCACCATAGCCACTCTGCTTCCGATCATAGCGCCTCTTTCCCTGGGCATACAAGGAATCCTTGCTCTTATACTGTGTCACTTTGTGAGGCTGATGCTTGCCACACTTCTTACAGAAGGTTCTTCGGGTTTTAGGTACGTTGACCATCTTTGCAGCAGGGCTGTTCCGTCTATGTGATGAAAACGAGAAATGGCATCTGAGACTCTCGCCTCGCAAAGCTCTCGCCTGACAGGAAAGGAAAAAACAGACTTTATTTTTAAGGGCAGTTTTAGGTTCACGGCAAAACTGAGTAGAAAGTATACGGAGGTCCCGTATACCTCCTGCCTCCACATCGTGCACAACCTCCCCAACTGTCAACACCCCCAGCACCACAGTGGTAAAATTGTTACAATCCATGAACATACATTGATATATTATTGTTACCCACAGTCCATAGCTTACAGTAGGATTCATTTTTGGTGGTATACTTTTTTCCTTTTTTTTTTTTTTTGACACAGGGTCTTGCTCTGTTGGCCATGCTGGAGTACAGTGGTGCGATCTTGGCTCACTGTAGCCTCTGCCTTCTAGGCTCAAGTGATCCTCCCACCTCAGCCTCCTGGGTAGCTGGGACTACAGGTGCATGCCACCATGCCTGGCTAATTTTTCTATTTTTTTGTAGAGATGGGGTTTCGCCATGTTACCCAGGCTGTTCTGGAACTCCTGACCTCAAGTGATCTGCCCACCTCGGCCTCCCAAAGTGCTGGGATTACAGGTGTGAGCCACCGTACCCGGCCTGGTTTTTGGTGGTATACTTTCTATGTGTTTTGACAGATAATATAATGACAGGTATCCACCATTGTAATATCACACAGAATACTCTCACTGCCCTACACATCCTCTGTTCTCTATCTATTCATCCCTCCATCCCTGATAAGCCCTGGGCACCCCTGATCTTTTTATCATGTCCATTCTTTTGCCTTTTCCATGTAGTTGGAATCACTACATGGTAGGTAGCCATTTCAGATTGGTTTCTTTGACTTAGTAATATGCATATAAGGTTCTTTCATGTCTTTTCATGACTTGATAGCTTATTCAGATGCTGAATAATATTTCATTGTATGGAATACCACAATTTGTTTATGACAGATACCTTTTTATTTTTATTTTATTTTATTTTATTTTTGAGATGGAGTCTCACTTTGTCGCCTAGGCTGGAGTACAGTGGGGTGATCTTGGCTCACTGCAACCTCCACCTCCTGGGTTCAAGTGATTCTCCTGCCTCAGCCTCCCAAGTAGCTGGGATTACAGGTGCCCGCCGCCATGCCCAGCTAATTTTTGTACTTTTAGTAGAGACGGGGTTTCACCATGTTGGTCAGGCTGGTCTCGGACTCCTGACCTCAAGCAATCTACCGCCTCAGCTTCCCAAAGTGCTGGGATTACAGGCATGAGCCACCACACCCGATAATATCTTTTTAAAAATAAAGATAATATACATACTCTGAAATGCACAAATCTCAGGTCTATATTTTGGTGATTTTTACTTGTGTATATGTGTTTGTATATATGTGTGTTTATGTATGTCTGTAAGCATGCTTGTGTGTATACACAAGTACGTGAAACCACCATTGGGGAGAAAATGTAGAACATTTTTGTACTCATAAAATTTTCCAGTCAATATTTCTCCTCCTTCCAGGATAAGATAATCACTATTCTGACCCCATATTAGTTTTGCATGCATTGAACTTCATATAAACAGGGGCACACAGTATGTACTCTTTTGCATCTGTTCTCTTTTGCTAAATATACTTTTTAGATTCGTCTGTGTTGTTGCTATATCATGGTAGTTTGCATTTTTTGTTTGTTTTTATTATTGTGTTTTATTTCACTATTTAAATATACCATAATCTGTTTAGTTATTTTCTTTTTGATGGGCTTTGTGTTTCTGGCCTTTGCCTATAATGAATAAAGTGTCTGTGAACATTCTTGTAGATATGTGGACTCTTTTTTTTTTTTTTTTTAAGATACCTAGTGAAATTGCTTAGTCACAGGGTAGGTGGCATATGTTTAACTATTAGAAATTGTGGCCCCATCACCTCCAAAACAAAAAGAAATTGCCCAAGGTTTTCCAAATAGGCTGTATTGTTGTATATTTCCATTTGCAGTATCTGGGAGTTACAGTTGTTCCACTCACTGCTTACATTGATGTTGTCAGTCATTAAAAAAAATCATCTTGTTAATCTTACAAGTTAATATGATAGCTATTTTATGGAAAAAACTTTTAGACTTCTATTTAATATAAACAGTTTCTCCTTGGTTAATTATCTATTGCAAATCTATCTTCTTTAATCAATGGGTTAAATCAAGATAGGTTTACAATACCATTAAAATGTAACAAATTCAGTCTTTTAAAAGTGGAAAGAGGCGATGAACCAAAATTGGTTTATCTGTTGCACTGCTTTCTCTCTTCACTTTTCAATTGAACACCTATCAGCTTGTAATAAAATAATAAAGAGAATCCAGTTTGTATGTCTGAGTGATTATGAAGTGTTTATGACAGCCGCTAGGCCGACACTCTCTATAATGGTGTTACATTGACTTCTGAACACCTTCTCGTCTGCCTCCAGGCGTGTGTGTCACTGTAGTCTGAGTGGTTTTACATTAACATCTACCCTGAGTAAGATCTTTTGACTACCAAAGTGTTAGTTGCAAATGGAAGATACCATTAAGGCGGCTTCAAAGGACTGGAATGATATTTGGATTGGTGCATGCTGAAGTAATGGCTAGAGTTTTGAAGTGTAATATCTAAATCAGTGTTGCATAACTGAAGGAACATGTGAGTTCAAACGGCTTTTGTTTGATCTTCCTTTAGAAAATCAGGCTGAAGGGGAAAGGTTAAAGTTGCCTTAAAACACTCCTTTCTATGTGTGCAAAAATCTGGAAGTATGAAAATATGATTACAAGTTCCATTCATTATTTGTGTTCTGTGGTTTTCGTATTGTTCTTGAAATTTACTTCCTGCCTGCCTGAAGTTTTGTATTATGAATTTAGTGTCAAGACCAAAATACAGACCGGGTTGCTGTTTTCTTTATGTGGTCAGCAAATATCTGTTCTATAAGTTGTTACTCCTCACAAATATGCATTTTAGGCGATTTTTATGGCTTGCATTTTTTTTCTTGATGGTATACACAGTAGGTTACAGAGATACTGACACTCTGATATTAACTGAATCATTTGTGGTTAGGCAGGCAAAAAACAAAACAAAACAAAAAACTTGTTCCCCTCTTCCTCCTAATTTTAGGAGCTTTCAAAAGGACTGCTCTTTACTATTAGGAAAACTTTCCTCAAAGTATGCTATCTTAAGTTTTTAAAATTGTGGAGGCAGAGCTGTAAAAAATAAAATAATACACTAACAGTGACTTGTTAGAGAAAAAAAGGCCTGAGTTTAAGAACTATTTTGAATATAGTGTATTTATAGGAGATTCTGATGCCTCTTTGGGCTGGTTATTTTTGGCAGCCTTTTTCTTTGTTTCCTTATCTATAAAATGAAAATATATTATCAAATTGGCTTACAGGGTGTTTTGAGGGAGAGACTGTCAGCTTTCAGTAGAGCTGGCTCTGTAGTTACTGTGGCCACTCATGTAGCTAGGTGAGTTCTTTTTGTTGCTTCTTAACCGAATTCCTTAGTATAAGATGATACCTGCCATGCCTCCCACATTCTCCTTTACGTTTTTACAATTTCTCCCTAATTAAAAGTAAATTGTTATTAATTTTTAAGTTAAAAAAACTATAATGAATAAATCTTCTTTTTAAGGAACTTCATTCCTTCCAGTTGTATCTGTATGATTAGTACATGTGAAGTAATTAGCAAATTGATAACTATACACGTGTTTTTTTGCTTGTTTGTTTGTTTATTTATTGAGACAAAGTCTTGCTTTGTCGCCCAGGCCTGAGTGCAGTGGCATAATCTTGGCTCACTGCAACCTCTGCCTCCCAGTTCAAGTAATTCTCGTGCCTCAGCCTCTTAAGTAGCTGGGATTACAGGCGTGCGCCATTACGCCCAGCTAATTTTTGTATTTTTAGTAGAGATGGGGTTTCGCCATGTTGGCCAGGCTGGTCTCAAACTCCTGACCTCAGGTGATCTGCCCACCTCACCCTCCCAAAGTGCTGGGATTACAGGCATCCTGGCCTTAATGTGTATATTTAAATGGGTTACGTGAGGTGTTTTTGTTGCTTTAGGAACTGAATTCCTTAGTAGAAGACTTTCTTTCTCTAATCTGTATATTTTTACCTTTTATCCTTGATTTTTTTTCTTCCTATTATGGAAGATTAACATTTATTTGTGGGATTTTAACATTTTCTATATATGTTTAAATTAATAGGCTTTATTTATTTGAGTAGTTTTAGGTTTACAGAAAATTGAGGTGAAAATACAGAGACCTCTCATGTATCCGCTTATCACCCTCCTATTTTTTTTTTTTTTTTGAGGCAGAGTCTCATTTTGTCGCCCAGGCTGGAGTGCAGTGGCATGATCTCGGCTCACTGCAACCACCGCCTTCCAGGTTCAAGCAATTCTCCCATCTCAGCCTCCCAAGTAGCTGGGATTATAGGTGCTTGCTACCACTGCTAATTTTTGTATTTTTAGTAGAGATGGGGTTTCGCGATGTTGTCCAGGCTGGTCTCAAACTCTTAACCTCAGGTGATCCGCCAGCCTCTGCCTCCCAAAGTGCTGGGATTATAGGTGTGAGCCACCGCGCCCGGCCAGCCCTCCTATTTTCAACTATTAACATTTGCATTAGTGTAGTACATTTAGTACAATTGATGAGCTTATATTGACACATTATTAATAACTAAAGTCCTTAGATTAACTTTTTCTCCCCAATAGGATTTTATTGGTGTTACTTTTTAGCTTTTTAAACTACTGATCTTTTTAACTACTGATCTTCATTTGTCTCCATATGGTTAGTACATGTGAAACAATTAGATAAGATTGGTAACTCTGCATTTATATGTTTAAATGGGCTATTTTTAGATCGCTGGTAGCAAGGAAAACAAGTTGCAAGTAAAAACATATAAATAGATAAAACTTAGGGAGGGTGGAGACTGGCTTGATCTTGGATGAGATTATGAAGACTAGTGTGATAAAACCTGCTACATAGACAAGATGCTGCTTACCACCTTGGTAGTAGTTCTTTTCTCCAAGGCTATAAATCATAGGAAGTAATGTATTAGTGAGTTCAAGAACTGGGCTGGGTGTGGTGGCTCACACCTGTAATCCCAGCACTTTGGGAGGCTGAGGCGGGCAGATCACGAGGTCAAGAGATCAAGACCATCCTGGCCAACATGGTGAAACCCCGTGTCTACTAAAAACACAAAAATTAGCTGGGCGTGGTGGTGCGCACCTGTAGTCCCAGCTACTCAGGAGGCTGAGGCAGGAGAATCGCTTGAACCTGGGAGGCGGAGGTTGCAGTGAGCCAAGATCGCACCATTGCACTCCAGCCTGGCGACAGAGCGAGACATCGTCTCAAAAATAAATAAATAAATAAAAAAGACCTGAGCACTGAGCTGTACCAAAATATATTCTTCAATATGGTATTTTAACAAATTTCTACGTATTAAATATTAATAGCATGATTTGAGATCAGGAGAGCTAAGGTACATTATGCTAAATAACATTAAGGTAGAATAGTGAGACCAATATAGACTGAATCATTCATTCATCAATTTATTCATTCAACAAGCATCTCTTTGGATTAACTATCATTTATTGAGTGCCAATTATTATATACTATCAAATATACAATTATACATTTAACAAATATACAATTTATATATTGTTGCCTGGTTAGATAAATATGTTATTAACCTTATTTTAAAACGAAACTCAGATTTAGTAAATTTGTATAGCTAATAAGCATAGTCCATTTTCTTTTCTACTAAACTGTTAGAATCATTGATTTTGTTGATTTGTAAAATTTGTAACAGATGATCTGGTGTATTTTTCATATTTTGCATTGTTGTGATAGGACATGATTTTTGGAATAAGACCAAAATGTCCGGGGTCTCAGGTATTGGCTGCTCTTGCTCCCTCTCTTCCCAGGTGAAATTAGAGCAGTTACTAATTCAGAAGACTCTTGACATGAAAGATATTTTTGACAGAAAGGCAAAATGCACTGGAGATAAACATGAGGCATTCTTTTCCTATGATCTTCCATGTCTAGTGGCCAATTTTAAATACTGGATGTTTGGTTGGGTGTGGTAGCTGACGTCTATAATCCTAGCACTTCTAAGAGACTGAGGTGAGATGACTGCTTGAGCCCGGGAGCTTGAGACCAGCCTGGGCAACTTTGTGAGACCCCAGTCTCTACAAAAAAATTTTTAAAAAGTTAGCTGGGCATGGTGGCATGTACCCGTGGTCCCAGCTACTTGGGAGGCTGAGGTGGGAGAAATGCTTGAGCCCAGGAAGTTGAGGCTGTAGTGAGCATTGATCACGCCACTGCACTCCAGCCTGGGTGACAGATCCAGACCTTGTCTCAAAAAAAATCAGATTGTTTTCTTATTGTTGAGTTTTAAAAGTTCTTTATATATTTTAGATAACAGTACTTTATCAGATGTGTCTTTTGCAAATGTTTTCTCAGTTTATGGCTCGGCTTATGCTCTTGACAATGTCTTTTGGAGTGTAGAAGTTTTAAATTTTAACCAAGTCTAGCTTATTTTTTTCTTACATGGATGGTGCTATTGGTGTATCAAAAAAGTCATCACTATACCCAGTATCATCTAGGTTTTCTCCTGTTATTTATTTAGTTTGAGAGACAAAGTGTTGCTCTAATCCCCAGGCTAGAGTTTTGCTTTACTACCCAGGCTTCTATTACCCAGTAATGCGATCCTAGCTCACTACAGCTTTAAACTCTGGGCTCAAGTGATCCTCCTGCTTCAGCTTCCTGAGTAGCTAGGGCAACAGGTGCACACTACCACACCCAGTTAATTTTTAGATTTTTAGTAGAGATGGAGTCTTGCTGTGTTGCCCAGGCTGGTCTTGAACTCTTGGCCTCAAGCAGTCCTCCCACTTCAGCCTCCCAAAGTGCTGGGATTACAGGTGTGAACCACTGTGCCCAGACTCCTATATTATTTTTTGAGTTTTAGACTTTCGTGTTTCACATTTAGGTCTGTAATCCATTTGGAGTTAATTTTTGTGAAGGGTGTAAGGTCTGTGTCTACATTCATTTTATTGCATGTGGGTGTCCAGTTTTTTCAGCACTATTTGTTGAAAAGACTATCTTGGCTCCATTGTATTATCTGTGCTATTATGTCAAAGATCAATTGACTGTATTTATGTGGGTCTATGAACTCTTTGTTCTGTCCCATTGATCTAATTATCTAGTCTTTCACCAATACTACACTGTTTTGGTTACTGTAGCTTTAAAGTAAGTCTTGAAATCAGATAGCATCAGTGTTCTGACTTTGCTTTCTCCTTCGTATTTAGTTGGCTATTCTGAATTTTTTACCTCTCCATAGAAACTTTAGAATTGATTTGTTGATAGCTACAGAATAACTTGCTTTGATTTTGATTGGGATTACATTGAATGTATACATTAAGTTGGAAAGAACTGACATCTTGACAATATTGAGTCTTCCTATCCATGAATATGGAATGTCTCTTCATTTATTTAGTTCTTTTTTGATATGTTTCATCAGTTTTATAGTTTTCCTCATATAGATTGCATACATATTTTATTAGATTTATACCTACGTATTTCATTTTTGGTGGCACTAATGTACATGGTAATGTATTTTTAAATTTCAAATTCCACTTGTTTAATGCTTGTATATAAGAAAGTGACTTTTGTGTATTAACCTTGTATCCTGCAACCTTGCTGTAATTGCTTATCAATTCCAGTTTTTTGTTGAATCATTTGTATTTTATACATAGATGATCATGTCTTCTGTGAACAAAGCCAGTTTTCTTTCTTTCTTTCCCATTTTTATACCTTTTATTTCCTTTTCTTGTCTTACTGTATTAGCTAGGGTCATGTTAAAAAACCTGGTGAGAGGGGACATCCTTACCTTGTTCCTGATCTTAGTGGAACTGCTTTGAGTTTCTCATCATTCAGTATGATTTTTTATTTTATTTATTATTTTATTGTATTTTATTTTATTTTTGAGACAGGGTCTCACTCTGTCACCCAGGCTTGAGTGCAGTGGCACGATCTCAGCTCACTACAACCCCTGCTTTCTGAGCTCAGGTTATCCTCCCAACTCAGCCTCCTGAGTAGCTGGGACCACAGGTGCATGCCACCATGCAGCACTAATTTTTGTGTTTTTTATAGAGACAGGGTTTCGCCATGTTGCCTAGGCTTGTCTCAAACTCCTGGGTTCAAGCGATCCACTCACCTCTACTTCCTAAAGTGCTGGGATTACAGGTTAAGTGATGTTAGCTGGACTTTTTTTTGTAGATGTTCTTTAATCAGGTTGAGGAAGTTCCCTTCTATTCCTAGTTTCTGAGGAGTTTTTTTCTTTTTTTTCATAAATAGGTGTTGGATTTTGTCATATGCTTTTTCTGCATCTATTATTTGACCATGTGATTTTTACCGTGTAGCTTATCGATGTGATGGCTTATGTTAAGTGAGCCATTAAGTGAGTGTAAGTGAGCTATTACATTAAGTGAGCCATTCAACATTTTTTGAAGGTTGAACCAGCTTTGCATACCTGGTGTGAATTCCACTTGGTTCTTTATTTTATTTTCAGAGACAGGGTCTCACTTCGTCACCCAGGCTGGAGTGCAGTGGTGCAATCATAGCTCACTGTTAACCTCAAACTCCTGGACTCAAGTGATCCTCCTGCCTTTGCCTCCCAAAGTGCTTGGATTACAGGTGTGAGCCACTGTGCCCAGCCTATAATTCTTATTATACTTTGTTGGGTTTGATTTGCTAGTATTTTGTTGAGGATTTTCACATCTATGTTCATGAGAGATATTGATCTGTGGTTTTCTTGTAATGTCTTTTTTTTTTCTTACAGGCGTGTACCACCATGCCCAGCTAATTTTTTTGTATTTTTATTAGAGACGGTGTTTCTCCATGTTGGCCAGGGTGGTCTCAAACTCCTGGCTTCAAGTGATCCACCCACGTCAGCCTCCCAAAGTGCTGGGATTACAGGAGTGAGCCACCACACACAGCCTAACGTCTTTTTTATGGTTCCGGTGTTAGAGTAATACTGGCCTCCTAAAATGATTTAGGAAGCATTCTATATGCTTCTGTCTTCCAAAGAGAATGATAAAGAATTGGTATTATTTCTTTCTTAAATGTATGGTAGAATTCACCAGTGAATTCATCTGGTCCTGGGTGCTTTCTATTTTGGAAGGTTATTAATTACTGAGTCAATTTCTTTAATAGGTGTAGACCTATTCAAGTTGTCTATTTATTGTTGTGTGAGTTTTGGCAGATTGTGTCTTTCAAGGGGTTGGTCCATTTCATCTAGGTTATCAAACTTGTGGGCATAGAGTTGTTCGTAATGTTCCTTTATTATCCTTTTAATGTCCATGGGATCTTTAGTGATCTCCCCTCTTTTCCTTCCCTCCCTCCCTCCCTCCCTTCCTCCCTTCCTCCCTTCCTCCCTTCCTCCCTCCCTTCCTTCCTTCCTTCCTATTTTTGAGACCGAGTCTTGCTCTTTTGCTGAGGCTGGAGTGCAATGGCGCGATCTTGTCTCACCGCAACTGCTGCCTCCCAGGTTCAAGCGGTTCTCTTGCCTCAGACTCCTGAGTAGCTGGGATTGCACGCATGCACCACCACGCCTGGCTAATTTTTGTATTTTTAGTAGAGACAGTGTTTCGCCATGTTGGCCAGGCTGGTCTTGAACTCCTGACCTCAGATGATTCACCTGCCTCGGCCTCCCAAAATGCTGGGATTACAGGTGTGAGCCACTGAGCCCAGCCTCCCCTCTTTCATTTCTAATATTAGTAGTTTGTGCCTTCTCTGTTTCTTTTTCAATTAGCTTGGCTAGAGTCTTAATTTTATTCATCATTTCAAAGAACCAGCTTTTGGTTTCATTGATCTTCTCTATTGATTTTCTGTTTTCAATTTCATTGATTTCTGCTCTATTTTGTATTATTTATTTTCTTCCACTTACTTTGGATTCAATTTGCTCTTCTTTTTCTAGTTTTCTTTAAGGTGGAAGGTTAGATTTTTAATTTTAGATCTTTCTTGTTTTATAATATATTCAGTCAGTGCTACAGATTTCCCTCTATGCACTGCTTTCACTGCATTTCACAAATTTTCTTAAGTTGTATTTTCATTTTCATTAGTTAAACATGTTTAAACATTTCTCTGGAGCTTTCTTCTTTGACCTATGTGCTATTTAGAATTATGTTGTTTAATCTTCAAATATTTGGTTATTTTCCAGCTTTCTATTTTTAATTTCTACTTTAATAATTCTATTGTGGTCATTTAATGATTTCTGTTCTTTTATTTTTTATTTTATTATTATTATTATTTTTTTTGAGATGGAGTCTCACTCTTGTTGCCTGGGCTGGAGTGCAGTGGTGCAATCTTGGCTCACTACAACCCTTGCCTCTTCGGTTCAAGCGATTCTCCTGCCTCAGCCTCCCAAGTAGCTGGGATTACAGGCATGTGCCACCACACCCGGCTACTTTTTGCATTTTTAGTAGAGATGGGGTTTCACCATGTTGGCCAGGCTGGTCTCAAACTCCTGATCTCAGGTGATCTGCTTGTTGGCCTCCCAAAGTGCTGGGATTACAGGCGTGAGCCACTGTGCCCAGCCTGTTCTTTTAAATTTGTTAAGGTGTGTTTTGTGGTCCAGAAGATGCCCTATCTTAGTGAATGTTCCATGTCTGCCTGAAGAATGTTTATTGTGCTACTGTTGTAAGAAGTAGTTTATAGATGTCAGTTATATCCAGTTGACTGATGGTGCTGTTGAGTTCAACTATGTCCTTTTGTGCTTTTCTGGCTGCTGGATCTGTTCGTTTCAGATAGAGGGGTGTTAGAGTCTCTAACTCTAATAGTGGATTCATCTCTTTCTCTTTGTCAATTTTTGCTTCATGTATTTTGGTGCTGTGTTGTTAAGCACATATGTAGTAAGCACCGATTAAGTCTTCTTGGGGTATTGACCCCTTTATCATTATGTAATATCCCCCTTTTTCCCTGACAAGTTTCTTTGCCTTGAAATCTGCTCTGTCTGAAGTTAATACAGCTGTGGTTGCCTTCTTTTGATTAGTGTTAGCATGGTATATCTTCCTACATCCTGTTACTTTTAATCCCTGTCTTTATATTTAAAGTGGATTTCTTCTATACAACATACAGTTGGATCTTGTGTTTTAATCCGTTTTCACAATCTCTGTTGTTTGACATATTTAATTGATGTTTAACGTGATTATTGATATAGATGGATAAATAACTACCATATTTGTTGCCCTTGTTTTAATTTTTTTGTATTTTTAAAAGTTTTTTCTTGTGAAAGGGTCTTGGTCTTCTGCCCAGGCTGCAGTGCAGTGGCATGAACATAGCTCACTGTAGCCTCGAACTCCTGGGCTTAATTGATCCTCCTGCCTCAGCCTTCCATGTAGCAAGCCATCATGACTGGCAAATTTTATTTTTTTTAATTGTTGCTTTGTTTTTTTCTTTTTTTATCTTTCATACTTTTGCTGCTTTTTTAGTTTGAGCATTTTATATGATGTTGTTTCTTACCTTTCTTAGCATATCATTTTTACTACATTTTAAACTTCTTTTAGTGATTGTCCTGGAGTTTGCAATACATTTATAACCAATGCATGCCCACTTTCAAATAACACTATACTGCTTCATGGGTAGTGCAATACCTAATATTAACAAACTATTCATAATTCTCTCTTGTTTCTTGTATCATTGCTGTCATTTATTTCACATATGCATAAGTGCATATATATACACACACAATACCACACATATATACATACACATACATAATTGAGTACATTATTGCTATTATTTTGAACAAACTATTATCTGTAAAAAAATCAGTAAGAAAAATAAGTTTTGGGTCAGGCGCAGTGGCTCATGCCTGTAATCCCAGCACTTTGGGAGGCTGAGGCAGGTGGATCACCTGAGGTCAGGAGATCGAGACCAGCCTGGTCAATGTGGTAAAACCCTGTCTCTACTAAAACTACGAAAATTAGCCAGGTGTAGGGGCAGGCACCTGTAATACCTGCTACTTGGGAGGCTGAGGCAGGAGAATCGCTTGAATTCGGGAGGCAGAGGTTGCAGTGAGCTGAGATCACGCCATTGTACTCCAGCCTGGGCGACAAGAGCAAAACTCTGTCTGAAAAAAAAAGGAAAGAAAAATAAGTTTTATTTCACCTTCACTTATTCTTCTCTGTTGTTTTTCTTTCCTTATGTAAATCTGAGTTTCTGACCTATATTGTTACCTTTTTCCCTGTAGAACTTCTTTTAACATTTCTTGCAAGGCAGGTCTACCAGCAACAAATTCCCTCGGTTCCTGTTTGTCCAAGAAAGTTTTTGTCTTTTGTTTTTGAAGGATGAGTTTTCAGGATACAGAATTAGAGGTTGCTGTTTTTTTTGTTTTTGTTTTTTTTTTTCCACACAACACTCTAAGTGCTTCACTCTCTTCTTGCTTGCATCGTTTATGAGGAAAAGGCAATGTAATTCTTATCCTTGCTCTTCTACAAGTAGATAATTTTTCCTTTGGCTTCTTTCAAGATTTTTTCTTTATCTTTGATTTGTTTGAAATTTGAAAATGGTATGCCTTGGTGTAGGGTTTTTTGGGGCATTTATCCCGCATGCTGTTTTCTGAGCTTACCAGTTCTGATTCTGGTTCTGATGCTTGTTGAGTCTCTTCAGATTGTATTGTTTGCCTTTTAGTATGCTTTCTAATTTTTTGTTAAAAGGAAGATATGGTCCATGTGTGGTGGCTCACACCTGTAATCCTAGCAGTTTGGGAGAGTGAGGCGGGTGGATCACTGAGGCCAGGAGTTCAAGACTAGCCTGGGCAATATGGTGAAACCTCATCTCTACAAAAACATACAAAAAAATTCAGCTGGGCATGGTGGTGGGCACCTGTAGTCCCAGCTACTTGAGAGGCTGAGGTGGGAGAATCACTTGAGCCCAGGGGGGCCGAGGCAGCAGTGAGCCGAGATCATGGTACTACACTCCAGCCTGGGTGACAGGGTGAGACCCTGTCTCAAAAAAAAAAAAAAAAAGAAAAAAGAAAAAAAAGGAGGATATGATGTATTGGGTAAAAGGAACTATGGTAAATGGGACGTTAGTAATTGAGTGGCGGTGTGTGGGGAGGGAAACCATTCTACAGTCCTGTGGGTAAGTTTTAGTCCTTTGTTTCTCATTATTTTTTTGAGAGTGTGTGGTGTGTTTTTTAACATCCTCGAGTGAGACAGAAAGGTAAGAGGAGATTGGATTTGGGTATTTACCTTTCCCCAGGTAGGTTAAGCTCTGATATAACCCCAGCAAGTTAGGCTCTCATAAAGTAGTTTCTGTCGAGGCCAGGCTTTGTTAAGAACAGAATGATCTGGTCTGGCATGTTTCAAGATGGTTCCATTTTCACACCCACTGCCAGAGGCTCGAGGGGATTTTTATTCAGTATTGGCTGTTAGAGCCTGGTGGAGCTCCTGGAGGTAAAACACATCAGTGTGAGGGCCCCTAGGTCTGGGTTCCCCTGGAATTTTTACTTTTTACAATTTTTAATTTTTACATTTTACAATGTCTTGTCCACATTGAACCTCTAGAAATTTGTCAATCACAGTTTAGGTGTTCCTACCTTGGTACTGAGTCCTGAGGTTCTCGCTTGTGGATTTCTGCCCTGGTAAATTGTGATTCTCTGTATCTGCCTGTTTGTCTCTCCAATTTTTGGGGCAGCAGTTTGCTCTATGACGTCATTTTTCTGACGGATGTAAGAAGAGCTGTTCAGCTTTTTACCTGTGGTCAGATCTAAGTGAAGTCTTCTGAGCTGCATGTGTTGGCCTGGAAACTGAAAGTCTGAATGTTCACAAATCAGTGTATTTCAGCTTCGAAGGACATTGTGTTGCTAGAACCTAATCATTGCACCTTAGTTTGAGGGAAGGATTGGTCATTATTGTATTTGGAATTAAGATATGAATTTCATTATGTACAAAAAAACTCTACTTATTCCAAGAGCTGCTTAATCGAGTCCTTGAATCTCATTAATATCCTGTACTATCATACCTATCTGTGGTCCTTCAGGACAAAAGTCTTACATCATCTGCCCTCATGGAGGGCCATTATAATAAAGACTAATTATTTATATATTTACTTTGAGGCAGCATTACATATCCATTGGAGACTGATTTATGCATTTCAGTTACCATGCATCTATTGATTTAAATCCATAATTTTTGGACACCTACCAGAATGGCTGACACTAAATATTGGCTAGGATGTGGAGCAGATAGAACTCTTGTACGTTGCTGGTGGAAGTGTAAATTGGTACAATCACATTGGAAAATTAAATCTACAAAAGATACACATGTGCCTGCCCTAATATACAGAAGTAGTTACTCTACTAGATATATATCCAAGAGAAATACATATACATGTTTACTAAAAGACATTTGTGAGAATGTTTACATCAATATTCTTTATTATGTTGTTTTCAAAATGGTAAAACAGTGATCTCATACAACTATATAAGGGACAGATATCCTGCATTTTTTTTAACTCATTGATTAGGGATTTGGGATGTTATTATAGCTGGTTCCAAGAAGAAGGTGAATATCACAGAGAAGCAATTAGGAATACTGAAATAAATTTTCTAATAGATACAAGCTTGGTTAATATTCTGTTGGGCACTAAAATGTACTGTTTGGAATAATCTTTTCTACAGAGTGGAATTCACTTGTATCTCTACCAGACAAAATTCATTTGCATTTCTGTGCACAAGAATCAATTGCATTACTATCAGTTTTTGACAGCTCAGAGTATTGTACAGTAGCCCAGTCAAAGACAAAGTGTGGATCCCCTATAGAATCAGATAACCCCAAAGGGTCTGCTAGAGAGCTCTTGGTAATCCATAGAAAAAACACAGAACACAAAGTAATCTATTCAGCATTTCAAAATCTTTCACAATTTTCCTTGACATCTTTTTTTTTTTTTTTTTTTTTTTTGAGACTGAGTCTTGCTCTGTTGCCTAGGCTGGAGTGCAATGGTGCAATCTCAGCTCACTGCAACTTCCGCCTCCTGGGTTCAAGCAATCTTCCCACCTCAGCCTCCCGAGTAGCTGGGACTACAGGTGTGTGCCACCATGCCCGGCTAATTTTTGTATTTTTGGTAGAGACAGCTTTTCACCATGTTGGCCAGGCTGGTCTCGAACTCATGACCTCAAGTGTTCCACCCACCTTGGCCTCCCAAAGTGTTGGGATTATAAGGCATGAGCTACTGTGCCTGGCCTCCTTGACATCTTAAGAGCTAAAAACTAGAAGTAAAAAAGTAAAAACAACTCAGAGGTCCATGAACAGTAGTACAATGGATAAAATTGTAATATTTTCGGCCAGGCACGGTGGCTCACGCCTGTAATCCCAGCACTTTGGGAGGCCGAGGTGGGCAGATCATGAGGTCAGGAGATTGAGACCATCCTGGCTAACACAGTGAAACCCCGTCTCTACTAAAAATACAAAAAATTAGCCGGGCATGGTGGCACGTGCCTGTAGTCCCAGCTACTTGGGAGGCTGAGGCAGGAGAATGGCGTGAACCCAGGAGGTGGAGCTTGCAGTGAGCCAAGATCGCGCCACTGCACTCCAGCCTGGGTGACAGAGCGAGACTCCTTCTCAAAAAAAAAAAAAAAAAATTTGTAATATTTTCATACAATGGAAATCTATATAGCAATACATATAAAACTACAATTCCATGCAACAACATGAATTAATTTCATAAGCATAGTAATGTGTGAAAGAAGCCATTCCCAAGGGTACATATTGTGGGAACCCATTTACATTAAGATGAACAAGTAGAACTTAAAGTAATAGAAATCAGGATTGTAGTTATGGCCACTCTTGAGTTGGGATTATGACTGAAAAGAGATGTAGCAGGACCTTCTGAGTATCCATAATATTCTGTTTCTTGATGTCTTTTGGTTCAGAGGTACGTTAACATTTAAAATTCATGTTATACATATACTTAGGATGTATGTATTTTTTCTGTGTTTGTTACCTCTTGATAAAGTTTGCTAAAAAAAAAAAAAATCATTTGTGGACCACAAACATCCATTTAACCAGTATCTATAGGGGAAAGTGGGGTTGTGAATGTGTACTCTTGTCCTAATAATGCAGCATTATAAAGCAGTATTTTTATTGTCTTTTGGTATTTGAATTTTCTATATTATAATTGGTCTATGAAAAGTCATCAGAAGTTTAGAAATAAGTTTGATTCTGAGGGCAAGATAACCTTCATTTGCTTTCAGAATTCTCTAAAAGCACTTCTACAGCTCTCCCAGAACTTGTGTAGCCTTTTCTGTGTGTATATTATTGTCTTAGCTGTTGTAATTTCCTTTTGCCTTAGATCGAGTTGTGAGATTCTAAACTTGTACTACCCCCACCCCTTTTTTGGTTTGGTATGTAATTTGCATATTTTCACCATGCGAAAGCTATTTTCTATGGTTGGAAAAGATTTTTTTTCCTACAGTGTGAACAAATCATTCTTTGTTCTCCTTATTGTGCCTCCAAACTGGTACGTCCGGTTTATGCCCCAAACAACAAAAGTCTGTCATCAGAAATTAAAATGCCAGTAAGAACAAAGGCAGAGACCATGAGGAGCTGTTGGAGAGGCTTTCTCCCTGTTCGCTCTTCTCCCCAAGTTACCACAGTTGCCAGGAAGTTGGAATACTGCTTGGACTCTCTTTCCTTGTAGTTCTACTCTTGTATTTATTGCTATTGTTGGTTTAAAAGTGAACTTACAGTTTAGTATACTTCTTTTCAGGATCTAGAAAATCCTTATCTCTGCCATTTTTAATGAGCTCTTTTCTTAAAACCTAAAAAATCACTCTTGACAGCCTTATAAAAAATCAGTTTTGGCACTTATTTGAAGGCAAAATTATCAGTGGACATAATGTATAAAATTATTATTCAGAAAGATAGCTAAAGCAGAATCTGTAAAGACTAACCATCCTCTGTGTGTCCTTTCTAAAACGTATGGATCATATCTGTATAAACCTTAACTCTGTTTCTGTTCTGAAATGGTACTCTAATGTAGAATTCCCACAGACTATTTGGAGAGTTCTCTCCTCGAGGAAGTTTGACATTTTGTGACTCACATAGGATAGTTTAGAATTATGCTTCTAATTTCAGTAGGTTGTACAATCCTGATTTTAATATATTCAGAAATATCTATAAATGTGACACAATGTTTCCTCTGCTCCCCCCAACCCCCACCCCCGAGTTATAATTAAACACAGATCCTAGGACCATAGAGGTAATGAAGAATGGACAGTGAATGTGGGGATGCATTTTAAAATCAGTCCAAATGTTTTTTTCCTCCCCTCACCCATTGCCTTATGTGTAAGGAGGGATTTAAGATACAAGCTTAGAATAGGGCATTTAGGTTTGTTTTGAAAGCTGTTTTGCTGAAAAGTGTTGTATATTCAGGTTTCAAAATGTTTTTTGATGTCAGAATAAGCTCTTGTGTATTAAATACAATGATAGCAAACTTTTATATTGTGAGTATGCTAAGACAGATTTGTTTTATTCTTTTTTTTTGAATAATTGAGTACAGCAGCTCATTTAAATATGGTTACACTTCTTTAACATAAAGGTTTTATTTGATAGGACCAAAAGCTAAATACTAGAACTGGCATATGCAAATAATAGTACAGAGTGGTGGATTTTGTTTTAGAATACTATAATTTATTATAAGTGTAAAGTGAGAAGTATTTTTCATTACTTGAAATATAATTTCAATGTAAGTTCTATGGTATTATTTTAAAATATATTTTTTATTTTATTAATAGAAATAGCAGGTATATTGGGTAACACTTATCTGTTACAATAATTTATTTTTAAAATGTAAATGGCTTGGCAGTGTTTTTATTCTTTTGGCTATTGTTAAAATTTTAAAAGGTAGGTGGAAATAGCCAATAACACATCTGTAATATAATTAGATTACATTAGTGTTACACCTTTTAGCATATATATGCTTAAAATAAAAAAGACTGTAATTTTTAGATTTCAGAGAATGTACGATACTACATTGCAGGGGAAGTTGAACAAATAACCTTTGAAGACTTTTTCTAAATTTTAAATTTTGTTCTATAATAATAAAATGTGGACTATAATGGCCATGGTTTTTATTCTGAAAATTAAAAGTTACAAAGGAATTTGTAGAGTAAATAAGTTCTTATAGTTTGGAATAATGAGTTTATAGCTTTTACGTGTTTCATTGGTGATAGGTGGTGCTATTGTTGCACAGTTAGTCCTAGCATTCTTCACATCTGCATCCCAAGTGCTACAGAAGGATTTCTTGCTAATAAATAATTTGTAGTAATTATCATAAGCAAAATGAATGTGATAGTCATTTAGGCGTTATCACAACTTAACATTTTAAGAAACAAAAATATTTGTAGTTTGCAGCTCTTAAATTCAGATAGAAGCTGAAAATCTAAAAAAGTAGTTACTCTAAAAGAGAGCTCTGTAGATTTATAGTAATATTGTAAGATTTATACACTTCTAATTTTATCATGTATACATCTTTGATATTTTAAACTGCTTGTATGGCAGGCAGTTATTTAAAAAAATACCATCAGTATGTTTCCTCTATTGAATTTATATCTTTATTACATTGGTTGTAAGTTCTTTTGTATCTTGAACTAGTTTTATAATGTTTGCCATTTTCTCTGATAGTGCATATTTCATCAAACACTAGGCAATTATGAAAATGGTTTAAGAACTACAGTACCACGTACAGTAATTTAATCTGTCCATTCCCCTTCCCCACCTCCTCCAAAGATAAACTCGTAGTTCTGTCAGTTGAGATGGAAATAAGAAAGCTATTCTTAACTATAATTTAATCTGCTCAGTGCTTCAATGAGCAGTTTGAAAAGCAGTTGTTTTCACACTCAACACATATTACCATGCCTCTTTACCTTTTGTTCTTCTTTTAAAAAAATTTTTATCCCCCACAAAATGTCCTGAACATACCCTTTACCTTTTGAATTAATAGAATGAATGACTGAAAGTGCTTGGATATTCATAATGTTTGAGCTATGTGTATATTTATGTGTATAATAAAAATGATGACTTTTAAAAGTTGTATATATATATAGAATTTTTTGTTCATAGAATATTGAAATTAGAAGTATCCTGGCAGCTTTTTTTAGCAGCTTTTCCTTTTCGTTTTATGATTGTGAAAGAATATAGGCTTATTGAGGTTACATGATTTACTCAAGGTTAACAGACAATTAGTTGCCTAACCATAAGTATACCTAAGTTATTCACATTTCACCTACGTGTTCTTTGCAATAAGTATTGCTTTTTCTCATTTACAACATATTTGTTAAAGTTGCTATAATATTTAAGGTGAGATTTTCAGAGTAGTATTACAGTTGTTTTGTTCTCAAAGAAGGCAGTTGTGCAGGAACTGTACAGATTTCTAATGGTTTAATAAGATAAAAATTATAGACTTCCAGAACAGACCCTTTTTTTCTGTTCATATCAAGTGTGTGCTCTTACAGTTTTCTAAAATTACTTGCAGTAATTTAAGATATGAATATACTTAACATGTATGACCAATGATAAATGGGTGTGGGTGTATGTATATATATTTCAGACAAAATATTGTTATAAAATTTAGAAGATCTTGTTTTTATATAATACTGTTGTGACCTTCATTTTCCCACTGAAATATTTTCTTTCTTCTCTTATGCAGATCAGTGGTGAAGCACAAGAGCTCTTCTCTGTTCGACATGGCCCAATTCGAGCGGCTAGAATCTTGCCTGCTCCACAGTTTGGTGAGTGTAGTCCTTAAGAAAAGAATCTTTCAGAAAAGAGTTTCTCTTTTGTTGGTCTTGGACTACAGGCAGCAAGAATGATAACTAAAGTCTGTTTTCCTCCAAGTGTCCATTCCCCTTCCCCACCTCCCCCAAAGATAAACTTAGTTCTGTCAGTTGAGATGGAAATAGGTAATCTTAACCAATTCAATATGGCCATTCACTTTCTGCTGTGGTTTTGATTTATCTTCATCCTCTTTGATCTCGATTTAGCCTCTGCCTTTGCTGGCTCTTTCTTGAAGCCCTTTTTCTCTCTTGGTTTTCATGGCATCCTTCTTCCCAGATCCCTTCCTGGCTGACTGTGCCGCCTTTGTTATGTTTCTGGCTTAGCTTTCTTCTGTGGGTATTCCTCAAGTCTCTATTGTTCTCATGCCTTTGCCCTCCTTCTCAGTTATACTTATGCCATGGAGAGCTTGGTTTTCACTTTTCTCTGGGCTGTAGATGACTCTACTGTCTGCATCTACAGCTATGTCAGAAGTGGAGTTTTGGGCTTTTAAGCTTGCAATTCTGCTTTAATAGAGAATACTTCTTAATGTTGTGTTTAAATAATATATATGTTTTATATTTATTTAAAAAATTCAAATATGTGTTTGTATTAAACTTGCTGTTTAGATGGCTAAATAACGCCTGACTCCTTAATACTTTGAGTTTTCCAAAGGTGTTATTCTCTCATTACCTTTCCTGTGTTCACTCAAGCATGTTTTTGCATGTACAGTGAAAACATAATCATAATAATCATGTTTGGATACTTTAAAATCTTCTTAAAAAGAGGATATTAAAATATTTTAATTCTATTATATTTTAAAAAGTTACCAGAAGTGAAAAAAATCTTATAAGACTTCTTGTAGCAGCTAATCCTCTAAATTTGTGAGAAAGATGTTTTTGAAAACTTATGACATTGTGATTGTGTGTAAATAATTTAGGGATTAATTTAGCAACTAAATCTGCCTAAATGAAATGAGGAGGGTGGAGGAAACAAGCAACAGTATCTTGCAGTCACATGTAGATTTTCTCCCTTGCTATTCAACTCTATGGCATATTCTGATTTCAGCTCTTTAGCTGTCTCTCTGTTTCTTTCTCACACAATTGATTGTGCTGTCTCTCGCTCTCTCATGCTCTGTCACTCTCTCTCTTGTTCTGTTTTTTGTTGCATTTGTACTTTGGTGAAATATTTTGATAATGAAGATTCTAGACCGTCCTTTTCTAGAAGGGTTTTGGAATAGCCAGCTTTCTCTTTGGATGGCTGGAATCAAGGAGGACTTTATTACTAAAGGGCTCTGCTGTTTCTCTGTGTGTAATTCACAGACGCAGATTTTTCCCTCTTCATGTTATTTATGAAGTTATTTTGTTTATGTGTATTATCAATGTTCATCTTTTCTCAACTTTTAAGGCAGAAATATGTCTTGAAAATATCTAATTAATATTGCTAATATTTTATTTAGAAGTAGATTTAATTTACTTTCCTCTTAAAAAAAGATTCCTTCCTTCACTATAATGTATTTATTTAAAAACATATTGTTAGATTTAAAATGTAATTTTATATGGGTAAGTTTTCTGTTATGATTTGAACAAATTACTTGTGTAGCTTTTATTGTATTTGATTAATTTTTTAGATTTTTAAAAAAGACTAGTCGAGTGCAGTAGTGAGAAGGGGGGAAAAAGTAGAACAAGGAGTTCCATCAGTAACTGACTGTAAACAATCAAGAACTCACTACCTTCGGAGCAGCCTTTTAGATTTTTTTCCCCCAAAGTTATACGTGCAAATGATCACATAAAACTTGTAATGGAAAAGAGTAATACCCACTTTTCTCTTTTACCCATTTTGCTTTAATTCGTTATGGTGGAATATGTAGCTTTCTGAAAAAGGATGTGTGGGAGATATTGTCTGTCTTTATTCTTCCTTCACTCTTGATTGATTGTTTGGCTGGATAACAAATACGTGTTTATAAGAATGTTACTTCAGAATTTCGAAGGCATTGGTGTAACATTATGTTGAAGAGTCTGAGGCCATTTTGATACCTTTTTCTTTGTGGCTTGTTTTACTTTCTGGAAATCCATACAATGTTGGCTTTGTTCCCAATGTTCTGAGACTTTGCAGCTTTGTGTCTTGATTCACACATTTTCCTGGACCGTTTTAATTTGGAAATGCAAGTCTGGTATTTTGATGAAATGGCTTCAATTTTTGTTGTTGATTTCTTCCATTGAGTTTTCATTGTTCACTCTTTCTATAACTTGTATTATCTGGGTGTTAAATCCCTTGTACTGGTTAATTTTTTAAAATTAATTTCTTTCTTATTCTTTTTTTGAGATAGTTCCAGTGTGGCTTACTATTACTTCTATTGAACAATTATTTTCTGCTGTTATGTTTTTCTTATCCTATACTTCTCATATCTAATACCCTCCTCCCTTCTTTCTTCTTTCCCTCCCTTTCTTCTTTCTTGGTATACTTTACATACAAATAAGTAGCAAATAGAATCCAATGACATATAAAAAGAATTATACATCAGGACAAAGTAAGATTTATTCCAGGAATACAATGTTGGCTAACATTTGAAAATTAATCAATGGGATGGGCACGGTGGTTCATGCCTGTAATCCCAGCACTTTGGGAGGCTGAGGCAGGTGGATCATGAGGTCAGGAGTTCGAGACCAGAGTGGCCAACATAGTGAAACCTCGTCTCTACTAAAAATACAAAAAATTAGCCGAGCATGGTGGCCAGTGCCTGTTATTCCAGCTACTCGGGAGGGTGAAGCAGGAGAATTGTTTGAACTTGGGAGGCAGAGGTTGCAGTGAGCCGAGGTAGCACCATTGCATTCCAGTCAGGGTGACAGTGTGAGACTCCATCTCAAAAAAAAAAAAGAAAATTAATCCATGTAATTTACTGTATTAGAGTGAAGAAGAAAACCTGTATGATCATCTCAATAGAAGTAGAAGAAAACTTTGCCAAATCTCAGTAGCCATTTATGATTTAAAAAAGAAAAGTTTTAGCAAACTAGGAATAGAAAAAAAATTTTCTGAATATGATAAAAGTTATCTGCTTTAAAAATGTATACCAAGCATCATACTCAGTGTTGATATATTGAATGCTTTCCTGCTGAGTTCAGGATGACTTCTGTCACCACTTCTATTTATTGTAGTTCCTAGCCATTACAATAAGGCAAGAAAAAAAAATAAAAGACATAAAGATTAGAAAGAAGGATATGAAAGTGTCGTTATTCATCGATAACATGATTGTGTACATAGAAAATGCAATAGAACCAACAAATAGTTAGAATTAATCAGTGAATTTAGCAGTGCTGCTGCATAGAAGGTTCTGTAAATCTTTTGTGAACTGAATCCCTTCCTGTGCATTTTTCCAGCATCACATTCTGCCATCCTTACCCTGTCCCCCTCACTAGTCATCACAACAACATTCCCTTGTGATAGTTGTACTGAATTTCTTTTATTTCCTCAAAAGACCCATCTTCCTGCTTTCAGGTCTGCTTTTGTTATTTCCTCTTCTAGAATACTTATGTCCTTCTAACCCTTCTTGTTCCTTATCCACTGTCAGTAGTGCATGCTCCCATAGGACTTAATGTTCTTTAATTGTTCATTTGCCTCTTGTTTGCTACATTTGCAGGCTGTTTTTATGTATTCAGTGTCTCACAGAGTGCTTTATACAAGGTATTAATAAATATTTGTTGAATGTTGCTGGATTGTATAATACTTTGCAATTTAAGACGTGGAAGAAAAAGTGAATCCCCTTTCTAAAGGTATTTCTGTAGAAAGCCTGTCCCCTAACTAAAAGTGAGAAACTGAAGGATTTGGATGTCTTCATATCCCACAGAAGACCATCATTGTATTTAATGGGCATTTACTCATGTCAACACAGCTTATGCATCCCTGCTTCTTCATGGCCACTATCAATAATAATTGATTATTTTCTTAATGAACCTAGATCTGCTTTAGGATTTTTTTCAATACAATATTCCAGAAAGCTATGACTAATTAATTGGTATTATCTCAGATAAAAACTGTTACTAATTATCTTTCAAATCTGTCCTTCCAGAACTTAATTCCAAGTAATAAATTTTTCTTATTCATTACTTTAAGTAGCCATTTTGGCTTTTAGTACCTCACTTTTGTAATAAAATGTATCAGTATGTATATTTTAATATACAAGTAAAAAAGAGACTTTCACTTCCTTTAATATGTTTTTAATTTGTTTCTTTTTTTTCTTTTTCTTTTTTTTTTTTTTTTTGAGATGGAGTTTCACTCTTGTTGCCCAGGCTGGAGTGCAATGGTGCAATCTAGGCTCACCACAACCTCCATCTTCTGGGTTTAAGCGATTCTCCTGCCTCAGCCTCCCGAGTAGCTGGGATTATAGGCATGTGCCACCACACCCGACTAGTTTTTGTAATTTTAGTAGAGACAGGGTTTCTCCATATTTGTCAGGCTGGTCTCGAACTCCTGACCTCAGGTGATCCACCTGCCTCGGCCTTCCAAAGTGCTGGGATTACAGGTGTGAGCCACTGCGCCCAGACTGTTTTTAATTTCTTAAAGTAAGGACCATGTAATTCTAACCACTGAAAATATTGATTATTAAAAAAATCAAGTAATACTCAAATGTGGGAAATGAAAATTTATGTGAGTCTGTGTTAGCAAAGGTAAATCTGACTGCTTCTTCCTTTTCATCCTTCCTCAGATATTGAGCATTGTACCAAAGGCCCATATTAACAGCATATATTTCTAGTTTTTTTCCCCTTAACTATTCACACATGCATAACACTAACTTATATTATTATGTCCCAGGACTGATTCAGTTTGTTTATATGTATTACATGTATTGGCTGAAGGGTGTGTGTGTGTGTGTGTGTGTGTGTGTGTGTAAGTGTAATATTTTTCATAACGATTTATAGTGAACATTGTTTTATTTCAGAACTTAGGTATTTATTTTATTATTGCTAAAAATTATGTAACATTGTATTGTATGGGTATTTATATTGTTTTTTCCCAGTTGGTTATGTTGTTATATACTTCCGTATATGTACATTTAAAAAAGTATACAAGGAATTTTTTTTTAAGGGTAACTCCTAATGGGGAATTGCTCACATGTGTATTTCATTTTTTTTTTTCTTTTTTTGAGACAGAGTCTCACTCTGTCGCCCAGGCTGGAGTGCAGTGGCGCGATCTTGGCTCACTGCAAGCTCCGTCTGCTAGGTTCATGCCATTCTCCTGCCTCAGCCTCCCGAGTAGCTGAGACTACAGGCGCCCTCCACCATGCCTGGCTAATTTTTTGTATTTTTAGTAGAGACGGGGTTTCACCATGTTAGCCAGGATGGTCTTGATCTCCTGACTGCGTGATCCGCCTGCCTCGGCCTTGTGTATTTCAATTTTGATGCATGCTGTAAAATTTCCTCTTAGAGAGAGTCTACCAACATTTATACATGAGAATCCCATTTCTCCTTATTCTGTCCTATACTGGTTATTATGAATCTTTTCAATCTTTGCCTGTCTGGATGGCAGAAAATCCTATTCATATGTAACTTGAAAGTGTTTATTTTTAGAGACAGTCTCACTTTGTGGCCCAGGCTGGGATGCAGTGGTGTGATCCTAGCTCACTGAAGCCTCAAACTCCTAGGCTCAAGCAATCTTCCCACCACAGCCTCCTGAATACCTAGGACTACAGGCACACGTCAGCATGCCTGGCTAATTTTTAAATTTTTTGTAGAGTGAGGTCTTGCCATGTTGCCCAGGCTAGTCTTGAACCCCTGGCCTCAAACAATTCTCCCATCTCAGCCTCCCAGTGCTGGGATTACAGATGTGACCCATTGTACCCATATGTAATTTTTTGATCCTTGATTACTAGGGAAGATAGAAAATCCTCATATTTTTGCTATTTATATTCATTAATATCACACTTGTTTATATTCTTTCTCATTGATTTGAGCCCTTTACTAGGTTATTATTAATCTTTAGTTTCATACTAAGAAAATCCTTCTGTATTTTATTATGCCTAACTTTAAATCATGACTTTTCTTGAAAGTTTAATTAAAATTTTATTTTGTTGTTATTTGTCTCTTATTTTATTTATTTATTTATTTATTTATTTATTTATTTATTTATTTAGAGACGGAGTCTTGCTCTGTCACCCAGGCTGGAGTGCAGTGGCTCGACCTCCACTCACTGCAAGCTCTGCCTCCCGGGTTCCCGCCATTCTCCTGCCTCAACCTCCCGAGTAGCTGGGACTACAGGCGCCTGCCACCACGCCCATCTAATTTTTTGTATTTTTAGTAGGGACGGGGCTTCACCATGTTAGCCAGGATGGTCTCGATCACCTGACCTCGTGATCTGCCTGCCTCGGCCTCCCAAAGTGCTGGGATTAGAGGCATGAGCCACCACGCTCTGCCGCGTCTTCTTATTTTATTACATTTTCCATATTGTTGATGGTCAGGAAGTAGTTCTTCCTTGCCAGTCTCTGATTTTCATAGATTTTGGACAAAATTTCTGTTTTATTATGGAATTTCTGTTACTATAATCTTAGCTTTTTGGAATGATGGGAACTGTGTTTTTCTAATATTTGCATTCTATGCAGTGACTTGCATAATAATAATATGTACCATATGAGGGGTACCACATAATGAATTTATTCAATATTTTGTAGACAATAATCTAGAATGCTACTTTGTATAAAGTGTTGTTTATAAATTATCAGTGATCAAATGATGTGTTTTATTTTATTTATTTTATTTTGAGACAGGGTCTCTCTCTCTCTTGCCCATGCTGGAGTGCAGTGGCACAATCATGGCTCACTGCAGCCTTGACCTCCTGGGCTCAAGTGATCCTCCTGCCTTGGCCTCCCAAAGTGCTGGGATTACAGTGTGAGCCGCCATACCTGACTTCTTTTTTTCTTTTTTCTTTCTCTGGGATAGAATTTTGCTCTGTCACCCAAGCTAGAGAACAGTGACGCAATCATGGCTCATTGCAGTCTTGACCTCCTGGGCCCAAGTGATCCCCCTTCCTCAACCTCCAAGTAGCTGAGACCACAGGCGTGTGCCACCATACCTGGCTAATTACGGAGTCTTGCTCTGTCACCCAGGCTGGAGTGCAATGGCGTGGTCGGAGATGGGGTCCCACTGTGATGCACAGGCTGGTCTTGAACCACTGGCCTCAGGTGATCCTCCTGCCTCGGCTTCCCAAAGTACAAGGACTACAGGTGTAATCCTCCGTGCCTGGCCTGATGTTTTTTACATTAATAGAGCTTATAACTCATAAGAATTATGTTAGTCTGGTGTATATTCTGTTTCCTTCCTGCTCCTGGAGAAAGACAATCATTTTGGCCTTGAATAATTTCTTAGAAATGCAGATGTAAAATTTAAAATACACACACACACACACACACACACACACACACACACACACACACACACACACACACACACAGAGTCTGTTCAGCCGAAACACTAGCAAGCCTCTAAAAGTAGGCCAACTGACATTTGTTGATATTCCTCACCAGTCTATTGCAAAGATGAGGAAACAGGCTTATTGACATTTTAAATGGCTAAACTATGAGATTTAGGGCTTCTCTAATGTTTTCCGCTCTAATTACTGCTCAGTTTGCCTTGTGTATTTTTAAAAATAACACCTAGTCTTTATTATTGAGGTCTTACTACTTGTGATCATTTAGGTTTTTGCAATATTTTGCTAAGCCTGTGATGTGATTCAGGTAAATTGTAACTTGAGAACATATGTTGTATTCATCTTAAATTTCTTTAATGATTTGGGTCAGAGAACAGTGTTTCTAGGGGAGAATGTCTGGTTTAGAGGTGCTGCTTTTTCAGTTTGATGATTTCATGGTTTTAGGTATAGGAAATTGATTTCAGAGGATTCTCAGTTTATACCTAGCTGAACCCTGTTATTAGGGCGTTTTTCTATAAGAGGTATAGAGAGAAATGTACTGAACACAAAAGAGAGGTGAATTAAGTGAACTATATAATGCTTGATACTCTTCAGATAACATTTTAGGTTGTTTGTATACATTATTACCACTTTTCCACTATTCTTCAGGGTGAGTACCATTATCCTAATTCACAGGTGAGGAGACTTAATGCTCAAAGAAATTGACGGTTGGTAAATGGTGAAACTGAAACTTGTAATATCAATTATTATTTGGTTATATAGCACATAATATAAAAAAGAAGTACTTCAAAACCCTGTTCCCTGAAGATACTCTCTGTTAATCTCTTGTTTTATATCATTTAAGCCTCTTTATACACACACTCCATGTACATGATGTGTTTTAAAAATTGGGATTACTATGTAATGTATTTTGTAGCTTTTTATTAATTTAACATTATTAGTTGAGCATTTTCCTGATATTAGATATTCTTCTTTTCAATATGCTTTTCAATAGCTGCATAAATTTTCATCATGTGGATTTATGATTACTTATTTAAGCAACCTTAACATTTGTTTTCATTTTTCTCCTGTTTTTTCAATTTTTAATTTTAAAAATTGATACAAATATTTTACATGTTATGCGGTACTTGTGAATATTTCTTACGTGCATAGAATGTGTAATGATCAGGTTAGGGTATTTTAGGTATCCATCACCTGAAGTATTTATCATTTCTATGTGCTGGTAACATTTCAAGTTCTCTCTTGTAGCTACTTTGAAATATATAATACATTGTTGCTAACTATAGTCATCCTACTCTGCTATTGAATATTGAGGCTTACTTGTTCTAACTTAGTGGCCCCAACCTTTTTGACATCAGGGACCTGTTTTGTGGAAGCCAGTTTTTCCATGGATGGGGGGCGTGGTGGGGGATTATTTCAGGATGAAACTGTTCCACCTCAGATCATCAGGCATTAGTTAGATTCTCATAAGGAGTGCACAACTTAGATCCCCTACATGCAGAGTTCATAATGGGGTTGGTGCTCCTGTGAGAATCTAATGCCACCACTTACCTAACAGGAGGTGGAGCACAGACAGTAATGCTTGCTCTCCTAATGCTCACCCACAGGCCATGAACTGGTACCAGTCTGCGGCCCAGGAGTTGGGGACCCCTGTTCTAACTGTGTGTTTGTACCCATTAACCAACCTCTCTTTATCCACCCCCCTTCCATCCACACATTCTTCCCAGGCTCTGGTATGTATCATCCTATTCTCTGTCTCCATGAGATCAGTTTCTTTAGCTTCCACATATGAGTGAGAACATGTGACATCTGAATTTCTGTGCCTGGCTTATTTGACCTAACATAATTAGCTCCAGTTCCATCCCTGTGCTGCAGTGACATGATTTTATTATTTTTTTATGGCCACATAATATTTCATTCTGTATATATACCACATTTTCTTTATTTATTCATCCATCAATGGGCACTTAGGTTGATTCCATATCTTTGCTGCTGTAAATAGTGCTGTGATAAACATGTGAGTGCAGGTTATACAGATTTCTTCTCCTTTGGATAAATACCAAGTAATGGGATTGCTGGATCATATGGTAGTTCTATTTTTAATTTTTTGATGAACCTCCATATTGTTTTCCACAGTGGTTATATCAGTTTACATTCCCACCAACAGCATGTAAGAGTTCCCTTCTTGGCCAGGCGCGGTGGCTCATGTCTGTAATCCCAGCGGATCACGAGGTCAAGAGATCAAGACCATCCTGGCCAACATGGTGTAACCCCGTTTCTACTAAAAATACAAAAATTAGCTGGGCGTGTTGGCGCGTGCCTGTAGTCGCAGCTACTCGGGAGGCTGAGGCAGCTGAATCCCTTGAACCCAGGAGGTGGTGGTTGCAATGAGCCGAGATCGCACCACTGCACTCCAGCCTAGTGACAGAGTGAGACTCTGTCTCAAGAAAAAAAAAAGGAGTTCCCTTCTAAATACAAAAATTAGCCACTTGGGGGGCTGAGGCAGGGAATTGCTTGAACCTAGGAGGCAGAGGTTGCAGTGAGCTGAGATCGCACCACTGCATTCCAGCCTGGGCGACAGAGCAAGACTCTGTCTCAAAAAAATAATAATAATAAATAAATAAATAAATAAATAAATAAATAAATGAGTTTCTCTGCATCCTTGCCAGCATGTATATGTGTGTGTGTGTGTGTGTGTGTGTGTGTGTGTGTGTGTGTGTTTTCTTTTAATGATAGCCATTCTAACTGGGGTAAGATGATATCTCATTGTGGTTTTTTTCTTGTATTTCCATGATGCTTAGTAATTTTGAGCATTTTTCCTGTATACGTATTGGCCATTAATATGTCTTCTTTTGATAAATGTCTATGTTGTTACCCCACATTTTAATGGGATTTTAAAAAATTGTTGAATTTTTTGAGTTCTTTGTATACTCTGGATATTAGTCCCTTATTGGATGAATAGTTTGCAAATATTTTCTTTCATTAAGCAAGTTGTCTGTTCACTCTGTTAATTGTTTCCTTTGCTGTATGGAAGCCTTTTAGTTTAATATAGTCCTACATGTATATTTTTGTTATAGTTGTCTGTGCTTTTGAGGTCTTAGTCATGAAGGTTTTGCCTAGACCTATGTCTTGAAGTGTTTTCCATATATATATATTTAGTAGTCTTACTGTTTTAGGTCTTAAATTTATGTCTTTAATCCATCTCGAGTTGATTTTTGTATATGGGGAGAGATAGGGGTTCAGTTTCATTTTATGCATATGGATATTGAATTTCCCCAGCACCATTTATTGAAGGTCTTTTCCCTTGTGTATATTCTTGGAGTCTTTATCAAAAATCAGTTGGTTATAAATACATGGATTTATTTCTAGACTCCTATTCTGTTCCATTGGTCTATGTGTCTGTTTTTATACCAATATCATGCTATTCTGGTTACTATAGCCTTGTAATATATTTTAAAGTCAGATAGTTTGATGGCTTCACCTTTTCTTTTGACTCAAAATTGCTCTATTTGGGCTCTTTTTTGATTCTATACACATTTGAGAATTGTTTTTTCTAATTATGTAAAAAATGACATTGGTATTTTGAGGTTTATTGATTTTGTTTATCTTTTTGAAGAACCAACTTTTTGTTTCATTGATACTTTGTATTGTTTTTTGAGTCTCTATTTTATTTAGTTTGCCCTGTTCTTTATTTTTTCTTTTATTCTGCTAATTTTGAGTTTGGTTTATTCTTGGCTCACTGCAGCCTCCGCCTTCCGGTTCAAACAGTTCTTCTGCCTCAGCCTCCCGAGTAGCTGGGATTACAGGCTCCCACCACCACTCCTGGCTAATTTTTGTATTTTTTGGTAGAGACGGAGTTTTGTCATGTTGGCCAGGCTGGTCTCAAACTCCTGACCTCAGGTAATTCACCTGCCTTGGCTTCCCAAAGTGCTGGGGTTACAGGCATGAGCCACCGCACCCGGCCGCTTTTCTAGTTTCTTGAGGTGTGTCATTAGGTTGCTTATTTGAAAGTTTTCTACTTTTTTGATGTGTTTATTGCTATAAACTTCTCTTTTAGCACTGCTTTAGCTGTATCCCATATGGTTTTGGTATGATGTGTTTCCATTTTAATTTGTTTCAAGAAATATTTTGATTTCTCTCATAATTTCTTCATTGACCCAGTGGTTGTTCAGGAGTATCCTATGTAATTTCCATGTATTTGTATAGTTTACAAAATTCATTTTGATGTTGATACTTAGTTTTATTCCACTGTAGTCTGAGAAGATTTTTTTTTTTTTTTTGGACACAGTCTCCCTCTTTTGCCTGGAGTGCAGTGGCACGATCTCGACTCACTGCAACCTCTGCCTCCCGGGTTCTATCGATTCTCCTGCCTTAGCCTCCTGAGTAGCTGGGACTACAGGCACATGCCACCACACCCAGCTAATTTTTGTATTTTTAGTAGAGATGGGGTTTTGCCATGTTGGCCAGGCTGGAAGATTTCAGTTTCTAAAAATTCGTTGAAACTTATTTAATGGCCTTATATAGTCTGTCATGGAGAATGTTCTATGTGTTGATAAGAATGTATAACCAGCCTGGCAACATAGCAAGTCCCCATCTCTGTAAAGAAAATTCGCAGAGTGTATATTCTGTAGTTGTTGGATAGAATGTTCTATACGTGCCTGTTAGGTCTGTTGGGTCTGAAGTCCAGTTTAAATCCAATGTTTCATTGTTGATTTTCTGTCTGAGTGATCTGTTTAATGCTGAGAGTGGGGAGTTGAAGCCCCCTACTGTTACTGTATTTCAGTTTATCTCTCCCTTTAGATCTACTAATATTCGCTTTATGAATCTGGATGATCCAGTGTTGGATGCATATGTATTTAGAATTGTTACATTCTCTTGCTGGATTGACTCCTTTATCATTACATAGTGACTTCTTTTTTTTTTTTTTTTTACTGTTTTTGTTTTGTTTCATTTTGTTTATTTTTACAGATAAGGTCTCACTGTGTCACCTGGGCTGAAGTGCAGAGGTGTGATTGTAGCTCACTGCCACCTTGAACTCCTAAGCTGAAGCAGTCCTTCCACCACAGCCTCCTGAGTAGCTGGGAGTACAGGTGTGCACCACCATGCCTGGCTAACTTTTAAAAAATACTGTAGAGATGAGGGTTTCTCTGTGTTGCCCAAGCTGGTCTTGAACTCCTGACTTAAAGTGGTTCTCCCACCTTAGCCTCCCAAAACACTGGGATTACAGGTGTGGCCACCATGCCAAGCCAAAATCTGTTTTATCTGATATCAGTATAGCTAGTGTTGCTCACATTTAGTTTCTATTTGGATGGAGTATCTTTTTTCCATCCCTTTACTTTGAGCCTATGTATGTCTGTAGGCAAAGTGCATTTCTTGTAGCCATCATACTTGTATCATGTTTCTTTTATACATTCAGCCAGTCCCTCTCTTTTAAGCAGATAATTTAATCAATTTACATTTAAGGTTATTAATGATGTGTGAGATTTTGTTACTGTCATATAATTTGTTTTCTGTTTGTTTTGCATATTCTTTGTTCCTTTCTCTCCCTTATTTGTGTGTTTGGTTTACCAGTGAGTTTTATATTTTTGTGCATTTTCATGATAGGGTATGTGTTATTCTTTTACTTTCATGTTTAGGACTCCTTTGAGCATCTCTTGTAGGCCTAGTCTAGTGGTGATGAATTCCCCCAGCTTTTGTTATCTTGGAAAGACTTTATTTCTCCTTCATTCATGAAGGATAATTTTGCTGGATATAGTATCCTTGGGTGACAGGTTTTTTTGTTTTTTTTTTTTTAAATTTTAGCACTTGCAATATGTCATTCAATTCTCTCCAGGCCTGTAGCTTTCTGCTGAGAAATCCGCTGTTGGCTTGATGGGAGCTCCTTTATAGGTGACTAAATGCTTTCACTTGCTACACCTTAATATTTTCTCTTTTGCTTGGCTATAGTTTGACTATAAAGTGCCGTGGAGGAAGACCTTTTTGCATTATATTTGGGGATTTTTGGACCTCTTATTTGTGAAAGTCTAGGTCTTTCTCTTGCTAGACTTGGGAAGTTTTCATCTAACATTTTGTTAAATAGGTTTTCTAACCCTTTCATTCTATCTTCATCCTTATGGATACCAGCATTTCAAATATTTGGTCACTTTTTGTTGTCCCAAATGCCACAAAGGCTTTGCTCATTCTTTTTCATCCTTTTTTCTTTATTTTTGCCTGACTGGATTATTTCAAAAGAACTGTCTTCAAGTTCTGAGATTCTTCCTTCTGCTTGATCTTATCTATTGTTGCTTTTGAATATATTTTGCATTTTATTCATATAATTCTTCTGTTCTAGAATTTCTGTTTTGTTCTTTTTAAAAATACTTATCTCTTTTGTAAATGTCTCAGTTATATCCTGAATTGTTTTTCTGATTTTTCTGTATTGTTTTTCAGAACTCTCTTGTATCTCATTGAGCTTCTTTAAAATCAGTATTTTGAATTATTTCTCTGGGATTTTATGAATTTTTTTATTATTATACTTTAAGTTCTAGGGTACATGTGCACAAAGTGCAGGTTTGTTGCATATGTATACATGTGCCGTGTTGGTTTGCTGCACCCATTAACTCGTCATTGACATTAGATATTTCTCCTAATGCTCTCCCGCCCCCATGCCCCCACTCCACGACAGGCCCCGGTGTATGCTGTTCCCTGCCCTGTGTCCAAGTGTTCTCATTGTTCCACCTATGAGTGAGAATATGCAGTGTTTGGTTTTCTGTCCTTGCAATAGTTTGCTCAGAATGATGGTTTCCAGCTTCATCCATGTCCCTGCAAAGGACATGAACTCATCATTTTTATGGCTGCATACTATTCCATGGTGTATATGTGCCACATTTTCTTAATCCAGTCTATCATTGATGGACATTTGGGTTGGTTCCATGTATTTGCTTTTGTGAGTAGTGCCGCAATAAACATACGTGTGCATGTGTCTTTATAGCAGCATGATTTATAATCCTTTGGGTATATACCCAGTAATGGGATTGCTGGGCTAAATGGTATTTCTAGTTCTAGATCCTTGAGGAATTGCCACACTGTCTTCCACAATGGTTGAACTAGTTTATGCTTCCACCAACAGTGTAAAAGTGTTCCTATTTCTCCACATCCTCTCCAGCACCTGTTGTTTCCTGACTTTTTAATGATTGCCATTCTAATTCGTGTGAGATGGTATCTCATTGTGGTTTTGATTTGCATTTCTCTGATGGCCAGTGATGATGAGCATTTTTTCACGTGTCTGTTGGCTGCATAAATGTCTTCTTTTGAGAAGGGTCTGTTCATATCCTTTGCCCGCTTTTGGATGGGGTTGTTTGATTTTTTTCTTGTAAACTTGTTTAAGTTCTTTGTAGGTTCTAGATATTAGCCCTTTGTCAGATTGCAAAAGTTTTCTCCCATTCTGTAGGTTGCCTGTTCACTCTGATGGTAGTTTCTTTTGCTGTGCATAAGCTCTTTAGTTTAATTAGGTCCCATTAGTCAATTTTGGCTTTTATTGCCATTGCTTTTGGTGTTTTAGTCATGAAGTCTTTTCCCACGTCTGTGTCCTGAATGGTAATGCCTAGGTTTTCTTCTAGGGTTTTTATGGTTTTAGGTCTAACATTTAAGTCTGTAATCCATCTTGAATTAATTTTTGTGTAAAGTGTAAGGAAGGGATCCAGTTTCAGCTTTCTACATATGGCTAGCCAGTTTTCCCAACACCATTTATTAAATAGGGAATCCTTTCCCCATTTCTTGTTTTTGTCAGGTTTGTCAAAGATCAGATGGTTGTAGATGTGTGTTGTTATTCTGAGGCCTCTGTTCTGTTCCTTTGGTCTATATCTCTGTTTTGGTACCAGTACTATGCTGTTTTGATTACTGTAGCCATGTAGTATAGTTTGAAGTCAGGTAGCGTGATGCCTCCAGCTTTGTTCTTTTTGCTTAGGATTGTCTTGGCAATGCGGGCTCTTTTTTGATTCCATATGAACTTTAAAGTAGTTTTTTCCAATTCTGTAAAGAAAGTCATTGGTAGCTTGATGGGGATGGCATTGAATCTGTAAATTACCTTGGTCGGTATGGCCATTTTCACGATATTGATTCTTCCTATCCATGAGCATGGAATGTTCTTCCATTTGTTTGTATCCTCTTTTATTCCGTTGAGCAGTGGTTTGTAGTTCTTCTTGAAGAGGTCCTTCACGTCCCTTGTTAGTTGGATTCCTAGGTATTTTATTCTCTTTGTAGCAGTTGTGAATGGGAGTTCACTCATGATTTGGCTGTTTATGTGTTACTGGTGTATAAGAATGCTTGTGATTTTTGCACATTGATTTTGTATCCTGAGACTTTGCTGAAGTTGCTTATCAGCTTAAGGAGATTTTGGGCTGAGACGATGGGGTTTTCTAAATATGCAATCATGTCATCTGCAAGCAGGGACAATTTGACTTCCTCTTTTCCTAATTGAATACCCTTTATTTCTTTCTCTTGCCTGATTGCCCTGGCCAGAACTTCCAACACTATGTTGAATAGGAGTGGTGAGAGAGGGCATCCCTGTCTTGTGCCAGTTTTCAAAGGGAATGCTTCCAGTTTTTGCCCATTCAGTATGATACTGGCTGTGGGTTTGTCTTAAATGGCTCTTATTATTTTGAGATACGTTCCATCATTACCTAGTTTATTGAGAGTTTTTAGCATGAAGTGCTGTCGAATTTTGTCGAAGGCCTTTTCTGCATCTATTGAGATAATCATGTGGTTTTTGTCTTTGGTTCTGTTTATGTGATGGATTATGTTTACTGATTTGTGTATGTTGAACCAGCCTTGCATCCCAGGGATGAAGCCAACTTGATCTTGGTGGATAAGCTTTTTGATGTGCTGCTGGATTCAGTTTGCCAGTATTTTATTGAGGATTTTCGCATCGATGTTCATCAGGGATATTGGTCTAAAATTCTCTTTTTTTGTTGTGTCTCTGCCAGGCTTTGGTATCAGGATGATGCTGGCCTCATAAAATGAGTTAGGGAGGGTTCCCTCTTTTTCTATGGATTGGAATAGCTTCAGAAGGAATGGTACCAGCTCCTCTCTGTACCTCTGGTAGAATTTGGCTGTGAAGCCATCTGGTCCTGGACTTTTTTTGGTTGGTAGGCTATTAATTATTGCCTCAATTTCAGAGCCTGTTATCGGTCTATTCAGAGATTCAACTTCTTCTTGGTTTAGTGTTGGGAGGGTGTATGTGTCCAGGAATTTATCCATTTTTTCTAGATTTTCTAGTTTATTTGCATAGAGGTGTTTATAGTATTCTCTGATGGTAGTTTGTATTTCTGTGGGATCGCTGGTGAGATCCCCTTTATCATTTTTTATTGCGTCTATTTGATTCTTCTCTCTTTTCTTCTTTATTAGTCTTGCTAGTCTATCAATTTTGTTATCTTTTCAAAAAACCAGATCCTGGATTCATTGATTTTTTTTTTTGAACTTTTTTGTGTCTCTATCTCCTTCAATTCTGCTCTGATCTTAGTTATTTCTTGCCTTCTGCTAGCTTTTGAATGTGTTTGCTCTTGCTTCTCTAGTTCTTTTAATTGTGATGTTAGGGTGTCAGTTTTAGATCTTTCCTCCTTTCTCTTGTGGGCATTTAGTGCTATAAATTTTCCTCTACACACTGCTTTAAATGTGTCCCAGAGATTCTTGTATGTTGTGTCTTTGTTCTCACTAGTTTCAAAGAACATCTTTATTTCTGCCTTCATTTAGTTATTTACCCAGTAGTCATTCAGGAGCAGGTTGTTCAGTTTCCATGTAGTTGTGCAGTTTTGAGTGAGTTTTTTAATCCTGAGTTCTAATTGGATTGTACTGTGGTCTGAGAGACAGTTTGTTGTGATTTCTGTTCTTCTATATTTGCTGAGGAGTGCTTTACTTCCAATTATGTGGTCAGTTTTGGAATAAGTGCGATGTGGTGCTGAGAACAATGTACATTCTGTTGATTTGGGGTGGAGATTTCTGTAGATGTCTATTAGGTCTGCTTGGTGCAGAGCTGAGTTCAAGTCCTGCATATCCTTATTAACCTTCTGTCTCATTGATCTGTCTAATATTGACAGCGGGGTGTTAAAGTCTCCCATTATTATTGTGTGGGAGTCTAAGTCTCTTTGTAGGTCTCTAAGGACTTGCTTTATGAATCTGAGCACTCCTGTATTGGGTGCATATATATTTAGAATAGTTAGCTCTTCTTGTTGAATTGTTCCCTTTACCATTAAGTAATGGCCTTGTCTCTTTTGATTTGTTGGTTTAAAGTCTGTTTTATCAGAGCCTAGGATTGCAACCCCTGCTTTTTTTTGCTTTCCATTTGCTTGGTAGAACTTCCTCCATCCCGTTATTTTGAGCCTATATGCGTCTCTGCATGTGAGCTGGGTCTCCTGAATATAGCACACTGATAGGTCTTGACTCTCTATCCACTTTGCCAGTCTGTGTCTTTTCATGGGGGCATTTAGCCCATTTACATTTAAGGTTAATATTGTTATGTGTGAATATGATCCTGTCATTATGATGTTAGCTAGTTATTTTGCCCATTAGTTGATGCCATTTCTTCCTAGCATTGGCAGTCTTTACAATTTGGCATCTTTTTGCAGTGGCTGGTACCGGTTGTTCCTTTCTATGTTTAGTGATTCCTTCAGGAGCTCTTGTAAGGCAGGCCTGGTGGTGACAAAATCTCTCAGCATTTGCTTGTCTGTAAAGGATTTTATTTCTCCTTCACTTATGAAGCTTAGTTTGGCTGGATATGAAATTCTGGGTTGAAAATTCTTTTCTTTAAAAATGTTGAATATTGGCCCCCACTCTCTTCTGGCTTGTAGAGTTTCTGCTGAGAGATCAGCTGTTAGTCTGATGGGCTTCCCTTTGTGGGTAACTTGACCTTTCTCTCTGGCTGCCCTAAACATTTTTTCCTTCATTTCATCCTTGGTGAATCTGACAATTATGTGTCTTGGGGTTGCTCTTCTTGAGGAGTATCTTTGTGGTGTTCTCTGTATTTCCTGAATTTGAATGTTGGCCTGCCTTGCTATGTTGGGGGAGTTCTCCTGGATAATATCCTGAAGAGTGTTTTCCAGCTTGGTTCCATTCTCCTGTCGCTTTCAGATACACCAATCAAACGTAGATTTGGTCTTTTCACATAGTCCTATATTTCTTGGAGGCTTTGTTTGTTTCATTTTACTCTTTTTTCTCTAAACTTCTCACTTCATTTCATTAATTTGATCTTCAATCACTGATATCCTTTCTTCCATTAGATCGAATCGGCTACTGAAGCATGTGCATGTGTCACGTAGTTCTCGTGCCATGGTTTTCAGCTCCATCAGGTCATTTAAGGTCTTCTTTACACTGTTTATTCTAGTTAGCCATTTGTCTAATCTTTTTTCAAGGTTTTTAGCTTCCTTGCGATGGGTTCGAACATCCTCCTTTAGCTTGGAGAAGTTTATTATTACCGACTTTCTGAAGCCTACTTATGTCAGCTCATCAAAGTCATTCTCTGTCCTGCTTTGTTACGTTGCTGGCAAGGAGCTGTGATCCTTTGGTGGAGAAGAAGCGCTCTGGTTTTTAGAATTTTCAGCTTTTCTGCTCTGGTTTCTCCCCATCTTTGTGGTTTTATTTACCTTTGATGGTCTTTGATGATGGTGACCTACAGATGGGGTTTTGATGTGGATGTCCTTTTTGTTGATGTTGATGCTATTTCTTTCTGTTGGCTAGTTTTCCTTCTAACAGTCAGGTCCCTCAGCTGCAGGTCTGTTGGAGTTTGCTGGAGGTCCACTCCAGACCCTCTTTGCCTGGGTACCACCAGCAGCAGCTGCAGAACAGCAAATATTGCTGCCTGATCCTTTCTCTGGAAGCTTTGTCTCAGAGGGGCACCCGGCTGTATGAGGTGTCATTCGGCCCCTACTGGGAGGTGTCTCCAAGTTAGGCTACACAGGGGTCAGGGACCCACTTGAGGAGGCAGTCTGTCTTTTCTCAGAGCTCAAACACCATGCTGTGAGAACCACTGCTCTCTTGAGAGCTGTCGGGCAGGGACGTTTAAGTCTGCAGAAGTTTCTGCTGCCTTTTGTTCAGCTATGCTCTGTCCCCACAGGTGGAGTCTACAGAGGCAGGCGGGCCCTGTTGAGCTGCGGTGGGCTCCACCCAGTTTGAGCTTCCTGGCTGCTTTGTTTACCTACTCTAGCCTCAGCAATGGCGGATGCCCCTCCCCCAGCCAGGCTTACTGCCTTGCAGTTTGATCTCGGACTGCTGCTCTAGCAGTGAGCAAGGCTCCATGGGCATTGGACCCGCAGAGCCAGGCACGGGATATAACCTCCTGGTGTGCCGTTTGCTAAGACTGTTGGAAAAGCGCAGTGTTTAGGTGGCAGTGTCCTGATTTTCCCAGTGCAGTCTGTCACAGCTTCACTTGGCTAGGAAAAATCCCCCGACCCTTTGCGCTTCCGGGGTGAGGCAATGCCCCACCCTGCTTCGGCTCGCCCTCCGTGGGCTGCACCCACTGTCTGACCAGTCCCAACCAGATGAACCAGGTACCTCAGTTGGAAATGCAGAAATCACCAATCTTCTGCGTCGATCATGCTGGGAACTGCAGACTGGACCTGTTCCTATTTGGCCATCTTGGAACTCAGAAGTCCTTTTTTTTTTTTTTTTTTTTTTGAGTTGGAGTCTTGCTCTGTCACCCAGGCTGGAGTGCAGTGGCGTGATCTCGGCTCACTGCAACCTCTGCCTCCCGTGTTCAAGCCATTCTCCTGCCTCAGCCTCTCAGGAAGCTGGGACTACAGGCATACACCACCACTCCCGGCTAATTTTTTTGTATTTTTATTAGAAATGGGGTTTCACCATGCTGGCCAGGCTGGTGTCAAACTCCTCACCTCAAGTGATCCACCCTCTTCAGCCTCCCAAAGTGCTGGGATTACAGATGTGAGCCACTGTGCCCAGCCATGAATCTTTTTTTATTGGACTCTGTTGCTGGAAAATTATTGTTTTCCTTTGGAGCTTTCTTATTTCCTTGCTTTTTCATGTGTCCAGTGTCTTTACATTGATATCTGTGCATCTGGTTAAATGGTCGAGTTGCTTCTTCCAATTTATTTATTTATTTATTTACATTCTTTAGAGACGGGGTCTCACTCTGTTGCCCAGGCTGGAGTTCAGTGGCGTGATCATGGCTCACTGCAGCTTTGACCTTTTGGGCTCAAGGGATCCTCCTACCTCAGCCTTCTGAGTAGCTGGAATGACAGGCATGTGCCACAGTACCTGGCTAGTTTTAAATATTTTGTAGGAACAGGATCTCACTATGTTGCCCAGCCTGGTCTCAAATTACTGGCCTCAAGCAATCCTGTCTCAGCCTTCCAAAGTGCTGAGATGAGAGGTGTCAGACACCGTGCCCATCATCTGTGGGTAGGGTGCTTTGACTTTGATTTTAGGTGCATATATTAGTGTGAGCACTGTATGATTTCTTTGGTTGTAAACAATATGAGTGGTATCTGTGATTTCCTTGGTAGCTGTGATGGTTAATACTGAGTGTCAACTTGATTGGATTGAAGGATGTGAAGTATTGATCAAGGATGTGTCTGGGAGGGTGTTGCCAAAGGAGATTAACATTTGAGTCAGTGGGCTTGGAAAGGCAGACCCACCCTTAATCTGGATGGACACCATCTAATTAGCTGCTAGCATAGCTAGAATATAAAGCAGGCAGAAATACGTGAAAAGGCTAGACTGGCCTAACCTCCCAGCCTACATCATTTTCCCATGCTGGATGCTTCCTGCTGTCGAACATCGGACTCCAGGTTCTTCAGTTTTGGGACTCAGACTGGCTCTCCTTTCTTCTCACCTTGCAGACAGCCTATTGTGGGACCTTGTGATCCTGTGAGTTAACACTTAGTAAACTCCCCTTTTTTATATATCTATCTATCTCCTATTCTGTTCCTCTAGAGAACCCTGACTAATATGGTAGCTTTGAGTGCAGTTATTAGTGGAGGCTGTGGTGAAATTTTGCTGGGCAGTAGGACACCAAGTGGGTCATTCTTTGTGTTCCAGTGGTGGCAGTAATAGGCTGATTGTGCTTGTCTTTCTGCTCCAGGATGGCTTGCACTGGCACCAGTGTCAGCGGGCCTAGGTGGTCTGATTCTTGGGCCTCCAGATAGCTTGTTTAGCAGTGGTGGGCCAGGCATGTGGGCAGCTTCTCAGGCCCCTGGACAGCTGGTATGAGTGGCAATAGCAGGGGTGGAGCAATGCACTGGAACCCAAGTGATTTATGCTGGTGTTGGCTGTGACAAGTTAGGCAGGTCTGTCCTTTGACTTGATGGTGGTACATAGTGGTGGGTGCCAGCTCTGGTGGTATTGGCAGGTTGTGTTGGCCCAACTGGAGACCCCAGGAGGAGTGGTCAGGTGCCAGTGGTGATGTACTGATCTGGGTGATTTCCAAGTCCGTGGATGACATGCTCAGTTACTGTGGGGACTAGACTGGCTGGATGAGTAGACTTGTCCTTGGGCCCCTTGGTAGTGCATTCAGGTGATGTCTGTGATAGGCAGGGGCAGGATGGTCCCTAGCCCACTGGTGGAATGCTCAGGTGTTGGCAGTGGTGTCTTTGCTGCAGTCCTGCCACTGAGGAGAGTGAGGCCACTCTTAGTGGGAGCAGTGTAGGGAGGTAGCTGTGGGATGTGTGGTTTTCTTGTGCTCTGGTCATACAACAGCCTGCAGTAGCGGAGGTGGGCTTTGTCTTTGAAGCACATGGAAGTGCCTGGCCTCATTTCTCTCCTTGGCCTGGTGCTGGAGGCAGCATTAGACCTAACCCTAGCCCCACCTCCAGCCCCAGGGGAGTTCAAAGACCTTTGGAGGCTGGCTGTGGGCCTGCCGTGGGGAAGGGGGAGGGCCCCCCTCAGTAGGAGCAGCTAGGCAGGTGGTTGTGGGGAATGCAGTTTGCTTGTGCTGTTGGTCCACAGCAGCCTGCAGCAGTGGCAGTGGGATTTGTCCTTGGCGTGTGTGAAGGTGCCCTGCCTCCTGTCTCTCTCCTTGGCCCAGTGGCCTCAGGGAAGAACATAGTCCTTTGGGTTTTTAATTTTTTTTAATTTTTTTTTTATTTTTTGGAGATGGAGTTTCACCCTTTCGCCCAGGCTGGAGTGCAGTGGTGTGATCTCCGCTCACTGCAACCTCCATCTCCCAGGTTCAAGTGATTCTCCCCATTCAGCCTCCTGAGTAGCTGGGATTACAGGTGCCCGCCACCATGCCCAGCTAATTTTTGTATTTTTAGTAGAGACAGGGTTTCACCATGTTGGCCAGGCTGGTCTCGAACTCCTGACCTCAGGATAAGCCCACCTCGGCCTCCCAAAGTGCTGGGATTATAGGTGTGAGCCACCATTCCCAGTCCAAGTTTGGTTCTTAGAAT
Source organism: Homo sapiens (assembly GCF_000001405.40). NCBI lineage: Eukaryota > Metazoa > Chordata > Mammalia > Primates > Hominidae > Homo > Homo sapiens. Next base: position 60,770,092 of record NC_000017.11, read on the forward strand.
GGTGCCAAGCTGCAGCTGTTCAGGGCTTGAAAGCCTGTGGGAGTTCAAGTTCTCTCTCTGCAGCAATGCTTCTGTGCAGTCTGTAGTCAGTTCCGTATGTTAGTCTTGAGGCCTGTATGGGTCAAGGGGTTCTCGTGTAATTAGGATCATGAAACACTGTGGTGGGCACGTGGAGCCTTGGGGATCTGTCTCACCCTTTTTCTCTGTCCATGAGCTTTCCCCAGTTCATAGTCCATCCCAGCTTCTCTCTCCTTACTTGTTACTTGCTTTTAGTCCTTGCCATCGCCTCTCTCATCCCAGTGTTCCCTCTTTTTTTTTTTTTTTTTTTTTTTTTTTTTTTTTTTTTGAGACAGAGTCTTGCCTTGTCACCAGGCTGGAGTGCAGTGGCGTGATCTCGGCTCACTGCAACCTCCGACTCCCTGGTTGAAACGATTTTCTTGCCTCAGCCTCCCGAGTAGCTGGGATTACAGGCATCTGCCACCACTCCTAGCTAATTTTTGTATTTTTAGTAGAGACAAGGTTTCACTGTGTTGGCCAGGATGGTCTCGATCTCCTGACCTCGTGATCTGCCTGCTTCGGCCTCCCAAAGTGACAGGCATGAGCCACTGCACCTGGCCCCAGTATTCTCTCTTAGACGGTCTATTTGAAGTGTGAATATTTACTTGCTATTTTGGTTCCTCTCTGTGGAGGAGGTGCATACTATCTGCAGTAGTCAGCGATCTTGAACCTAAAACTGAAATTTGTTTTTTTTTTTTTTTTTTTTTTTTTTTTTTTGAGACAGGGTCTCACTCTGTCACGCAGGCTGGAGGGCAGTGGCACGATCTTGGCTCACTACAACCTCAGCCTCCCAAGTAGCTGGGATTACAGGTGTGTGCCACCACGCCTACCTAATTTTTGTATCTTTAGTAGAGACAGGGTTTTGCCATGGCTGCTCTTGAACTCCTGACTTCAGGTGATCTGCCTGCCTTGGCCTCCCAAAGTGCTGGGGTTACAGCGGTAAACCACCACGCCCAGCCCCCAAACTGAAATTTGTATTTGAAAGCTCACCTTACTTAGATCTCATGGTCTCCCAGTATATGGTTTTTACATTACAACTGAGAAACGCTTTTACCACATCACATGATGTAAAAAGTAGCTTCGTTTCTATTTTTTTTTCATTTTTAAGGTCTAAAATAGCTTCAATTATTTCAGTGTCATTATTATATTTGGGTTGTCTAGACTAAGGGTGAAATGCAATGGAAATTGCCGGTATGGAGACCAATACGTAGAAAAGCCGTTCTCCTACATTACTACATTTTAATTTTAAGTTGTCAGGATAAAGTATGTTGCAAAGACAGCAATAGTCTACTTAAATTTCCTTTACCTTAAATCAAATCAAACTTTTAAAAGAAACGTTGGTTCCCTTTCACAAAACTTGGAATAAACTATTAAAAGTGCATCAAAAGGATTAGTGACGGGTATCTTTTTTTTTTAATTATACTTTAAATTCTAGGGTATATGTGCACAACGTGCAGGTTTGTTACATATGTATACATGTGCCATGTTGGTGTGCTGCACCCATTAACTCGTCATTTACATTAGGTATATCTCCTAATGCTATCCCTCCCCTGTCCCCCTATCCCACGACAGGCCCCAGTGTGTGATGGTCCCCCACCCTGTGTCCAAGTGTTCTCATTGTTCAGTTCCCAACTATGAGTGAGAACATGCAGTGTTTGGTTTTCTGTCCTTGTGATGATAGTTTGCTCAGAATGATGGTTTCCAGCTTCATCCATGTCCCTACAAAGGACATGAGCTCATCCTTTTTTATGGCTGCATAGTATTCCATGGTATATATGTGCCACGTTTTCTTAATCCAGTCTATCATTGATGGACATTTGGGTTGGTTCCAAGTCTTTGCTCTTGTGAATAGTGCCGCAATAAACATACGTGTGCATGTGTCTTTATAGCAGCATGATTTATAATCCTTTGGGTATATACCCAGTAATGGGATGGCTGGGTCAAATGCTATTTCTAGTTCTAGATCCTTGAGGAATCGCCACACTGTCTTCCACAATGGTTGAACTAGTTTATGCTTCCACCAACAGTGTAAAAGTGTTCCTATTTCTCCACATCCTCTCCAGCACCTGTTGTTTCCTGACTTTTTAATGATCGCCATTCTAACTGGTGTGAGATGGTATCTCATTGTGGTTTTGATTTGCATTTCTCTGATGGCCAGTGATGATGAGCATTTTTTCACGTGTCTGTTGGCTGCATAAATGTCTTCTTTTGAGAAGGGTCTGTTCATATCCTTTGCCCACTTTTTGATGGGGTTGTTTGATTTTTTCTTGAAAATTTGTTTAAGTTCTTTGTAGATTCTGGATATTAGCCCTTTGTCAGATGGGTAGATTGCAAATATTTTCTCCCATTCTGTAGGTTGCCTGTTGACTCTGATGGTAGTTTCTTTTGCTTTGCAGAAGCCAATTAGATCCCATTTGAGTGACGGATATCTTTAAAAAGGCTTAACATAGGCTGGGCATGGTGGCTTACACCTGTAATCCCAGCTCTTTGGGAGGCTGAGGTTGGTGGATCACTCGAGGTCAGGAGTTCGAGACCAGCCTAGCCAACATGGCAAAACCCTGTCTCTAGCAAAAATACAAAAATTAACTGGGTGTGGTGGTGTGTGTTCCAGCTACTCAGGAGGCTGAGGCAGGAGAATCGCTTGAACCTGGGAGGTGGAAGTTGCAGTGAGCTGAGATCGCGCCACTGCACTCCAGCCTGGGCAACAGAGTGAGACTCAGTCTCAGAAAAAAAAAGGGGGGCTTAACGTGAAGCAAGTAAGTTTCATGTAAGCTTAATGATTCTGACCCAAATTTGAAAATGAGTCTTCAACTTATTTGGGTAAATATCAAGGAGCATGCTTTTGGCATTGTATGGTAAAAGTATGTTTAGTTTTGTAAGATACTGCAAAGCTATCTTCCAAAGTGGCTGTATTGTTTAGTATTTCCACCAGCAATGAACAAGAGTTGTGTAGCTTGCATCTTTGCCACCATTTGGTGGTGTCAGTGTTCTGAAATTTGACTATTCTAATAGCTGTGCATTAGTATCTTGTTGTTTAAACTTGCAATTCTCTAATGACATATGATGTGGAATATCTTTAAATATGCTTATTTGTCATGTATTATCTCCTTTATTTTGTATTATCTGACTCTTCAGGTCCTTTTTTTTTTTTTTTTTTTTTTGGGACAGGGTCTCACTCTGTCACCAGGGCTGAAATGCAGAGGTATTATCATGGCTCGCTGCAGCCTTGACCTCCCAGGCTCGGGCAGTCCTCCCAACTCAGCCTTCCCAAGTAGCTGAGACTATAGGCAAGCACCGCCACATCTGGCTGATTTTTGTATTTTTTGTAGAGATGGGGTTTTGCCGTGTTGCCCAGGGTGGTCTTAAACTCTCGGACTCAAACCATCTGCCTATCTCAGCCTCACAAAGTACTGGGATTATAGGCATGAGCCACCACACCCAGCCAACTGTTGAGGTCTTTAACCTATTTTTTCATCAGGTTTTTTTCTTATTGTTGAGTTTTTTTTTATTTATTCTTGAGACAGGGTCTCATCCTGTTGTCCAGGCTGGAAAGCAGTGGCGTGATCATGGCTCACAGTTGCCTCTGCCTCCCAGGGTCACGTGATCCTCCTGCCTCAGTGTCCCAAGTAGTTGGGACCACAGGCGCACGCCACCATGCCTGGCTAATTTTTGTATTTTTTTGGAGACAGGTTCTCACCGTATTTCCCAGGCTGGTCTCGAACACCTGCACTTAAGTGATTGGCCTGCCTTGGTCTCCCAAAATGTTGGATTTACAGGTGTGAGCCACTTTGCCCGGCCTTACTGTTATGTTCGTTGTGTGTTTTAGATAATAGTCCTTTATCAGATAAGGCTTTTGGAAATATCTTCTACCTATGGCTTGTCTTCTTATTTTCTTTACAATGCCTTTTACAAACCGTATTAAAATATTTTCTTTCCTTCCTCTGCATGGATTTTAGCTCACTTGATGTCGTTTCACAACTCACTGATGCTCTGATCACTTTTGAAGTCTTTCCCTCCCCTCTTGTTCCAGTAGTTTCTATTGGTGCCTCTTCATGTTTCTTCATGTTTTTTTTCTGCAGTATCTAATGTTGTTAACCCATCCAGTGTATTTTTTTCTCTCAGACACTGCATTTTTCACTTACAATTTGCGTGTACATGTGCATGTGTGTGTGCAGAGACAGAGATCTTCCATGTGCCTGGAGACATGTTCACTTTCCTCTCCTTGAATAAATGGAATATGTTTATCATAGGAATTTTAATGTGGTTATCTAATTTGATTCTGTTGATTGATTTTTCTCCTTATTATGGGTTGTATCTATTCCTGCTTCTTTGCATGACTTAAAATTTTTGTTTGGATGCCACACATTTTGAATTTTGTGTTGCTCAGGACTATTTTGTATTCCTTTAAATATTTTTGGTTTTGTCCTGGGACACAGTTAAACTACTTGGCAATAATTTTATTCTTTCAATACTTTCTCTTACTCTTTGTTAGGTATTCCTAGAATAGCCATTAGTCTAGAGCAGGGGTCTGTAGACATTTTCTTAAGAGAGCTAGATAGTATTTTAGGCTTGTGGGCCATCTGTCCTGACTATTCCACTATTCATCTCTGCCCTATTGGGCAAAAGCAGCCATTGACAATACTCAAATGAATGAGTGGTAAGTTGGGGCATTCACAGGGCTCACATCAATTGTTTCCCTTGTCTCAAGGATCACTGTCCTGGGCTGCGTGTTGTTGGATGTCTGAAACTGTTTTTTATATATTTTATCTGTTTCTTAAGTTTTCCTGGCAGGAGGGTAAATCTGATCTGCTGCAGAGGTTCAGCATTTTGCCTTAGTTCCTTGTTTTGGATGACTTAAGAGTGCTTAGGATAGCGCTTGGCATGTAGTAAAAGTCCTATGTGAGTTTTTATAAATAAAGAAAAAAATAAATTTCAAATTGAATTTCATTTGTAAGACAGTTTAAAAATTTTAATGTATCTTTGGAGAAGTTAAGTTTCAAACACTTTGAAAGATGCAGGCATTATAGAGAAATTTCTGGAGGTATCATAGCATTAATTGTGGGGTTTTTTTTCTCTCGGGTGCTAGATGCAGTAGCAAAAGAAAGTGATAAAAACACCAAGGGATTCCTTTATTTCTTTTGATCTCATGAATAGGTAAAGGAGTCTTAAACTTTCCTTCTCCTCTTAACTATCAACAAGGGACTACTATGATTCTTGCCTTTCAGAGTCTGGCATCATTTTTTTCTTTCCCCATGATGCTTTTAGTCTTAACAACAAGAAGTGTGGGCCTCCATGTTATCATTTAAACTATCTTTTTGGCATCTACTGTTTAGTTTAACCTAGTTTTCACTGAATTTTTTTCTCTTGTTGTTGTTACTGTACTTTGCAGTTTTTATGTATATATAGGTTTACCTTGGGAATATTTCAGAATTTCTTTTTTTTTTTCATTTGTAGAACATGGAAATAATCTAATTTGAGGCCAAGTGAATTTATGTAAATTTATAGTTAGCAGTAACAACCAGACACACTAATAAAAACCTTCTAATATTAAAAGAAGGAAAACAAAAACCGTGTGTGCAAAGGAATGATCCGCACAAATTATAGGATACTGACTACCTGGCAGTGGGTAGTAGGGTTTGGGATGTATGAGTCTATATAAGTAAATGAAAGTTTTTGGCAGTGTTTTACTTCTTATGGATGAGGGGGTCATAGGTGTTTATTATTAAAGTATAAAGAAGAGGTCCATGCATTCATTGAGAAGAAATGAACCAAGAATTATGAATGGTCTAATTCTTTGTACTCAGTGCTCAAAGTGGAGAGGAGAAAGATGCAAATGAGAGAAACAGAACATGCAGTCTTTATTGGATTGGAAATAAAAAATTAGAATTGTGAATTAGAGATTAAAAGCAAAGTTTTGAGTGAAGAATTTAAAGAGAGACTTATTTCCCTCTGTATGGGAAATACATACAGTATTTTGCCCTGAGAAATTTTCTTTGTATAAAGTCGTGCTTCACAGTTTGTTAATGTTTTAAATTCATCATAACAGTATTGACTCAGTTTTGTACTTTTAAAGTAATCTGTGTGTGTGTGTATAGATGTATATGTATACTCTCTAATCAGAATGACTCCATATATAGAGCTAATATCAGCTGTTGGTATTTTATTCATATTTTTGAAAATGCCAGTATAATATCTCACATTAGTTGTTTAACCTTTATACATTAATATTAGTTTTCCAAATGTAACTAATGTCCTTCTTTAACCTATCTTATAACAATATAAGAACAAATGGCTGTGCGCGGTGGCTCACGCCTGTAATCCCAGCACTTTGGGAGACCGAGGCTGGCGGATCACAAGGTCAGGAGTTCGAGACTAGCCTGACCAACATAGTGAAAACCCATCTCTACTAAAAATACAAAAATTAGCCAGGCATGGTGGCGTGCACCTGTAATCCCAGCTACTCAGGAGGCTGAGGCCGGAGAATCGCTTGAACCTGGGAGATGGAGATTGCAGTGAGCCGAGATCGCACCACTGTACTCCAGCCTGGGTGATAGAGTGAGACTCCGTCTCAAAAAAAAAAAAAAAAAAAAGGCATGGTTGCTCACGCATGTAATCCCAACACTTTGGGAGGCTGAGGTGGGTGGATCACTTGAGGTCAGGAGTTACAGATTAGCCTGACCAACACAGAGAAACCCCATCTCTACTAAAAATACAAAATTAGCTGGGCGTGGAGTTACATGCCTGTAATCCTAGCTACTCGGGAGGCTTAGGCAGGAGAATTGCTTGAACCCAGGAGGCGGAGGTTGCGGTGAGCTGAGATTGTGCCACTGCACTCCACGCTGGGCAACAAGAGTGAGAACTCCATCTCAAAAAAAAAAAAAAAACAAATGAAGTAAAGTATATACACATATATGTGTGTGTGCGTGTGTATATATGTGTATATATATATTTCACTGACGAAATGGCTAAAATCAGCAAGTATCAGGAGGCAGCTCCGTGACTTCCATGCTACCACTGGCAGTAGGGAAAAAATGGCTGCAGAACTCTTGGTGTCTTTCCCATCACCACCTTATTCTCTTCCTCTACTACTATACTTAAAAAAGCTTTGCCACTACTGTTATGAGACTATGGCCACTAAGTTCCTTATGTTCTTTACTCTTGTTTACCTCAATCACCACAACAAACTCAAAACTTGGCCCAGCGTGGTGCCTCATGCCTGTAATCCCAGCACTTTGGGAGGACAAGGCAGACAAATCACTTGAGGCCAAGAGTTGGAGACCAGCCTGGCCAACATGGCAAAACCCCACCTCTACTAAAATTACAAAAAATGGGCCGGGTGTGGTGGTGGGCGCCTGTAATCCCAGCTACTCGGGAGGCTGAGGCATGAAAATCGCTTGAATCCAGGAAGTGGAGTTTGTAGTGAGCTGAGATCATGCCAGTGCACTCCAGCCTGGGTGACAGAGCGCGACTCTGTCTCCAAAAAGAAAAGGAAAAAAAGAAACTTAAAAACTCACAGGTTATTTCTCATTCTCACCCTCTCTCCATGTGGCATTCACTTTTCAATCTCCATCTCTCTCTTCATTCCCCCACTCTCTGAAATACCTACTCCAACTCCAGAAACTTTCTGACAGGGCCCCCTCGGAAGTCATTATCCATCATCTGCAAAATCCCCTATGTCCTCATCCTCTTTTTGGAATGTTACTTCCTTTCTCTTTGTTGCTGCCTTTCTTTCTTAGTTACTACCTTTCAGTTTTTGGAGATTAGATTTTTATCTCATAGTTTTCTTTAGTACCACTCCTTTCACAATTCCTAAAAATGAACATATTTTTATGTGTTCATTTGAAATCCGTATGTCTTCTTTGGTGAAATGTCCCTTATGTCTTTTGCTAATTACTGTTGAGTTTAGATAGTTCTTTACATACTCTGGATACAAGTCATTTGTTGGATATATGATTTTCAAGTATTTTCATTTCATCCATGGCTTATCCTTTCATCCTTTCAGTTTGGATGAAGTCCAATTATCTTTTTTTTTTTATTTTATCAGTTGTGCCTTTCATGTCATATCTGAGAACTTAGTAAATCTGTAACACTATGGTCTTTAGCGTCTCTTGTCTAGAATTTGTGATTTTCCTGTTTATATCTCTCTGCCCTTCTCAAACTCATTTCATCTCCTCTGAACAGAATATATTTTTAGTTAATTTTATAAGAGATTATTAAAATAGGTTCTATTATATGGAATTCATTCATATGCTTGTTTCAATTTGTGGTGCAGCAAAATTTTAAATTAATAAAATTATTTTCTGTAATTGAATAAATCCTTATTTTCAAATGAGAATAGAGATAAGACTATTCCCTCAGGAATGATTTGCCACAAAGTAGTGGAAATCCATGCACACATTATTAACTTTGATGGTCTTTTTAAATTCTCATTTGTTAGATATTGTCATTCCTGGGAAATTGGTGCTTACTGAGCAAGCAGTTTGTGTTACTCAGCAAGACTTATTTTCCTACAGTCTATAAATCTTTAAAGGAACTAGACAGATTCCCAAAATTTAGAAGTGGATGTATTTGATATCTGAGTGGCATAAGTGGCTTTAAATCTCTTTATAAGATGATACATCTACCATGTAAAAAGATCAGCCCTAGTGTTTGACCCTGTAGTAGTATTCTTTTGGTTGAGTGTTTTATTCATGTGTGTTGGGCATATGCTATAAGTAGCATATGATTTTGTGGGATGATAAAAGTATAGTTTGTATACATATTAACACATTTTTATAGTAAAATTTCCTTGTGTCTGAAGTATTTTTTCTAGGCAGATATTTGAATAAACATCTAAACAATCTTTTTTTGCAGTACACTTTGGGTTAATATGGCATTAGTGTTCTTAATTTGTCTTAATGCAGCCTTGCTTCTAACCACATTGTATTACAGGTTGAGCATTCCTAATCCGAAAATCCAAAATCCAAAATGCTCCAAAATCTAAAATTTGGAGCCTGTTTGAGCTTACTCTAGCTCTGGAGGCTGCCTGCTCTCCCCACCCCCAAATAAAACCCCCAAAACAAAATTCAGAACTTTTTGAGTGCTGACATGATGCCACAAGTGGAAAATTCCACACATAAATAACACAAACTGTTTCATGCACAAAATTAACAAAAATACTGTATCAAATTACCTTCAGGCTATATGTGTAAGGTGCATATGAAACGTAAGTTATTTTCTTTCTTTTTTTTTTTTTTTTGAGGCGGAGCTTTGCCCTTATTGCCCAGGCTGGAGTGCAATGGCGTGATCTCAGTTCACTGCAACCTCCGCCTCCCAGGTTCAAGCGATTCTCCTGCCTCAGCCTTCCAAGTAGCTGGGATTACAGGCATGTGCCACAACGCCTAGCTAATTTTGTATTTTTAGTAGAGACAGGGCTTCTCCATGTTGGTCAGGCTGGTCTCGAACTCCTGACCTCAGGTGATCCACCCGCCTTGGCCTCCCAAAGTACTGGGATTACAGGCGTGAGCCATCGCGCCCGGCAGAATTTCATGTTTAGACTTGGTTCCTATCAAGATAGCTTATTATGTATATGTAAATATTCCAAAAGCCAAAGAAGTCTGAAACCTGAAATGCTCCTGTTCCCAAGCATGTCAGATAAGGGGTACTCAACCTATACCATTCTCTGAGTTTTTCTAAATCATGCAAGAATGGTATGATTCTGTTTGAGAAATATTCTTGGTGCTATTTGATATATAGACCTTTGAAAAACAGGAGATAAGGCTCTGATATGATCACTGGAGCTTGGTGTCTATTGCAATATTTTTGGGAAAATATTCAAATATCTAAAAAACTTTACTATTTTTAATTTTTTTTTTTTTTTGAGATGGAGTCTCGCTCTGTTGCCTAGGCTGGAGTGCAGTGGCGCCATCTCGGCTCACTGCAAGCTCCGCCTCCTGGATTCAAGCGATTCTTCTGCCTCGGCTCCCCCGAGTAGCTGGGACTACAGGCACGTGCCACCACACCCAGCTAATTTTTGTATTTTTAGTAGAGACAGGTTTCACTATATTGGCCAAGCTGGTCTCAAACTCCTGACCTTGTGATCTGCCCACCTCGGCCTGCCAAAGTGCTTGGATTACAGGCGTGAGCCACCATGCCCTGCCTATTTTTTTTTTTTTTTTTAATTTTTTGAGACAGTGTCACCCTGTTGCCCAGACTGGGGTGCGGTGGAGCGATCTCGTGATCTTGTCTTACTGCAAACTCCACCTCCTGGGTTCAAGCGATTCTCCTGCCTCAGCCTCCCCAGTAGCTTGGATTATAGGCACCCGCCACCATGCCTGGCTAATTTATCTATTTTTAATAGAGACGGGGTTTCACTATGTTGGCCAGGCTGATCTTGGACTGCTGACCTCAAGTGATCCACCTGCCTTAGCCCCCCAAAGTGCTGGGATTACAGGCATGAGCCACCACACCCAACCCTAAAAAGCTTTTTTGTCATGTTAGTACTTTAGGTAACTTGTCGTACACAGAGATTTATTGGTGTAAAAGATAGACCTCTTGATACGAATTTTTGATAATTTGTTTGGAAAATAGTTGTATCTAAGCTGTGTTGCAGAGCTTCCTATTATAAATTATATCACAGCTTTCTTCCTTCTAATTTCCAGGCTGAGGTCCTTTTTATCCTTCTTTGAGTTATGGCTAACATAGCCTTACATTTTTTGACATATTTTCCTAAGTTAATTGTAGAATATCTGTAGATATTTTGTTAGATGTACATACAGATATTTAAATTTTGACGCTTTAAAGTAATTTGCCACCATGGTTCTGTTTTATTTTTTGTCTTTTTTGCCATCTTTTTTTTTGAGATGGAGTCTCACTCTGTCCCCCAGGCTGGAGTGCAGTGGCACCATCTCGGCTCACTGCAGCCTCCAACTACTGGGTTCAAGCGATTCTTGTGCCCCAGCCTCTGGAGTAGGTTGGGGTTACAGGTGCGTGCCACCATGCCTGGCTAATTTTTGTATTTTTAGTAGAGATGGGGTCTCACCATGTTGGCTAGGCTGGTCTCGAACTCCTGACCTCAAGTGATCCCCCCGCCTCAGCCTCCCAAAGTACTGGGATTACAGGTGTGAGCCGCTACGCCCAGCTTTTTTTTCCTTTTTTTTTTGCCATCTTTCTCAAAGAAAGAATTTTCCAGCTGGCCATGGTGGTTCACACCTGTAATCCCAGCACTTACAGAGGACAAGGTAGAAGGATCACTTGAGATTAGGAGTTTGAGACCAGCCTGGCCAACGTGGTGAAACTGCATCTCTACTAAAAATACAAAAATTAGCCAGGCATGTTGGTGCATGCCTGTAGTCTCTATTACTCGGGAGGCTGAGGCACGAGAATCTCTTGAAGTCAGGAGGCAGAGGTTTCAGTGAGCTATGATTGTGCCACTGTACTCCAGCCTGGATGACAGAGTGAGACCTTTTCTTTCTTCTCCTTCTTGTTTTTCTTCTTCATCCTAGACTGCCTTATACTTACTCAGATCACATTTCTTCTTATTGTTTTTGTCTTATTTCCATGTTTTTTCCTCTACCCCTTAAAACAAATTTTAAAAGACATTTTTATAAAAATGAATTTTACAATTATGTGTATTTCTTTACCTATTTTTCATAATTCCATTTTTTCCTACGTTAGTTAATAACAGTTGCTATGTGCTTCTAGACCTATTTCTAGGTGTGAATTTCATTTTATTCTGCTGGAGACTTACCAAGCTTTCTGGTTCTTTCTTTTATAATTCTGGAAAATTCTCTGTCATTTATCTCTTTGAATATCATGTTTTAAATTCTTCCTGTCTTCTGTCATTGTCCTCACCATCCTCCACCTAGAAATTCAGCACACCAGATGAACAACTGAGCTAGAAATCAGATTAACTTTCACAAAAGCAAAAGAAACCTATACCTGCTACATAGCCATTTTACCTTGAAGACTGAAAATTAAGGATGACCACATATGAGGAGTCCAGTTATTACTGAGGAGATATGACTTTAAAAACTACTTTTGTTTATCTGTTGCATTCTTTCAAATAGCTTGCAGCACAGTGTGAGACCTAATAATGGTTGCTTAATAATTGCCTGCTGTATTGAGTTTATAAAGATTTTATGTTATTTTACCAACTTTTAAACATCACTTTAAGAATTCCTTCATTTTATCTTAGTTTATGATAACAGCCACTATTTTTTGAGGACTTAGTATGCTTGAGGTAGGTAGCATCTCCAGTTTGCAGATGTGGCAGTTGACCTTCAGAATGTAGATTACAAACCAATTAATTATGAAAGCCAGTTTGGAAATCCATGCCTATCTGATTTAAAATTCCATGCCCTTTCTATTTTCTATGTTACTTCTGTTCAGATCAAATGTTGTGACCAGAAAACATGTTAGTTGGTCTTTATAAGTTATTATTATTATTATTATTATTATTATTATTATTATTATTTTGAGATGGAGTCTTGCTCTGTCGCCAGACTGGAGTGCAGTGGTGTGATCTTGGCTCACTGCAGCCTCTGCCTCTCAGGTTCTAGCAATTCACCTGTCTCAGCCTCCAGAGTAGCTGGGGCTACAGGTACGCACCACCGCACACAGCTAATTTTTTTTTATTTTTAGTAGAGATGGGGCTTCACCATGTTGGCCAGGATGGTCTTGATCTCTTGACCTCAGGTGATCTGCCTGGCTTGGCCTCCCAAAGTGCTGGGAATACAGGCATGAGCCACCGCACCCAGCCAGTCTTTAGAAATTCTAAATTAAGGCTTACTCTGTCATGCCAATTAAATTTGGGGCCCCAAATGCATGCATACGTATATTTACATATTTGTGTACATAAATATAGGTCTTTCTAGGGACTGGAAGGGATGAATAGCCAGAGCACACAGGATTTTTCGGGCAGTGAAAATATTTGATATGCTGATACATGTCATTATATATTTGTTCAAACCCACAGAATGTATGCAACTGCAAGAATGAACCCTAAACTATGGACTTTGGGTGATGATGTGTTAATGTAGGTTCATCAGTTTTTCAATCAACAGTTTGTTTGTTTGTTTATTTATTTACTTATTTTTGAGACAGTCTTGCTCTTTTGCCCAGGTTGGAGTGCAGTGGTGCAATCATAGCTCACTGCAGCCTTGAACTCCCTGGCTCAAGCGATCCTCCCACCTCAGTCTGCTGAGTAGCTGGGACTACAGGTGCACACCACCACATCAGGTTAATTTTTGTATTTTGTATAGAGATGGGGTTTCGTCATGTTGCCCAGGCTGGTCTCAAACTCCTGGGCTCAGGCAGTCTGCCTGCCTTGGGCTCCCAAACTGCTGGGATTATAGGCACGAGCCACTGCGCCTGACAATCAACAAATACTGATAATGTGGTAGACTATGTCTGTGTGTGGCAGGGGCTATGTGAGAGATCTCTGTACTTTCCTCTTTATTTTGCTGTGAACCTAAAACTGCCCTGATGAAAATAAATTCTTTAAAAACAAACAAACAAAAACATCTATTTTAAGCATCTTAACATTTTTCATAATACAGTATTCCTCATAATAGCTACATAACAGTTTTCCCATCATTAACTTCTTATTTGCCTTTTTTTCCTGGGCATATTTGTTCTAAATGAAATGTACTCCACCTCACAGTTATATACAGAGTTTCCACATTAGTATAAACTATGAGATAATGCTACAGGTTTGATTTGAGACTCTTTTTGTTTGTTTCTCATGTTGTAATATTCTCTTTGACTTCTCTGGAGTTCTTTATGGGCAGCTGTAGTGAACAATGAGAATTGGCCACATAAAGTTTCCTTAAATATGGGAAGGTAAATGAGATGTGGCTGGCCAAACATAGAAATGAAGTATAATATAAAGCAGCACTCCATTGTAGAACTGCTGCCAGGAAAGTATCTAAACATCTGGAATATGGTCAGAATTCTATATTAAATAATGCAGTCCAAGCATGTACTGTATCTAAGTTAAAAAACTCTTATATTGAAGATGTTAGGCATCTTATCTAAAGGAGTGCAGCATTTATACTTTGGGAATACGCAGGAAAGAAAGGGTCTATATGTAAAATTACCAAATTGAAAAAAAAAAGGTGAAAATACTTAGTGATGATGGCGTGTGTTCTTTCTAAAAAAATGAAACAAATTTTTTTTTTTTTTTTTTTTTTTGAGACGGAGTCTCACTCTGTCGCCCAGGAGGGCAGTGACACAATCTCGGCTCACTGGAAGCTCCACCTCCCAGGTTCATGCCATTCTCCTGCCTCAGCCTCCCTAGTAGCTGGGACTACAGGTGCCCGCCACCATGCCCGGATAATTTTTTTTTTTGTATTTTTAGTAGAGACGGGGTTTTACCATGTTAGCCAGGATGGTCTCGATCTCTTGACTTTGTAATCTGCTCACCTCAGCCTCCCAAAGTGCTGGGATTACAGGCGTGAGCCACTGCGCCCAGCCAACAAAAAATGTTTTTAAATGAGGTGGAGTCTCACTGTGTTGCTCAGGCTGGTCTTGAACTCCTGGGCTTGCAATCCTCCCACCTCATTCTTTCAAGTAACTGGGATTACAGATACATGCTACTGTGCCTGGTTATGAGAGGAATGTTTATTTTAAAAGCGTTTCTGGAAAGTAACTCAGCAAGCAATATTTAGTAAATTAAATGTAGCTAGGCCAGGCGCAGTGGCTCACGCCTGTAATCCCAGTACTTTGGGAGGCTGACGTGGATGGAGCACCTGAGGTGAGGAGTTTGAGACCAGCCTGGCCAACATGGCAAAACCCAGTCTCTACTAAAAATACAAAAAGTTAGCTGGGCGTGGTGGCAGGCGCCTGTAATCCCAGCTGCTTGGGAGGCCAAGGCAGAGGCAATTGCTTGAACCTGGGGAGGCAGAGGTTTCAGTGAGCTGAGATCGTGCCATTGCACTCCAGCCTGGGCAACAGAGCGAGACTCCGTCTCAAAAAAAAAGTATCTAGCAATCCCAAACATGCCCTTTTAACTTAGGAGTTTTTACTTTTTTTCTTAGTTTTTTATTTTTTGAGACAGAGTCTCATTGTCACCCAGGCTGGAGTGCAGTGGTGCGATCTCGGCTCACTGAAGCCTCCACCTCCCAGGGTCAAGTGATTCTTGTGCTCCATCCTCCTGAGTGGCTGGGATTACAGGTGTGTGCCACCATGCCCAGCTAATTTTTGTAATTTTAGTAGAAATCGGGTTTCACCATGTTGGTCAGGCTGGTCTCTAACCCCTGGCCTTAAGCAATCCACCTACCTTGGCCTCCCAAAGTGCTGGGATTACAGGAATGAGCCACTGCGCCCAGCCAGTAGTTTCCCTTTTGAAAGTCTGTTTCATATGAACAGAAGTACTCGTACATTACCAGAATAGAGTATTTTTACCAGGATGTTTATAGTCAGACAGCCTGAATGTACATCAGTAGGAATGGTCAAATAAATTGTTACAGCCATATTATGCAATATTATGAAGCGATTAAATACTGAGTTAGGTGTATATTTGTTGACCTGAAGGAATTTACATGAAGTATTGAGTGAGAATAATAAGATACAGAGCAATGTGTACACTGTGATCCCATTTTGTAAAACAGTTATCTAAAAAATAAAAAATCTCTGCTGTATTTAACAGCAGTCAGCTCTCAGTATCTGTAGTTTCCACATCTGTGGATTCAACCAACTATGGATCAAAGATACTTAGAGAAAAAGTTGTGTCTGAACTAAGCATGTACAGACTTTCCCCCTTTTCATTATTGCCTATACAATACAGTGTAATAACCATTTACATAGCATTCACCTTGTATTAGATATTATAAATAACCTAGAGATGATTTAAAGTACACAGGAGGATGTGCATAGGTTGTATACAAGTATGATGCAATTTTATGCCAGAGACTTGAGCATCTGCAGATTTTGGTATCTGAGGGAGGTCCTGGAACCAATCCCGCACAGATACCAAGAGACAACTGTTTATGTTTTATTCAGGATTGAATTACCACGGATAAAATTATGTCAGTAATTTCAGGGTATTAATATTGTTTACTTGGACATATTGGTAGAATGTGAGAATATATATAGTATGAGGGAGCCCGGATAGTTCAGTTGGTAGAGCATCAGACTTAATCAGAGGGTCCAGGGTTCAAGTCCCTGTTTGGGTGTGTCCTTCGGCTTTTAGCACCTAATTCTGATTCCACCTTTGAAAAAGAAAGAAAGAAAAAAAGTATTGTTTTAGCTGGGCATGGTGGTGCACATCTGTAGTCCCAGATACTCAGGAGGCTAAGGTAGGAGGATCGCTTGAGCCTGGGAGGTTGAGGCTACAGTGAGCCAAGATTGTGCCTCTGCACTCCAGCCTAAGTGACAGAGCAAGACTCTATCTCAACATTCCCCACTGCCTGCAAATGTGTATATATATATATATATATATATAAAATGTGTCAGTGGAAATCTGAAGTATAAAATCTATGTATATTACTATAAATATGTAAACATTTTAGTATGCTTATTGGCAAGACTCATGAACGTTAATTGACTTTGGTATGGGAGCCTGCATGATTGTGCCCATGTTTGCAGTTCAGCAATTGAAATGAAAAAGAGATCAGTTGTTCCAAGTGCTTATTCTGAGGTTACTTGTTTTTCAGTTAACATTTCTCTGGAAAGACCAGACTACAAATGGTAAAAGCTCTATGTTTTATTATCGACAATCCCTTTTAAAGTTGAAGTAATTAACATTTGGAGTGAATTGGATTACTTTTTATTCTAATGTGTGTGTTTTCCAACTTTTTATTTTCAAAAAGTTCAAGCCTTCATAAAGGTAGAAAGCATAGGATAATAAACACCTACATATCCTTCACCTAAACTGATTATTAATATTTTGTTTTATTTTGGATAAAAAGGAACAAAAGCTCACCTTTTTTTCTCACTACCCTAATCAGCCACTGTTAATGTCATGCAAACAGTTTATATTATTTGCCACTAAACATATTTCTTATTTGCTTAAATTTTTTAAATGAAAGCATAATTTATGGTAGATAAATACACAGAATTATGTGTTGTAGTTTGAGTTTTGACAAATGTGTATACAGTTGTAATCTATACCCCTGTAAAGATAGCATTTCTGTCACCTCAGGAAGTTCTCACATGTACTTTCCCAGTCACCCTCATCTCTACCAGTAGCTTCTACTGCTCTGTTTTCTTTTGTTTCAGAGAGTTTTCCCTGCTTTTGATGTTGTTGCATACATCAATATATCTTTCCTTTTTATTGCTAAGTATATTTCATTATATGAATATAACAAGTTATCAGTTTTTCTGCTGATGGAATTTGGGTTGGATATTGCTTTGAGTTATTATGAGTAAAGCTGTTATGAACATTCTCATGCAAGTCTTTTTGCATCATAGAGTTAACATTTGAGTATGCTGAGCAAATAAGTAAATCAACAGTATATAATGTGCACAATATGAGGTTCTGTTAAGTGCTGTGAAGAAACAAATCAGGGTAAGGAGATAGAGTAGGAGGGAGGATGGTTTCCAGAAACAACTTCCTGATTAAGAGATACTTTAGTAAAGACCCAGAAAAGTATACAAGTGGACTATGCAGATCACTAGGAGAAACTGTGTATTTCCAACCAGAGAGGAGGAAGTGCAGCATTACTGAGGCAGGGGTGTGTTTGACATACTCCAGTATGGGTGCAGAGTGAGCAGTGTGGGGAAATGTTAAGGAGATATTGGCACCATGGTAAGAAGAGCAAGACAGGAGTCAAGGACATGAATAGTACCTTTTTTTTTTTTTAACTAGAAAAGTTAAAAAAAAAGATGAATGGTTTCACCATAGTAGAGTTGCCAGAAACAACAAAATTTATATAAAGTTTGAGTTCTCATATGTTGCAGCACCATGCTCAGTGCTTTGCGTATATTATCTTTTTACAACAGTACTATGTGGCGTATTGGTACTTATCCCCATTTTACAGATGAAAGGATTAAAACACTAAGGGATTAAATGCAGACGCCTTTATCAATAATTTTGTTTACAATTTTCAGCAGATGAGTTGATCATTAATTTTTTTTGACAGTAGCTTTTTCAGTGAGTAAGGGTAACAGAAAAGAATTCTTGTCTAGCTTTAAGGTTCATACATGGCATTTAGTACTACAAGAATTTGGACAAGTTATTTAACCTCTCAAGATCACTTTACTCCTCTATAAAATGGAAGATTTGTGTTTGGTGCTTTTTAAGGTCTGATGAGTCTAATCTGTGAAAGAGCACAGGGAGCTGATTATCAAAGTGAAATAGAAGGTACCATTAAAGGTTAAGGGATACCTCATATATTTAACCTTCAAAAAATACTGTCTTTAATATAGTTTAATAAACTTTTTGAAGTCACTGTGGAGGCTAAAATGTGCACACATATTTTAGATATTTGAGGGAAATGGCAAAGATGTCTTTGGTGATCATATTTAGTTGAAACAATTCAAGGTAATATGATTTATGTCTTGTTTTTCCTTTTTTGTGGGTTTGTTGATGGTGCCTGGAGCCTCTCTATTTTCCTATTTCTCCCTCTTTATCTCATCTTCCACTTCATCTCTCTTCTCTGTCTCAAAAAATTGCTCACAAGTTCCTGTTTAGATAAATGAGAGTATTATTCAATTCATAATGATTATTTATAGAAAATTTGGTAAGAAAATAGAATTTTGTAGCGCACAACAACCTTGACAGAATCTAAAAATTTACATATAAAATGTATTGGCAATAGAATAAAACTTTATGGATAAAATTTAGATTTGCAAAATTTGACTATACCTTGAAAGCTCACATTGAGTGAATATATAAGTTAATCTCAACAAGGACAAACTAACTGAATCAAATCTATCTTAAAAATGATTTCAGTAAAATAAAAAATGAAGCAGAAGACTTGGAAATGGTTTAAATGATAAATTTAGTTGTTCAATGGAATCCTTCTAGAAAATATTTTTCTCAGTGAAAATTGATTAGTTTCAGCATACTTTTGCATAAAATCTTCACATTGAAGACATAATCCTTAACATCAAAAGAGAAGAGTTGAGATATTTCATTATCAGTTGGATTTTTATTTGCCTCTGGGTCTATTTTTGGACCCAGGCAGAAGCTGTTTCTATTTTATGTCTTGAAAAATCCTTAAGGCTGATTTCTGAGCTTAAATCCTTTGGTTTAAATGAGTTTACAATGGTGTGTGTGGTGGGGGATATTATTTAACATTTTCTGACAAGGAAACGCTTTTGAATTTTGTTGCGTGGGAGAGGAGTTGGTGACTTGGTGGGCAAGCCCATTTTCATTACTTTAATTGTGCGATTTATTAGGATTTTAAGCTTTTTATAAATGTTTTAGTGTTATAGGACAGAATTAAAAGGATTTAGCATAAAAGGAGTTTAACAAAAGGACTTTGCAACAGGATTGCAATAGTTTTTATATTTGATGGATTTGGCTAGCCGCTTTTCATTTCAATCATCATGGTACATTCTGTTAAATGCTGTAGAACAGGTGTGTGTAACGTCATTCTCTCTATTGTACATGCAAATAAACACACAATTTTATATATAAAAAGTTAATCCACTGCAATTTGGAGGATTATGTTATGGGAGGGTGATGACTCCATTAGGCATCATGAAGAATGAAGAGTACATGCTATTTATACTGCAGGAAAAAACAAGTTAATAGCTACAATGTTCATGAGATGTAGAATTTTTATGTGGACACTTTTATTCAAGATATCCACAATAAAATTATTTAAATGAAAATTAAGATTTTGTTACATTGTTTTCTAACCTTGAAATGAGAATATTTTTTTTTTCTGGATGGTCTGCCTTATATAAAGTTGGAAGTTTAGTTAGTATTTGTTTATTGTAGATTGTGGTGTTTTCTACTTGCATGGACTTTCTAGTAAATGTGTTGGGAGTTATTGCCATTCTCAGTATAGGGCTTTTATTTTGTAGTTTAAAATTTTAGCTTCTTTGATTATCCATAAACTTTATAAATTTTTAGTAAGTATTATGTGCCTGATCTAGAGAGCAAAGTTTGCTGGACTGATATACTTCAGTAGGTTAGTGAAAACTACTGGAGTTCTTCAATTCAGGTTTGAGAAAAACAATCACAACATTCTTGCCAGTATTATTTGCATTTTAAAAACTTGATGTTTCATTGATCAAAATATCAAATTGATATGCATAATACAGGTACAAACTGTAAAGACCTTGGAAAGACCAGGAAGTAGAAGGAAAATAGCCATTGTTAAAGGTGAAGGCAAAATATGTAGGAGTGAAGAATTGGCTCTGTATAGAGGAAGTTCAGTTATAATTAATTTGGAACATAAATATTATGGACTGTGGGCCTGTTAATTTTTAACTTATGCTTGGATCAAAAGTAATATTGTTAACTGTGAAATCTGATTTGTTTAGCAGGAGTAATGGCACACCATGTACAGTAAATTATGTTTGAACAAACCTATTCTTGATGCTTTCTCACTACATTATCACAGATTTGTTTAAAAGATATAGGCACTGATTATTATATAATTCTAAAATATTTAAATAACTATAGTTTTATTCATAAACATTAGTTGTGTTTGTAGGTTTTTTTTTTTTTTTTTTTTTGAGATAGAGTCTTGCTCTGTTGTCCAGGTTGGAGTGCAGTGGTGTGATCTCAGCTCACTGCAGCCTCTGCCTCCCCGGTTTAAGCAATTCTCCTACCTCAGCCTCCCAAGTAGCCAGGATTACAGGCGTGCACCACCACGCCTGGCTAATTTTTGTATTTTTACTAGAGATGGTTTCACCATGTTGGCCAGGCTGGTCTTGAACTCCTGACCTCAGGTGATCCACCTGCCTCGACCTCCCAAAGTGCTGGGATTACAGGCATGAGCCACTGCACTCGGCCTTAGTTTTGTTTTTCTTTTAGAGGTGAAGATCTTGCTATATTGCCCAGGCTGGAGTGCAGTGGCTATTCACAGGTATAATCATAGAGCACTAGAGCCTCAAACTGCTGGGCTCAAACCTCCGGTGTAGATACTATAGTCTGGTGTCTAAGAAATGATAGAACTTGTCTTAACTTAATTTTCAGTCTTAATTATTATAATCACAGTTAAAAAGTATTAGTTAAGTCACAATCTCAGTATATTACCATTAACCTTTCCTTCTTTGGATTAGACCTCATTATTTTTGGAGGGATCAATTAACATGGATTGTTAATGTTACAAATGCTTTCTACTGACCAGGTGTGGTGACTCACGTCTGTATCCCAGCTCTTTGGGAGGCTGAAATGGGATAATCACTTGAGGCCAGGAGTTTAAGACTAGCCTGGGCACAGAGAGAGACCTCTATCTCTACAAAATATTAAAGAATTAGCTGGGCATGGCGGCGCATGTCTGTAGTACTAGCTGACTGGGAGGCTGATGAGGAAGTATCATTTGAGCCTAGGAGTTAGTGGCTGGAGTGAGCTATGATGTCCAGCCTAGGTGACAGAGCAAGACCCCATCTCTGAAAAACAGACACAAGAAATGCTTTTTATCACCCAGCCTAAGAAATAAAACAAAGAGTTTTGAAGTCCCCTGGCTACACTTTCCAAATATTTTCTTCTTCCTAAACCCGTAAGAGTTAAATCCCTATCCTGAAATTAGTGTTTATCTTTTTTATGTATTTATGTATCCATGGATATTTGTCATGTTGAAATATGATCCCTGGCTGGGCGCAGTGGCTCACGCTTGTAATCCCAGCACTTTGGGGGGCTGAGGCGGGCAGATCACGAGGTTAGGAGTTCAAGACCAGCCTGGCCAACACAGTGAAACCCCATCTCTACTAAAAATACAAAAATTAGCTGGGCATGGTGACAAGCGCCTGTTATCCCAGCTACTCAGGAGGCCGAGGCAGGAGAATTGCTTGAACCCGGGAGGTGGAGGTTGCAGTGAGCCGAGATCGTGCCACTGTACTCCATCTTGGGCGACGGAGCTAGACTCCATCTCAAAAACAAAAAACAAACAAACAAAAATCCCCGTTGTGGCAATGTTGGAAATGTTGGGAGGTGGTGATGGCAGTGGTGGCCATGGCAGTGGCTGCTCCTGGGCTGCATGCTCCACGGAGCCGGTGGAAGCCAGGAACAGGCAGAAGCCCCACCTTCTGAGTTGGCAGGGCAGGAGCTTCGTGCATGGGCCTCGTGCTGGCACCTCGAGCTGCCCGCCCTGCCATAGCCAGCATGCCTGGCTGTCAGCAGTGGGTGAACCCCCCGCTCGCTTGCTTACACATGCCTCACCACTCTGCTTGCCCTTGGCAGGCATGGGATCCAGCCTGGTAGTGTGAGCAGAGCACAGCCTGCCAGGCTGAGTGGGCCCAGTGGGCCCCGAGGGAAACTTGGGCAGCAGTGCTACTGGCCACAGAGGTTTCCGGCTGGCGAAGTGACACTTCAAGGATTCTGTAACAGTGGGGCCTGGTGAAGGTACTTGGATCATGGGGACAGATCCCTCATGAATAGATTAATGCCCTCCCTAGGGAGTGAGTGAGTTCTAGTTTCCAGAAGATCTGGCTGTTAAAAAGAACCTCCCCAGCCGTTTGGCATGTGATCACTGCAAATGCTGGCTCACTTCTGCTTTGTGTTATGAGTTGAAGCTGACTGAAGCCCTCATCAGATGCTCAATATTGAACTTTCCAGCCACTAGAAGTGTGAGCCAAGTAAACCCCTTTTCTTTAGACTACCCAGTCTCAGGTATACTGTTATGGCAACACTAATTGGACTAAAACAATGAGTGTGACTGCTTTATTTTTTTATTTTTATTTTTTCCCCTCTGCCACCCTAGTGTGACTGTGTTAGATATCTCATCTCAGTGGAATCATGTAATATTTATCTTTTTATGATTGGTGTATTTCACTTATAATGTTCTCAAGGTTCATCCATGTTGTAGCATGTGACAGGATTTCCTTCTTTATTTTTATTTTTAAATTTTTAATTAATTAATTATTTTTAGATGGAGTCTCACTCTGTCGCCCAGGCTGGAGTGCAGTGGCACGATTTCTGCTCACTGCAACTTCTGCCTCCTGGGTTCAAGCAGTTCTCTGCCTCAGCCTCCCGAGTAGCTGGGATTACAGGCACCTGCCACCATGCCCTGCTAATTTTTTTGTTTTTAGTAGAGATGGGGTTTCACCATCTTGGCCAAGCTGGTGTTGAACTTCTGACCTCTTGGTCCACCCGCCTCAGCCTCCCAAAGTGCTGGGATTACAGGTGTGAGCCACCGTGCCTGGCCTTTATTTTTATTTTTTATTTTTCCATAAGTTATTGGGGGTACAGGTGGTATTTGGTTACATGAGTAAGTTCTTTGGTGGTGATTTGTGAGATTTTGATGCACCCATCACCTGAGCAGTATACACTACACCATATTTGCAGTCTTTTATCCATCGCCCCCATCTCACTTTCCCCCCAAGTCCCCAAAGTCCACTGCATCATTCATATGACTTTGCGTCCTCATAGCCTAGCTCCCACATATTAGTGAGAACATATGATGGTTGGTTTTCCATTCCTAAGTTACTTCACTTAGAATAAAAGTCTCCAATCTCATCCAGGTCACTGCAAATGCTGTTAGTTCATTCCTTTTTATGGCTCAGGAATATTCCATCATATATATATATATACACACCAGAGTTTCTTATCCACTTGTTGATTGATGGGCATTTGGGTTGGCTCCATGATTTTGCAATTGTGAACTGTGCTGCTATAAACATGTGTGTGTAAGTATCTTTTTTGAATAATGACTTCTTTTCCTCTGGGTAGATACCCATAGTGAGATGCTGGATCAAATGGTCGTTCTACTTTTAGTTCTTTAAGGAATCTCCACACTGTTTTCCCTAGTGGCTGTACTAGTTTACATTCCCACCAGCAGTGTAGAAGTGTTCCCTGATCGCCGCATCCACACCAACATCTACTGTTTTTTGATTTTTTGATTATGGCCATTCTTGCTGGAGTAAGGTGATACTGCTTTGTGGTTTTGACTTGCATTTCCCTGATCATTAGTGGTATTGAGCATTTTTTCATATGTTTTTTGGTCACTTGTCTATCTTCTTTTGAGAACTGTCTATTCATGTCCTTAGCCTACTTTTTGATGGGATTGTTTTTTTCTTACTAATTGGTTTGAGTTCGTTGTAGATTCTGGATATTAGCCCTTTGTCAGATGTGTAGATCGTGAAAATTTTCTCCCACTCTATGGATTGTCTATTTGCTTTTCTGACTGTTCCTTTTGCTATGCGAAAGCTCTTTAGTTTAATTATGTCCTAGCTATTTATCTGTGTTTTTATTGCATTTGCTTTTGGGTTCTTGGTCATGATATCTTGCCTAAGGCAATGTCTAGAAGGGTTTTTCCAATGTTATCTCCTAGAATTTTTATAGTTTCAGGTCTTAGGTTTAAGTCCTTAGTCCATCTTGGGTTGATTTTTGCATAAGGTGAGAGGTGAGGATCCAGTTTCATTCTCCTACAGGTGGCTAGCCAATTATCCCAGCACCATTTGTTGAAAAGGGTGTCCTTTCCCCACTTTATGTTTTTGTTTGCTTTGTTGAAGATCAGTTGACTGTAAGTATTTGGGTTTATTTCTGGGTTCTCTACTCTGTTCCATTGGTCTATGTACCTATTTTTATAAAGTACCACACTGTTTTGGTGACTATGGCCTTAGAATATGGTTTGAAATTAGGTAGTATGAGGCCTCCAGATTGGTTCTTTTTGCTTAGTCTTGCTTTGGCTATATGGGCTCTTTTTTGGTTCCATATGAATTTTAGAATTGTTTTTTCTAATTCTGTGAAGAGTGATGGTGGTATTTTGATGGGGATTGCATTGAATTTGTAGATTGCTTTTGGTAGTATGGTCATTTTCACAATATTGATTCTACCCATCTGCGAGCGTGAGCATGGGATATGTCTCCATTTGTTTTTGTCATCTGTGATTTCTTTCAGCAGTGTTTTGTAGTTTTCCTTGTAGAGGTCTTTTGAGTCCTTGGTTATGTATATTCCTAAGTATTTTATTTTATTTTTATTTTTGCAGCTATTATAAAAGGGCTTGAGTTCTTGATTTCATTCTCTTCTTGGTCGCTGTTGGTGTATAGAAGAACTACTGATTTGTGTATATTAATTTTATATCCGGAAACTTTGCTGAATTCTTTCATCAGTTCTAGGAGCTTTCTGTAGGAGTCATTAGGGTTTTCAAGGTAAATGATCATATTGTCAGCAAACAGTGACAGTTTGATTCCTCTTCACTGATTTGGATGCTCTTTATTTTTTTCTCTCGTCTGATTGCTCTGGCTAGGACTTCCAGTACTATGTTGAAGAGGAGTGGTGAAAGTGGGCATCCTTATCTTGTTCCAGTTCTCAGAGGGAATGCTTTCAACTTTTCCCCATTCAGTATTATGTTGGCTGTGGGTTTGTTATGGTTGGCTTTTATTACATTAAGGCATGTCCCTTGTATGATGATTTTGCCAAGAGTTCTAATCATAAAGGGGTGCTGGATTTTGTTGAATGCTTTTTCTGCATCTATTGAGATGAGCATGTGATTTTGTTTGCTTGTTTGTTTGTTTGTTTGGCGGAGTCTCGCTGTGTTGCCCAGGCTGGAGTGCAGTGCTGTAATCTTGGCTCCCTGTAGCCTCCGCCTCCTGGGTTCAAGAGATTCTTGTGCCTCAGCCTCCTGAGTAGCTGGGATTACAGGCATGCGCCACCACACCTGGCTAATTTTTGTGTTTTTAGTAGAGACAGGGTTTCACCATGTTGGCCAGGCTGCTCTCGAACTCCTGACCTCAAGTGATCCACCCACCTCGGCCTCCCAAAGTGTTGGGATTACAGGTGTGAGCCACCACTCCCTGCCGTGATTTTTGTTTTTAATTTGGTCTATGTGGTGTGTCACTTTTATTGACTCACGTATGTTAAACCATCCCTGCATCCCTGATATGAAACCCACTTGATCATGGTGAAATATCTTTTTGATATGTTGTTGGATTCGGTTAGCTAGTATTTTGTTAAGGATTTTAGCATCTGTGTTCATCAAGGGCATGGGTCTGTAATTTTCTTGTTTGGTTTTATCCTTCCCTGGTTTTGGTATTAGGGTAATGCTGGCTTCATAGAATGAATTAGGGAGGGTTCCTCCTTTCTCTATCTTGTGGAATAGTGTCAGAATGATTGGTACCAATTCTTTGAATGTCTACTGGAATTCTGCTGTGAATCCGTCTGGTCCTGGACTTTTTTTTGTTGGTAATTTATAAAATTACCATTTCAGTCTTGCTGCTTGTTATTGGCCTGTTGAGGGTGTCTAATTCTTCTTGGTTTAAGCTAGGTTGTATTTTTCCAGGAATTTATCCGTCTCTTCTAGGTTTTCTAGTTTACGTGCATAAAGGTGTTCATAGTAGTCTTGGATGATCATTTGTATTTTGTGTCAGTTGTAATATCTCCTGTTTCATTTCCTAGTGAGGTTATTTGGATTTTCTCTCTTCTTTTCTTGGTTAATCTTGCTAATGATCTATCAATTTTATTTATCTTTTCTAAGAACCAGCTTTTTGTTTATCTTTTGTATTTTTTTCCCCAATTTCATTTATTTCTGCTCTGATCTTTGTTATTTCCTTTCTTCTGCTGGGTTTGGGTTTGGTTTGTTCTTGTTTCTCTAGTTCCTTGAGGTGTGACCTTAGAATGTCAGTTTGTGCTCTTTCAGGCTTTTTGATGTAGGCATTTAGGGCTGTGAACTTTCCTCTTAGCACCGCCTTTGCTATATCCCAGAGGTTTTGTTTTTGTTTTTATTTTACTTTTTTGAGACAGAGTCGCGCTCTGTTTCCCATGCTGGAGTGCTGTGGCGTGATCTCGGCTCACTGCAACAGGTTCAAGCGATTCTCCTGCTTCAGCCTCCTGAGTAGCTGGGATTACAGGTGTGTGCCACCATGCCCAGCTAATTCTCTGTATTTTTAGTAGAGATGGGGTTTCGCCACCTTGGCCAGGCTGGTCTTGAACTTCTGGCCTCAAGTGATCCACCCACCTTGACCTCCCAGAGTGCTGGGATTACAAGCATAAGCCACCGTGCTTGGCCGTTTTCCTTCTTTTTTAAGTCTGCATAATCCGTTTCAATATACCACATTTTCTTTATCCATTCATCTATCAGTAGACTTTTGGGTTGTTTCCATCTGTTGGCTATTTGGAATAATGCTGCAGTGAACATAGTTGTGCAAGAGTTTGCTACATTTATTTTTACTTTTATTTATTTATTTATTTATTTATTTTTTTGTGGGGTGGGAAACAAGATCTTGCCATGTTGTCCAGGCTGGCCTTGAGCTCCTGGGCCCAAGCAGTTCTCCTGTCCGGCCTCCTGAGTAGCTGGGACTACAGGTGTGTAGCACCACACCTGACTACATTTATTTATTTATTTATTTACTTTTAATTTATTATACTTTAAGTTCTGGGATACATGTGCAGAATGTGCATGTTTGTTACATAGGTATACACATGCTATGGTGGTTTGCTGCACCTGTCAACCTGTCATCTACATTAGGTATTTCTCCTAATGCTATCCCTCTCCTAGCCCCCCACCTCCCGACAGGCCCTGGTGTATGATGTTCTTCTCTCTGTGTGCATGTGTTCTCACTGTTCAACTCACACTTATCAGTGAGAACACGTGGTGTTTTAATTAGTAAGCTTTATTTCTTATTCACAGAAAAATTAAGCAGAAAATAGAGTTTCCCAGCCTGGGCAACATGGCGAGACCCCGTTTCTGCAAAAAAATACAAAAATTAGCCAGGCATGGTGATGTGTGCCTGTAGTCCCAGCTACTCAGGAGGCTAAGGTGGGAGGATCATTTGAGCTGGAAGGTGGAAGTTTCAGTGAGTTGAGATTGTGCCACTGCACTCCAGCTTGGGCGATATTGTGAGACCCTGTCTCAAACAAACAAAAACACACAGAGTTTCTGTATACCCCTGACCCTGCCCAGGCACTACCTCTTCCCACTTCCCACTTTTTGTATCATAGTGGTACATTTGTTACAAGTGATGATCCTACACTGACACATTATTATTCCCCAAAGTCCCTAATTGACATTAGGATTCTCTTGGTCTACATTCTAGAAATTTTCATAAATGTGTAATGATGCATTTCACAAATGTATAGTGAAACAATAATCCACCATTTTAGCATCATACAGAAAAGTTTCAGTTAAAACTTAAAACTTAGAAGTCCTTAAATTCCTCTGTGCTCTGCTTATTCATGTCTTCCTCCTAATTCCTGCAACCATTGATCTTTTTACTGTCCCCATAGTTTTATCTTTCCCAAAATGTCATGTAGTTGGTAACATATGATATATAGCCTTTTTATATTGGCTTCTTTCAATGAGCAATATGCATTTAACATTCCTTCGTTTTATGGCTTGATAGCTCATTTCTTTTTAGTCTGTTGTTTGGATATATTACAGTTTATTTATCCATTCATCTGCTGAAGAACATGTTGGTCGCATCCAAGTTTTGGCAATTATAAATAAAGCTGTCATAAACATTGTGTGCAGGTTTTTGTGCGGACAAACGTCTTCAGTTCATTTTCGTAATTACCAAGGAGTGTGATTTCAGCATTGTACGGTAAGAGTATGTTTAGTTTTGTAAGAAACTGCCAAACTCCTCCAATGGGGCTGTGCTCTTTGGCATTCCCATTAGCAGTATGTGAAAAGTGTCACTTGCGTCCTCTTCAGTATTTGGTGTTGTCAGTGTTCTGGAATTTGGTCGTTCTGGTAGCTGTGCAATGGTATCTCATTGTTTTAGTCTATAATTCCATAATAACATATAACTTCGAGCATATTTTCATATGCTTGTTTTTATGTGTATCTTCTTGGGTGAGGGTGACCTCAGGTCTTTTGCCCATAGTGTTTTCTTATTGTTGAATTTTAAGATTCCTTTGTGTTGGCTAACAATCCTTTTATCAGATGTGTTTTTTGCAAATGTTTTCTAGTCTGTAGCTTGTCTTCTCATTCTTTTTACTTTTACTTTTTACATGTACTTTTTAAAATAGCAAACCAAAATTATTTAATATTAAAGAAAACCATTTTTAAAGCAATTCTAGCAAGAAGTTTTCTCTTTATTCTGTCTTCCATTAAAAAAATCTTATTTTGAAACAATTACAGACTTACAGGAAGTTGCAAAAATACTACAGAGCAGTCCAGTGTATCCTTGTGTGTACATAATTCCATGCCATTTTATCACATTCACCACCAGCACAATCAAGATACAGCACTGTTCCGTCACCACAAAGATCTCCCTTATGCTACCTCCCTGCAACATCCCCAGCCCTTGAGAACAATTTTTCTCCATCCTTATTTTGTCATTCAAGACTGTTACATAGTAGAATTATACAATATGTAAGTTTTTTGAGATTAGTGTTTGTTTTTTTTTTTTTTTTTTTTTGGAGACAGAGTCGTACTCTGTCACCCAGGCTGGAGTGCAGTGGCCTGATCTTGGCTCCCTGCAGCCTCTGCCTCCTGGAGTCAAGCAATTCTTGTGCCTCAGCCTCCTGAGTAGCTGGAATTACAGGTGCGCGCCACTACGCCTGGCTAATTTTTTTCTTTTCTTTTTTTTTTTTTTTTTTTTTTTTTTTAGTAGAACTGGGGTTTCACCATGTTGGCCAGGCTGGTCTTGAATTCCTGACCTCAAATGATCTGCCTGCCTCGGCCTCCCAAAGTGCTGGGATTATAGGCATGAGCCAATGAGACACCGTGCCTGGCTGAGATTAGCTTTTTTACTAGTACAGTGCTCTTGAGGTATATCCAAGTTGTTTAGTCTATCAGTAGTTAATTCCTTTTTAATTTCGATTAGTATTTCCTGGTATGGATGTACCATTCATCTGTTGAGGGACATCCAGGGGTGATTTTGACTCTTACATCTAAACCTGCTGTTAACATTTGTTCACAAGTTTTTCTGTGAGCACAAGTTTTTATTTTTCTGGGATAAATGCCAAGTACTGTGATTGCTGGGATGTTTTGTTTTTTTAATTTTTGTTTGGACAAAAGTCTTCAGTTCATTTTGGTAATTACCAAGGAGTGATGATTGCGGCATTTTATATTTCCGCTGTGGCATTTTATATTTCCACTAGCAATGTATGAGACATCTAGTTTCTGCTCATCTTTGTCAGCATTTACTATTGTCATGATCCTTTGTTTGAGCTCCTCTAGTAGGTATGTAGTGATGTCTCACTGTGCTCTTAATTTACATTTCCCTAATGACTTTTCCTGTGCTGATTTGCCATCCATCTCTTCTTTCCAGTGAAGTATCTCTTAATGTCTTTGCCCATTTTCTAATTGGATTGTTGTTTTACTGTTGAGTTGTGAGATTATATATTTGAGATTTGAGTCATTTGTCAGATATGTTTTTTGCAAGTATTTTTTCAAGTGTGGATGTAGCTTGTGCTTTCATTCTTCTATCATGGTCTTTGATAGAGCAAAATTTATAATTTTAATTAAATCCAATTAATTGATTTTAAAAATTATCTTATGGATCATACTTTTTAGTATCTTGTGTGGGACTTCATCAAACTCTGTATCCTGCAGATTTTCTTCCATATTTTCTTCTGAAAGTTGTATAGTTTTACATTTAAATCTGTGATCAATTTTGTGTTAATTTGGGGTAAATGTGAGATTTAATTTTTTTTTATGGACATCCAGTTGTTCCAGGGTCATTTGTTGACTATTCTTCCTCCATTGAATTGCTTTTACACCTTTGTAAAGAAAATCATTTGGCCATATTTGTGTGGTCTATTTCTGTGTTTTCTTTTTTCCTTTAATCTATGTGTCTATTCCTCTGCTAGTACCACTAACTCTTATTTACTATAGTTATATAACTCCTGAAATATGATAGAGTGATTTCCTCTATTTTCTTCTTTTGTTAAACTTGTTTTAGCTATTCTAGCTCCCTTACCTTTCCATAAAATTTTAGAATACTCATGTTTATAATTGCAAAAAAATCTTGCTGGATTTTTGGTAGGAATTGCATTAAACTTTATATCAGTTATGTATCTCCATGTATTTAGGTTGTCTTTTGTTTGTTTTATCAGCAGTTAGTAGTTTTCAGTACATAAGTCCTGTACATGTTTAATCAATTTATAGTTCAGTATTTAGATTTCTTTTGAACAAGTATAAGTGCTACTGTACTTTAAATCTCAATTTTCATGTGTCCATGATAGTATATACTTTTGTATGCTGATCTTATAGCCTGTGACTTGCTGGACTAACTGATTCTAGTTTTTTTTTAATTTTTTTTGTTGATTCCTCTGTAATTTTTATGTAACCAATCATGTTATCTGTAAATAGGGAGTTTTATTTCTTCCTTTCTGGTCTATGACTTTTACTTTGTTTGCTGCCTTATTATACTAGATAGAACTTCCAGTACTCTATTGAAAAACAGTAGTGAGAGTGGACACTCTTGCTTTATATCTGACCTCAGAGGAAAAGCATTTAGTTTGTGTGATGTTCGCTGAAAGATTTTGTGTTAAGTTATATCATCTAATACCTGGAGCAACCACTTGAATTCCCGATCCTATAACAATCTGTTTCTTCTCTGGTAGCTTATAGAAGCTTTTCTGTGTTATCACTGTCTTGAAACAATGTACTCTGATATTGGTCTGTTTCATGTACTGTGCTAGAACCTGAAGAAGCTGATAAAATCGTAGTTTTTTGTTCTGGGGAAACTTTTTGAATTATTTCATGGGTGATTTTCTCCTGTTTTCTCTGTTCTCTCTTTTGGAACTTCTGTCATCTATGTATTGACTGTTTGGACTGTCTGAGCCCATCCTTTTCAATTTCTTGTGTGTAAAAATGCTCTTTTCTTCTCTTGTGTTTTTGTTCTTCTCTCTGGGAAATTTTCTTAAATTTGCCTCTGATTCTTGTGTTGAGTTTAAAAACAATATATGCCTGCCTGTAATCCCAGCACTTTGTGAGGCCAAGGCAAGCAGATCACCTGAGGTCAGGAGTTTGAGACCAGCCTCTACTAAAAATACAAAAATTAGCCGGGCATGGTGGCACGTGCCTGTAGTCCCAGCTACTTGGGAGGCTGAGGCAGGAGAATTGCTTGAATCTGGGAGGCAGAGGTTACAGTGAGCCAAAATCACGCCACTGCACTCCAGCCTGTGCAACAGAGTGAGACTCTGTCTCAAAAAAAAAAAAATATATATATATATATATATATGCACACACATATATTTATATAAATACAAATACACACACATACATACATACATACATATATATATATATATATCCCCTTGTTTTTATCATTCTTCAAGAGCTCTCTTTTATTCTCCAAGCGTCTATCTTTTTAATTCTTATTTTGTTCCATGTCTGCAGTATCTTCTCTTACATAATGGAAATGATTAATGACAATTTTTAATTTCTATTGTGTTCTTCCTGTGTAGTATTAGATACTTTCCAGATGACTATTAATCCTTGGCTGTTTGCACATGATTGTCAGTGGCAAACTGAAAAGCTAATTGAAAACATTGCATATCTGCTTGTCGACTTTGTTTTTTTGAGATGGAGTTTCACTCTTGTTGCCCAGGCCGGAGTGCAATGGTGCCGTCTGGGCTCACTGCAAACTCTGCCTCCTGGGTTCAAGCGATTCTCCTGCCTCAGCCTCCCGAGTGGCTGGAATTATAGACACCCGGCTAATTTTGTATTTTTAGTAGAGATGGGGTTTCACCACATTGGCCAGGCTGGTCTTGAACTCCTGACCTCCGCCTCGGCCTCCTAAAATGCTGAGATTACAGGCGTGAGCCACTGTGCCCAGTCTATTTGTCGACTTTTAACTTTATTGTGAGGTGCTTTGGTTGTGTTGTTTGTTTGTTGGAACCCTCTGATGGATAGTATATTTTAGTCTTTCCTCTTGGACTTGTTAACATGTCCCAGAAAAGACTTACAAGTGCCCACCTAAAGGATAAGGTTCTGGTGCTAGTGTCCTGGAAGCCCCATGGGAAAGACGACATGAAGGATGATGAAGGGATGTTTCAATATTAAGTATTAATGTTGTCATTTAATCTTCTTCACTTTTTTGTTTTGCATTCACCTTTACCCAGTGTCCTTCTGTCTGTCTCTAGAGAGTAACCTTTCAGCCTTGTGCTGGGAACGGGGAAGATGAGTTGCCTAACAGGGTAAAGGTCTTAGCATCGATGTGTTTTTCAGATAGCCGATATCAAATCTAGTCTTCTTTATTTTAGCTTCATCTCCCATCAAATCTAGTACCTGGTATTATCAGTTATTGTGCCTTTTAAAGATTCTGCGATGTAAAGTAATTTGGGCGTCAGGTTTTTTCCCCCATGCACAACCTTGAACTTTTAAGATTGCTAAGTCAGTCATCAGTCATCTATTTCCAAAATTTCTTGGGGTTATATATTTTTAAAGTACATTTAATTTAATATTTTTTTTCCTAGAATTTTCTGAAGGTATAAAATGAAATTCATGTCTTCAGTCTACCATCTTAACTCAGAAGTTGAAACAACCATTTACTTGTTTCTTCTGGCATTTGCCTTCTTATTTAAAAACAAAGGAAAAATTTTGGGGGAAATTTATATATTCACATGGTTTGAAAATGAAAAAGCACAAAGTATATAATGAAAAGTTTCTTCTATCCTTCATTTTTTTTCATTTTCCCTCTCATAAGTAACTATTACGATTTTTTTTTTTTTTTTTTTTTTGAGACGGAGTTTCACTCTTGTTGCCCAGGCTGGAGTGCAATGGCATGATCTCGGCTCACCACAACCTCTGCTTCCCGGGTTTGAGCGATTCTCCTGCCTCAGCCTCTTGAGTAGCTGGGATTACAGGCATGCACCACCACGCCCGGCTAATTTTTTGTATTTTTAGTAGAGACAGGGTTTCTCCATGTTGGTCAAGCTGGTCTCGAACTCCTGACCTCAGGTGATCTGCCCGCCACGGCCTCCCAAAGTGCTGGGATTACAGGAGTGAGCCACTGCGCCCGGCCACTATTATGATTTTTATATGTCCTCGTGGAGTTCGTATATGTATGTATACATATATGCAGGTCTTTTTTTCTCTTCTTTGTAAAAAAGGTAGTATATTGGCTGGGCGTGGTGGCTCACACCTGTAATCCCAGCACTTTGGGAGGCTGAGGCGGGTGGATCATAAGGTCAGGAGTTCGAGACCAGCCTGGCCAACATGGTGAAACCCCATCTCTACTAAAAATACAAAAAATAGCTGGGCATGGTGGCAGGTGCCTGTAATCCCACCTACTCAGGAGGCTGAGGCAGGAGAATCGTTTGAACCTTGGAGACAGAGGTTGCAGTGTGCCGAGATCATGCCATTGCACTCCAGCCTTGGGGAGACTCCATCTCAAAAGAAAAACAAGAACACACACACAAAAAACAAAAGGTAGTATATTATTCTGTATCTTCCTATGGTTGTATGTATTCCTTTTTTCCACTTTATATCTTCTATCTCATTCCATGTTTTTATAGTGTAATTCGTTGTGTTGTTTTGCAGCGGTAGGAAATATTCTATTGTAACTTGATTTTTTTTCAGTCTTTTGCTATTATAAACAATACTGTTGTGAATAATCTTATATACAAGTTATTTATCTCATGTCTGAGTATATGTGTAGGGTGAACTTGGATTAAGGGGTATTTGTATTTCAATTTTGATTAATGTGAGAAAATTTAATCAAATTTTTGGATTTTTTAAGGAGCTCTTAAATAAGTGTCAATATATGTAGTTAAATTTAGTTATATAGTCCTTTTTATTTTAGCTTCATCTCCTATCACATTTAGTACCTGCTATTGTCAATTATTGTGGCTTTTAAAGATCCTGTGATGTAAACTAATTTGAGTGTCGGGTTTTTTTTTTTCCCCCAAGCACTACCTTGCACTTTTACTTCTGACTGCTGCATCAGTCATCAGTCTGACTTAGCATGCTTAAGTAAATACACACACACACACACACTCACACAATTTTAAAGATATATAGTTATCGTTATATAAATAACATATTTATATGTATATAAATATATGTAGTTAAAAATTTTTAAGTAGAAAATGTCTGACTTATTTAAAGGTAGTGTGAATAGTGCGATGATCCCTAAGGAACCCACCAGTCATCATTTTATGACTATTCTTGTTTCATTAGCATTTATTTCCCTCCCTCTAGATTATTTTGAACCCTTCCTAGATATCATATCAGTTTATTGGTTAACATTCCCTCACTTGTTTCTAAAAGATAAGGTATCTTAAAAATGTAACCACAGTATTGTAGGGGAGGAAAACTTCTCTGACCTCTCAGGGTCTCTGGGTGGGCCAAAAAATTAAACTGACATAAGATAAATTAACAGGAGAAAAGCATACAAATTTTTATTTCATAAAATTTACATGTGCATGTGTGTCCGAACAGGGAAATGAAGACTTAAGGAAGTGGCGGCTGGGCGCGGTGGCTCACGCCTGTAATCCCAGCACTTTGGGAGGCCGAGGCAGGAGGACTGCTTGAACTCAGGAGTTCAAGATCAGCCTGGGCAACACGGTGAAACCCCGGCTCTACTAAAATACAAAAAATTAGCCGGACATGGTGGCGGGCACCTGTAATCCCAGCTACTTGGAAGGCTGAGGCAGGAGAATAGCTCGAACCTGGGAGGCGGAGGTTGCAGCGAGCCCAGATCTGCCATGGCACTCCAGCCTGGGTGACAGAGTGAGACTCCATCTGTAAAAAAAAAAGAGAAGTGACTCAGCCTAAGTTTTTTTTTTTTTTTTTTTGAGACGGAGCCTTGCTCTGTCCCTCAGGATGGAGTGCTGGCGTTGGCATGATCTTGGCTCACTGTAACCTCTGCCTCCTGGGTTCAAGCTAGTCTGCCTCAGCCTCCCAAGTAGCTGGGATTACAGCGCCTGCCTCCATGCTCGCGCTAATTTTTATATTTTTGTATTTTTTTTTTTTAAACTAGAGATGGGGTTTCACCATGTTGGCCAGGCTGGTCTCGCATCCTGACCTCAGGTGATCCACCCGCCTCGGCCTCCCAAAGTGCTGGGATTACAGGCGTGAGCCACTGTGCCCGGCTTCGGCCTAAATTATTACATGCTAGGTTGAACAAAGAATGACATTTATGGAAAGGTATCTGGGAAGATAAGGGCTAGTTTAACAATGTTCATTTATACAGATTTCTTTCATCCTTGCCTTCACATCTCTGGTGATTAAAATGTTTCTTCTTGGTATGTAGGAAGGTCATCTTTCACTTGGGGGCTTCCTTTCAGGAATCAAAGAGCCGGTCAGCGTGTCTTTCTTACATCTGCTGTTTTTCAAATGCTTTTAGCCCAAATAATCAATATGCCAAAGAGGCATATTTTGGAGTGGTTTGTCCTGAGCTCCTTAATATCATTATCAATATAGTTTTAAGGAATTTCTGTCATGTGTGAGGTTGAGCATTTTTTCTTCTTAATCTTTTTTTTTTTTTTGAGACTGATTCTTGCTCTGTCATCCAGGCTGGAATGCAGTGGCACAATTATAGCTCACTGCAGCCCCCAACTCTGGGGGCTCAGAGGGTCCTCCTACTTCAGCCTCCTGAGTAGCTAGGGCTACAGGAGTGTGCCACCATACCCAACTAATTTTTTGTTTTTATTGTTTGTAGATACAGAGTTTTGCCCTGTCTCAAGTGATCCTCCTGCCTCCGCCTCCCAAAGTGTTGAGAGTACAGGCGTGAGCAGGCACAGAGCACCTTTTCATATGATTCAGAACCATTTATATTTCCTGACTTTACTTTTTTTGCTTCTTGTTCATATTATATTGGTTTTGTATCCTGTAATATTGTTGAGTTCACTTACTATTATTATGTGGACTTAGGACTTGATGGGAGCAGCAACTCTGGATATTCTTGTATTATTATTGCTGTTAATAGGAATACTCTGAACCATTACCTGTGACATTTGCTGTAGATCTTTTGTAGATGATCATTATTAGGTTAAAAAAGATATTTTTGTTATTTTTTTTTGTTCATATGATTAGGTATAGAGTCTAATTGAATGCTTTTTCTGCATCTGCTGAAATATTAATATCATTAATTACATTAATAGATTTTATACTGCCAAACTATTACTGTTGCTTAGGTAAATCTAATTCAGTTATGAGAGTTTATTTTTTTCATATATGTTGCTATTTAATTTGCTGATATTTTGTTTAGGATTTTTGCAACTATGTATATCAATGGGAATGACCTATAGTTTTATAATTTTCTTGTCTTGAACTACCTTTATTTAGTTTCGACATCAATATTATTACTAGTTTTAGGTAATTAGTTGGTGGGGTATGGGATGGTTTTCTGATCTCATGGGGAAGGTGTATAAGATTGAAATTGGTGCCAATTGAAACTTAAAAAAAATGCCAGTTCAGGCTGGCCATTGTGGCTCTCGCCTGTAATCCCAGCACTTTGGGAGGTTGAGGCGGGTGGATCACTTGAGGTCAGGAGTGTGAGACCAGGCTGACCAACATGGCGAAACCCTGTCTCTACTAAAAATACAAAAATTAGCCGGGCATGGTGGTACGTGCCTGTAGTCCCAGCTACTCAGAAGGCTGAGGCAGGAGAATTGTTTGAACCCGGGAGGCAGAGGTTGCAGTGAGCTGCGATCGTGCCACTGCACTCCAGCCTGGGTGACAGAGCGAGACTCTGTCTCAAAAAAAAAAAAAAAATGCTGGTTCAGTTTTTAAAATGATTACATATATATAATATATGATGATTTTATATAGTAGCTTTTCTTCTTTTTATTCAATTGTATAAATTATGTCAACTTATAATGAATACTTCTCCTTTTCAAGTATTTTGAAAGCATGAAAATAGTGGGAATTATACAATAATATTCCTCAAAGCTTACAATTTATTTTATCCTTCCTGTCAGGTGCTCAAAAATGTGATAACTTTGCTGAAAAAAGACCCCTCCTTGGTGTTTGTAAGAGCATTGGATCTTCTGGGTAAGGAAATTTTAAAAATTCTTTGTATCACCTATTACAAATTTATATTATTCCAGAGGGAGAACTTTGATGTTATAAAACCTTTGTAACCATAAGACTAAGCTCTCATAAGAGAGAAGAAGAAGAAAGTAAAACATATTTAGGGTTTCCAACAGTAAATGACATTTATTGATGCTATAGCATGTGCCTGACACTGTTCTAAAGGTGTTGTGTGAATTTTCTTTTTTATTTATTACCACAATACTGTGAACAAATACAAATATCTTTCCAGTTAGTGCATTCCCTCAAATTGAACTTCTGGCTGCAAGGAAAGCTAGGAATGATTATGGTTTTGTTAGTAAGGAAAATTATCAAAATGGATATTAGGTTGGCTACTAGCAGTCTTGGCCTCATGCTTTCAGTAAATAGTGTGCACTTCAGATCATGTGGCATTGGAGAAAGGAAGAACATGTTAATAATATAACATGGTTAGGTCATGGAGTCTTGATTATTGTTTCCTAATGGTACTGTTTGACTTCATAGGCTACAAGACAAATTTCTTCAAGTGTAAATTTTTCGATTGAAGAAGACATAAAGCCTTTGAGAATTTACTGTATACTCAGCACTTTGCCGGGTGTAGGATAAGGATACAAAATCATGAAAGCCTAATTTCTTTCCCCAGAGACTTATGAATGTGGCTGAAAAGAAAAAGTACAACACATGCAAAATAATTATGAAATAATGATGTATGACAGGAATGCAGAGAAGGGAGAGATCAGTGTGCATGAATTAATGAGAAAAAGCCTCATGGAGAAGGAGCAGCATAGGTTAGATCTTAAGGAATGGGAAATATTGCAGCAGATGAGAAGGACTGCCAGGGTAGGTTATAATATAGTAGTGGAAGAGAAACTGAAATAAATACATTTAAGAATGGTAAGAGTTTGTGGGCCAGGCATGGTGACTCACGCC
Source organism: Homo sapiens (assembly GCF_000001405.40). Lineage (NCBI taxonomy): Eukaryota > Metazoa > Chordata > Mammalia > Primates > Hominidae > Homo > Homo sapiens. The sequence goes on from NC_000017.11 coordinate 60,809,025, forward strand.
TGTAATCCCAGCACTTTGGGAGGCTGAGGCAGGCAGATCACTTGAGGTCAGGAGATTGAGACCAGCCTTGCCAACAAGGTGAAACCCTGTCTCTACTAAAAATACAAAAATTAGCCCAGTGTGGTGGCATGTGCCTATAACCCCAACTACCCGGAAGGCTGAGGCACGAGAATTGCTTGAACCTGGGAGGCAGAGGTTGCAGTGCACCACTGTACTCCAGCCTGGGCAACAGTGAGACTCTGTCTCAAAAAAAAAAAAAAAAAGAGAGAGTTTGTGACTTAGATTTAATGCCATCTGCAAAACAGATGAAAACAACTATTGCAGTACTCTGAAACTCAACCAAAAGCATATAATAATCTGAAAAGTGTTTAAGCTTGAGAAACTGCTAATCTTTGCACAATAACAGTGGGAATCTGTGGCATTCATGCCTGCAGCTGCTCCTGTCCCACTCCACACTTTCCCTCTTCCAGGGTTGGTTGGTTGGTTGGTTGGTTATAGAGTGTCTTCCAGGGTGAGAAAGGTTTTGAGGACTAGTACCTTACCTGCTGTGCTTGGAAAATTTTCGCTCATCTCTGAGTGGCAGGTATTGCATATGCCTGCCAGCATTATCTGCAGAAATTACTGTCTTGATGACATGTGTGCTTTGAGAGCCATTGGCTCTTTCAGCCTAAGATAATGGTTAGCTGAGGCTTCATGCATATGCAGAGGAGCCATGAAAAAGGGTCCAGGGGGAAGAAAAATCTGAATAGATGTGCAGATCCTTTGGCAAAGGAAAACAACTTTTGTTGACCTGGGGTATTTGAGTGAATCCTCTGTTGAGTAGTTGGCTGCCCACTAAGATACATAGATGCATGGCCAGACCCTGAAAGTCAGGCTTTAAAGTAATGCAAGAATAAAAGAAATAATAAAACTGAACAGAGAAATCAGCAACTGCAAATTGTGGAAGAAGACAGATTTCATAGAATCCAGAGTAATGTTATACTGTATTATATAAAATGTCTATTTTTAAATATAAAATTATGACACATGCCAAGAAACAGGAAGTTGTGGCAGTGAGAAAAAGGCAGACAATAGAAATCATACCTGACTGGTCTTCAGAAAAGCCTGAGTCCTGTCCTCTCACTCTCCCCACTGGACAGCATGAGCTTCACCACTTGCTCCACGTTCTCCACCAAACTACCAGTCTCTGGGCTCTGTGCAGGTGCCCAGCTATGGCACCCAGCCAGTCAGCAGTGTGGCCAGTGTCTGTGCAGGCACCAGGGGCTCTGGTTCCCGGATCTCCGTGTCCCACTCCACCAACTTCTGGGGTGGCATGGGGTCCAGGGGCCTGGTTGTGGGGATGGCGGGGGGTCTGGCAGGACTGAGAGGCATCCAGAATGAGAAAGAGACCATGCAAAGCCTGGACGATTGCCTGGCCTCCTGCCTGGACAGAGCAAGGAGCGTGGAGACCGGAAACCAGAAGCTGGAGAGCAAAACCCAGGAGCACCTGGAGAAGAAGGGACCCCAGGTCAGAGACTGGAGCCATTACTTCAAGACCATCGAGGACCTGAGGGCTCAGATCTTCCCAAATACTGTGGACAGTGCCTGCATCGTTCTGCAAATCAACAGTGCCTGTGTTGCTGCTGATGACTTTAGAGTCAAGTATGAGACAGAGCTGGCCATGCCCTAGTCTGTGGAGAGGGACATCCATGGGCTCTGCAAGGTCACTGATGACACCAATGTCACTCAGCTTCAGCTGGAGACAGAGATCAAGGCTCTCAAGGAGGAGCTGCTCTTCCTGAAGAAAAACCTCGAAGAGGAAGTAAAAGTCCTACAAGCCCAGACTGCCAGCTCTGGGTTGACCATGGAGGTAGATGCCCCCAAATCTCAGGATCTCACCAAGATCATGGCAGACATCTGGGCCCAATATGACGAACTGGCTCAGAAGAACCAAGAGGAGCTGGACAAGTACTAGTCTCAGCAGATTGAAGAGAGCACCACAGTGGTCACCATGCAGTCTGCCGAGGTTGGAGCTGCTGCGTTGATTCTCATGGAGCTGAGACGTACAGTCCAGTTCTTGGATATTGACCTGGACTGCATGAGAAATCTGAAGGCCAGCTTGCAGAACAGCCTGAGGGAGGTGGAGGCCCACTACACCCTGCAGATGGGGCAGATCCTGTAGACTGGATCCTGCTGCACCTAGAGTCAGAGCTGGCACAGACCCTGCAGAGGGACAGCGCCAGGCCCAGGAGTAGGAGGCCCTGCTGAACATCAAGGTCAAGCTGGAGACTGAGATCACCACCTACTGTCACCTGCTGGAAGATGGTGAGGACTTCAGTCTTGGTGATACCCCAGACAGCAGCAACTCCAGGCAAACCATCCAGAAGACCACCTCTCCCAGGATAGTGGATGGCAAAGTGGTGTCTGAGACCAGCGACATCAAAGTTCTGAGACATTAAGCCAGCAGAAGCAGTGTACCCTTTGGGGAGCCAGGAGGCCAATGAAAAGTTCAGAGGTAAAAAAAAAAAAGAAAAAAGAAATCTTATGTGGTTGTCTCCAGATGTTAAATTTTACAAAGATTTTAAAGCAGCTATTATAAATGTGTTCTAAGAACTAAATGAACTATGTATAAAGAATTAAAGGAAAGGGTTATAGCAATAACTCAACAAATAGATAATCTCAACAAGGAGTTAGAATTTATATAAAACTCAAATGGAACTTCTGCTGTTGAAAGGATATAAAAGATATAGAAAGTGAAATAGGCCTGGATGCAGTGGCTCATGCCTATAATCCCAGCACTTTGGGAGGCCAAGGCCAGCGGATCGCTTGAGCTCAGAAGTTCAAGAGCAGCCTGGGCAACATGGTGAAACCCTGTCTCTACCAAAAAAAATACAAAAAAATTAGCTGGGCATGATGGCACACGCCTGTGGTCCCAGCTACTTGGGAGGCTGAGGTGGGAGGATTGCTTGAGCCTGGGAGGCAGAGGTTGCAGTGAGCCCAGATCTCACCACTGCACTCCAGCCTGGGTGACAGAGTGAGACCCAGTCTCAAAAAAAAAAAAAAAGTTCATAAGTTGTTTTCATAAGTTGTTTTATGGATGTAGACCTAATATGTCTTGTTGTTAAGTTTTTGTCTAAATGTTTGTAGTAGGTGAGCATATGGTGATGTTGAATAGAGTAGACTCTTTAGTAGCTACTGTTGGGGAGGAATACTTTTCTCTCTTAAATTCTTTGGGGAGAGGGCTGCAATTTAAACTGACGAAAGGCAGATTAGCAAGAGGACAAAAAATCAGATTTAATTACATATGTACATATAGGAGTTTGCAAAAAAATGTGACTTAAGGTGGCTTATATATCATCTCAGTAGGAGATGGGGATGGAGAGGGACACAATTTGTAGAAGGGCACATTTTGTAGAACAAATGACTTCTTAGAATGGGAGCAGAAGGAAGGGCACTTGTGACTTTTTGGAAAATTAAGGTGGTCCTTAGGAGAAAAGACAGGAGATGTGATAGTTTTGTAACAATATCTGTTTGGGAGTGGTCCTAGAAGAGATTAAGTTGCTCCAGGGGAGGAGATTTATGACAAATGAAGTTTTTTGGAGGGCTCTGCTCTGCTTTTAGGTAGATAAAGTATACTAGGAACTTGAGTGCTATCAACAATCCATGAGTCAATACATACATACATACATACATATATACATATGTACAGTTGAGTTTATGACAATTAAGTTTGTGTGTTCATTTATTTATTTTAGAGACAGAGTCTCCCTCGGTCACCCAGGCCCAGGTGCAGTGGTCCAATCATAGCTCACTATAATCTGGAACTCCTGGGCTCAAGAGATCCTCCCATCTCAGCCTCCTGAGTAGCTGGGACTATAAGTTATGCCACTGTTGGGCTAATTAAAAAAAATTTCTTTTTTTAAGAGATAAGTTCCCACGATGTTACCCAGGCTGGTCTTGAACTCCTGGCTTCAAGCAATCCTCCTATCCCAGCCTGCCAAAATGTTGCAATTACAAGTATGAGCCACCACATCTGGTCCAATCATATTATTCTTATTTTATGCATGCAGAAGCTAATAGAGGTTCAGTCACACAGTTAGTCATGGACCCAGGCTTTTGCTTGACCCTCAAGCTATGTTCTTTCCAGTAACCATACTGTTTGTCATTATGGAGGGCATTCCTCTATACATACACAGGCATATTCCGTCTATAGACTGTATTAAGAGTGCCCTAACCTCAGATTTATATATTTACAATTTTCTGACCAGTTATTTTCAGAGGTAACAAAGATTTCTTAAAAAAAAAAAAAGGAGGTTATGTTAGGAGCAATTAAGCAATTTGTTTATCCCTGCCAGAGTACCTAGGACTACAGGTGTATGCCACCTTGCCTGGCTAATCTTTGTATGTCTTCTTTTGAGAAGTGTCTGTTAATGTCTTTTGCCCACTTTTTAATGGCATTGTTTTTTGCTTGTTGAATTGTTTAAATTCGTTATAGATTCTGGATATTAGATATTTGTTGGGTGCATAGTTAGTGAATATTTGTGAATCTATAAATATTCACAAAAAATATTCACTACAGATATTCACAAACTGTGCATCCAACAAAGGTCTGTAGATTGTTTGCTCTGTTGATAGTCTCTTTTGCTGTGCAGAAGCTCTTTAATTAGTTCCCAATTGTCGATTTTGTTTTTGTTGCAATTGCTTTTGAGGACTTTGCCAAGGCCAGTGTCCAGAATGGTATTTCCTAGGTTTTCTTCTAGGATTTTTATAGTTTAGGGAGTCCTTTCCCCATTGCTTGTCATTGTCGACTTTGTTGAAGATTAGATGGTTGTAGATATATGCAGCTTTATTTCTGGGTTCTCTTTTCTGTTCCATTGGTCTCTGTATCTGTTTTTGTGCTGGCACCATGCTGTTTTGGTTACTGTAGCCTTATAGTATAGTTTGAAGTCAGGTAATATAATGTCTCAGCTTTGTTCTTTTTGCCTGGGATTGCTTTGGCTTTTCAGGCTCTTTTTTGTTCTATATGAATTTTAGAGTAGTTGTTTTTCTAATTTTGAGAAAAGTGACATTGGTAGTTTGATAGGAATAGTATTAAATCTATAGATTGCTTTGGGTAGTTTGACCATTTTAACAATATTTATTCTTCCAATCCATGAGCATAGAATGTTTTTCCATTTGTTTGTATCATCTCTGCTTTCTTTCAGCATTGTCTTGTAGTTCTCCTTATATCTTTAACCTTGTTCATTAGATGTATTTCTTGGTATTTTGTGTGTGTGTGTGTGTGTGTGTGTGTGTGTGTGTGTGCGCGCGTGCCCATTGCAAATGGGATTGCATTCTTGATTTAGCTCTCAGTTTGGACGTTATTTGTATATAGAAATGTTACTGATTTTACTACCTTTATTTTTTTTTATCCTGAAACTTACTGAAATTTTTTATTAGTTCTAGAAGCCTTTTGGTGGAGTCTTTCGGGTCTTCTAGGTATATAATCATATTGCCAGTGAAGAGAGATAATTTGGCTTTTTTCTTTTTTCCTATTTGAATGCCTTTTATTTCTTTCTCTTGCCTGATTGCTCTGGCAAACAGTAGCTTCTTAAGAGAGTCTTTGTGTTAGGCGTATATTTTGATGCAGTGTTTCTGCATAAGCAAAAGATACTTTTGTTATTTTAGTACGTTTGACGTATACCATTTAGTTACTTAGAATTTTTCAGTGTGGAAAAGGACTTCTCCAATTTTATTTTAGTATTTTTTTCTTCATTTAAACACATTGTTTAATGAATTCAAAGGAAGTCTCCTTTACATGATAGCAATAATATAAGAAGGACATGGCTATTAGAAAATTGTGGTCACTAATTTCAGGAACACTATTATTTAAAAGTCCTGTGCCTTCTAGATTCCTCAAGGATCTAGAACTAGAAATACCATTTGATCCAGCCATCCCATTACTGGATATATACCCAAAGGATTATAAATCATGCTGCTATAAAGACACATGCACGTTTATTGCAGCACTATTTACAATAGCAAATACTTGGAACTAACCCAAATGTCCATCAATGATAGACTGGATTAAGAAAATGTGGCACATATACACCATGGAATACTATGCAGCCATAAAAAAGGATGAGTTCATGTCCTTTGTAGGGACATGGATGAAGCTGGAAACCATCATTCTCAGCAAACTGTTGCAAGGACAAAAAACCAAACACTGCATGTTCTCACTCATAGGTGGGAATTGAACAATGAGAACACTTGGACACAGGAAGGGGAACATCACACACCGGGGCCTGTCATGGGGTTGGGGGAGGGGAGAGGAATAGCATTAGGAGATATACCTAATATAAATGACGAGTTAATGGGTGCAGCACACTAACATGGCGCGTGTATACGTATGTAACAAGCCTGCACGTTGTGCACATGTACCCTAGAACTTAAAGTGTAATAATAAAAAAAAAGGAAAAAAAAAAGTCCAGTGCCAACTTATGTCCAATACAAAGTAATTTCAAGAATGGGCAGATTCCTTCACCTGCTTCCAGTTTTTTAAATAAAGTAACAAAAAACAGCAGGCAACTGATGATGTAGAACAGAAGATGTAATGCTTCCAAAATAATTTAAGTTAATGAGACTCAGTTTATAGGCATAAATATAGGTGATACGAGGAACCATTCAGGGAGCCAATGAAGTCTGAAATAATGGAAAGAGTAGGAGAATACATAGTTACAAGACAGCAAATAGAATAGTGACTGCATCAAATGGAGATGGAGAAAGCCACACATAATCATGAAGTGTCTGCTTAGAGACATTCTTCAGTTTCACATGTACCTTGAGAATGTTTTCTTTATCTTGCCCATCTTTATTTCTTTCTTGGTATTAAGCGCAGTGCCCTATATCTAGGAGACCCTCGAATATATATATATTTTGCCTAAGTGAATTTTAGGAAGCTTCCTATACGAGTAGTTATACTCATCCTTTATTTTTTAGTATCACTTTTTTATGACTGAGAATATCTCTTAATCTAAGGAATCATATGTACTGTACCTGGGTATTTACATTTTCGTAGCCAGTTGGGTACAAAACCTTAGGACATCCCTCCATTTGGAGAGGAGTGGGATGTCCAGGTTGCTCTCCAGCTCCCTGGCACATACTTTATTGAACACCCATGTAGTTTAGACTTTGTCAAGTTGCTTATATTCACAACTAATACTGCCTATTAAATTATTCTTGGGAAAATTCACTAAGATTTTCTTTTGATGTATAACTTTTCTTTCTTTTTCTTTTCTTTTTTTTTTTTTTGAGACGGAGTCTTGCTCTGTCGCCAGACTGGAGTGCAGTGGCGTGATCTCAGCTCACGGCAACCTCCACCTCCCGGGTTCAAGCGATTCTCCTGCCTCAGCCTCCCTAGTAGCTGGGACTACAGGTGTGCACCACCACGCCCAGCTAATTTTTGTATTTTTAGTAGAGATGGGGTTTCACCATTTTGGCCAGGATGGTCCCGATCTCCTGACCTCGTGATCCGCCCGCCTCGGCCCCCCAAAATGCTGGGATTACAGGCGTGCACTACCGCGGCTGGCCAGCTTTTCATTTTTATAAATTCATAGTGCCTTTTCTAAGAAGAGGGGAATTGCTATGGAAAGTGTCAGTCAAAGTCAAAATAAAAATACAGAGATGAATCTCTATGCAAAACATTTTATTTGAGAATGTACATAAAACAGAATTGCAATTTGGGGCCACATACACAGTTTGGGGTGGTTTTGTTATGTCTGAAGAACAAAGAAAAGCTTGGGAAATTAGAGAAATGCAACATATTGTTTTAGAAGAAAGCTCATTGGCGCTAGAGTGACAATGGTGGAGTTATGCCGGTTCGTTTCAGCAGTTACTAGTTATAACTGATCTTAGGGTTATAGCAGGCAGTTTCAGCAGCTGGGCTTTACGGCTAATTTTTGGAGCAGGTGCTATGTGCCCCAAGTGCTTTCCCCCACTGGCCCCTCAACTCTGATTTAGTTGGGTAAGACAAAAATGACCCAATTTGCATAATTAGCTCTCACCAAATAATCCCAGTTGTTCATATTTTATCCTTTAGTAATAAATACATTGCCCCAGCCCAAAATTTAACATACTCTCTCTTACTGCATTGATGACAGTCATTAAAATGCCATTTATTTAGGTATTCTAGTGTTTTGTTTCGTTGTGTTTTGAGAGATCATACCATAATAATTCCAGATAAGTCATTTAAGCTCTTGGAAAGGGATAATGTTTATTGTGCCACTGATCCAGAAACTAAGGCAGTGTCTTGTGTAATAATGTGAGAGAGGGAGGAAACCAAAGTTTATTGTGTGTTATATGCTAAACAGTTCCCAGAATGTAGCTATTTATGGTTAGGATCTTGTTGGCTACTATGAGTAATAGCAAATGAGTAACATTATTCAAGAGCTGACTGCAGACCTTGAAGAATGTTTAATCCAATATATTATGATCACATTACACACATTACGTGAAAATATGACCTTTATGTAGAGAGAATCATAGACTATTGGAAGTGGAAAGAACCTTGTAGATTATGTCATTTAACTGCCTTGTGTTGTAGATGAAGAAAAGAGGTTAAATGTTTGTCCAGAGGCTCCCATCACGCATCACTGTGGTGGGAAAAAATTCTTGTAAGAGTGAGTGAAAATTTCTTCATCTCAGTTGGTTAGGAATCCCTTATCGCTCGTTATATAGGCTTTCTATGGCCATTGTTTCCAAGACTGGATTTTAAGAATCAGAAAAATTAGTCTTTTGCCAAGCAAGAACATATGAAAAAATTATAATTGACTATCAGTTAATACTTTAAATTTACTTTGAGAAAAGCAAAATAATTTTTTTTTTTTTTTTTGAGGCAGAGTCTCACTCTGTCACCCAGGCTGGAGTGCAGTGGCGTGATCTTGGCTCACTGCAACCTCCACGTCCTGGGTTCAAGAAATTCTCCTGCCACAGCCTCCCAGGTAGCTAGTTCTACAGACATGCGCCACCATGCCCTGCTAATTTTTGTAATTTTAGTAGAGATAGGGTTTCCCCATGTTGGCCAGGCTGGTCTTGAACTCCTGGGCTCAAGTGATCCATCCGCCTTGGCCTCCCAAGGTGCTGGGATTACAGATGTGAGCCATTGCACCCAGCTGAGAAAAGCAAAATAATCTTAATAGCTAAATAGGAGGAATGACTTAATTTCAAAATTGACTGTTTATTAAATAGAATACAGTTAATTCACAATATTAATATTTTCCTCTCATTATTACAAACTGGCAAAAGCATCATCTTGGATTGGCAGAAGTTCATGGAGTGGTATGTGGAAACCAGTTTCCTAAAGCTGCAGTTATTAGGTGGAGGTGAAGCGCAGTGTCACCATCCTGAAGTGGTACTGCAGTGACTTTATTTCAACGTTTGTCTAATGTAAATAAGGGTTATGTTATTAAATAATTAGAAGTAGAAGCATATTGCTTGGGATAGTCGGTATGTGACTCTTCTTTTTGTCATGAAAAATCCCAGAGCCCTTATATATGATACCTGATGCTTTCAATTTTGACTGATTTTTGTCAGTTGTGTTTGCGAGTTCTGACCGATATTATCTCCATAGGCAGCAAAGTAGATTTATGCCGTTTTCCCAGTCTTTGCTGCTTGTAGACATGGACTCTTCCAGCAGTTCCTTGGCACCAAATCCAGACACCAAGTCTTTCATTTGCCCATCTCTCTGGCATTTTTCAGGCTTTCTGTGGGTACCTGGGTTTTCTTCTAGCTCTCTGCCATGGCTCTGTGGCTGTCTTTACTGCTCAAAGAAAGAGCTTTACATCTTAGGTATACCGTTTATGCTGACAGCTGCCGCACTGGCATAGAGACGTTTTTAATGGGATGGGTTAGCATACCAGGTGATCCAATAACGTAGATGATCTATGGGGCTCTGGGCTTTAGTATTAACTTAGAACCACGAAGACCTCAGTGCATGCTAGATATGATCTCTGTTTATCTGATTATGGATGTAGGAAATCTTAGGGAAATAAGATGACTTTACTGTTACTTCTATTTAATTACTCTTTCTCATGTGGCTTAGGGATGTTTTTTATAATATGTCTTAAAATGTTAACATTGTCTTTGATAAACAGGAGTCACTAGTATAAATGCTAATTGTGTACATTTTTCATGACCCCAGTTCACTTAATTACTTAAAGCAAATTTTTAGTTTTTGTTTGGTGATAAGGCAAAGGGCCCGGAACATTACACACCTGACTGACACTTAATACAATTTTAAAACACATGCTGAACAAATCTCAGTGGGAGGTTAAGAGTAGTCTGTCAGTGTCAAGGAATACACATATTACATTGTAAAATTGTAACCATGGGCTAGTTGTTTATATATTTATTTTAAACTATAATATTTAAACTATGGACACATCTAAAGACTGTGTGAGATTATATTTCAGACTTTGTATATTTTCTTGTGATATTGAAATTGGTACAGATCTCAAATGGTTTACCAAAATGGTTATTTGCAGGTGACCAAACCAAAGGAATGCTGGTTTAATTTCTTACAGAATTGCTTTACTTGCTGTTTGATATGTGTATTCCTGAAAATCTGTGCTGTTAGGGCCCTTGCTGGAAACAGATAGCATACTCAAATTGGGTGATTCAAAGAGAGTTTAAATAAAATAACACATGTGGGAGCTGAGACTCATTATCCTTCCTCCCTTCCCCTCCCCTTCTCTTCCCTCCTACCCTCCCCCTCTCCTTCCTTTCTTCCTCACTCTCTTTCTGAGACAGGATCTTACTCTGTAACCCAGACTGAAGGCAATGGCTTGATCCTAGCTCACTGTAGCCTCAAACTCATGGAATCAAACAGTCCTCACACCTCAGCCTCCTTAATAGCTAGGACTACAGGCGTGAGCCACCATGCCTGGTTTATTATCATTTCTAAGCAAGAGGAGATAACCCTTAGTAAAGCCTGCAGAGAAAGCGATATGAAGAGGGTTAGCAACAGGAACTGTGGCCTCTGGTGGATGGATTTAGCCTATCTTCAGTAACCTGACAGTGGGACATCTTTTTTTCTTTTTTTTTTTTTCTGAGGCAGAGTCTCGTTCTGTTGCCCAGGCTGGAGTGCAGTCGCACGATCTTGGCTCACTGCAAGCTCTGCCTCCCGGGTTCATGCCATTCTGCCTCAGCCTCCCGAGTAGCTGGGACTACAGGCACCCGCCACCACGCCCGGCTAATTTTTTGTATTTTTAGTAGCCAGGATGGTCTTGATCTCCTGACCTTGTGATCTGCCCGCCTTGGCCTCCCAAAGTGCTGGGATTACAGGCGTGAGCCACCGTGCCCAGCCGACGGTGGGGCATCTTATTTCTCCAGAGGCTTCCTATGGGGTCATCCCAGTCAGAAACTAGGGGCTGGATTCTGAAGGTCCAGAGAGCCCACTGATGCAATTCATAGGATATGGCTCAGTCTCCCAAGGCAAGGAACAAGATATAGAGAATGCAGTGTGTATTTGGAGGGGCAGTACACTTCATTCTACAAAATTTCACACTAAAATGGATAGAAATAGGCTTGGTGAAAATGTATGCAACATTGTTTTCAGAACAATAATTTGAATACAAAATTAGAACATTTAAAAGTTGTTTTAATGCTAATTAAAAAAATTTAAAAAGTAAAAGATTTTACCTAAAAAAAGACAAAGATGCCCTGATGGAATGGGGGTATAAGAAAGAGTTGAGACTGTTACGTTATGGAGAAAAGAACAAAATGGACAAAGACCAGGGAGTAACACTCTTTAAGCACTTTCAAACCAGAGGACATGGTTAAACTGAGCCATGAAAAACATGATTTCTCCTGGTTTTCTACATTCAGTTGATCTAATGTACTTTGTATTCAGTTGCTGTTAAATTATAGTACAAAAAAGTAAAATGGTATGAATTTTATTTATTAATAAAACTAACTTTTTTTTTGAGACGGAGTTTTGCTCTTGTCGCCCAGGCTGGAGGGCAGTGGCACAATCTCGGCTCACTGCAACCTCCGCCTCCCGGGTTCAAGTGATTCTCCTGCCTCAGCCTCCCAAGTAGCTGGGATTACAGGTGCTTGCCATCATGCCTGGCTAATATTTGTATTTTTAGTAGAGATGGGGTTTCACCATGTTGGCCAGGATGGTCTTGAACTCCTGACCTCAGGTGATCCACCTGCCTCAGCCTTCTAAAGCGCTGGGATTACAGGCATGCGCCACCTCACCTGGCCATAATACAACTTCTTTGATGTACTGACATTATTTCTCATTGAGAATCATAATTGTAGCAGGAAAGACTGCAGTGTGTGAGGTCATACATACATACATACATACATTTAATTATTGTATAATTGAAATTCAATGAACTATACATATTTAAAGTGTATAATATTATGTGTTTGATGTGTATATACCTTTGAAACTCTTTCTACAAACAAGACAATGAACATCTTATTCCCCAAAGTTTCCTCATGTCTCTTTGTAATTCTTCCTTTGGCCCCTCCCAGCTCTTTTCTTCAAGATAACCAATGTTCTACTTTCTGTTACTATAGATTAGTTTGCGTTTTCTAAAGTTTTATATAAGTGGAATCATATAGTATGTACTCTTTTTTTGTCTAGCTTTGGTTACTCAGCGTATTTATTTTGAGATTCAGCCATGATATTACATGTATCAATAGTTTTTTTTTTGTGACAGAGACTCCTTCTGTCACCCAGGCTGGAGTACTGTGGTGCAATCTCGGCTCACTGCAACCTCTGCCTCCTGGGCCCAAACGATCCTCCCACTGGGGAGCTGGGACTATAGGTGAGCCCTACTGTGCCTCACTAATTTTTGTGTTTTTTGTAGAAACAGGGTTTTACTATGTTGCCCAGGCTGGTCTTAAACTCCTGAGCTCATGTAATCCACCTGCTTTGGCCTGCCAAAGTAGTACATTCATTTTTATTGTGAAATATTATTATATTGGATTAGTTTACTAGAGTATGATTATGCTCTCATCTGTTGATGGATATTTTGGTTGTTTTTAGGTTTTGGCCTTTACAAATAATGCTGCTATGAACATTGTATTCAAGTCCGTATAGACATACATATTTCCTTTTCTCTTGACCAGATACCTACAAGTAGAATGGTTAGATCACATGTTAGATGCATGCTTTTCAAAGTGGTTGTACAATTTTACATCTACAAGTGGTGTATGAAATTTCCAGTTTTTCTGCCACTTGAGAAACACTTGACATTGTCAGTCTATTTTATTAAGTCTTTTTTATTTTAGCTATTTTAATAAATATGCAGTGGTGTGTCATTATGGCATTAATTTGGATTTTTACAAGTTGTTCTTCATTTTCAATCCTTAATTCAGTTACCTCTTCATTCATATCTCCCTGTTATTTGGCCATTTTGAGTTTGTGAATTTCTCGTTTATAATATTGTTTACCTGCAATTGCTACAGACTTACCTCACGTAAGCTCTTGAAAAGCTATACCTATGCTACTTTACATACACTTTTTTTCTGGCATAACAGTTTTTGCACAAAACACAGTTTTCAATAAATATAAGTTAAGAAGTAATATTTCTATGTATAATTTCAGGCAGAGACACTATTGCCAGTTTAGTCAAAACAACAGTCTCTAGTCAAAGAATATTGTATCAAACTACTTTGAAATGTACAGTTTCCAATTACTGCAGAAGTCCCTTTTAAGGAATTGCACTTCCAGGTCAGACCTATCAGTGTTCTTGCGGTGTCCCCTCTCACTTGAATCTGAGCTTCTTTGTGAGACTTGCTTTAACCAATAACATGTCAGTAGACATACCAGAAATGCAAGCTTGATAAATGTTTTTATATTGGGATTTACTCTGTGAAACCACCATAGTCATTATCATATGTGGGTGAAATACCACATGGAGAAAGAGACCCAACCATCCTTACTCTCTCAACTTGCAGCCAACTCAGAAGTAGAAAATAGCTATATGAATGAGCCCAGGAGAGAAAATAGCAGAAGAACAACCCATCTAATTCACAAAATCTGAGAAATAAAGTGATTATTCACTTGAGCCAGTATGGTTTCTAGTGGTTTCTCATACAGCAATAGATACATGAACCATAGTAACCATATTTGTATTAAAACAAAAAGTTTTGCTTTGTTTATATATGCCTAGTTAGTGGGTAGATGTGGTAGTACTGTCACAACTCTTTAATCTGTAGTTTGCCATGTTTCCCTGTGTTTTGGAGCACCCTTGATTTTAGTTTTTATTTAGTCCTAAGTTGTTGTTTGATTTTACAGCAAGGGAATCGTGAGTCCCAGAAAGGTTGAAAAAAGGGTGAGGGGAATGGTGCAGATACAAGGGAAGCAAAGGGGAAAAAACTTTAATCATTTTTCAAAAGATGGCTTTATAGAGAGGATTGAGGGCTGGCAAAGTGGCTCATGCCTGTAATCCCAAGATTTTGGGAGGCTGAGGTAGGAATATCACTTGAGCCCAGGAGTTCAAGGCTGCGGTGAGTTGTGATTGTACCACCGCGATCTAGCCTGGGTAACAGAGTGAGACTCTGTCTCTTACAAACAAAACAAAACGAAATGGAGAGAGAAAGGGAGAAAATTGAAAATGGATGTAGAATAAGAGAAGTTAATTCTCTTTAGAGTTAGGTCAGTCACTGAACTGGTTTTTTGTTCTAGGAAGTTTCGTCATCTCCAAAAATAGTCACGGTGTTTGAGAAATGTAAATTGTATGTAATACACTACATGGAGAATGAAAGCCAATGGTGCATTAATATTGTCAAACTGTGAGAGAAGGCAGTCTTCCATCTTGTGCTTTTTTTCACACAGAGATTTTTCTTTTATGACTATGCCAGGTTTTTGTTTGTTTTAATTTTAGTACCATAGTGTTGAGGAAAAGAAAATTCTCATTAAGCATGTCTGATTCTGATATTGAATGTCCCCCTGGAAGTGGATCACCTGACTACTACCTTCCAAAATATGACTCCCTGGCACTCTTTCTTATCAACAGCCCCTTACAATTAAGTCACTTCTCACTTTGACTACTATAATAAACTTTCATTATGTGTTAGTATTCAATTCATTTTTCTTTCTCTTGAGTAAATATGAGTTTGTATATAATTCATTACAGTTTTTCCCGTTAAAAGTAATGGAAATGATTTTCCATTTAATGCCTTTTCTTTTAGTGGCAGAGTTTTCAGGAAGAAATTACAGTCACTAAGTAGGCATACATGTATTTATAATTATGTTGAGCTGTTGTGTTTTAGTTTTCTGTTTTGTGGGATTTCGGGAAGATATTTTTATTATCTTTTATGATGATGATTTTCTGATGAGACCCTTACCTTCAGCTCCTTTCTTCTTTCTTGCTTTTATCACAACATTCCCAAGGGACACATCTCATTTCTGATGCTTTCCTTCTCTGATTCTTTCCCTTTGGCTGGTATCTCTTGTCCAGCACATGTTCTCGTCTCCTTCCTTGTGATTCCCTAGTAGCCCAGGCTTTGATCCAACAGGTCTTAAGCCTGTTTTCAGCATTTCCCTGCTCAGGGTGAGACTCCCTGCTTCTCAGAGTGAATCCTACATGACTTTTTTCTGTGTTCTGTCACCAATAGATCCATTCCATTCTTCTGTTTTGCAAGTAATTCTTGCTCAGCTCTGGTGCCAGCTCAGGAGCCATCTTGGCCAATTTTGAATATTTATAATCCCCCTACATAATTGTTATTTAAAGTTAGTGGTGTTTCTGTTTTCTAGTTATGCTGTGTTGTGATTTAGGGGTGATTTCATTTGTTTCCCTTGCCGATGTGTTGTTTTCTGGAAGATATTTGGAGTTAGGTGGTCATATACACATGCACAAACACATTTGTAAAAATACATGGGTTGGGCTGGGCGCAGTGGCTCTTGCCCATAATCCCAATACTTTGGGAGACCAAGGCAGGAGGATCGCTTGAGCCCAGGAGTTCGAAACCATCCTAGGCAACATGGTGAAACCCTGTCTCTACAAAAAATACAAAAATGAGCTGGGTGTGGTGGCATGCATCTATAGTCCTAGCTACGTGGGAGGCTGAGGTGGGAGGATTGCTGGAGCCCAGGAGGTAGAGGTTGCAGTGAGCTGAGATCACGCCACTGCACTGCAGCCTGGATGACAGACTGAGAACCTGTCTCAAAAAAAAAAAAAAAAATTAGGTTGTGTTGCACTTATGTGCACCTTGCTTGCTTTTCTCTTTTAATGTATTATAGTGTGGTTTTATTTAATGATGAATATTCATCCTACCTTATGCACATTATTTCATTATATACATATCTTAGTAATATACATTTTGAAAATATAGATAATAGGTTAAAAGAGCTTAAAGCTTAACATAGGCCACCTTGTGCTTTCACCACATCTCCGAATCTCATGTGTGGCTTTATAAGATTTTGTGTCAGAGTATGCTGGTGTCCTAGTTTGTTCCTTGCACTGTAACAAAATACCACAAACTTGGTAATTTATAAATAATAATTATTTATAATAATTTATAAATATTATAATAATTTATAAATAATTATTTATAATAATTTATAAATAATTATTATTTATAATAATTTATAAATAACAGTTCTGGATGCTGGAAAGTCTGTGATCAAGGCAGTGGCAGGTTTGGTGTCTGGTGAAGAAGGCTCAGTCTTTGCTTCCAAGGTTGCACCTTGAACTCCATGTCCTCACATGGTGGAAGGGCAAAAAAGGGCCTAGGGTGTTCTCTGCAACCTCTTTTGTAAGGTTGCTAATCCCATTCATGAGATTGGGAAAGCTCTGCCCTCATGACTTAATCACCTCCTAAAGGCCCCACTTCTTAATACTATCTCTGGGGATTCAGTTTTTTTTTTTTTTTTTTGAGACGAAGTCTCGCACCGTCACCCAGGCTGGAGTGCAGTGGTGTGACCTCAGCTCACTGTAACCTCCGCCTCCCAGGTTCAAGCAATTCTCCTGCCTCAGCCTCCCAAGTAGCTGGGATTACAGGAGCCCGCCACCATGCCTGGCTAATTTTTTTTTGTATTTTTAGTAGAAACAGGGTTTCATTTTGTTGGCCAGGCTGGTCTCAAACTTCTGACCTCGTGATCCTCCTTCCTTGGCCTCCCAAAATGTTGAGATTACAGGCATGAGCCACCTCGTCTGGCTAGTTTTATTTTTGATTGATTAATTAATTAATTAATTAATTTTGAGACAGAGTGTCGCTCTGTTGCCCAGGCTGGAGCGCAGCGGTGTAATCTCGTCTTACTGCGGCCTTCACCTCCCGGTTTCAAGCAATTCTCAAGCCTCAGCCTCCTGAGTAGCTGGGGTTACATGAGTGCACCACCATGTGCAGCTAATTTTTTGTATTTTTAGTAGGGATGGGGTTTTGCCATGTTGCCTCAAATTCCTGGGCTCAAGTGATTCTCTCGTGTCGGCCTCTCAAAGTGCTGGGATTACAGGCGTGAGCCACCACTATAGCTGGTCCAATTCAAAAATTTAGCATATGAATTTTGGGGGACACATTCAGACCATTGCAGCTGGTAAGGTAAAAAAGAAGAAAATATTTGTGAAAGGTTTGCTTCTATACTGTCTGATTCTAAACTTAAGAATAAAAATTGGCCACATATTTATTAAAATGGGGTTCTCTCCCTAACCATTTTACTACCATATATTTCATGTAGCAATGTTGCAAAGAGGTATGTTTTCCATGAGCTACATCTAATTCTTGTCTTTCTTCTCATCTCTCCTGAGCTATTTGCCTGGAAATTTAACAGGAGTACTTAGAAATGGGACATAAAGAAAGATCACCAGAAGATAGTAGTCTATAATGTATATCTGAAGAAAGAAGCCCACAAAACAAATACTGGCATAATGATAACGTGGATGATATTAGGCCTTCAGTGGCAGCTTTTGCAATTTAACAGGAACTCTGCTTGTAGTGATATTTCTGTTTAATGGATACAAATATGATTTTGTATTTGATAATTTTTTTCATATGTAGGTTTAACGTAAGGTTTATACTCCATAATATTTATTGATATTCCTGAATCCATGGATGAAAATATAGAATAATGGAACTAACAAGGGTTTTGGAGTCACATAGACCTAGCTGTGAGTTACTAGCTGTGTAAACTAAATTACTCAACAGTTCTTAGGCTCACTTTCCTTATTTGTAAAGCAGTGCTTATATAAAACTGCTGTGATTGGTTCTTGTGTGAATTCAATGAGGCACTGTTTTCAAGTATTGATTACATCCTGATACATGTTAGGTGTGCCTCATACTATTTGGGTCAGGAAGGTATTAAGGATAGTTAGATATCACTCTTCACCAGGAATTTCTTTTCATTTATATTTATATACTTTCTTTGAGTGGGAGTTTTGCCTCTATGACTGTTCGAGAAATAGGGCTGTACCCAGCTTATCTGGTGCTTGTGCTACAGATTGGCCAGTCTTCATTGCCTAACCGAGTACTGCATCTAGAGGTCTTTACTTTCATTGGAAAATGGTAATGTGTTCATATTCCCAGTAGAAGCTCATATAGTATAAAGCTACATGTGTGTGTATTTTTGTGTGTGTCTTTATTGAGGTATATGGAAATATGATGAACGGCATATATTTAAAGTGTACAGTTTGATAAATTTTGACATCTGTATATGTCCATGAAGCCATCACATTCCAATCAAGATAATGAGCATATCCATCACCCACAATAGTTTTCTCATGTTTCTTTGTAATGCACCCTTCCTGTTCCTCCCCCTGTAGAAGAAGCGTGTTTCTATGTAATAAGTCTTCCCGAGTAGCAGTGCCATCTTCACTTTGTAATGAGGTTTTTTTGGGAAATACTTTGCTGTCACATAGTTCAAAGTGACTTTAGTATACAGTTAAAAATATAAAGGTAAAGGTATTGAGTTCAAAGTTGTTTTTTCTT
Source organism: Homo sapiens (assembly GCF_000001405.40). Taxonomy (NCBI): domain Eukaryota; kingdom Metazoa; phylum Chordata; class Mammalia; order Primates; family Hominidae; genus Homo; species Homo sapiens. The sequence goes on from NC_000017.11 coordinate 60,827,922, forward strand.
CTGCTCTACAACTTAACCAAAAAGTAAAGCTTTCCATCTAGAACCAGTTCATAAAACAACTAAAAGGCTTGCAGTTTCTCTGTGTAATCATTTCAAAACAATAGTTTTTTTTCAGCCACCAAGAAGGATGCAGTCTTGACATATAAATAGAAAACAGATTGAGTTTTTGGCTGATATTGCTATACTGGTTTAAATGTTGGTCCAGTCAACTTCAGGCTTAGATTACAAGATTTGCAAATTAGAGGAAAACCAAAAGGGAAAGAACATCTGCATAGATTCTGACTTTGTGGAATTCCATACAGGCATGCTTACTCTACTTCTGGTGGAACAGGCCATGTGCATAGTGAATAAGCCTGAAAAGAGATCACTGTTGTGTTGTGATTATGTTAAAGACAAAAGTTGAAGTAGATAATTAGGCAATTCATTATGGAGAACCATGACAGTTTCTACGTCAAGTATTTTTAACCATTTTTTTGGGGGGGAAATCTTTTGTTGATACAGTGATATGTTACTTTGCCAGAATAAAACCTTGCTAAATATCACTAATTATGTTACTTGATTTTCTGGTATCAAAGTATTGGGATTTGAAAAAGGTAATTTGCTGTAACTAAGGATTTTAAATTGGTTATAATCAAAGACTATATGGATATAATTTATTCTATAAATGACAACACAGTCTCAGTGAGATGTAAGGAATCCTTGTCTGCTACTGGGCTAATCATACATTGTGTATATGATTTTAAGATGTTTTCTAAAGATCACCTCTCCTGCCATTTAGATATGAATTTTAAGAACTGCTTTATTTGATTTTTTTTCTCTTTTATTCTGAGAAGGGGCTTCCTTATGTTCTTTCAAGACATGTTTATGGGTATCTATTATGTGTCAGCTACTGTTAAATAATCCAGGACATCGTTTCTTAACTGAGGGAAAAAAGGTAGAGATGATTTTGATCCCCAAGGGATATTTGGCAGTGTCTGGGGGACATTTTTTGGTTGCCACATCATGGAGTAGAAGGTGCTGTTGGTATCTAGCGTGTAGAGTCAAAGAACCTGCTATACTGTGCATCCTATAATTTGCAGATCAGCCCTTAACAGCAAAGAATTATCTAGCTCATAATATCGATAGGGTCAAGTTTGAGAAACCCTGATCCAAGAAGATAAAAATCTGTATGTCTAGAACTGACATTGCTAGACATTTCTTGCTAGAGCTGACATTCTAGCAAGGAGAGTGAAACAGTAAAAAAATAAGTAAAATATATAGTATGATGATGTAATGTATAACAATAGTAGAGGGTCGGGTGTGGTGGCTCACACCTGTAATCCCAGCACTTTGGGAGGCTGAGGTGGGTGGATCATGAGGTCAGGAGTTCAAGACCAGCCTGGCCAACATGGTGAAACCCTCTCTCTACTAAAAATACAAAAAATTAGCTGGGCATGGTGGTTTGCGCCTGTAATCCCAGCTACTCGGGAGGCTGAGGCAGGAGAATCACTTGAACCCAGGAGGCAGAGGTTACAGTGAGCTGAGATCACGCCACTGCACTCCAGCGTGGACAATAGAGCAAGACTGTGTCTCAAAAAAAAAAAAAAAGTAGAGAAGGTAGTTAGATAAAGTTGGACAGGACAGTGGTGTTTGTTGTTGGTGGATATTTGGATTGTTTGCCATTGAGGGTTTGATGAATAGTGTGGATATGAACATTTCTATATTGCTTTTGGTGTACATTTCTGTTTGGTATATGTAACTAGGAGTGGACTTGCTGGGTCATAAGTTGTTCTCACTATCTTCTTCTATCTTATTATCTTCTTATATCTTGTTAGATATTTCCAAGCAGTTTTTATTGTTCCATGAACCTTTATTTATTGCCAATATATGAAATGATATAATTAGAACAATGTAGTAAATGTGTGTCATTTCCTGTGTTGATGATATCAGGAGTCTTATGAGATTGCCTTAAATAATTGGGATTTGAAATTCTGGATGTGCTTTTTCTCCACTGGTAGCTATTGTAAATATAATTTTGTCTCTTAATTTCTCTTCCTAGTATTCAAATGTTGAGCACTTTTTAAAAATTTGTATTTATTTATTTATTTTGAGATGGAGTCTCACTCTGTCACCCAAGCTGGAGTGCAGTGGCGCGATCTTAGCTCACCGCAACCTCTGCCTCCTGGGTTCAAGCGATTCTCCTGCCTCAGCTGCCTGAATAACTGGGATTACAGGTGAATACCACCACGCCCGGCTAATTTTGTATTTTTAGTAGAGATGGGGTTTCACCATGTTAGCCAGGCTGGTGTTAAACTCCTGACCTCATGATCTGCCCACCTCAGCCTCCCAAAGTCCTGGGATTATAGGCGTGAGCCACTGCGCCCAGCCTGAACACTTTTAAATAGTGTTTCTTTATGTTTGAGAACTGTAAAACTAACTGTAACAGTATAAAACGTGATGGTTGCACAAGTATAGTTGGAAAACTTACCTGGAAAATGGCAGAAATCCTTGATGTCATCTAGATCATGAAGGGGAAAAATGGGACAAACATGAAGTCCTGAATAGTTAACTTTATAGGAAAGGTCATGCTAAGTGAAATGGTACAGGAAAATTTTTAAAATGCTGTATGACCCTCAGGTGTGTTTTGTTCAGGATTGTACAAGGGCTATACTTTTTTTCTTTATTTCTTTGTGTAAAGCTGTTGATCATACCTTAGGATACTGAGGACCAAATATTTGAAGAGAATTTGGAAAGATTTAGAAAAACTCCTTTTACACAAAAGGAGTTTAAATTATAAAGCTGGCTGAAAAACTTGAAAAAATTACAAACTTTGAAGTTTTGTTTTATGTCCATGAATAGATTATTATTATCTTAAAAATAAATTTTCTGGCTCAATAAGGTATTTATCACAACTACTATAATATTCTAGAGCCAAGATTTAATTTTTGGGTTTTTTTTTTTTTTTAAATAAACATCCTTTTGTTTTTTTAAGACAAGGTCTTACTCTGTGATCCATGCTGGAGTGCAGTGGTACAGTCTTGGCTCACTGCAACATTTGACCCTCGGGCTCAAACAGTTCTCCCACTTCAGCCTCCCTAGTAGCTGGGACTACAGGTGTGTCCCACCAGACTCGGCTAGACGGGGTTTTGTGGTATTGCCTAGGCTGGTCTCGAACTCCTGAACTCAAGTGATCCTCCTGCCTTGGCCTCCCTAAGTGCTGTGATTACAGGCATGAGCCACTGCATCTGGCCAATAAATGTCTTTTGATTGAGTTATATGTTATGTCTTTTTTTTGAGACCCAGCCTCATTCTGTCAACCAGGCTGGAGTGTAGTGGCACGGTCTCGGCTTACTGCAACCTCTGCCTCCCAGGCTCAAGTGATTCTTCTGCCTCAGCCTCCTGAGTAGCTGGGACTACAGGCGCGTGCCACCACGCCTAGCTAATTTTTGTATTTTTAGTAGAGACAGGATTTCACCATGTTGGCCAGGCTGGTCTCGAACTCCTGACCTCAGGTGATCCTCCCGCCTCAGCCTCCCAAAGTGCTGAGATTACAGGCATGAGCCACTGCACCGACCTATGTTATGTCTTCCTTATGTTAACTGATTTTATCCTTTGTTAGAAAACAATTGTTGTGACAAGTGGTTTTCTTTTCATTTATATAATTTTATTAACATCTTGTTTACCAAACACAGTATACAACGAAGGTTAAAACAGTTATTGTGAGATGACTGGCATGTTAATTAGAGCCTCCCTACGTGTGTGTGGGTGTGGGTGGATGTGCTTTTGGAGAGACTAATGCAGAGCAAGGGACAGTATTTTGAGTGCCTCTTTGGCGGTGGGTTTTTTTTTTTAAATGACAAGCCCTCAAATATGTGGTATGTTTAAGTCTTATCAGTTATTTAGATGTAGTCACATTTATCTCTGTGGAAAATATAAAATACAATAATTTGTATATTGTAAAGTAATGTCATTTTTAATTTTTTGATTAGTCTTTTTCACTTTCTTGAAAAATTCAGAAGAAAACATTCTGAATGCATCTGTTTGTCAGTTTTGTCCGTGCACCTTTCTCAGACAAAAAAATAAAATGTACGTTTATGATGATGAAAACAGCTGCAGTGCATACTTCTGAGAGTCATTTGTCAAACGAAGCAGCAATAGAGGAAAAATGATAATACACCACTGCACTATTAAGTATAAAACTGCTGCAATTGGTGCCGTTTTAAATTATTAAACACTGTAAATGCCATAAAGTTAATTAGAAGAGGAACAAACTCTACAAAGATAAATGTGTTTTCAGTATGATTGTTAGGGGAGGGTACAGTAGAAACCAGTGAATAGAGAGGAAATTTATTTCTGGCAGGACTCTACACATGGAACTGTGGCTGAACTTTTTACCCTAATTACCTCCTGCTAATGCCTGCAGCGGGCTGGAATCAAAGTGGTGCTTCAGGCCCTGGAAATTCTCTGATGTGGCAAACGTTTGTTGTGTGAGGAGGGTTTCTTAAGAAAAAGCAGAATATTGTGACAGGATTTAAAAAAAATTTCTCAGTTACCACCCACCTCACTTGTTGCCTACAAAAATAGAGTAATTGTTTGCATCTGTGTGTGCTTTTTTATCCCCTAAGAAATAACTGTTATAAATCAATGTGACATAGATCCAGTGAACTGAGGCTTGCCTGAGGTAGGATTTTTTTTTGTTTTTTAAAGTTTCTCCTTTAATTGAAAATTTAGATTCCAAATGTAAAGAGGTTATTTTTTATAATTGAGAAGAAACATTCTATGCATTTTTAAGGAGAATTTGGATCTTAAAGTGTGCTTTTCAAAATGAATTCTAAAAACTTTTGTAGTATCAAACTGATAACTATTAAATTGCTTAATCCTGGAAAAAGTGGGAATTTCCAGTTTCCATTATTAGTTCTCCATCTGAGACTAGAACCTAAAAGACATTTCTCTAATCTTTGTGAAAGTTAATATCATTCCACTTATGTGTCACAAAAGGTTTGGCCATGTATGCATTTTTGAAATAAAAAGAATTAGTTCTCTAAAAGCACCTGCTTTTCAACTTCTGCCTTTAAAGGCAGTGTTTCTATACAATGTAAAATACAAGTACCATGACAAGTCATTTTATATAATCTATTTTTAAAAAATAGAGATAGGGGTCTCACTGTATTGCCCAGGCTGGTCTCAAACTCCTGAGCTCAAGCGATCCTCCCACCTCAGACTGCCAAACAGCTGGGATTACAGGTGCGAGCCACTGTACCTGGCCCATTTTATATATTCTAAAAGAATCCAATTTTCAAATAGTCTGCCCTTGTGCATCTGTGCTGTCTTGTGTCTCCAGCTCCAGCCCTTATCTAATCTTCTTGAAATACCTTTTAGATAATTCTTGAAAAGCACTAATAGCACTTTTTTTATAATGCAAATAAAATCATGTTTTTATGTTGGCAAAAATTTATTTTGGCAGTCTTTTAGTTGGATGTCCTAAAGAAATAGTTTTAATTTTTAAAAGCAGAATGCTGTGAGTTTTCTTGATCCTAGGCAATAAGAATTGTAGTGAAATCCCAAATTTCTTTCAAGATTGTGTCAGAAACTCACAGTTGCTGTGGTTACAGATTGCTTCATTATAACCTTAGTATTTTGCATTTTGCACACTTATACTTTTGCATTGCATCTGTGACCATTCATTCATATAGTAGTTTTGTGAATTGTGAATGAGGGCTATTTGTTTGAACTACCAAGTTTCAAAATTATGTTACAAACAATTTATTTTTATTTCGTTCGGTACATATGTTTACAAAAACTTTAATCAGTGGTAAGGCACTTATATATTTTCACTTCACGTATTCTTTCAAAACTGTAATTATCCACATTTGATATAATAGATATATTTTGCAACATTTGGCTTTGTCATTTGACGCCCCTTCATTTTCCGCTCAATTCCAACTGCCTTTACAAGAAAAGCCAAATAAGAAAACATTTTACTTCTCTGTCTACTATGAAAAGTAATCTGTCAAAACGTGAAACTACTTTTTAAAGCTGTATTTATATCTGTAGGTATTTGGTGCAATTTAAGTTATATTTCACTATAAAATAACTGCATATTATCATTAGAAGGATTTAAATCATCATGTGATATTTTTCTGATTCTAATAACAGGAAAGAGAAATTATACTAATGTGGCTTTATCACAAATTATGTAATATAATAACATTTATGTAAAATGAATGTAAATATTCTTACTAGTTTTCAAACAAAACATTTTATGGTACAAGAGGAATAATTTTGTTGTACTTCAATAATATGTCAGATTTCTTAGAAGTATTAATTTAGAACAGGATATTTTATTGTCTTCTTAATAAAGATAAGCAAAAGCTTAGATTTTTCTGCTATCATTTTAAGAATTGACAAGGAAAATAATTGACTATAAATTTTTACACATATCCTTCTCTAAAATGTTTCCTGTTCTGTCTTGATATAACAGGTTGTTCCTTGATTTTGAGAATTAGACTTTAAGCATAATCTATTAATTTTGGCTTTACTTCATTTCTCAGCATGTCTCAAATGCTGTGATGAACTTTGGTTACTTTGAAATGTTTAGTGAAGTGGTTTCTATTGATTTCATATGTGTACTCAAACTAATCTACATTGGTAGATTATCAAGTTTTAAGATGATACTAGAGTAATAAAACTGGGCATACTCTTTCACAGTATAGTAGTATATTTGGCCTCACTGTGCTTGCTTGGCAGAAGATGGTATAATTAACATCTTTTTATGAGTTGAGCTAGACTTTAGTATCCTCATTTCAAGTACCCCATGTTTTTTTGTTAGCTATGGTTGTGTGTATCTGTTAATATGAAAAATGACTCTGTATTTTTTTGTTTATCATAACTGATAAGGAGTTTTAAGTTATATTGCTTTTAGGGAAATAAATCCCGGCAACATCTTGCTTTTTGTGGTTGTTAGTGCTTCTACTATAACCAACTTATAAATTTTCCCTAGTATATTCTTTTAGTTTTCAAAAGTTCCTTATAATAGTATGACTCAAAACTAACTGTACATGATTTTTAGGGAACTTTATGATGTATTTCTTTATCATTAACTAAAATTTTAATGTTTAATTTTTAACTGGTCTGTTTTGCCTCTCTATTCTTCTGTATTCCTCTGCCAGCAGTTTCTGCACTTTTGTTATCTATCAGAAGAAAGCGATAAAATAGGAAAGTACAATAGAATCTTCTAATGGACATTAAATTCATATATCTTCCAAAATTAAAAAATAATGAACAATTTATTAATATTTTTGCTATTAAAGCTATAAATATATTTTTCTTTTACATGTGGATTTACAATATGAGATTTTTAGTATCCTGAATTACTACTTTCAAACAGTACACTGTAACAGTTATGCTATTATTATGGCTGATTATATTATCTACTACATGAATACCGAAGGCAGATTTGTTAGTTTTTTCTTTGGTTATTTGGAAACCTGATGTTACTGAAGTCAAGGTTGAAACTTCAGTCTTCTTTTACTTCTCTTCTTCATCTATAAATAGATTTCCTAATCAACCAGTAAATGAGTATCAGCAACTTAAATATTACATGTTTTAGCAACCAAAATCTTTGCTATTGTTAGAAACATTTCCACTGGTAGTTTATTGCTGAATATTAAAGATTAAAGTGTTCCTTTTTTAAAATTTGAAGATTGAATCAAATGTTTAAAGAAAAGCTTTTCTTATCAGGCCATGGTTGCTGCAATAAAAGAAAGAAAGAGAGGCTTTCCTGTATAAAGTTTTACCTACATCATAGGGTTATTGGAAAGGTTAAATGAAATAGTACTTGTAAAGCCTTTATAACAATGGGTGGTATTTATCAAATGTACAATATTCATATTCTCGTGATGAAATTATAGATATTATACAGCAGTAACAGATATTAGCCTTATTAGAAAAGCAAGATTCACAAAAGGTAGAATGTCAAACATTTTAGGATGTTTGTTTCAGAAATGGAATTTTCCCAAGTATGTCTCCTGAATTTCTCATTTAGTCATTAATTGTTTAGACTTTTAAATGAATTTTAAAAAATGGATTCTCTAAAAAAATTTTATCCTCTCAGCTTTTTTGGGAGATTTTTAGAGGAGTTTTAGGGTCACAGCAAAATTGAGTGGAAGATACAGAAAGTTCCCACATATCTCCTGCCCGCATACATTTATAGCCTCTGCCATTATCAACAGTCCCCACTAGAGTGGTACATTTGTTATAGTTGATGAACCTACATTGACACATTGACACATCATTATCACCCAGATTCCATAGTTCACATTAAGGCTCACTCTTGGTGTTATACATTCTGTGGGGTTGGATAATTGTATCAGACAGAGTGATTAAATCTTTTAACAGATAGTTAACATTAATTCTCTTAATTCTTTTCTTAATTTTTAATTAATTCTTTTAACAAGTAGTACTAATGCTCAACATACAACAGTGAGCGAGACTTAATCTCTGCCCTCCGGAAGCTTATACGGTAGTTCTTTTTAGCGAAAGAACTTGTAAGTCCGAAAAATGTACAGATGGCATTAACTAGAGTGTTTAGTTCTGTTGTTTGCGTTCCTTCTTTAATAATGTTTTAATATCTCCACATAGTTAAAAAAAAGAAAAAATGGAAAATATCCTGGAAGGTTTAGTAAGCAATTATTTTCTTTATTAGAACAAACTGTTGTTTGGTTTGAACTCTATTGTCATTGGCCTTGGAAATGTTGGAATTTTTCATTAATATGGATTATTAATATTATTTACAGATATCTCACATGTATATTGAATTATGAGTTGTCATATGGTACTTTTAGATGGAGTCATTTCCTTTGAGGCAAGCAGAAAAAGTGAAATGTTTCCCATGTTAGTGTTTTAGTTATAATAACCTAAACATAGTTTTATACTACTTCATGTTAGATCAAGTTATGTAGAAAAGTAATTAGAATATGTTTCACTTGCACCTCAGTAGATTAAAACCAGTTTAGAAGTTTTAAAATGTGCTAATTCTTTTTGACATTTGTTGATTTGTCTGTTTGGTGAAGGCAGATCCTGGATTTCAGTTTAGGGAAGATGATACTTAAAAGACTGACAAACTTGTACTTTGTGTTATCAGGAAATGGGACCTGATTATTTCTTGGAGGCTTGGAAGATTTTGCTGCATTGTCAAATGATTGCACTTTAACCTTATATCTAGTAGAAATTTTACTTTCCTTAGGTGAGATCAGAGTAGTTGAACTGTAGATTTGTATGTCAAAACTCATAGTAGTAGGTGTATATTCAATAAATAGATGTAACAAAAGATGGCAAACTAGCTGTCCTAAACATCCACAACCTTGTTTAAGCCTTTTTATATTCAGCAGATTATCATACCTCCTAATTCACTAGAACTTTATTTATTTGGAATTTCCTGATTCTTTCAGTTAAGCCAAAAACTGATTATTTGGTAACATCAGTAAAATTGATAACCCTTTAATGAGACTAACTAAGAGAAACAGGAGACACAAAGTACTGATATCAGGAATGAAAGAAGGGGCATCACTACAGATCTTATGATCAATAAAAGATAATAAGGTAATATTATACAACTTTTATGCCAATAAATTTGTTAACTTACATGAAATGGAAAACCTAACTAATTGGAAAGTTTTTGGTAAGTGAAGAACAATCAGTAGAATAATTTTCCTGGGAGCAGTTTAAAATTGTAAGCAAATATTTCACAATACTTTTTTTTTTTTTTTTTTGAGATGGAGTTTCACTCTTGTTGCCCAAGCTGGAGTGCAGTAGCACAATCTTGGCTCACTGCAACCTCTATCTCCTGGGTTCAGGTGATTCTCCTGCCTTGGCCTCCCAAGTAGCTGGGAACAGGTGCGTGCCACCATGCTTGGCTAATGTTTGTATTTTTAGTAGAGGAGGGGTTTCACCATGTTGGCCAGGCTGGTTTCAAACTCCTGACCTCAGGTGATCCACCCCGTTGGCCTCCCAAAGTGCTGGGATTACAGGTGTGAGCCACCGTGCCTGGCCACACAATACTTTTTAAAAATTCAATTTTAAATTAAAATTTAACATTTAAATTAAAAAATTTTAAAGCTTATTTTTCCCATGAAGGAAGGCCATAAAACAGTGATACAAGAACTCAGGGAAGACATGGCGAGATAAACCCCACAAATTGATCACAGAATTGATGAATTGTAAGGCATGGAAGGGAGAATAGATAGAAAATGGAATTAAATGAGAGACTGAACAAAATGGGAAGAAAATCACAACATGTGCATAGTTCCCGAATAAGAACAGCAAAGCATTGTGATTGAGGAAATATTTAAGGTAAAAATTAAGAAAACTTTATGGAAATAAAATGACTTCATTTGATGTAATGAAATAGCACAGCGTGTACCAAGGATAGTTGACTCAGAATGGTCAATTCCAATATATATCATTGTAAAGTTTCTGAATTTCAGGAGCTTTAATAACTCGGAGGTGGTGAGGTGGGTGTGGGGAGTGAAGAGGGAGTAGTGGGGATTAGGCTGATCTCATATTTCCCCACAACAACTAGAGCAAATACTATAAGACCCCCGAGAAAGATAGTGAAAAGCAGCCCAAATTCACTTGAAATAGAAAGGTATAGGTTAGAGGTCAGCAAACTTTCTCCTGCAAGAAATATTTTAGGTTCATTGGATGATATGTTCACTGTGGCAACTAAACTATAGACAATAAAGAAATGAATAGGTTCGGCTGTGTTTCAATAAAACATTATTTACAAAAATAGCAGTGGGGCAGGATTTTGGGCATAGTTTGTTGACTTCTATATACCGCCATTTTGGAAATGTTTTTCTAGACAAAATCTAAAAAAATATTAATCATGCTGTACTTATGCATGGTTTTTGTTGTTTTTATTACAGACAGGGTTTCATTATGTTGCTCAGGCTGAAGTGCAGTGGCTATTCACAGGCATGATTCATGGCACACTGCAGCCTCAAACTCCTGGCTTGAAATGGGCTCAAGTGGTCCTCCTGCCTCTGGAGTAGCTGGCACTACAGGCATATGCCACTGTGCCTGTCTTATGCATGGTTTTTAGTGGAGGAAGACTGTGTGGGCGTAGTAGAAAATAGTATTGTATAAGTAGATAATGTATGTATTTATATTATATGTATATTACATGTATATATGTAAATAAACTGGCAGCCCATATCTGTTTCTTGTAACATTTCTTTCATAATTTGAATTTTCATTGTATTTGTTTACCATTGTGGAACATTAAACATATTTCTTTGTATTATAACTTAATTTCCAGTCCTTAAAAGAAAACTCAGCTAATTATTTTGAAACCTCCTTAAAGATAGTCTTTCTAACACATCTTTGTGTTTAATCACAAATAAAGGAAACTTACTTTCTTTTTTTCAACATAATGTATTATGTCTTTGCGTCTTATGTTGTCTGTTAGATCTTTCTTGAAGAAGAATGTCTGATTCCAACCCCAATTGTAATATTACCTCCTGTTTTTGTGTGGAGATGTCACTTACCCCTTTGTGCCTGGTTACCTCTCTATAAGTTGTGCGAGTGTCGGAAGGTTTCATAACCCAGTGTTTATTGAGAACTCTGCAGAAGAAAAATGCAGAATAAAGTTATTAACTAGGCTCATCACAGGTTTAGCTTTTAATATGGTTACGTTTCCATTTTCTTTTCTTTTTCTTTTTAATTACTTAATTAAAAACAAGACCAACTGGCTTTTGTTCTTTAGGAGCCAAATGAGAATACAAATAATGTAATACTATCAAAAATTTTCCTCTTAAATTTAAAGCATTAGATTCAGTAACACATGTTGAAGGTTGTGCAGCTTTTTCCCATTTAAAAATAAGTGTTTCCATGCTTCTTGCAATTTGTGGTAGATTTTAAATGTCTTTGCTATTTTGTGTTTCACTTATACATGCACATTCTTGGAAAATGTCACTTTCTCAAATACTTTGTTCCGCTTTTCCTAATTTTGTTTCAATCTGTTAAATATCATGAATGAAAATAATAAAAGTCTTTGTAAAGGAAAATGGTATTAATGTTTAGAATTTTGAAATCATAAAAGCCATATTTCACATTGCTTTAAAGTGATGTTCATTGTATTGCATTAAAAAAAAAACCCTCTATTTTGAAAACATTGTCCAGGTTAAGAATGGCTATGATTCTAAGAAAATACCCAAATGTAAAGAAAAAACATACTGTTACAAATAATTAAAAAATAGATGAGAGACAAAATTTAAATATTTTTGTTAGGGATTTATGAAACTTGAGTTTTGGAATTGAATTTAATATTGTATTATTTGTAATTCTTGTTTTTCATCAAGCATAAAAGATCCTTTTGCATCTGTCTACTATACCATTTTCAGGAGGTATTTAAATTTTAAAGATGCAGAAGGTACAGTGTGAGGCTACCATCTTTCATGCATTATAATTTTTAAAAAGCTGAAGTATTCAACATCAAACTTAGTCTTTGCAAAAAGCTCAAGGCACTTAGCTCATTTTTCATTCTATAGATGCAAAAAACCTAGTTTGTGACAAAGAAAATGAATTGTTGATCCTATGATATAAAGATATAATTACACAAGAATACTTAGTTGTACATAGCTAAAAGTCTTATTTAATTCCTGTTTTTTGACCTCTTCATGTTTTGGCTCCTTTAGTGGTTCATTTGACTAGGCCTCACTGCATTCTTGACTTTTGTCTTACGTAGAAACCGTTGGATCTGAAACAGATTGTCAGAAGGTTTCCCCGTGTTTACAACATGTTTGGTAGTATTTATATATAAAAAGATTCCTAAGTTATGGGTTGAGAATTCTCATGATTACTTAACCAAGTGATGTGGTTATGTACATTTGGTCAAATCTTTTGACAGGTTAACCTCAATTAATTAAGAACAAATTACTGATATGACTTGTGAAAATTAAAATAACTTTTGATTAAAATTGCTTAATGCTTTGTAGGCTTCTCTGTTTTATCATTTCAAAAACTCTCCCTATTGTCTCAATAAAAGTGAGTTAGAATTCCAGAAATGTTAGTGTGTTACAGAACTTGAACAATGGAGGCTCATTTGGTTAAATTTGTTTCAGAATAGATTATATTGTTAAAATTTTAAAAATTATTTAAATAAATGAAAATTGTGTAATAATTTTTCATATACTACTTTAAGTAAGGAACTTAATTTAGTAGATTTAAATGTAGCATATATAAATGAAGTCATAATTTTACTTATACTGCTGAAATTTAATCAATGTCATTTTGAAGTAGTATAATGGCAGAAGGACTGAAACTTTATTATGTATCTATTAAAAAACCCTTCTGCGTCTTTGAGGTCACACTAAATCTAAAGATCATTTTGTTGCAAAAGAGAGACTGGATGGGTTATCTACTGGTATATAATGTATTAGAACATATTTAGCATATTAGAACAACATTTATCTTCTCATACTTTTTTTTTTTTTTTTTGAGACCGAGTCTCGCTCTGTCACTCAGGCTGGAGTGCAGTGGCACAATCTCGGCTTACTGCAAGCTCTGCCTCCTGGGTTCACGCCATTCTCCTGCCTCAGCCTCCCGAGTAGCTGGGACTACAGGTGCCCGCCACCACACCTGGCTAATTTTTTTTTTTTTTTTTTTGTATTTTTAGTAGAGACAGGGTTTCACTGTGGTCTCGATCTCCTGACCTCGTGATCCGCCCGCCTCGGCCTCCCAAAGTGCTGGGATTACAGGCATGAGCCATTGCGCATGGCCTATCTTCTCATAGTTTCTATGGGTTAGGAGTCCAGGCACAATTTAACTGGTTCATTACCTTAGGTCTTACAGGCTGGAGTAAAGGTCTCATCTGAGGGCTTGACTAGGGGAGATTCCACTTCTAGCCTTCCTAAGGGCAGTTCTTAAGGGCTGTCTGCAGTTCCTTGGCATAGGGCTTCCCCACATGGCTGCTTACATAATCAGGCTCCCAAAAAGAGTCTCTAGTGATGGTGTTTGGGGAGACTGGGGACCAGCAAATGGAAGATGGCATGAGGTAGCCTTTCGAGGTGCTGGAAATGTATTTTTCTGTCTGTGTGGAGTTATAAGGGATATATGGACTTTATGAAAATTTACCAAGGTGTACACTTTAGATTTATATACTCGTTTTTAGGTATGTTATACTTCTGTATATCTTTATTTAAAAGTAATTGTAAAACATACTTTAATAAATAACTGCTAGTTACTTTTAGATTTTTTGATATCCTTTTCTGCTTTGGAACTAATTTTTTAGTTAATATGACTCAACAAAAGTAAATGATAGGTATATCCTACCACTGCTTTAACCAGATCATTGGATAATAACCTTTTAAAATAGGAGATCTTTGATTGCAATGGAATTTCAGCTTTATGTTTTTTTGGTAGTGGACAACCTTATACATTTGGTGAATTAGGATACTTATAATCATTAAAAATCTAAGGTTACTACTACATAACGTATCAAAAAATAGTGGCATGAACTCCTTATACTCAGGTTAACTTCTGGCACCAAGATACCACCTGCCTATGTGGTGATTAAAAAAAGAAAGTATACTAGAACAATTTTTTTTTTCAATTTTCTATTTAGAACCCTGACTTTAGCTAGTTCCATGTCCTTTTCTTTTGCCAATATTCTGCATACTCTACGGGACATGATCTTCTGTGATTCTACATTGTGGGTTATAGTTCCTTTCTCCACTTATTTATATTCTCATCTAAGTAAGCAGTGCTCACATTTGCTTACTCCTGAGTGTGCTATCTTTTCTTTCTCTACTCTAACGTTAAGTTTCTAAGCTCTTTCTTCTATCTCCTTGGATTCCACCATTGTACTGAAAATGAATTCCTCCATATTTACAGGCTGGCTTTCATTTGAAAGATAATTATTTCCTAATAATACTGACTTTGTTGGGTTTTGCATTCTCTTAGCTTTTTTTTTTTTATATTTTTATTTTTATAGACAGGGTCTTGCTCTGTTGCCCAGACTAGAGTGCAGTGGCCCAATTATAGCTCATTGCAGTCTTGAATTCCTGGGCTCAACGTATCCTCTCTCCTCAGCCTCCTAAGCAGCTAGGAATGTAGGTGTACAACACCACACCCAGCTAATTTTTAACATTTTTTTATAGAGAGAGGGTCTTGCTACGCTACTAAGGCTGATTTTTATTTTTTATTTTTTTGTTACTTATTTTATATAGTATTAGTATATATTTTTAAAAATTGGCTAAAAAACTTATACGTGCCCTTTTCATAGTGTCTCTATTAATATTTTGTTGTTGTTGTTTGTTAATTTTTTTTTTTTTTTGAGACAGAGGCTTGCTCTGTCACCCAGGCTGGAGTGCAGTGGCACGATCTCGGCTCCCTGCAACCTCTGCTTCCCGTGTTCAAGCGATTCTTCTGCCTCAGCCTCCCGAGTAGCTGGGATTACAGGCACACACCACCACGCCTGAGCTAATTTTGGCAATTTTTAGTAGAGACAAGGTTTCACCATATTGGTCAGGCTGATCTCGAACTCCTGATCTCAGGTGATCCACCCGACTCGGCCTCCCAAAGTGCTGGAATTACAGGCATTGAGCCACTGCACCCGGCCATACTATTTGTTGAAGTTAAGAATATATCCCATCTCCATATTTTTGGCAAGATGTGCCCTCTTGTTCCTCTCCCTACACTCAGTCATACTGCCATTTATCTACCTTGTGACCAGTATGACAGATTGCATTCTTTTTACATACAGGCTTATATTAGCTATTTAAAGAAACAAGGACTCCCAGGTCATTTCTAATTCTTACTTTCTAATCTTAACATGGCTGTATGGACAGTGTTGCATATCCTTTTATCATCTGCACTGATCCCTTTTCCCGACTCTATGTTTTTCTTTATGCATATTACTTATTAATCTCTAACATTTGATTTATTTTACTCATTTATGTGTTTATTTTGTGTTCAGTAGGTGTCTTTACCTACTAGAATATGTTCAACAGTGGGAAGGATTTTGCCCTGTTTTGCGCTCATAGTGCCTGGCACAAAGTATACAACTAATATACTTTTGTGTTTTTTGAGACGGAGTTTCTCTCTTGTTGCCCAGTCTGGAATGCAATGGCGTGATCTCGGCTCACCGCAACCTCTGCCTCCTGGGTTCAAGGGATTCTCCTGCCTCAGCCTCCCGAGTAGCTGGGATTATAGGCATGCGCCACCACACCCAGCTAATTTTGTTTTTTTTAGTAGAGATGGGGTTTCTTCATGTTGCTCAGGCTGGTCTCGAACTCCTGACCTCAGCTGATCTGCCCGTCTCGGCCTCCCAAAATGCTGGGATTACAGGCCTGAGCCAGCACACCTGGCCACAACTAATATAAATTTATCGAATGAATAAATTAATGAGAATATAAAAGGCAATAGTTCCCTCTACCATTCTGAGATTGAGGCCTAATTTTGACTTAAGATTCATTGTTACTTCCATATTGCTCAAAATAATTTCATTGGTGTTTACTAACCCATTTTAGATGAGGTGTTAGGATATACCAACATCACATACAATTCCCTGTCTTCCCAGTATAGTTGTATAAAAAAACTTCAGTTTTTCTGTTTTGTTTTTTTTAAAGGTGCTGTGGTCTGTCTCTGTAGAAGTAGAGTTTTTCACTTCATGCCAACCTGTAAATTTTGCTTGCCCTTGGTTCAGATACCTTTGTTGGTCTAACTAAGGGGGAGGGCCCTTGTATCAAGCATGACCATCTAAGACTACTGGCTTATCATGGGATGCTGAGTAGGACAGTTCTCTTTATGTCAGTTGTGGCTGGCAGATCTTTTAATTGACCTGATGGATATCATAAGATTGCAAAGGAAGAAGCAGGCATCTCAAGCTGGGAGGATATCATTGTAGTCAGTGAGTAGACGTGAGGATGGAATAGAGCCAAGTAGATAGAATACCATGAGTAAAAAAGTTAATAAAGGTTTAAAGGCTGCAGTACAAGTTGTCTGAAAGGGGAGAATGTAAACTAATGGTTTAAAAATGCTCCAACAAGGCTGGGCACGGTGGCTTATGCCTATAATCTCAGCACTATAGGAGGCCGAGGCAGGTGGATCACCTGAGGTCAGGAGTTCCAGACCAGACTGACCAACATGTTGAAACCCCTTCTCTACTAAAAATACAAAAATTAGATGGGCCCGGTGGCGCATGCCTGTAATCTCAGCTCTCAGGAGCCTGAGGCAGGAGAATCGCTTGAACCCAGGAGGCAGAGGTTGCAGTGAGCCAAGATTGCGCCATTGCACTCCAGCCCAGGCAACAAGAGGGAGACTCCGTCTCTAAATAAATAAATAGATAACCCCAACAAACAAACAAAAACCTGAGTCCATCTCGTGAAGGTCTTTATTTGCTTAGATAAAAGTTTGAACTTCATGGCAGTGGTGTGTCATTGAAAGCTTTAGAAACAGGAATCAAATGATTAGAGAGAATTGTTTAGGGAGATTACTGTGACAAGGTGGATTTTTAAGTTGTAATGTTTGAGTGTGATATAATAAAACAGACCACAAGGGATAAATTCCCATTGCTTATGATCCTTAACAGTGGCCACTGCTCATTACACTCTGTTTCCAAACATCTTGTTTTCCCTTCAGTTCTCCTGGTTTCTGCTTCATTCTAAAACATTTATTGACGGTAAACTATGTCTAAGCACATGCCTGGGCATGCAAAATGAATAATATACTATTATTGGCTTAAAGAAGATCACAATCTGATGGAGACTTAAAAATAAAGTATAAAAAATTTTGAAAATGCTATCGTTCCTAGAGGTTCCACCCTGTGTTCTATTCTCTTGGTTACATACTCCCTTTCTACTTCTTTCTTTCTCTTTTCTTTTTCCTTTTTTTTTTTTTCTCTCTCTCTCTCTTTCACAAAGTCTCACTTTGTCATAGCTCACTGCAACCTTGAACTCCTGGGCTCAAGTGATTCTCCCACCTCAGCATTCTGAGAAGCTGGGCCCACAGGTATGTACCACTGTACCTGGCTAATTTTTTTTTTTTTGAGACTTAGTCTCACTCTGTCACTCAGGCTGGAGTGCAGTGGTGACATCTTGGCTCACTGCAGCCCCAACCTTCCAGGCTCAAGCAATCCTCCCACCTCAGTCTCCTGAGTAGCTGGGACCGTAGACATGTACCACCATGCCCAATTAATTTTTAAATTTTTTTGTAGAAAGGGGGTCTTGCTTTGTTGCACAGACTGGTCTCAAACTCCTGGGCTCAAGTGATCCTCCTGCCTTGATCTCCCAAAGTGTTGGGATTACAGGCATGAGCCACCACACCCAGCCCCATTCTACTTCTTTATCAGTTTTTTCAGTCAGGATCAGGTATATTACTTATGTCAAAAGTCCTTTTTTATTAGTATGGTTGCATATGTATACACAGGGATCCCCACTGACTTCCTGTTTTGTTTAATAGCATCACCAAGTTCTCATTCAGATTGGCTCAAAACCTCAATGTTGAAATAATCTGTACTCTGCTGTTACTGGGTATTATATAAATGTCAAGTTCCTGTTAGCTGATGGCGTTTGTGAGTTGTTCTATATGGTTTTTTTGTCTAGTCTTTCTATCAGTTGTTGAGAGAAGTATGTTGAAGTCTTTCCTATTATAATTGTGGATTTGTCTATTTTTCCTTTCAGCTCTACCCATTTTTACTTCAGATAACTTCCAGCTCTGTTGTTCAATATATATACATTTAGGGTTGCTTTGTCTTCTTGATGTATTGACCCTTCTATCTTTATTTTCCTCTCTGTCTCTGCTTATTTTCTTAGCTCCAAGGTCTACTTTATCTGATATGAATCTTGACAGCCTCCCTGCCTCCCTCCCTTCATTCCTTCTTTCCTTCTTCCCTCCCTCCCTCTCTTTCTCTCTTTCTGTTGAGGTGACTTTACATAATATAAAAGTTACCATTTTAAAGTATACAATTCAGCAGCATTTAGCACATTTACAATGTTGTATCACCACAACCACTAGTTACAGAACATTTTATTCACATCGAAAGAAAGCCCCATACCCGTTAAACAGTCCCTCCCCGTTTCCTCCTTCCTCCAGCCACTGGCAACCAACAATCTGCCTTCTGTCTCTGTGGATTGACCTGTTCTGGGTATTTCATATAACTGGATTCACACAATATGTGACCTTTTGTTTCTGACTTCTCTCACTTAGCATAATGTTTGGGAGGTTCATCCATGCTGTAGTGTGTGTCAGTACTTCATCCCTTTTTATGGCCGAATAATATTACATTGTATATTTTGTATACATTGTACACTACAATTTGTTTATCCATTCATCTGTTGAGAGACATATGGGTGTTTCTACTTTGTGGTTATGATGAAAATGCTACTATGAACATTCATGTAGACGTTTTTGTGTGAACATATGCTTGCTTCCTCTTGGGTATATACCTAGGAGTAGAATTGCTGGGTCGTATGATAATTCTATGTTTAACTTTTTGAGGTACTGCCAAGCTGTTTTCCACAGGAGATGTACCATTTTATATTCCTACCAGCAGTGGACCAGAGTTCCAATTTCTTCATATTCTTACCAATACTTGTTATTTTCTGATTTTAATTTTTAAATTATGACCAACCTAGTGGCTGTAAAGTTATATTTCATTGTGAATTTGATTTGCATTATCCTAATGACTAATGATGTTGAGCATCCTTTGTGCACATGTTGACCATTTGTATATCTTCTTTGGAAAAATGTCTATTCAATTCCTTTGCCCACTTTTTTTTTCTCATTGGAATGTTTGGCTTCTTGTTGAATTACAAAAATTAACAATATATTCAGAATATTAGACCCTTATTTGATATATTATTTACAAATGTTTTCTCACATTTTGTGGTTTTCTTTTTACTTTCTTAATAATGTCCTTTGTTCCACAGAAATTTTAAAATATTGATGTAATCTGATTTATCTGTTCATTCATTTGTTGCTTATACTTTTGGTATCATATCTGAGAATCAATTGCCAAATTCAAGGTCAGGAAGATTTACCTATTTGTTTGCTCCTAAGAGTTTTATATTTGGGTTAGAACTATTTTGAGTTGGGGGCTAGGGTTTCCCTTCATTCTTTTGCAGAGAAATATCTACTTGTCCCAACATAATTTACTGAAGAGACTGTCCTTTCCCCCATTGAATAGACTTGGCAGCTTTTTCAAAAGTTAATTCATCATTAATTTATTTCTGGACTCTGAATTCTATTTCATTTTTGGAATGTCTAATGCTAGGCCAGTTTCACAGTATTTTGATAACCCTAGTTTTGTTGTAAGTTTAAAAATGTGAGTCCTCCAAATTTGTTCTTTTCCAACTTTGTTTTGGCTGTTTGGTGCACCTTGTACTTATTACATTTGTGTTTAGGATTGGATTTCTCATTTCTGCAAAAAAGGCCACTGGAATTTCGAAAGATATTGTATTGCTGTTATGAATGGAACTGTTTTCTTCATTTGTCTTTTGGATTGTTCATTGCTAGATTTTGCGTGTTGATCCTGCAACTTTGTTGAATTTATCAGTTCTGGTACTTTTATAGATTATCTGGAATTTTCGACATATAAGAATATATTATCTGTGAATAGATACCTTTTATTTCTTTTTATTGCCTAATTGCTTTGCGTAGATCTTTCAGTACAGTGTTGAATAATAGTGGGCATCCTTGTCTTGTTCCTGATGTTAGGGGAAAAACTTTCAGTTTTTCTTTATTGAATATGGAGTTAGCTGTGGGTTTTTCATGAGCCATTTATCATGTTTTCAAGTTTCCTTCTTTATTTTTTTTTTAAGTCAGGGTCTTGCTCTGTCACCCAGGCTGGAGTGCAGTGGCATGATCATAGCTCATTGCAGCCTTGACCTGCAGGGCTCAAGCAGTCCTCTGGCTTCAGCCCCCTGAAGTAGCTGGGACTACAAAAAAAAAAAAAAAGTACTCTTGTATTAGCAGATTGGCTTTAAACCAGGACAGTCCTTGAATGTGTAGTAATGCCATCTACAACTCTGCCTTAGTCTTCACTTCCCGCTTGAGATGAGCCAGAGGCTCAGCCAGAGATGCAAAACGAGAGTCCTTGCTGTTTTTCTTTGAGCAAATGTTTGGCCCTGTGTATGAGTGTTTTAGTTTTTATTCCCCAGTATATTAGTCAGTGTATATAAACACAGATAGACACATAGATACACACAAAACCGTTTTAAGGAATTGGTTTGTGTAATTTGGGGGTACAGCAAGTAAGAACTAGGCCAGGCTAGCAAGCTGAGAGGCTAAAAACTGTCAGAGAAGGATTGATGCTGCAGTCTTGAGACAGAATTTTTTTGAAATAACATGTAATTTCACAAACTGAATCTCTGTGTTCAGTTCTTTTTTTTTTTTTTAATCTGCTGTCTTTTAAATCTCTTTATTCATTTCCTTTTAATTCTGGAAAATGTACTGTACTTCACAAATTCAGTTTTCTGCATGAACTAGTCTATTTATAGCTCCATGTACACTTTCTGTTTTTACTACTTTTTTGTGGAGGGGTAGTGTGCAGAGGAGAGTAATGGACTTGGTTGGGTGTTTATTATTTGCTTGAGGATGGTATGTTTTCTGTATTCTTATGAAGAAAATAAGACTTATTTTTTCTCCCACAATTAAAAAAAGTTTATAAAGAGATTTTCTCTCAAGGAAAGCTATTATTATAACTTGTAGCTCAGGTTCAACAGCAAGTGGTGCCTAGTACTGGTTTTTAACAAATATCAGGCCGGGCACAGTGGCTCATGCTTGTAATCCCAGCACTTTCAGAGGTGCATAGAAGAATTGAGTGAAAAGTACAGTGGTCTTCTTTCTTCTTCCTTTTCCTCCTCCTGTTCCTTCTTTCTTCTTGACAGGCTCTCACTCTGTCACTGGAGTACAGTGGCACAATCATAGCACATTGTATGTAGTCTTGAACTCCTGGGCTGAAGTGATCCTTCTGCCTCAACCTCCCAAGTAGCTGGGACTACAGGCGTGCTACCGTGCCTCGCTGATTTTTTATTTTTTGTAGAGATAGGGTCTTGCTACATTGCCCAGGATGGTCTTGAACTTCTGGGCTCAAGCAATCATCTCACCTTGGCCTCCAAAAGTGCTGGGATTAGAGACGGAACCCACTGCACTTGGTGCCTGGACTCCCCTATTCTTTGATACATCCACTTTCTCCCATCATTAACACATTAAATTAGTGTGGCTAGTACATTTGTTTCAGTCAGTGTGCTGATACTGATACAACTAATATCCATAGTTTATATTAAGTTTCACCCCTTGAGTTGTACATTGTGTGGCATTTGAGAAATGTATGATGCTCTGTACCCACTATTACAGTATCATAAAGATAGTTCCTCTGTCCTGAGAATTCCCTGTACTCTGCTTATTACTCCTTTTTTCCCTCCCCCTAACTCCTGGCACCACTGTTTTTTTTTTTTTTTTTTTTTTTTTTTTTGAGATGGAGTTTTTGCTCTTGTTGCCCAGGTTGGAGTGCAATGGCGTGATCTCGGCTCTCTGCAACCTCTGCCTCCTCAGTTCAAATGATTCTTCTGTCTCAGCCTCCTGAGAAGCTGGGATTACAGGCACCCGCCACCACACCCAGCTAATTTTTGTATTTTTAGTAGAGATGGGGTTTCATCATATTGGTCAGGCTGGTCTCGAACTCCTGACCTCAGGTAATCTGCCTGCCTCGGCTTCTGAAAGTGCTGGGATTAGAGGCGTGAGCCACTGCGCCCGGCCAATTTTAGACCTTTTCTGACAAGCTTCTTTTACTTAGCAATATGCATTCAGGGTTCCCTCATTTCTTTTTCTGGCTTGATGGCTCATTTCTTTTTGTTGCTGAATAATACTTTTATTAGCAACAAAGAATGAAATACTTAAGTGTAAAACAAGCAAAAGATCTATATGAGTAAAACAACAAAATACTGATACATGAAATAAAAAAATATAAATGTCATCTCTTCCTAAGTTGATCTATGCATTCAGTGCAATTCCTATAAAAATACAAGCAAGTTATTTTGTGGATATGTACTAAGTAATTCTAAAGTTTGTATGGAAAGGCAATGCTCCTAGAAGATAACATAGAAAATCTAGGTGACCTTGAGTTTTGGCGATGACCTCTTAAGTACAACACCGAAAGCGCAATCATAAATGAAAAAATCAGTAAGTTGGGCTTTATTAAAATTAAAAACTTTTGCTCCGTGAAAGATTATTTTAAGAGAGTGAGAAGATGGGCTGCAGATGGTGAGGAAATATTGGTGAAAGACACGTCTGACTAAAGAACTAAAAAACTCTTAAACCTGAACAGTAAGAAAATGAACAATCCTATTAAAAAATGAGCAAAAGGGTCTCAGCAGCTCGGGCTGCAGGAGGAGTGGCAGCAGCCAGGCAGCCCAGCTTCGCAAAGGCTCTCGGCATGCTGCGGCCCGCAGGCACCTGGCACACGTCCTCCCCGCCACCAGGATGCCCGAGAGGAAGGTCAGCTCCACCGAAGGGGCCGCCAAGGAAGAGGCCAAGAGGAGATCGCCGCGGTTGTCAGCTAAACTTGCTCCTGCAAAAATGGAAGCGAAGCCGAAAAAGGCAGCAGCAAAGCATTGAAACCACCATCTGTAAAGCTCTACATGTTCTTCACGGGGTGAATAATTTCTACCCAAAACTTGGGTTAAAGCTTGAAACGAGGAAGTACAAATAAAAGGGCAAAGGGGAGCAAAGGGAAAACAGGCTGAAAGAAACTAAAGAAGATTTACCTGCAGAAAAGGGGGAAATGAAAACTGAGGGGAGTCCAGCCTCTGATGAAGCAGGAGAGAAAGAAGCCAAGTCTGATTAATACCATATACCATGTCTTATCAGTGGTCCCTGTCTCCCTTCTTGTACAATCCAGAGGAATATTTTTATCAACTATTTTGTAAATGCAAGTTTTTTAGTAGCTCTAGAAACATTTTTAAGAAGGGAATCTCACCTCATCCCATTTTTTAAGTGTAAATGCTTTTTTTTAAGAGGTGAAATCATTTGCTGGTTGTTTATTTTTTGGTACAACCAGAAAATAGTGTGGGATATTGAATTATGGGAAGCTTTGACTGTCTTGGGTGTCAGCTTAACATTTCATAGATGGGGGATAGTTTTCATATCCTATAATACAAAGCATATTAAATGGCAATATGGAGTCAGTCCTGCATTTAATGTCTTGAACATTTTAAATTACTTCTATTCCCGTGGTTTTTTTTTTTATTATACTTTAAGTTTTAGGGTATGTGTGCACAATGTGCAGGTTAGTTACATATGTATACATGTGCCATGTTGGTGTGCTGCACCCATGTTGTTTTTTAGTAGAATTGTTTCCTAAAGAAAACCACTCTTTGATTATGGCTCTCCCTGTCAGAATTGTGTCCACTCTGTAACATCGTTGGTTGTGGTTGTCCTGTTTTCCTAATAACTTTGTTACTGTGCTGTGAAAGATTAAAAAATTGAATATGTAGTATACATGCTATTCAGTTGTGAATTGGTGGGATGTGTGTAACAGCTTATCAAATTGTGAAGATACTGGTACTTGATGTCCTCTTAAGGAAAATTTGCTTCCAAATTTAAGCTGGAAAGTCACTGGAATAACTTTAAAAAAGAATTAGGATACATGGCTTTTTAGATATTTGTTATGTATGTTAAGAATTGTGTACAAATTGAAATGTCTGTACTGATCCTCAACCAATAAAATCTCAATTATGAAAGAAAAAAAGAGCAAAAACCTGACCAAAGAAGATACACATGGCAAATAAGCATATGAAAGATGCTCAATAATGTATGTGATTGGGGAATTGCAAATTAAAAATAACAATTGGATACCACAGTTTTAAAGGGCTAAAAGCTCTAACATTGACAATACCAAATGCTGAGAAGAGGTGGAATAACAGGAATGCTCATTTATTGCTAGTGGGACTGCAAAATTGTACAGCTACTTTCAAATACAATTTGGCAGTTTCTTACAAAACTTAACATACTCATACCATAAGATTAACCAATTGCCCTCCTTGGTGTTTACTCGAATGAGTTGAAACTTACGTCCTCCCAAAAACCTGCACAAAGATGCGTATAGCAACTTTATTCATAATGGCCAGAACTTGAATACAACCAAGATGTCCTCCACCATGCAAATGGGTAAACATTGGTACATCCTGTGAGTGGAATGTCATTCAGTGCTAAAAAGAAATGAGGTATCAAGCCATGAAAAGACATGGAGGAATGAATGCATATTACTCCGTAAAAGAAGTCAATCTGATAATTGTACTGTATGATTCTAACTATATAATGAAACTGTGGAGACATTAAGTTGAAATTTTTTTTTAACTTCTCATCTCTTTTTTGATTAGTTCTCCTTTTATTCACATTTGTTTGTAGAGGAAAACATTTTAGTCATAGTATTAATTCACTCAGAAAAATTATGTGAAATGAGTTATAAATTTAGTGGTGAACTGTACATGGAAGCTTCTTTCAAAATATATGTTTGAATTCAAATGCTAGTGTTTAAAAGTCTATTTAGTAACTGGTAATTTGACTGAATTGAACCATGTCATTATTATTTATTGACTGCCATTCAAAATAACCTTTTTTATTTTTACACATTTACTAGAGAAAAATAGGAAACTTAGACAAACATTCTTTCAGCTTGAGATAATCACGAGATAGTCACTAGTAACATTTTTATATCTAGCCTTCCAAATAGATATGTAGTCAGATATATGCATTTCCTCTAAAATGTAAGTTCCATGAGGCCATAAGTGGTCAATTGAATGGATGAATGCATATTTAACAGACTTAAATAAAAATCTACACACAATTTTAAACATACTGTTTTCTTATAAAATGTTTTTTATTAAGTATATGTCTATCACATACTTTTTTTTCATCCATGTTGTAGCATGTATAAACACCTCATTCCTTTTTATTGCTGAATAATACTCCATTGAATGGATATATCACTTTTTTGTTTGTAAGTTGTTTTTTTTTATACTTTAAGTTCTAGGGTACATGTGCACAATGTGCAGGTTTGTTACATACGTATACACACGCCATGTTGGTGTGCTGCACCCATTGACTCGTCTTTTACATTAGGTTTATCTCCTAATGCTATCCTTCCCCCCTCCCCCAACCCCACGACAGGCCCCGGTGTGTGTTGTTCCCCTTCCTGTGTCCAAGTGTTCTCATTGTTCAATTCCCACCTGAGTGAGAACATGCGGTGTTTGGTTTTCTGTCCTTGTGATAGTTTGCTGAGAATGATGGTTTCCAGCTTCATCCATGTCCCCACAAAGGACATGAACTCATCCTTTTTTATGGCTGCATAGTATTCCATGGTGTATATGTGCCACATTTTCTCAATCCAGTCTATCATTGATGCACATTTGGGTTGGTTCCAAGTCTTTGCTGTTGTGAATAGTGCCGCAATGAACATACGTGTGCATGTGTCTTTATAGCAGTATGATTTATAATCCTTTGGGTATATACCCAGTAATGGGATGGCTGGGTCAAATGGTATTTCTAGTTCTAGATCCTTGAGGAATGGGCACACTGTCTTCCACAGTGGTTGAACTACAAGAAAAAAACAACCCCATCAAAAAGTGGGCGAAGGATATGAACAGACACTTCTCAAAAGAAGACATTTATGCAGCCAACAGACCCATGAAAAAATGCTCATTATCACTGGCCATCAGAGAAATGCAAATCAAAACCACAATGAGATACTATCTCACACCAGTTAGAATGGCGATCATTAAAAAGTCAGGAAACAACAGGTGCTGGAGAGGATGTGGAGAAATAGGAACACTTTTACACTGTTGGTGGGACGGTAAACTAGTTCAGCCATTGTGATTAAGTTGAAAATTTATGTCCACACAGCCTGCACATGAATGTTCATGGCAGCTTTATTTATAATTGCCAAAACCTGGCAGCAAGTTGCCCTTCAGTAGATGAATGGATTAACAAACTGTGGTATATTCATAAAATGGATTATTATTCTTATTTTTCTTATTTATTTTCAGTGAGGTTTTTTTTTTTTTTTTTTTTTGTAGAGTCTTGCTCTGTTGCCCAGGCTGGAGTGCAGTGGTGCGATCTCAGCTCACTGCAACCTCTGCCTCCCAGGTTCAAGCGATTCTCCTGCCTCAGCCTCCTGAGTAGCTGGGATTACAGATGCATGCCACCACGCCTGGCTAATTTTTGTATTTTTAGTAGAGACAGGGTTTCACCATGTTGGTCAGGTTGGTCTCGAACTCCTGACCTCGTGATCTACCCACCTTGGCCTCCCAAAATGCTGGGATTTCAGGTGTGAGCCACCGTGCCCAGAGAGTTTTTTGTTTTGTTGTTGTTTTTTTTTTTTAGTCTACCTACCTTCTTACTCTGGTGGTTCGTGTGCTAGTTGCATGTGTAGTTTTATAAGAAACTGCTAGACTGTTGTCCAGGCGACTGTTCCATTTTATATTCCCACCAGCAATGTGTGAGTGATCCCATTTGTCTTTATCTTTTCCAGCATTTGTTGTCACTATTTTTAAATTTTTTTTTTTTTTTTTTTTGAGGCAGAGTCTTGCTCTGTCGCCCAGGCTGGAGTGCAGTGGTGAGATCTCGGCTCACTGCAAGCTCCACCTCCCAGGTTCACGCCATTCTCCTGCCTCAGCCTCCTGAATAGCTGGGACTACAGGTGTGTGCCACCACGCCCGGCCACTATTTTTAAATTTTTATCAGTTCTGATAGATGGGTAGTGGTATCTCATAGTGATTTTGTATTTTCTTTCTTTTTTTCCTTTGAGACAGGGTCTCACTTTGTCACCCAGCCTGGAGTGCAGTGGCACAATCACTGCCCACTGCAGCCTCAACCCCCAGCCTCAAGTGATCCTCCCACCTCAACCCCCAAAGTAGCTGGGACCACAGGTGCATGCCACTATGCCTACCTACTTTTTGTATTTTTTGTAAACAGGGTTTCACCATGTTGTCAAGGCTGGTCTCGAACTCCTGAGCTCAAGTGATCCCGCCTGCCTTGGCCTTGCACAGTGCTGGGATTACAGGTGTGAGCCGCCGCGCCTGGGCTGTTTTGTATTTTCTTTGTGGCTATTCATGCATCTATATAATCTCTTTCATGAAGTATTTCTGCTTATTTACTTTGTTAAAAGAAGGCCATCAAGAAGGCCATGTCCGAGGTCAGCTGAACGTATTTCTGATTCTCCTGGGATAGTAATTTAATGATGCTATTTGCAAAAACTACCATCTTTTCCATTGCCTTTTAAAGCAAATGCCTATGACTCAATATTTGATGATTTAAGTTATAATGAAGACTCAACCTCCTAGTTTTTTATTAATGGAAGAAGGAGTAAGAAATTTTGTGGAGAATAGGTTGATAGGTTTTCAGAATTAGAGCCTGAATTTCAGACATATATTATATGAAAATCCAAAAAAGTTGTAGCTAAGTATAATTATTTTGGTTTGTCCAGTGCATTCCAAAATTATAGATGGAGGCTGGGTGTGGTGGCTCATGCCTGTATTCCCAGCACTTTCGGGGGCCAAGGCAGGTGGATTACATGAGGCCAGTAGTTCGAGACTAGCCTGGCCAACATTGTGAAACCCTGTCTCTACTGAAAATACAAAAAAATTAGCCAGGTGTGGTGGTGTGCATCTGTGGTTCCAGCTACACAGGAGGTTGAGGCATGAGAATCGCTTGAACCTGGGAGGCAGAGGTAGCAGTGAGCCAAGATCCAGCTACCGCACTCCAGCCTGGGCGATACAGCCAGACTGTCTCCAAAAAAATAAAAAAAAAATTATAGATTCATTTAGATGAAAATGTTTAGTGACTTCTTGTTGATTTTTGTCTTCTATATTTATAATATTTTTCCTTTTAAGAAATCTGGTTTAAATATTTTGTTTTATAGTTCATAATTACTTAATTTAACCTTTTAATTTTCAATAAAAGAAGCATTTTTTGAAATTTGTTCTTTAAATACTTTTAATTAACCCTCTTCACTGTAATGAATTCACTGTGTAAATTCCATACCTTTGGCTGTTGTAATATATAAAAATGAGGACCTTTTCCTCCCTAATAAAATCTTAATAACTTCCTTTATGGGTATGGGTCAAATGTACAGTAGGTAACAGATTGTTCTGATAAAATTTCAACACACATGCTCAGTAATTCACTATAAAACAAGTTACTTACATAAAGAAAAGGTCAGTTAAAGAGAATTTGCATTCATTTCTATTTACATTTATCATGAATAGTGTAAAATGCCTTTACTATGCATTTTTATATGTATATATGGGATCCTGGGCACAAATTACAGATTTTTAAAGAAGCATTTATTAATAAAAATTGCATCCTTCCTGCCTTTCCTACAGCCTCTGATATTTGCTTACAGTAGATTCAGTTACATTCTAAACTTGGCTCTAAAAACTTCTTCTAGGAACTTCCCCCCACTTTATGCTATTAGGTTTACCTTTAAGGTCATAGCCCCATGTTTAAATGTCAAACACAATCCTTTAAAAATAATCCATTAGAGCTCTGTAGAAGTCACATGAAGACTGTATTCTGTGTAAAACTTTCTTGTGGCACTGTTTTCTACACCATTTTTGGCTTGTATGATAGAAAATAAAAGCTTGTTTCATGTCTGTCTATTTTAGTATAACACCTTATGGGGCATGCATACTGATTATTTTATGGAAAGCACTCTCATCAGCCTGCCCATGAGGAAAATTAAGATTGTCTTGCTATGTTCCATGGAAATGGTCAAGGCTTTTCAAAAGAGAAAACAGAGAACAAAAGAATATGTCGGGCGTGCACCCAACTGTGTTATTGGCAGGAAACGTGCTGACTCCTTTGTGAATGTGTGAATTTGTGAAGACCCTTATTTTAAAGAATTATCTTTTCCTATTAGTTGTTGAATGAGAGGTTTTTCTCATATATAAATAGTTTATGGTTCTGACAAATTTTGTTCAGTTATCTATAAACTGAGCTTTCGTAACATTTGTTTTGTCTGTTTCTAATGAAGGCTTGTTGCATGAAGATTCTCAGTTGTGACATTGTATGGATGATGCCAGTGAAGTGATCGGAGTTCCAGTATCTAGTGTGTTGTAGCCATCATGAGCTCCTAATTGAAGGCGACAGGCTGCTTTTTTCCCCTCCTAGTTGGTCAGGCAAAATGTTAGATTTCATTCATTATTAACTCATTCCTTATCAGCAGAGGACTGGATTAATTTGTAGGGAACATAAATAATTTTTGCTTTGTGTCAATTTTAGAGATTGAAGTTCAGGCTTATACAAGATTCTCTCCCACCTCCAGTTGTTCCAATTGTATGCATTTGTGTAACTACCATCATAAAAATGATACACTAACATTTCTGTCACACCAAAAGTTTCTCGTGCCACTTTGTGCTCCATACCTTCCTCCTTTCCCTCTCTCTTGCAACACTGATTTGCTTCCTATTATTATAGTTGTGGCTGTTGTTTTTTTTTTTAACTTTTCATAGAAGGGACTCATACAGTGTGTAGACTTTTATGTATAGCTTCCCTACTCCCACAGTCATGGTATTGAGATTCACTTTTGTTGTTTTATAGATAATTTGTTCTTTTTAAATGCTGAGTACTTTTCATTGCATTAATATGTAACTGTCCATTCACCTATTGATGGACATTTAATTGTTTCTAGGCTTTTTATTATGGCTAATAAAATACCTAGTTGTGACATATGGAAAATGTATGTTTAATTTTTTTACAAACTGGTAAACTATTTTTCAGAGTGACTGTACCATTTTGCGTCTCCAGCAGTAATGTGTGAGGGCTTCAATTAGTTTGCATTCTTGCCATAACTTTGTACTACTAGTTTTTAAAATTTTAGTCATTCTATTGGGTGTAGTGGTATCCATTAGTGGTTTCAACTTGCATTTCCCTGATAATTAAATATGTTGAACATCTTTTCATGTGCTTACTTGCTATCTGTATATCTTCTTTAATCAAGTATCTTTAAACATATTAGGGCCATTAAAAAACTGTATTCTTCTTTTTGCTTCTACAACAGTTATCATAGAATTATCGTCATTTTATTTATTATGAACACCTTTATTTTTTATTTTTCATGCATGAAATCATTTATTTTAGAGCTAATGTAAGCTTAGCCCACATTATAATGTTATAACATTAATTTTAATGCTGACATTAAAATTAAACATTAAAACAACATTGATACAGAAAATAAACATATGACTTAATATGTACAAGAGAGTTAGCAAGAAAAACTTGATAAATAATTTTTTTTCCAACTTTTATTTTAGGTTCTGGGGGTACGTGTTCAGGTTTGTTACATCAGTAAATTGTATGTCACTGGAGTTTGGTGTACAGATTATTTTGTCACCCAGGTAGTGAGCATAGTACCCGATAGGTAGTTTTTTGATCCTCACTCTACTTCCACCCTCCTCCCTCAAGTAGGCCCCGGTGTCTGTTGTCCCCTTCCTTGTGTCCATGTGAATTCATTGTTTAGCTCCCACTTAGAAGTGAGAGCATTCTGTATTAGGTTTTCTGTTCTTGCATTAATTCGCTTAGGATAATGGCCTCCAGCTGCATTTATGTTGCTGCAAAGGACACGATTTTGTTCTTTTTTATGCTGTGTAGTATTCTGTGGTGAATATGTACCACATTTTTTTTTTTTTGAGATGGAGTCTCGCTCCTGTCGCACAGACTGGAGTGCAGTGGTGTGATCTCAGCTCACTGCAACCTCCACCTCCCAGGTTCAAGCGATTCTCCTTCCTCAGCCTCCTAAGTAGCTGGGATTACAGGTGTGCACGACCACGCCCAGCTAATTTTTGTATTTTTAGTAGAGATGGGGTTTCACCATGTTGGCCAAGCTGGTCTCAAACTCCTGACCTCAGGTGATCCACCTGCCTTGGCCTCCCAAAGTGCTAGAATTACAAGCATGAGCCACCACGCCCGGCCTATGTACGACATTTTTAAAATCCAGTCCTCTGTTGATGGGCATCTAGGTTGATTCCATGAATTTGATATTGTGACTAGTGCTGCAAAGAACATAGGAGTGCATGTGTCTTTATGGTAGAATGATTGATATTCCTTTGGATATATATCCAATAATGGGATTGTCCTGTGTTGAATGGTAATTCTAAGTTCTTTGAGAAATCTCCAAACTGCTATCCACGGTGGCTGAACTAATTTACATTCCCACCAGCAGTGTATAAGCATTCCCTTTTCTCCACAACCTCGCTAGCATCTATTATTTTTTGGCTTTTTAGTAATAGCCATTCTGACTGGTGTGAGAAGGCATCTGATTGTGATTTTGATTTGCACCTCTCTAATGATTAGTGATGTTGAGCATATTTTTCATATGCTTGTTGGCCATGTGTATGTCTTCTATTGAGAAGTGTCTGTTCACGTACTTTGCCCATTTTTTAAATGGGGTTATTTCTTGCTTGTTGACTTATAGATTCTGTATATTAGACCTTTGTCAGATGCATAGTTCACAAATATTTTTCTGTCCTTCTGCAGGTTGTTTGCTGTTGACAGTTTCTTGTGCTGTGCTGAAGCTCTTTAATTAAGTACCACTTGTCAATTTTTGTTGCAATTGTTGGGATTGCTTTTGGAGTCTTCCTTATAAAATCTTTGCCAGGGCATGTGTCCAGAATGGTATTTGCTAGGTTTTTGTTTCTAGACTTTTTATAGCATTATGTTTTACATTTCAGTCTTTAATCCACCTTGAGTTGATTTTTGTATACAGTGGAAAGATTTTCATATATAGAGCCCAGTTTCAATCTCCTGCATATGGTTTGCCAGTAGTCCCACCACCATTTATTGAATAGGGAGTTTTTTCCCTATTGTTTGTTATCATCAACTTTGTCAAAGATTAGATGGTTGTAGGTGTGTGGCTTTATTTCTAGGTTCTCCAACCTGTTCCATTGGTCTATGTGTCAGTTTTTGTATCAGTACCATGCTATTTTGGTTACTGTAGCCTTGTAGTATAGTTGAAGTCAAGTAGTGTAATGCCTCCAGCTTTATTCTTTTCGCCTAGGATTGCTTTTACTATTCAGGCTCTTTTTTGGTCTCATATGAATTTTAGAATACTTTTTTTTCTAATTCTGTGAAAAATGCCTTTGGTAGTTTGATAGGAAGAGCATTGAAACTGTAAGTTGCTTTGGGTAGTATGGACATTTTAACGATATTGAGTCTTCCTATCCATGAGCATGGAATGTTTTTCCATTTGCTTGTGTCATCTCTGACTTTTTTCAGCAGCATTTTGTAATTCTCATTTTAGAGGTCTTTTACCTTTCTGGTTAGCAGTATTCCTAGGGATTGTATTCCTTTTACGGCTATTGTGAATGAGATTACTTTCTTGATTTGGCTCTCAGCTGGGATATTATCGATGTATAGACATGCTGTTGATTTTCATACATTGATTTTATATCCTGAAACCTTGCTGGAGTTGTTTAACAAATCCAAGAGCCTTTGGACAGAGACTAAGAGTTTTCTAGGTATTGAATCATATCATCTGGGACTAGAGATAGTGTAACTTCCTGTCTTACTATTTGGATGCCTTTTATTTCTTTCTCTTTCCTGATTGCTCTGGCTGGGACTTCCAGAACTGTGTTGAATAGGATTGGTGAGAGTAGGCGTCTTTGTCTTGTTCTGGTTCTCAGGGGGAATGTTTCCAGTTTTTGCCTGTTCGGTATCGTGTTGGCTGTGGGTTTGTCATAGATGGCTCTTATTATTTTGAGGTATGTTCCTTCAATATCTAGTTTGTTGAAGGTTTTTAACATGAATATTGAATTTTATTGAAAGTCTTTTCTGCATCCCTTGAGATGATCATTTGTTTTTTTGTTTTTAGTTGTGTTTGTATGATGAATCACATTTATTGTTTTGAATATGTTGAACCAAACTTGCATCCCAGGAATAAAGCTTACTTGATCATGGTGGATTAGCTTTTCTGTGTGCTGCTGGATTTGATTTGCTGGTATTTTGTTGAGGAGCTTTGCATCTGTGTTCATCAGGGATATTGGCCTGAAATTTTCCTTATTTGTTAATGTCTCTGCCAGGTTTTGGTATCAGAATGAAGCTGGCTTCGGCCGGGCGTGGTGGCTCATGCCTGAAATCCCAGCACTTCGGGAGGCCGAGGAGGGCGGATCATGAGGTCAGGAGATTGAGACCGTCCTGGCTAACATGGTGAAACCTCGTCTCTACTAAAAATACAAAAAATTAGCCGGGCATGGTGGCAAGCGCCTGTAGTCCCAGCTATTCGAGAGGCTGAGGCAGGAGAATGGCGTGAACCCAGGAGGTGGAGCTTGCAGTGAGCCTAGATTGCACCACTGCACTCCAGCCTGGGAGACAGGGAGACTCTGTCTCAAAACAAACAAACAAACAAAAAACAGAATGAGGCTGGCTTCATAGAATGAGTTAGGGGGAATCTCTCATGCTCGACTTTTTATAATAATTTCAGTAGGATTGGTAGCAGCTTTTCTTTATACATCTAGTAGAATTTGGCTGTGAATTCATTTGGTCCAGGGCTTTTTCTCATTGGTAGGTTTTAAAAAATGACAGATACAATTTTGGAATTCATTATTGTTCTGTTCAGGGTTTTAATTTCTTCCTGATTCAATTTTGGGAGGTTGTTGTGTTTCTAGAAATTTATCCATCTCTCCTATGTTTTCTAGTTTCTGTGCATAGAGGTGGTAAAAAATGTGTTGCATGCATCATCACTGTTGAGTCATAAGATTTTCTTTTCTTTTCTTTTTGAGACAGGGTGTCACTCTGTTGCCCACACTGGAGTGTAGTGGTATGATCAGAACTCACTGCATCCTCAAATTGCTCCTGCCTCAGCCTTCCTAGTAGCTGAGACTACAGGTGCATGCAGAATTTAAAAAATATTTTGGACACAAACCTTTGTCAGATATATATTTTTGCATTTATTTTTTCATAACATGGCACTTGCCTTTTCATTTTTAATTTTTGTCTGTTAAACAGTTAAAGTTTCACATTTTGATAAATTGTGTTTTGTCAGTTATATCTATTTTCATGCATTTCTTTTTCTGTTTAAGAAATAGGTTACAAAGATTTTTCTCAAGAAATAGGTTACAAAGATTTTTCTCCTGTAGTTTGTCCTTGACACATAGTTTTTGCTATTATATTTTTAGACTTATGATCCATTTTGAGTTTGTTTTTGGAGCAATTTAATTTTTTTCATATAGAAATCTGATTCTTTTGGCACCATTTGTTCCAAAAATGATCTTTTCATCATTTAGTTATATTGTACCTTTGATGAAAATGAGTTGGCCATACAAATGTGAGTTTATTTCTCGACTCACTATTCTGTTTCCTTGAAATATTTGTGTATGCCTATACCAGTACCATACTATCCTGACTATTGCAGCTTTATATGTCTTATACATGTATATCATTTGTATACATCCATATCTCAGAGATATTATATAGTGTAGGTTCAGTTCAAGATGACCCCAATAAGGCAAATTCCATAATAAAGCAAGTCCCGTTAATTTTTTGGTTTCCCAGTGCATATAAAAGTTATGTTTGGCTAGGCTCGGTGGCTCATTCCTGTAATTCCAGCACTTTGGGGAGGTAAGGTGGGGGGCTTGCTTGAAGCCAGGAGTTTAAGACCATCTTGGGCAACAAAGCAAGGCACTGTCTAAAAAAATAAAATAAAATAAAAAAATTAGCTGAATATGGTGGTGCGCACCTGTAGCCCCAGCTACTCAGGATGCTGTGACTAGAGGATTGCTTGAGATCAGGAATTAGAGGCTACAGTGAATTCCATTTCAGGTGACAGAGTGAGGCCCTGTATCTAAAACAAAAACAAAACCAAAAAAGGTATGTTTACACTATACTATAGTCTCTTAAGTGTATAATGGCATTATGTCAAAAAAAAATCAATGTGCATACCTTAATTAAAAAATACTTTATTGCTAAAAAATACTGATGTTCTGATACTTCAGTGAATCATAATCTTTTTGCTGATGGAGAGTCCTGGTTACCCCTTACGGGGCTCTTTCCTGTTCAGCGTCATGAAACCAACACATCAAACTGAAAATGAGTATCAGGCAGTGCAGCTTTATTCAGTAGCCTTGGAATTGGAGAAGTGGGAACTTAGCTTAACTTCTCAGCTCCTGAGAAACCTGGAAGTTACAGATATAGGGCATCTTTAATGAAGGGTTTGGGCATTAAGAGCCAGGAGAGGAATATGTTTTTCTTGGAAAGGGATGGAGATTTTCCTGGAATCAAGGAGCCACCTCTTTTCTATGCTTTCCTGGTCTCTTCTGGTCTTTGTCATTGTGATTGTCAACTGTCATGGTGCTGATGGGAGTGTCACTTAGCATGGAAATTGGATTATAATGAAGCTAGAGGTTCTTCAGAGGTCGATTAAACTGCCATTGTGGATTTCATCAGCTTTAGCTGGGTTAGACCTAAGAAGGAACTTCTGACCACAGACATCCTGTTTCCTAAAAATAAATGGAGTTAAAGCTGACTAGGAATTTAGCCATATCACATAGGCATTGCATTGGCCAACAAAAATGGGGTAGGGATCCAGCTAAGTCATTTAGGCACTACAATGGGTAGTATTAGGACCTTGCTCTGGATTAGGCTTTGGCTTAAGGGAATGTTGTGTTTAGTTTAGTCTTCTATCTAAACCACTAAAACTTTCTCCATATCGGCAATAAGCCTGTTTCACTTTCTTCTCATTCATGTGTTCACTGGAGTAGCACTTTTAATTTCTTCAAGAACTTTTTCTTTGTGTTCATGACTTGGTGATGTGGTGTAAGAGGTCTGGTTTTCTGCCTGTATCAGCTTTCAGTACGTCTTCCTTGCTAAGCTTAATCATTCCTAGCCTTTGATTTGAAATGAGAGATATGCAACTCTTTATTTCAAATGAACACTTAGAGGCTATTGTAGGATTATTAATTGGTCTACTTTCAATATTGCTGTGTCTCAGTGATGAAGGAGGCCTGAGGAGAGGGAGAGAGACAGGAGAATAGCTGGTAGGTGGAGCTTTCAGAACACACTCATTTATTGATTAAATTTACCGTCTTCTATGGGTCCAGTATGTGGTGCCCCAAAACAATTACAATAATAACGTCAAAGATCACTGATCACAGATCATTCTAACAGATATAATAATAAATGAAAGAGTTTGAAGTATTATGAGAATTACCAAAATGTGATGGAGAGACACTAGTTGAGCACGTAGTGTTGTAAAAATGGCTTCAGTCAACTTGCTTGACACAGGTTTCCCACAAACCTTCAATTTGTTAAAAAAAAAAAATGCAATATCTGTAAAGCACAGTAAAGTGAGGTGCAGTAAATTAGGTATGCTCGTATGTAAGAATCATGTTAATTTGCATAAAGATTTTAAAGTTAGCTTGTCATCGTCTTTAAAAAGGCCTGGTAGGATTTTGATTGTGATTATTAAATACATAGATCAGTTTGGGGAGACTTGCCATCTTAAGAAAATTATAACTCCCAATCCAAGAACATGGTATTTACTATTATTTATTTAGGTCTTTGATTTATTTTATCTGCATGTTATAGTTTTTAGTATACAAATCTTGCATGTATTTTGTTAGACTTACATAGAATTATTTCATATTTTCATGCTATTGCAAATACTTTCAGTTTCAAATTGTTCATTTCTATACAAACATGATTGTGTATGTAGACCATGAATTCTGCAACCTTGGTAAAGTTCTAGTAGCTTTTTAAAGAGATTCTTTGGGATTTTTTATGTAGATAATGTTATCTATAAATAGATCATGTTATCTGTGATGGTTTTATTTCTACC
The DNA here is from genome assembly GCF_000001405.40 of Homo sapiens. NCBI lineage: Eukaryota > Metazoa > Chordata > Mammalia > Primates > Hominidae > Homo > Homo sapiens. The sequence goes on from NC_000017.11 coordinate 60,865,726, forward strand.
TTGACAATCTGGATGCTTTAAATTTATTTATCTGTAATTATTGCGCTGGGTAAGACTTCTTATACAATGTTGAGTAGAAGTGATAAAAGCAGACAATTTTGCCTCGTTCTTGACCTTATGGGGAAGGTGTTTATTCTTATATCTGTAGATTTTTTTATAGGTGCACTTTATAAGGTAGAAGAAATTCTAATTATGGTTTGTTGAGTGTTTTTCTCTTGAAAAGGGTGTTGCATTTTTATTCCTAAAAATGCCATATCTGCATCTTTCTAATGTGATAATCATGGTAGTTTCCCCCCTTTTTTCTGTGAATATGGTGAATTACATTAATAGATATTTTGTAGTAAAGCAGCCTTGCATTCCTGCAATAAAGTTCACCTGGTTTTGTATTGCTGGATTTTATTTGCTAATTTTTTTTTTTTTTTTGAGACAGAGTTTCACTGTTGTTGCCTAGGCTGGAGTGCAGTGATGCAATCTCGGCTCAAGATTGAAATCAGTTTCAAGCGATTCTCCTGTCTCAGCCTCCTGAGTAGCTGGGATTACAGACATGCTTGCACCACCACCCCTGGCTAATTTTTGTATTTTTAGTAGAGACGGGGTTTCTCCATGTTGGTCAGGCTGGTCTTGAACTCCCAACCTCAGGTGATCCACCTGCCTCGGCCTCCCAAAGTGCTGAGATTACAGGCATGAGCCACTGCCCCCAGCTATTTGCTAATATTTTCTTAATGAGTTTTGGGTGTATATTTATGAGACATATAGATATACAAGCATATATTTTATTTTCTTGCAATATATTTATTTAGTTTTTGGATATGTGCTACTGACATTATAAAATATGTTGGAAAGTGACTCTTCTACCTTACGAAAGAGTTCATGTATGATAGGTATAATTTTTTGTTTTGAGGATTTTCTTTGCAAGAAGTTATGAATTGAATTTCTTTTTAGATCGTGAGCTATTCAAATTATCTTTATGTGTAGATTGGTTTTGGCACTCTGTACATTTTAAGGCATTTGTCTGTGTCATCAGAATATTTCCTGTTTCCTTCATTATTTGTTTGTTCCTTCTTTATTACTTTTTTGAACACTTTGACCAGAGTTATTGATTCTATTATCTTTAAAAATAACAAAGTTTTTGTTTTATTGATTCCCCCTTTGCTTACTCATTTTATTTTAAGAAATTCTTGTTCTTAAAATATGTTCTGTCCCTCTGTCTAGAACACAGTTTTTTCTTTATTGTACCTTTACAATAAGTCTTATTATGTGGAATGCATTTCCATATACATTCTAGAATGAGATCTCATGTCTGGTATATTTTTGATGAGGTTTTAAACTATCAATTTAGAGGTCTTTTAGGCCATGTTATTTTCTTTTAGGTAGGTTTTTTTGTTTTTGTTTTTTTTTTTTGAGGCAGTTTCACTCTGTCGTCCAGGCTGGAGTGCAGTAGCACAATCTTGGCTCACTGCAACTCCGCCTCCCAGGTTCAAGCAATTTTCCTGCTTCAGCCTCTCAAGTAGTTGGGATTACAGGTGCTTGACACCATGCCCGGATAATTTTTGTATTTTTAATAGAGATGGGGTGTCGCTGTGTTGGCCAGGCTGATCTGAAACTCCTGACCTCAAGTGATCTGCCTGTCTTGGCCTCCTAAAGTGCTGGGGTTACAGACGTGAGCCACCACGCCTGGCCTACGTAGGTTTTTAAAAAACCATTTTATTCTTCTTGTGTAGATATATTATGAATCTTTCCTTAGATTTGTTCCAAGATAGTCAATAGTTTTGATATTTAATGTCATTTTATATGATTTTTAAAAAAATTTTACTAATTGTTTCTCAATTTATAAAAATATACCTGATGTTTGTATATTAAACTTTTATCTAGAGACCTTGGTAAATCCATATATTCTAACAGTTGGTCTTTATTATGAATTTGCCTCTGTGTGTGTGTGCACAGATGATCTATATTTCTATGCACAGATTGGTATTTTTTGCTTTTATACAATCAAGTTTTTAGCAAATAATGACAGCTTTAGTTTCTCCTTATAGTAATTACTTTTCTTGGCTTATGCACAAGACCTTCCATACTGTGTTGAATAGAAGTTATGATAATAAGCATTTTTTCCTACATCCTGATTTTAGGGTCAGACCTTTTCATATTTTATGGGTGTTTGCTAGTTTTTGTTCGTTAGTTTTAAGGTTGGTACCCTTTATCGTATTAAGGAAATGTTTCTTATCATGAATAGGCTTTGAAGTTTATTAGATTCTTTTATGTATCTATTGGTGTAATCATATAATTTTTCTTTTCTTTCATGTTTTTTTTTTTTTTGAGACGGATTCTTGCTCTGTCACCCAGGCTGGAGTGTAGTGGTGTGATCTTGGCTCACCGCACCCTCCGCCTCCTAGGTTCAAGCGATTCTCCTGCCTCAGCCTCCCAGAGAAGCTGGGACTACAGGCACATGCCACCATGCCTGCCTAATTTTTGTATTTTTTTAGTGGGGGCAGGGTTTCACCATGTTGGCCAGGCTGGTCTCAAACTCCTGACCTCGTGATCCACCTGCCTCGGCCTCCCAAAGTGCTGGGATTACAGGTGTGAGTAACTGCACCAGCCTAATCATATCATTTTTCTTCTGTGTAGTACTAATTTGGTGAGTGATATTTTTTTCTTTGCCAAATTTTGCATTCCTAACTTGTTGACTTAAAATAAGGGATGTATTATGATCATTTTTGGGATAAGTTTTGAATCAATTTACTAATATCTTGTTAATCAGAGGTTTGAATATTATGTTAATGAGAAAGTATAGAGATTATTGGTCTTTCTTTTTTAAAAAAATGACATTTTTCTTTCTTTTTTCTTTTTTAGCACAAGCCCACCGTACTGTTGTGTGGATCTGTATTCACTTCGTACTGGGGAGATGGTCAAGTCCATTCAATTTAAGACACCTATTTATGATCTCCATTGCAATAAACGGTAAGGATTTTTTCATGGGTTTCTTGTGTAAAATAAGAAACATGCTCTCCTGGGCATGGAGAACTCTACCAGTTTCAATGACTAACTTAGATTTATTTTTAAAAATCTCAAGGAAACACCTTCTGAATTCTGTTCAGTGGAATAACTCTAAGATTTCTTGATGAATATATTCAGACTTCTAGTCTTGATCCATTAGGGAATTGTGAATTCAGTTTAGTGGGATATAACAAGCATTTGTAAAACAAAATGGAAATGAATAGAAAGTATCTGAGCAAACTTAAAAAGGTTAAGTATGGTTTTGAGAAATATTTTAATGTAGCTTTTTATATGTATTTTGTGTATGCTGATTTATGATGTGAAATGTAGTTTTGCTGTGAGAAACCACCAAAATTTTTGAAAAGCATGTTCCTGAACTATAAAAAAATGCTTTAAAATATTTTTATTCCTTCACACTTCACAGTGGAGCTAAAATAGGGACTAGACTAATTTGTATCCTTTAAAATTTATTTCATTTAATTGCTGGGAAAATATTCAGATCTATCTTGAACTTCTATGTGACCTCTACTGCTAATGACAAATTAATCACAGAACATTAGAGGAGAAAGGAACCTTAGGAATCTTCTATCACTCAGCACTTTCCTTTTCCGTTTAAGCAAACTGAAGCCCTGGGATGGTAAATATCTTGATCATTAGCTCTTACATGCCTCGTATAAATCTTCCATGCCATTAAAAAGCAAAACACCTGAAATATAGAAAATAAATTGTTTTCTGCCATTTCAGTAAATTTAAGTGAAGCAAAAGACTCACAGGTTAGAGTTTAAAGAGATGTTTTGAAACGTGACTCAGTAAGGTTGAATGTAGAAGGGAGGGCAAAGACATACTTAAAAAATACAAATAAAAGGAAGGTGGGTTTTGATACTAATAAGAGAAATATTTGAATTCAAGTATAGAAAGATGAAAATTATAGGATGTAGGAAAAATACCCAATATATTATTGCTAGAATAATATGATTGTCCTATGACACATCAAGTTGATCAGAAGGGTATAGAAGTGTTAAACAACGTTATTGAATGGGTAGATCCTGCAGACATATTTAACCCTGAACTGTCCTTTGTGCTGTCACAAACTTGATTACATATTATTTGGTCAAAAAATAATGTGAACACATACTAAAAAGTACAGAGAAGATTTTTAGACCACAGCTTCCTTGTATTTCAATTACATAAATATACTAGAAGTCAAAAAACAACAACACAAAACTCTTTCTCTTATTTACTTTCCTCTTTAATTTAAAATGTTTGCTCCATTTTAAAGAGGAAATCAAAACTGTAATTGTATATCATCTGAAAATTAATCGCAAAATATGGTTGCTCAGTTGCTTAGGTACTTTATTTAAAGGTTTCAGGTCCCCCACAGATAAATGTAGTCATCTATATCTGAATTGCTCCTCATTCTCCAGAAACCGTACGTATCAATAAATGGCACATATAAAATCACCTGTAGCCCATGCTTAATTCATAACTGCACAAGAGTGAATACTACAACTAGAAATTTTAAATTTGAGGAAGGTAGAGCTTATTCGGGAGCCCTAGCAAGAGGTGATATGACAAGAGTGTATGATATGGCAGAAAGGAGACTATGGTGGGAATTTATTGGTGCAGAAGGGACATAAGTAAACTATGGTTCACTCCCAGAAGCATAGGCTCTGTTGGAGACCTAGTAGTTTAAAGCACTAAGGGATCAAAAGGGTCTCGGGAAGTGTGCAGGAACAGATGTATCCTTGAAAATTCCTTCTGGCAGTATGGCAGGCAATGTTAAGGGTAATAAGTCTTCAAATAAATAAATGTAATAAAGAGAAGATATGATGTAAACCTTACTGAAACAAGGTAGCAACACTGACTCAGAACACTTATCGCTCCTCCATTGTAACCCCCCAATAAAACAGTAATTTATAAAGTCTGATGCTAATGAAAATATAGATAAGTGTACCAATGCAACAAAGTAGAATCTCAGATTAGACACACACAACCTCTATAGACATGTGACTTATAAAGGTTCCGCTGCAGGTAAGTTTTTTCAATAAATATTGCTCCAGCACTCAGATATTGATACAGAAAAAACTCAAGTCTTGACTCCTACAACAAAAAACGATGCCATGTGAATTCTAACTCTAACCATGAAAGATAATACCATTTATTTGTAGGAACATTTTCAATTACAAATTCAATTTATTTTATATTTACAAGTCTATTAAGACTTTAAAGTTCTTTCTAGCACAAGTTTTGATAATTTGCCTTGATAATTTGTCATTTATTAGTTTTGATAATTTATCAATAGTTTTGACAATGGTCTTCCCAGTCATTTGTCCATTAAGTCTTCTAATTTATTGGAATTTAGTTGTTTGTAATATTCCTACGTTGCTAATTTAATGACTGTAGGTTATCTGGTGATGTAGGTAATTTATGAATTCTATTTCCTTTTCTTTTTTGGGAGTTGGGAGGACTGGATCTCACTCTGTCACCCAGACTGGAGTGCAGTGGCACCATCACGGCTCACTGCATCCTTAAACTCCCAAGCTGAAGCAATCCTCTTGACTCAGCCTCCCTGTAGCTGGAACTGCAGGCATGTGCCACCACGCCTGGCTAATTTTTTTTAACATTTTTTTTGTAGAGACAAGGTCCCACTGTGTTGTCCAGGCTGGTCTAGAACTCCTGGTTCAAGTGGTCCTCCTGCCTTGGGCTGGGATTAGAGGCATGAGCCACTGTGCCCAATCTCTCTATTTTCTTGATCAGTCTACCTAGAGATTTGGTTTTATTTCCAGCTGTAGGTTTATTTATAGGGAAGTAGCGTGGGGTATGTGTTGATTATCAAGTTCAGCAGTTTATTTTCTAGTTTGCCAGGGTTTTTTTTGGTTTGTTTTTGTTTTTTTTTTTTTTGCATAACCAGGCATTGTATTTAGTGAAGTCAATATGAGGACGATCATGTTTTTCCTTTTCAATTTGTTAAATTGGATGATTTCCCAGTGTTAAACCATTCTTACACCCTGGGTTTCACCCTAGGGGTAATTATCTATAATCCTTTTTATATATTCCTGGATTTAATTTTTGCAGCTATGTTCATGAGGGAGATTCATGTATATTTTCTTTTTCTTATTATGCCTTGTCTGTTTTTTTGTTTCATTCATTAGACCCTTAGGAAGGTATTTCTTTTTTTGGAATTTTCTATGATAATTTGTGTAGGATTGTTATTCTATTTTTCTTAAATCTTTTGAGTTTCTGTCATTGGGTTAACATACATTTATGGTTATTATGACCCTTTATGAACCATCCTTTGTTAATAGTGATATTCTTGTTCTTAATGTTTATCTGATAATAATATATCCATTTCAGCTCTTTTGTTACTATACGTATGGTATGTATTTTTCCATTTTTCAGTTTTAAGCTAGTTGTGTGTTTGAATTTGTTGGTGTAGACATAATATGGTATCATTATCCAGTCTGACAGTTTCTAGTTTTAAATATTCTATGTTTATAAAATAAATTATGAGAAGGAATGAGAATATTATATGCGTGTATGTGTATATAGTGTGTGTATATAATATGTGCATGTGTATGTGTGTATATGTACTTATATGTATATCTGTATGTATATGCACACATACACACACCCCATATATATCTGAATGTATATATCTGTATGTATATACACACATACACACACATACCCCATATATATCTGTATGTATATATCTGTATGTATATATACACATACACACACACCCCATATATATCTGTATGTATATATCTGTATGTATATATACACACATACACACCCCATATATATCTGTATGTGTATATCTGTATGTATATACACACACCCCCATATATATCTGTATGTATATACACACATGGACACACACCCCATATCTATTTTTATGTATATACACACATACACACACACCCCGATATCTATCTGTATGTATATACACACATACACACACATACACCATATATATCTATGTATGTATATACACATATACACACACATACCTCATATATATCTGTATGTATATACACACATACACACACACACCCCATATATATCTGTATGTGTATATCTGTATGTATATATCTGTATGTATATACACACATACACACACACACACCCCATAAGTACTTTCTCTTTGGTTCCATTGACTCTTAATAATGGTGCATTTTTGTGGCTGTGTGTGTGTTTCATTATTTGATATTTTCTGTCAAACGCTGTGTGTAGAGGAATAGTACAGACATTGGTAATTAGATATGGAAATGCCTTTTCTTCTATCAGGGCATTAAAAGGGTATTAAGTTGATATAACATGTAGGCAAGGTGGTCTGAGGCTTTAGTATAGTAACAGAACAGAAATGGAATTTACAATTGAGTAATTCTAAAATTTGATATTATCACCTTTATAAGGATATTATCTCTACCTTTTTGTGTATTCAGAGTACACATACACATATATAGCAAATTATCACTTATTAGTAAGAAGCAACCCAGTAAAATATATAGAGAAAAGTTTTTAACAGGCCCAGCTAGAAAAAAAAATTGCAAGGATCTAACAGTAGTCACTCATTAGAATTATTCTGCATCAGTAAATGAAATTGTTGTTTTTAAAGATGAACAAAATTAATAAAGCATGCATATGAAATAATACATTTTCCTTTTTTTATACTCATATTAGCATCTGTTGCTCAGATTTACCAGCTTCCAATTTTGAAAAATAAGCTATTAGTTTGTTAAATATTTAGTAACAATTATAATCTCTATTTGATTTTTTGAAGTAAATATTAAGCTTGGCTATTTATATTAATATGCTGCAAGGATAGCACAATATAAAGTGGTGGCTTTGGATGTATTTTAGGAATTTTGCTTTAAAAAAGTGTTTATAACTAAATTATTTTCTAATTATCTGTAAATCTTGGGCATTGAGAAAAATACTGCTTTTACAGATTGTTAGTGAATTTTACTATATTGAGTCAATCAGAAATGACTTATATTTATGAGTAGCAGTTGGGAAATTCATCCGCCATTTAAACTTAAAGTGATGGGTTACATAAATCCATTTTATCTTTAATACCATGACTAAAACATCACTGGAAAAACACTTTAGTAGATAGCCAACAATTTATTATCTTCTCCATTCTTTTTTTTTCATTTCCTTTTGAGACAGGATCTCACTATGTTGCCTAGGCTGGTCTCAATCTCCTGGGCTCAAGTGATTCTCCTGCCTCAGCCTCTTGAGTAGCTGGGATTACGGGTGTGCAACACTGTGCTGGGCTTGATCTTATCCATCTTTACTGTAGACTTATTCGATTCAAAAATAAATGAAAACAAAACTTTACTTTGTGTATTCATATTTTTAGAGACAAGATCTTGCTGTTGCCCAGGCTGGCGTGCAGTGGTGTGATCGTAGCTCCCTGCAGTCTTGACCTCCTGGGCTCAAGTGATCCTCCTGCCTCAGCCTCCTGAGTAACTAGGACTACAGGCTCACACCACCACACCTGGCTAGTTTATTTGTATTATTTCTTATAGAGACAGGGTCTTCCTTTGTTGCCCAGGCTGGTCTCAACCTCCTGGGCTCAAGTGATCCTTCTGCCTTGGCCTCCAGGAATGTTGGGATTGTAGGCATGAGCCACCATGCCTGGCTGAAACAAAACTATTAAAAGACAAACATTTTTTGAGGTGGTAGTTTTTTCTTCCATCACTTTTCTTCTAGTCATCTCTATCTTATTTATATATAGGATTTTGTGGTTTATATTTTTACACATTTTAAGAGGCAGAAGTTTCTAGCCTAAATATTATAGGAAATGTTTAATTTTAAAATTGTATTAGTAGGCACTTGTTTTCATCTAGATGATATAATGCATTTCTGATTCCACTTACAGAATTTCACATTCACTTTTTTTCTTTCTGTTTTTTTTCTCTCTCTAATTTTAGGATCCTTGTCGTAGTCTTGCAGGAGAAAATTGCTGCCTTTGATAGCTGTACTTTCACGAAGAAATTCTTTGTTACAAGTATGTACCAATTTTTTTTCCCTTCTTATGCCTTTGGGTTTATACTACTTACTTGACACAATCAGCAAACTAACTGTAATTTTCTCAACAGTACTTAATGTTTTCAATTTTGATGATTTTCTTGTGATTCTGTGGCTATTCTCATTGAGTAATATTCTTGTATGATATATATTTTCAACTTTCCAACACATTTTCTTTATATTACTAAGCAAGCTTTGTTGTGGGTTACCTCACTTTCTCCTTACATACTATCCTTGAGTTTGTGATTTAGTTTCATATAGCTGTTTCATACTTTCAAAGCAGTTGTTAAATTGCTTAACATACCGTACTTTTATACATTATACCTTTACATATGAGCAAAATTTGTTTCTACTAACATTAGTATCTGTCATTTAACCAAAAGGTGAAAAAAATATATTTTTCGAATAAGGACTTATATTTTAAAAGAGTGTTCAAAAATCTTCAATACTGTTAAATAAACTTATGTACTTATAAAGCTGTAAGCACAATTTCCTTTAAAACTTTTGTTTGTTTTTGTAAATTGATAATATTTGCAGCTTTTCTGTGGGAGTATTTGGCAGCTTGAGATTTTCTAATAGGAGAATTTGTGGTAAGTCCTCATTTGGGTCAACTTACAGATTTTCTGTATGATGGAAAAAAATGTAAACACATAAAGCCTTGGAAAATATATTGGCAGAATCAGTATAGAAGTTGGCACATTTTCAAAGAAAGCAATTTAGCAGTTTCGTATTACCAATTTTACTATAATTTCTCAATTTAAACCATATATGACAGAGAAAAGAGTGAAAAAACCTTTTACTTAGAAGAGAGAATAGTGTATGTATTCTTAGTTTTTATTGCTATTTGAAATTGAAAGTTCTTGCAGAAAAAATGTGTTTTTAGTCATCTTAAAATGGTTAAATGTATCTTAAATATACAAATGTCTTCAATTTTCAATAATTTGGCCTATTATGTAAACATGTAATAATATAGTGCTGTGGCAAAAATATTGTATCTTAATTAAATTTCTAGTGCCACAGACATGCCATTTCTTTTCCTGTAAAGGCCATAAACAATAACTTTTTATTTTGGGAAATATATACATATATATAATTAGAGTAGTAGTATGATGAACACCCACGCATTTATTATCTAGTTTCAACAACTATCAAATAATGGACAGTCTTTTTCATTTATACCCCTTCCCCAATTATTTTGAAGCATATTGCAGACATTATAGAATTTAATTTGTACATATTTATTATCTACGTCTGAAAGATAAGAACTTTGAAAAATTACCAAGTGATTATATAATTATCATCCAAACTGCAGTCTTTTGATTTGCACAGTTGCCATACTGGACTTAACTCTGATCAATATATGTAAACTTGTAAAGTCCTGAGCGAACACAGATATATAGTTATCTTGTCCATTTACTACCAATGAAACTCCCAAGGTTTTTGATACACCAAAACCTTCTTTATGAAAGTTTAGTGTCCTTGCTAAATCTTTTCTACAACTTAATTTTCATGCTTCTTATGTCCCATTTAATTTGAACCTCTCATTATTCTCATTCTGTTGGAGGTACATTTTTCCTTTGTCTTCGTGACCAGAATGGCCTTTTCACTAATACCCCTTCTCTTTATGATGTTTTAATCCTATATATCTTTCTGGGCCCAGTGTAGATAGTAATTCTTATATGAAATCTTTCTTGACCCCTTTAGCTTACAGAAACTTCTCCTTCTAAATCCCTTAAAGATAACATTTCCCACTGTCTGTTTGTAGAACATTAGATTTTCAACATACTTTGCAAATCAGGATGCCCTGGTCAAATATGCTTAGGAAATGCTGCCTTCTGTTGAGACTAGCAATGATGATTAGTATTTTGTCTGTTTAAATTTATTTGATACATTTCTTAATTTCCCATATTTATTTGATAACAGACCTCATTTGTTAACCAACACCGTTTTGGAATGCTTTTGTAGTATGTCATCTCTGCCTCTCTTGAGGCACTTACATTCTATCTTGTATACATTTTCTATCTGTTTGCCGCTAGACAGTATTCTCATTGAGAGAAAAGTTACTCAGTTTGTTTTGGATTGAGGAAATAAAGTTTTACCATGGAAGGCATAATGTGTCTATCATGTCCTTGCCAACATAAAAATATTAATGATTTTTTTTGTTCTCTTAATAATAAAACCCAGTTCACTAAAGATGAATACATTTATCAAAATTATGTTCGGTTTCAAAGCACAAGTGGTTCTTTTTCAGAATGTTTAGTTAATGAAAATGTTTGTGATAACAGTATGTCTGAAAATGTAGTGCTTCTCTGTCAACAGTTATCAGATGAAGAAAATTATTTATATAGGATCAGTACAGATCTTTATAGGTCTGAGTTGGAAATTAAAAGTAAGTGGTGAATATTTTAAGAAATGATATATATATATATATATACACACACATATATACATATATATGCATAGATGAATGAAATTTCTATCTTACAAGTCACATTGGGGTAAATCCAGAAATTTTGGAAAGGATGAGTTTGTTAGAAAATTATGTCTTCATAGGCGTCACCTCTTGAGTATCTCTCTCGTATCTGCAGTATCTCTCCTGTCTATCTCTAAAGGATTTCCCCTTTGAAAATGGGATCTTCTGTTCTGCAGACTTTTAGTAAGCACAAAACATAAGTCAAATTTGATAAAAGTGAACAGGAGACTGAGTTGTTAGCACTCTTTCTTAATGCCTTTCATGCTTTCCTTTTTCTTTAATGTCTTTTTGGGACATCTTTGCCATGTATTCCTGAATACTTCCACCTGAATTGCTGGACCACTGAATAGATGAAACAAGTTTTGTTAAAGCATTAGTCTCTTTTGTATTCTGTGAATTCTTCACTACAGGAAGAAGAGATCTAGAGGGATCAACAGTGTTTGTGGTACTGTAGAAGGTACTTTAAAAGTGAAATGCAGCTTTTAGTTAAGTCCTGGTCAAGTGGCTGGAGGTCCACAGTGATGAATTTTTAGTAATTCCTGACCCACAAAGATTATCACTTATTCTCTCAGAGTAATGTTTGCATACTGGCTGTCATGGGTTGGGCATTCCTTAAAATCTATTTAGTGTGGATTTCATAAAATCTGAAATGTATGTTACTTAAATGGTTAAAATATTGAAAAAAGTAGTAAATAAAAGTACATTCTGTCATTTCTGGGAATAAATGTTGGAAATAAGTGTAATTAACTATGTATATAAGCCCAGTAATGTCTTTTTTTTTCTTTTTTTTTTTTTTGAGATGGAGTCTCACTCTTTTGCCCAGGCTGGAGTGCAGTGGCATGTTCTTGGCTCACTGCAGCCTCCACCTCTTGGGCTCAAGCAGTTCTCCTGCCTCAGCTTCCCAAGTAGCTGGGACTACAGGCAGGCACCACCACGCCCGGCTAATTTTTGTATTTTTAGTAGAGATGGGGTTTTACCATGTTGTCCAGGCTGGTCTCGAACTCCTGAGCTCAGGTGATCTGCCCGCCTTGGCCTTCTAAAGTTCTGGAATTACAGGCATGAGCCTCCATGCCCGGCCAGTAATGTCTTTGAGGAAAGATGTTCTTAATTTTAATATAGTTGTCAGAAGGTAGGATGGTGCATGTCTTGGGAAGAATAGGGACTGAAAGGGAGTGTAAGAATGTGCTTTGGGGAATCTATAATGTCCTTTTTTTGTCTGGTTGTTATTTATGTGTTCAATATGTGTACACTTTGTTGATTTGGGTAATGCTGCATGTATATTATATTTCAACATGCACTTAATATGAAAAAGTTCAGAAAGCAACAGTAACATATGTTTGTGATTTCTTTCTTCATACTCTGGATACAGTTTGATGTAGCATTTCACCACAGGTCCCCCTTACCTGTTCATCTACAAATACCCTTACCAATAGTGGTAATGTATTTTATTTCATATTTCTGTGAGGAAGTATGTCATTCTTAGTTACAAATTATTTTTCTTGAAAACCCTAGGGGTCAAATTTATGCATATGACATATGATTTTAGGTTGGTAAGATTGATGATATTCTGTAAATATTTGAATGAAGGAATTTGGCCGATTTTCTTTGAAATTACAGCTTCCTCTAAAGTGATTTATATCAATATTTAGAACAAAATTTACCATGACCAGATTTTTAAAATTAAGGAACAAAGGGTGCCACTTCATAAGTAGAAAGAATCTTATTTTCCTCCAGTTTCTCCCCTTCTCCCTGTTCCTTTATACAGACTGAAACTTTTGTCAGGTGAATCCCATGCCTGTAAGCTGGTTTTGCCTGTTAGACTGAAAGGTATAGGATATAGAGACTGGAGGATAGGATACTGGGATGTAGGGAGCAGGTGGGACAGGGCATACTGAGATAGCATTTGTGGTAGTTCATTTGCCTGTAGCACATAGTTTTTCTACATTTATTGGTACCTAGTTCTTAAGGTAGGACCATAGCCCATGTTGAATGACAAGATCTCCACTTAATGAGGTTGTTGTTTTGATCATGCAAGCAGTTATCTTCTAAAATAGTTTGAAAAGGTTTTGTATAATACCTTTTTAGTGCATTGGTTATATGTGAATACAATGAAGGGACTGTAAAATAAGTAGAGACAGCTGTGTCCATCAGAGCAAGCATCATGGGAATTTGTGCCAAAGGGTGGAAGGAACAGGTAAAGAGAGCTGATAGAGGACTGTTAATGGAACGCATCCAATATGATGAGAAAGGAGACACCTTTGTATTTGGATATAAAGAAAAAGTCGCCTTGAGCAGCTGTCTGATGTGGAAATCCAAAACCCGTGTATGATTAGGAAAACAAAAGACAAAGACCGATAGATGTCATTAGCAGTCATTTTCAGTGTTCTTAAATTGAAAGGTAGATATGAAGTCTCCAGAGAGATCAAAGGAGTGTACAGTAAGCAATCTTGTTCCATTGGCCTCTGTTTTTACTTGGAGGAGAAAACTTATTTCTTATAATCTTAGTGTTATTTCTTGGTTTTAATGTGTTCTTCATTTATGTTAATGATTAATAACAAATAGAACAAATGGAAATGCAAAGTTTACTTTAAAATGCAAAATTATCTTTAAGTTTTGAAAGAGGAGCTCTGCTTTTATGTGAAGAAACAAGTTTGTAATATTTATGAGAATTCATTGATAGGTTAGTGTGAGTTCTAAGTTCAGCTTACATTAAAAGTTAAACCTATCTTTGTTTTTCTGAGTTCTCCATAAGATGGAAAAGGTTACTATGATGTTTTTAGGGCATGTGCTGGTGCTGGAATCATAGTGGACACTCAGTGAATATATATGCAGTGAACTAACTTGTGACTTTTTCATTCTCTGCACACAATTCTCACCCATTGAGTCTTAGAATGGCAGTACTCATGAAATTCATTTTAAACTAAAAACTCATAAAACCTTATGAGAGTCCTTAATCAGCTGTATGATGGTTAAACACATCTGTGAAATGGTATTTAATGTTTTATATGCTTATGTGTTTTTCTGGGGAGGATGTTCACTTTTTTTTTTTTATTGTTGTTGTTGTTTGTGTTTTTTTGAGATGGAGTCTCGCTCTGTCGCCAGGCTGGAGTGCTGTGGCACAGTCTCGGCTCACTGCAGCCTCCATCTCCCGGCTTCAAGTGATTCTCCTGCCTCAGCCTCTCAAGTAGCTGGGATTACAGGCGCATGCCACCACACCCAGCTAATTTTTATATTTTTTAGTAGAGACAGGGTTTCACCATGTGGGCCAGGATGGTCTTGATCTCTTGACCTCATGATCCGTCCTCCTTGGCCTCCGAAAGTCCTGGGATTACAGGCGTGAGCCACCGCGCCTAGCCATATGCCACATTTTATCTGATCGTTAGTTGACAGATATTTAGTTTGTTTCTACTTTTGGGCTGTTGTAGATAATGCTTGTATGGACACTAGTGCACAAGTTTTTCAGTGGACATATGTTCTCTTGGGTATGAACATTTAGCTACAAGTTTTTGTAATTTTGAAATTTGAATTTCCCTGATGGCTAATGACACTGACCATTTTTAATGTGCTTATTTGCCATTTGTATATCTCTGTCCATTTTTAAATTATTTGTCTTTTCAATACTGAGTGGTAATATTTTATATTCTAGATATGTCACTTATCAGATATATCTTTTTGCAAAAAATGTTCCCTCATTCTTTAGATTGTCTTTTCACTTTCTTCTTTTTTTTGTTTTGTTTTGTTTTGTTTGTTTGTTTGTTTTTGAGACGGAGTCTCGCTCTGTCACCCAGGCTGGAGTGCAGTGGTGCGATCTCAGCTCACTGCAAGCTCCGCCTCCTGGGTTCACGCCATTCTCCTGCCTCAGCTTCCCGAGTAGCTGGGACTACAGGCGCCCGCCACCACACCCTGCTAATTTTTTGTATTTTTAGTAGAGATGGGATTTCACTGTGTTAGCCAGGATGGTCTCGATCTCCTGACCTTGTGATCCGCCCACCTCGGCCTCCCAAAGTGCTGGGATTACAGGCGTGAGCCACCGCACCTGGCCTGGTCTTTTCACTTTCTTTATGGTGTCTTTTAAAGCATGTTAAATTTGCATTTGTTTTGATGAAGTCCAATTTATGTATTTTTCTTTTGTCCTATATAAGAAACCATTGCCCAATCCAAGGTCATGAAAATTTACAGTATTTCATTCTAAGAATTTAATTGTTTAACTTTTTTTTTTTTATTATACTTTAAGTTTTAGGGTACATGTGCACATTGTGCAGGTTAGTTACATATGTATACATGTGCCATGCTGGTGCGCTGCACCCACTAACTCGTCATCTAGCATTAGGTATATCTCGCAGTGCTATCCCTCCCCCCTCCCCCCACCCCACCACAGTCCCCAGAGTGTGATATTCCCCTTCCTGTGTCCATGTGATCTCATTGTTCAATTCCCACCTATGAGTGAGAATATGCGGTGTTTGGTTTTTTGGTCTTGCGATAGTTTACTGAGAATGATGATTTCCAATTTCATCTATGTCCCTACAAAGGACATGAACTCATCATTTTTTATGGCTGCATAGTATTCCATGGTGTATATGTGCCACATTTTCTTAATCCAGTCTATCATTGTTGGACATTTGGGTTGGTTCCAAGTCTTTGCTATTGTGAATAATGCCGCAATAAACATACGTGTGCATGTGTCTTTATAGCAGCATGATTTATAGTGCTTTGGGTATATACCCAGTAATGGGATGGCTGGGTAAAATGGTATTTCTAGTTCTAGATCCCTGAGGAATCGCCACACTGACTTCCACAATGGATGAACTAGTTTACAGTCCCACCAACAGTGTAAAAGTGTTCCTATTTCTCCACATCCTCTCCAGCACCTGTTGTTTCCTGACTTTTTAATGATTGCCATTCTAACTGGTGTGAGATGGTATCTCATTGTGGTTTTAATTTGCATTTCTCTGATGGCCAATGATGATGAGCATTTTTCCATGTGTTTTTTGGCTGCATAAATGTCTTCTTTTGAGAAGTGTCTGTTCATGTCCTTTGCCCACTTTTTGATGGGGTTGTTTGTTTTTTTCTTGTAAATTTGTTTGAGTTCATTGTAGATTCTGGATATTAGCCCTTTGTCAGATGAGTAGGTTGCGAAAATTTTCTCCCATTTTGTAGGTGGCCTGTTCACTCTGACGGTAGTTTCTTTTGCTGTGCAGAAGCTCTTTAGTTTAATTAGATCCCATTTGTCAATTTTGTCTTTTGTTGCCATTGCTTTTGGTGTTTTGGACATGAAGTCCTTGCCCATGCCTATGTCCTGAATGGTCATGCCTAGGTTCTCTTCTAGGGTTTTTATGGTTTTAGGTCTAATGTTTAAATCTTTAATCTATCTTGAATTGATTTTTGTATAAGGTGTAAGGAAGGGATCCAGTTTCAGCTTCCTACATATGGCTAGCCAGTTTTCCCAGCACCATTTATTAAATAGGGAATCCTTTCCCCATTGCTTGTTTTTGTCAGGTTTGTCAAAGATCAGATAGTTGTAGGTATGTGGCATTATTTCTGAGGGCTCTGTTCTGTTCCATTGATCTATATCTCTGTTTTGGTACCAGTACCATGCTGTTTTGGTTACTGTAGCCTTGTAGTATAGTTTGAAGTCAGGTAGTGTGATGCCTCCAGCTTTGTTCTTTTGGCTTAGGATTGACTTGGCAATGCGGGCTCTTTTTTGGTTCCATATGAACTTTAAAGTAGTTTTTTCCAATTCTGTGAAGAAAGTCATTGGTAGCTTGATGGGGATGGCATTGAATCTGTAAATTACCTTGGGCAGTATGGCCATTTTCACGATATTGATTCTTCCTACCCATGAGCATGAAATGTTCTTCCATTTGTTTGTATCCTCTTTTATTTCCTTGAGCAGTGGTTTGTAGTTCTCCTTGAAGAGGTCCTTCACATCCCTTGTAAGTTGTATTCCTAGGTATTTTATTCTCTTTGAAGCAATTGTGAATGGGAGTTCACTCATGATTTGGCTCTCTGTTTGTCTGTTGTTGGTGTATAAGAATGCTTGTGATTTTGGTACATTGATTTTGTATCCTGAGACTTTGCTGAAGTTGCTTATCAGCTTAAGGAGATTTTGGGCTGAGACAATGGGGTTTTCTAGATATACAATCATGTCGTCTGCAAACAGGGACAATTTGACTTCCTCTTTTCCTAATTGGATACCCTTTATTTCCTTCTCTTGCCTAATTGCCCTGGCCAGAACTTCCAACACTATGTTGAATAGGAGTGGTGAGAGAGGGCATCCCTGTCTTGTGCCAGTTTTCAAAGGGAATGCTTCCAGTTTTTGCCCATTCAGTATGATATTGGCTGTGGGTTTGTCATAGATAGCTCTTATTATTTTGAAATACGTCCCATCAATACCTAATTTCTTGAGAGTTTTTAGCATGAAGGGTTGTTGAATTTTGTCAAAGGCTTTTTCTGCATCTATTGAGATAATCATGTGGTTTTTGTCTTTGGCTCTGTTTATATGCTGGATTACATTTATTGATTTGCGTATATTGAACCAGCCTTGCATCCCAGGGATGAAGCCCACTTGATCATGGTGGATAAGCTTTTTGATGTGCTGCTGGATTCGGTTTGCCAGTATTTTATTGAGGATTTTTGCATCAATGTTCATCAAGGATATTGGTCTAAAATTCTCTTTTTTGGTTGTGTCTCTGCCCGGCTTTGGTATCAGAATGACGCTGGCCTCATAAAATGAGTTAGGGAGGATTCCCTCTTTTTCTATTGATTGGAATAGTTTCAGAAGGAATGGTACCAGTTCTTCCTTGTACCTCTGGTAGAATTCGGCTGTGAATCCATCTGGTCCTGGACTCTTTTTGGTTGGTAAACTATTGATTATTGCCACAATTTCAGCTCCTGTTATTGGTCTATTCAGAGATTCAACTTCTTCCTGGTTTAGTCTTGGGAGAGTGTATGTGTCGAGGAATTTATCCATTTCTTCTAGATTTTCTAGTTTATTTGCGTAGAGGTGTTTGTAGTATTCTCTGATGGTAGTTTGTATTTCTGTGGGATCGGTGGTGATATCCCCTTTATCATTTTTTATTGTGTCTATTTGATTCTTCTCTCTTTTTTTCTTTATTAGTCTTGCTAGCGGTCTATCAATTTTGTTGATCCTTTCAAAAAACCAGCTCCTGGATTCATTGATTTTTTGAAGGGTTTTTTGTGTCTCTATTTCCTTCAGTTCTGCTCTGATTTTAGTTATTTCTTGCCTTCTGCTAGCTTTTGAATGTGTTTGCTCTTGCTTTTCTAGTTCTTTTCATTGTGATGTTAGGGTGTCTATTTTGGATCTTTCCTGCTTTCTCTTGTGGGCATTTAGTGCTATAAATTTCCCTCTACACACTGCTTTGAATGCGTCCCAGAGATTCTGGTATGTTGTGTCTTTGTTCTCGTTGGTTTCAAAGAACATCTTTATTTCTGCCTTCATTTCGTTATGTACCCAGTAGTCATTCAGGAGTAGGTTGTTCAGTTTCCATGTAGTTGAGTGGCTTTGAGTGAGATTCTTAATCCTGAGTTCTAGTTTGATTGCACTGTGGTCTGAGAGATAGTTTGTTATAATTTCTGTTCTTTTACATTTGCTGAGGAGAGCTTTACTTCCAACTATGTGGTCAATTGTGGAATAGGTGTGGTGTGGTGCTGAAAAAAATGTATATTCTGTTGATTTGGGGTGGAGAGTTCTGTAGATGTCTATTAGGTCCGCTTGGTGCAGAGCTGAGTTCAATTCCTGGGTATCCTTGTTGACTTTCTGTCTCGTTGATCTGTCTAATGTTGACAGTGGGGTGTTAAAGTCTCCCATTATTAATGCGTGGGAGTCTAAGTCTCTTTGTAGGTCACTCAGGACTTGCTTTATGAATCTGGGTGCTCCTGTATTGGGTGCATATATATTTAGGATAGTTAGCTCTTCTTGTTGAATTGATCCCTTTACCATTATGTAATGGCCTTCTTTGTCTCTTTTGATCTTTGTTGGTTTAAAGTCTGTTTTATCAGAGACTAGGATTGCAATCCCTGCCTTTTTTTGTTTTCCATTTGCTTGGTAGATCTTCCTCCATCCTTTTATTTTGAGCCTATGTGTGTCTCTGCACGTGAGATGGGTTTCCTGAATACAGCACACTGATGGGTCTTGACTCTTTATCCAATTTGCCAGTCTGTGTCTTTTAATTGGAGAATTTAGTCCATTTACATTTAAAGTTAATATTGTTATGTGTGAATTTGATCCTGTCATTATGACGTTAGCTGGTGATTTTGCTCGTTAGTTGATGCAGTTTCTTCCTAGTCTCGATGGTCTTTACATTTTGGCATGATTTTGCAGCAGCTGGTACTGGTTGTTCCTTTCCATGTTTAGCGCTTCCTTCAGGAGCTCTTTTAGGGCAGGCCTGGTGGTGACAAAATCTCTCAGCATTTGCTTGTCTGTAAAGTATTTTATTTCTCCTTCACTTATGAAGCTTAGTTTGGCTGGATATGAAATTCTGGGTTGAAAATTCTTTTCTTTAAGAATGTTGAATATTGGCCCCCTCTCTCTTCTGGCTTGTAGGGTTTCTGCCGAGAGATCTGCTGTTAGTCTGATGGGCTTCCCTTTGAGGGTAACCCGACCTTTCTCTCTGGCTGCCCTTAACATTTTTTCCTTCATTTCAATTTTGGTGAATCTGACAATTATGTGTCTTGGAGTTGCTCTTCTCGAGGAGTATCTTTGTGGCATTCTCTGTATTTCCTGAATCTGAACGTTGGCCTGCCTTGCTAGATTGGGGAAGTTCTCCTGGATAATATCCTGCAGAGTGTTTTCCAACTTGGTTCCATTCTCCCCATCACTTTCAGGTACACCAATCAGACGTAGATTTGGTCTTTTCACATAGTCCCATATTTCTTGGAGGCTTTGCTCATTTCTTTTTATTCGTTTTTCTCTAAACTTCCCTTCTCGCTTCATTTCATTCATTTCATCTTCCATTGCTGATACCCTTTCTTCCAGTTGATCGCATCAGCTCCTGAGGCTTCTGCATTCTTCACGTAGTTCTCGAGCCTTGGTTTTCAGCTCCATCAGCTCCTTTAAGCACTTCTCTGTATTGGTTATTCTAGTTATACATTCTTCTAAATTTTTTTCAAAGTTTTCAACTTCTTTGCCTTTGGTTTGAATGTCCTCCCGTAGCTCAGAGTAATTCGATCGTCTGAAGCCTTCTTCTCTCAGCTTGTCAAAGTCATTCTCCATCCACCTTTGTTCCGTTGCTGGTGAGGAACTGCGTTCCTTTGGAGGAGGAGAGACCCTCTGCGTTTTAGAGTTTCCAGTTTTTCTGTTCTGTTTTTTCCCCATCTTTGTGGTTTTATCTACTTTTGGTCTTTGATGATGGTGATGTACAGATGGGTTTTCGGTGTGGATGTCCTTTCTGTTTGTTAGTTTTCCTTCTAACAGACAGGACCCTCAGCTGCAGGTCTGTTGGAATAACCTGCCGTGTGAGGTGTCAGTGTGCTCCTGCTGGGGGGTGCCTCCCAGTTAGGCTGCTCGGGGGTCAGGAGTCAGGGACCCACTTGAGGAGGCAGTCTGCCGGTTCTCAGATCTCCAGCTGCGTGCTGGGAGAACCACTGCTCTCTTCAAAGCTGTCAGACAGGGACATTTAAGTCTGCAGAGGTTACTGCTGTCTTTTTGTTTGTCTGTGCCCTGCCCCCAGAGGTGGAGCCTACAGTGGCAGGCAGGCCTCCTTGAGCTGTGGTGGGCTCCACCCAGTTGGAGCTTCCCGGCTGCTTTGTTTACCTAAGCAAGCCTGGGCAATGGCGGGCGCCCCTCCCCCAGCCTCGCTGCCGCCTTGCAGTTTGATCTCAGACTGCTGTGCTGGCAATCAGCGAGACTCCGTGGGCGTAGGACCCTCCGAGCCAGGTGTGGGATATAGTCTCGTGGTGCGCCGTTTTTTAAGCCGGTCTGAAAAGCGCAATATTCGGGTGGGAGTGACCCGATTTTCCAGGTGCGTCCGTCACCCCTTTCTTTGACTCGGAAAGGGAACTCCCTGACCCCTTGCGCTTCCCAGGTGAGGCAATGCCTCGCCCTGCTTCGGCTCGCGCACGGTGCACGGTGCGTGCACCCACTGACCTGCGCCCACTGTCTGGCACTCCCTAGTGAGATGAACCCGGTACCTCAGATGGAAATGCAGAAATCACCCGTCTTCTGCGTTGCTCACGCTGGGAGCTGTAGACTGGAGCTGTTCGTATTCGGCCATCTTGGCTCCTCAATTGTTTAACTTTTATATTTAAGCCTTTGATCCATTTTTGTATGTGGTATGAGATAGGGGTCCACGTTCATTCCAGTCCAAATGCTTTTGCATTTGGATATCCAGTAGTCCCAGCACCGTTTGTTGAAAAGACTTCTTTCACCATTGACTTGTCTTGGTATTCTTGTTGAAAATCAGTGGACTTATAAATGTAAATAACTGTTTTCTTTAAAAAAAGGGCTCAGACTTTTTATTTGTCCTTGCCAGGAGAAATAAGGCAAAGTATCACAGAGAGCAGTTCAGTTTTTTTGTTTTTTGAAATGAATTCAGGTCACCTCTCCATTAGGACCACTTTCTGGGAGGATGCCATCTAAAATTGCATCATGCTTGTGTACCTTCTTAATTACTTTTTTAGTAATGGACAAATATAGTGTGCTTCTAAAAATTTTTTACCTTCATTTAAATTGGGAAATGAATTCTTTTAACATCCAGTTCTCTTTGTCCAATAAAATTGTAAACATGTTAGAATTAGGCCTAGTATTATAGAGATTCATGTCCCCCCAACCCCTTCACTTGTTTTCAGACTTTACCTGGAGGCAAAGATTAATCTTTAAAAGAGTCATGCTTATAAGGTTGGGATGGTGCTGAGTGGCTTATGTTCTGCTGATTCCAGCTATAAAGCATTCTTTTGGCAAGCAGGAAAACAGTTGTTTTCATTACAATATACTGTAATTCTTGAGGTCCACTGAACTCTAAAAATACGGACTCAAAAAATGAAATGAAGAATTGTAAACTGTGTTTTTCCTTAGGACCCTTTTGTATTTGTGAGGTTAAAGTGGTTATCAGAATTTATTGAGAGTTAGATTATTTAGTTTTAAAGCTAATTCAGGAGATTCTCTGTGTCTAATGTAACACCACTGTTCACAAGTACTTGGTTCTATTTTTCATGACGAATTTTAAAAGGGGAAAAACTTTCTTATAGATCATATTTATCCTCATTTCTCCAGCTCTGAAATTGTCAGCGGAATACATGTATACATACTCATATAAAATTATATTTTTAATGAATAAGATTAATCTATTCAATGGTCTAATCTATTGTGTAAATACTACACAATTTATATTACAGTATGTTGTCTTTTTATAATTTTTAGTGTGTTTTTGTCCTATATATGTTTCCATAATATGCATTTAATAGATAATAGTAATATTACAGTTAACCTGAAGTCAGTTTTCCGGAAACCCTAAGTATTGCAAACATACTCCTTCAAACAGTAGCATGAATGAACAGTTTTTTAAAAAGGGAGCAATAAAATGAGAAAGCTTTTATTTTGTTTATGTGGACTTTCTTTTAGGGTCTGTCTCTTCTCTATAAGTTTATTATTTTCTTTTCAAGACGAAAATTCAAAATAGATGGCAGTTTAGGGAGCTAGGCTAAAAATGGCTGTGTACTGGAAGTGACAGTAAGGTGTGCTTCTTTAGTGCTTTTGAGCATAGCAATAGGAACATAGTCAGAATGACTAGGGAGTGGCAGCAGGGAAGAGTCAGCGGCGAAGAAAACCGATTCTTCAATTTACACATCCCTGTAATCAAGTTGGAGGAAGATAGAAAATAAACAGTAAATATATGTCATAGAACAATTAACTGTTGTTATTGGCTAGAACTGCAAGCAAGAAGAATGATATTGAGTGAAATGTAAATACAAAGGATTATGCAGTTCCCTAACATCTTTCTGTGGAGGCAGACTTTCAGAGTTACTTGTCTTCATTGGCCTCAGTGAGGTCAAATACTTGTTCTTTTTCTCTCCTCATTGTAGTATCATGTCTGATAGTCTCATTTATCTTTTGCCTTTAAATTCCTGAACCCATCATATCATTTCTCTCTCCTCTCCCAAAATTCTTCCTTGATTTATGAATGTTAGACTTAAAATGGCCCTGTTAACTTCATTCTCATGTTTAGGAATAACTGTATAAAATGCCCAGTGTTTGCTGAAAGTGATGACCAGTTCTTTCCAGATTTGTTTCTTATTGGGACAGAGTTAAGCCAAAAGGAAACTAAATAGAGGGGGAAAAATGCACCTTACTTAGCTAACAAAATAATGACTAGTGTTACAGGAATTTTATGTGAGACTTGAAAAAATATAAGCATTTGATTTTTCTGTTTTTCTGGCATCGATATATGATGCACCAACAGAAAAGTTATTAAGAAATTTCTCAATAGTGCCATTTGAAATTTTTCAGGCTGCTATCCATGTCCAGGGCCAAACATGAATCCTATTGCTCTTGGGAGCCGCTGGCTTGCTTATGCAGAAAACAAGGTAAGACGTGGCCTGTGTTTGGATTATTTGTAATGGAGCAAGTGTTGAAGGATTTTCCATAAAAAATACCTGTGCTCCATAGTTGATTACCAATAATAAATGTTTTACTTACTAGTTCATTTGCTTTGGTTTGGTTTTAATTGTGCAACTAATAATTGAACTCGTTTAAGAATTTATAAATGTTTGGCAGTTGTCATTAAGTCCAGACTCTGTAGAACCTTAATTGTTTTAGCTTGGTTTTATATAGAGAACTTCATTCTATTAATTTGCAGCATTGAGATGACCACAGTAGTGGTATTAAGGAAAGTAGTTTTTGACTTTTTAGAAATCAGGAGGCAGGAGTAACTTCTGTCTTCATTGGTAGATTAGAAACCTGGGCATAGAATAATTTAATTGACAAGGCTAGGCGTGATGGCTCACGCCTGTAATCCCAGCACTTTGGGAGGCTGAGGCAGGTGGATCATTTGAGGTCAGGAGTTCGAGACCAGCCTGGCCAACATGGTGAAACCCCGTCTCTACTAAAAATACAAAAATTAGCCGGGCGTGGTGGCATGCGCCTGTAATCCCAGCTACTCAGGAGGCTGAGGCAGGAGAATTGCTTGAGCCTGGGAAGTGGAGGTTGTGGTGAGCTGAGATCGCACCACTGCACTCCGTCTGGGCAACAGAGTGAGACCCTGTCTCAAAAAAGGAAAAAAAAAAAGAATAATTTAATTTACATTAACTATATGCTAACAACTATATCTAAATAAGGGTTCAGCCATTTGTTTTAATAGTTAAATCACACATGTTCACATTTTGTTGACTTCTTCGGTTATTTATCAATTTATTTATTAAGGTCATCATAATAAGTGAAGATACTATATGCACTAGGAATTTTACTTATGTCTGATTTAAGGAAAAAGGTAAATTTGAATCTTCAAAAAGAAAGATAAAATTCTTTTAATTCCATTTAGTACCCTGCATGTGAATATAGAATGAAATCTTCTAAAAGAATATTACTATTTTTGGTTTCGTTTTTGCTAGTTGCATAGTTATTGTATCTTGAGATTAATATGAATTAATATGAAATAGTTCTTGACAAAATTAGGATGTGGTAAGTAAAGTAGTTATTTGGTAAAGCCAAATCTACTAAATTTCTAGCCTCTGGAATGTACAAAAATCAAGAAACTACTGAAGAAAATTATTTTTCTGCATAAATTCTTTGAGATCTTATCCATAAATCTGTCTAACTACTAGATATGTTACATCTTCCTGAATTCTGTATTTATATTCCATTTTGTTTTTTCTCTTGATTTTCCAGTATATCTTGTAAAAATAGCTCTTTCAAATTATTCTTTTCAAACAAAACAAGGCATACAAGTAAGTGTAGTGACACAATGGTATCTTCTAATGTTTCTATCTGTAAAGCATTTCCCTTGAGTGCTGGAAACATTCAAGACAAAGATGTATAAATTGTCCCTTGGTTCTTGTGGATGTATTCTCACATATGGGGAACTGCCCATTTGGAAGTGGAGGTAATATGTAAGTAGTTACATATTGCCTTTGAGGGGAAAGAACTCCCTTCATAGATGCATAGCCTGAATATGCACCAGTTGTTTTCCCTCTTCAGGAATACATGTTAATATCTGGTGTCATGTACAGAGACCAGACAACGTAGTGGCCTTCACAAGGAGTTTGTGAGTCAAATGTCGTGCTTTCATCTCAAAATATTTCTAGATAAATGTCCTTACATAGTATTTTCATAAGAGCTAGCATTTATTAGTTTCTAATTGTTTTAGCTTTGGGGCTGAGTATAGAATTGTAAAATTGAATTAAATTTTGGGGTACCAGTCTCTTTCAGTGAAAATGCTCTTTGACTATAAAATCTTAAGAAGCCGTATATCTTTGTTTAGTTTTGAGATTCACAGGGTACACGTGCATGTTTGTTACACAGGTATATTGTGTAAGGGTGGGGATTCAGCTTCTAGTGTATCCATCATCCAGATATTGAACATTGTACCCCATAAGTGATTTTTCAACCCTCAGCTGCCTCTTCCCTCCCCCTTTTGGAGTCCCCACTGCCTATTTCCATTTTCATCATCATGTGTACCCATTGTTTAGCTCCCATTTATAAGTGAGAACATGCTATTTTTGATTTTCTGTTTCTGAGTTAGTTCACTTAAGGTAATGGCCTCCAGCTCCAAGCATGTTGCTGCAAAGGACATGATTTCATTCTTTCTGTGGTTGCAAAGTATTCCATGGTGTGTATAACCATATTTTCTTTATTCAAATAATCAGCTGCTGATAGACACCTAGTTTGGTTCCATGACTTTGCTATTGTGACTAGTACTGCGATGAAAATACAAGTGCCTGTCCTTTTTAAATTAATGATTTCTTTTCCTTTGGATATATACCCAGTGGTGGGATTGCTGGGTCGAATGGTAGTTCTATTTTTAGTTCTTTGAGAAATCTCCATACTCTTTTCCATTTACATTCCCACCAACAGTGTATAAGCATCCCCTTTTCTCCATATTCCTGTCAACATCTGTTGTTTTTGACTTATTTTTTTTTTTTTTTTTGAGACAGAGTTTTGCTTTTGTTGCCCAGGCTAGAGTGCAATGGCATGATCTCGGCTCACCGCAACCTCTGCCTCCTGGATTCAAGTGATTCTGTCTCAGCCTCCCAAGTAGCTGGGAGTACAGACATGCGCCACCATGCCTGGCTAATTTTGTATTTTTAGTAGAGATGGGGTTTCTCCATGTTGATCAGGCTGGTCTTGAACTCCCAATTTCAGGTCATCTGCCCGCCTCGGCCTCCCAGAGTGCTGGGATTATAGGCATGAGCCCCAGCGTCCGGCCGTTTTTGGCTTTTTAAGAATAGCCGTTTTCGGCCCGGCATGGTGGCTCATGCCTATAATCCCAGCACTTTGAGAGGCCGAGGTGGGTGGATCACGTGAGGCCAGGAGTTCGAGACCAGCCTGGCCAACATAGTGAAACCCTGTCTCTACTAAAAATACAAAAAATTAGCTGGGTGTGGTGGTGGGCGCCTGTAGTCCCAGCTACTCGGGAGGCTGAGGCAGGAGAATCACTTGAACCCGGGAGGTGGAGGTTGCGGTGAGCCGAGATCATGCCATCGCACTCTAGCCTGGCCAACAAGAATGAAACTCTGTCTCAAAAATAAAAATAAAAATAAAAAGTCGTTTTCACTGGCATAAGATGGTATCTTGGTGTGGTTTTAAGTTGCATTTCTCTGAATATTAGTGATGTTGAACATTTTTTTTTCATTTGTTTGTTGGCCATTTACATTCTTTTTGAGAAATGTCTGTTTATGTCCTTTGGGGTTTTTATTGGAGTTTGTTTTTTTCTTGTTCAGTTGTTTGAGTTTCTTGTAGATTCTTAGTTGGATGCATAATTTACAAATATTTTCTCCCATTGTGTAGTTTATCTGTTTACTCTATCGATTATTTCTTTTGCTGTGCAGGAACTTTTTAGTTTAATTAAGTGTCATTTGTCTATTTTTGTTGCATTTGTTTTTGGGGTCTTTGTCATAAATTCCTTGCCTAGGACAATGTCTAGAAGAGTTTTTCCCTAGGTTTTCTTCTAGGATTTCTATAGTTTCAGGTCTTACATTTAGGTCTTTATTCCATCTGAGTTAATTTTTGTATATGGTGAGAGATAGGGGTCTGGTTTCATTCTTCTGCATATGACTAGCCAATTTTCCCAGCTCCGTTTATTGAATAGGGTGTCCCTTCTCCATTGTGTATTTTTGTCAACTTTGTTAACAAAATATCAGTTGGTTATAAGTATCTGATGTTATTCAGTTCTCTGTTCAGTTATCTTGACCTATGATCTTTTTTTTTTTTTTTTTTTTTTTTGCACGACAGAGTGTAGCTCTGTTGCCAAGGGTGGAGTGCAGTGGCGTAATCTCTGCTTGTTGCAACCTCCGCCTCCTGGGTTCAAGTGATTCTTTCACCTCAGACTCCTGAGTAGCCGGGACTATAGGCACATGCTACCACACCTGGCTAATTTTTGTATTTTTAGTAGAAATGGAGTTTTATCATGTTGGCCAGGCTGGTCTTGAACTCCTGACCTCAAATGATCCACCCACCTTGGCCTCCCAAAGTGCTGGGATTGCAGGCATGAGCCACCATGCCCAGCCTATGTGTCTACTTTTGTACCAGTACCATGCTGTTTTAGTTACTGCAGCCTTGTAGTATAGTTTGAAATCAGGCAGTGTGATGCTTCCTGATTTGTTATTTTTGCTTAGGACCGCTTTGGCCATTTGCTGCCCCACCCCATTTTATTTTATTTTATTTTATTTTTTGCTTCCCTATGAACTTTAGGATAGCTTTTTCCAATTCTGTGGAAAAAACATTAATAATTTGATAAGAATTGTGCTGAATCTATAGATTTCTCTGGCCAGTATGGTCATTTAAATCATATTGATTCTTTCAGTTCATGAGCTTGGGATGTTTTTCCATTTGTTGGTGTTTACAATTTCTTTCATCAGTGTTTTGTAGTTTTTTCTTGTAGAGATCTTTCATCTCCTTGGTTAAATTTCTTCTTATATATATATTTTCGTAACTATTGTAAATGTGATTGCCTCTTTGCTAGATCATTATTGGTGTATAGAAATGCTATTGAATTTTGTATGTTAATTTTATATCCTGCAACTTTACTGAATCCGTTTACCAAATCTAAGATTTTGTGCGTGTGTGTGAAATCATTAGGTTTTTCTAGATACAAGATCATGTCATCAGCAAAGAGGGGCAATGTGACTTCTACTTTTCCAATTTGGATGCCTTTTCTTTCTTTCTATTGCCTTGTTGCTTTGGCTGGGACTTCAGTACTGTGTCGAATACGAGTGGTGAAGTTGGCATCCTTGTCTTGTAGTAAATCTTAGAGGAAAGGCTTTTAAATTTTCCCCATTCAGCCTGATGTTAGCTGTGGTTTTGTCATATATGGTCTTTATTATTTTGAGATAATTTCCTTCTATGCCTAGTTTGTTAAGAGTTTTTATCATGAAGGGATGTTGAATTTTATTAAATGCTTTTTCTTGTATCTATTGAGATGATCATATGGTTTTTGTCCTTCATTCTGTTGATGTGATTATCACTTATTGATTTAGATATGTTGAACCATCCCTATGTCTCTGGAATAAATCCCCCTTGATTGTGGTCTATTATATTTTTGATGTGCTGTTGGTTTTGATTTTCTAGCATTTTCTTGAAGATTTTGGTGTCTGTGTTCATCAGGGATCTTGGCCTATAGTTTTCTTTTTTGTGGCATCCTTGTCTGGTTTTGGTATCAGATGATGTTGGCTTCATAGAATGAGTTAGGGAGAGTTTCTTCCTCTTTTATTTTTTTGGAATAGTTTCAGGAAAATTGGTGATCTCTTTTGTACATTTGGTAGGATTCAGCTGTGAACCTGTCTAGTCCTGGGCTTGCTTTCTGGGAGACTTTATTACCTACTCACTCTCACTACTCATTATTGGTCTGCTCAGATTTCTGTTTTTTCCTGATTCAATCTTGTTACGTTAGGTTGTATGTTTCCAGGAATTTATCAATTTCCTCTAGGTTTTTCAGATTTTCAGTGTATAGCTTTTTATAATAGTTTGCTGATCTATTGTATTTCTGTGGTATCAGTTGTAATGTTCTCTTTTTCATTTCTCATTTTGTTTATCTGGGTCTTTCCTTTCTTGGTTAATCTAGCTAGTGTTTATCAATTTTGTTTATCTTTTTGAAGAACCAATTTTTTATTCATTGATCTTTTGTATTGTTTCATTAGTCTATTTTGCTTAGTTCTACTCTGTTTATTATTTCATTTCTTCTGCTAATTATGGGTTTGGTTTATTCTTTTTTAGCTCCTTTGGGTGCATTGTTAGATTGTTAATTTGTAATCTTTGTACTTTTTTGATGTAGGCGTTTATTGTTGTAAACTTCCGTCAGCACACCTTTTGCTGTATTCCACAGTTTTGGTATGTTGTGTTTCAAGATCATCATTTGTTTCAAGATTTTAAAGAATTGACTCAGTAGTGTTCAGGGGCATGTTATTTGATTTCCATATGTAAAGTTTCCAGAGTCCCTTTTGGTATTTATTTCTAGTTTTAGTCCATTGTGGTCTGAGAAGATACTTGATATGATTCAGTCTTTAAAAGTGTATTGAGACTTGTGGCCTAACATATGGTCTATCATGGAGAATGTTCTATGGGCTAAGAATGTATATTCTGCAGTTGTTGGATAGAATGCTCTATAAGAGTCTATTAGGTCCATTGGGTCTAAAGTCCAGTTTAAGGCCAGGCACGGTTGCACATGCCTGTAATCCCAGCACTTTGGGAGGCCAAGGCGGGCCAATGACTTGAGGTCAGGAGTTCAAGACCAGCCTGGCCAACATGGCAAAATGCTGTCTCTACTAAAAATACAAAAATAGCCAGGCATGGTGGCGTGTGCCTGTAATCCCAGCCACTTGGGAGGCTAAGGCAAGAGAACCATTTGGACCCAGGAGGTGGAGGTTGTGGTGAGCTGAGATCACTGCACTCCAGCCTAGGTGACAAAGCAAGACTCAGTCTCAATAAATAAATAAATAAAGTCCAGTTTAAATCCAATGTTTCTTTGTTGATTTTCTGGCTAGATGATCTGTTTAATGCTGAGAGGAGTTTTGAAGTCCCCCACTATTACTGTATTTCAGTTTATCTCTCTCTTTAGATATAGTATATACTAATATTTGCTTTAGGAATCTGTGTGCTCCAGTGTTGAGTGCATATATATTTAGAACTGTTATATCCTCTTGCTGAATTGATCCCTTTATCATTATATAATGACCTTCTTTGTCTTTTTTTTTTCCAGCTGTTTTTGACTTTAGAGTCTGTTTTATCTAATATAAGTATAACTACCCCTGTTCACTTTTGGTTTCCATTTGTGTGGAATATCTCTTTTTTTTTCCCCTTTACTTTTAGTCTACATATGTCTTTATGGTAAGGTAAGTTTCTTGTAAGGAGCATATAGTTGGGTCATTTAAAAAAATCCATTTAGTTATTCTGTCTCTTTTAAGTGGATTATTTATTTTATTTACATTCAAAGTCATTATTAATATGTGAGACTTTGTTCTTATATTGTTGATTGTTTTCTGGTTATTTCGTATATTTTTGGTTTCATTCTTTTTCTCTTATTGTTTGATGTTATGGTTTGGTGGATTTCTGCAGTGGTACTCTTTGAGTTCTTTCTCTTTCTCCTTTGTGTCTTTGCTTTACCAGTGAGTTTCATAGTTTGGTGTGTTTTTGTGATACTAAATGTTGTCCTTTCACTTCCAGGTTTAGGGCTACTTTGAGCATGTCTTGTAGGGTCAATATAGTGATAATGAATTTTCTCAGAATTTGCTTGTTGGAAAAAATGTCATTTCTCCTTCATTTATGAAGGGTAATTTTGCTGGATACAGTATTCTTGACTGACATACTTTTTTCTTTCAACCCTTTGAATCTATAATTCCATTGTCTTCTGGCTTGTGAGGTTTCTGCTAAGAAATCTACAGTTAATGTGATGAGGTTTCCTTTATATGTGACTAGACACGATTTTTTCTTGCTGCTTTTAGGATTCACTCTTTATCTTTGATTTTAGACAATGACTATAATGTGCCTTAGAGAAGACCTTTTTCCATTGTATCTGCCTGGGGATTGCTAAGCCTGTTGTATCTGAATGTCCAAACTTTTGTTAGACTTGGGAAGTTTTCATCTATTATTCCATTAAATGTGCTTTCAAATTTTTTCTTTCTCTCTTCAATGTCAGGAATACTTATAATTGTAATATTTTGACACTTTATGTTTCCCCAGATGTCATAATGTCTTCGCTTATTTTTAAAATTCTTTTTTCTTTATTTTTATCTGACTGGATTGTTTCAAAAGATCTGTCTTCAAGTTCTGAGATTCTCCCTTTTGCCTGATGTAGTCAGTTTTATTTTACTTATTTATTTATTTATTTAGAGACAGGATCTCACTGATCTTACTCTGTCATCCAGGCTGAAGTTCACTGGTGCAATCACAGCTCACTGCAGCCTAGACCTCCAGGGCTCAGGTGATCCTCTTGCCTAAGCTTCCTGAGTAGCTGGGTCTACAGATGTGTGCCACCACACCAGGCTAATTTTTTTAATTTTTATTTTAT
This sequence comes from Homo sapiens, assembly GCF_000001405.40. Lineage (NCBI taxonomy): Eukaryota > Metazoa > Chordata > Mammalia > Primates > Hominidae > Homo > Homo sapiens. Next base: position 60,897,904 of record NC_000017.11, read on the forward strand.
TTTTATTTTTTTTTTTGGTAGAGATAGGGTCCTGCCATGTTGCCCAAACTGGTCTTGAACTTCTGGGCTCAAGCAATCTTCCTGCCTTGACCTCCCTAAGTGTTGGGATTACAGGCATGAGCCACTGTACCTGGCCAGAATTTCTCTTTGACCCTTTTAAAAATTATCTGTCTCTTTGGTAAATTTCTCATTTATATTCTGAATTGTTTTTCTGATTTTTCTGTATTGTTTTTCACAGTTCTCTTGAATCTCACAAGGTTGTTTTAAATTATTATTTTGAGTCCTATAAATGGGCTCTCATAAATTTCTTTTTGATTAGAATCTGGCTGGAGAGTTATTGTGTTTCTTTGGAGGCATCATATTTTATTTTTCATGTTTCCTGTGTCTTTACATTGATATTTGCACATCAGGTGCAACAGTTACTTCTTCATATTTTTACATTTACTTTCGTAGAGGACTTTTTTTATTAATGAAGATATATCTATAGTACTGGTTGGATAGGACACTTTGGTCTTGATTCTGGGTGTGTGCGGTAATGTAGTCTGATTTTTTTTTTCTGTATACATCATTAGGGGTATTTATTATTTACTTAATGAATTAGGGTGTGATTATTAGTGGTGGCTGTGGTGAAGTTTTGCTGGAGACTGGGATGCCAGGTTGACTGGTCATCAGTATGCAGTGGTGGCAGCATTGGGCTGAGTGTGCCTATCCTTGTGCCCCAGAGTAGTGTACACTGGCACCTATATTGGTGGTTACAAGTGGGCTGATTGTTGGTCTTCCAGGTAGCTTGCTTGGATGCTGGTAGTGGCAATGGTGAACAGTATGGGTGGGCTGGTTCCTGAGCCCCTGGGCAGCCAGTGTAACATGGGTGATAACGGTAGCAGTGGCAAGATAATTATTTTTGTTCCTAGTGGCGTGTGTTGATGTTGGTGGTGGCTGCAGTGGTCTGGGGGTTCGGGAGGTAGTCTCCAGGCCTGTGGTTGGAGCTTGCAGGTAGGTGCCAGCTTTTGAGGCAGTGGCAGGGAGATAAGGCCCAACCTCAGACCCCCTGGAGGAGTGCTTATGTACCCAAAGAAGTGGATTGGTTTGGGCAGTCCCAAGGACCCTGGGTTATGAGTTCTGTCTTTGGGGGTTGAAGGCAGAACTAGGCTGGGTGGGCTTGTTCTCAGGCTCCCCAATGATGAGAGCAGATACCAGCCATGGTGGGTGGGGACAGGGTAATCCTAGGATCAGTTTTTGGGTGAGGGGCCCTGAGGCTGCTTATGGAGAGGGTAGGTCTGGCCTCAGTGGCCACAGCTAGGCTGGTAGGTGGGGAAAATGTGTCTCTTTCACACCCCAGTCCCAGTGGGGCTCACCCCCCAGTCCCGGTGGCAATGGCATATACCTGTCTCACCCCCATCCCTGGCTGCAGGAGCCTCTGCCCAGCTCGCAACCAAGTCTTAGTGGCAACTCATGCCTGCTCATGTCTCAGTCTCTGGCCTGGCAGCACTTGCTTCCCTGCATTGGTAGCTGCTACAGCCAATGCTTTACTCGATTCTCAGCCCCTAGTGCGGGAATGAGCCCAGATCACACCCTAGTCCCAGCAGTGACAGCCTGAGATTTTTTTTTTCCTGAGATGGAGTCTCGCTCTGTTGCCCAGGCTGGAGTGCAGTGGCGCAATCTTGGCTCACTGAAACCTCCACTTCCTGGGTTCAAGCAGTTCTCCTGCCTCAGCCTCCTGAGTAGCTAGGATTATAGGCATGCACCACCATGCCTGGCTAATTTTTGTATTTTTCATAGAGACAGGGTTTCACCATGTTGACCAAGCTGGTCTCTAACTCCTGACCTTGTGATCTGCCCACCTCAGCCTCCCAAAATGCTGAGGTTACAGGTGTGAGCCACCACTCCAGGCCCCTGATTTTTTTTTTTTTAACACCTCAGTCCCAGTGCTGCTAGGCCCCAGAGCAGCATGCCATCTGCCAAAAACCAGGTTTGAAAATGATGTCTTGCTGGGCATGGTGGCTTGTGCCTGTAGTTCCAGCTACTTGGGAGGCAGAGGTAGGAAGATTGCTTGAGTTCAGGAGCTCTGGGCTGTAGTGCACTATGCCAATCAGGTGTCTGCACTAAGTTCAGCATCAATATGGTGACCTCATAGGAGTAGGGGACCACCAGGTTGCCTAAGGAGGGGTGAACCAGCCCAGGTTGGAAATAGAGCAGGTCAAAATTCCCATGCTGATCAGTAGTGGGATTGCACCTATGAATATTGCACTCCAGCCTGTGCAACATAGTGAGACGCTGTCTCTTAAAAAAAAAAAAAAAGAAAGAAAGAAAAGAAAAAGAAAATATTGTCTTGCTATAGCCACTTAGGTATCAGAAAGTGTATAGGACCCAGTACAAGCTCCCTCCCTGGAGCAGTTCTGTTGGAGAGTCTCCTGGCAGCTCCCTATGTTAAGTTTCAGGGCCTGGGAGGGTAGAGGGTCTCTTTCCTGGCTAAGATTGCATGGTTCCATGGTTGGGGATGTGGGCCGCTGGAATTCTCTTACTTACCCTTGCCTTGTGTTGGGAAGCCACTCCCAGCTCCCAGCCTATCCTAGCCAAGCAGGCTACTTGTCTTCCTTCTCCTACCCACTTTTGGTGTTTCCTGTTAGTTCTCTGTTGAATTCCAGTGTTTTACCTTGGACAGTGTATTTGAAGTGTGATTCTCTATGCACTATTTTGGTTCTTCTAAGTGGAAGAGGTGAGCATGAAATGGTGTTTGACCAAAGTCTATATCCCTTTCATTCACAAATGATAACGTATATATGCTCTTTGGCAAACTGCTTTTTTTTTTCTTTTGCTTAACAATATTTCCTGGAAATTAGTTCATTTGATAGAATTTTGCACTATTTCTATAGTGCAAAATTCTGACTCATCTTTGATTTTGTTGAACCAAGATACAAATGTAATTTTCTGATGATTCTAAATTTAGACCAAAATTTCTGACTTAGTTACTTTTGTGTAGAACTGCTGACTCAGTTGTAGTTGAATTTGAAAGGTAAGAATAGGGCTGGGCGTGGTGGCTCACTCCTGTAATCCTGGCACTTTGGGAGGCTAAGACTGGTGCATCACTTGAGGCCAGGAGTTTGAGACCAGCCTGGCCAACATGGGGAAACCTCGTCTCTACTAAAAATAAACAAAAAAAATCCAGGCGTGGTGGCATGTGCCTGTAATCCCAGCTACTTGGGAGGCCGAGGCGGGAGAATTACCTGAACCCAAGAGGCAGAGGTTTCAGTGAGCTGAAATCATACCACTGCACTCCAGCCTGGGTGACGGAGTGAGACTCTGTCTCTTAAAAAAAAAAAAAAGAAAGGTAAGAGTGTTGTTGTTGTTGTTGTTGTTTTTTACATATTTGTCCTTGAGTATTTTAATTACCAGAAGCAGGGAATAAGTAATAGCCTTTCTTTTCTTGCTTATGCAGCAGGAGGCAGCAGAGGAATAATTTTCATAATTATTTGAATGTGTATTTGTGGATGAATGAGTGAGCAAGAGAGAGATTCTTTTTATTTGCTAAAATGATCACTTTTCAAATTCTTTATTGTACTCTATGTGAAACCACATTTGATGATCACCTGACATTTGGAAAATTCCTCACTTCTCTCTTTCAAATCTATTTAAGCAGTCATTCAGTGTGATGTAACAGAGATTGCTTAAAAAAATCTTGACTTTGCATATCATACTTTTAAGGGTGTTCCATTCTATTATAATATATTACTATTGCTTTCAGGGATGTTTAAAATAACAATGTCAGTGATGAAGAAAATTTTGAATTAAGAATAAAAGGATTACATATCAGTCTTCATCAGAGGACCTGGTTTTAAACAATGTAAAGCATTTTTAATTTTTACTTTTTGTGAGATATAGATTCTTCGTGAATTCCAGAGGTTCTAAAAAACTCATAATGTGGTGCAGTTCTAATACTCTACCCTTGTCATTTTGTTTTTTAAAAATGTTAAACATACAAATCTGGCTAATGACATTTTTTGCTAAATATAGGAAGTAGAGGACCAGTGGAGAATTTAATCCTGGTTTATTGCGTAGCATGTGAAATAATCATGCATATCAAAGTAGTGATTCATTTTGAAAATTGGCAGTTTGCTTTATTTATGTCAGTCACAAATAAGGATATGTCTTTTTCATTCCTAATGGTAAAAGTTTAAGCTCTCTGAAGTGGACAGCTAATATACTTGTCATAGTTGATTTATGCGTAATTTGTAATGCTTTTCCACTGACACAATTGAAAATATAAATATGGCAAAATCTTTTGTCTACTTTTTATGTTTTCTTTTATAATCTTTGTGGAGGAGTTAACAGGATAAAACATCTAATTTGTTAGCATGTCAGATATTTAAGTTAGGAAGTCATGTGTAAGTCCTTTGATTACGTTTTTAAAATTTATTTGTGGAAAGGCCACCAGACCCCAATCCTACCATTTCAGAGTTTATGGATTCTTAAAGACCATTCTTCTTGTAATGAAAACCGTAGTTGAGCATGAAACTGCCTGAGTGGCACCAGTAGATTATAAAAAGGGGTAGAAGTGTCTCGGCAAAGCTTTTAGCTGTTTGTCTGAAATACACTCATGCAAACATTCCCACCCATCACCATCACTGTTCACGGAAAATAAGCTCTATCCTGATAGCCTGTAGAGTTAAACAGATTAATAGAAATGACGTTCTGCTTCTCTCTCTCTCTTTTTCTCAGTTGATTCGATGTCATCAGTCCCGTGGTGGAGCCTGTGGAGACAACATTCAGTCTTATACTGCCACAGTCATTAGTGCTGCTAAAGTGAGTACCTCCGAAATCTTGGAGAGTTGTGGTTATGTGTAGTAATTGTTCAGATTTCTCTCCTGAATTATATTTTCTATTGTAATGATTGTAGTGCTTGTACTTATCCAATTTTAAAGATTTTAAGTCTGTTAACTAGCTTCAAGACTGTTACCTAATTAATACCACATTTGGAAGAAGCTTTCCATGTTTTAAACAGTGACTTCTGGATTCTCTGTGATTTGCATCGTTCTGCCTACACTGACATCCCTTTGCATCTTTGAACATTTCAGAGTCTTCTTCTCATGAAAAGAATATTATTCCCTATGAAAACTTGAGTCAGTCCCTCGTCACATTCAAAGATTCTTTTATATCAAGGGGCTGCCCCTTCATGTTTGTCAAGTGAGCTCTTTTTTTCATGTGTGTGAGGGTTAATTTTGATGATGTCTGGTAAACTTTATGCTGATTATAAGGTATTCTTGTAACCACTATCCTTTAGAATTGTGAAGTATACAACAAAACAATTCTAATAATAGGAATGACAGAGTGAATCTAAAAGACAACATATAATAGAAAGCACAACCATTCAGAAAAGAACAACAGTTTAAAGCAAACCACAGAGTGGGAATCAAAGGTCACACTGTTTTATGTAAAACAAATACAAAAATACTTCATATTTGATCACAGACGCTTACATGATGCGCTTCAGAATGTGTTCCTTGGTTTGATGAGAGAAGCATTACATATTTTTCACCCAAAAGGGAATTAACCATTAGGTCTTTATGCCTATAGCACTATGAGTTTTTAGATTTCAGAAATCTTTTTTCTTTTCTTAAGACAGGGTCTCGCTCTGTTGCTCAGGCAGGAGTGAACACCCACCTCAGCCTTCCAAGTAGCTGGGACTACGGGCGCATGCCGCCACGCCTGGTTTGTAGAGACAGGGTTTTGCCATGTTACGCAGGCTGGTCTTGAACTTCTGAGCTTAAGCAATCCACCCACCTCAGCCTCCCAAAGTGCTGGGGTTACAGGTGTGCATCACCGCACCCAGCAATTGCAGAAATCTTAATAAAGATTGCTTACTTTTCTCCATTGTGTATAGAAAAATTATGATGGTTATTTCAATGAAGAGCTGAGAGAGAGTATTTAGAAAACATCTTCAGTATTAGTCTACTCATTTATCCACAAAATACAACGAGATCTTTTTCTCAAGTATTAGACTCCTTTTAGACTTGTCTATCTCATACACATGGGTCACGATAGTTTAGCTTATGATCATTTTCAGTAATTTTTAGTTATGGAATGGAGGATAACTTTTCAGCTCCTGTTTGCTATTCTTATGTGTTTATGTGCTTATATAAAAAGAAAGTGATCTTCATTCCATGTTTTGCTGTGGACATGCTGGAGTGAGGCTGGACTTAAGATGTTTTAAAAATAAGTGCAGGGCTGGGCGCTGTGGCTCATGCCTGTAATCCCAGCACTTTGGGAGGCTGAGGTGGGCGGATCATGAGGTCAGGAGTTCAAGATCAGCCTGGCCAACATAGTGAAACCCCGTCTCTACTAAAAATACAAATATTAGCTGGGCATGGTGGCGGGTGCCTGTAGTCCCAGCTACTCAGGAGGCTGAGGCAGGAGAATTGCTTGAACCCAGGAGGCGGAGGTTTCAGTGAGCTGAGATCACGCCACTGTACTCCAGCCTGGGCGACACAGCGAGACTCTGTCTCAAAACAAACAAACAAACAAACAAACAAAACAACAAAAAAAATGCAAACTCCCCATTTTCTCATACCTCAATATTGGGAACTGTGAGGCATATACTCATGTCTTCCACATTTAAGACTATGAAATTATGTTTAATATAACACTTTAGGGCTGGATGCTGTGCCTCGTGCCTGTAATACCAGCATTCTGGGAGGCTGAGGTGGGAGGATCACATGAGCTCAGGAATTTGAGACCAGCTGAGGCAATATAGTGAGACCCTGTCTCTACAAAAAAATTTAAAAATTATCTGAGTGTGATGGTACATGCCTGTTGTCCCAGCTACTCCAGAGGCTAAGGTGGGAAGATTGCTTGAGCATTGGAGGCCGAGGCTACAGTGAGCCATGATTGCGTCACTGCAATCTGTTTACTTTTCTTTTTGGGAGAATATAAGGGTTATTTTTAAAAAACTCACAAAGATGTCTCCAGACCTAGAAAACTTCTCTAGAGAATTCTTTTTAATATTTAAGAATAAACAATGGCAATATTACAAAGACTCTTCCAGTGAATAAGCAAAGTCAGATTATGCCTAATCTGGTTTGATGAAGCCAGATCACCTTAATACTAAAACTTTAGAAGAGCATTATAATACAAGAACACTACAGTCCAAATCAATGAACATAGATGTGAAAAATCCTAAATAAAATATTTGCAGAAAAACAGCATTATATAGGATACCATATATATTGTGTCACAGTCCATTTGGAATAAGAATATATGGACATAATTATAGTATAATATATAGGACACAATATATGCTGTGTCACAATCCACTTGGGATAAGAATATATAGGACACAATTCTTCAGTATATAGGACGCTATATATTGTGTCACAATCCATTTGAGATAATCCACAATATAAGCTGGTTTATCACTCAAGATCAATGAGCATAATTTGCACATTTAACAGGAGAAAATTATATGCTTATCACAATAGATGAACAAAAAGTATTTGATAAAATTGAAAATATATTCATTGATAAAATCTTAATAAATACAGATAGTTTCTGGTTCTCTTGGTTTTTAAATTTTTCTCAAATTATCAAACTTGTTTAAACACAGTAAACCTGGTCATACTGAAGTCTGTTTCTGATAACTCTAATGTCTGGTTCCCTTTTGGGTCCATTTCTCTTGTGTGTTGTTTCTGCTCGTTCTCATTTATTATGACTTGAGTCCTTGTGAAGCGGTGTCATTTGTCTGGGGTAATACCCGAAGTTTGTTGTCTCATGCCAAGGAAATTGAAGACGCGGACACACAAGGAATGGGTTTAAGAGTGGAAGTTTCATAGATGAAGAAAGAAGAGAGCTTCCTCCTGCAGAGAGAGGGGGCCTGAGCGGGTTTCAGGATTGGGGCGAGATGTGATTGGTTTTATAGATGAGCTTGAGGAGGTCATGTTTGATTTACATAGGGTGTAGTGGGTTGGTTGGACCAGGTGTGTCATTTGCATAGCATGTGTAGAGGCTGGCTATCCCACCATAATCTTTTATTATGCAAATGGAGTCTCTACCTGGCTGGTGCCATGTTGCCTGCACATGTGGTTACAAAGAAAAGGTAAGAGGGAACCTCTCGGTTGAATATACCTGACTTCCAGATATCCCTTTTCTATTGGCACAGCTGCTGGCATTCACCTATGCAAGCTTCCAGCTTGCTTATCTATGCTTGCAGCTTGATCTTTCAGGCTGCTTTTTGTTAGAAAAGAAATTATTTGGGGGCTGATTTTTATTTAAAGGAAAACCTTGCTGAGGACTCTCTTACTCTCACTAACTGCCTAAATAATTTCTTTTTAACTCCTGTTATCACTTGTTTGCCAGAATTTATTTCAAAACTTTTTAGAAAATAGTTTTGAGTTTGGGATGACAGTGGAGTTCTGGGACAGTATCAGTCTTGAATAATAATCCAATTTCAGGGATTGAGATTATTTGAGTGAAGTTCACCTGCAATAGCTGTGGTCACCTTATTGCTGTAGGTGGACTCTTCTATTGTATATTTCTTTATGTTCAAACCCAAGCTTGGAGGGAATGTCACCAAGTAGACCCATTTGGCAGGGCTTTGACTCTCATAGATGATTTTCTAGTTCCATCTATCAAAAACACCACTTAGTTTCTTAGCACCCTACCTCCTGCTTCCTAGAATCACCAGATACCTCTAGGCCTAAATGCCTAGCTGAAATGTCTGGATTTCCTTATTCTTTCGGATTCTGACTTTGTAACTCAGTACCTTCAAGCAGCATTTTACAAAAATATTCTCTTCGATTTTCCTAGTTGTTCTCATTAGTGGAAATCAGATTGATCTGATTTCCCCAACCTGTCATTATTGAAAATAGAAAACATATTTTCTTATTTATTTTTTAACCATTTCTAGGTGATATATTTTTTGAGATACAACATGGAGAGCACGTTAAAAAGCCATGTAGTATGTGCTCCTTAAGAAAAATACTTAAGTAATTTTACAGTTACTTTATTAAGTCACTTTCTCTGAAAGTGTAATCATTACTCTTTTACTCTTTCCGATGACAGCTTCCCTTGTGGCTTAATAGAGGTTATTAACCACTTTGTTATATAGAAGGATGAATTATTAATTTTTTTGTCTTAAATTTTTTGTCTCACTGCAATTGTGAGGATAAATATATTCATTGCATATGTACTTGGAGCTCCTTAGAGGAAATAATCTTTTTTACATTTTCTGCATTTCCAAATACAACTTGCATAATATTTATGCTATTAATGTTTTTTCCTTTGATTTTCCAAGTAATTTGACTTTTCTCATAAAGAATATGAGAGTCATGAATTTTTTATGGTAGTGATAAAAAATATTGAAATTGTTCAAATGAGATTATTTGACACATTTATAAAATCTTGGTCCATATTTTCTAGTTCCCTCATTACCGTCTTATTTTCATGTGTGTTACCAGTGTGGTCAATTGATTTAATAAAAATGCCCCTGTTTTCTCTTGTTATCTGATAACTTCCTAATGACAACTAACAGCTTTTGTGAGAGCAGCACCATTAGCACTAATGGATAGGGAGGCCAACTGATATGGCATGGGAAAGGTTAAAGATGACTAGTGACCCTTCGGCAAATCTGCTTGCAGCAGAACAGAATAAGTACCATGCTCATTTGAATTATAGGTCATAACGGATTTTCTCACACTTTCGTTATAGTCTGTCATGTTCAGCTGTCTTACAGCTACAGTTTAGTTCTGTGAGTACTTGTGTGAAGATTCATCAGTGATTTAATGAACATTTTTATGTAGATACCTCAGATTGTGAGGACACTTAGTCTAATTTTTCATCTCCTTTTGGCCAGGTTATACTTCTCTATTCCTAATTTTTGCTGAGGCTTTATAATTTTTCATATATATTTGAGAAAATAGTCAGATATATACATACTCTGTCTACTAAAATTAATTGGAGAGACAAATTACTGTGAGGTGATTTAGATTTCCGTTAAATAACATTATCAGTTAACTTCTGGACACTAGTGCTCATAGATGTGCTTGATGCTAACATGGAAACAAATTTACCCTAAAAGCAAGGGTCTTTACAAATGCAGAAAACTTCCAGCACTTTTCTCTAACACCCCTGACTCCCTGCATAGTTAATGGGTTATGATAAATAGTAGTATCTTGTAACTTGCTATACAAATTGCATATTTGATGACTTAAATTTTGAGTTTAGATTTTTGTCCACTACTAAGACAACTCCATCAATAGTCATGTTTTTTTTTTCCCTAGGAAATATCAAACACTCTTCATGTAATATGAGCTGTTGACTATGAAATCTACTGCTGTCTTCTCTCTGTGGATCTTTTTCCTGGTTCTCTTATGTTAACTTTTACTGTTGTGGTTTGCTTTGGTACACATTACTTTCCACTTTTTATGTGCTCCAGTTCTTTTAGTTTTATTCCTTTTCATTGGTATAAGAGCATGAAATAATAGGCTCAGGGGCAAATGGGGAGGATATACAACCAAAGACTTTAAAACTAAAAGGCATTCCTTTGATAAAGGGATAGCTGTGTTTAAGTGGGAGCATCTCCATTAGCATTAATGGAGTGAGTACATCAGTTAAGGCATCTCAGAGGTTAATCAGGCTTCCTGGCCTGCTCTTGACATCAATACACTGTGGCGCCTGAATCTGTTGGTCCTTCAGAGGCTTACTTGACAACACTCCAACAGACTTTGTGTAAGTCATTTCTTGTGAATTATTGAAAGAAATGTTTGGCTGCTAATTGAGGAACGTTGATGTGTTTTATAATCGCGGGAGTTTGAGTTTTTAGCACTAAACAAAACAGTTACAATTGATTTGTGGCTTTCTCTTGGTTTTAGTCTGCTGTTAAATTATATCTTTTTATTTGAATTCAGCATATGGCTTTGCTGGTCATTTTTATTTAAGTATTTATTAGTATATTATTATGGATTTTAATTTTTCCTGTTTTCCACCTTTCAGACATCTGTGTTTTGTATTCATTAACTGTGAGATCACAAGTAGTAACAGAAATAGATTACAAGGCAGTACAGGATAGTGTAAAAATCAGGCCCTGGAGACAGATGGTCCCAGTTTTGAATTCTGACTTTGTCATTGGGTAACTGTTTGAGCTTCCATTTTACTTAACTTCCCTAGCCTCGATTTTCTCTTTCATAAAATTGAAGTATCTGAGGAAATCTATCAACATAGTTTATGTTAAGTGCCTTTACCAGTCCCTAGTCCATAGAAAAGCCACCGTGGAAACATAGCTACCATAAAATAATGCATCTATTATTAGTGCTAGTTTTATGGTATTTTAATAGAACACTTCTTTGGAAAATACTTCTCCCATTTTCAGTTTTAATCTAATTATTGCTTACATCACATTTAGACCTCTATACACAACTGTCTTTGTGTACTATTTATGAATTAAAATTTGAAATACCATGTATATAATAGTTTATATTTTCAAATTTAGCCATAGCATGTGCCAGAATTAGGTAAGGATTTTTTTTTCATAATTGTTTTAGAAAAGATAGTCACCTCATTGAAGATTAATTTGAAATATTTTAATGAAACTTTTTTTCTTACAACATGAGAATTGGAAAAATGTACCTATATTATTTAAAATGTAATTTTTGATGTGTCTAAGTATTCTAGGGTGCCTGTTTTTGTTCTAATGATGATACCCTTCTTCAGCAATGTGTGACTCACAAGTATTTGTCTTTATTTTAGCTTTCTTCCTTTCATTTCTTTTTCTGTAGACTCAGAAACTTGAAGCTTTCTTCCTTTCAGATGAAAAAACTTGTTATTTAGAAAAATGTTTCTATTAATGCATATGAAGATAATCAGAGGATATTCACATAGAAGAAAAAATATTTCACGAGTTAGTTTTACTTATATGTTTTGAATGAAATGGAGCTAAAATGTAATTATAAACATCTTAAGTTATCTTTAATTGAAATAATATAGTAGGAGCACCACATTTAATTGTTTTCTGTTACCAGATAGAAAATAACTCTCTTAACTAATTTAGTATGATACTTCATTCATCCAGTGATTAATATCTTGGACAGAGATTGTGTTTTCCATATGCCAAATCTTGGTATACAGTATTATATAACAGCATATTCATAGATTTGCTTTGGAAGCACATTCTTTTCCACATAGGTATTCTACCAGTGTCTCAGTCTTTTTCATACTAGAAATAGGTATACAATTAGAGTTATAATATTTCAAAGAATTGACCATTTCATAGTTTCTACTTCTTCCTATGTCATTGATTTTAAGATGTATACATTAAGAGGAGGGAATGAAAGAAATATCTTCTATAAAAATATAATTGTACCCTTATGTAAAACAGAGCTCTTTAATTTTTTTAACTATGGCTTTATGCCTGCCATGGTGACTTTAGAGACTTTACTGATGCCATTCCCTCAAACTAATACTGATATTCTAATTAAAATTCAAGATCATTAAAAGTCAGACTGAATGTCTGTGACAGTTTACTGCTATAAAAGATTGTAAGAGAATAAATAACATAATGATTAGGAAAATTAATAAAATGCGTATTTCTATGTAGAATCCAAATACTGATGTGAAGTCATACATTTTACCTTTCATTGTACAGACATTGAAAAGTGGCCTGACAATGGTAGGGAAAGTGGTGACTCAGCTGACAGGCACACTGCCTTCAGGTGTGACAGAAGATGATGTTGCCATCCACAGTAATTCACGGCGGAGTCCTTTGGTCCCAGGCATCATCACAGTTATTGACACCGAAACCGTTGGAGAGGGCCAGGTAAGAAGAACTTTTGGTGCGTACCATGTGTGTTACTTGCAAAGATGGGGCTAAGATCAAGATTAGTCAAAATGTATTTGGCCTAGGAGATTATCAATTTGGAATTTTAGGAATTCAGATTATTTCAAATGAGGTTTTTCTTTAAAAATGATTAGTAACATGTTAGAACCTGCTGTTTTGAACATTATTAATGCATCAAACCTGAAGGTAAAGTCGAGGTTCTAAGAGATTCTCTTATCTGTGAGGACATTTGTTTCATAAATAAATAATTATATAACATTTAATACTGTTCTGTTCATAATATTCTTTTTTTTCTTAACTTGCTACCCTAGAGACTCAGTTATTGTTTCTTTTTTGTGTGTAATGACATTTGTCATAACCTAAATTGTAAGATTAATAAATTTTTTTCTTTTTTTCTTTCTTTTTTTTTTTTTTTTTGAGATGGAGCATCACTCTGTTGCCCAGGTTGGAGTGCAGTGGAGTGATCTCAGCTCACTGCAATCTCTGCCTCCTGGATTCAGCGGATTCTCCTGCCTCAGCCTCCCGAGTAGCTGGGATTATAGGCATGTGCCACCACACCCAGCTAATTTTTGTATTTTTATTATTTATTTATTGAGACAGAGTCTTGCTCTGTCGCCCAAGCTAGAGTGCAGTGGCACGATCTTGGCTCACTGAAACCTCCACCTCCTGGGTTCAAGCAATTCTCCTGCCTCAGCCTTCCAGGTAGCTGGGATGTAGGTGCGTGCCTCCATGCCCAGCTGACTTTTGTATTTTTTAGTAGAGTTGAGTTTCTCCGTGTTGGCCAGGCTGGTCTCGGACTCCTGACCTCAAGTGATCTGTCCGCCTTGGCCTCCCAAAGTGCTGGGATTACAGGCATGAGCCACCGCGCCCAGCCTTAATTTTTGTATTTTTGGTAGAGACGCGGTTTCGCCGTGTTGGCCTGGCTGGTCTTGAACCCCTGGCCTCAGGTGATATGCCCGTCTCGGCCTCCCAAAATGCTAGGATTACAGGCATGAGCCACTGCGCCCAGCCACGTAAATTTTGTTTTAAAGGCAGGACCATACCTATTTGGAGGAATTTATAAACAAATTAATTAATAGTTGCAACTTACACAATTTACTGAGTAGTATCAAAATTTATAACAGATGTTTTCTTATCAATATAAAAATATGTGAAATCTTAAAGTAGCATATAAGAATACATACATGGCAGTAGCTTATTATAAAATCTTGTATCTTCAGATACAGTGTTCTGTAATTTTAAAAATCTAGCTTCAGAAACATTTACAATGAGTGATTATAAGTACAGAAATACATGTTACATTTGCTTATAAATCTTGCTGGTAAGGTATCATTTGGGCTGTTTTTCCCCCATGCACTCATAAACTCTATTTTCTTTTGTGTCATAGTCTTCATTTTAAATATACGTTTCTTAAAGGAAGGTAATTTTTTTATTCTGATAGTGTGTGATCATTGATATAAAAATACAATCTAGAATCAATTCCTAGAATGAGATAGGAGTAGGGCAGTATTGGTGAAATAAAATTTCTTTTAGTTTTTATATAGAATATATATTTAATTCCATATTCAGAGCACTATGCTTAGAAACTATGTGAGCTGTTAAGGTATTAGCCTTAAATATTGCATATGTTTTGAGAAAATCTGTTTCCAGTATATATGGGTTGGTGTTGTGATGAAAAATTACATTTGGCAGCTACTTATATGCTAGTTCCTATAGTAAGATTAACAGCGTTTCAAGAAAGTTTTTCTGCAATTACAACAAAAAAACTTTGAAATTCTGGATTATTAAATTTGGCTCTTGTATTTTACTTGAAATCTGAGTAATAATTCTCTGCCTCTCCTGTCTTAACTTTGTGGTTAGCCAAATGTGTTACAGATTCGTATTTTTTTAATGAAGTGCTAGAAGACTTTTCAGTTGACTTTAATGACTTTGTGTTAATTAGTTGATGTGGATAAACACAAATGTTCTCTTTTTTAATTGAAATGAAATGTATAAACTTTTAGTGTTGTGAGTGTTAGAGTAAAATATTCCTTTTGTTCTTTGATTTTTTGATTTTTAATTAATTCACCTACAAGGCCACCCACATTTATTGGGTAGTAACAACTCTCCTCAACATTGTCTAGGACCATACATCTGTTAAAGATCTAGCATTTGTTGATGGAGAGATTTGGGATTATTTCAAAATAGAAAATGTTATCTCAGTAATTTTGATGAAATAGAAGTGTAATTCACGTATTTATTTTGTTAAATGGAAGTATGGGGACATATAATTATATTAAAACATGACATTTAGGCCTTATGTTTTAAAATGTGGTTTAATTTTTTTCTTTAAGTTCATTAACTTTTTATGACCTTGAAAAAGGAAGTCTTAATTTTGGAGTATGGAAATGGACTATAGATTGGAGAGTTGCAAAAGTTCATTTGTCTGTGATAAATGCATTGATAACACTTGAAACAAATATGTTTATTAAGAAGAATCATAGAAATGTTAACTTTTAAAAGTTAAGAATCTTAAATGTTGTTCAACATGGAACATTCTACCTTTTCTGTTACTGGTTAGTAGCCCCAATCTTCCACTTATGACATATTCTGAAATTTTAACTTGATTAAAAAATTCTGTTAGAGGACAGGAAAGAAATTGATTTTCAATAAAAGGTGAGTTAGTGTGTACATTTTAAAAAATATATATAATTTGTAAAGCAACAAGATCTGTGCAGTATAATTCTGTCTTTTAATTAACATGAATCTGTTTTTTGTCAATAAAATGTTTTTGTCTCTGATAAGTAGTTCAGTTGGAGTACAGGCTGTTTTTAGATTATGCTGGATTGTATTAAAACTGCAGTGGTTAATGTCTTAGATTTATCGCTTTTAGCCCCTTCCGCTGATGTTTAGCCTAAACTGTAATGTTTTTCCTTTTCCAAATACAACTCAGATTGTATACGAAAAGCTGATAATACATTGACTTTTGCTGTTTAAATCCCTTGAGCCTTTGATAATGATTTTTTTTGTGTTAACAATTGTAGTATATAAAATCGGATTCACCATCCTTCTGATGCCATATTGATTAGTTTGATTTTATGGTGATGGGATCATTGTGTGTTAACTGTATTAAGAAGAAATGGATTTGATTGACTTTGCATCCATTTTTATCTGTGTTACTTTCATGTTTTATTTAAAAGCATTTCTGGACCAGAATAAGTTAAGTGGTATAATTTGCTTTTTACACGTTTATATAATTGAAGTTAGCAATGTGGCAAAATCTCTAATGGAAATAAAATGCTTCAGAATGATGACATAAATCTGAGCTATTTCTTGCCTGGAGAACAAGTGTTATTCATAATAATTTAATAGCTTCTGAGGTGTTTTGTTCATGTGATGAAGGCTTATCCACCTTGTATCAATTCATGGGCTCTGCTTTGTTTAATGTAGTCAGGTTGTTAATACAGACTTAAGAGTTCATCCTACTGTGATAAGTGGTGAGTGAAGATTACATGTCTTAGGAAAATTATACTGGAATATCTCTGACATTAATGGTTTAATGTTTTAGGCTAGGTGATGATGCAATGGAGAAGATTCTTCCAAAAGTATCTGGTTGTTTATATTTGTGAAGTCCATAAAGAGAACATTCAAAGAATCTTACGTAGTGGTAAGATTAATGTGCCTTTTTGCTGGATGGCTTCTGTCTTTATTATTGCCATCAAATTGAATACTCAATGCCAGTTGTATTGGAAGGAAACATACAGGGTGTAGGGTTATAATATATGAAAGGAAAGGGAATCTTGTAGATAAAGTTTAAAGTAGAAAAATGGGCAAAAGATAGAAATAAATATTTCACAGAGAAAATAAAATATGGTTGACCATTGAACAACATGGGTTTGAACTGCACAGGTCTACTTATATGTGGATTTTCTCTGTCACTACCAGCCCTTAGACAGCAAGACCAACCCCTTTTCTTCCTCCCTGTCCTCCTCCTCCTTAGCCTACCTGTAGTGAAGACAATGAAACTGAAGACCTTTATAATTGATTCACTTCCACTTAATGAACAGTAAATATATTTTCTCTTACTTTATTATAAGAATATAATCTGTAATACATAACATACGAAATATGTGTTAATTGACAATTTTTGTCATCAGTTAGGCTTCCAGTCAATAGTAGGCTATTAGTAGTTAAGTATTGGAGGAGGGAAAGTCATATGCAGATTTTCAGCTGTGCAGGGGGTCAGCACTTGTAAACATGAGTTGTTCAGAGGTCAACTATACATGTAAATGATATAAAATATACCCATAACTTCACTTGTTATTAATGAGAAAGCTGCAAATTAAAACTGAGATACCATGTTTTACTTATCAGAAACTGAGCCGCTCAAAAGCTTGCAATATATTCTATATTTTTATTAATTTTGAAGTAATTATAGACTCACAGTGAGTTGCACATGCCTTTCATCTTACTTCCTCCAGCTTAACCTGAATGATGATGTATTTTGTAGCTATAGTATAGTACCAAAACAAGAAAATTTTCTGAGTGATGTGGGTTAACAAAAAAAACCTCAGAAAATGGACAATGATACACTCTGTTAACTAGGCTACAGGTCTTAATCAGTTTTCTCTATTTGTTTAACCTGCATTCATTGGTGTGTTTATGTGGGCATGTATAGGGCTGTGAAATTTTATCCCATGTATACATTCATGTAACCCCCACCACAGTTAAGATACAGGACTGTTCTAAACTGTTTCATCAACGCATACTTCTTTGTATTTCATGAGCATCCCTCATCCCACCCCATCCCTTTTTCCTGATAACCACTAATCTGTTTTCCATCTCTATAGTTTTATGACTCTGACAACGTTATGCAAATTGAATAATACATTATGTAATATTTTAAGATGGACTTTTTACACTAAATATATTGTCTTTGAAGTCCATTCAGGTTGCAGCATGTAGTTCGTACTTTTTTTCTTTTCTTTTTTTTTTTTTGAGACAGAGTCTCACTCTGTCGCCCAGGCTGGAGTGCAGTGGCGCGATCTTGGCTCACTGCAAGCTCTGCCTCCTGGGTTCATGCCATTCTCCTGTCTCAGCCTCCTGAGTAGCTGGGACTACAGGTGCCCGCCACCACACCTAGCTAATTTTATGTATTTTTTAGTAGAGACGGGGTTTCGCCATGTTAGCCAGGATGGTCTCAATCTCCTGACCTCGTGATCTGCCCACCTCAGCCTCCCAAAGGGCTGGAATTACAGGTGTGAGCCACCGCGCCCAGCTGTAGTTTGTACTTTTCAATCACTCTGTTGTATTCCATTGTATGAATGTGTCAGTTTGTTCAATTATTCACCCCTTGAAGGACATTTGCACTGTTTCTAGCATTTTTCTATTATGAATAAAGCTGTCGTGATCATTTGTGTAAAGGTTTTTAATGTGGATATGTTTTCATTTCTCTGTAAATGCCCAAGAGTATTGCTGAGTTGTATAAGTGCACTTTTAGAAAGGAAATGTGCAACTATTTTCCAAAGTGCCTGTGCTATTTTATATTCCCACCAGCACTGTATGATAGACAGCAGATTTCCCAACTGAATCCATGGAAGCTGAAGAAAGTGGTACAATATCTTTAAAGTACTGAAATAAATGAACTGGTAGCCCCAAATTCCATTTGTAGTGAAAATATACTTCAGAAATGAAAGGGAAATAAAGGCATTCTTAGAAAAAGGAAAACTAAGAGAACCTATCACTCGCAGATCAACTCTTAAAAATGGCAAAAAGTTTTCCAAGGAAATGACAATAAAAGAAGGCTTAGAACTTCAAAAATGAAAGAACAACAATGGGGTGGGTAAAAATAAAGGTATATGTGAGATATCCTTTTTAATGAATTTATAAGATTATATTTGATGATTGCGTTAGAAATTGTAACATCATCTGATGTGTGTTGACCGATGTGTGTGTAAGAAATACTTAATATTTTTATATTTTAAAAAATGGGGACATAAATTGAACTTTATAAAAATCAAAATTTATGCTACAGTGGACACAATCAAGAAAATGAAAAGACAACTCACAGAAGGGGAGAAAATATTTGTAAATCATATTTTTGATAAGGTACCAGTATTCACAATATGTGAAGAACTCTTATAACTCAAAAATAAAAAGACTACCTAATTTTCAATGAGCAATGGATTTGAATAAACATTTCTTTGAAAAAGATATACCTGTGGCTGATAAGCAGAAATTGGGACCCTTCTAACCTGCTAGTCAGAATTGTGCATTCACTTTGTAAAAGAGTTTCAAAGTTCTTCCCAAAATGTTAAACAGAGTTATATGACTAATATATATCTACGATAAAACTCTGAATATTTGCAGCATTGTTTGCAATAGCCAAAAAGTAGAAAAAAATCTAAATATTCATCAACTGATGAATGGGTGGATAAATAAAATGTGGTATATGCAAACAATATAATATTATTTAACAATATAAAATGTACATTTTAGTGGCATTAAGTACATTTGTAGTGTTATATAATTATCAGTACAGGCACTATCCCTTTCCAAAACTTTTTCACCATCTGAAACTGAAAGTCTCTGCCCATTAAACAATAACTTCCCAGTACTCTGTTTCCCAGGCCCTGGTAACCAGCATTCTACTTTCTGTGTTTGAATTTGCCTGTTTCTAGGTATATCACATAGTGCAATCCTACAGTATTCATCCTTTTGTGTCTGGTTTATTTCACTTAGCATAATATTTTCAAGGTTCATACCTGTCGTAACATATATCAGAATTTCATACTTTTTAAAGGCTCCATAATATTCCACTGAATGTGTATACTACATTTTGTTTATCCATTTACTTATTGATGGACATTTGGCTTACTTCTACCTTTTGCCAATTTTTTTTTTTTTATTGAAATGGAGTCTTGCTCTGTTACCAAGGCTGGAGTGCAGTGGCACAATGTTGGCCCACTGCAACTGCTGCCTCTTGGGTTCAAGCGATTCTCTTGCCTCAGCCTCCCAAGTAGCTGGATTACAGGCATCTGCCACCATGTCTGGCTAATTCTTGTATTTTTTGTAGAGACAAGGTTTCGCTATGTTGGCTAGGCTGGTCTCAAACTCCTGACCTCAAGTGATCTGCCTGCCTTGGTGTCCCAAAGTGCTGGGATTACAAGCATGAGCTACCGTGCCCCGCCACCTTTCGCCAATTTTGAATAATGCTTGTGTGAACATTGGTGTACACATTTCTAATTGAGTCTCTACTTGTAATACTTTTGGTTATGTACCTAAAAGTCAAATTGCTGGATCATATGGTAATTCTATATTTAATTTTTTGAGGAATTACCAAGCTATTTTTCACAGTGGCTGGACCATTTTAAATTCCCACCAGTGAACGTCCAATGATGGATAAGGGTCTCAATTTCTCGTATATCCTTACCCCAACACTAGTTATTTTTCTTTTTAAAAATAATGGCCATCCTAATGATGTAAATGGCCATCCTAATGAGTGCAAAGTAGTATCTCATCATGGTTTTAATTTGCATTTACCTAAGGAATAGTGATGTTAAGCCTCTTCTCATTTGCTTATTGGCCATTTGGTTATCTTTAAAAAATTGATACATAATATTTGTACAAATTTTTGGGGTACATGTGATATTTTGTTATATGCATAGAACGTCTAATCATCAAATCAGGGTATTTAGGATATATATCACCATGAGCACTTAGCATTTCTATGTGTAGAGAACATTTTAAGTCTTCACTACTAGCTGTTTTTAAATGTACCAGGTATTGTTGTTAACTATTGTCACTCTACTATGGAATGTTAGAACTTATTCCTTTGATCTGAGTGTACATTTGTACCCAACCTGTCTTTCTTCATTCTTTTTTTCTTTTTCTTTTTCTTTTGTCTGACTGGGTTAGTTTGAAAGGCCTGTCTGTCAAACTGAAATCTCTTTCTTCTGTTTCATCTAGTCTATTGTTGAAGCTTCTCAATTTTTTTTTTTTTTTTTTTGAGATGGAGTCTTGCTCTGTCACCCACGCTGGAGTGCAGTGGCGCGATCTTGGCTCACTGCAAGCTCCGCATCCCGGGTTTACGGTATTCTCCTGCCTCAGCCTCCTGAGTAGCTGGGACTACAGGCACCCGCCACAATGCCCAACTAATTTTGTGTATTTTTTAGTAGAGACGGAGTTTCACCATGTTAGCCAGGATGGTCCCGATCTCCTGACCTCGTGATCCACCCGCCTCAGCCTCCCAAAGTGCTGGGATTACAGGCGTGAGCCACTGCACCTGGACTCACTTGTATTTTTATGTCATTCATTGAGTTATTCAGTTTATGGATTTCTGTTTGGTTCTTTCTTATGAGATCTATCTCTTTGGTGAATTTCTTTTTCATATCCTGAATTGTTTTTCTTATTTCTTTGTAATGTTGTCTGTGTCTGCTTGTATCTCACTGGGCTTCTTTAATATCATTATTTTTCAATTCTTTTTCAGGCATTTTATACATTTTTTGGGGGGGTTAAAACCTATTGTTGGAAGATTGTGTTTCTTTGGAGGTGTCATATTTCCTTGCTTTTTCATATTTCTTGTGTCCTTTCATTGATGTCTGTGCATCAGGTATAACACTTCTAATTTTTTTTTTCTTGAGACGAAGTCTCGGTCTGTTGCCAGGTTGGAGTGGTGCAGTGGTGCGATCTCAGTTCACTGCAACCTCTGCCTCCCAGGTTTAAGTGATTCTTCTGCTCAGCCTCCCGAGCATCTGGGACTACAGGTGTGTGCCACCACGCCCAGCTAATTTTTGTGTTTTTAGTAGAGACGAGGTTTCACCATGTTGGCCAGGATGGTCTCGATCTCTTGAGCTCGTGATCTACCCGCCTTGGCCTCCCAAAGTGCTGGGATTATAGGCGTGAGCCACCATGCCCGGCCCACTTCTAATTTTTAAAATTGGCTTTCATAGGGGAAGGCTTTTTCCTGTGTGTTTTTTTTTTTAAAATAATGACAAGGTATTTTTAAATTGGTAATACATAGGAAGATAATAACTCAAAGGAGTAGGTAGCAGATGCCAGTATATTCAATCAATGAGCTGTATTTTACTGGAATTTAATCAATATTAACCTGAAATAGATGATAAGTTAATATGCATATTGTAATCCCTCCAACTACCGCTAAGAAATTACTCAGAAAAAGTAACAGAGGACTTAAAATATTAATGCTAAAAATATTTTCTAAACACAAAAGAAGATAGGAGGAACAACAAACACCTAAGACATATAAATATACATAGTAAAATGGCAAACTTAAAATCCAGTTATACCAACAATATATTAATGGCAAATGTATCAGACCCAAATTGCTTCAGATTCAAAGACCACTTGTTTGAAAATAAAAAGATGGTAAAAAATATATCACATGCTTTAAAAATTTTAATGTAAGACCTCAAACTAAAAATCATAGATGAAAACCTAGGAAATACCCTTTTTGACATCTGCTTTGGTAAAGAATTTTTGGCTGAGTCCCCAAAAGCGATTGCAACCAAAAACAAATATTGACAAATGATACCTGATTAAACTAAAGAGCTTCTGCACAGCAAAATAAACTATCAACAGAGCAAACAGACAACTACTTAATGGGAGAAAATGTTTGCAAATGGTTTATCTGATAAAGGTCTAATATCCAGCATCTGTAAGGAACTTAAATCAACAAGAACAAATAACCCCATTAAAAATGGGCAAAGGACACACATACACTTCTTAAAAGAAGACATACGTATGGGCCAACAAACATATGGAAAAATGCTCATCATCTCTCATCATCAGGGAAATGCTAATCAAAGCCACATGAGATGCCACCTTAACACCAGTCAGAATGGCTGTTATTAAAAAGTCAAAAACTGGCTGGGCCTGGTGGCTCATGCCTGTAATCCCAGCACTTTGGGAGGCCGAGGCAGGCAGATCACGAGGTCGGGAGATCAAGACCATCCTGGCTAACACAGTGAAATCCCGTCTCTACTAAAAACACAAAAAATTAGCTGGGCGTGGTGGCGGGTGCCCATAGTCCCAGCTACTCGGGAGGCTGAGGCAGGAGAATCGCTTGAACCCAGGAGGCAGAGGTTGCAGTGAACCGAGATCATGCCACTGCACTCCAGCCTGGGCGACAGAGCAAGACTCCATCGCAAACAACAACAACAACAACAACAACAACAACAACAACAACAACAACAACAACAGATACTGGTGGGGCTGTGGAGAAAAGGGAACACGTATACACTGCTGGTGGGCATCTGAATTAGTTCAGCCACTGTGGAAAGCAGTTTGGAGACTTCTCAACTTAAACAAAGCTACCACTTGACCCAGCAATCCCACTAATGGGTATATACCCATAGGAAAATAAATGGCTCTACCAAAAAGAGACATGTATATTAATCACCATGCTATTAACAATAGCAAAGACATGGAATCAGCCTAAGTGCCCGCCAGCAGTGGATTCAATAAAGGAAATGTGCTATTCATCACCATGGAATACTACACAGCCATAAAGAGAATGAAATCATGTCATTTACAGCAGCATGTGTGGAGCTGGAGGCCAAAACCTTAAGCAAATCAATGGAGAAATGAAAAACCAAATACTCCATATTCTCACTTATAAGTGGGAGCTAAACATTGACCACACCACGTTGGGAGGCCGAGGCGGGCGGATCACAAGGTCAGGAGATCGAGACCATCCCGGCTAAAACGGTGAAACCCCGTCTCTACTAAAAATACAAAAAATTAGCCGGGCGTAGTGGCGGGCGCCTGTAGTCCCAGCTACTTGGGAGGCTGAGGCAGGAGAATGGCGTGAACCCGGGAGGCGGAGCTTGCAGTGAGCCGAGATCCCGCCACTGCACTCCAGCCTGGGCGACAGAGCGAGACTCCGTCTCAAAAAAAAAAAAAAAAAAAAAAAACATTGACCACACATGGACATAAACATGGGAACTATTAATAGACACTGCAGACTACTAGAGTGGGGAGGGAGGAAGGAGGAGTATGGGTTCCTATTGGGTACTATGCTCACTACCTGGGTGCAATATATCCATGTAACAAACCTGCACATGCACCCCTTGTATCTAAAAGTTGAAATTAAAAAAAAAACATGTAAACAATAACCATAATAGAATTAGAGTGGCCATAGTAATATTAAAGACTTTACGTCAAGAAGTATTACTGGAGTAAAAGAGAGACATTTCATTCACGATAAAAGGGTCAATATAATAAAACAATTGTTAACACATAATACAGATAAAACATTTTTTTCTTTTTTTTTCTCAGTAATACTTGTTCTGGAAAACCACTATTAATATGTATAATTAATAAAACAATTATTAGTATATAAATACCTAACAACACAGCCACTAAAAACATTGAACAAAATCTGACAAAATTGAAAGAAGAAATTTTAGCTCTTTTTTTTTTGAGACAGAGTCTTGCTCTGTTGCCCAGGCTGGAGTGCAATGGCACGATCTCAGCTCACTGCAACCTCCGCCTCCTGGGTTCAAGCAATTCTCCTGCCTCAGCCTCCTGAGTAGCTGGGATTACAGGCACGCGCCACCATGTCCGGCTAATTTTTGTAGTTTTAGTAGAGACAGGGTTTCACTATATTGGTCAGGCTGGTCTCGAACTCCTGACCTCGTGATCCCCCTGCCTCGGCCTCCCAAAGTGCTGGGATTACAGGCATGAGCCACCGCGCCTGGCCCAATTTTAGCTCTTTATTACAGCTCAAGATTTACATAATTTATTCTCATTAATTGATAGGAATAAGCACTCTGTAATTTTCCACATGCATGTTAGTAAACATGTACGACTATTTCTCTATTAAAAAATAATTGATAGAACAACTAGATAGAAAATTAGAAAAGACTTAGAAGACATGATTAACACTATTTTCTAACTTGACCACCCAAAACTGCAGAATGCACATTATTTTCAAAAACATCTGAGACATTCATTGTACATGATAGAACAGATGCTTGGCCATGAAACAGATCTTAATAACTTTAAAAGGATTAAAGTCATGCGGAGTATTTCTCTAAGGACAATGGAAATCAATAACAAAATTCGATTTGGGGAATCTCCAAATATTTGGAAATAAAACGCACTTGTAAATAACTCATGGGTCAAAGAAAGAAGCTTAGGGACATTAGCAAATATTTTGAATTGAATGAAAATGAAAACAGAACATATAAAAATTTATGGAGTATAACTATAGTGTTATATGGAAGAAAATTTACAGCTTTAAATGCTTATATTAGGACAAGAAAATGGCCTGAAATTAATAATCTAAGTGTTTCCCTTAAAAGATTATAAAAAGGAGCAAATTATAACCAATGCAAGACTAATGAAGCAAATAATAAAGATCTGGATAGAAGCTGATGGAACAGTAAACAGTGAAATATTGGAAAAGTCTAAAATTGGTTATTTGAAAAGATCAATATAATCAATGTATTTGTAGCTAGATTGAATTGGAGGTTCTAGCTAGATCAATAAGGCATAAAGATCTGACAGGATAATGTTTCAGACATTTTTATGATGGCTTGTTGTTTATGATATTGTATAGCATGATTGACCTGCACAGTTAAAACGGGTAGCTTTTGTGGTGTGCAAGTTGTATCTTTGTAAAGCTTTCACTCACAAATACTATCTCAGTGCTTAAGTACATTGTTTTTTTGGGCTGTATTTGCATATATGTTGTAACTGATAAAATAACTGTTCTGGTCATTTGCTCTGTATCTTTCAGGGCAGGAATAACATTTGGTTTATATTCTGAGCTCTAAGCAGAGTATTTTACACATAGTAAGACTTGACTCTTAACATGCATTTTTGAGAGAAAAAAATAGCGTTGCCAGTGTAGGACAACTTCCAAGGCTACTTAAAATCAAATTTCTCTGTGTCTAAATATTATGATCCAAAATTGGTGTAATAGGTTTTCTTTCTGAAACATTAGATAAGTAAAACAATTTTTAAAAAGTTGTTGAACTTATGATGGGAAATTATATGGAATGTAAATTATATTTCAGTGTAGCCTTAAAAATTAAGAGGAGTGAATAAAAGAAACTCCATTTGAGATACAGAGGTACCTATTCTAATGTACCTCTGCTTTTATGATTTCATAGTCATTTCAAAGAAGTTCTATTTCTCTCTAGAAACTGAGAGTTGAAGAACACGACTTTCATACTATAATATGAAAATGTTATTGGATGATTTCTCTATACACCTGTTTATTTATGTTTAACAAATTATGTTGTTTCCCCCCCATTCTTATATTTCAATAAGGGGCAAAAAATTGTGATTTCCCAGCAGATCGCATAACACAGTAAGACCTGTATTTCCTGTCCTTGGATAAAGCGCTAAGTGATTACATTTTGTAAAGAATTGAAAATAGTTGATTGTATCATTTTTTTTCCTCTGAACCTATACTTGAAGAAGTAATTGTTTCTGTCATCTACAGTCAAGTCAGCTGACTCTTTTTAGAGTTTATATGACTGATGTGCGTGGGGGCATGTTATATCTCTTCCTCAATTCTAAAGTGGAATTCTCTCCTTATATTGGCAAGAATAATCTGCTAGAGTGGAAACATGTTATTTGGTCAGTGGTTTGTGATGTGCCTTCTTATAGGCTTCAAGCTCGGTTATCAGTGAGAAAATATTTACCTCCATTTGTCTTTATTTCTTTGTGAAGGTGCTTGTGAGTGAGGATTCTGACAGTGATGGCATTGTGGCCCACTTCCCTGCCCATGAGAAGCCAGTGTGCTGCATGGCTTTTAATACAAGTGGTAAGTTCGCTCTCTGTCTTTTTTTTTTTTTTTTTTGTAGACCATTTATATAATGGGTTTTCCAGCCAAATATGGAATATGGAATCTGACTTTTCTTCATGTATCAGTATATATCAGAAAAGTTATTAAGTCATTATATTGAATAAAGGAATTTATAATAAAAATTTAGTACCCCTCTAAAATCCCTCTAAAATTGGTTTTGTTCTCGATAAAGTAGCTATTAAATAGCAGCCATTTAAACAATGCTGTTGAGTTACATGAATTTCTGTTTATAATTACTCCAAGAACTTCAGTATTCCAAACTAGAATATTAATGGATATGAGCAGTATTTTTTTTTTGTAACTTGAAGTTTTGTGTAACTAACTTACAACACTTTGTAAGCTAATTTAATTTTCTCGGTTTTTTTTTTAGTGGTGCTCTTTTTCTTTTTCTTCTTAAGGTTTACTCCTTACATTTTGTTATATCTTTTTAGTTCCTTTTAATATAGCATACAATTTGTACTCTTAATTTTCTTTTCACAATATCCAGAGTAGTTGTCTTATTTAAATTCTGCATTTGTAAGATTTTTAAATTTTTATTTTACTATTTTTTTAAAAAAAGATAAAGACAGAGTCTCACTATGCTGCCCAGGCTGGTCCTGAACTCCTGGCCTCAAGTAATTCTCCTGCCTTAGCCTCCCAAAGTATTGCCACGATGCTTGGCCAGATTTTTTTCATTATGATAATGTTTTTGTATTTCTCCATTCCCTGGATATCTATCTGTTTAACTGGAAGTTAAGTCTAGAGGTATAAATCCATTCAGGCTAAGGAGTTTTTGTTTGTTTGTTTCTAAACTTCGTAAGTATTGCGTCTACATCATTTCATCCCAATAGGAGACACATTATTTTAGGTTGTCTCCCTATTTGTGGTGCTATATTTGATCACATGAGTAAAGTAATGACTATCAAGTATCTACATTATTGGAAATAGGTTTTTCTTATGGAGATTAACAAGTACTCTACAGTATGTCATTTTGACATTATTTCTGAAGCAACTTTTTAATTAATAATTTTGTTACATTGAAGGTTGTAGAATGGTGGGTTGTTTTCTTAATTCTGTCCTGGTCTCTGCATTTATTGACTGTTATTCTTCTATAGAAAACGTTTTCTCTCATCAGCCAGGAGTAAACAGCCTTTCTCCTGTATATCAAAAGTGGTATAAATGCCTAATTCTCTCTCTCTCTTTTTCTTTTAAATGACCAATTTTCACAGTAAGGAGTTGGTGTAATACTTCCAGTGGTAGGAAACAAGTTACAGGTTGAGTACTTTATGTCTGAAATGCTTGGGACTAGAAGTCTTTCTGATTTTAGATTTTTTTTTTTTGATTTTGGAATATTTGCATATATAATGAGTTATCTTGGCGGTGGGACCCAAGTCTAAATACAAAATTTATTTGTTTCATGTATACCCTATACACATAGCCTGAAGGTGATTTTGTACAATATTTTAAGTGATTTTGTGCATGAAACATAGTTTTGACTCCGTTTTAACTGAGACTTTGTACATGAGGTCAGGTGTGGATTCTCCAGTTGTGGCATCATGTCAGTGCTCCAGTTCTGGAGCATTTCAGAGCATTTTGGTTTGCATTATAAGAAGAACATAAATTTCTGTGAGGATTTTGGTTTTTCAGATTAGGAATGCTCAATCTGTATTTTAAAAATACTTTGTAAATAAAACTGCTCTTTTGTTTTCAGAGCTGGTATAGTCATCATAAACTTGCAGTCTTTTCAGATCTTACCCATTTGGTTGATGTATCTAAGGAGCATGCTACTTTTAATCTTAGTTTTCAGAAATGATTATATCACTTAAAATTGATGGGAAAAGCCAATCCTTTTCCCCTTCTTTTCATCTTTTCAAATAAAGAATGATAGTAAGGGATTATCATTATATAGAGATATTATTTTATAAAGCACTTTAAATAATCTACCCTCTAATATCTTAATAAGTCATCTTTGATTAAGGGAACAGGATTTTTATAGTGATTGGTAATCAGTAGGATTGATTTAATTAATAAAGGCAAGATTTATTGAAATTCTGTGAGTGTTGTGGGAATTAAGTTAAATGTGAAAAAACAGCCTGGAAGTTATGTCACTTGTAGCACTCCACTTGGAATGACCGGTATGACTCATATTGATATTCCATCTGTTATGTCAGATCTCCTTTGTGTTAGTGTATATTTCATATAACCCTACAGTGCTTCTGACACTGGCAGCTGTATTTTTTTCCTGTGACTTTGCATTATAAGAAGAACATATTATATAATATAAAGAGTGTTGTAGTCGTCATAAAATGGTTTCATAATTTTGATCTACATTTGCCATTTGATTTCTTTGTCCTCTCACATTTGTGTTTATACGATAAGGTTAAAAATAGCAATATTTATACCTATTTTTCTGTGTTGCTGGGACACTAGGTTTATAACTATGATGTAATTTATTTTGTGACAATCATTTGTTTAAATATTTGTTTCCCTTGCTAACTTATCTGTTCCTCCTACAAAGAGATCAGATGTCATTAATCTTTGTATCTCTAGTGCTTGGCATGGTGTCTCAGAGTAATAGGAAACTTAGTGAATTATTTTGAACTATTCCCCACTGTAGATGTATGGCACTGTATTAGGCATGGTAGTCTCTATTTTGACAATGAAAGTGATAGGTCAGTTCAGTATTTTTAAATTCTTTTATTTATTTTTTTCTTTCTTTCTTTCTTTTTTTGTTTTTTGTTTGTTTTTTTTTTGAGACAGGGTCTCGCTCTTTTGCCAGGCTGGAGTGCAGTGGCACGATCTCAGCTCACTGCAACCTCCGCCTCCCAGGTTCAAGCGATCCTTGTGCCTCAGCCTGCCAAGTAGCTGGGACTACAGGCGTGTACCACGCCCAGCTAATTTTTTTTTGTATTTTTAGTAGAGACGGGGTTTCACCATGTTGGCTAGTGTGGTCTCGATCTGTTGACCTCGTGATCCACTTGCCTCGGTCTCCCAAAGTGCTGGGATTACAGGCATGAGCCACCACCCCTGGTCCTTTCCTTATTTTTCTATAGAAATTTTGATGAGATTCTACTAAAGTTCTTCTGGAATTTATTCACTTTGAAATGGTTCATGGTGTATAGAGTTTCCTTGTTCTGGTATTACATAATTGTTTCATATAGCAATCTATGAAGCCTGTTAATATCATTGGAAATAATCCTATATGGAGATGCTAATTAGTTAACTGTACCTGTAAACTTGTGAGTGATGAAAATAATGGTTATTTTTATATCATTTCACATTTATATATAATTCTCTAAATATTGCTTATGCTTCAAAATTATGATAGAGCCTATAATTTAATATATTAACAAAAAAGCCCTTATACTACTTATATTTTAATTTTTTAAAATCTTAAGTATTATATTTTGTGTTTTAATTTCATTCTGGGAAAGTGGTTCTTGGCTTGCTAAAAGGATCCACACTACAGAAATGTTTTAGAACCCTTTATCAAAAAGGTTGAAGCTTGCTGATGTGATTTTACCCGTTTCAGCTAGCACATTGGAAGATACCTCTTTCACTAGTGACTCTATTCACCTTGTCTGGCTAAGTCTTGTTAATTCACTTAATAAGAGATAGTCCCTATGCATAGAGTCTGCTTGCTGGTTAGTTGCAAATGCACAAACAGGGTCTTAAGGAAGGAAAACCCTTTGTGGAGGAAGGACAGCATGCTAGGGGATAAATATTAGCCTGGTTTTGGAGATAGTTCTTCAAAAGGAAATCAATTCCAAGCTGGGACCTAAAAGATTAGAAAATAATGATTCAGTGCCTGGCACCATAAATATTATTTGAATGAAAGAGGCAAGAAAAATATGGTACATTTGAAATAGATTGTGAACCATAGTCTGTATAGTGGACTCATTAGTTTGTTGTGCACAGATATGTTTTTCAATGTGTTCTCATTTCTGCAACATTTTATAAATCCTTCATGCCTGTTTAGATATCTGTATTCAGTGGAGGGTTTATAACTCAGCAACCACTCATACAGTTGGTTTGCACAATGCTTTATAGTAGCTGGTAAGCAATTACTTACAATTCTTCTTAATTATTTACTTTCAGCTTTGAGTATTTTTGCTGTTCTGAATATTGACTTATTACTTGATTATGAGCAAGGATGCAGAAAGTGCTCAATTCTCAATGATGTGGAAGTCTGGATTTTTTCCTTCTTTTTTTAATTAGCAAGTGCTAGTCAGCAGCTACCCAGCTTTGTACAAAAAGTAATTGGGGTTAGCCATGGCTTCTAACCATTAATCAGCTTGTATCATTAGGTGACATTTTATTTTGCTTTGCTAGTTTCTGGTTCATATTTACTCTTCTAACCCTTCTGATTGGTGTACATACATATACACACACATACATAGAGGACATGTTTTAGTGAGGAAACTGCATTGCTATTTGTAAATGCATAGATACCTCAGTAGCTGGGTTTTTTCCCTTAAATTATTATTTGTCTTACAGTTTTAAAAATGTTTTTGTGAGATAAAATGATGTATTTTCTAGCACTCTTCATTTAAGTCCTTCCCACTAGTAAATCATAAGTTTACTAATGTGATTAAGAAATGCGACATTATAAAATGAGGTAGGAGCCGGGCACATTGCTTATAATCCCAGTGACCCAGGAGGCTGAGATGGGGGGACCAACACTTGAGGCCAGGAGTTTGAGACCAGCCTGGCCAACATACCAAGATCCTGTATCTAAAAAAAATTTTAAAAAATTACCTGGGCGTGGTGGCACGTGCCTGTAGTCCCAGCTACTTAATTGGGAGGCTGAGATGGAAGACTTGCTTGAACCAAGAAGTTAAGGCTGCAGTGAGCTCTGATCCCACCATTGCACTCTAGCCTGGGTTACAGAGTAAGAGCCTGTCTGGAAAAAAAATTAAAAAATTAAGTAAAATGAGGTAGTTCTCTGCACACTGGCTGAATTATATTTGTTAGCTTCTGAACTTTTATTAATTGACGTTTTATAAAAAGATATGTAATTTCTTTTTTATTTTAATTTTTAATTTGTTTATTTTATTATTATTATACATTAAGTTTTAGGGTACATGTGCACAATGTGCAGGTTAGTTACATATGTATACATGTGCCATGCTGGTGTGCTGCACCCATTAACTCGTCATTTAGCATTAGGTATATCTCCTAATGCTATCCCTCCCCCCTCCCCCCACCCCACAACAGTCCCCAGAGTGTGATGTTCCCCTTCCTGTGTCCATGTGTTCTCATTGTTCAATTCCCACCTGTGAGTGAGAACATGCGGTGTTTGGTTTTTTGTCCTTGCAATAGTTTACTGAGAATGATGATTTCCAATTTCATCTATGTCCCTACAAAGGACATGAACTCATCATTTTTTATGGCTGCATAGTATTCCATGGTGTATATGTGCCACATTTTCTTAATCCAGTCTATCATTGTTGGACATTTGGGTTGGTTCCAAGTCTGTGCTATTGTGAATAGTGCTGCAATAGACATATGTGTGCATGTGTCTTTAAAGATATGTAATTTCAATAGGCCTTAACACAGTAGTTACAATTTTTAATTTAAATTGGCTTTTTCCAAAATATAACTAATAGATCCTCCAATGACATACTCCAGTCCTTCTTTACCCATACATGTAACCATATATGTTTTAAAATTTATATTAGGAAGTTTTAACCCTCTAATAATTATCTAATTTGGTTAAAGGTATTTTCATGGGGTATGTAATATGGCTAATAAAAACAGTATTGCTTGTTAGAATACTTTTTACTAGTTTAGGGAAGTTTATGTAAAACAAACAAAACATGCCAAAAAGTTGATTGCATGATTTTTGTTTTTAAAGCTGATCTTACTCAAACCAGTTTACCTGTGTTTGTCACTGTTACACTTAAGAATATAAATAAATTCCTTTTAGTCTTCATTCATTCATTCATTTTTTGAGACGGAGTCTTGCTCTGTTGCCCAGGCTGGAGTGCAGTAGTGTGATCTCGGCTCACCACAATCTCCGCCTCCAGGTTCAAGCAATTCTCCTGCCCCAGCCTTCTGAGTAGCTGGGATTACAGGTGTGCGCCACTGCACCCAGCTAATTTTTGTATTTTTTTAGTAGAGACGGGGTTTTGCCATGTTGGCTAGGCTGGTCTTGAACTCCTGACCTCAGGTAATCCGCCTGCCTCAGCCTCCCAAAGTGTTGGGATTACAGACGTGAGCCACTGCGTCCAGCCCTTTTAGTCTTTTTAAAAGAAAGACATATTTTTAGACAACAGTATTATAAACATGTCCTGGACAACAAAATCCAAGAACAAACCAGGCCCATAGCCACTTCCTGGGAAACGTTAAAAATACTATAAAATGTACATGATGGAATAACACTGCAAAACGAATTTAGGAGACCATGTAGGTTGGTTGACTGGGTGGCATACATTTCTGTCTTGTATGGGACCTATTCAGAAAAGACATGAAGTGATGCTATTAAATAGATCTGTGAAACTTCTAGTTCAGCAGCTGCATTCATTTTTTTTTCAATTTTTTAATTCCCATTCTTATTTATTAGCTGTGACTTTGAGGCCAGAATTAAAACAAATATTTTAGTGGCAGCATTTATGATTTGTTTAGAAGTACCAGATTGATCCCCATGGTTAGATCTGG
This sequence comes from Homo sapiens, assembly GCF_000001405.40. Classification (NCBI taxonomy): domain Eukaryota; kingdom Metazoa; phylum Chordata; class Mammalia; order Primates; family Hominidae; genus Homo; species Homo sapiens. Next base: position 60,931,182 of record NC_000017.11, read on the forward strand.
GCAGATTCAATATGGGCAGTGTAAATTTGTTGCTCTCAGGGACAAAGTGAATAACATTTTCAAGGAACTTTAAAAAAAATTAATAAACTTTATTTTTTATTTTTATTTTTTTGAGATGGAACCTCGCTCTGTTGCCTAGGCTGGAGTGCAGTGGCACAATTTCAGCTCACTGCAACCTCCACCTCCCGGGTTCAAGCGATTTTCCTGCCTCAGGCTCCTGAGTAGCTGAGATTACAGGCACGTGCCACCACACCTTGCTAATTTTTTGTATTTTTAGTAGCGATGGCATTTCACCATGTTGCACGGGCTGGTCTCAAACTCCTGAGCTCAGGCAATCTGCCCACCTTGGCTTCCCAAAGTACTAGGATTACAGGTGTGAGCTACCACACCCGGCCGGAATCTTCTTTTGCCTGGCTAACTCTTACACTGATTCCTATCTTAAATATCATTTAAGAAGTCTTCCCTGAGTCTACATAAAATGTCATGTTCCCCTTCCTCCTTCACCTTGTCACCTAATTGGGCAAGCTAGTTAATCTGCTTGTCACACTCAATGCTTCAGTTTCCTCATCAATAAAATGGGGGCTAGTAATGATATCTAAAATAATACCTGGCCAGGTGCACTGGCTCACACCTTTAATCTCAATACTTTGGGAGGCCAAGGCAGGTGGATAGCTTGAGCTCAGGAGCTAGAGACCAGCCTAGGCAACATGGTGAAACTCTGTCTCTACAAAAAATACAAAAATTAGCTGGGTGTAGTGGTGCACTCCTGTAGGTCTAGCTACTTGGGAGGCTGAGGCAGGGGGATTGCTTAAGCCTGGGAGGCAGAAATTGCAGTGAGCTGAGATCGCGCCACTGTGCTCCAGCCTGGGTGACAGAGCAAGACCCTGTCTAAAAAAAAATAAAAAATAAAATAATATCTAACAAATAGAGTAACCTCAATAGATATTAGTTGTTTCTGTTTTCATTATTATCAATCACCTTCATCCTAGTTTTTAAATTATTTACATCCATCAGAGTATCTTTTCAATGTGTTCGCTGTTAGAGGTAAGCTTTTGTTAATATTTTGTCCCCAAGTATTAGCCCAGTAGCTTTCACATACTTGATACTGAGTAAGTGTACATTGAATAATTACAATAATTAATTACATTGGATTGCTTCATAATTGTAATCATGGAAAAAATATAGCAGGGCAAAATTAAGACATTTATTCAATGTTGTTATTCATTTGTTGAATAAAATCAACTTATGTCTAAATTGTGGTTTGAATAAGAATTGTCTGGCCGGGCACGGTGGCTCACGCCTGTAATCCCAGCACTTTGGGAGGCCGAGGCGGGTGGATCACAAGGTCAGGAGATCGAGACCATCCTGGCTAACATGGTGAAACCCCGTCTCTACTAAAAAATACAAAAAATTAGCCAGGCGTGGTGGCGGGCACCTGTAGTCTCAGCTGCTTGGGAGACTGAGGCAGAAGAATGGCATGAACTTGGGAGGCGGAGCTTGCAGTGAGCCAAGATGGTGCCACTGCACTCCAGCCTGGGCGACAGAGCGAGACTCTTGTCTCAAAAAAAAAAAAAAAAAAAAAAAAAGAATCGTCTCCATCTCTATATATTGGGAGTGATACATGATGGCAAATTATAATACATGCAGATACATATCACAGATAACTAAAACTGAAATATGTAATAGATAGTAATTTAAAATACCCCATGGAGGCTGGAAGCGGTGGCTCATCCCAGTAATCCCAACACTTTGGGAGGCCGAGGAGGGCGGATTACTTGAGGTTGGGAGTTCGAGACCAGCCTGGCCAACATGGCGAAACCTCATCTCTACTAAAAATACAAAAATTAGCTGGGTGTAGTGGCACACGCCTGTAATCCCAGCTACTGGGGAGGCTGAGGCAGGAGACTCGCTTGAGCCAGGAGGCAGAGGTTGCTGAGATGGTGCCACTGTACTCCAGCTTGAGTGACAGAGTGAGACTCCGTCTCAAAAAGAAAAAAAAAAGGACCCCATGGAAATGACATTTTTATGTAATAAGAACAATAGATTAGTATACTATTATGTTTTTGGACAACAAACTATTTCTTATTTATCAAACTATCGTTAGAAACATAAGGAAGAAATCCTCAATTCTGTGCAATAAGCCTGACATGAACCTTTAATTCAGTAAATAATTGATTTGCTTTTCAGAGGCATTACTTCTGCCAGCTGAGCAACTGAGAAATGTAAAGTACAACACATCTACATTTTAAATAATTACCCCTCCTTGGCAGGGAAATTGCTTTTCCATCCATTAATAAGAGGAAAATGAGTGTTGAATCTCTAGCAAAACAGAGTAAATATGTACCCCTTTAGATGCTTGGCTGCATCTTTAGCAGACTTGAAATTCTTCTGGTTACTTAAATGATACATATTAAAAGGTGATTGTGGTCTTGGGTTAATTGTTAAAGAAGTTTAGGTTTTTCTTTTTGGACATAAAGGTTTTCCCATTGTCTAGCAAGTGGTTAGAGAAATACCATGTCTTGATTTATTTTTAACATCTATAATGCATCACAGATCTACAGCATAACATAGCTTGAGATTTTTAATCTGACAGCTTCTGGTTTATCACTACCAGACACCTATATTATTTCATTCACAATGCAAAGGCAACTTGAAGAATTTATTTCCTTTTTTCATTAGAAGAGGATGTTTCCATAGTAGGTTTGTACTTACTCTCTTGTTTCATCATCTTGTAAAGTGGTGTCCTTTACTCATGTAATGGATTTACTCTCTGAAGAATTAGTTCTGTTTGCTCTCTGTTCATTGTGGCACTGTAGTTGTGTAAGAGAGGGATCTTTGTAGGGGTGACTTACGATTAGGTAGTAGGTACAGTGTCTAGGGACCACAATACTTTTAGAACCTCGCTATAATTTTCTGATTTCTTTAAAAGCAGAAAAAAAAACATGGTTTTAAGTTAATAGAATGGAGTAAAAAAATATAACTTTAAGTATTTTTTCCTGAAGGAGAGTGCCCATGAAGACAAAAATGCCCAGGTCCCACCTAAAGTCCTAATGTAGCCCTGGGTTCCATCAGTAAGTGAAGAGCCTTTTCCATTCTTCATCACTATTGCCACAGCACTACCACTTAATTGAATAAAGGTGCTCAGTTGATAGTGAATGAACTCATGGAATATGTGAATGCATACATTGGGATACTATGTAAAAATGTGAAATCAACATATATACCTGTAAAAATAGACCTGTCTACAACAAATATAACATAAATACTTACAATAATATAAACATAGTATTTAATTTTGCAAAAGGTAAAGAAGGATCTGTATAGTCAGGTACATACATGCAAAGCAGCTGTTGATTTCAACTTTTCATTTATCAGTATACCCTTACTAGTTGTTAAACACTGAAGTACTTGAATACTTCTTGCCTGTCCCAGTAGCCTCTGAGCCTCCCTCCCTGGTGGGGGATGGTGGGCACCTTGTTTCACTATTCTTATTCAGATTGGCCTGTATCTTGCCATACATTAAATATTTTTTGAACATTGCTCTAAAAACAGCCTAAATATTTCCCAAAGATATATATTCATTTCAAAGAGATTTATTATATATAGTAAGGTGGGTACCTGTGGTCGGGAGCAGTGAGAAATGAAGAGTGGGTGCAGGAACGGAGAAGCAAAGAGAAAATGTAAAAACAGTAAGAGGCTGGGTGCAGTGACTCATACCTGTAATCCTAGCACTTTGGGAAGCCAAGGTGGGCGAATCACTTGGGTTCAGGAGCTTCAGACCAGCCTTCCAACATGGTGAAACCCCATCTCTACTAACAATACAAAAATCAGCCGGGTGTGGTGGCTCATGCCCGTAGCTGTAATCCCAGCTACTTGGGAGGCTGAGGCGTGAGAATTGTTTGAACCCAGGAGGTAGAGGAATACAATGCAATGCAATGCAATGCACATAGCAAGAGAAGGTTTATGTATGGACTTATTAACATAGACGAAATGAAAAATCTGATTAATTCTTCCATGCATCTGAAGTCTAAAAAGGATATCTAGAATGCTAAGAAAGTGGAAGTAATGTTTATCAATTAGAATTGAGAATTAATAAATGTGATGTTAATATAGTTTTAAGAGTACAACAATGTAAAATAATACTATCAAATACAATTATAGTTAATTAAATAATTTATACTATAATTGATATAGTAATTAAAAATGAACTGATTTTATAATTTTCTCTTTGTTCCTTTGATTGTTTCTAAGAAGACATTGAATAAGTAAATATATAATTTGGTTGTGCACAGAATGCCTGCCTACCCAGTCATCTTTTTTATGGATCAGCCATTTTTCTTATATATACTTGTTCTGTAACATAGTCACAGAGTCATGCTTTGATACTGCTCCTGTAGGTAATCAAACCTAATTTCCAGAGACACTTGGTCATTTGGTAATATTTTCAACATATGCTCATATACCCAAAATGTGTTAACTGATGTACAATTTGATACAGCATGCTTGATGACTATCTTTGAAACTTTATCTTTCATCTAATCATTATCATTTGTTACTTAGTTACTTACTTTCTGAACATTTGGACCAGAACCCTGATTCATGTCTGTTATATTTTCATTTAAGTACTATGATACATGGTTCTTTGAGCACCCATTTAGCCAAGCTGAGACTCACTGACCTTTTTTTTTTTTATACTTTAAGTTTTAGGGTACATGTGCACAACATGCAGGTTATTTACATATGTATACATGTGCCATGTTGGTGTGCTGCACCCAGTAACTCGTCATTTAACATTAAGTATATCTCCAAATGCTATCCCTCCCCCCTTCCCCCCACCCCACAACAGGCCCTGGTGTGTGATGTTCCCCTTCCTGTGTCCATGTGTTCTCATTGTTCAATTCCTACCTATGAGTGAGAACATGCAGTGTTTGGTTTTTTGTCCTTGTGATAGTTTGCTGAGAATGATGGTTTCCAGCTTCATCCATGTCCCTACAAAGGACATGAACTCATCCTTTTTTATGGCTGCATAGTATTCCATGGTGTATATGTGCCACATTTTCTTAATCCAGTCTATCATTGTTGGACATTTGGGTTGGTTCCAAGTCTTTGCTATTGTGAATAGTGCCATAATAAACATACATGTGCATGTGTCTTTATAGCAGCATGATTTATAATCCTTTGGGTATATACCTAGTAATGGGATTGCAGGGTCAAATGGTATTTCTAGTTCTAGATCCCTGAGGAATCGCCACACTGACTTCCACAATGGTTGAACTAGTTTACAGTCCCACCAACAGTGTAAAAGTGTTCCTATTTCTCCACATCCTCTCCAGCACCTGTTGTTTCCTGACTTTTTAGTGATCGTCATTCTAACTGGTGTGAGATGGTATCTCATAGTGGTTTTGATTTGCATTTCTCTGATGGCCAGTGATGATGAGCATTTTTTCATGTGTCTTTTGGCTGCATAAATGTCTTCTTTTGAGAAGTGTCTGTTCATATCCTTCACCCACTTTTTGATGGGGTTGTTTGTTTTTTTCTTTTAAATTTGTTTGAGTTTATTGTAGATTCTCGATATTAGCCCTTTGTCAGATGAGTAGATTGCAAAAATTTTCTCCCATTCTGTAGGTTGCCTGTTCACTCTGATGGTAGTTTCTTTTGCTGTGCAGACGCTCTTTAGTTTAATTAGATCCCATTTGTCAGTTTTGGCTTTTGTTGCCATTGCTTTTGGTGTTTTAGACATGAAGTCTTTGCCCATGCCTATGTCCTGAATGGTATTGCCTAGGTTTTCTTCTAGGGTTTTTATGGTTTTAGGTCTAACATGTAAGTCTTTAATCCATCTTGAATTAATTTTTGTATAAGGTGTAAGGAAGGGATCCAGTTTCAGCTTTCTACATATGGCTAGCCAGTTTTCCCAGCACCATTTATTAAATAGGGAATTGTTTCCCCATTTCTTGTTTTTGTCAGGTTTGTCAAAGATCAGATGGTTGTAGATATGCGACATTATTTCTGAGGGTCACTGACCTCTTTTTTTTACCCCTCACCATATATCTGTTTTTTTTTTATATATCCTTCTCTGAATGGTGCGTTTTGAGTTTTTCTCTCTCTTTTTTTTTTCTTCCATGGGGGTGGGGTGGCTGCTCAAGTGTTTTAACTTTCTAACTGGTCTGTTAAACATCTTGCATTTTCCCTTTCTCCATTCACTCCATATAAAGCCAACAAGTTTATCTTGTCCTCACATTTATTTTTGTTTTTGTCTGTCTTCATTTTTATTGAATTGTAACTTACGTAATATAAGTTGCACCAATTTTAAGTATACGGCTTGTTGAATTTTATTTATGTATGTACCTCTCTAAGCAACATCCATAGTGTTTGAAAGATCTGTTTCACACATCTCTGAAATACACAGAATGCCCTTCCTACATTTAGAAATTCCTACATTTCCATATTTACCTTTCCAATTATTTTGTAGTCCTAACACATAAAGAATCTGCTTGATACAGATTGTTCTCCATGAAATCCTCTTCTTTATCTCTGCTTCCTGTCTTATGCTGTTCATAATTATTTCACTTTACTATCCCTTCTGTCTACCAAATTCCTACTAACCTCCATTCAAGGTGTACTTTATTATGCACTTCCAGCAATTATTGTCTATGACATGAATTTAGCATTAGTTGACTGTATCTGTATCTGTAATTTTTCCTTGAGGCTGGTTACAGTCTGATACTACCATGTAGATATGTATAGATCTTGAGTACTAAACTTTGTGTTGGGACATAATATACACCAGAAACTAACACTCATTTATCCTTAGACTTTTCCAATTATATTTCTCACTCTTTTTTTTTTGAGACGGAGCTGGAGTGCAGTGGCAAGATCTCGGCTCACTGCCATCTCCGTAGAGACGGGATTTCACCATGTTGGCCAGGATGGTCTCAATCTCCTGACCTCGTGATCCGCCAGCCTTGGCCTCCCAAAGTGCTGGAGTTACAGGCGTGAGCCACTGCACCCGGCCAAAATTTGTATGGAATTTCAAAGGACCTAAAATAGCCAAATCAATCTTGAAAAAGATGAGTAAATTTTAAAGACTTAAACTACCTAAATTTCTGAATTAATCTAAAGCTCACCAAGAAAGGGTTTTTAGGGAGTAAGTATAGACATAGATGAGTGAATGGAATAATGTCCAGAACAGTCATTTGATTTTTGACAAAAGTGGCAGGTAATTAAATAGGTGAAGTATAGTTTTTTCAACAAATGGTGCTAGAACAACTGCGGTATCTTTTGGTGGAAAAATAAATCTTTACTAACATCATACATAAAATTAACTCTAAATGGATAATAGGCTTAGCATAAACACTAAAACTATGAAACTTTAAAAAGAAAACGTAAGGTTATATCCTTAAACTTGGGATAGAAAAAGATTTCTTAGATAAACACCCAAACCACAAAATCTTCATCAAAATTGGAAATCTTTTGGGAAAATGTTAAATAGTGAAAAGCCATGCCACAGACTGGGAGAAAATTTCTGATAGAAGATAGATAGATAGATAGATAGATAGATAGATAGATAGATAGATAGATATTGAAAACATACAATTTAAAATGAGGAAAAGATTTTAAACAATCATGTCACAAAAGAAAATATTTAAAAGCCAGTAAGCACACAAAAAACTGATCAACATCACTGATAACCAAGGAATACTGGCAAATTAAAACTGTGAGAATACCAATTGAAATTATTAAAAAGACTGACAGTATCAAATGTTGGTGAAGTTATGGAGCTTGTGAGAATGTAAAATTATACAACCACATTGGAAAATAGTTTGGCAGTTTCTTATAAATATTTAATATATGACCCTGCAATTTCTCTCCTAAATATTCACCCAAGGAAAAGAAAAACATGTCCACATGGAGACTAGTATTTGAATGTTCATAGCTGTTTGAGTTACAATATTAAAAAACTAGAAACAGGCCAGGTGCGGTGGCTCACACCTATAATTCCAGCACTTTGGGAGGCCGAGGTGGGTAGATCACTTGAGGCCAGGAGTTTGAGACCAGCCTCGTCAACATGGTGAAACCCTGTCTCTACTAAAAATACAAAAAATTTAGCCAGGTGTGGTGACAAACCCCTGCAATCCCAGCTACTCAGGAGGCTGAGACAGGAGAATCACTTGAACCTGGAGACAGAGGTTGCAGTGAGCTGAGATGGTGCCACTGCACTCCAGCCTGGTTGACAGATCAAGACTCCATCTCAAAAAAAAGAAAAAACAAAAAACTAGAAACAGCTACGGAATGGATATATAAATTGTGGTATGTATTTAAAATGGAACACTAGTCAGCAATATAAATCAATGAATGACATACTGCTACTTGTAGCAAATAGACTGAGAAAATATTGTGTGATTATATTTCATTAAATTCTAAAACAGGCAGTATTCATCCCGCATAATAGAAAGCTGATGAGTGGTTGCTTGGGGCCAGGTGGTTGGGGAGAGGATGGTTTGCAAGTGAACACAAGGGAACTTTTTTTGAATGCTCTTTCTCTTGACTATGGTAGTAGTTACACAGGTATATGTATTTGTCAGATTCATCATACTGTACATCTAAAATGAATCTATTGTATATAAATTATGTATTCATAAAGGTTAAAGTTTTAAAAAACATTCTGGCAATGGACAAATATTCTCAACAACCTGAAAAAATGAGAACACATGTACGTAGGCATACACCACTTTCTTAAATATCTATTTGGTAAGGAAATCTGTTAAAAATAATGAACATTAGAATGCTTAATATGAAAACTCACTGGAAATGACCAGAGATGTCTTCATAAGCCTGAAAATTGTACAATTCAAAGAGAAAGAAAATAATTAAATATTTAAATAATGATGTTAATACACTTCGAACTGCTAAAAATGCAGGAGGACGAATATAACAAATTAAAAAATAAAGTGAGCTAGAAAATCAGTTGTTCACTTTATATAGATTTTTCCACATGAAACAAATAAGGGCAATATCACTGATTTCTAATTTATGTTGGTTATGGATATATGCAACTTTTGTAAGGGATCAGCTAAATCATCTGCTTTGGTAGTGTTTACTTCAGTGCCTTTAACAGAGTGTTATGTAGCAAATTTGATAACGATATACTATATTTTAGGCTACTAAAGTGGAAGAATACATTGATGAGTTTGATTATTAGTGTTTGTAAGTAGCTTAAAAAATATGCTGCTGTAAGCTAGTTTATGCTGCCCATATGGAGACTTTGGGACCTTTGTTTTCCAGTATTCATATCCAGCTTGAAAGTTTTATTAATCTGACTTTAATAAGCTATGATATTATGATTTGTGTAAGCTGAGGAGGTTAACGCTTTCTTTCAGTACTGGGATTCTGTTTCTTTGCTTTTGTGTTTACAAATTTGGCTATTAACTTTTCTAAATAATTAAGTAATTTGTAAGTTTGTATCTATACAGGTGTTAATTGAAAAGTATTACATGAACAAGCATTAATGCCAAAGTATAAAATTCTTTTATGAATGATATAATCTGAATTCCTGTAAACATTTCTATTTGATTCAGCATAATCATGTTTATGTCTCTTTTTGGAAAAGAGTGTGAGTAGCTGGTAGTTTGTCTTCTAGTTCACATGTGTGTATATGATAAAGAACCATACAATTAGGTAGGTGTTATAAATAGGATATGGCAAAAAAGGCAAACCTACTCATGTTTCCAAGATTTTATAGCATATGCCTGGTGAAATTTTGCTATTCTTTAATTTTGCTTTTTGGGTTAACCAGCTGACGCCCAGTTGAAAAGACTTATGTTCGTGTGAGGCCACAAAAGCCTTAATGTTCAGTCTCCAGCTACCTCAGATTTTGGAGAACGCTGTGTACCATCAGCAGCTTGAATCCCCACCCTCTAACGCTAATGCTCATCTATCAAACTTGAGGCTAAGAGTGAGGGAGAGGAAGCTTCCAGATAAACATACAGAAGTGCCTAAACAGCTAATCACTCTAGGCTTCCGCTTCCAGGCCCTATAATTAGAAGTCCTTCTTTTTCCTTGTATTCCCAGATGACGCAAATGCTTTTTGTGGCTTGGCACCTCATTTGGGGCGTGGGTTTAGTTTATGGCCAGGCCAGAGTCTGGTTTAGTCTTCTGATGCAGCATAAATAGTTCTCAAGCCACAGTCTACTCTGCACAAGTTTTTCCTTTTATGTATATGTGCATTTTAACTTGTTTTCTAGAAGAAAAAAAAGCTTGCTATTTCCCTGGCAGAATGTGTGCAAAAGAGGAAATTCTAAATGAAAAGAAAGCACGTGACTATGTAGTCCTATACTAGCTATTTCTTTTTCTCCTTTCTGCTCTTTAAATTTTTTATATTATTTTTAAAATTTTGTGAAAAAAGTAAACTTACTGGTGGATTGTAGAAGCCACATTTGCATGGAGGGGTGGAAAAAAGTGTTTGAGATAGGATACAGAGAAGATAATAGGCATAATTTTTTAGTGGACATTTTCCTGAAAATTTGAATTTGTTTTACATAATCATAACTAAACAGAGATGAATGCCAGTTTGAAAAGCTAGGAACATATGGGAACGTGTTCATTTGTGATTTTCATTCATATGTAAAACAATAATAGTCTTGATTTGGCAAATGAGGACCTTTATTTGAATGCTCATTCTACATAAAATGGTATGATTTAAAACGAAATTTAATGAAGTTTATAGTAGGTGAGGAATATATGTTACAAATGCAAATTCATCTTATTTCCTGTCAGAATGATGTTTCTATTGAATTGTTTGTCAAGTGCAGAAAATTTGTTACAGAGAGGTGGAGTCAGAAGATAGTAGTGGATTTATGATCATTCAAACTTAGTATAACTCAGCAAAAAAGTAGGAGTGGCAAAACACTGTCTACAAATGGACAACAAAGCATTCATGCCTAAACTTAGGAATTCATTGTTTGAGGCCGGGTGCGGTGGCTCACACCTGTAACACCAGCACTTTGGGAGGCTGAGGTGGGCAGATTGCCTGAGCTCGGGAGTCAGAGACCAGCCTGGGCAACATGGTTGAAACCCCCTCTCTATCAAAATACAAAAAATTAGCTGGGCGTGGCGGCGGGCGCCTGTGGTCCCAGCTACTCGGGAGGCTGTGGCAGGAGAATTGCTTGAACCCGGGAGGCGGAGGTTGCAGTGAGCCAAGATTGTGCCACTGCACTCCAGCCTGGGTGACAGAGCAAGACTCCCATCTCCAAACAAAAACAAAACAAAACAAAACAAAACAAATTTATTGTTTGAATAACAGTAAGTAAAGAATATAAACTATGTCAATAACCTCATGATCATAGCTAGACATATAATGAGAGGTAAGGTTATATATATTGTTGTAGGTTTAATAATTTATTAAATTATTTATAATAAATGGTACCTTTCATTTTCTAAAATGTATTCTCTTGGAAATAGCCAGGACAGTGGCATCTAGTAGGATATTTTAATATAGTGACTAGAGCTGTACCTTATGTTTGCCAAAGAAATAGCAAACTCAAATTTACTTCATCTTTTCACTGAAATGACTATCTTGTCTTCCCACAGATGCTTAATATTCTTTCATGCCTTTTTGTTCAACAAAACATTAGTTTAAATGCTTATACTAATGTGATTCTGCTTCTGGGAATAGCAAGGTAAACGTAGAAACCATCCTTCCCATAGAAAACATTTATGAAACCTGGACAAAATACAACTGAACAGGCACATAAAGTTAGATATGTGTATTATAATCTCTGGAACAACCAGTAAAATTTTAATATAAAGAGATATAGCTCAAAAGTCCATAGATAAATTATTTATTTTTAACATTCAACAATAAATATTGTTAAAAATAAGTAGTCTCAAAACAGCAAGAAACCATGAGAAGAGAAATAAAACTGAATAAAATGTTGAAATTAGCATTTCATAAAAATTGAATATTCCAAATAAATAGTCCCATAACAGCAAGAAAACATGAAAAGAGAAATAAAAAACAGAAACAAGACAAGCAAAAATAATAATAAATTGGTAGACCTAAGTCCAGCCCTACCAGTAAGTACTAAATATGAATAAACTACAAATACCAATTAAAGGCAGTGATTTGATTGAAAGAGAGTGAGCGAGTGTGAGAGCACCCAACTGTTATCTAAAAGAAGCCTATATTGATAGATATAGAGTAGAAGAATGGAAAATATATACCATGCAAGTACCAATCAAAACAAAGTTGGAGTGGTAAAGTTAATATCAGAAAAAACTAGACCTCAGAGCAAGGAAAATAACCACGGTTAAATCATGTTAAAAGGGTTAATTGACCAAGACTTCATACAATCCTAAATGTGTATGAACCTTGCTCTAAAATTTAGGAAGCTGATATAACTTAGGAAAACTACACATGTCCACAATTATCCTTGGAGACTGTAACTCCTACTCAGTAATGGAACAGAAAGCAGTCAGTCAGTAAGGAAATTGAAGATGCAAACATCACTACCAATTACATACCTTTCTAGAATATATTCTAGGTGTTCAAGTGTATATGGAACAAGGATCATATTTCAAGCCATAAAACAAACTTTAACAAATGTAAAAGAAGTAACTTCTTGTCATAATGAAATTATACTGGCAATAATATCTGAAAGATATCTGGAAAATATCCAAATATTTGGTAACAAAACAATATACCTTTAAATAACCCACGAGCAAAAGACAAAGCAACTAGGAAACATTTAAAACTGAATATAAATGAAATTGCAGCATATCAAAATCTGTTACATTTAGCTAAGCAGGCTTAGAGGGACATTAATACCTATATGTGCTTACTCCAGAAAAGAAGAAAGTTCCTGAAACAATAATCTAAGCTGCTCCCATAAGAAACTCGAAAAAAGGAAGAGCAAATGAACCCAAAACAAGGAGAATAAAGGAAATAATAAATATAGTAACAGAAATCAGTGAAATTGAAAAGAGAAAAACAGAAAGTTATGAAACCAAATAGGTTAACCTTAAAAAGACCTTACCAGACTGGTGAAGAAAAAAAACAGAGAAGACACAGATTACCAATATCGTGAATGAAAAAGTGGATATCATTAATGTCTCTACAGATATTAAAAGGATGAATTCCTTGAATTACAGAAAGTAATTCATCAAAGAAGAAATTTTAAATTAAAAAATTAACAAAATATTTAATGGTAGTTAAAAATCTTCAAAAATAGGCCCAAATATTTTTACTTGAAAATTCCCTTAAACATTTAACGAAGAAATAATAGCAATCCTACATCTTTTTTTTCCCCAGAAATTAACAGAGTAAGGAGCATTCCCATTTGATTATTTGAGGCCTGGATTATCCTAAATATCAAAATCATCCAAACACATTATTAGAAAAGAAAACCACAAATCAGTATTTCTCAGGGACACAGATAAGAAAATATTCAAGAAAATATTAGAAAATTGAATCTAGCTGCTTATAATAAAGGATTTTGACCAAACGAGGCTTATCCCAAGAATGCAAGGCATATTCAACATTTGACAATCAGTTATTGTTAGAATTCGCTATATTAATAGATTTAAAAAGAGAAGCCACATAATCATTTCAATAGCTGCAGAAAAGCACTTGAAAAATTCAATTTTCTTTCATTATAAAAACTCTCAACATATTTTACGAAGGACTTTTACAAAAAACCTATACATAATGTTATACTTAAAGATTGAATGCTTTCCTCCTACAACACAGAAATCTCTCCTTCCTATTTCTGCTTGCCTCAGCAAATGCAGTAAGTCGAGAAAATTGAAGAAAAGGCATGTAGGTCAGAAGGGAAGAAATGAAACTGTGATTGTTCCTAAACTACGTAATTGTCATCAAAGAAAATTCTTGTACTGTATAAAAAAACCCCTAGAACTTGCAGGAAACATACATTGTCAAGATAAAAAATCATCAATTTTATCTCTATGCACTAGCAAGCAAAAATTGATCATTTTAAAAAATATTACCATTTATAATAACTCTAAAAGACAATATTTTCAGAATCTGTGTGTCAAACAAAAAGAAGTCAAAATAGATCTAAATCAAGAAATATGCTGTGTTAATAGATCAGAAGGCACAATATTAGGATAACAGTTGTCCCCAAATTAATTTATTACACTCAATACAGTTCCCTCAAAATCCTAAACAAGAATGGCTAAAATAATGTTGAAAAAGGCAGGAAAAGGCTCATTTTACCTGATTTCAAGATTTTCTGTGAAGTTACAGTAACCAAGAATGTGGTATTAGTGAATGTATAGACACAGAAATTGAATTAATAGAATAGAACTTCAAAAATAGGCCTTGGCCTGGCATGGTAGTTCACGCCTGTAATCCCAGCACTTTGGGAGGCTGAGGTAGGCGGATCTCTTGAGACCAGGAGTTTGAGACCAGCCTGGCCAACATGTCAAAACTCCATCTCTACTAAAAATACAAAAATTAGCCAGGCATGGTGGCGCACACCTGTAGTCCCAGCTACTTGGGAGATTGAGGCATGAGAATCTGTTGAACCCAGGAAGTGGAGGTTGCAGTGAGCCAAGAATGCACTACTGCACTCCAGGCTGGGTGACAGAGCGAGACTGTCTCAAATAATAATAATAATAACAATAAATAAAAAATAAAAAAATGCCAGGCATGGTGACTCATGCCTGTAATCCCAGCACTTTGGGAGGCTGAGTCCGGCGGATCATGAGGTCAGGAGATCGAGACCATCCTGGCTAACATGGTGAAACCCCGTCTCTACTAAAAGTACAAAAAATTAGCCGGGCATGGTGGCGGGCGCCTGTAGTCCCAGCTACTTGGGAGGCTGAGGCAGAAGAATGGCGTGAACCTGGGAGGCGGAGCTTGCAGTGGGCGTAGATCGCGCCACTGCACTCCAGCCTGGGAGACAGCGAGACTCCATCTCAAAAAGATATAGGCCTACACAAATAGCCAATTGATCCTTGGCAAGTTGACAATGTTACTTCAATGGAGAAAAAACAGTGTCTTCAAGAAGTCTTTCTGGAACAATTGGACATCTTATGCAAATAAGTTAACCTTGTCCATGTTTTGTATAGGATCCTCACCTTATAACCTGTTGTATAAGGTCCTCACACCTTATACAAATATTAAAATGATGATAGGCCTAAATGTAAAACATAAAATTATGAAACTTTTACAAGGAAAGAGAAGATCTTTGTGACCTTGGGTTAGGCAAAGAATTCTTAGCTATGACATCTCATCAAAATTAAGAACTTTCTCTGTAATAGACTCTATTGGCATTTTCAATAAATATCATGGTGAATTAAGTACAGGAAGTAGTAGTTGGATCAGTAGATAAATTGGAGCGTAGAATTAAAGCTTGAAGAAATTGCAAAAGAGGGAGTTTCATGGGGGGTATGTCATTTTCACATTCTTTGTTTTGAAAAATGATTGTGGCTGGGCACGGTGGCTCATGCCTGTAATCTCAGAGCTTTGAGAGGCCACAACAGAAGGATTGCTTGAGGCCCAGAGTTTGAGACCAGCCTGGGCAACATGGTGAGACCCTGTCTCTACAAAAATAAAAGAAAATTAGCCAAGCATGGTGGCATGTGCTTGTAGTCCCAGCTACTTGGGAGGCTGAGGCAGGAGGATCTCTTGAGCCCAGGAATTTGCGGCTGCAGTGAGCTGTGATCAGGCACCTGCACCCCAGCCTGGGCAACCGAGTGAGGTTCTGCTTCAGGAAAAAAATAAAATAAAATTATGAATTCTGTAAATTCAGGAATATCAAACTTCTCTCTGCTAGTTTTACAGGAATGCCATAATACTTGCACATCTAGTGTTTATACCTTGCTGATATACTGATGTGTCATTAAGCTTGGTATTCACATGAAAAAGATATTTTATTTTTTTCTTTTGTAAAGTTTCTTATAGCCTTGGTAATTTTTTTCCCATTGGTAATATTTTAAATATTGTGAATAGCTTTTTAGAATATTTCATCCACATACATAATCATTTTTATTTTTACCCTTTGTTTTTTGTCTTCCAGGAATGCTTCTAGTCACAACAGACACCCTTGGCCATGACTTTCATGTCTTCCAAATTCTGACTCATCCTTGGTCCTCATCACAATGTGCTGTCCACCATCTGTATACTCTTCACAGGGGAGAAACTGAAGCCAAAGTAAGCTGTATAATTTTTCAGAAGGCGATTTCTTGGTGTAATATGACATCTACTCTAGCTGGTCATTTATATTACATTGCAGCTTAATGTTGATGTTTGTGAGAAAATATTGCTGTCTGTGATAGAATGGGTTAGATAAATAGGGAAAAATTCCGTTTTGACCCAGTAAATACATAAGCACTAGATGAACATTTTTTTGTTTAAAAATTCAATGAATTTTGATAAAACAGTAGGGCTGTTTATCCTGCTTTTCCCAACCTGAGACCATTTCTTGCCCCAGGGAAAACTCCTGTCATTCATTTGCTGTCTCTCCAGACCTTTTACTAGGCATTTGGATTCTGTGTACATAAATATGTATGTGCATACATACACACACATATACATATAAACATGGACATATTCATATATACAAAAATAGTTTCATGATGAATATGGATATATGAATACAGTGGAGGCTAGTGAGAACCAGTTGCGCACATCCCTCCTTGGCACGGTATTTAGTGATATTATTTTGATTGCGTGAAATCACCCATGTTGGGACTATTTGATCATGAAAATTTGCAAACACTACAAATCAGGGCTATTTTTTTCCTCAGAGAGCTAGATTTTAAACATTTACCAGCAGATAATCACGTACACGTGCATGGGTACACATATGTTCATATGCATGATTTACTGAGCGCTTGTATCAGGTGCCACGCTAAGTGCTTCACATATATTTAATATTCTTATTTAATTTTTAATTTTTATTTATTTTTATTATTTTTTTTGAGTTGGAGTCTCGCTCTGTTGCCCAGGCTAGAGTGCAGTGGCGCTGCGATCTTTGGCTCACTGCAACCTCTGCCTCCCGGGTTCGAGCAATTTTCCTGCCTCAGCCTCCCAACCAGCTGAGATTACAGGCACCCACCACCATGCCTGGCTAATTTTTGCATTTTTAGTAGAGACGGTGTTTCACCATATTGGCCAGGCTGATCTCTTGACCAAGCTGGTCTCAAACTCCTGGCCTCGTGATCCACCCACTTCAGCCTCCCAAAGTGCTGGGATTATAGGCATGAGCCACCGCGCCTGGCCCACATATATTTAATATTCTTAATATCACATGGTAGATATTGTGTATTGTCTTAATCGCTTAAAATCTCAAACACCTTTTGTTTCATACCTTATATGCACTTGCCAATATAACACTGTATATATGTTATTCTACAAGATAGCCATTTGACCCTACTCTATTTATTGACTAGCCTATCATTTTCCAACAGTCTAAAGTGATGTTTCTCTTGAATTCCCACCAAAATAAATGACTATAATGGATTGAAATGTCTTAAATTTAGAGAACTTAAACGCTAATAGTTTATAAGAATATGTTTGAAAAAGTATTAGGCATTACTCTAGGTTGCTTATTTACTAACTCACTCTGAAAACTGATAAACCAAAAATATACAGTGTTTACCCCACTTTTCTTGTTATCAATTTAATAAGACAATCAAGTAGTTGATGAGGGAAAGTTTTTTCATTGAAATATTCTTTTTTTTTTTTTCCCTCAAGATGAAGTCTTGCTCTGTTGCCCAGACTGGAGTGCAGTGGTATGATCTCGGCTCACTGCAACCTCCACCTCCTGGGTTCAAGCAATTCTCCTACCTCAGCATCCTGAGTAGCTGGGATTACAGGCATGTGCCACCACGCCTGGCTAATTTTTGTATGTTTAGCAGAGAAAGGGTTTCACCATGTTGGCCAGGCTGGTCTTGAACTCCTGACCTCATGATCCACCTGCCTTGGCCTGCCAAAGTGCTGGGATTATAGACGTGAGCCACCGCGCCCAGCCTCACGGAAATATTCTAACATAAAACTGGCTTAAGTAAAATTTTAAAAATTATTTCTAAGGTTTCTTATACAATTATTATTATTAGTAGTAGTAGTATTTTGAGGACAGGGTCTTGCTCTGTTGTCCAGGCTGGAGTGCAGTGGCAGGATCATAGCTGAGTACAGCCTTGACCTCCTGGGCTCAAGTGATCCTCCTGTCTCAGCCTCCCAAGTAGCTGGGACTACAGGTGCATGCCACCACACCTGGCAATTTTTTCAGTTTATTTTCTTTTTTTGTAGAGATGACACTATGTTGTCTCACTGTGTTGCCCAGGCCAGTCTCAACCTCCTGAGCTCAAGTGATCCTCCTGCCTCAGCCTCCCAACGTGCTGGAATTGCAGGTGTGAGTCACCACCCTGGCCTATTCTTAATTTTTATGGGTACATAATAGTTGTACCTATTTGTGGGGTACATGTGATATTTTGATACAGGCATACAATGCGTAATGATCTCGTCAGACTAATTGGGATATCCATTGTTTCTTTGTGTTGGGAACATTCTAAATCCAATCCTCTAATTATTTTGAAATATACAATAAATTATTGTTAACTATAGTTACTTTTGCACTAAACTAACAAATCAGCTTCTAGATATAGTCTCACTTTGGAGAAAATACAGAAATAGAGGGATAAGTTAAACAACACCATGAAAATGCAACTAGCCAACTCTAAAATATGGGAAGTTCTACATTACAAATATGACTTGATTTCTTTAACAAATAATTGTAATTGGAAAATAAAAGTTGATGTGTGGTGGGGGAAAGGTGAATTGTTAAAATTCAAGGAGACTTTGGAGAGTATCATCTAAGTACAAAGCGTGGACCTTATTTAAATCCTCTTTCACACAAACCAAATATAAAAAGACATTTTTCAGACAAGTTGTGAGATTTTTACATTTGACTTACTAGATATTATTTATTATTATTAGATATTATATAGATAATATTAGGTATTCAGGAATTTAAAGTCCTTATTTTTTAGTGATGCAAAAGTATTTACAGATGTCTGGAATTTGCTTTGAAATGATCTAGCAGTAGGGGAGGGGAGGGTTGGTTAGATAATAGGACAAATAAGTGACAGAAGACAATAGAGGGATGGTTATGTTGATTATAAGAGACTTAAAATACACATTGAGTAAATGCATTGTGAAAACTTTGTTTGGACCCTGATCTAAATAAAGTATAAAGAGACATTTTTGAGACAGTTGGAGAAAATTGACCATGAATGAGGTGTTATTTGACATTTATCAACTATAACTAATTTGCTGGGTATGTAATTGTGTATTTGTTTTGTAGAGACAGAGTCTCGCTGTGTTGCCCAGGCTAGTCTTGAACTCCTGGGTTACCACCTGGGTCTTCCACAGTGTTGACATAAGCCACTGCATATTGCCTTGTAACTAATTTTTTAAAAGTCATTATTTATTAGGCATATATTCTGAATTATTTACAGGTGAACAGAGATGATATCTCTAATGTGCTTTAAAATATTCTAGCAAAACAAACAATGAGATATAGTCAACAGATCTGCAGAGCGTTAATTGTTGAAGTTGAATGATGTCCATGTAGGTGGGTCATGTTAACATTCTCTATATTTTTGTGTATGTTTGGAAATTTCTCTTAATAGGAAGCAAAAACAACACCCTTCACCAACTTTTTTACTTACTTTAGCTTTATGACTTGATTTATTGTTCGTTTTCAAAAGCTTTCCCAGCTGTTGTGTTTTAGAGTGACCTTCTTGCGTTGCATAGTGAATCCCGTGGAGATTTTTATTTAAATTGCATTGAAATTACATTTTAATACAGTTAGAACTGACATCTTTATGTTGTAGAAGTTTTGCAACTAGGAATTTTAACATTTTAAAATTTGTCATTGCTGTGGTATGGCAAAGCTATTGATAATTTTGTATTGAATTTGTGTATGCCTGCTTTGCTAGATTCTCTTGTAAGATTAAGTAGTTTTTCAGTAAATTTTCTTGGAATTTCTAAGTGGAATACATTTTCTGAAAATTATTATCTTTTTTGTTTTTATTTTTCTCTTATTATATTGTCTAGGAATTCTAAAATATTATGCAACTGTAGTAGTGATAGCTATACTCTTTGCTTTTTGAATAATATCTTTTATTTTGACTTCATTGTTTTGCCCTATTTCTTGCATGTTTTTCATGATATAAGTAATACATAATAACATTTTGGAGGTAAATTTTAGACAATCTTGAACTACATGGAACAAAAACATCAAAGTTACCTGACCCATTAACCTCTGCACCCAGAGCTGCTTTGCTTGTCAATTTGTTGTGCATTCTTAAGATCCCCAAACATGTTTATTGTAGATGAAATTGTTCTTAACAGTGCAGTGGTATTATATCTTTTTCAATTATTATCCTAGCACTGGAGATCTGAGGATTAAAAAAATGATTTTACTTAACCTTACTAATTTGAGTTCTGACATTTAAAGATCAATAGTTCTTAAAAGCTATGTATGTTTATTTCTAATTAATATCTAGGGGAAAATCCAATTTACTGATTGATAGGGTCTTGGCATTTTCTTTTCTTTCTTTTTTTTTTTTTTTTTTTTTTCTTTGGAGACGGAGTCTCTATCGCTCAGGCTGGAGTGCAATGGCACAATCGCGGCTCACTGCAGCCTCTGTCCTCCCGGGTTCAAACAGTTCTCCTGCCTCAGCACCCCTGAGTAGCTGGGACTATAGGCACCCGCCACCACACCTAGCTAATTTTTGTATTTTTAGTAGAGACAGGGTTTCACCATGTTGGCCAGGCTGGTCTTGAATTCCTGACCTCAGGTGATGCACCCGCCTCAGCCTCCCAAAGTGTTGGGATTACAGGCATGAGCCACTGCACTTGGCTGGGTCTTGGCATTTTCATAGTCCAAGTTCTATTTGAATTAATTCATGAGCTTTAATTAAAATGTAAAAATCTTGAATTTTTATCCCTTACTGTATATTTTTTCCTGCTTTTTGTGTTCTTGTTGCTACAGTTTAGAAAAGACTAAAGACAGGAAATGGGTTTGCACATTTTTCTTTATCTCTGTTATTTTATTCTCAGGCTAAACTGGGAAGTCTTATCTTTTAAATTTTTTAAAAATTATTTTTAAACTTTTTTTTTTTTCTTTTGAGACAGAGTCTTGCTCTGTTGCCCAGGCTGGAGTGCAGTGTCTCGATCTTGGCTCACTGCAACCTCTGCCTCCTGGGTTCGAGTGATTCTCCTGTCTCAGCCTCCCGAGTAGCTGGGGTTACAGGCGCCCAACAGCATGCCCAGCTAATTTTTGTGTTTTTAGTAGAGACGGGGTTTCACTATGTTGGTCAGGCTGGCCTCAAACTCCTGACCTCAGGTGATCCACCCATCTTGGCCTCCCAAAGTGCTGGGATTACAGGTGTGAGCCACCGTGCCTGGCCTAAACTTTTATTTTAAGTTCAGGGGTACATATGCAGGTTTATTATGTAGGTATATTCATGTCATGGGGGATTGTTGTACAGATTATTTTGCCATTCAGGTACTAGGCCTAGTACTCAGTAGTTATTTTTTTCTGATCCTCTCCCTCCTTCCATCTTCCACCCTCAAGGAGGCCCCAGTGTCTGTTCCCTCTATGTGTCCATGTGTTCTCATCATTTAGCTTCTACTTATAAGTGAGAACATGCAGTATTTGGTTTTCTATTCCTGTATTAGTTTGCTAAGGATAATGCCCTCCAGCTCCATCCACGTTCCTGCAAAGACATGATCGCATTCTTTTTTATGACTGCATAATATTCCATGGTGTCTATGTACCATGTTTTCTTTATCTAGTCTGCCATTGATAGGCGTTTAGGTTGATTCCATGTCTTTGCTATTAGGAATTGCACTGCAGTGAACATGTGCATGCATGTGTCTTTATGGTAGAATGTTTGATATCCTGTTGTATATTTACTCAGGAATGGGATTGTGCTGGGTTGAATGGCAATTCCGTTTTTAGCTCTTTGAGGAATTGCCACACGGCTTTCCCCAGTGATGGAACTAACTTACACTCTAACAGTGTATAAGCGTTCCCTTTTCTCCACAACCTAAGGAGCATCTGTTATTTTTTGACTTTTTAATAATAGCCATTCTGGCTGGTGTGAGATGGTTTATCCTGGTTTTGATTTGCATTTCTCTAATGACATTCTTTTGAAAAGTGTCTGTTCATGTCCTTTGCCCACTATTTAATGGGGTTTTTTGTTTTTTTTTCTTGTAAGTTTGTTTAAAGTTCTTATAGATGGTGGATACTAGACTTTTGTGAGATGCATAGTTTGCAGATATTTTATCTCATTCTATAGATTGTCTGTTTACTATGTTGATTGTTTCTTTTGCTGTGCAGAAGCTCTTTAGTTTGATTGGAGCCCATTTGTCAATTTTTGCTTTTGTTGTGATTGCTTTTGGTGTCTTTGTCATGAAACCTTTGCCAGTTCCTGTGTCCAGAATGGTATTGCCTAGGTTGTCTTCCAGAGTTTTTATAGTTTTGAGTTTTATATTTGAGTCTTTAATTCATCTTGAGTTGATTTTTTTTTTTTTTTGAGATGAAGTCTCGTTTTTGTCACCCAGGCTGGAGTGCAATGGCGTGATCTCTGCTCACTGCAACCTCTGCCTCCCGAGTTCAGGCGATTCTCCTGCCTCAGCCTCCCGAGTAGCTGGGCTTAGAGGCACCTGCCACCACATCCAGCTAATTTTTGTATTTTTAGTATAGATGGGGTTTCACTATATTGGCCAGGCTGGTCTCGAATTCCTGACCTTAGGCAATCTACCTGCCTCGGTCTCCCAAAGTGCTGGGATTACAGGCGTGAGCCACTGGAGTTGATTTTTTATATGATGTAAGGAAGGGGTTCAGTTTCAACCTTCTGCACATGGCTAGCCAGTTACCCGAGAACCATTTATTGAATAGGGAGTCCTTTCCCCATTGCTTGTTTTTGTCAGCTTTGTTGAAGATCAGATGGTTGTAGGTATGTGTCCTTATTTCTGGGGCTCTCTAGTCTGTTCCATTGGTTTGTGTGTCTGTTTTTGTATTAGTACCATACTGTTTTGCTTACCACAGTCCTGTAGTATAGTTTGAAGTCAGGTAACATGATGCCTCCAGCTTTGTTCTTTTTGCTTAGGATTACGTTGGTTATTTGGGCTCTTTTTTGGTTTCATATGAATTTTAAAATAGTTTGGGAATCTTATTTTAGAAAATTGTGGTGAAATGCAAAAAAAAAATTCCACCATTTTTACCATTTTAAAGCATACAGTTCAATGGTATTAATTCACACTGTTGTGCATCCATCACCATCATCTAGGTAATCTTAGCCTTTAGCATTGAATGACTTTTCTAAGCTATCACCATTTAACATTTTACCCATACTAGTAGTTCCTTGATTAGAGAAAAACTAGAAAATGGAATTTTAGTCATTAACACAGTGTCTTTTCTTCTAATGTTCCCATCAGGCAAATTATTATTTATGTGCAAATTTTAACTCATTCATGAGTAAATATGGGAATATTTAACATCTCATACATATAATGCCCAATTTCTTTCTTCTGGATTAAATACTTAAAATATTTTTACCTTCTTGAGGGTAATAAGGATTATTATATCTGTTTTATTCTTCACCAAAAATACATACAATGCATACTTTTAAAGTTCCTACTGAGTTTAATGAAATTGATTTTTCTATTAAGATTTCATTTTAGAAGTATATTCATTGGATCATGATTTATATTTTTCATTCATGCAATATTCATGTTAAAAATTACCTTATTTCTTCTCTTCCTTATCTAGGTGGAATCAATTCTTCTCTTCCTTGTGTTACTCATTTTACGCCCCATTATAGTACTTATTATTTTGTATTTTGACTGGTTGTCTACTTGTTTGTCTCCACTAATACTGGGATTTCTTTTAAAAATAAATTGTACCTCATTGATTTTTATATGCATAGGCCTTCCACTAAGGCAGATACATTTTTTTCCTTGGACCATTTGAAAGTAGATTGCCAACATGACATGATGCCCTATTACCCTCAATGCTTGAATGTGTATTTTCTACAAATGAGAACATTCTTCTGTGTAACCATAAAAAAGTCAAATCAATAAATTTTCACCATCTAATTTTGAAAGTCCATTTTGGTTTCACTGATTGTCCCAGTAACTAGCTAAAGGATCTAGTTCAGGGAAACTGAATTTTTTTTTTTTTTTTTTTGAGACAGAGTCTTGCTCTGTCTCCAGGCTGCAGTGCAGTGGCGCTATCTCAGCTCACTGCAACCTCCCGACTGCCTGGTTCAAGCGATTCTCCTGCCTCAGCCTCTGGGATTACAGGCAGACGCCACCAAGCCCAGCTAATTTTTTTTTGTAATTTTAGTAGAGATGGGGTTTCACCATGTTGGTGGCCAGGATGGTCTGGATATCCTGACCTTGTGATCCGCCCTCCTTGGCCTCCCACAGTGCCAGGATTACAGGCATGAGCCACCGTGCCCGGCTGGAGACTGAATTTTTATATCTCTTTAATCTCCTTCATTCTGGAACAGGTCATTATTATTTCTTTGCCTTTTATGCTCTCGGCACATTTAAATATTACAAGTAATTTATTTTTGTCAAAAGTGCCTCAATTTTTTATCTGATGTTTCATTATGATTAGATTTAGCTTACTCATCCTTGACAGGAATGTCACAGAGTAGGTGCTGGTTCTTATTGCATCCTATCAGGTTGTTACTGATTTTGATTTTGATTTGTTATTGATGATGATCAGTTTAATCACATGACTGAGATGATGTCTGCTGGTCTTCCTCACTGTGCAGTTACTCTTTTGTACTTATAAAAATTTACAAGGTTTTTGGGGCAGTAATTTAAAACTATGTAAATATGCCATTCTGCATTGAACTTTCAATTCATTCCTTTATTTACCTATCATTTTGGTCTCATAGATTCCTATTTTATTCAATGGATTATATTTGTTCAATAATTACTTATTATAGTGCACAAAATGTCCCACATTTGGCCAGTGGGAGCCCAATAACTTGGTGTCTGTGTCCTTTTGACATATCTTCACCACTTTCTGAGCTTGTCCTTACTTTCTGGCACAACTAACTTGCTTACCCTTAAGTTTAATTATTATTTGTTTTTGTCTCTTTTGTATGGAAGTTTTAAATTTGATGAGCATTTTATCTAGAGTTAATATTTCACTGTGCTGCTGGGCACATTTTATTTCTTACCTCTTTTTCAAATCCCATCCCATCTGTTCTAGTCACTGAGATGCTCTACCTCATCTCTGACCTTTTAGAATTTGGATATTTTAAGCACTTAACACCTATTTTTGATACCTCTTTGTATTAAAGTTATTTGCCATTTAATTTATCTATAAGTTCAATATGGAAATAGAAATTTTGCTTAAGCTTCTTGGCATCTCTCATGCATAGAATGGAGCCTTGCATATTGTAGTGCAAATGTTTGCTAATGCCAGTGATGTTCCTACTTAACAGGTAGGAAAGTCAAATAGAAATTATTTAAATGATTATGCTCTAGAACACACTCTGTATGGGAGACTGGGAATTTCTAAACCCCAAATACCAGGACCTCAGTGACCACAAAATTAATTTTATAAGGTTCTACAGAAAATTATTTTGAACTGATATATAAAATTTAACACCAGTCGTGAAATCTATATGTCACATGATCTGTTTGGCCCTCTTTGAGTACTACAAAAGCATGTTTTTCTGGATTCTTCCAAGAACTCTGACGGTACTTTAATCAGGCAAGGAAAAAAATTCAGTATGTGTATCTAATTATACTGAATTAAGTTGTTTTGTGGTCTATGACTTGGGATATCCTTTGCATCTGACAGTAATTTTCCTCGTAAAGCACATATGCAGTAAGAAAAATAGTCCTTGTTTTCAACAGTAAGTATAAACCTTACACATATTTTGTTAACATACTTTCTCAAACAGACTCAAGTCATTTTTGTACTTAGCATGCTAATTTTGGCAAATGGCAAACTTGCTTTTGAAACAAAATCAGAAAAGTGTTAATTTTACCATTCTAGAATAATACTGTGAAATAATATAGTTAGTATCTTCAATTGTCAAGGGGAAAATCATCTAGTTATTCAGTGTTATTAACTGATAACTATTTGATGGTCATTTTAGATAAATGCAAATATTTGTTTTTAGTGTGAACATGTTCCAAATATTTCCTAGTTATGGTTTTACTAATATTCAAGTTTAACTGGGCTTTCTGTATTTATTTTTGTGAATCTAGCAACCCTGTGCATGACCCTATCTATAGTCATGTAATTCTTCAGTTTTTCTGCAAAAACGTCATTTTTATTGAGATATAATTTACATACTATAAAATTCATTTTTAGAAGTGCAATTCAGTGGTTTTTGTTATGTTTTTACAGTTTGCATATCATCACTAGTATCTAATTTCAGGACATTTTTGTAATCCTTAAACCACTTATCCATTAGCAGTCACTCCTCATTCCTGTTTTCCCTGCTCCCCTATATACTTGGATGCTGATTAGTAATTATATAACTAAGGACAGGCTAAATACCTTCTCTAATCTTCAAGTTACTCTTCTGTAAAATGGGGCCAATACCGATTTCAGAGTTTATTGAGGAAATAACAGAAATACTATATGTAAAATGCTTAGCAAAGCACTGGCACAGTAAATGCCAAATACAGAGTCAATATTAGGACCTCTACTTTTGGCCAATATAGCGTTAAGAGCTGGATTAACCCTCCTACCTGAAACAACTAAACAATGAACAGTAGTTTTCTATTTACTGTACATTAGTCATTGAAAGATGGCAATCCCTGATAGATGAAGAACAAATGAGAGGATGCCTATGGTTGCCCCAGTTTATTGCTTTGAAAGAGTTTCCAGTCATGGTGCAGGAAGGGGGAACCCTAGTGGAGCCTAGCAGTCTCCCTGAATTGATGAGGTATTGCTAAGAGTCCTGGGAGGCCAAGATCATAGATTCTCAATACACTGGACCAGAGACATGGGAGCTGCAGAGAGAGAATCCCAGAGATCTGCAGAGGAGACATGCGAACAAAGAAAGAACTACCGTCAGATCAGAAAGGCAAGAGTAAAACTATCTTTTATTCAAAAATGACATGATTGTCTATGTTGAAAAACTAAAGGATTTTATTTTATTTTTAAAAAACTAATAAATGATTTTAACAAGGTTACAGGATATTAGATCAATATACAAAAATCAGTTGCATTTCTATATACTAACAACAATGAATTGATCATTTAAAAAATCCAGAAGTGTATACTACTGACATTCAATAAGCAAGACTTGTACTCTGAAAGCTAGAAAATATTGCTCAGAGTAAAGACCTAAATAAATGGAGAATTAAACCATTTTCTTGTGCTAGAATACTTACCATCATTAAAATGTCAGTTCTTCCCAGATTTATCCATAGACTCGATGTAATCTGCATCAACATCCCAGCAGGGTTTTCTTTTGGTTAAACATTAACAAGATAATTCTAAAATTCACATGAAAATGCACAACACTTATGAGCAAAATAATTTTGAAAAAGAAAAAGTTGGAGAAATGTCACTACCTATATCAAGACTTACTAAAACTACAATAATCAGTAGGGATCCTGTGACCATTCCCACACATGTGGAGACAACTTATTTTTGACAAAGGTGCAAAGATACAAAGTGGAGAAAGATTAGTCTTTTCCACAAATTAACAAATTAACTCAAATTAGATCATAGACTTAAATGTAGAACCTACAACTATGAAGTTATTAGAGCACCAAAAGAAACCTTCGTGACTTGGGTTAGGGACAGACTTTTAAAATGTGACACCAAGGTTGGACACAGTTATAATTCCAGTACTTTGGGAGGCTAAGGTGGGAGGATCGGTTGACCCCAGGAGTTCAAGACCAGACTGGGGAACATAGAAAGACTCTGTCTCTACAAAAGCAAAAAAAAAGTTAGCCAGGCCTGGTGGTGCATGTCTGTAGTCCCACCTCCTTGGGAAGCTGAGGTGGAAGGATCGCTTGAGCCTGGGAGGTCAAGACTGCAGTGAGTCATGATCACACCACTGCACTCCAGCCTGGGAAACAGAGCAAACCCCTGTCTCAAAAAAAAAATTTTTTTTTTGGTTTTGTTTTTGCTTTGCAAAATTTTCTATTCCAAAGCCCATTAAAGAAAAATTGATAAACTGGATTTCATCAAAATGAAACACATCTGCTTTTTGAACAAAACCATTAAGAGAATGAAAAGACACAAGTTGTATGTCTTATGTCCACAATACCTTTAAAGAACTAACTCCCCACAGTCAGTGAATAGAGGAACTAAATTTCTCATATTTCATACATTGCTGTTGGTACAGCTTCTCTGGGAAATAATTTTGCATTTACTTAAAATATTAATATGTACTTACCATAGAACCCAGCAATTTCAGTCCTGGGGCAGATTGTTCATATTATAAAATTCATGTTGTTCAGGATGATGTCCAGATTTACTCAATGGTTTTTTTCCTGTGGTTACTACAACAAATTGCCATGAACTTGGGAGCCTAAAATATCAAAAATTATTCTCCTACAGTTTTGGAGGGCAAAAATCTAAAATCAAAATGTAAGCAAGGCTGCACTTCCTTTGGAAATTCTGAGGAAGAATTTGTTCTTTGCCCTTTCTAGCCTTTGATGGCCTTTAGCATTCTTTGAGTTATAGCCACATCACTCAGTCTCTGTCTCTCTGATTGTATTACATCCTCCTCATTTCTGAGTCAGCTCCTCTTCTGTATTTCTTGTAAAGATACATGTGATTGTTTTAAGTACCAACCTGGATAACCCAGGGATAAGCCCCTTCTCTTAGGATTTATAACCTAATCACTTATTTTGCCAAAGAGTAACTCTTTGATCCTTTGAGGGATGTGGACATGTCTTTTGGGGGCTATAATTCACTTCTCTGTATTCTATCCTCTGCCTCCCAGAATTCATGTTCATGCCATATGCTAAGTATTACCTCTTTTCCCTACCAACATCCCCAAAAGTCACAACCCATTCATTACAGCATCAACTCTAAGTCTAAATTTTTTTTAAAAATATTATCGGCTCAAAGGTCCAATCTTATCATCTCAATCATCTGACTCTGGTATGGTTGAGACTCTGGAATTTATCCTAGGGCAAAATTCCTGTGCTTCTGTGGACCTGTGAAACTACAATAAAAGTTACCTCCTGCCAAAATACAGTAGTAGGATATGCGTAGGATAGACATTTCAAAAGGAAGAAATGGAAAAGAATAAAAGAGTCACTGGTTTCAAACATGTTTAAAATCTAGCAGGGCAAATTCCATTGTGTTTCAAGGCCAGAGTTTCCCATCTGGCTTGAGGCACTGCCCTCCTGGACTGCGGCTTCATTTTCTGGGCCTGTGGCTCTGCCCATTCCTGCCTTTGTACACACAGCTTAGGCCTTTAAGTGCACATCTCTGCCCTTGGAGTCATTCATACATTTTATTGAAGGGTAGCACAGGTTTGCACCTAGGTAGCTCTATCAGCCTGTTTCCTGCTTGTGGAATTTTGCAAGTCCAGTAGCTGCCTTCTTCTTCTTTTTCTTTTTTTTTTTTTAATCATGCCTTTGTGCCTTTCAGTCCAAGATGGCGGTGTTTCTGCAGATACTACATTCTCAAAAACCTTGTGTATCTCCTGTGTATGTCATGGGGATCCATGCCATCAGACAAGAGGACACTCCACAGATCTTTCTTGCATTTGTCTCTCTATTCCTGGCTTCTGCTGATTGAGTGGATCCATGAAACACATGCCTGATGTCTTCAGCAGAATGTTGTCAAGCTATACTCCTGGCCTTCAGAGCACATTTTCCCAACCATGAAACTCCTCATAGTAACATCTTTTTCTCCTTGGTAGGATATTCAAATACCAGAAGATCCAAAGGAAGTATTATTGAATGGTAAAATAAGAAGCACTCTGAATGGCAGTAAGGGAGACATTTGAGGTCAGGGAGAAATTTTGAAAAACTTATATCATAAATTTTGTCATTTAGCTATGATGGAATGATAGGAACTGGATTAAACCTCTGTATCCGTTAAGGTTCTACCAGAGAAACAGAATCAGTAGGGCATTACAGAGGTTTATCAGCATACATGATTCTGGCGGCTGGCTAGGCTAGTCTGAAATCAGTAGGGCTGGCCAGAAGGAATGTCCAGGTGGAAACTGTCATGCAGGAGCTGCTGCTTCAATCTATAGGATCACAATAGTCACATTAGCAGAATGAACCTCGAGATTACCCAGATGTAGTAAATTATAAAAATTATTTTATTTTTAAAATAAATTTTCAATTTTGGAATCATTTTAGAGTTACAGAAAAGTTGCAAAGATAGTATAGAAAGTTTCTATACCATATCAAATTTCTCCTTTTTTATACTTAAAAAAATATACATATAAAATTTACTATCTTTACCATTTTTAAGTGTACAGTTCAGTGGTAATAAATACATTTCTATTCCTTTTCTTCCCCTTCATTCACCCTGCCCCACACTTCCTGGCCTCTGATAACTGCCATTCTACTCTCTATCTTCATGAGGCCCACTGCTTTTTTTTTTTCACATCAGATGGATAATGTGCTGACATTGTAACGAGGCTTGAGGAAGGCACATCTCACACAGCAGTGTGAAAACCCACTCATCATGCTTATGAACTACAAAAGGATCAAAGATCCACTTTTGTAGTTCCCACCTAGGAGTGAGATCATGCAACATTTCACTGTGCCTGGTTTGTTTCTCTTAACATAATGGCCTCCAGTTTCAGCTATGTTGCTGCAAATGACAGGATTTCATTCTTTTTTTTAAAGCTGAATATTTCATTGCTATATATACCATATATGCTTTATTTATTCATCTGTTGATGAACTCTTAGAGTGATTCCATATTTTGGCTATTGTGAACAGTGCTGCAATAAACATGGAAGTACAGATATCCCCTAGATGCATTGATTTTCTTTCTTTTGGCTATATACCTGGTAGCAGAATTGCTGGATCATATGGTAATTCTGTTTTTAGTTTTCTGAGGAACCTCCATACTGTGCTCCATAGTGGCTGCACTAATTTACATTTCCACCAGCAGTGTGCAAGGGTCTCTTCTCCACATTCTCACCAGCATCTTTTATTGATTGTCCTTTTGATACAAGCCATTTTTACTAGGGTGAGATGATATCTTGTTGTGGTTTTGATTTGTGTTTCTCTGATGACTAGTGATGTTGAGCATTTTTTTTCATATACCTATTGGCCATTTGCATGTCTTCTTTTGAGAAATGTGTGTTCAGGTCTTTTGCCCATTTTTAAATTTTCTTATTTTTTCTTTTGTTTCTAATGGGGTTGGATTTTGCCCATTTTAAAATTGGATTATTTGGGGGTTTTTGCTATTGAGTTACTTGAGCTCTTTATATATTATAGTTATAAATTCTTTGTCAGATGGATAGTTTGCAAATATTTTCTTCCATTCTGTGGGTTGTTTCTTCACTTTGTTGATTATTTCTTTTGCTGTGTAGAAGCTTCTTAGCTTCAGGTAATCCCATTTGTCTATTTTGCTTTGGTTGTCTAGGTTTTGAGGTCTTACACAAAAAGGCTTTGCCCAGACCAATGTCCTGGACTGTTTCTCCAAAGTTTTCTTTTAGTGGTTTCATAGTTTGAGGTCTTAGATTTACGTCTTTAATCGATTTTGATTTGATTTTTGTTATGGTGAGAGATAGAGGTCTAGTTTCATTCTTCTGCATAGCTATCCAGTTATCCCACCACCACTTATTGAAAAGACTGTTCTTTTACCTTCTTATGTTCTTGGCGTCTTTGTCAAAGACGAATTGACTGTAAATGCATGGATGTATGTTTGGTTTCTCTAGTACGTTCCGTTGGTCTGTGTATCTATTTTTATGCCGGCACCATGCTGTTTTGGTTATTATATACCTGTAGTAAATTTTGAAGTCAGAAAGTGTGATGCCTTCAGTTCCTTTGGCTCAGGATTGCTTTGGCTATTTGTGGTCTTTTGTGGCTCCATATAAATGTTAAGATTTTTTTTTTCCTATTTCTGTAAGAATGTTGTTGGAATTTTGATAGGGATTGCATTGAATCTGTAAACTACTTTGGATAGTATTGTCGTTTTAACAGTATTCTTTGATCCATAAGCATGGAATATCTTTCCATTTTTTTGTGTCTTCTTCAATTTCTTTCATATTTCATAGTTTTCTTTTTATAGATCTTTCACTTCTTTAGTTAGATTGAGACCTAGGAATTTTATATTTTTGTAGCTATTACAAATGGGATTGCTTTCTTGATTTCTTTTTCAGATTGTTCCCTGTTGATGTATATAAATGCTATCGATTTTTTTTTTTTTTTTTTGAGATGGAGTTTTGCTCTGTCGCCCAGGCTGGAGTGCAGTGGCGCAATCTCAGCTCACTGCAAGCTCCGCCTCCCAGGTTCATGCCATTCTCCTGCCTCAGCCTCCCGAGTAGCTGGGACCACAGGCGCCTGCCACCATGCCCAGCTAATTTTTTGTATTTTTAGTAGAGACAGGCTTTCACTGTGTTAGCCAGGATGGTCTCGATCTCCTGACCTCATGATCCACCCGCCTCGGCCTCCCAAAGTGCTGGGATTACAGGCGTGAGCCACCACACCCGGCCAAATGCTACTGGTTTTTGTATGTTCATTTTATAACTTGCAACTTTACTGAATTTGCTGATCAGCTGTAACAATTTTTTGGTGAGTTCTGTAGCCTTTTCTGGATATAAGATCATGTTGTCTGCAAACAAGGCTGATTTGAATTCTTCCTTTCCAATTTGGTTGCTCTTTATTTCTTTCTCTTGCCTAATTGCTCTGGCCAGGACTGGCAGTATTATGTTGAGTAACCGTAGTGAGAGTGGACATACTCGTCTTGTTCCAGTCTTTAGAGGAAAGGCCTTCATTTTTTCCCTGTTCCGTATGATGGTAGCTGTGGATTTGTCATATATGGTCTTTATTATTTTGAAGTATGTTGTTTCTATACCCATTTTGATTAGGGGTTTTTTTATATCATAAAGGATGTTGAATTTTATAAAATACTTTTTCAGTATCTATTGAAATATGTGGTTTTTGTTTTTGATTCTGTTAATATGATATATCATGTTTATTGAGTTGCTTATGTTGAACCATCCTTGCATCCCTGGAATGAATCCCATTTGATATTATAAATGATCTTTTTAGTGTGTTGTTGAATTCTGTTTGCTAGTATTTTGTTGAGGATTTTCACATATATGTTCATCACGGATATTGGCCTGTAGTTTTCTTTTCTTGTTGTCGTGTCCTTATCTGATTTTACTGTCAAGGTAATGCTGGCCTTATAGAATGAGTTTGGAAGTATGTCCTCCTCTTCAATTTTTTTGAAGAGTTTGAGTACAATTGGTATTAATTCTTCTTTAAATGTTTGGTAGAATTCAGCAGTGAAGTTGTGAAGTCCTGGGATTTTCTTGCTTTTTATGGAGGCTTTTTATTACAGCTTCAGTTTTGTTACTTGTTATTGGTTTGTTGAGGTTTTCTGTTTCTTCATGATTCAATCTTGGAGGTTGTATGTTTCCAGAAATTTATCCATTTCTTCTAGGTTTTCCAGTTTGTTGGTATATAATTGTTCATAGTAGTCTCTAATGATTTTTTGTGTTTCTGAGGTCTCAGTTGTTATGTGTCCTTTCTTTGTTTCTGATTTTATTTATTTAGGTCTTCTCTCTTTTTTCTTAGTCTAGCTCAAGACTTGTTGATTTTGTTTACATTTTTGAAAACCAATGTTTTGTTCTATTGATCTGTATTTCTTTTTAGCTTCGATTTCATTAGTTCCTGCTCTGATCTTTATTATTTCTGTCTTTACTATTTTTGACTTTGGTTTGTTCTTGCTTCTAGTTCCTTGAGGTATATCATTAGGTTGTTCATTTGAAGCCTTTCATTTTTCTGATATAGGCATTTATTGCTACAAACTTGCCTGTTAGTACTGCTTTTGCTATATCCCATAGGTTTTGGTATATTGAATTTTTTTTTTTTTTTTTTTTGAGATGGAGTCTCACTCCAGGCTGGAGTGCAGTGGCGCAATCTTGGCTCACTGCAACCTCTGCCTCCTGAGTTCAAGTGATTCTCCTGCCTCAGCCTCCAGAGTAACTGGGATTATAGGCGCCCGCCACCACACCTGGCTAATTTTTGTATTTTTAGTAGAGATGGAGTTTCACCATGTTGGCCAGGCTGGTCTTGAACTTCTGACCTCAAGTGATCTGCCCCCTCGGCTTACCAAAGTGCTGGGATTACAGGCATGAGCCACCACGCCCGGCCTATATATTGCATTTCCATTTTTCCATTTTCACTTGTTTCAAGACATTTTAAAATTTCTTTCTTAATTAATTTCTTCATTGACCTATTGGTCACTCAGGAGCATGTTTTTTAATTTCTATGTGTTTATATATTTTCCCCAGTTCTTCTTATTAAGTTCTAGTTTTAGTCCATTGTGGCCAGAAAAGATATTTGATATGATTTTTATTTTAAAAGTTTTGTTCAGATTTGTTTTATGACCTAAGATATGGTCTCTTCTGGAGAATGTCCCATGTGCTAGTAAAGAAAATGTATGCTGCAGCAGTTGGATAAAATGTTCTCTAAACGTAGTTAGGCTTGTTGGATCTGGTGTGTAGTTTAACTCTGCTGTTTCATTGTTGATTTTATGTCTGAATGATTTGTCCATTACTGGAGTGGGGTCTCCTTCTTTTATTGTATTGCAGTCTATCTCTGTTTTAGATCTATTAATATTTTCTTTATAGACTTGAGATGTCCAGTGTTGGTTGAATATTTATAATTGTTACATATGTTTACTTAATTGACCCCTTTATCATTGTATAGTGTCCTTCTCTGTCTCTCTTTATAATCTTAGATTGGTTGTCTATTTTTTCATGTAAGTATAGCTATTCCTGCTCTGTTTTGGTTTCCAGATACGTGGAGTATCTTTTCTCACCCCTTCACTTTCAGTCTATGTGTGTCTTTATAGGTGAAGTGGATTTCTTGAAGGCAGCATGTAACTTGGTCTTGTTTCTTTATCCATTCAGCCACTCCGTGCCTTTTAGTTGGATAATCGAGACCATTTACATTCAGCCTTATTATTGATAAGTAAGAAGATACTACTGCCATTCTTTTGCTAGTTTTCTGGTTGTTTCTTTCTTAGTGCCTTCCTTTGTGGGTAAGTTATTTTCTCTGGTATTATGCTGTTAATTTGTTGCATTTCTTTTTAGTGAGTCTGTTACAGGATTTTGTGTTACAAGTTTTTGTGTTGTGGTTACCAGGAGGCTTATAGAGACATCTTATAATAGATATAACAAGTTATTTTAAAGAGACTACAACTTATCTTAGATCACAAATAGAAGAGTAGAAACAAAGGCAGGCATAAAGAACATGTAAAAAAAATTTATACTTTTACTCTATCACCCAACTTTTTTTTTTTTTTTTTTTTGAGACAAAGTCTTACTCTGTTACCCAGTGGCACGTTCTTGGCTCATTGCAACCTCCGTCTCCTGGGTTCAAGTGATTCTTCTGCCTCAGCCTCCTGAGTAGCTGGGATTACAGACATGTGCCACCATGTCCAGCTAATTTTTTTGTGTTTTTAGTAGAGACAGGGTTTCACTGCATTGGCTAGGCTGGTCTTGATCTCCTGACCTCAAATGATCTGCCCTCTAAAAGTGCTGGGATTACAGATGTGAGTTACCATGCCTGGCACCCCCAGCATCTTGACTTTTGGTTATATCAGTTTATATTTTTTGTATTACCTATGTTTTAACAGGTTGCTAATAGCGATTATTATTTTTGATAGATTTATCTTTTGGGTTTCATACTAGAGTTATGAGTGGATTGTACACCACCATTTCAGTTATAGAGTATTTTGTGTTTCACCATGTACTTTTTACCAGTGGGTTTTATACCTTGAAAAGCTTTCTTTTAGCACATCAGAGTTTTCTTGGTTCAGATTGAATTATTCTCGTTAGCATTTCTTGTTAGGTGGGTCAGGTGGTGGCAAATTATTTGTTTTTGTTTGTCTCAGAAATACTTTATTTCCCCTTCATATTTCAAGTATAATTTTGCTGAATGCAATATTCTTGGATGGCAATGTTTTCTCCTTGAGCACTTTGAAAATGTTGTTATACTCCCTCCTGGCTTATATGATTTACACTGGGAAGTCTGTTGCCAGACAAATTGGAGATACAGTGTTTGCTTCTTTTCTCGTGCTGTTTTTAGGATCTTCTCTTTGTCCTTGACCTTTGAGAGTTTCATTATTATACGTGTTAGAGTACTTTTATTTGGGTTGAGTGTTGTTCTCAGTCCTTCCTATAACTGGATATTTATATCTTTCTTAAGTTTTAGAAAGTTTTCCATTATTATTTCTTTGGCTGCATTTTCTACCCTTTAGTCTTATCTCCCTCTTGAATACCAATAATTCTTAGATTTGGTCTTTTGAGGTAATTGTCTGCATCCTGTTGGTGGTATTCATTCCTTTTTGTTCTTTGTCCTTCTCCCACCACCCCCCACACCCCCAATTGTATTTTCAAATAGCCAGTATTTTAGGTCACTGATTCTTTCCTTCACTTGGTCCATTCCACTGTTGAGAGTCTCTGATGACTTCTTCAGTTCAGCAAATATGTTTCTCAGTTCCAAGATTTCTATATTTTTTCCCAATCTCTTTGTTAAATTTCTCTGATAAATTTCTGAATTGCTTTTCTGTGTGTTTGTTGTTGTTGTTGTTGTTGTTGTTGTTTTGGAGATCACTGAGTTTTCTTAAAACTGCTATTTTGAATTCTTGGTCAGAGGGCTCACAGATCACTCTTTCATTAGGGTCTGTCACTGGAGTTTTGCTTTGTCCATTGGAGAGGTCATAATTCCCTACTTGCTGTTGTTTTTTTCGTGTGTATATCTGTATCTTTGCATTGATACTTTATTTCAGTTTTATCTGTCTACCTTGTTTTGATTTTATTGGGTATATTTTGCTTAGTGCATTTTTTTTAATCCTTTTAGAGTCAGGGCTCATTTTGTTGCCCAGGCTGGAGTACAGTGGTGCAGTCATTGCTCACTGTAATCTTGAACTCTTGGGCTGGAGCAATCCTCTAACCTCAGCCTCCTGAGTAGCTAGGACTACAGGCACGTGACACCATACCTGGCTAACTTTAAAAAGAATTTTTTTTGTTGTTGTTGTTAGAGACAGACTCTCATTGTGTTGCCCTGCCTGTCACAAACTCCTGGCCTGAAGTGATCCTCTCACCTGCCTTGGCCTTTCAAGGCACTGGAATTACAAGCATGAGGCAGCGTGTCTGGCCTGTTAGTGAATCTTTACAGCTAAGTTGTTGCCTTTTTTTTTTGGATATAGGTGGTACCTAAAGCCCAGGTTCACCTTGGCTCTGCTAAATGATTGTAGTACTGCCTATCCTGATTTGGGAGCATCCCAAAGTGGTTATCCCCACAGTGTGTCAAGTCTGGCTAGGGGTTTGTGCCCAGGGACCTTTGTAATGTATTGCCTACTACATGGTGCTGCTGAACAGCCACTCTAATTTGGTGTCTCCTTTGGCCAAGTAATGGAACAAAGTTTCCAGGGCTAGGGATGGTAGTCTAGCCTCCCCACTTTGTCTTGGCCTGTCCTCAGGGTTGTTTCTCCCATCAGGCAGCCACGATACTTCCTGCCAGTTAAGGCAAGGATAGTTTTCCTGCCAGAGCACCCAAGATGGTGGGAAAGCTGGTTTACCACCTCAGTCTCACTTTTTCCAGTATAGTCACCATGAGTTGGGGGGGGAGATTTTCTGTGCTCTTGATGCCAGGCAGAATCGGGGGAGGGGCATTACAGATCTGGAAGTCTGAATCTCTTACCATTCACTCTGAGGTTTTCTTTTTCACTTCTCTGTGGCCTCAGGAATTGTCTCATCCTCATATTTGAGTTCTGAGTGTTTCTGGTTAAAATCTCGGTACTATATATTTGTTTTTGGTTTTCTGCAGGGGTAGTGAAGCCAGCTAGCTTCTATACCACCGTTTTGGAACTGGAAGTCTCCATCTTCTAGTAGAAATTATTTTAAAGCATCTATTATTACTATGCTCAGTGATATGAAGGAAAATATGCTTCTTTTAAATAAAAGGGTAGGAAATGTCAGCAGAGAAAGAGAAAATATAGGAAATTACCTAGTGAAAAGTCTACAACTTAAAAATACAATATCAAAAATAAAAATGAAATGGATGTGTTAATAGCAGAATTTGAGTGAGTAAATGAATTTGCAGATAGATCACTAGAAATTTCCAAACCAAATGAGTGAAAAAATAGAAAATAAGTAGAGCCTTAGCAACTTGTGGGACAATATCAGAGCCAACATACATGTAGTTATTGCAGAAGGTGAGGAGAGTAAGGGAGGAAAAAAAATCTAAAAGTGGGAAACTTTCCACTTTTGTTGAAAGACATACATTTACAACTTCAAAAAGATAAGCAAACAACACATAAGATTAAGTACAACAAAAACCATGTCAAAGGACATCATAGTCATTTTTCTGAAAACCAAAGTAAGGAGGAAATCTTGAAAGTAGGCAGACAAAAGTAATGCATTGCACACACAGAAAGTACATTTTAACACACTATTGACTTCTCACTGGAAACCATGGAAGTCAGAAGACAGTGGAATAACATGTCTGAAGGACTCAAAGAATAAAATATTGGCCACCTGAAGTTTTCCATCAAACAACAATATCTCTCAAGGATGAAGGAGCAGTAAAGGCGAGACATCCACACTGTAAATTATGCTAATGGCACATAATACCAGAAGCAAACTTGCAGCTTTAGGAAATAGTGAAGAATATGGTCATTTCTTGTTGAATAGAAAGGATGATTTTTCCCTTTTAAAAATTTGTGTCTAATATATGGGAATGATTGAATTATTTTGTTGGTATTGTATTATATGTACATGTAATACATATGACAACTATAGCACAAAGATGGAGGGTGCTAGGGTGGAGGCAGGTATATGGAGCTGTACTATTGCAAGGTTCAACATTGCTATACATAAAAAATCAATGCTTCAATGAAAATGGCATACTAAAAAATGTTCAGTTAATACAAAAGACAGGAAAGGAAAGGCAGAAGCACAAGAAAAAGAGGGATAAACAGAAAACAGATATTAAATGGTATATCAAAATTCAACCATATAGAAATTAAATATTAATGTACTCCAATATAAAGGAAGAAATTGCCTATAAGGTAGTGTTGAATATAGAGACATTAATATGATAGTAAATGTATATTAAAAGATACATCATCCAAATAAGAAACATAAGAATATTGGAAATTCAACTATATTAGTATCAACTAAAATAGAATTTAAGACAAAGCCTATTACCAGAGATATTTTGTACTGTTCAAAAGTCAAATTATCAGGAAAATTTAAATGTATGCACGTAGACTCAGTTTTAAATGCACATAATTTAAATGCATCTTGACATTTTGGGCTGTATGATAAAAAATAAAATAAATGTATGCATCTAAAACTGAGTTTTAAAATACATTAAATAAAATCAGAATTAATAGGATGAATAATTCTACAATCAGCATTGTTGATTTTAATACCACTTTCTTGATGTTGATAGAATAGAGAAAAAAGACATAAATTATTAGAGTAACACTACTAGCTACATTGGCCTATTAGATAACCAAACCCAACAACTGCAGAATACATATTATTTTCAATTATGACATCATGCCTAGTTTGAATGGATATGAAACAGTGGATAATAGATGATACTTAAGTCAGAGGCAAAACATTTATTATGGATGGATTTGGATGGCAATCACAGTGCAGTGCAGGGTACTGTAGGCTTGATAAGCAGCTTGATTCCAGTCATTTCCATCAGTGAATAGAACCTTACCTTGGCTGTGAGTGATCCAGATTGTTCAATTAGCAACTATGATTTGTTTGCAGAACTCATGGCCCCAAAGAGGTGCATCTGTAGTCTGCGAGTGTTTAGTCTTCCTTGTGGCAGATGAGACCACTGGCCAGGCCATTGCCAACTGAGGAAAAGTCAGTAAAAATGAAACTTCTAGAGGGTTTTCAGAATTAGGAGGCGGCGAACTTTTTCTTTAAAGGACCAGATAATAAGTATCTTTGACTCTGCATTCCATATTGTCTCTATACTCAGTTCTCCTGCTGTCATACAAAAGCTTCCATAGGCAGTACATAAATGAATGGGCACAGTTGGCCCACCGACATAGTTTTTACCTAACCCTGAATTAAAGCTGGGGTGATGGCTTTGCATTATTCTATCATGCTGGTTGCTCCTTATTTCAATCAGCCTTCCAGAGTTGTTGGGGTTATACAGCTATCAAGGCCCAGTGGGCATCATCAGGTTTCATCTTAGCTGAGCCATCAGTCAATCAGGCCCAGGTATTTAAAGGAAGCTCTGTGAATCCAGTGCCTCTTGAGCCAGTGGCATGCTTCTGACAGTGGAATAAAAGATAAAGTGGCTGTAATACCCAAGGTTCTGCTCAACCAGACTGGCTGTACTCTGGAATATACCATTTCCATTTGAATAGCGGTCCCTGTTGGTTGGGCTCTTCCCACCTTGTTCATTTTCAAATTTTAGTTGACCCATCCCCAAGTAGGTCTAGAAAGTCACAAGGCCTCCATGGGTCAGTTGTTCAATTACAATTAGAACTTTGTAGCTGGTTAATAGCAGCCTTCTAAAAAAGGGAGTGTACTTGGTGGCTGCATCAGGCAGGTGGCGATGTTGTACTGAGATAACACCTCTGAGTACTTCAGCAGCCATTAAGTCTTTACCTAAACATTTTACTCTTGGAATCCTACGTTGTTTCTGGCATATAATATGGGAAGGAACTGGAAGTCTAGTAGGTGGTCTGTTGTGCAGTTGTCCCACTATCACCTTGGTGTACATGTTCGATGATATCCTCTGGCACAAGCATTTAAGTACAGTCATGTAAGCCATTAATACCAGTTATATATTCACCAACATAAGTCAAAATGATAGTACATTGAATCGGACTAAAGGGTCCCACCATTTTATATCCCATTCCAGTGTATTTTTCCTCCATGAAAAGCATGGACTAGCGTTTTTAATGTGCACATGCCAGTTGCTCCAGTGACAATTGCCCTTCAGTAATGTTATCCCCTGTGCATGGCAGGGGAAGCTACCCTTTGCATAAGGTGGGACAGCTAGGATGTTGGGCTTTTATCTCACTTGGCCTTTTTTTTTTTTTTTTTTTTTTGAGACAGGGTCTTGCTCTGTCACGTAGGCTAGAGTGTAGTAGTGCAATCATTGCTCACTGCAGCCTTGAACTCCTGGGCTCAAGAGATCCTCCACCTCAGCCTCCCAAGTAGCTGGGACTACATACAGTTGCATACCACCATGCCCAGCTAATTTTTATAAAAATTTTTTAGAGAGGCTGTTGCTATGTTGCCCAGGCTGGTCTTGAATCCATGGCCTCAAGAGATCCTCCCACTTTGGCCTCCCAAAGCTCTGAGATTGCAGGCATGGGTCACTGTGTCCAGCCCGAAAGTGCACGTGTTTTTATCAGTTCTGAAGGATAAAAAATGTTGAAGTACATGGCTGGGAATGTTTCTAGAACTTGTATTTTAATTCCCTTTTTTATATTTCTATATGTTTTCATTAAACATAACCTCATCAAATGGCTTGGACTTTGGCAAGGTAGTTATTGCTATATGCAGTTATCTTTATGATAACTCTCTTCGTCTTGAGACTTTTTATCCGAGCATTGCTCTTGGGTTTTCTTTCTTTTCCAGTAGGGTTAGAAAGGGCGTTGTTATTGGAATCATTAGGCATACTTTTGGCCATAGAAAGAAAACCACATTTAACAATGGTTTTTTAAAATCAGTGTTTATTTTTTATCACGTTATAAAATGTTTGCTGCTGGTCTTGGCTGAATGATGTCTATGTGACTTTTTTTGCTCTTTCCCTCATGATTCCTTTATAAATGTCACTTCCCTGGGCATCATTTCAGACTTCAAGGCAATAAGAAGGGGAGAAAGGGCACCATCAGTGATGTTAATTTCCTTTATCAGGAAAGCAGATACTGTTCCAGAATCCTGCAATAGCCACCTGCCTTTGAGTGATCATAACTATGTCACCACTTGTTGTAAAAGAGGCTAGGCAATCACAGATTAAGTATCTGTGGTGGCATCCAGTGAAGGAGTGAATGTTGGAGATGGATGTTGGATTTGCCTCTCAGTAGTTAAATCTATATAATCATCACCACAATCAAGATATAGAATAGTTTTCTTATCTCAGAAACAACTTTCCTCCTGCCCTTTTTCGTCAGTGCTCTCTGCCCTGCTGCTGCCCTAGACATTGCTATTACCTTATTATTAATATATATATATATATATATATGTATGAAGGAGTCTTGCTCTGTCCCCCAGGCTGGAGGTCAGTGGTGTAATCTCAGCTCACTGCAACC
The DNA here is from genome assembly GCF_000001405.40 of Homo sapiens. NCBI lineage: Eukaryota > Metazoa > Chordata > Mammalia > Primates > Hominidae > Homo > Homo sapiens. The sequence continues at coordinate 60,973,676 of NC_000017.11, forward strand.
TCCACCTCCCAGGTTCAAGCGATTCTCCTGCCTCAGCCTCCTGAGTGGCTGGGATTACAGGCGCATGCACCACACCCGGCTAATTTTTGTGTTTTTGGTAGATACAGGGTCTCACCATGTTGGCCAGGCTGGTCTTGAACCCCTGACCTCAAGTGATCCACCTGCCTCGGCCTCCCATAGTGCTAGGATTATAGGCGTGAGCCACCACACCCTGCCTAAAAATATTTTTTCTGTAATTTCTAAGGTTTGATATGGGGTTGGAGGGAATGCTGTTGCTGGTCACTTTATTTTCTAACTTGGTATTGCTGATCAGTACCAGAGTTATTATTTAAGTATTCTAAAAATGCATATTTCTTGGTCATCCCCCCTCCTACCCAAATAACTGCTGAATCATAATTCTGAAGATGTGACCACAGGATCTGCATTTTGTACAGATCATCTAAGTGCTTCTTATCACACTAAAGTTTAACAATCTCTGCTTCAGGTTTTTTTAGGATGTTAAATAATCCCAAAATGTTATCATTCTTATTAATTGAGGTTGTTATTGAGTTTTTGGTGGTGAATTCACAGCCTTATAAGATGCTGATTTCTACATCTTAGATGCTGAAATGTAGTAACATTTAATTCTAGTACCCAATCCTCTTGTTTCATATGTACTTTGACTTCAACCCATTTTGTGAATTAATTTTTTTAAGTTTTGATAAAATGTTGAACATAGATGAAAACACTCTTTAGAAATTTTATGTTCCATGTGAGTATATCTACTATATTAGATATTGGTTTCCCCAAATATTACAGTTTTGAATTCTCAAATCGATGAAATATTTAAAAATGAATAACTCAGATTACATAAAGTATTTGTATAAATCGGAATTACTGGACTATGACTACAGTACGTTTTAAAGAACAAATATCTTAGCATTTTAGAGGCCTAATTGGTTTCTGATTAGCCAAATTTTATATCATTATAATGAGAAATGTGAGATATTATAAATATGCTAAATAATACAGGAAACATTTAATGAATGGTAAATTACATAACCTAACATAAATTTGCAAAACATTTAATTAAACACTGTAATACTGTATTTGTATCTCATTAGTTGAGAACTCTGACATTTGTATACTTAAAAACTCTAAATTGGTAATAATGAGTGCCCTAATGAGGATTCCCAGATTAAGTTAAGTGCTGTTTGCTTGAGTTTTTCTTCTTATGGCACACTTTTATGCTGAATGGAAGGAAACTTAATAAGAACATCTGGTTATACCTTTTACCCATATTATATTCAAGCCATTTGTTTTTTTTGTTTTTTTTGCTTTTTTGTTTTTTTTTTTTTGAGACGGAGTCTCGCTCTGTCGCCCAGGCCGGACTGCGGACTGCAGTGGCGCAATCTCGGCTCACTGCAAGCTCCGCCTCCCGGGTTCACGCCATTCTCCTGCCTCAGCCTCCCGAGTAGCTGGGACTACAGGCGCCCGCCACCGCGCCCGGCTAATTTTTTGTATTTTTAGTAGAGACGGGGTTTCACCTTGTTAGCCAGGATGGTCTCGATCTCCTGACCTCATGATCCACCCGCCTCGGCCTCCCAAAGTGCTGGGATTACAGGCGTGAGCCACCGCGCCCGGCCTCAAGCCATTTGTTTAACCCAACCCCAGATGTGAAATGAGCCACGATAGGCACAGATAAAAATGCTCGTTTAGGCTTCTCAGCAGCTGCTTATCTTCCTTTGTGCATAGGACAGCAAAGGCATCTCTAAGAACTAAGGGGGCTATTAAAAGAAACCACAAACTATAAAAAGAGGCTATAGAACTTCACTTTCAGGAAACTGGCTAGTTAGTGTTCCTTTCATTTTTTTATGACAGATTTGTTGAGGTATAATTCACATACATAAAGTTCACCATTTTATAATGTACAATTCAGTAGTTTTTTAGTATATTCAGTTATCCATTGATCACTACCATTCAATTCAAGAACATTTTCAGCACCCCAAAATGAACCTTGTACCTATCCAAGTCACTCTCCATCCCCCTCTCCCTGCTCCTCTGCAATTACTAATTTATTTTCTGTATCTGTGGATTTGCTTATTTTATACATTTCATATAAAATGGAATCATACAATATGTGGCCTTTTATGTCTTGTTTCTTTCACTTTGCATAATGCTTCAAAGTTCATCCATTTTCAAATATGCATCAGAAACTTCATTCCTATTCATGGATGAGTAAATACTATTTCATTATATGGATATATGACATTTTGTTTATTCATTTATCAATTGATAGACATTTAAGTTGTTTCCACATTTGGGCTTAGGAATCCAGCTGCAAACATTTGTATATAGATTTTTGCTTTTTTTTTTTTTTTTTTTTCTTTTTGAGATGGAGTCTTGCTCTGTCGCCCAGGCTGGAGTGCAGTGGCTCACTGCAAGTGCAAGCTCTGCCTCCCGGGTTCACACCATTCTCCTGCCTCAGCCTCCTGAGTAACTGGGACTACAGGCACCTGCCACCACACTCGGCTAATTTTTTGTATTTTTTAGTAGAGATCGGGTTTCACCGTGTTAGCCAGGATGGTCTCAATCTCCTGACCTCGTGATCCACCCGCCTCGGCCTGCCAAAGTGCTGGGATTACAGGCTTGAGCCACCACAGCTTGTATATAGGTTTTTGTATGAACGTATGTTTTTAGTTCTCTTGAATATCTATCTAGGAGTGAAAATGCTGGGTCATATGGTAACTTTATGTTAAACTTTTGGAAACAATATATATATATATATTTTTTTTTTAGTATTTATTGATCATTCTTGGGTGTTTCTCGGAGAGGGGGATTTGGCAGGGTCATAGGACAATAGTGGAGGGAAGGTCAGCAGATGAACATGTGAACAAAGGTCTCTGGTTTTTCTAGGCAGAGGGCCCTGCCGCCTTCCACAGTGTTTGTGTCCCTGGGTATTTGAGATTAGGGAGTGGTGATGACTCTTAAGGAGTATGCTGCCTTCAAGCATCTGTTTAACAGAGCACATCTTGCACTGCCCTTAATCCATTTAACCCTGAGTGGACACAGCACATGTTTCAGAGAGCACGGGGTTGGGGGTAAGGTTATAGATTAACAGCATCCCAAGGCAGAAGAATTTTTCTTAGTACACAACACAATGGAGTCTCCTATGTCTACTTCTTTCTACACAGACACAGTAACAATCTGATCTCTCTTTCTTTTCCCCACATTTCCCCCTTTTCTATTCGACAAAACCGCCATCGTCATCATGGCCCGTTCTCAATGAGCTGTTGGATACACCTCCCAGACGGGGTGGTGGCCGGACAGAGGGGCTCCTCACTTCCCAGACGGGGCGGCCGGGCAGAGGCGCCCCCCAACCTCCCAGACGGGGTGGCGGCCGGGCGGGGGCTGCCCTGCACCTCCCGGACGGGGTGGCTGGCCGGGCGGGGGCTGCCCCCCACCTCCCGGACAGGGCGGCTGGCCAGGCGGGGGCTGCCCCCCACGAAACAATATTTTTTAAGCTTTTATTTTTTAGAGATGGAGTCTCTAAAAATATGCATTGCACAGGCTGGAGTGCCGTGGCTCAATCATAGCTCACTGCAGCCTCAAATTCTTGGGCACCAGCGATCCTCCCACCTCAGCCTCCCAAGTGATTGGGACTATAGGCACATGCCACCACACCTGGCTATTTTTCTTTTTTCTTTTTGTAGACACAAGGTTTCACTGTGTTGTCCAGGCTTATCTCTCTGGCTTCAGGTGAACCTTCCACTTCAGCCTCCCAAAGTACTGAGGTTACAGGCATGAGCCATTGCATTTGGCGGAAGCACTTTCTTTTTATTATTATTATTATTATTATTATTATACTTTAAGTTTTAGGGTACATGTGCACAATGTGCAGGTTAGTTACATATGTATACATGTGCCATGCTGGTGCCCTGCACCCACTAACTCGTCATCTAGCATTAGGTATATCTCCCAATGCTATCCCACCCCGCTCCCCCCACCCCACAATAGTCCCCAGAGTGTGATGTTCCCCTTCCTGTGTCCACCTGTTCTCATTGTTCAATTCCCACCTATGATTGAGAATATGCGTGTTTGGCTTTTTGTTCTTGCCATAGTTTACTGAGAATGATGATTTCCAATTTCATCCATGTCCCTACAAAGGACATGAACTCATCATTTTTTATGGCTGCATAGTATTCCATGGTGTATATGTGCCACATTTTCTTAATCCAGTCTATCATTGTTGGACATTTGGGTTGGTTCCAAGTCTTTGCTATTGTGAATAATGCCTCAATAAAAATACATGTGCATGTGTCTTTATAGCAGCATGATTTATAGTCCTTTGGGTATATACCCAGTAATGGGATGGCTGGGTCAAATGGTATTTCTAGTTCTAGATCCCTGAGGAATCGCCACACTGACTTCCACAATGGTTGAACTAGTTTACAGTCCCACCAACAGTGTAAAAGTGTTCCTATTTCTCCACATCCTCTCCAGCACCTGTTGTTTCCTGACTTTTTAATGATTGCCATTCTAACTGGTGTGAGATGGTATCTCATTGTGGTTTTGATTTGCATTTCTCTGATGGCCAGTGATGGTGAGCATTTTTTCATGTGTTTTTTGGCTGCATAAATGTCTTCTTTTGAGAAGTGTCTGTTCATGTCCTTTGCCCACTTTTTGATGGGGTTGTTTGTTTTTTTCTTGTAAATTTGTTTGAGGTCATTGTAGATTCTGGATATTAGCCCTTTGTGAGATGAGTAGGTTGCGAAAATTTTCTCCCATTTTGTAGGTTGCCTGTTCACTCTAATGGTAGTTTCTTTTGCTGTGCAGAAGCTCTTTAGTTTAATTAGATCCCATTTGTCAATTTTGTCTTTTGTTGCCATTGCTTTTGGTGTTTTAGACATGAAGTCCTTGCCCATGCCTATGTCCTGAATGGTAAAGCCTAGGTTTTCTTCTAGGGTTTTTATGGTTTTAGGTCTAATGTTTAAGTCTTTAATCCATCCTGAATTGATTTTTGTATAAGGTGCAAGGAAGGGATCCAGTTTCAGCTTTCTACATATGGCTAGCCAGTTTTCCCAGCACCATTTATTAAATAGGGAATCCTTTCCCCATTGCTTGTTTTTGTCAGGTTTGTCAAAGATCAGATAGTTGTAGATATGCGGCGTTATTTCTGAGGGCTCTGTTCTGTTCCATTGATCTATATCTCTGTTTTGGTACCAGTACCATGCTGTTTTGGTTACTGTAGCCTTGTAGTATAGTTTGAAGTCAGGTAGTGTGATGCCTCCAGCTTTGTTCTTTTGGCTTAGGATTGCCTTGGCGATGCGGGCTCTTTTTTGGTTCCATATGAACTTTAAAGTAGTTTTTTCCAATTCTGTGAAGAAAGTCATTGGTAGCTTGATGGGGATGGCATTGAATCTGTAAATTACCTTGGGCAGTATGGCCATTTTCACGATATTGATTCTTCCTACCCATGAGCATGAAATGTTCTTCCATTTGTTTGTATCCTCTTTTATTTCCTCGAGCAGTGGTTTGTAGTTCTCCTTGAAGAGGTCCTTCACATCCCTTGTAAGTTGTATTCCTAGGTATTTTATTCTCTTTGAAGCAATTGTGAATGGGAGTTCACTCATGATTTGGCTCTCTGTTTGTCTGTTGTTGGTGTATAAGAATGCTTGTGATTTTTGCACATTGATTTTGTATCCTGAGACTTTGCTGAAGTTGCTTATCAGCTTAAGGAGATTTTGGGCTGAGACAATGGGGTTTTCTAGATATACAATCATGTCGTCTGCAAACAGGGACAATTTGACTTCCTCTTGAATACACCTTTATTTCCTTCTCTTGCCTAATTGCCCTGGCCAGAACTTCCAACACTATGTTGAATAGGAGTGGTGAGAGAGGGCATCCCTGTCTTGTGCCAGTTTTCAAAGGGAATGCTTCCAGTTTTTGCCCATTCAGTATGATATTGGCTGTGGGTTTGTCATAGATAGCTCTTATTATTTTGAAATACGTCCCATCAATACCTAACTTATTGAGAGTTTTTAGCATGAAGGGTTGTTGAATTTTGTCAGAGGCCTTTTCTGCATCTATTGAGATAATCACGTGGTTTTTGTCTTTGGTTCTGTTTATGTGATGGATTATGTTTACTGATTTGCGTATGTTGAACCAGCCTTGCATCCCAGGGATGAAGCCCACTTGATCATGGTGGATAAGCTTTTTGATGTGCTGCTGGATTCGGTTTGCCAGTATTTTATTGAGGATTTTTGCATCAATGTTCATCAAGGATATTGGTCTAAAATTCTCTTTTTTGGTTGTGTATTTGCCCGGCTTTGGTATCAGGATGATGCTGGCCTCATAAAATGAGTTAGGGAGGATTCCCTCTTTTTCTATTGATTGGAATAGTTTCAGAGGGAATGGTACCAGTTCCTCCTTGTACCTCTGGTAGAATTCGGCTGTGAATCCATCTGGTCCTGGACTCTTTTTGGTTGGTAAGCTATTGATTATTGCCACAATTTCAGATCCTGTTATTGGTCTATTCAGAGATTAAACTTCTGGGCGGAAGCACTTTCTAAGTGGCTACACCATTTATATTTCCCCTATGGAAATTTGAGTGTTTCAGTTTCTACACATCCTCACCAAAACTTATCATCTTTTTTTATTTTAGCCATTCTTTTCGGTATGAAGTGGTATCTCATTGTGGTTTTTATTTGCATGTCCTTAATGACTAATGATGTTGAGAGTCTTTTCATATGCTATTGGCCATTTGTTTATCTTCTTTGGAGAAATATTTGTCCCAGTCCTTTATTTATCAGATGTATTATTTGCAAATACTTTCCCTCATTCATTTTATGGCTTTTTTAACTTTCTTAATGGTATTCTTTTTTTTTTTTTTTTTTGAAACAGGGTCTCACTCTGTCTCCCAGGGTAAAATGCAGTGCTGCAATCACAGCTCACACCAATCTTGACCTCCCTGGGCTCAAGCAATACTCCCACCTCGGCCTCCTGAGTAGCTGGGACTACAGGCGCACACCAGTATGCCCAGCTAATTTTTCTATTTTTTTTGCAGAGACAGGGTTTCACCATGTTGCCCAGTCTAGTCTTGAACTTGTGGGGTCAAGTGATCTGCCCAGCTCAGGCTCCCAAAGTGTTGGGATTATAGACAGGAGCCACTGTACCTGACCTTTATTTATTTATTTATTTATTTTGGAGGCAGGTTTTCACACTGCTGGCATGCAGTGGCACCAGTATGGCTCACTGCAGCTTCAAGCTCCTGGGCTGAAGCGATTCTCCCACCCTAGCCTCTTAAGTAGCTGGAACTACAGGCATGTGCCACCATGCCAGGCTAATGTGTTTTTATTTTTTGTAGAGACAGGTCCTTGCTATGTTGCACAGGCTGGCCTTGAACTCCTGGCCTCCAGCAGTCCTCCCACTTCCCCCTCCCAAAGTGCTGGGATTATAGGCATGAGCTACCATGCCCAGCCAATGTATTCTTTGTACATGCAAAGTTTTTAATGTTGAAGAAGTATGATTTGTCTACTTTGACTTGGGTTGCTTATAGGTGATCTCGATTAAGAGTCCAAGTAAGAGACTAATATAGTAACCTTGTAGATGATAGTGTTTTAAGTGTATTTTTTTTTTTTCTTGAGACAGGGTCTCGCTCTGTCACCCAGGCTGGAGTGCAGTGGCATGATCTTGGCTCACTGCAGCCTCTGCCTCCTCCCAGGTTCAAGCAATTCTCCTGCCTCAGCCTCCCTAGTAGCTGGGATTACAGGCATGTGCCACCACACCCAGCTAATTTTTGTATTTTTAGTAGAGACAGGGTTTCACCATGTTGGCCAGGCTGGTCTGGAACCCCTTACCTCAAGTGATCTGCCTGCCTTGGCTTTCCAAAGTGCTAGGATTACCTACGTGAGCCACTGTGCCCAGCCACAAGAGTGATAGCAGTATGTTGATAGCAGTGAAAACAGACATTTGGACAGAGTTGCAATGTATTTTTATGAGGACAATAATAATAATAGCAAACATCTTTGTATAGTGCTTATTAAGTGCTAGGCACTGTTCTAAGTGCTGTATGCAGTAACTCATACCCAACAACCCTATGAAATTGGCATAATTATTCCTGTTTTGCAAATGAAGAATCTCAAGGCACAGAGCTGGTAATTAACTTTCATATGGCCATATAGCTTGTAAGTAGTAGATATATTTACTGTGATATATTGCCTCTAGGTAAAGCTTATATATGGCTTTATATTTATAGTACTGTTTCCATGTATTTTCATAATCTTCTATAATATTAAACTTTGTAGATTGTTTCATTTCAAATTGGTATTTTAAATCTAATCTGAAAAGAAATTATATGTGTATGCACAAATGTGTATATGTAGTTATGTAATATATATAAATGGATAGATATACTGTATATTTGCATTAAGAGTTGCCTGAAAGAAGGATGTGTTCCAAGATAATGAGAAATAGTTGTGGGATTTATGTGTGTGTGATTTTTTTAAAATACCAAAGTTATTTTCTGTATTTATGTTCATTATTTTATTATATATAGCTATATTCTACCTTGAAAACAAAATAAACAAAATATCTGCTTGCTATTGAATGTCATTTTTCTTCTTTTAAGCAGATAATCCATATTTTTTAAATTAATTAATTTATTTTACAGATTGGGGGTCTCACTCTGTTGCCCAAGCTAGAGTACAGTGGCACAGTCATAACTCACTGCAGCCTCATAACTCCTGGGCTTAAGCGATCCTTCTACCTTAGCCTCCTGAGTAGCTGGAGCTACAAGTGCATCATTGCGCCTCGCTTGCTATTGAATTCTTTAAAGTACCTTAAAAATAAAGTATCTTAATTTCATTGGTCTCATGTTCTTAACTCATGTCTTGTATGGATTTTTCTTAAGGGAAGACTTTCTTTAGTTTTTCCTCTCTCTACTGTGGAGAATCTAATAACACTAACTTTGAATTTCAACTGAGCAAAAGATTATTCCCATAAAAAGAATGTCTTTCTTCTCATTGTAGATCTATATTACAAAAAACTATATTGAATTATTATATTTTGAATTGCATCAACAAAAATTTTGTCAAAATTTGGTTTTTCTCTTGTTATAAACAACAACTACATGGTACCTTTGATTTTGCTTTCTTGTCTTCAAGGCCTAAAATTTATTATCTGGTCCTTTACAGAAAAAGTTTACTGAACCCAGTTCTAAAAAAAACCTCCACTTCTCTCATGTCCACAAACATTTTCTGTGTCAGTTCTATAGGATTCTGAAATGTGGCCAACCAGGAGCACATATACTTTATCTCTTGCTATTCACATCTGCTTAGTTCCTGAGTTTAAAATATTGACTAGTGAGTGTCTTAAAGAAAAAAATATATAAATATGTTTGTGTCCTAAATTTGAGAGCAGGGGTTTGAATAGTGAGTGGTACCTGTACTTGTTTATTATTTGTTACCACGGTTGCCTAATCTGTACATGGTAAATGTTATTTGTCATGATATTCATGATATTTAGTGCTGTAGAATTAAATCAGTAATGCGACTCGACTCCTATCTAGCTCTTCTTTTTGTGATGAGAATATGTTAATTACAAATAACATTCCATAATTGAGGTCCAAAAATCATGCAGATAATGTCATCACCTTATTACTAGTTTTCCATTTTTACAGGTTTTTTTCATTTTTAATAATGTCTGAAAAACCGTCCAGCTAGTTAACTAATAGCAACAGTTATATTATTTTACATCTTGTGGATAGGCAACTTGTTATCCTCTGTAATGTTATTTAAAGGATTAAACTTTCCCTACTTATTTTGACAGCTAGTATCTTTAGCAGTCCTTCTCTGCTCATTTATATATGCTGATATGTCTTCAAGGTCATAGAGCAGAATCACTTCTCTATTAGCAGTTTTCTAAAAAAGCATTAGGTGGAATTCTGTCTTCCTGCCTTGATACTGTTACTAACACCACCTCTATATCCTGAGTAGTCTAAAAATGAAAGAAAGAAACTCCTTTTTATTGACAGACCAGGAAGTGGTCTTGATTATAAGTGTTTTGGAAAAAGATGTTAGATAACATAGTTCAATTTCACTGTGGCTGGAACATAAATTGCTCAATGATAAATCTAAGGATGCCTTTCTTTATATAGTTGACTCTGTCATGTGAAAATGCATTTCATATTATGATATTAATTTCTTCCGGTACTATATTTCTTTTCTCTTACTTCTTCTGTTTACACCTTTGTTCGTCCTGCTTTTCCCTTCCTCTTGCTTTTCTACGACTTTCATCCTTTCTTTTAATAGGACCCCTGATCTATTCAGAAAAGTCAGTTAAGCTGAACATAATCGTAGGCAAGCTACAGAGGTTAAACACTTCTGGAATAACTATTTATCTGAAATGCTGGAATTGTTGGGAGTTAAATTTCTCAGCTTTTAGGACAGTCTTTAATTATATCATTAATGTGTCATTTGGATGTGTCACAATAGTCGAGATTGGCAGGCATGTGGTTGAATTTTGAGTTTGTTCATGTACTGATGATGTTTGTGTAGCAGTTTTCTAGCAATGAAGTATCTTGTCTTGATACATAAGACTAAAATTTCTTTTTTATTTAAAAGATTCCAGGCTCTATTAGAAACTTGTACTTTGATGGCTACCTAGAGCTTTTGTTTGTGGTGCGTTTCTGAAATATGTAGTCTTATTTGAAGACCTAATACACTGAAAAGTGTTTCTCTGACCACTTGGGGACTTTTACCTAATTCATGTTATTATAATGAAGCTAATATGCCTCATGCACATAGATATGTATATATACAGCTTTTTTTTAATTTTTAATTTTTGTGGGTACATAGTAGTTATGTATATTTATGGAGTACTTGAAATATTTTGATACAGGCATATAGTACATAATAATCACATCAGGGTAATTGGGGTATCCATCACCTCAAGCATGTATCCTCTGTGTTACAAACAGTCCAATTACACTCTTTTAATTATTTAAAAAAATTTTTTGTGGGTACATAGTAGGTAGTTATATATATTTGTAGAGTACATGAAATGTTTTGTTTTATCCAGGCACAGTGGCTCACGCCTGTAATCCCAGCATTTTGGGAGGCCAAAGTGGGCAGATCACCTGAGGTCAGGAGTTTGAGACCAGCCTGGCCAAGATGGTGAAACCCCATCTCTACTACAAATACAAAAATTAGATGGGCGTGGTGGTGCATGCCTGTAATCCCAGCTATTTGGGAGGCTGAGGCAGGAGAATCACTTGAACCCAGGAGACAGAGGTTGCAGTGAGCCGAGATTGCACCACTGCACTCTAGCCTGGGTGACAGAGTGAGACTCCATCTCAAAAAAAAAAAAAAAAAAAAAAGTTTTGTTTTAATACGGGCATACAATGTCAAATAAGTGCATAGTGAAGAATGGGGTACCCATCTCCTCAAGCATTTATCCATTTGAGTTATAAACGATTCAACTGTATTCTTTTTTTTTTTTTTTTTTTTTGAGACAGAGTTTCACTCTTGCTGCCCAGGTGGGAGTGCAGTGGCATGATCTCAGTTCACTGCAACTTCTGCCTCCAGGGTTCAAGTGATTCTCCTGCCTCAGCCTCCCCAGTAGCTGGAAGTACAGGCATGCGCCACTATGCCTGGCTAATTTTTTGTATTTTTAGTAGAGACAGGGTTTCACCATATTGGCCAGGCTGGTCTCAAACTCCTGATCTCAGGTGATCCACCCGTCTTGGCCTTCCAAAGTTCTGGGATTATGGGTGTGAGCTGTCACACCTGGTCCCAATTATATTCTTTAAGTTATTTAAAAATATATGATTAAGTTATTATTGACTATAGTCACCTTATTGTGCTATCAAATAGTAGGTCTTATTTATTCTATTTAAAAATGTAGAATTAAATTATTATTGACTACAGTCACCCTGTTGTGCTATCAAATACCAGATATTATCCATTCTTTCTATTTTTCGTACCCATTAGCCATCCCTACTCCCCCCTCCTCCCTCCACTACCCTTTCCAGCCTCTCGTAAACATCCTTCTACTCTCTATCTCCATGAGTTTATTATTTTGTTTTATTGATTGATTGATTGAGATGGAGTTTCGCTCTGTCGCCCAGCCTGGAGTTCAGTGGCACGATCTCAGCTCACTGCAACCTCCACCTCCTGGGTTCAAGAGTTTCTTCCACCTCAGTCTCCCAAGTAGCTGGAATTACAGGCGCACGCCAACACACCAGGCTAATTTTTGTATTTTTAGTAGAAACAGGGTTTCACCATGTTGACCAGGCTGGTCTTGAACTCCTGACCTCAAGTGATCTGCCTGCCTTGGCCTCCCAAACTGCTGGGATTACAGGCCTAAGCTACCATGCCTGGCCAAGTTCCTTGTTTTACGTTTTAGATCCCACAAATAAGTGAGAACATGCAAAGTTTGTCTTTCTGTAAGTGGCTTATTTCACTTAACATAATAACCTCCAGTTCTGTCCATGTTGTTGCAAATGACAGGATATTATTCTTTCTTTTTATGGCTAAATAGTACTCCATTGCGTATATATACCATATTTTCTTTATCCATTCATCTGTTGATGGGTCCTTAGGTTGCTTCCACATCTTGGCTATTGTGAATAATGCTGCAATAAACATGGGAGTGCAGATATCTCTTTGATATACTGATTTCCTTTCTTTCGAGTATATACCTAGCAGGGGAATTGCTGGATCATACGGTAGCTCTAGTTGTAGTTTTTTCAGGAACCTCCAAATTGTTCTCCATAGTGGTTGTATTAATTTACATTCCCACCAATAGTGTATGAGGGTTCCCTTTTCTCCACATCCTTGCCATCGTTTGCTATTACCTGTCTTTTGGATAAAAGCCTTTTTTTAAACTTGAGGGAGATGATATCTCATTGTAGTTTTGATTTTCATTTCTGTAATGATTATTGATGTTGAGCACATTTTTGTATACTTGTTTGCCATTTGTATGTCTTTTGAGAAAATCTATTCATATCTTTTGCCCATTTTAAAATAGGATTGTTAGATTTTTTCCTGTTGAGTTGTTTGGGCTCTTTTCTAGTTGTTAATCCCTTGTCAGATGGACAGTTTATAAATATTTTCTCCCAATCTTCGGGTTATCACTTTGTCGATTGTTTCCTTTGCTGTTCAAAATCTTTTTTAACTTGACATGATCCCATTTGTCTATTTTTGCTTTGGCTGTCTGTGCTTGTAGGGTAATACTCAAGAAATCTTTGCCCAGTTTCAATGTTCAGGAGTTTCCCAAAATGTTTTCTTGCAGTAGTTTCATAGTTGGAGATCTTAGATTTAAGTTTTTAATCCATTTTGATTTTATTTATGTGTATGGCGAGAGATAGGGGTCTATTTTTATTCTTCTGCATATGTATATCCAGTTTTCCCAGCACTAATTATTGAAGAGACTATGTTTCCCCAATATATGTTATTGACGTCTTTGTTGAAAATGAGTTCACTGTAGGTATGTAGATTTGTTTCTTGGTTCTCTGTTCTGTTCCATTGGTGTATGTGTCTGTTTTTATGCCAGTACCATGCTGTTTCAGTTACTATACCTCTGTAGTATAATTTGAAGTCAGGTAATGTGATTCCTCCAGGTTTTTTTTTTTTTTTCTTTTTGCTCAGGATAGCTTTGGTTATTCTGGGTCTTTTGTGGCTCTATATACATTTTAGGATTTTTTTTTCTATTTCTGTAAAGAATGTCATAGGTATTTTGATAGGGATTGCATTCAATCTGTAGATTGCTTAGGGTAGTATAGACATTTTAACAATATTGATTCTACCAATCCATAAACATGGAATATCTTTCTATTTTCTTGTGTCCTCTTCAGTTTCTTTTTATCAGTGTTTTGTAGTTTGCATTGTAGAGATCTTTCACTTTTTTTGTTAATCGCTAGTTATTTATTTGTAGCTATTGTAAGTGGGATTACTTTGTAAATTTCTTTTTCAGATTGTTCACATTTGGCATGTAGAAATGCTACTGATTGTTGTATGTTGATTTTGTATCCTGCAACCTTACTGAATTTGTTTATCAGTTCTGTTAGTTTTTTGGTGGAGTCTTTAGGTTTTTCTGAATATAAGATCATATGATCTGCAAACGAGGCTCATTTGACTTTTTCTTTTCGAATTTGGATGCCTTTTATTTCCTGTCTGATTGCTCTGGCTAGGACTTCCGGTACTTTGTTGAATAACAGTGATTAAAGTAGGCATCCTTGTCTTGTTCCATATCTTGGCAGAAAGGCTTTCTGTTTTTCCCTGTTCAGTAAGATACTAGCTGTGGGTCCATTGTACATGGCTTTTCTTCTATGGAGGTATTTTCCTTCTATACTCAGTTTTTTAAGAGTTTTTATTATGAAGTAATGTTGAATTTTTATCATATGTATTTCCAGCATCAGTTGAAATGATTATATGGTTTTTATCCATTATTCTCTTGATAGAACATGTCACATTGATTTGTGTATGTTATACTGTCCTTGCATACCTGGGATAAATTCCACTTGGTTGTGATTTTTTTTTTTGATGTGTTGTTGAATTTGGTTTACTAGTATTTTGTTGAGGATTTTTACATCAATGTTCACCTGGAATATTGGCCTCTAGTCTAGTCTAGTCTAGTCTTGTCTGGTCTTGTCTTTTCTTTTCTTTCCTTTTCTTTTCTTTTTCTTTTTTTTTTTTTTTTTTTTTTATGTATGTGTTTGGTTTTGGTTTCAGAGTAATAAAAGCATTGTGGAATGAGGTTAGAAGTATTCCTTCCTCCTCTATTCTTCTCAATAGTTGGAGTAGGATTGGTATTAGTTCTTCTTTAGATATTTGGTAAAACATCTAAAATTAAGCAGTGAAGCCATTGGTCCTGGATTTTTCTTTGCTGGGAGACTTATTACATCTTCAGTCGCATTACTTGTTACTGGTTTATTCAGGTTTTGGATATTTTCATGATTCAATCTTGTTAGGTTGTACGTGTCTGGGAATTTATCCATTTCTTCTAGATTTTCCAACATATTGGCATATAATTGCTCATAGTAGCCTCTAATGATCCTTTGAATTTCTGTAGTATCAGTCATAATGTCTCCTTTTTCATCTCTGATTTTATTTGAGTCTTCTCTCTTTTTTTCTTAGTTCAGCTAATGATTTGTCAATTTTGTTTATCTTTTTAAAAAACCAACTTTTCATTTTGTTAATCTTTTGTATTCTTCATTTCAGTTTTATTTATTTCTGCTTTGATCTTTATTATTTATCTTCTACTAATTTTGGGATTGGGTTCCTCTTGCTTTTCTATTTCTTTAAGATGCATTGTTAGATTGTTTATTTGAAGTTTTCCTTTTTTTTTATTTAGGTGCTTATAACTATAAACTTCCCTCTTAGTACTGCTTTTACTGTATCCATATATATATTTTCATGTTAAGTTTCATTCACAAATATCTTTATTCTACTGTGCTTTTTCTCTTGTCTGGATTTTTTAAAACACTATTTGACAATTGTTTTAGGTGGTGGAAAATTAATTTAGTCAGTGTAGAAAACTTAAGTATCTGTGAGCTGCCTTCCTTTTAGAGGCTATGCTTAAAAATGCTTATAACAGTATCAAATTTTCCTTAGCTTTCTTTAATTTTTTTCTGAAATAAGTAAGTGGAGATATTTTTGCTCAAGTTGTCACCAGTTGACTGATATTGAGATAAAGGTAGTAAATTCAATTTGCTAATTCAGAAATACTGGAGATTCTTTATTCACTGTATGATAAGTGTCATACAAATTAACTTTCCCTGGCTCAGGTCTGTGGCTCACCACTTGTTTTTTGTAAATAAAGTTGTTTTTTTTTTTTTTTAACATAACTGCACTCATTTACATATGTTCTATGACTGCTTTGACAGTCCAAGAGTAGAGCTGAGTAACTGCAACAGACAGTGGAGCTTTTACATCCTACAAGGCCATATGGCCTCTTACAGAAAAAGCTTGCAGATACATGAGCCACTGCAGATACATGAATTATTGTTGTTATCAGTTATGTGTGTGTGTTGGGGGGCAAAGGGCATTGAGTGTTTTAAGATCTTCTTTCTTTGCATTTCACCTCTCTTCAGGATCCTGTATCCCTGACTATTGAAGTAACATTCTACCTAATGGAGTTTTGATCAACAGTCATTGTGAAATGCATCTGTAGAGTAAATTTTTATTTATTACCTGATCTTAGGTACATTTGGTAATGAGGCAATCATTTATATTCATATTTGGTGATGTGTGATACTCTTAGAAAAATCCAAGTAGTTTGAGACATTTTTGTATCTTTTCTTATCTCATTTCTAGGTACAGGACATCTGCTTCAGCCATGACTGTCGCTGGGTTGTGGTCAGTACTCTCCGGGGTACTTCCCACGTTTTCCCCATCAACCCTTATGGTGGCCAGCCTTGTGTTCGTACACATATGTCACCACGAGTAGTGAATCGCATGAGCCGTTTCCAGAAAAGTGCTGGACTGGAAGAGATTGAACAAGAACTGACGTCTAAGCAAGGAGGTCGCTGTAGCCCTGTTCCAGGTCTATCAAGCAGCCCTTCTGGGTCACCCTTGCATGGTAATTTTCTCTGTCTCCACTGTTATCTTGAATCTTCCTTCCCTTTGTCCTTATTTTTACAGATCTGGGATAAAACTAAACTTGTTATAGTCTGTTCATGTAAAAAGAAGATCTTAGGCTTATATGAAATTCTTAATTATTAAATAATTTAATAAATTGGAGCCAGTATAGTAATGGTGATCTTTACCATGCTATTTTAACTCCCTGTTTCAATATATAAGGGATATTTGGTATCATATTTATGGAATATAAAACTTGGAACTATTTTTATAACTTCAGAGAACTGAACATCCTTTTTACTTATCTCTTCCAGAACATTCTATGTTCAATGGGACACTATAGTTTATTAAGAAATATTCATTGTTGGAAAGAAATAGTCATGGGTAATGTGTATTTTAGATAGAGCAGCATTTGCTTTTTTTTTTTTTTGAGACGGAGTCTTGCACTGTAGCCTGGGCTGGCATGCAATGGCGTGATCTCGGCTGACTGCAACCTCTACCTCCCAGGTTCAAGCAATTCTCCTGCCTCAGCCTCCCGAGCAGCTGGGATTACAGGCATCCGCCACCACGCCTGGCTGATTTTCAGTATTTTTAGTAGAGATGGGGTTTCACTATGTTGGCCAGGCTTGTCTTGAACTCCTGACCTTGTGATCCACCTGCCTTGGCCTCCCAAAATGCTGGGATTACAGACATGAGCCACCGCACCCAGCCTGCATTTTATTTTAAAATGGGATTGGCGGGATTTCTGCTGTGTATCTCAGTAATTTATCTTAGAGCAAGTAGCTGTGTAACCATCATCCCAATCAATAAATGGAACATTATTGGAATCTCTCTTTTGCATACCTTCTCCATAACATTAAACCACAATTCTCATTTTTATGGTAACCACTTCTTTACTTTTTAGAATATTTCTACTCCTAAGCAAGTGTCCTTAAACACTATTGTTTCC
Source organism: Homo sapiens (assembly GCF_000001405.40). NCBI lineage: Eukaryota > Metazoa > Chordata > Mammalia > Primates > Hominidae > Homo > Homo sapiens. Next base: position 60,991,184 of record NC_000017.11, read on the forward strand.
ATTTTATGTAAATGGAATTGTAGAGTATGTATATTTTGATATCTTTGGCTTCTTTAACATTATATTTGTGAGATTCAGTTATGTTGTTGCAGGTAGGTTTAGTTCATTTATTTACAGCTCTCATTTATTCCATTGTACTTCTGTTTATTTATCCTTTCTACTACTGCTGATGTACATTGCATGGTTTCAGGTTTGGGGATAATATGTATACTAATTTTTGAGTGGAAATTCTTGATCATAACGTAGTTGAATCTTAACCTTGATAAATAACACTGGAGTGGTTGTACCGTTTCATTCTCACTAGAACGACAGAAAACGTTGACATTAGATCACCTTTTCTGGAGCATTGCAGATTTCCCTTGATGGGTGACCATTTTAGGTTTTCAAGATTGGGGAATCTTATATAGAGAGATTGTGGTTACCACAGAAAGTCATTGTTATTTTATTAATTGACCTGAAATTCACATAACGTAATATTCACCATGTAAATGTGACAGTACATTCATGATGTTGTGCCACCACAACCTGTTTACAAAACATTTTCCTCACTCCAAAAGGAAACCACATATTCTTTAAGCACTTACTCCTCATTCTTCTTTCTCCTAATCCCCTAGCAAACACCACTCTCTGCTTTGTAGACTGTTACTTGTCCTGTATATTTTATATAAATATAATTATAGAATATATGACCTTTTGTTTCTGCCTTCTTTCATTTAGTATAATGTTTTTGAAGTTCATCCACATTGTAGTATATATTAACACTTCACTCCTTTTTATGGGTAAATTATATTCCATTGTAGGAATGTAACGCAATTGATCTGTTCATTCACTGAGGTACATTTGGGTTGTTTCTACCTTTTGGTTATTGTGAATAGTGCTATTATGAATATGTGTGTACGTGTATTTGAGTACTTCTATGTAATTCTTTTGAGTATGTACCTATCCTAATTTGTTTCAGCTTCTGTACTGACCACATTACACATTCTTTCGTAGTATCCGATGACTTACACACACACACACACACACACACACACACACACACACACACTCTGTAGGAAGCTTAAAGATAGACTGAAAAAATATAGGTAAATGTTTTCCTCGGGACTTTTGTAACTCAAAAAAATGGGACCTCTTTTTACTCCTGAGATCATACTTTATGCTTTGGTTCTATTATTTTTAATGAGAATGATTGTTATTCATGTGTATTTAATTTAACTAGTGACCCATGATATTTAAGGTTGAAAGTTTTTAGAATCAGCTCTAGATGCAAAAGGTCATTGGGAGCTAAACATTGAGTATACATGGACATAAAGATGGGAATAGTAGACACTGGGGACTCCTGGAGGGAGGACAGTGGGAGGGGGTGAGGGTTGAAAAACTACCTGTTGGGTACTACGCTCACTACGTGTGACAGGATCATTTGTACACCAAACCTCAGGGACATGCAGTTTACCCATGTAACAAACTTGCACATGTGCCCCCGAACATAAAATAAAAATTGAAAAACAATGCTTATATTTCAAAAAAGTATATAGAATTTTTATAAAATAAAATTTAGAAAGCTATGAGATATTGATATTTTCAGCTATTTGCTAGACATTTTATTTCAGACTTAGTTACATTTTTTGGTGTTAGTGTTAAAATTGTGTTTTCTATGTAGATGTGTAGTATAGGTTCTTTGGGGGCTTTTCTTTTTGTGTCAAATGTTTTTCATAACATAAAATTTTAGCAAAATCTTTTGGCAAAGAGATTCACTGTACACATGGAGCAGCTAGGTCAATAAGAGAAACCACAGATGTATTAGTAAATTAAGAAGGCTTTGTGATCCCTACATTTATATGTCTTTGGAAGATATTTCCTTGAGCTTCTTTTTTGTTCTTATTCTTGCTTCTTTATACAGCAAACCACATAAGAGGTTTTTGTGTTAAGATTCAAGCATAATGTGCACAAAAGATTGTGGGCATTCCTACCCTCATAGATCTTGTATTCCACGGGAAAAGACAGATATTAAATGACTGTGAACAAATACCTTTCAATATACTTTTGTTGAAGGTTGCAAAGTGCCAGTCAATGAAGGATTTCATCATTTGTGAAAGGACAGTAGTTAAAGAGCAATACTACTAGATTTCCAAGTCAAAATATATTGTTTTCTCTCAGCTTTATTGCTTTCATGTCTCTCTGCATGTTTTTTTCAGAAATCTCAAAGAGGAGAATCCACACTGTTCGACTATGCTGCTGTACTTAAGATTTTCTTTTGAAAGCAAGGAATTTCAGGCAGCCTATTCCTCCTGATAGATAACACGTGTTAAAATTTTATTTCCAGAATTTCCGTCTATTACTCTGTGTAGTTTTTCTCATTTTTGAAGCATGGACTTTAGAGTGATGGTCATTTTTCTTCATGTTTTTTTGTATCTTACATGTCATAACAAAATGGGCATTGTTGGTTAGTTCTAAAAATGATGTATTTACAGTTTGTGTGGGTAAACAGTCTGATGCTGGTCAAAAACAATGTAAACCATTGAACAGGGAGGGATTCATCTTGAAAATGAATCATGTTTTGGCGGTATTACCGTTGTTTGTCTGTGCTCTTTTTAGCCAAGTAAAGGAAACTGTTAAATAACAGTTGATATAGGGGTATTTCCTTTTTACTCTTTGGACCCAATCCAGTTTAGGTTAGGATTATTTTATCTATTTGCCAATTTTTTTAACTTTCCAGAGGATGTTTATTTATTTGAAATATATTCTTTATAAATATCTCTTCCATTTCCTATCTTGTTGCCTGAACATCCACTTAGTCTACTTGAGGACTTCTTGTGATCCATGAACAGGATAGGAAAAAAATTTACATCTTTATATTCACTATCCTTTAACCAAAAGTAAGCATTTCCTTTTTGTTATGAACATGGAAAATACATGACAAAAACATTAACAGTGCTTGTGACACTGTTACCAATAGAAAATGCAGAATTACTCATATCACTTTATATATGAAATATATATCTTGAAGTATCTTGCATTATTGAATATATTTTAAAATATTGTTTTTACTCATCACTACTTTGAAATTATGATTATATAATATTTTAGTATTAATTGATTATATACATTACTATAACACTTTATTTTTAATATATTGATAACTGTACTTCAGTATAGTTCATTTTCTTTGTAATTATATGTCTTTTTCCCATGGCTTGTAAGTATTATTCTGGGAAACATTCCTCAGGCTTCCCCAGACTGTCCAAATAGTCTGTGATACAAAAATGGTTAAGAATCCCTGATCATCATTTTTTCCCTCATCTATATCAGTAATTTCTAACAATTTTTTACTATCACAAGCACTTCCTTGTGGAATGTTAGCTATAAATATGATCTGCCAATTTTCTGCTTAAGATCTTTGTGTCTCACCATATTCCTAGAAGGTTAGAAAATGTCCTATCTTATTTCCAGCTTCTTGTCTAACCATACCTAGATTTCTGTACCCTTCCCTGAATATGCCACATGTATTTATTTTTTGATAACTTTCCTATTTGCAACTTTTCTTTATTTGACATTATTATTGCCTCTTTGAATGCCTACTAAGCAAGCTAAAATATTACTGCCTCTCTTAAGCCTTCTTTTGATTTTTATCATCTTTTTCAACCTTGGTATTGGTATGCTCTGCATACTTTTATCATATTATAATATGCAGGTTATTCATTGACATGTCTGGGCTTCCTATTAGATTGACTTCTGTGAGCACAAAGTCTTTTTGGTGTTTCTATTTGTATCTTGGCAGTTGACATAGATTCTAAGGCCTTTTTTATTTTTTTGAGACGGGGTCTCGCTCTGTCACCCAGGCTGGAGTGCAGTGGCGCCATCTCGGCTCACTGCAAGCTCCGCCTCCTGGGTTCAAGCGATTCTCCTGCTTCAGCCTCCTGAGTAGCTGGGATTACAGGTGCGTGCCACCATGCCCAGCTAATTCTATTCTATTCTTTTCTTTTCTTTTAGACGGAGTCTTGCTCTGTCTCCCAGGCTAGAGTGCAGTGGTGCAATCTTGGCTTGCTGCAACCTCCACCTCCCGGGTTCAAGTGATTCTTCTGCTTCAGCCTCCCAAGTAGCTGGGATTACAGGTGCCCGCCACCATGCCTGGCTAATTTTTGTATATTTAGTGGAGACAAGGTTTCACTCTGTTGGCCAGGCTGGTCTTGAACTCCTGACCTCACCGTGAGTGAGTGATCTGCCCACCGTGGCCTCCCAAAGTGCTGGGATTACAGACATGAGCCACCGCGCCCAGCCGAATTTTTGTATTTTAAGTAGAGACTGGGTTTCACAATGTTGGCCAGGCTGGTCTCAAACTCCTGACCTCAAGTGATCCACCTGCCTCAGCCTCCCAAGGTGCTGGGATTACAAGCGTGAACCACCGCGCCCGACCAGTTTCTAAGGCTTTAAACCAGAGTTTTAAAACATCTTTAGAAGTTGTTCTAAGAAAAACAATTTAGATTTAAATAATTACTTGTTAGAATGAAGAGCTTTTTATTCATAGTAACAACTTAAAAAAACATCTCCAAGGTGTAGTCATTTGATCAACAACATTAATTAGTGTTTATTGTGTCCAGGCACTGTTCTGAGTTTAGGAATTTAGCAGTGAACAAAAGAGAAACATGTCTGTGTTCCCATGGAGCCACAGAGAAAAATGAGGGAAGGGGAATAGGGAATGCCTAGGGAGGATTGCAATTTGAAATTAGTATGCTTCCCATAGGCCTTGCTGAGATGATGACATCTGAGCAAAGATCTGGTGGAAGTAAGAGAGAAATTCATATAGAACAGCCTGTGTAAAATCCTGAGGTGGGAGTGTGCCTGGCATGTTCAAGGAATGATAAAGAGACCAGTGTGGCTGAAGCACATGGTGTAAGGTGTATAATAGGTGATGAGATCGGAGAGGTAATGAGGGCAGATGATTGTTAGCCTTTCACTCAGCATGAGATGGAGGGGGGCTCTGGAGGGCATTGAGAATAAGAGTGACATGATAATACTGTGTTTTGGCAGGACTAGAATGGAGATCTGTATTGAGAACACAGTCTGTACGTGGACATGGGTGGAAACTTAGTTGAGACCAGTTAGGAGAGTATTGCAAAAAATCAGGCAAGAAAAGATGAGGTTTGGAGTAAGTTGTTTATAGTGAAGACTGTGAGAAGTCATTGGATTCTTGATATATTTTTTATGGTATGGCGATCAGAATTTCTGGTACATTTTATGTCAAGTATGAAAGAAGAGATGAGTCAAGATGACTAGTAAGACTTTTAACCTAAACATCTAGAAGGATAGGGTTGGTGTCAATTGAAATGAAGAATGTTGTGGATAAAGCAGGTTTTGGGATGGGGACAGGATCAGGAATTTTGGACATGTTAAGTTTAATATGATGTCTTTTTGACCTCCTACTGATGGTAAGTAGGTAGTTGGTTACATGAGTCTGGAGTTCAGTGGAAAGCAGTCATTTATGTAGGGATAAATGTTTGCAATGCATAGATGGTAGCTGAAACAAAAATGAGATGAGATCACCTTGTAGGTAAGTGAGTATAAAAAAGAGATGTCCCAGGACTGAGCCCTGGGGCCCTCTGACATTAAGTAGCCAGTGACATACAAAGCAAAACTATATATGAGAAATCCTAGAGGCCAAGTGAATTAATTCTTTTAGAGAGAAGGGAATGATTAATGTGTTAAATTCTACTGACAGATCAATGAAGAACTGAGAAAAATAAGACTATTAAAATTAGTAATGTAGAAGTGTGATCCCCAACCTTTTTGGCACCAAGGACCGGTTTTGTGGAAGACAGTTTTTCCATGGGCCAGTGTGGGGAGGGGTGGGAGGTTTTGGGATTAAACGGTTCCATCTGAGATCACCGGGCATGAATTAGATTCTCATAAGGAGTGTGCAACCTAGATCTTTGCATGTGTAGTTCACAACAGGGTCTGTGCTCTGATGAGAATCTAATGCTGCTGCTGATCTGACAGGAGGTGAGCTCAGGTGGTAATGCCAGCTTGACAGCCACTTACCTCCTGCTCTGCAGCCTGGTTTCGTACAGGCCACAGACCGGTACCAGTCCACCACCTGGGAGTTGGGAACCCCTTGTGTAAAAGACATATGTCTTTGATAAGAATACTTTTGGTGGCATGGTAAGTTCCTGGTCCCAGTGGATTTTAGTAAGAATAGGAAAAGACAGTGTCGACAAGTCTTTCAGGGAGGATTGATGTAAGGGGAAGCAGGAACATTTAGAGGAGACAGAGGATGTTGCTTCTTTTATCATAAGGAAATGGGTAGTGAGGATGGGTGCAGGTATTGGAGCTTTGAGGAGAAAGGCAAAGGTAAGAAATAGTCCTCTAGGAGAATAGGCATTCCTTTCACCAGTTAGTAAATTTTTGTTGAATGAATAAAGCATATCTTCCACCGTTATTTGTGCCCTAAGTAAATTTAATTACATATCTTTGCTTTCCAGCTTCAATACCATGTTTCTACACCTAAGTTACTTTCTCCCTACTTCTTCAGGTACACATTCAACCCCATCTTTAAAGGCCAGCTTGTGATGTACTTTCTCTCTCTAAAAATAGTGTTGAATTTCATATATTTGCTCCTTCTGTAAACCCTTTATCTGTACTGATTGTTTTCCACTTTCTGCCTATTATTATTGGTTTTTAAATTTTAGATTAAGAGTGTACATGTGCAGATTCGTTACATGGGTATATTGCATGATGCTGAGGTTGGACTTCCATTGATTCCGTCACCCACATAGTGAACATAGTACCCAACTGGTGGTTTTTCAACCTCCCCACCCTTTTCCTCCCCACTTTTGAATCCCTAATGTCTATTGTTCCCATCTTTGTGTCTGTATACACCCAATGTTTAGCTCCCACTTATAAGTGAAAACATGACATATTTGGTTTTCTGTTTCTGTGTTAATTTACTTAGGATAACGACCTCCAGCAGCACCTATGTTGCTGCAAAGGACACGATTTTATTCTTTTTTTATGGCTGCATAGTATTCCGTCGTACATATGTAGCACATTTAAACAATCTAATCCACCATTGATAGGCACTTTGGTTGATTGCATGTCTTTGCTATTGTGAATAGAACTGCGATGAACATATAAGTGCATGTGTTTTTTTTGTAAGAATGATTTATTTTCTTTTGGGCATATACCCAGTAGTGGGATTTCTGTGTCAGATGGTAATTCTATTTTTAGTTCTTTATGGAATCTCCAAATTGCTTTCCACAGGGACTGAACTAGTTTCCATTTCCACCAACAGTGCATAAGTATTCTATTTTCTCTGCAGCCTCACCAACATCTGTTGTTTTTTGACTTTTTACTAATAGCCATTCTGACTGGTGTGAGATGGTACCTTATTGTAGCATCTGTCTGATGATTAGTGATAAGCATTTTTATATGTGTATTGGCCATTGTATGTCTTCTTTTGAGAAGTGTCTGTTCATGTCTAAATGACCCTTTTAATGGGGTCATTTGTTTTTTGCTTGCTGATTTAAACTTCTTATAGATTTGGGATATTAGTCCTTTGTTCAGATACATAGTTTGTAGTATTTTTTTCCCATTCTGTAGATTGTCTGTTTACTCTGTTGATAGTCAGAAGCTCTTTAGTTTAATTAGGTCCCAGTTGTCAATTTTTTTTGTTGCATTTGCTTTTGAGGGCTTAGTCATAAATTCTTTGCTCAAGCCAGTGTCCAGAAGAGTTTTTCCTGGGTTTTCTTCTAGAATTTTTATAGTTTCAGGTCTTACATTTAAGTCTCTAATCCATCTTGAGTTAATTTTTGTATGTGGTGAGTAGGTAGGAGCCTAGCTTAATTCTTCTGTGTGTATATAGTTAGCCAGTTTCTCCACATCATTTATTGAATAGTTATATCCTTTCCCCATTGTTTATTTTTGTCGACTTTGTCGAAGAATATCAGGTGGTTGTAGGAGTGCAGCTTTATTTCAGAGTTCTCTGTTCTTTTCCATTGGTCTATGTGTCTTATTTTTGCACCAATACTATCCTGTTTTTGTTACCATAGCCTTGTAGTACAGTTTGAAATGTGATGTCTCAGGTCAGGCGCGGTGGCTCACGCCTGTAATCCCAGCACTTTGGGAGATGAAGGCGGATGGATCATGAGGTCAGAAGTTCGAGACCAGCCTGGCCAACGTGGTGAAACCCCGTCTCTACTAAAGAGACAAAAAAAATTAGCTGGGTGTGGTGGTGTGCACCTGTAATCCCAGCTACTCAGGAGGCTGAGGCAGGAGAATCACCTGAACCCGCGAGCTGAATGTTGCAGTGAGCTGAATGTTGCAGTGAGCCATTGCACTCCAGCCTGGGCGACAGGGTGAGACTGTGTCTCAAAAAAAAAAAAAAAAAAGAAAAAGAAAAAGAAATGTGATGTCTTAGGCTTTGTTCTTTTGGCTTAGGATTGCTTTGGCTATTTGGGCTCTTTTTTGATTCCACATGAATTTTAGAATAGTTTTTTCTAATTCTGTGAAAAGATGACATTAGTAATTTGGTAGGAATAGTATTGAATCTTTAGATTACTTTGGGTGATAATGGACATTTTAACAATATTGATTCTTCCAATCCATGGGCATGGAATGCTTTTCCATTTGCTGGTGTCATGTGTGATTTCTTTCAGCAGTGTTTTGTAGTTGTCCTTGTAGAGGTCTTTCACCTTCTTGCTTAGACGTATTTCTAGGTATTTTATGGATTTTTTTGTGGCTTTTCTTAAAGGGATTGCGTTCTTTATTTGGTTTTCAGCTTGAATATTATTGTTGTCTAGAAATGCTACTGATTTTTGTATCCTGAAACTTTACTGAAGTAATTTATCAGGTTAAGGAGTCTTTAGAGTTTTCTAGGTATAGAATCATATTGTTGGTAAAGAGAGATAATTTGACTTTCTCTTTTCCCATTTAATGCCTTTTATTTATTTCTGTTACCTAATCACTTCAGCTATGACTTATAGTAGTACTATGTTGAATAGGAGTGGTGAGAGTAGACATCTTTGTCTTGTTCCAGTTCTTGAGGAGGAATACTTCCAGCTTCTGCCCATTCAGTATGATGTTGGCTATGAGTTTGTTGTAGATGACTCTTACTATTTTGAGTCTACTTTTATTTTTGATGCTACTGATTACTAAGTTAAAACTTTCTTGGTGAGGAAATTGGAGGACCTGGAATCAGACTTCCTGGTGGTAGAATCTATCTTCCATGATTTCCTAACTCTGTAATCTTAGACAAATTATTTATTCTATCTGTACCTCACTTTTCTTTCTGTAAAATTGGAATAATAATATTACCAATCTTATAGAGTAACTATGAGAATCAGAGCCCTTTAAATAGTGTTTGGCACATATCAAATATTCAGTAGAGGATTACTGTAGTTTCTATCATTAGTATCATTATTGATACTGCTGTTAATGTGAGAGTCTATAGAACTGATTCATTTTTCGTATTTTGGTACAGTACCTGTTATCCAGAAAACAGAATAAATGAGTAATTCACTAAATAATGAGTAAATTAAATATAATAATTGTGAACTTATTCTTTAAAGGCTTTTAGAACAATACTAGGCTCAATGTTGATAAGCTCAGTTGCTACATTGCTACACCAATGCAAAACCAAAAGTGATGGTAGTATTATCATTTTAATTGGTTTTTGCTCATTTTAATTGTATACATCAGGAAATATGGTTTTATAAATCAGTACACCTATTCTTGAGCCTTTGCCATTTCTTAATTTTGCAAATTAGTTTTCCATTTTAGGTTCAAAAATATAGAGTTCACTGTGTCATGGGACTTAGAAGGAATTTGTTTTCTTCCTGCAATTTCCATTGAGTTAACAAACAGATCTTGGATTCACTTCTGCAGTTCTCTAGAGTTCCTGCAAGTGTCTCCTTTCCTATTAACTTGTTCGTCCTCAGAGGGGTCATCTTTGAGTCACAGCTTTTGGCATCTGAATTCTAGATTCTGCTTTTTCTAAATGGAAGTAGTTGATGAGACTCGGAGACCTTTGTACAAAGCCTCTCATTTCTTGGACTTGGAGCCTCCATATTTCAGTAAAGTGCTTTTACAAAACTGGAAGTATCACTTTTCTTTTTAGCATCTGTATGAGGCATTCCTTTTACCACTCAAAGACTCTGTTTATAGCTTTCATTTGATGGTTTATTGTAATTTTAACTTACGTTGATCAGTAGTTTTCTTGATACAGACCACATCACAATTGTAAATACAAAGCAACCACACATTTCAGCCTTATATAGTTTCACCTACTTAAGAGAATCAATGATAATGTGATGTTTCTTGACTTTTCTTTCCACATCACTGTTTACTTGTGGATTGAAGTTTCCATGTGCATGTTTTAATTTTTGCCAAGAAAAATCAATCAAGTGCACTGTAGCTCTGCTTTAGATTTTATGCCTCATATGACATAGAGTATATAAATAGTATAAACATGTTAAATGGAGAAAAATCTTGTGGGGGGATATCTTAGTTTAGTACCTGGATTTTTATTGATTATGTGTACTTTATTGTTTTAGCTCAAATGCAGTTTTGTTTTTCATTTGTTATTTTCAGATTTAAAGTTTTCCTGGTGAATTTGTTTTCTCAAATTCTTTTATCACCTTTTTTAAAAAAAAATGTTGCTATAGCACTCTGCTAGTTTTAACATTTACTATTTTCTCAAGACAGAGCAGATGAGTTTGTTAGGGAAAGTGGATAGAAAAGAGTGACCTCATAATACCTTCCTGAAAACAAGATGCTTTCATTTCAGAATCATTAATGGAAGAAGCTATTAAATGAAGATTGTACAGTTGTTGTTTTTAAATAGGTTTTTAAAGAGAAGTTTTAGGTTCTCAGTAAAATTGAGAGAAAGGTATAGATAACGTAGTTTTGGGGGGAAATAAAATTGCCAGTGGGATATATTTTAAAGGAAACCTGATATTATATTGCCTCTAAATTATACTTTAAAATTTAGTGCTATGAAAATTAATTTAAAAATATTTTAAACCTAAATAAACTCTATGTAGATATTTTATATTTTTGTGTATTTCATTTTGGATATAACACATTTCTTTTCTCTGTAAGTTTTGCCTTTAAATAAATGCCAGATGATGTAGTTATCCCTTGAAACTAATCCAGAATTTCTTCTTTGCTTTTTACTGCTTGTGGAAATATTTTTTCTTTTCTATGTATTTTTTACATGGGCAAATCATAAACTCCAGATTTCAAAATAGTTTTATTTTTAAATGGTTAATGAGACATGCCTCTAGAGGGCAATATTTTCTCATTGTAATCAAGGCAACCCTGGCATGAACCTGAGGTACTAGGGATGTTAATGTCTTATCAGATCTTAAATAGCCTTTCTTCCTTTTTATTATGTTTTCTGTGATTTATTCTTCAACGTCTTCTTAGAGAATTCAACTTTGGAAATATATTACTATCAATTAATATCCTTTCTGAGTACTACATGCAGATCCAGTTCCTCTGAGTGAATACCATTGAATGAATAGAGGCAAATTTTTTAGTTATATCATTTGAGTATGTGGGGTCATTATGCTAAATGTTTTTTTATTCTCTATGTGTTGCTATTCAGGGACTTGTTATCTGTATACTTTATAATATCAGAGTGATTAAACTTCATTTTTGAGGCATTGAGGCATTATAAGGGCTAATAGTTATCTACTCTTTTCTATTAACATTGATTGGACACTTACTGTTGTTGTTTACCCTTTAAATATAATTTTTATTTTTTATCAAAGAAATACATGCATTTATTATAAAAGTCAAAAATATAATTTTATAGTGAAAGGAGGCACTTTTTGGCCTATCCTCCCCACTCTCGGGTGTCATTCCCCAGAGGCCTCTTCTTTTAACTCTTCTGTTTTTTTCTCAGTTGGTTTTTTTTGGGCCCTTTCCTGGAAATCCTATTACTTGAATAATGTATCTTCTACATTGAGCCCCTAATCTTCTTGTCTATTTTCTATCTTTTTTTTAACTTTATGAGAATTTCCCCAACGTATGTTTCAGTCTTCTTGTTGCATTTTTATTTCTGCAATCTTTTTAATATGATTTTCTTTGAATTTTTTTTATTATCACACCCTTTTCTTATTTTATGTGTAATATTTTTCTCTCTTTAAGAGATCGTTATAAATTTTGAAGCTTTTTTGTGCTCCTTTTATTATGCCCTCCCCTCCCCTCCCCTCCCCTCCCCTCCCCTTCCCTTCCCTTCTTTTTCTTTCCTTTTTTTTCTTTCCTTTCTTGTCTCCCTTTCTTTGCCTTTTTAAATCGAGACAAGGTTTTGCCATTTTGCACAATCTGGTCTCGATCTCCTGGTCTCAAGCAATCTGCCTGCCTCAGCCTCCCAAAATGCTGGGGATTACAGGTGTGAGCCACCAAGCCCATCTGGAGCAGTGATTTTCAACCCTTGACTGTCCATTATACTTAAGCTAGATAGATTTGAAAAATACTGAGGCCTAGACTCCATCAGACTGATTGAACCAAAACACTGACCTCAGTGATGGGGAATCCTTGATGGATCATTGGCTGATTATTTTTATTTTTACATTCTATTATTTAATAATTCATTTTTATTTTATTCATTTTTATTCAGCTAATCAACAAATCAATACTAAGGAACTGATTGGAAGCTTTTTGAATGTGGGAAGGGCATACCGCCTTATAGGTATCAGTGGTCTATCAGGTAGGAATGCCATTTTATTATCATACCTCAAATAGTCACTATCCGTAGGTCTTTTCATGTACGCTGGTCAGTTTTCCCACAAAGAAATTCTTCTATCCTCTGTTCAGGGTGGGGTTGGGGTAATAAAGAGTTTCTGGCAATAAACTTAGAAGTTAGTTTTCAAGGAGTTGAAGGAGTTAACATTATTTTTGTCTAGTGATTAGAATAACAAAAAGAGGATTTGGAGAACCTGTTTGCATTTGATTATTGTCTTACTTCCCTAGTTAGGAGGACAGTTAAGTAAGAAATTCTGGTCTGGTTCCACTGAAATAAAAATATTTCTATGGAAATCTGGAGATGGAATTTTTAGTTGCTGAAGTGAATGAATGTAAAAACTACTTATTCAGATAAAGAAGTGCAAATGGGTAGAACAACAAATTTTGGGAAAAGAAGTGAATGTTCATTTCCTTATGTACTTATCAAAAGGAAGATCTGAAATGTTTTTTTTTTTTAATTTGGAGAAAAATTGGAGAGGGAGAAGAGAGTGAGTAGGCTTCTTAGGATTTGTAGTAGCCAGAGTTTGAATGATTGACCCATATGAACAGATTTAGAAATTATCAGACTTGAGAATAACAGACATGAATAGTCTTGAGGTTGAAATCTGAGCAGGAACTAGAAATCTGCTAGTTGATAGTTGTAAACTACAAAAGGACAACAAGACAGGGATCAGGGCTATACCAGGATTATGCACAGAAGTAGAAATTTTGATGGTTCTTACCATGATGAGGTAAATGATATTTTGAATTTGGAGGAGGATGAGAAAAGGAAAAGGATTTAAGGTTCATTGAAAGAGTTATTAACATTGGATGATGTGTTTTTGCAGGTGAGAATATTGAAGCTAGAATGAGGCACAAGAGGGAAATTACTATTTCAGAATGGACCAAGGTGGAATTAACATGGGCACTGTTGTTGTTGGCTTCAGAAGAAATAGAGCATTCCATTTTCTGTGTTAAGAGCCATCTCTAGTAAGGAATGCTTAATTAATGTTCAATAATATTTCACTCTGGTCTAGTTTTGGAGCAGATTGAAATGTGTCTATATTTGATAAAACCATAGATGAGGGAAAAAATACCATGACAGTACTCATAAATGAATATAGTTTTCCGGCAGTGCTCCAGCTGATTAGGAAAGTGTTTCGGCTTGACAGGGAATTACAGGGAAAGAAGAGTCATTATTTCTCAACTGGGGATGGTCGTGGTATCACTCCTCTTTGTGGTTCTTACTGTCAAGGATCTTTTGTAAAAGTAGGTTTTACGTACGTAGGTAAAGTCATAGGCATACTTTTGGAAAAGTAAATTTAGAAGAGAAGGGCTTGAACTATTAGTATTCGTGTGGTGTGCTTAGTTTGATTTTTTTCTTTTTCTTTTTTTTTGGTAAACTGTTCCACAAATTGTTGATAATTTAGGCAGCTAAATGGAGTATTGGTTTCCTGTTTTCATCTTGAGGAAAATATGTAAGCATATTTTGATAGATATTTAAATGTTTTAAAACTGGAAATAAAGTATATGTGAATAGAAAAGGTTTTATCTGCCCTGTTGTCAAAAATGCTGATTTGGCCCTTTCGTACTGTACTCCCATCTTTGTATGGTTGTTACAATCTGTTGCTCTTTCCCATCTGAAGGAAATGCATCTTTGACACTTCTCATGACCTGCGTCATGATGCTGAAATAGAGCCAGAAAATATCCTTAACAGTCATGGGTAAAAAGAAGGAAGGCGTCCGTGGGTTGGGGCGGGAGAATAGGGGACTGTGAGGAGAAGAGAGTCTTTGCTCTTTCAGTTTACATCATTTTGATTTTTAGGAAAGTTACTTACATTTTGTGGCTATACTTTTTTTTTTTTTAGGAAAAAATTTCTTTTTTTTCTTTTTTTTTTCTTTTATTATTATACTTTAAGTTTTAGGGTACATGTGCACATTGTGCAGGTTAGTTACATATGTATACATGTGCCATGCTGGTGGGCTGCACCCACTAACTTGTCATCTAGCATTAGGTATATCTCCCAGTGCTATCCCTCCCCCTTCCCCCCACTCCACCACAGTCCCCAGAGTGTGATGTTCCCTTTCCTGTGTCCATGTGATCTCATTGTTCAATTCCCACCTATGAGTGAGAATATGCGGTGTTTGGTTTTTTGTTCTTGCGATAGTTTACTGAGAATGATGATTTCCAATTTCATCCATGTCCCTACAAAGGACATGAACTCATCATTTTTCATGGCTGCATAGTATTCCATGGTGTATATGTGTTGTGGCTATACTTTTTATTCAAGAGAAAATGCTTCGATTTTATATTAAATTGTTCCTTAAGTATACATTCTTTAATGTATAGGTATACAAAGTACATAAAGATAAGTTCTGCAAATGTAAAATTAAATAGTTTTGAGTTCTCCAGATCTAAGAAAATACACTTTAAATCTTGCAGTTAATTCTATATTTCATCTTCCTACAAAGTGTTTATCTCAGAACCAACTTCTGATACTTCTACATCTTGTATGTTTAGCAGTTTAAGTAATAAAGTCACATTTGTTGAAACAAGAAGATAGGATTCTATATTTTTTCCATCTACAGTAAAGCATTTCTATTTACTCTGTTGATATACAAAATTCATTGTGAGGTAAAGATGGGAGAGTTGAGTATAGGGTATTTTCAAGAAATAATTTAATGAGGACTTATACTTTGGGGAGCACATTTCACCTCAGACTTGTTCTAAGGGATGTTAGATTATGGAGCCTTAATTCAGGGATTTTTCATTAGGCTAAAACTCCACTTTTGAGCACTTAGTGTCAGTACTATATTTGAACTTGATTCAGAGGAGTGGGAAATTTTGAGGGTGCTTTAATATGATACATTTAGAAATAGGTTGAGGCTTAAGGTCAAAGATCTTTTTAAAAAATTTTTATTTATACGTATGAAGAATTTACTTTCTTCCCTCTTGTGTTAAATATAGTCTTTTTACTGTTATATTTGATTTTTCATTGTTGAAGGAGTGTCAAACTACAATCCTAATACGTAAAATGAATTAAAAATTGCTAAACCTTCTTAAATTTTAAGAGCACCAACTCTTAATAAACTTTCTTCATTCCAAAATCTTGGAGTGCTCTAAGAATAATAAGTAATGAACTTACCACTTTGAGGGAGGAGATTTTGTTCATTTAACTTACAAGTTTGGGTTGACTCTGTGATTGAAACTTAATTGCATGAAACTTTTCAGACAGATTTTTTATATTTCAGTAGAATTCCTCACAGCTAGTTCTATTATTTTTCCCTTTGTGTTCTTGCATTTTATAAACATTGTTTCTAACTGTTGATTTCATCTCCTTTTCTAGGGAATTTTTGCCTCCTAAGTTTTCAATATTCCTTGTTCTAGGCCCACCTTGTTACCTTTTGGAGTTGTGTCAACTATACTTGCTGTACTTAGAATTTTAGCAACAGGAATTATTTCTTTATGACTTTTAATTTTTAGGCATCAAATTTCTAAATTTATTGGGTTTATTTTAGCTTTAAGAAAAGAAAAATACTTAAATTTGTATGTTGTAGTAGCCAACACATTCAGATAATAATTAACAGATGATAATGGATTCACAATAGAAAAGGAAAACTACCTAGCAAATTATTTATTGGAGTATTCGTACATAAATATATACAGTTTCAATTCTCCTGAAAGTACACTTTTAATTCTAGTGACATTTAATAAGCCCTAGGCAAAGCTCCATGCAGGCTACTTTGTATGTAGTGGGGAGAAGTGATGACACTATCATTAATAATCTCAATCCCCATCCTGTTTAAAAAAAAAAAAGAAAGATTGGATTCTTGTTTTCAAGTCCATTTTGTGGGAGATTTCTCTAATCTTCCTACCTTCTCACCCTTTCTCAAAGTACCTACAGTAATGTCTATGGTGACGTGAACTTTTTACTCAAAGAAAGCAACAAGTGTTTTTGCTTGAAATGCATCAAAAATTGCAGTGTTTTTACTTCACCATCGATTGCCTCCAAAAAAAAGTTATAGGCAAAATGAATCAGTGCCCACACAGGATTGTCCTTCAGTATTTTCTGTCTTTATTTGTCACCCAAACTGTTTGTTGTGTTTATAGTCTTTAAAAATGTGTGTCTGTGTGTCGACACACACACACACACACACACATAAAATTCATTTTCTTTTAGTGTGTGTTCTACTCTCCTTGGCTCCTGTGAACAAGCATTGCTTCCGCCCAGTTTGGTATGTGGGTCAGAAGGCACTGTTTCTCACCAGGGTGCTGCTGTTTCCTTTTCCGACTTGAGTAGATTGCAGATTATACTGGAACATGCCTGAGAAAAGGTCATAAAGGAGGGTGAAAGTCCTGGAACTGCAGCTGGGAAGCTTGACATTCTCATCTAGGAAAGGGGAGAAGAGAGAGATGGAGAGAGAGACACACACTCCCATCCCAACCAAAAATAACCCACCTGCAGGAAATTCCCTTCTACACAGGGTATTTTTTGTTAAATAACTATTGAGAGTTTGGTTGAAAAAACTTTAATGTTAAATTGGATGGCAAGCAAGAACTAAGCAGTGTTTTTAACTTTTCAGAGCCCACATTTCCAGTGACTATTTCAAAACAAGCTACCATTGTATTCTTTGACAGAGTCAAGAAGTCAGAGCTTTTCAACTACAGAATTAACTTAGTTAAACTCCTTGGTATATTTTAGATTTTTATCCCTGTCAATTCCACAGCAAGATATTAAAAACAGTCCAAAAGCTTTGCTCTTCTGTAGAAGACAAAAGTTTACCAAAAAATAAAAAATAAAAAAATAAAAAAAAAGGCCCCGTAGAACTCATCATCTAGTTTTTATTTTTGAAAGATATGATATAGGGAATAGAACATCTACATGATGTCTTAGAATAGGTAAAGTGTTGCAAAGAGGGCAAAAATAAAGGAGATATTTGGGACTGGGGCTGTTTCCGTAGAATTGTCTTCTGAGGAGTGCCAGAGAGTCACATTGACCTCGGGCTTCAGTGTGGCTCAGTAATCCGATTTCAAAATGCAAGAGTTCCAAATAGGAGACCAAAGA
Source organism: Homo sapiens (assembly GCF_000001405.40). Lineage (NCBI taxonomy): Eukaryota > Metazoa > Chordata > Mammalia > Primates > Hominidae > Homo > Homo sapiens. The sequence continues at coordinate 61,008,970 of NC_000017.11, forward strand.
CACTAGGTGAGGAGCTTATATCCTAGAACAATAGTGGGTGTTGTAGATAAGTGTATGGAGAGGTGATGAGAACAGAATTTAATACAGTCGTAGGAGTCTAGAGTACTGAGTTATAGGAAGGTGTCTATTGTAAACCTTCAGAAAAGTGGAGTGCCTAAAGTGGATAAGGTCTGTGTCTGTGGTAAGAATAAGTGGGATGATATGTGGACCTCCTAATAACACTGCTCTTTCACAGGGCACCATTGCTTAGTGTCCTTTAGCTCTTTTTGCAAATGAAGCTTTGCCGTTTCTATACTTATCTCTAATACTCTAATACTATACTTACCTCATATGTCTAATGACAACAGAAGGACAGTGCTCTTTTTATCCTCCAAATGTTTCACTTGACCCACTTTATTCCATTGTAGGTCTTAGTTTCTCATACCTTCTGTTCCTAAAGAATCTTTCTTTGTCCTCCATTAACAATAACTTTTAGAAACCTGTAACAAAAATTTCTCTCTCTCTCTGGTATGACACTCCTTTAAGGTACTTTCTGATCTACAACTATTGTCATTTGATTCCTTAATGTTATTTTAACTGATTTTATGTCCTTTGGTTCACAATATGGTAAGATATGGAAATTTTTTAAAGGTAGAAAGGATGCAAATACATTCATTTTTTATTTTCCCTCTTCTTGTTTGTATCTCGGAAGAAAGACAACTATACATATGTACACACAGATACACTGATAGTAACTTTAATATTTAACATAATCTGAAATGTTCAACAATTTCAGTTTTGCTAGCTTCAGAGAGTTCTTGCAGTTGGCAGTTTGCCACATTCACATGTTCTCACATCACTGCATTCAGAAGCTAAGAATACCAACCTGGCAGCTTCTGCACAGAGGGTAAAGATAAAACAGAAGGGAGTCTAACTTTGCAGCCACATTACCTGGGAGTTGCTGCTGATGTCTTTTCCACAAATGTCCAAGTTTGTCAAAGCCCAGTAAATCTTAGAAAGTTTATTTTCCTTGTAGCATCTGTGTTTTATAATGGGTCTTTTAATTTGTTTTTACTTTGTCTGCAGGGATTTCTTTTGTCCGGAGTTTTCAGACTCTGTCTTTTTTTTTTTTTTTTTTTTCCTGTGGAAGTGAGTCTGTTAATGATGACTGGTTTGGGAATATGCCTCTCTGCAAAGCTGACCTGACAAGCTATTCCTCCAGCGTGGCAACAAAGCCCATTGTTATTTTCTCTGTTCACTTTTATCCTCAACTTAATCCATTTTTCTTCTGTGTTTTTATAGTATAGAATGTCTGGGAAAACATAATTTAGGACAAAGCATAAGTAAGATGGTATTTTGAAGTTAGCAAAACTTTTAGTAAACAGATCACACCATGTCATTCTCATATATGCAGACAGTGGAACTATGTGTTAGTATGGAGATTGAGAGTTTGTGTCCCCCAAAGTACACGTACCTGTAGATATCCTTTATCCAAAAGGTAACAGGAAAAAAAGAGCACAAGAAGTTGTTTTCATAATTCCTTTTTTTTTTTAAATTGCAAACTTTTAGAAGATAAACATAGAAAGTCAGTGGTTGAACCCGAAAGTGAATGGTTCTGGTGTAATGGCTTTGTATTGTAATATTAAAAACAATAATAGCAGTAAACAAAAAACTGAAAGCAGAACAAAAACAAGACATCATAGCTTTAAACATCAAGGGATGTTTTAAAAATTCTGATTTTTAAATAATTTTGTATCCCCAAATAGAATTCCTGCTTTAACTTATTGAGAAACCATTTTATTGGAACTCGGGATTTCTTTCCCCCAAGAGAACTCCATCTATCGTGGGGACTGGTAAACCTCTAAAGGATCAAAGCTCTAGTGGATTTGGATAAAGACCCAAAAGCCTGAGGCTTATGCAAGTTTATCTATATAGAGTAAGCCCAAAAAACTGGGATGAGAGTCTTAGATGAGCTTATTTTCTCATGAGATTTTTGGGACTTCCTCTGTCTGCTTGTGCCAGAAATACTGTGAGAATATTCATTCTCATGGCATTTGTCACTTACAGGTCTCCTCTTAGCTGGAATTTGAAAGTATAATAGTGTGTGAAATATTTTATGTATCTCAAGACTTCATGCAGTCCACTACCAAAACTGCACTTAAATAACCTCTGTTCTTTTTCATTGTACTCATGCAATAAAGGAAAAAATAGAAGAGTATAGTAAAGAAAGGTTAGTGAAGGTGATACCTTGTAACTCTCTTCATAGATCTCAGAAATATTATTTGTATCTTATGTATTTCTGAGAGGTGAAGCAAAGAAAAAGAATAGCAATAGACTTCATCTAGGTCCAAGGCAGACACTGCAGGTTTCTTCCTGCTGAACTTCCTTATACGAAGAGGCTTGAGGTTTAATGAAGAATTCTGGCTTGAAAATTTAGGCTTGATATAACCACATGGAAATGTCTAAAGATCTATTTTTAAAGTTATCAAGTCTAACCTTCTAGGCCAGTGAACGTGAGACTAAGCAGAATAGTGAAAGCCGCAGACTCCAGTCATCTGGCAACCTTCTGAAGTACTGAGTCCCCTCCAGAATTATTTTTTCTATAGATCATAGGGCCGTATTTTTCTCTACCTCCTGGACATGGAAATAAATATATTTCCTTCATTCATTCAGCAAACATTTATTGAGCTGTTAGCTATTAATGACTAGTAAGACACTATCCTCAGGAGTATAGGCAGCCTGGTGGAGTCTCCAGTATTGTGGAGGACAAATCTGGAGGTTTGTTAGATTCTAGCTGAATTTTCAAAGAAAATCCAAGACAGTGTAAATAGTGTAAAATCATTTATAACCAAAGATTTTAACAATAGGTCCTGGAAGAAAGGATTGTTAGGCTGTCTTGTGTAGTTATTGCATTTATTTATTTAATGTGTATTATTTACATGTCTGTGTCAGCTATTGAGATTTCTGGTCTAAGCTAGCTCTTTCATTTTACTAACTTCTGATGTTATTTATACATTTCTCCTGCTTTATTTTCTACTAGAAAAGCAAAATAAAAAGATAGAGATTCCTTCCTTTATGCTCAAAATTTGTATACCTTTTCTCCCTTTTTAAGTTGTCCTTTAAAACAATAATAAAAGTGACTCCTTACTTTTTGTTCCTGAGTCATTTTTCAGATGTATTTATTAGCATGGTTTTCTCCCATTTTTCATTTTTTGTTAATATGTCTTTCTGTAACATTACATTATGAACTCTTTGAAAGTCCCTTGGACTTACTCCTTCAGAATCTAGAACAGGGCCTGATACCAATAAGCCTCCAAAAGTGTGAAGTGACAGAGCAAAGATTGAGTGGAACTTTTGCTTGGCGCAGTATGCATCTTTGTTAATGTCTTCTTTTTCAGTGTCAGTCTTTAAATCTTTGTTCTCTGTTACCTTGATTTTATCCTATCAGCAGTTCCTTTGCTTATGGCTTACAATCTGACTTTTCCACCTCACTGCTGAAACTACCCTACTGAAGACTATTAGAGTTAGCTTTTTCTCTGAGTTTGTCTTCTTAGATCTTGGCCTTATTGAGCATTTTATTAATATACTCATTGTTTCATTAAAACTGTGTTTATAAGTTGCTAGCCATATCCATTAATATGTAAGACAGACACCACCCCTACGAACATAAACATGAATGTAAAACCTACACAACTTACTTTGCTCTCTCAGATGTGCTGGTTTCAAATGGACTCTACAGCATAAACACAGGAGCAGGCTGAGAAGGATAGATCTGAAGTTCTTTGTATGCTATTCTGAGGTTGTCCTTTATCCTGGTGAGACAGTGAAGCATTTTAAGTTGTGCCTAGCTAAACCACAGATTTGGAACTTCTCAGTGAATCACTTCATTTTCCTAGACCACTCCTTTTATCTGTCAAATTCAATGACTTCAACATCTATACTGTTCCCTCGCTGAAGAACTTAACCTAAGTTCCTACTCCTCTGGCTCAATTGAGAGGTCCTCCTAAAACTGAAATATTTTATCTGCCATAGTTAGAGATTCCTCACTACTCCTCACATAATGGCATCCCTTTATACCACTCTCCCCTCACGTTATCCTTCATGCCCAGAATATTCCTTCTCTCCTACCCTTATCCATATTTTGTCCAATTTTCAAAATCTAGATCATATCCCATTTGCCCTTTTCCTTGAGCCCTTTTCCATATAAAGTTGTTCCCACGTCTGCTTATCTTTGGTTCTTGGCAATTAGCACTTAATGATTCCTGTTTGTGCCTGTTAGACTGTAAGCTTCATGATAACAAGGAAAACAGTCCCTTACAGTGTTATCTTAAGCTAAGGCACTCAACAAATATTTGTTTACTAGTTGTGAAATACATATGATGTACACAATTCTTAATTTTCACCAGCTTGTGACAGAAAGTTGCAGTCTGATTTCAAATTCAAGTTAATATTAGCATAGTTGTCTAATAGCGATTTTATAATTATTTACATCTATATTGGCCTTGAGAGTGTGATAATAAATTACTTCGAATGGCTTAACTATGAAGCAGTTTTTCTCATTTCTTCCACAAATATAATATTTTAATGTGATTTCCCTCTTCATATTTTCTACAAGGTTCTGTGTTGTGGCCTAAATCATCTTGTGTGTATTGTGAATTCTGTCTTTTGTTATTCCTGCAACAGGTGTAGATGGCTTCTGTTAACTTTAATGTGTATTCTGAATTGGAAATTGAGGAGATAGAGAACGATTTATTTTATTTGCATGAATTTCTTATCTTTCCCCATATTTTACAAAAGAGACATTTATCAAAGGTTAACTTGATAGTTCTATAGAGTAATATAAAAGGATAGATTTGTGTCCAAGGAAGAAGTAACATTTGGTTAAGCCACTATCCTAATTCTGAAGCCACTGTCATCTTGTTACGATTTTTTAGAAAGGCACTTTTGACTTTTCACTACCTCTCAGGCTACCATTAGATACTGTGTGGTAGTTCTCCCTCTATCCTGAATCCATGCTATTTTTAAAGCAAATGTCTTTTAGGATGTGTTTTAGAAATAAGATATTAATTAGGACTTTCGGGGGGGATGCTTTTGCTGTGTACATAAATTGGTCAACTTAATTCGAATTAGTAAAAAAAATTTATATGTGTGTTTACTGTGGTTATTTAAAAAATACCTTATCTATTGCTAACCACATAAATGGGGTTGATAATTTTTATCGACAGTCAAGAACAGTGATATAAAATTAACATTAAGTCAATAAGAAGTTTTTTGCATGAAAGAGTTGTTGGATTACAGGCACTGGCTTATTCCGTAACACAGAAAATGAGGTAATTTTTATAGTTTCTCTGTAAACCCATCAATTAATAAGACTCACTAGAAAACTACAGTAATTGAGAAAATGTGGTATTGGTGAAAGGCTACACACATAGATCAATGGAACACATGGATCAATGCAGGAATAGAACCACATGTATATGGTCAGTTGGTTTTTGACAAACATGGAAAGGCAATTAAAGGAGAAAGGATAATCTTTTTAGCAAATGGTGATGGAACAATTACACTTCTATATTAAAAAAATGAATACAATGAACCTCAGCTCTCACTACATACACAAAAATGAACTAAAAATAAATCACAGTTTGCTTTTCCCCTGTCAAATCAACATTGCACTGGAAGTTCTAGGTAGGTCAGTGAGGAGGAAAAAAAAAAAGGGCATCTAGACTGGAAAGGCAGAAGTAAAACTATCTGTTTTTTGAGGATGACATAATTATGTATGTAGAAAATCCTTAGGAATCCAGAAGACATTATTAGAACTAAGAAAGGAGCTCAGCAAAGTTGTAGGATACAAGATCAATGTACAAAAGTTACCTGTATTTCTATACATTAACAATGAATAATCTGAAAAATGAAATTAAGAAAACAATTCCATTTTCAAATTGCATGAAAAAGAATGAAATAATTAGTAGTAAGTTAACCAAAGAAGTACAAAACTTGTACCCTGAAAACTACAAAACAACATTGAAAGAAATTTAAGAATACCTAGGTAAATGGAAAGGCATCCTAAGTTCTTGGATTAAAAGGTATATTATTGTTAAAATGGCAGTATTCCACAAATTGATCTCCAGATTAAATGTAATCCCTATCAAAAACTCAGCTGGCTTTTGTTTAGAAATTGACAAGGTATGGGGGAACTAGCAGATTGTGTTGGATGTAAGGACCTAAGCAGGGCAACAAACCACTTTAACTGTCTTTAGAAAGATTAGGAATTCAGCCCTAATTCCCAAAGACTGAAATATGTTAATAATTAAGTCACACTTGGTGTTACCAGAATACTTCTTTTTTGTTTGTTTGTTTAGAGACAGGGTCTCTCTAATGCCACCTGGGCTTGGAGTGCAGGGGTGCTATCATAGCTCACTGTAACCTTGAATTTCTGGACTCAAGTAATCCTCTTGTCTCAGTCTTTAGTAGCTAGGATGACAAGCGTGTACCACAATACTCAGCTAATTTTTGATATTTTTTGTAGAGATGGGGTCTCACTCTGTTGCCCAGGCTGGCCTCAAACTCCTGGCCTCCTGCCTTGGCCTCCCAAGGTGCTGGGATTACAGTCATGAGCTATCCAGCTCTCCAAGAATAGTTTGGTTTCTTCTCATCCACATAATTGTAATTCTCTTGGCATCAATTCTACCTTTGATGCCTTTCTTAAATGATTACTGGAGTCAGTGAAAACCCTATCGGAGATAGAGAACGGGAGATAGAGAACCTTCCTCAGTGATGCTTTTCTTTATTTTTCTCTTTGTAGGGAAACTGAACAGCCAAGACTCCTATAACAATTTTACCAACAACAACCCTGGCAACCCTCGGCTCTCTCCTCTTCCCAGCTTGATGGTAGTGATGCCTCTTGCACAAATCAAGCAGCCAATGACATTGGGGACCATCACCAAACGAACCGGGTAAGGCCTTAGACTTGATGCTTTTTTAACAGCTGTTTTATAGGGTTGAATGAATAAAAATAAAACATACTTTTTCTTTGTGTGGTTTTTATTATGTTCTTCATTTCCAGCTCAAATAAGACTTAATGGCATCAGATTAAGTACAAAGCATAGAACTTGCACAAGCATACTTGCACACAACCATGTATACACACATTCATCGAGAAAAACAAAACAGTGACAAGCTGTGAAAACTAGTATTGGCTAATCAAAAACAGATCCATCTACTTCGTCTTATGCTTACTGCCTTGTGGCTTTGCCTGCAAGTACAGTTTCATTTTCCTGGCTCTTTCGGGATTTGAAATGACTCCCAAATTTTGACAGATACAAATATGGAGAGAACCTTAGATGACAACCATCTTTTTAGTACTTTGAAAAAATCATCTATATTGAGATATAATTTACATATAATAATCTGTCATTAGTGTCAGGACAATGTGATGTCATTGGTAGTTTTCAAAGCCAGTGCACTAAGATTTGGGCTTTATTTAAGATTGGTCATTAACTTCCTTAAAGACTTTTGATTACTCACTTGATTTATTTGTGCTTATTTTAGCAATTTGCTACCCCTTAGGAATATAAGATTATCACTTCAATAGGTTCCTGAAAATAAACTGCTAGGTCTATGATATCATTAGATATTCAATTGTATATTAACACTGGAAATCCATTTTATATCAGAAAATATATGTCTATAGGCAAATTATTTGTTTTCCATAATGAGCAATCCTGAAGTTTAATCTAATTTGAAATGAAACAACTTTTTTACATTTCTGTATTAAAGTAGTCAAGAGAAAACCCTGTCTGGCCTCAAACAGTCCTCAAGTTCTTTCCAATGAAAGGAATATATTATTTGGCTGCTACGTCAATATATCTTAATTTTGTTGTGCTCAGTATTAATGTGCTTACAGAGGTCACTTTTGTGAGAAGAAATACTCAGTAGTCTCAGGGACAAGGCCTTTGAGCTCCAGGTATCACCACAACATAGAAATTGACTCTGTAGCTAGGTGGAGTGGTGTTTGTATATAAAAAGATCCTGTTGCTGCATGCAGACATAAAATTGAGTCTGTGGCATTTGCTGTGTTTTTCAGCAAAACTTCATCCCAAATCAGACATCTTAAGGCACCAATAATTTGGTCTGTATATCTTTTTAATTTTTTTCAGCTTTTTAACTCCTTGGGCCCAGGAAAAGTATAATTTTAAATTGGATTTCAACTTTCTCTTCCTCTGTTAGTTTATTTTAAAATAATTTAAGAATAATGGCTGTGAATAATGAAGAGGTTATGTCCTTTATATTCACAATTAGGTTATTTTTTCATTGTATATTACATTCCTGGGATGTAGAATCAAAAATGGGACTAAATCTGGAATCATAACTTTAAAGTTTCTTTTTTACTTACTGAAGTTAGTCAGTACATAATTGTATCATCTTGATTCACTCCAGCATTGTACAATTCTCCAAAGTACTTACAAATTTTAGCCTGTCTTTTCTGAATCTAAGTGAAACCATCCTCAAAATTGTTTCTCTGTAATTTAATTTTATATTCAGAGTGAGGGAAATTTAAGAAGGTTCAAAAGGCTCCTGGAGTCATAAAAGCATATTCTGGTGCTTTGTTTCTGGTGCGTGTTTATTTAATTTTAACATAAGAGCTGTCCTGTTTTATAATGCAAAGAATTAGCTCTCTTTTTCTAATGAGCTTCTCCAAATATATCTCTGAAATAGTAACTGAAGTTTAGTGCATAAAATGATATGATGTTAGAATTTAATTCATAATATTTATGGTGAGGGGTAGGAAGTGAGTCTGCTTTTTTATGTAGTATTTGAAATTTTCCATAAGAAGATAAAATCTCTTGCTTTCTTTCTCTCTCTCTCCCTCTTACAACCCGATTTCTCTCTACACTGAGATGAATAGAAACTGTTAGTCATTTGGTGTCCTCCTGTGTTACTACACATTATGAATTTAGATAAAATTCTTATGTTTCCTTTTCTTACAAAAATTTGCTCTCTGTTCTCAGATTTTTGGAGCATGTATTCTGTTGCGTTATGAACAATTTATTAATAAGGGAACTGTTATCAATTTGAGTTGTTTTATGTGCTTTGAAACAAATGTTAGTTAAGATACTTGTATCATATTGTTTACTAGGCTTTGTATCTCAATTTATACCATTTTATTTCTGCCATAGTTTCGAATTCTTTTTTAGCAAGCCTTGTATTGAAGTGTTTAGAGAGAATAATTGATACTTGTCCCACAATGAGTACTAGGTTTTAATTTATTTGTGACATAGTTTCAGACTTACAGAAATGTTTCAAGACTAGCCAAAGGAATTCTTGTCTACCCAAATTCCCCAGTTTTTTTTTTTTTTTTTTTTTTTTTTTTTGAGACGTAGTCTTGCTCTGTCTCCCAGGCTGGAGTGCAATGGTGCGATCTCAGCTCACTGCAGCCTCTGCCTCCCTGGTTCAAGTGATTCTCCTGCTTCAGCCTCCCTAGTAGCTGGGATTACAGGTGTGTGCCACCACACCCAGCTAATTTTTGTATTTTTAGTACAGACAGGGTTTCGCCATGTTGGCTAGGCTGGTCTTGAATTCCTGACCTCAAGTGATCCACCTGCCTCGGCCTCCCAAAGTGCTGGGATTACAGGCATGAGCCACCACGCCCGGCCCCAAATGTTAATAGATCAACTTATTTGCTTTATCATTCATATTCTCTCCCTCTGCCTGCATAAACACTAACACGTCATTCACGTTCTCTCCCTCTGCCTGCATATACACTAACATGTTACGTTTTTGCAGCCTTAATATACCCTTATCCCTACATACTTCAATGTGTAATTTCTAAAGGCACAGACATTCTCTTATATAACTGTAGTACAGTTATCAGAAGAAGAGACCTTGAACGTACTTCATTAGTTTTTCTTAATTCCACATAATTGTTGTCTATAATGATTTTTCTACTTGTAGCATAGCTTTAGTGTACTACAAATTACCCAACCTACTGTTCCTTTTTTCCCTCACCATCTACTATTTTTTATCCCTTCCTATTAATATAGAGTACAGTGACTGATAAGACTTTGATGATAGTGGTCAGTCATACTTGACTGTTGCTAGATGACAAGACTCAATATCTTTAAGCCAGAGGTCCCCAACCCCTGGGCCACAGACTGGTGCTAGTCCCTGGCCTGTTAGGAACTGAGCCGCACAGCAGGAGGTGAACAACAGGCGAGTGAGCATCACCGCCTGAGCTCTGCCTCCTGTCAGATCAGCATCGGCATTAGATTCTCGTTAAGAGTGCAAACCCTATTGTTGTGAACTACACATGTGAGGGACCTAGGTTGCACACTCCTTATGAGAATCTAATGCCTCATGATCTGAAGTGAAACTTCCATGAAACCTATTCCTGGTGCCAAAAAGGTTGGGGATCGCTCCTTAAGCCACTCTCTGAAGAGTTTGTTGATTATACCTGGAAACTACTATTGACTTTTCTGATTGTTCTTTTACTATAAGTTATCTAAAACATTTAATCATAAAGTTTTCAGAATATAATATATGGTTTGATTATCTTAAAATTTAACATTTTCACTAAAATACATGTATTTTGCCTTGTCAAAAGTAATATTTGATTCGTGAGAACCAAATATATTCTGTGAATTTTCATTTTTGCTATATTCTGAGTTTTGAAACAAATCTCAGACAATATTTCATCCCATTAGCTTTCATCCTATTAGATTTTAAAGGCTATATTTATTTTATTAAATTTTTTTTACTATGACAAATTCTTAAGACTGGAGTTAGCTAATTTCCATTAATTATTGGCATTAAATTGTATTGTATTTGCTGAGAAATCTGATGGCTCCATTAACGTCACCAGGGTGATGAGCACATGAGAGTTTTCATTTTCCATGTCTCTTTTTATTCTGGAAATTCTCATTTACTCAAGCTTTGCTTTTATAAAATTCCTTTCCTAGTATTTTTAAAATAAAATCAACAAGAAGTATTTGACATGGATTATGTAGAAAGAGAACACAGAGTGACCCACTTATAGACAGGTAAATTATATTCTGTTTTCAATATACCTGATAATGTAGTTGGTAAAATTATGTACTTAGGTTAGATAAGCTTCCACTTCATCTATGTCCGAGGTATTTTGCACATGGTCATAAAATAACCATAAAGTGTTATATTTCTAAAGTAGAGATTTCTAAAGATTTCTAGGATCCAGTAATTAAATACCCAAATTGAGATAGAAGCCTCAACTTAAACCTTAAGGGGACAAAACGTGTGTTTACCATATTCAACATCTGCCTTCTTATGTTTGCAAATACATATGCCTGAAAGCCTGTGCAGTGTCAGGGACCATCTGTCTCACTGCGAGACATACATGAGGCCAGTAGAACTACAAATAGCAGAAGACAGATGTATTTACACCTTCTTGTTCAGTACCTTGAAGCAGCACTTGGAGGTAATAAGGCCTGTTTTGGCAACAGCTGCTGCTTAACTCTGTGACAGTATACATTGATGGAGGTAAAAGAAGTGTTAGACATTATTTGGCTCCAATAATCACCCATTCAAACAGACTCTGTTTTCTTTCAGTTTAAGACTGGAGGTTTAAAAAGTCCAGGTTATCATGTTCTTATCATATGTAAGTAAGAATAGTTCTCCTAATCTATTAAAAGTGGAATTAGGTGCTAAGAGGTTGCACCATATCTTGGATGTTAGGTTTGTAGTAGGGATTTATTAGCAGCATTTCATAGATGTTTGGCATTATCAAGTGAGTGATCAAGTTTTAAAAAATATTTTCTATGTAACAATTCACAAAAAAATGTTCATCAATGAGCTTAATTTTATCTGCTTAAATCTAAAATTATTTATATTTCCAAATTATTTTATGGACACAAGCAGAGAACAGTAAATTTCAAAAAGAAGTCATGGTAGGTAGTTCCGTGGGAATAAAAAATATTAAAATTGAAAATGAAGTTACTTCCTTGCTCTTACTAGGTGGAGCACTTTTTGTGAAGTAAACATGGGATGATTTGCTCTCTCGTAGGTTTCCTTTTCCTTAAATGGAAGTAGCTCCTCATTTCTTTCCCCCTCCCCATCTTTATATTTACTCATTTCATTTCTTCTCTTTTCTTTTGAGACAGAGTCTTGCTCTGTCACCCAGGCTGGAGTGCAGTGGTGTGTGATCTCCACCCACTGCAACCTCTGCTCTTGGGCTCAGGTGATTCTCTTGCCTCAGCCTCCCGAGTAGCTGGGACTACAAGTGGGTGTGTGCCACCATGCCTGTCTAAGTTTTGTATTTTTTGTAGAGATTGGGTTTCTCTATGTTGCCCAAGCTGGTCTTGAACTCCTGGTCTCAAGTGATCCAACTGCCTTAGCCTCCCAAAGTGCTGGGATTATAGGCATGAGCAACCGCACCCGGCCATGTTTATTCATTTCTTTGTGAAGATTTAGGTGGTTATTAGGAAGCTTCAGATGCACCCTGTAGAAGTAGGTTAAGTAATGTAGTGGAAAAAATATGGAATTGGGAGTCTGAGGCCCTGGCTTCTTCTCATCTGGGTTCTGCACCTATTTGCCAGTGTGTCCTAGGTAAATTTCTTCACCTGAAAAAAAAAAGTTTATATATATGGATTATAATCTTTTAATCCTTATCATGTATGAGTTTCTACCAGTTCTTTGGTCCCATTTCTAAGCCTCAGGACTGTTGAGCAGCCGTAAGCCAGTGCTGATGGGCTCAGGCCCCACTTAGAAAGCATAGATGCTTTTAAATGATATTAAATGGAAGCATTAAATAGCATTTATTCAGACACATCCAGTTGATATTTGTAGACCAAATCTACCATCAGACTTGGCTATGTGAGTAAATGATATTGGCATATAGTAGGCCTTGCAGAAGGTCTATTCCTTATTTTAATTCAATTAGGTACACCTTGGCTCAGTTACACAGTTTGGCCTGAGCCTTAAACTTTATAGGCAAAGTTCGGAGAATTAAATTGGAAATATTTGGAGAAAGACCCACTAGATACAGATATAATAGCTTGGGTAATTCCCCACCTCATGTTTCTGCCTTATGTAAGTACCAGTTCTTCATAGCTAAGCAATGGATGTTTGGTTCTAGATATTAAATAATGGACAATGTATTTTCATTGGAATATGTATGGATGTGACTACATATGCAATATATTTAACATAGTTTGAGTTCCAATTTTTCTGCTATATCAGTGGAGTACTTAAACCACACCATACTGTAAATCTGGGAATTTTTTTTGGATGATGTCTACTATATACCATATATATATTTTTTGTTTGTTTGTTTGTTTTGTTTTGTTTTTGATATGGAGTCTCGCTCTGTAGCCCAGGCTGGAGAGCAGTGGCGTGATCTTGGCTCACTGCAAGCTCCGCCTCCTGGGTTCACACCATTCTCCTCCCTCAGCCTCCCGAGTAGCTGGAGGCGCCCGCCACCACGCTTGGCTAATTTTTTTGTATTTTTAGTAGAGATGGGGTTTCACTGTGTTAGCCAGGATGGTCTCATTCTCTTGACCTCGTGATCCACCTGCCTCCACCTCCCAAAGTGCTGGAATTACAGGCGTGAGCCACCGCGCCCAGCCTATACCATATTTTTAAAAGTCAGCAGGCATAAATTTCTACAGAAGTTTGACATTATTTATGTTATGTTCATCTCTTTTTTTGCCACATATAACAGAATTTTAACATTATCAATGTTTTTTTCCTAATGAAAAGTCACCCAGGCTCAAGTGCAGTAGTGTGATCATAGTTCACTGTATCTTCAAACTCCTGGGCTCAAGTGATCGTCCCACTTCAACCTCCTGAGTAGCTGGTACTACAGGCCTATATCACCGCACCCGGCTGATTTTTAAAATGTTGTGAAGAGATAGGTCTTGCTGTATTGCCCAGGCTAGTCTTGAACTCCTACGCTCAGTCTTGCCTTAGCCTCCCAAAGTGCTGGAATTATAGGCATGAGCCACCATGCCCAGCCTGCTAATGAAAATCTTCTAAATCTTGAGTTTATCACTTAAAATTGGGTATCATGTGTATCTCAAATTAGACACTTGTCTGTTTTAGCTTCAGTTTCCCCTACAGATCAATAGTTTACTACCAGTAATACGATAGGTCTCTTTGGTAGGGAGCAAGTAAAATTAATGAAAAATTCAAAGTATAACTTAAAAATGATATTAGGAATAATTTACTGATATGCATGTGGGAAATGCAAGTTCACTTCAGTTGTTGTTTTAACAGAGGGCACACAGAATTTAGAAGTCATTAGCATCCCTAGAATTTATTTTTAGAGAAATATGGCTCTGCTTCAATATTTGACACATAATGTTGTATAGCTTTTTCTCTGCTTCATCTCTGTTTATTACATTTAATATTTATATGGGCTCATTCTGATGTCTGTTCTGTGGCAGTGCCTGAATTGTCTTAGGACATGATTAATTGAAAAATAAGGTTTATAGAGTATGTTTATAAAATTTGTCTCTTAGATGCCACGTACTTCTTTAACTCTGGAGATGATTGAACAGAATTGTTACTAATACCTTTTAGCACTAGAGTCAGATTATAGAGGATTGGAGGATTTCAAATCAAATCTAGTTTTGCTTTTTTCTCATATTAAAAAAATTCTTCGTGTTTACCTTGTTTTCAGCTAGTAAGATTGAAGACTTTGTGGCACCATGTGGCATTCAACAAAATGAATCAGTTGAATGACTTACATAGTGTTATGGTATGTTATAAAACATAATTCTTTCCTATCTTCTGGGAGTCTCCTGAAGAAACCCTTTGAGAACTAATGGCCAGGTCATTTCACGGTGGCCTATATATAAGTCTGTAATATTTCTGGATTTTTAGTCTCTTGACCAGATTTTCCTGAGATTTGAAAATCAGAATTCAGGTCAAAAAGGATATAATTATGACAAATTGAGTAGGTTTTATATGGCATATTTGTTAAGCCTGCTAAAATTTAATGGTGATTGGAAAACACCAATTATTCGAGTTTGAATATAGTAATTTGGGTTGCCTCTGTTAATACAGAGAATATTTCATTCAGTATACACTCCCACTCACATCATCTCTTTTTCTTTCCACTCTCATCTCACTTTAATACGAAACTATAGCTGTGAACTTTTGGGAGGGGAGAGTGAAGTCATAGGTGAAGACAGCTGGATCATGGATTTGTACTTTGTGACTTTATATTTTCATTCCTTTGCTACTGAGGAAAGATGAAGCAGGCACATTTCAAAAGAACAGCTGACACTATCCATACAAAGACAGTAATTACGTCAGTCACTATAATTCTTTGGAGTTTGTGGATCTTCTTTTACATGTATATGGCAGAGGTCTAGCTTGTAGGACTAGGCCAGAGGCAGATGAGTATAGATTTTATACATGCCAATTGTACATGCTAAACCAGGTTCTAACCTTGTCTCTCCAGTTCCCTTTCTCCTTGAGTTCTGTTAGCCAGTGAATCCTAGTTTGATTGAATTAGGATAACTTTAAACTAACACAAGTGGGTCAAATTGTGAATAGTGAACCTTACTGTATTCAAACTTAACAATGATGTTATTTATTTAGTACAGGCCTGTAAACTACAGTGTCTGAGTTTTACGGTGCATTTTAGGATTATGGGACAAGGAAGTAGTTGGAGAAATCTCCTTTTGGCAACATGTTACTGCCTGGAAAGGAAAATCTCGAGGTTTTTTTTTTTAAGTTTCTATATTTTTCTTTGGCTAACGTATGTTTCCTTTTTACATAAAAGGAAACCTAAACCTGGAAGAAAGGTATTTACTGGCTCTACAGGTAGGGAATATCAGATGGTCTTTTGAATTTTTAGACACTTGAAGTTTTTGTTTCATTTTTGCTTGTTTGGTTTTTGCAGCCAATGGAAAAACCTTTTAAGTAATAAGGACTAAGTTAAACTTCTAAATTCTTTATAATAAATCAATATGCTGATGTTCTGGATGAGATGGGAGACTGCCCTGAGTAGGTACAATATAACGACGTAAGCCTGGACATTCCAGATTACAGTCACTTCTGGACAATTTGGTTAGTTCAGGTGTCTTGCCTAATTAGGTGAAATTAAGAGAAGTTGTATACTATATGACAACGAAAACCTCTTCATTTTAGAGGTATTTGTAGGCATATAGAAATGGCGTGAACCATTCCTTTTCCTATCATTTCAGAACGGGCTCACTATTCAGTTGAGAGATTGTAGTCTTCAAGTAGTTTTAGTTATTTAAATCTGTGTTTGTCAAACTGCAAGCTGAGCTCTAGTAACATTTTGGTTTTGAGGTAATTAGTCATGAAATCATATAAGGAGATTATGGCCAACATTTTTTTTTCTTTAATGAAGTAGAATAAAAGTGCAATTCTGCCACTGGTTCTGTGGACCAGCAGCATTGCTGTTATCTAGGAGCTTATCGGAAATACAGAATCTCAGATCCCAGCCAGACCCACAGTGTTAGAATATGCATTTATCTGCATTGTAACATAATCTCAACATTAATGTTTATAAAACATTGAAATAAAAATAGTAACATTTATTACAGATAACACATTCATTAAATTATTGTTTCTGTCTTGTTTGTGTGTACTCGTGCACATACCAGCTTACACCTTAAAATGTATTTCTATGGGTTCACAGTCAAAAAAGTTTAAAATCTACTATTTTAAATGTGGATGCTGACATCGTACCGCTGGGTATGTTCTTATCTAACTGAGAGAGAGCTATCCTTGCTTGGCATTGGCATTGGCATCATCTCTAAAGTTTTGTTTTATTTTTTATCTATCCTATTTTTCCTTCTACCTCACTTTCTTCTAGTTATCTCTTGCGTGTCTCTGTTCCTTTCTTTGTATATAATGCGCTTCAAGCCTCAAAATTGTACTCACTATCGTGAAAACATTTTTCTCAAGTTTTGCTTTGTGGTCAAATATACTCAGTTTACTGGGAAAAAAATTAAGGCTAATCAGCAGGATTTTTATTTTTTAATTCTAGAACCAATTTTGAAGAAGGAAATACCCACATTTTACCAATGTGCTTTTCTCCTCCATTTGTTATGATTTCCAAATGTCAGATGTTACAGTACCATTTGGTTTGGATATCATTAAATCACTCAGTTTTCTTTATGTGCAGATGTGCATGGCATATCTTAAATGCTAGGAACAGAATTTTGAGAAGAAATATGTATAACATTGAAGTCCCAGTTTCCCAGTTGTATTTAAAACAAGTGATTGTAGCTTTAGTTTGCTGCGTACTAACCTAATCTAGTGCAGACCAGGTAAAGGAAGCTAACCTCTTAGACCACTATTAAGAGATATCCTAATTTCCTGGATTATGGCCAAAAATAGAGAAAAATTATACTAGTTGTACTTAGTGTTTTTTCCTTTGACCAACAATATACAATTCAACTTACGACAAATAAGCAGCTTGAAAAATATGTGCCTCTTTCTGTGGTTCTGAGACTGGAACCAGTGAAAAGCAGACAATTCATATCAAATTTTTTATCCAGTCATCGTTAGCTAATTTTAACCATTTTGTGTCACATAGCTACACATTTGTTGCTATTGATCTCACTCTTCTCCATCTGGTTATTCCATTTAACTTATACCTTGTTTTAAAGGGCTTCAGCAGTGAATTTTATTTTATTTTAACTTAGAAATACTACAGGGGTGCTCCAGAAAAGGGGGAGAAATAGAAAATTTTGAATCTCTAACTCTGAAAATTAAGGGCCTTGTTACTACACATCATTCTGTTTATTGGTTATATCAGACAGTATGTACAGCAGAATTGTAAATGATTACTAATTTTTTAGTTATTTTTATCCATACTCTATAACAGTATGATATACTTGTATTTGCTAATGTTAAATGAGTTTTTCTCTAATTTTTTGTGCATTTTTCCCCCTTTTCCATGAAGGCCTTATCTCTTTGGAGCGGGGTGTTTTTCCATAAAAGCCCCATGGTGAGTTCCAGTTCAGTCCCGCATGCCTCATTCATTTGCTGTACTCTCAAAAAGTAATTTGTTTTGTAGTTTTGTTTCCAGTTGCATGGCCTGATCACAGATAGATGCACCAAGTTACTGAATAATTTGTAGATGGAACATGAATGTTGATATTTAAGCTTTAGAAAAGTGGTTTTCTTGGTTTCACTTCATTCTTTAAAAAGTAAAAAACAAAAAAAAAAAAACCACAGATGAATTTTTTTTAAATAGAAGAATTCTCTCATAATGCTCGTAAATATTACAAGACAAGGCTAACACCCAAGTTTAAAGCTTTGAGTATTATGGCATTAGAAGTTACCTACATATCATGCATAGCATTTGAGGACATGATTTATTTTGAAATATAAATATATTTAAGGTATACCAAAAGCACCTTATAAAGTTTTTGTTGCATTTTATTTGGTCCTAAAGAGACAAAAGTTCTGTTTTTGAATAGTTTAGGTATTTAAGGAGCTACATAATGACAAAATATATATTTTACATAAAACCTCCTAAATAATTTATTATTTTGAATTATTAGCACATACTCATCATAGCTTAATTATTTGGTAAATTCTTTCATGTCAGTGCACAGAATACAGCTTTGTCAGTCTTAGACAGGAAGGTCATAGAAAAGAATTCGAATATATTTAATACTTTCATGTAAAGATAGGAAGTAGAATGTGTTAAGAATGGTATAAAATGTTTAATGGTTAAGAGTCAGACTGCCTGGGTCTTAGATCCCAATTGACACACTTACTAGCTATATGATTTGGGGGGAGTTTTCTAAAACCTTTCTATTTCTTATTTCCTTATGTATTAAATGTACCTATGTAATGGACTCACTATGAGTATTAAATAAGCTGATACATATCTCAGTATGTGTTAGTATATAACAGTGCCTGGCACATAGTAAATGTGCAGTAAATGTTAGCTGCTACCACTGTTTCTTTTCCTGTTTCAGGGAAAAATACCGTGTTTCAAAAGAAGCTTATTTAAATTAGATTATGTTTTTCACTTTTAAGGATATGTTAACCAGTGCGAAGTTTTGAGAAATGTAAGCTATATTAATTTTATTAATTTAGTCAGAATACTGAAAAGAGTTCTGCACATATGTGTAGTTCTCATAACTGCTAAATGGGGATTGTTCATACTGTTCTATTACACTAGAAAAAAACATTCCAACGTTTTTTCCTCTTGGACAGAAAGAAGCTTAAATAGTTCTTTAAGGTTAATTATTATTTGACACAAACTTATTTCAATGTTTATATGCCATAGGAAGATCTGAAAATTTTGTTATTGCTTAATAATAGGTGACATAAAACAAATCAACATAAAATTTTCCTCCTTGAAAATTATAATTAGACACAGTTTGCAAAACTATTCTAAACAAATTCAGGATATACAAGAATATAAATCTCATGAAAGTTGATCTTTATTCATTTTGTTAACCAGATGTCTTCTAAAAACAAATAAGATACACAGATCTTACTTATGAGCCTTCCAGTGATCAGTGAATTTTAAATGCCACATTCAACATATGACAAAATTTCTTTGTAAACTTAGAATTAAATTCCATTTTAGGATAAATTCTTCTTCTAAGTACAAAGCAAAGAGTTGTAGTATGTTAATAAAGATTGAAGTTTTGCATAGAAGTAAAAGATGGAATAACAACTGTTGTATGTTAAGTAAGTAAAGTTCATTCCTTCAACAGCTTACGTGCTCCTCACATTTAAGCAAAAGCACTTGTCAACCAGAAATGATTTGAGGTTGAAACAAGATTAAAAGAGCCAGATTAAAGAAAGGGATATATTAAATATAGTAGACTTTTAAATCATTGCCTGTCTTTTAGAAGACTGCTTTGTGGTTTGTTTGATGCCATCGTTAGCTCACAAGAAACTCGTTTTTAGTCACTTATACTAGACTAAAAGGTTCTCCTTTAAAATGTTACTTTCCCAGTGGTGCATGTTTTTTCCATTAAGATCTTAATGAAACCTCAAATTAAGGCAGCAAATGAATATAAATTTGACAACTTCTTCCATTTTGTTTATAAGAGCTCCTTTGTTTTAATAGTTTTTGCTATTTTTCCATGTTATTTAGCATTCAACCTGAGAATGTTTTTATGTACTGTTCTGAAATAAAACATTATATGCTAAATAAATATGTTTTTAGTATATCCAGTTATAGGGTAATATATGTATTTTGGATGAAAAATGAAATTTTTAAATGAAATGTAAATTTTCTACAAACTTTTTATTAGTTTCGAGTTGCAACGTTAACACTTAGCTAAGAATTTGCTTTTGGTATATCACAATTTCTGCTAGTTCTTTATTCTCCATTAAACAGGTTTAGTCCTTTACATTCATATACTTTCAGATGAGTCGTTATAAAATACAGTCGTTCCCTTTGGTAACAAAATAAGCTTGTTGGAAAGTAAACTATGCATCTTCAACATTTTAGTCACTTTGGACTTCCCTGGTATTATGTGTCATCTAGGTTAGTTTAGGATATTTGAGTTTGGATGACTATATAAAATAATACAAAAGAATTACACATATAACATACTTTTTTAAACATAGGAATTTAAGATAAATAATCCCAGTGTGAATTTTTGAATCTGAATTTTGCTTTCAATATTACAAATAAATAGGAATGTATCAAGCTCTGAATTTGCATGTAGTGTTGTATTTAAGCTACTGTTATTTTTGAATTGCTTATCAAAAAACATACATGACAGGTAGACAATGGGTAGTCCATATAAGTATATTTCTTCCTCATAAAATGTTTTCATATTATATAAGGGTAAATTTTAAAGAATTAAAATTTGCATATTAAATTAGAAAGTTTTAATTAGTGTTTTCTAAGAGTTTTGATCAAGCTATAAACAGTTCATGTAAACTAATCTTGTTCTCTTAAATATTTTAAAATTTTATGATTTCATTTTTTGAAAGATACGATTTATATGGAGAGGAGAATTTATTCTTACCTGCCACATTTACACAAATCTGTTAGACCTTTAAGAAAAATTTATGACAGAATAGAATAATTTCAGACAGATTATTAATATCTTTAGTTATTTGAAATAAAATGCTTCCAGTTCTCCCATTTAGGTCTTATGTTAGAAACTAAGATTGAGAATGAGAAAAAACTTCTAAAAGAATATAAAGAATATTTTTTCTTTTATAGAAAGCTGTTATACCACTTGTAATACTTAGATCAATATTGGGTCTTACATTTAAACTCAAATATTGACTATTCTTTTATGTTTTAAAAATGAAAAGAAACGGTGCTTCTGTCTCATGTTAGCGCCTTCCATGCTTGTGTCCTTCCACAGAAGGCACTGGAGCACATTGCTGCTTATCATGCTGTCCACAGATACTTCACATCTGTCCTATTCAGATGGAGATCATTGTCCTGTAATTTTTAAGCAGATATCATTAGAATTTTGTACTCTTTTTTTTCTCTCTTTGCAGTTGGGTGTGGAGAAAAAAATAGGCCAGAGAAATTCAATATATTGACCTGGCTGGATTACATAATAAAGGCCAAGGGAAGAAAAATGGGGAACTTTAGTAGCCTTTGCAAATATTTTTGAAGTCCTAGTAATGTTAATATCCCTATAACTTCCTCTGATTGCAGTGAAAATGATTCTCGTTCTATGGTTAGACAGTTAAGCGTTTCCTCAGAAGAAATGACAAAGAGTTAAACTCCTGATTTTTAATTTAGCATCTTATTTGTTAATTTGGTTATTCGGTTTTTTTGTTTGCTTGCGTGTTTGTTTTTCTTTTGATTACATTGATTCGTATCAGGCTTAGTAAATATGATGTTTTATGATTGTCATTTTTATGATGCTGAAAGTTGAATTTATTCCATTTTTTCTTTTATTTTTTGCTCAAAAGTTAAGTCAAATTTTTAAAAAATTATTGAACATGGGGTTATGTGTGAAAAACTAAGGGTAGTAAAGGAACAGGAATTGTCAGTAGAAAGGAGTCCATCGAGAGTATGTCTTGTTCTCATGTATAACCATTTTAAAAAAAAATGGATGAGTCCACATAATCAATACAGTTAAACTTTTGGGCATCAATACAAATTTAAATATTTTTCTATCATTGTATTATTAACTTAATAAATGATTAAATAAATGAGGGAAGGCATCCAAACACCCAGAGAAATTCTTTCTAAACTTGCAAATGTTCTTTAATGAGATTTTTTAAAGACCCCTTTTGGAGGAGAAAGGGAGATGTTGAGAACAAGAGAGAAAAAAAAGGTTAGCATTGGAGTGCTTTCCTATGAGGGTTGGGTCAGCAATCTGTAAATTTACATAATATACAAAGCTAGCACTTTTCTAATACATTCACGTATGTATCATTTTTCAATGTTTTATCTTTCTGTCAACAAAAGGTTATTTTGTGATAGAAATATTCTAGGTCATTGTGGAAAAGTTCATACATTGTATGTCACTGGCATATTGCTAGAAAAGCCCTTCTACTTCTGCCAAGCTTTCTTGGACTTTTAAAAACTTAGGATGAAGGGCAGATTGAACCCAAGTTAAAATTTCTAACTTTGAGTGTATCCCATAGAAGATATTTTATTCATAACGTTCTTTTTATTAGATTATTTCTCCTTTTTATTCCTCTGCAAATCTTAAAGACACACACATATTTTTATGTTTTTATTTTGCTGAAATACCACAATCATTCCAGATTATAGATTGATGATAGAAATAACTTGATATGAATGTGTTTACCCAATATGCTTCATACCCAACACACAACACTATGTTATGTAGCAGATAGCAAGTTATTTTCAGGGTGAAAACTCTTTTGACTCCTTAATAAACACAGACTTTTACTAATGAAATTTAAGGCCCTATCAGAGGAAAAAAGAAATGATGAAATATAAAAATAAAAATGGTAATTCTTTACTGAAATTAAGCATAGTTTTACCATAAAATACTTATTTTCTGTAGGAGATACTGAGCTTATGTAAAAATAACACCGTGTTGATGCTTTTTACTTGTGTGTTCCAAAACAGAATTGTATGTAACTTATAGATGTATAAGAGATTTTAGCTTTTGACATGAGCTGATTAGACTCTAAACTAGTAAACATACAAAAAATATTTTTTGTATGTCAAAAAACTAAATTGACGTCCTCTCATTTTTCTACTTTTTATTATCATGTTAGAAAGTTTGCCATCTGGCCTGGAAGCAACTATTTTTAAGTCTGTTTAGGATGCATACTTCAGAGGGACCATATTTTCTCTTAAGAAGAGGCATGCTCACTTGTTACTTACCACATGATTTAAAAACAACAACAATGACATCCAGTAATTTGCAAAGAGCTTTGAGTTTGTCCCAATGAAGCTTGTTGGTACATTGTAGTAGCTTTGTTCTCTGATGGTGATTCTAGTAAAAGCACATAGTCGCACAATTGCAAACTGCTTTCAAAAAATTCTACAATACTTTTCTCTTTCCCGTTCCCCCAGCCACCATCTTCCCAAAACTCCTAAGGATTAAAAATGACCAGTGGTACCTCAAAGATACCAGCTAGAGGAATTTGTCAGTTCAATGATAGCAGTTTAGTGATGGAAATAAAAGCTTTGAAAGAAGCCTTATATTCTCAGGTAATGCAACAGAGAGCATCATAACCAGAAAGAACAATTCTGATGCCAGTGACCCAGATATCATGGGAAGGTGCATATTTGTTCAGGTATAGGGCAGAGAAGAGTCTTCCTTTCTGGAGGTATGTTACTACAGTTGTGACAGATGCAAGTATGAAGAGGTGAAACAGTTTATAGAGCCAGATTCAGCTTCCCACAGAAACTTTTTATTTAAAAACGATGTCTTTATTCCCTGTCACTGGAAGTCTCACTGTGACTGGTTGACATTTTAGGCATGGATGTTTTTTGTTGCAGGAATAATGAGAAGTGTTTTAAGAAATGTAAATGGCAGAAGAGGTTTCTTTCATATATAGTAATATGCATTACCATGGATTTTGTTCAAAGTGGGGAGACCAAAGGGACCAATCATAGTTGCCTCTGATCCAGACTTAGCCATCCTTAGAGGAAGATGTTTAAACAAGCCTCAGGAAATAAGATGTCTGAGAGACTATTTAAAATGTCATAGGAACTGGGAAACTGAGATTACCAAAGCAAAGTCTGAATTTTTTGAAGATTAGGTTGGGGCTGAGGGCCATATAGAAAAGTTAGTATTTGCTGAGTACTGTGATATGGGAAAGTACTGCCCTGGGAACTTTACCTGCTTTGTCTAATATAGTGGTTCTCAGAGTTGAGCATGCATCAGAATCATCTGGAGGGTTTGTTTCAAAACACGGATTGTTGGGCTCCATTCCCAGAATTTCTGATTTAGTAGGTCTGGGATGGGGCCTATGAGTATTTGCTTGCACTCCTAAGAAGTCCTCAGGTGGTACTATGAGCTGGGGACAGTGCTTTGAGATAATATAATCATTAAAATAATCCTATGAAGTAGGCATTACTATTTCTATTTTACATATTAGTAGTCTGAGCTCTGAGAGGTTACATAACTTAACCAAAAGTCACACAGCTCAGAGGTGCCAGCACTGGGATTCAACTACATGTTTCTTCCTGACTCCAAAACTATCTCTTTCCATCCCACCATACTTTAGTAAAGGATGAAAACAAAAATTGAGCAAAATAAGGTAGAACTAATGTTTGACATTGGAGGCTAACTAGCAGAGAGGAACATCAGAGCTCTAGTTTTTATTGTTTCCTACCTTGGCTGTGATCTTTACCAGTGCACGATGAGGCTACTGGTTTATGAATTAGAGAAAATAATTTATCAAAGGTGATTGGCAAAATTGCTTTGGGAAGCCCTTGATAAACCAAAAGAGAACAGAAATACGGGATTGAAAAGGTGTGAGGTCGATATTAGAAGCTGAGCATGAAAACTTATTTGTGGAAAACAGAGGAGATCTACTTCTTTTGAATGGCAGTGACAGGAAGTAATGGCAGTTACTAAATGTGTCCTCAGACATATGAGCAACAGAAAAGATTTAGGTTTGAGAGGCTATTGATATGTAATTCCACCTTGGTCTTTTTCTCTGAACAAAAATAGACACATCATTTTCACAAATCCGAGAAGAAAAAGAGACAACAGGAAGATCAGTGAATATAATTGCATTAGATGATTAGCTATTCTTCCCTTGCACTGTCTAACTCTCCATAGCATTGTGGCCGAGAGAGCATTTTCAAGGCTTCATTCTATATCACCTCATTTTCATCCATGCTGTCTAAATTCATTTATACTGTTAATCCCACATCTTATAGATTGGTGCAAAGGCAGTGGCAAAAACCACAATTACTTTTGCATCAACCTAATATATATAGAAATGAAGTGATAAACCATTTTATTATTGTGAGATGTTCATGCTGGTACTATTGCTTCACTTTGAAATTTCTAGGGAAATGTTACTCATCTGAAAAGAGGTGACTTGGATTTTGCCAGCACATACTTCAAAAAGGAGTTGATTTTTATTGGTCTTATAAATGTTGCTCTCTTTACAAAACTCTGGAACTTTGAAATAATTCTACTTTTACTCCAGAACATAGTCTCACATCACCATTTATTACTTAAGGCAAAATGCATGTTCATACTGGAGGATTTGAATAGGGGTGGAATTTAAAGGAAAAACTGTCATTACCTAAAGGAGTATCATTTCATCATGATAATTGTTTTTTACTCTTATTTTATTTTTTAAGCAAAGTTAAACCTCCTCCACAAATTTCACCCAGCAAATCGATGGGCGGAGAATTTTGTGTGGCTGCTATCTTCGGAACATCCAGGTCATGGTTTGCAAATAATGCAGGTCTGAAAAGAGAAAAAGGTATGTATTTTTACTGAAAAATGAATGCTCTATTTGTAATTTTTGCTTCTTAAGGAAAATTTTTAGCAGTTTCCCTAGAATAATCTTGTACCCAGTAGTCTGGAAACCAATTTTTTTAATGTAATTAGCATGTCACTTCTCAACTACTCAAGCCTAGTCAAGAAGAAAAACTATCCTCTCAGTATGAACGTTAATGAATTGCCCACTGAGTGATTTTGTTTTGTTTTGTTGGTGACAATCTACAGGTGATCTCAATGCTGTCAATTCTATACCCATTTTATACCTTTTACATTTTTACAAGCTAGTTTCACCCCTGGTCTGTGAAGTACAGAGAGGAAAAGCGTCATTGTCCCTGTTTTAGAGATGAAGAACTTGAGACCAGCAAGTTTAAATATCTTAGCTAAAAGTACTGGTTAGTTAGGCAATGGAATCAGAGTTTGAAACCAGATTTTCTAATGCTAAAAATCTTCACATTAAAAAAATCAACTCTGCCATGTTTTAAAACACAATTAAGGCCAGTCGCAGTGGCTCACGCCTGTAATCCCAGCACTTTAGGAGGCAGAGGTGGGCGATCACGAGGTCGGGAGATCGAGACCATCCTGGCCAACATGGTGAAACCCCATCTCTACTAAAAATACAAAAATTAGCTGGGCGTGGTGGTGCACGCTTGTAATCCCAGCTACTTGGGAGGCTGAGGCAGGAGAATCGCTTGAACTCGGGAGGCAGAGGTTGCAGTGAGCCGAGATCACGTCACTGCACTCCAGCCTGGGTGACAGAGCAAGACTCCATCTCAAAAAAAAAAAAAAAAAAAAGAGGAAACAGCCTGCCAGTGAGAAATAAGGCTCAGCTTTTGTGGTTACCATTGCTCCTTTGAATTAATATACAGTAGTCTCTCCTTATCTGTGGAGGATACATCCAAGACCTCCAGTGGATGGCCGAAACCTCGGATGGTACGGAGCCCTATATGGTACAATGCATTTCAGTCTAATAACTGAGATAGGTACTATGGGACTAATGGGTTGGTAGCGTATACAGCGTGGATATGCTGGACAAAGGATGATTCATGTCCCAGGCAGGACAGATGGGACAACGAGAGATTTTACCACGCTATTCAGTCTGCCATTTGAAGCTTATGAATTGTTTATTTCTGGAATTTTCCGTTTAATATTTTTGGACTGCAGTTGACCATGGGTAACTGAACTCGCACCTAAGGAGGGACTACTGTAGTTATTATCTTTCTAATCCCTGCTTTGATCACCAGGGTCAATACCTAAAATGTTTATAGGATTAGTGCTTTATAGCATGTGAATCCTTATTGCTTCTGTTTAGAAGAGAATGCCTACGTTCATAAACCAAGTATATAATTTTGAATGTTATGATTTTCCCCTTAATATTTTAGTATTATTAAAGTAGGTCACAAACCGGGTTGTTACTGGGGCACTTCTCTGGTGAGTTCCACAGGCTGTATTGTTCTTGGCAAAATGGCTCTCCTTTATGCTAACACTGGCAGTCAGACATGAGCCCTTTCTCTTGTTATCGCCTTTCAGTGACCCTTTACTTGGTAATGGGATCTCACGCGCAGCAGGTTCCTTACCTAAGTGGGAGAGGATACTGTTAAGTATGCAAGCCTTCCATTTCCTTATCCCATCTTTATTTTTTTTGTTACCTCCTTAGGTTTAATGATGCTATCGAAAGGACTTTTTGTTACTAGTTAAAACCCTCTGAGAAGCTCGATTTCAAATGCTTCTCCCTTCTGTTCTAATTACCTTTTTAACTTTCTACTCCTTTATGTCCCTCTGGCTGATCATTAGCTATTTTCTCAAATCAGCTGTAATTGATTCGCCTGACACAGAGATAAGATGACCTACCCAGCATTCATGAGTGATTTTATATGCTCCTAGGTTTACTGTAAAACCGGAGAGAGAGGACTAAACCTGTTTTGCTAGTGGGTACATGTGTATTCCTTATAAAGTCAGTTGATTAGATCCATATTCAGCACCTAACTTCTCAAAGTATGGCTGATCTTCATTTACCATGGCGCCAGTGATCCCATGGAGAGAAAGAAGAGGATTTGGGGGAAGGGGATGCACATGCATGCCTGTGTATGTGTGTTGAATAGACTTTATTTTCTAAAGGAGCTTTAGGTTCACAGCCAAATGAGCAGAAGGTCCAGAGATTTTTCCATATATACCTTCTGTCTCCACACATGCAAAGCCTCTTATTATCAGTATCCCCAACCAGAGTGGTACGTGTGTTTGGATTGATGAACCTACATTGACACATCAAATGTTTTTTGTTTGTTTTGATCCACAAATTTAAGTTCTAAATTTAAGTCTTCTGAGAAAAAAAATAGATGAGACATTAGGCTGATTTAGGCATACAACTAACCTTTCATGCAAGTCATTTGGTACATGCAGGGTAACTAAATCCTAGTCCATACATTATTCCTTTTCAGTTAGTCCATTTCCTGATATCATTCATTTTTCATAATGTGGGACAAATTACATTGTAGACAAGTACAAAAGTCTATGAAGGATTTTACTATATTAGGATTTGGGGCATAGTAGTATCATTCTTGAAGTAAGTTGCTTAAGATTGAAAATACTCTGATATCATAGACATTTTCATATTCACTAGCATGTGCTTATACGAGGCAACCTTTAGGCAAGGAACAAGCACCATATGAAAAAATTCCTGTCGTCTGAGCATGGTGGCTCACGCCTTTAATCCCAGCACTTTGAGAGGCTAAGGTGCACAGATCACCTGAGGTCAGGAGTTCGAGACCAGCCTGACCAACACGGCGAAACCCTATCTCTACTAAAAATACAAAAATTAGCCGGGTGTGGTGACAGGAGCCTGTAATCCCAGCTACTCAAGAGGCTGAGGCGGGAGAACCATTTGAACCAGGGAGGCGGCAGCCTGGGCAGCAAGAGCAAAACTCCATCTCCAAAAAAAAGAAAAAAAGAAAAAAATTCCTGTCTTTTCATTTTCTCTGAGCAGCCTCAGGAGCAGACTAATAAGATCATTAACTTGTAAAAATTATTCTGTGCTCCATTTATGCCATCATAACACATCGGGTTCTGTTTCTCTGTTTGTAGATCAGTCCAAACAAGTTGTAGTTGAGTCCCTGTACATTATCAGTTGCTATGGCACCTTAGTGGAACACATGATGGAGCCGCGACCCCTCAGCACTGCACCCAAGATTAGTGACGACACACCACTGGAAATGATGACATCGCCTCGAGCCAGCTGGACTCTGGTTAGGTAGTACCTCTTTTCTTTTTTTCTTTTTAACAGCTTCATTAAGGTATAGAAGATTAAAAGCGTATAATTTGATAAGTTTTGACATGCATACAGCTACGAAATCATCACCACAATTAACATGGTAAACAAATACATCACTCTCAAATGTTTCTTGGTGACCCTTTGTAATCTCTCCTTCTTTCACCCCCTTTGTCTCTACAGATTAGTTTACAGTTTCTAGAATTTTTTTTTTTTTTTTTTTGAGACGGAGTCTCACTCTGTCACCCAGGCTGGAGTGCAGTGGCGCGATCTCAGCTCAAGCGATTCTCCTGCCTCAGCCACTTGAGTAGCTGGGACTACAGGCACACGCCACCACACCTAGCTAATTTTTTTGTATTTTTATTAGAGACGGAGTTTCACCATGTTGGCCAGGATGGTCTCGATCTCCTGACCTCGTGATCTGCCCGCCTCAGCCTCCCAAAGTGCTGGAATTACAGGCGTGAGCAACCGTGCTGGCCCAGTTTCTAGAATTTTATATAAATGGAATCATATAGTATGTAATTTCTTAAATCTCACTTTCATCTAGCAAAACAAACAATACTTCATTCCTTTTTTTTGTTTTGTTTTTGTTTTTGTTTTTTTTTTTTTTTTTTTGGAGACAGTCTCGCTCTGTTGCCCAGGCTGGAGGGCAGTGGCACGATCTCAGCTCACTGCAGCCTCCACCTCCCGTGTTCAAGCGGTTCTCCTGCCTCAGCCTCCTGAGTAGCTGGGACCACAGGCGCCTGCCATCCCATCTGGCTAATTTTTAGTAGAGATAGGGTTTCACCATGTTGTCAAGGTTGGTCTCATACTCTTGACCTCAGGTGATCCACTCGCCTTGGCCTCCCAAAGTGCTGGTTTTATAGGGATGAGCACCTGGCCTTTCATTACTTTTTCATTTGACATAATTTACATACAATAAAATTAACCCATTAAAAGTGACTTTTCACAAAGTTGTGCACTTATCACTGCAATCAGTTCTCATCACCCTAAAAAGAAACCTCATACTCATTAGCAGTCACTCCTTATTTTTCTCCAACCCTTCAGACCTAGGCAGCAGCCAGTTTACTTTCTTTCTCTATGGATTTTGCTACTCTGATCATTTCATGTAAGTGGAATCATATAATATGTGACCTTTTGTGTCTGGCTTCTTTCACTTAGCATATTTTCAAGATCTATCCATGTTGTAGCGTGTGTCAGAATTTCACTCCTTTTTATGGCTACATAATACTCCATTATATGGTTATACTGCATTTTGTTTATCCATTTATTAGTTGATGGATATTTCTACTTTTTAAGCTGTTATTAAATAATGTTGCTGTGAACATTCATGTACAGATTCTTGTGTGAACATTTTTTTTTTTTCCTGAGATGGAGTCTTGCTCTGTCACCTAGGCTGGAGTGCAGTGGCGTGATCTCGGCTCACTGCAAGCTCCACCTCCCAGGTTCACACCATTCTCCTACCTCAGCCTCCTGAGTAGCTGGGACTACAGGCACTAGCCACCACGCCAGCTAATTTTTTGTATTTTTACTAGAGACAGGGTTTCACTGTGTTAGTCAGGATGGTCTTGATCTCCTGACCTCATGATCCACCCACCTCGGCCTCCCAAAGTGCTGGGATTACAGGCGTGAGCCACCGCGCCGGCCCATGAACATATTTTTTTAATTGTCTTCTGTATGTACCTTGGAGAATACCTCTGTTTGAACTTATTTCCCCCTTGCACTTCTGTGTTAAATTTTCTTGGATTTATGCTTCCTCTATTTGCAATCTCATGCTCACCGAAAATAGAGAGTAACATTGAGATAGCCATTAAGGGGAATAGAAACTAATATAGATAGATTCAAAGGTTTCTCTGAAAGTAATTCTCCAAGATACAGTGGTTAAGCCTTATAGGAATGTTTATTAAGAATCAGAGTCCATCTCAAACGTGCATAATGATTAGAATCTTTATAAGCTATAACCAAAAGGAAAAAAAACCTGGAATAAAACCTCTTTAATATAGTTCATTGTCCAGGAAAGAAAAAATTGCTCCTGACATGTATGGAAGGAAACAGACAAAAATGGATATGAAAATGATCCCTGTCCTTTTGACATTTTAAAATATTCTTGTATTGATTTTTGGAGGCTCCAGCATTCTTTACTACTACTTTACTATGCTGGATTGATCTGATCAATATCTGATTTATCAAGCTTATTTAGGAGTGGGCAGATCTAATTAAAGTTACTACACTATCATTGTTGAAATAGTAACTTATTTCAGAACTCAGATGCTAATTTGATCTATAATAAGTCATCCATTTACACAGCTGTGTTTTATTAACCATTTTTACCTACTTCATTTTATTTTAAAATATACACATATTTTAAGAATAGAGAGGTCAGAAATTACATAAATTAGAACTAGTTAGTTGTAACATTTGAATTTTACACCTGTTTAATCTTCTGAATGTCTTGCCTATCCTGTTGGAGGGTCTTCTGCTGTTAAGCTTATATTGACTGCATGTTATTTGTATGAAAGACTGCCACCTTTTTATTTTTTCTAAGCAGATGGCCTTGTGTTTCAGGTTTCATCACATTCATTTTAATGATTACAAGTTCATTTTAATGATCACAAAAGTAGTGTGAGTTTAAGTCACTGTTCATAAGTGATGACAGTCATGGTGATTTACATCCCATCTATTAAGCTTAAATATTAATATTCTTCTCCTGTTTCCTTAGAACCCCTCAATGGAATGAATTGCAGCCACCGTTTAATGCAAACCACCCTCTGCTCCTCGCTGCAGATGCAGTACAGTATTATCAGTTCCTGCTTGCTGGCCGTAAGTAGTTCAGATTTTTTTTTTCCTTTCGTATGGTCTATTCAGATTTCATCTTAAAATGCTAGCTTTGAAAGCAAACATTACCACTGGTCCATAGGCCATGGGCCTTAAAGAATCAGTTTGAGGCAAATAAGATATTTAATATGAATATAAACTGTAAGCCTTAGTATACATTATGTCTCTGACTGCTTATATTCTTTACCTATGAAATATATTTCTGTAATAAAAGTTAAGTTGATAGGGAATATCTGGAGGGCTCAAAAATTCAAACAAACATAAAAACCACCACCTGAAAATGCTAGGATATAATAAAAAGTTTCATAAAGCTTGGAATCTGTTTCTAACATGGAAAAAAAAAAACCCCAAAACTTAGCACAGTTAAAAGTGCAACTATGAAAACAATGCCAGCAGGCTTTTCTTTTGGTAGAATTTTACTTGCAATAATGAGGTAAAGATTTCAACTACATTTGTTAATTTGTTTGTTTACTTATATGTTTAAGCGTGAGCATTTGTAGAGACTGAACCAAGTTCATTGACCTAGATAACAGCTTTTTATATGGGAGTCATTTAAAGGCAATTTAGTATTTATTATCCAGTTTGCGTTTATAGAATTAAAAATTATTTACAATTATAATTCAGTTTTGTAGATATAGACAGAATCCTTAATTTAATTTGATGGCTCTGAGTAGTGCACGCTTTAAAGAAAATTCTTAAAAATCAACATTGACATGTTTTTAATGAAACTTTGTTGTATTTAACACATTGTCTTGCCCGGTATATTAGAAAGCATGAATTAAAATAGTTGTCGAATGATTTTATTTTATCTTTATAATGTGCTATATATTATACTGGAAACAGAAATATTTTATAGACTTTGCTCTCAAGTTATGAAACTCTATAACTGTAATCAATAGTTGGCAGTCTTGCTCTCTCATATTATTGTTGAACTCTCTGCTTTTTCTAGGGCATTTTTATTGAGTGCCTACTATGTGTGAGGCAGTTCTGATTTAAAGGTGATTAGTATATTGCTTCTCTCCTCAATGAATTCCCTAATTCAGGAGATAGACATTTAATAAAAAAGTAAAATAAAGTGGGGTAGGTGTGTCAGTGGAGGGTTATAAATTGAACTGTGAGAGCAGTGACGTGTGTTGCCTATGGCATCACAGACGGGTGATATGTAAGTGGTTTTCGGGTTGATTCAAGAAGCAGTGCATATAGAAGTTGTTAGTTTCTAGATTTTTTAAGCATATATTTAACTATCATATGAACTGGAAAAATACATGACATGAATATGATATGAAATAAGAATCATGAGTACATTTTCCATTACCTCTCAAGGAGCAAAACTAATTGTTGAATTAAGCATAGTTGACTCTTTCAGAGTTAATATTGTGTTTTGTGTTGTTATTTTGATACCTATTAAGTCTATTTAATAGACATACTATAACAAGTCTGAAATATTTATAAAACACATAGGGGAAAAGATATAGCTATATCTATCTCTTAATTGTTTTTTGTTCCAGTGATTGACCTTATTGACATTACACTCTGCTTGATTTTAGCTGCCCTAAACACCTTTGTCTAATGCTCAGAACAACAAAAATCCCCAGGTGCATAATTTAAGAACCACCACTGTTGGCAGTAGTAAGCCATTACATGTTTTCAAGCATAGGAATGACACCATCAAAATTGTATTTTAGAAAGATCATTCTGGGCTGGGCGCAGTGGCTCACGTCTGTAATCCCAGCACTTTGAGAGGCTGAAGCGGGAGGATCACTTGAGGTCAGGAGTTTGAGACCAGCCTGGCCATCATGGTGAAACCCCATCTCTACTAAAAATACGAAAAAATTAGCCGGGTGTGGTGGTGCATGCCTGTAATCCCAGCTACCTGGGAGGCTGAGGCAGGAGGGTGACTTGAACCCGGGAGGTGGAGGTTGCAGTGAGCCAAGATCACGCCCTTGCATTCCAGCCTAGGCAACAGAGCAAGACTCCATCTCACAAAAAAAAAAAAAAAAAAAAAAAAGAAAGAAAGAAAGATCACTCTGGCAGCACTGCAGCAGGAAATTCAGAGGAAGGGAGTGGAGGCTAGGTGATCCTAGAGCAAGATGAGACCTTAAATTAATGCTGTATTACAGAGAAGACAGGACAGACCTGTGAGATGTTTAATAGTTGGCATAGAAAAGAATTAGAGGCTGGGCACAGTGGCTCACGCCTGTAATCCTAGCACTTTGGGAGACCGAGGTAGGCAGATCGTCTGAGCTCAGGAGTTTGAGACCAGCCTCGGCAACATAGTGAAACCCCATCTCTACTAAAACACACAAAAAAATCACCCAGGTGTGGTGGCGTGCACCTGTACTCCCAGCTACTCAAGAGGCTGAGGCATGAGAATTGCTTGAACCTGGGAGGTGAAGGTTGGAGTGAGCTGAGATGGTGTCACTGCACTCCAGCCTGGGTGACAAAGTGAAACTCTGTCTCAAAAAAGAGAGGGACAATTTGAAACTAAGTAGTTACTAATGATTCTGTGGTTTCTCATATGGAATACAGCAGGTCCTTGAATGATGTCATTTTGTTTAACATCAATTCTTTATAAGGCTGATGAGAAAAAATAATCGCTCCCTGCCTGGGGCCATTGCCTGTGTGGAGTTGTCACGTTCTCCCCATGTCTGTGTGGGTTTTCAGTGGGTACACAGGTTTTCTCCCTGATACCAAAGGTATGCATGTTAGGTTAATTGGCATGGCTACATTGTGTCCCAGGCTGAGTAAATACGGGCCTGTGTGTGCGAGAGTGCCCTGCAATCGAATGGTGTCTTGTCTAGGATCGGGTCCTGCCTTGCACCCTGAGCTGCCAGGATATAGGCTCTGTCCACCCACAACTCTGAATGAATGAATACAAATTATTGTAAAATAAAACTTCTTAAAATATATGGTAAATCACAGAAATGCACAACAATAAATGTTGCTATATGAAAGTGCTCAGCAAGCCCAGCATATTGGTTATTATCTGTTTTTTAACTTCGTGGTTGTAGGAGGTGCTCATTAAAATTTTCACTTTGCAAACATTTATTCCTTGATTTAACTCACCAGCACTTCAAGCTCCACTACTCAGTGATTCGCTAGAAAATGAGTAAATAATCATATTACTTGTTTTCATTAATCTTTCTTAAATGTATGTATAGCTCACATTTATTTTGATGTTTAATATTAAAGCATTTGGGGTCTTTATTCAGAAGTTTACTGATGTTTTTGACCAGAAAAAAAAATATGCCTTAAGAGGTGGGGGCGCGGTGGCTCAGGCCTGTAATCCCAGCACTTTCGGAGACCAAGGCCGGCAGATCACGAGTTCAGGAGATCGAGACCATCCTGGCTAACACGGTGAAACACTGTCTCTACTAAAAATACAAAAAATTAGCTGGGCGTGGTGGCGGGCGCCTGTAGTCCCAGCAACTCGGGAGGCTGAGGCAGGAGAATGGCGTGAGCCTGGGAGGCGGAGCTCACAGTGAGCCGAGATTGCACCACTGCACTCCAGCCTGGGTGACAGAGCGTGACTCTGTCTCAAAAAAAAAAAAAAAAAAAATATATATATATATGCCATAAGAACTTAACTCTTGTTTATATCAGTCAGTGGTAAAATGGGTTTTGTAATACTTCATTTCACTTAAAGTCACAGTTTCCATGAACTTATCAATGATGTTAAATGAGGACTTATTGTATAATGCATTTCATTTTAGACCTTTTGAGTTCCAGGTGGACTAATATTGGGATAAAGATGAAAAGACCTGGGTTCTAGTTCTAAATCCAGCAATAACTTGATAAATGTAGATATCAATTATTATACTTGCTCTTATAGAGATGTTATGATGATCAGTGAAATGATGCTAAAGTCCTTTTTTTTTTTTTTGAGATGGAGTCTTGCTCTGTTGCCAGGCTGGAGTGCAGTAGCACCATCTCAGCTCACCACAACCTCTGCTCCCTGGGTTCACGCAATTCCCCTCCCAAGTGGCTGTGATTACAGGCACACGCCACCACACCTGGCTAATTTTTTGTATTTTAGTAGAGATGGGGTTTCACCAGGTTGGCCAAGACGGTCTTGATCTCCTGACCTTGTGATCCACCCCGTCTCTGCCTCCCAAAGTGCTGGAATTACAGGCATGAGCCACTGTGCCCAGCATAAAGTCCTTTTTAAAACTGTAAAATAGTTTATACATTTGAGCATTATTATTATAAGCTTTTGTTTCTTACCTCAGAAGAATATATTTTCAAATGATAGACTTCTGGGACTTTTGGTACAATTTACAAAACCTTTTTTGTATTCTGCATTTACAGTGGACTACCTGGCCTGGGCATGGTGGCTCATGCCTGTAATCCTGGTACTTTGGAAGGCCAAGGTGGGAAGATTGTTTGTGGCCAGAAGTTCAAGACCATCCTGGGCAACATAGAGAGACCCTGTCTCTACAAAAACATTATAAAAATTAGCTGAACA
This sequence comes from Homo sapiens, assembly GCF_000001405.40. Taxonomy (NCBI): domain Eukaryota; kingdom Metazoa; phylum Chordata; class Mammalia; order Primates; family Hominidae; genus Homo; species Homo sapiens. The sequence continues at coordinate 61,045,373 of NC_000017.11, forward strand.
TGGTGATATGCACCTGTAGTCCCAGTTGCTCAGCAGGCTGAGGTAGGAGGATCACTTGAGCCCAGCAATTTGAGGTTACAGTGGGCTGTGATTACACCACAGCACTCTAGCCTGGGTGACAGAGCAAGATTCTGTCTCTTAAGAAAGAAAAAAAAAAAAAGGCTAGGCGCAGTGGCTCATGCCTGTAATCCCAGCACTTTTGGAAGGCCGAGGCGGGGGGATCGCTTGAAGCCAGGAGTTTGATATCAGCCTGGCCAACATGACGAAACCCCATCTCTACTAAAAATACAAAATTTAGCCAGGTGTGGTGGCGCGCACCTGTAATTCCAGCTACTCGGAAGGCTGAGGGAGGAGAATCGCTTGAACTCAGGAGTTGGAGGTTGCAGTGAGCTGAGACTGCACTACTGCACTCCTGCCTGGGCAACAGAGTGAGTGAGACTTCATCTCTCTTTCTCTCTCTCTCTCTCTCTCTCTCTCTATATATATATATATAAATATATATAAATATATATTATATATATAATATATATAAATATATATTTATATATATAATATATATAAATATATATATTATATATATAAATATATATATAATATATATATATTATATATATATTTATATATATATAATATATATATTTATATATATATTATATATATATTTATATATATATAATATATATATTATATATATATAATATATATATATTTATATATATATATAATATATATATATATAAAGTAAAATAAAAGCAATACTGGCGCCAGTTTCAAGAGAATGCCCACCCATCTGTTGCACCCTTTCTGCAAGTTAGAGCCATTAAGCGGACTTTATTACTCTCTTGCTTTCTCCCAGATTTCCCTTACTGAAGCCATTTGTAAGGATATTATACCTTTTAAAACACAAATATATCATACCTGGTGCCAGAAAGTTTTTTGTTTTCCTTAACTATATTGGAAATCACCTATTTCCCAACTTGAAGACTTTAATAAATATTATTCTCAAAGAATTTTCAAATATAGTCATTCCTTGGTGTCATGGGAAATTGGTTCCAGAACCTCCCTCAGATACCAAAATCCACAGATGCTCAAGTCCCTGATGCTGGTACTATATTTGCATATGACCCACGCACATCCCCCTGTATGCTTCAAGTCATCTTTAGATTACTTATAATACCTAATACAATGTAAGTGCTATATAAATAGTTGTTAACACTGTATTGTTTGGGAATCATGACAAGAAAAAAGTCTAGACATGTTCGGTAGAGACGCAACCATCCTTTTTTTTTTCACAGAATATTTTCAGCCTGTGGTTGGTTGAACCCATAGATGCGGAACCAGGGATATGGAAGGCTGACTGTATAACTTTTTGGTAAACTCTAATACAAACTTCACAAATGTTGCAAGCATTTTTTTTGTGTGTGTTTGGATCTGTGGATCAAGTGAAGCAGACTTGTACAAACTCCGGAAATTATAATAATAGTAGACAAAGAATGATGTAAATGGAAATGGGAAAGAGACTTTGTCTCAGTGAGAAGAGAGTAGGAGAGCAGGATGTTTAGCAAGGAATCTCCACTCCCCTTCCAGCCCAGTAATCATAATAAATACACTGCTAGTTAATAAACAAGTTCTGTATATGTGGCAAAAAGGGTGGCTTGTGGTGGAAGGAAGGGGGAACCAGCCCTAAACACTAAACACTTCTTATGTAACCTTAATATAAAGTAAGTAAAAACTCCAGATCCTGTATTCTTAAATTATAGTAACATTTCCTACCTATATTAATTGAATGGAATGACCAAAATTAATGAATTTTTATTTTTATTGAAGAATTTTGCTGTATCACAAATTGATACCCCAAATTGAGGAATTTTGGTGTATTGTAAATTAGATCATACTAGAATGTTCCATACAGAGGTCACTGTAGAGGCACAGATGACTTCTCTGTTATTAGGTGGAACGATATGAAATTGGCATTTTTAATAAGTTTTTTAAAAGTCTGATATTTCAGCAGTTTCACAGATTAATTTATATATGCCAACTAAATATATAGATGGTAATCTAATTTTTCTGTTTAACTCAGTAAAAGTAAAAGTCAAGAATTTATAATCCAAAAGATGTTTTTGCCTTGGTCAAAGAAATTTTGGGAATAGTTTATAAAAAGATGACAGCAGAGGTCATTAGTGATTTCTGTGTTAGCACTGTATTTACTCCCTTTAAAATAAAAATTACATACTATATTGCCTTCCAACACAGGCATTATATTTCAGTGTATTCCTTTGCCAAAAACAAAGATAAACCATAGAACATATCAGTAAATACCAACCAGCTTTGAATATGATCCCAAAATAGACAATAACTTTTTCTTCAGTCTGCTGTAGAGCTTCCAATTTGTAAATTAAAAACAGAGCTTACTGAGTTGCCTTAGGAAAGCCTTATTTAAGGGAAAAATAATGTTTCCTCCTTTCTTTCAGGTAATTTGGCAGCAACAGTGTTTTTAAGTTGCTGACATTAACTAGCTTTGTGGCAGAGTGGGTTTCAGAGTTTGGACTTCTTTCTAAATCAGGCTGTGATGTGTGAAAAGTTCCTCTGTAAACTTACTGAGTTTTATTTGTAATAGAAATATACATTCATTCAATAGAAATATAGCTTAGATATACAATAGAAAGGTGACTGGGGTCCATAGTACTTCCCTGTGTATTATTGGGTGTATACTTGGTTTCTTCTAACTTTAAAAGGAATATGAGAAAGATGGAGAAAATATTTTATATGTTTCAATTTGATCTCAAATTTTGGGGAGATTTAGTGTTCTCTCAGTTTCATTGACTATTTCTTGAGGTTCCAGTTGAGTAGTAGCTTCCCAACAAGATGGACTAACAGGGGTCAGTTTTACTTTCCTGCATGTAGCAACAACAGAAACAGAAATCATATATGAAACAATTGTTTTCAAGTCATCTGACATTAGGGAATGAAGGACAATGATCCCTGAGAGATGGGAAACAAATGAGACAAGCCCTGCACTTGCCTTAGTTTATCGTCTTTGGAGTTTCTAGGCTGTGTTACAGTAAGGGAGAAAGCAAGTGAAACCCAGGGAACTCCCTCAGTTGAGGAGACAGAGCTGAGAGTCCAGTAAGACCAAAGAAGAGCGGGTGTCGGCAAATTACCATGTGCTTTTATTGTAAATAAAGTTTTACTGGAACACAGCCACACTGTTTCATTTTTATCTTGTCTGTGGCCACTTTTAAGCTATAATCACTGAGTTGAGTAACAGTAACTGAGACCATATGACCCACAAAGCCCAAAATATTTACTATTTTCAAACCCTCACCTAGAGTTTGTTGGATGGGATATCAGGGGAGATCTTCACAGAGAAAAAATGCTGAAGACTGCAGAGGGTCCTTTTCCAGTATTCAACAGAATACTGGTGCCTCTGAGGAAACTGCAGCCTAGGAAACAACCATCTGAGTGTCTTAGAGGGCACAATGGTCACACAGAGTCAGGACTAGTGACACTAACAGTTACTATGACTGTATTCCATATGTTCAAAAAGTTAAGTAGACTTCTCAATTACTTAGATCTAAATATAAAAAACTCCTAGGTGTGAAAACCACAGTGTGTGAGGAGAAAGCTTCATTGCATAAGACTGAAGATAGATTATAAATTGCAGAAAAGTAATCCCAGCACTTTGGGATGCCAAAGTGGAAGGATTGCTTGAGGTCAGGAGTTCAATACCTGCCTAGAAATAGAGTGAGACCCTGACTCTAAAGAAAACATTTGAAAAATTAGCCAGGTATGGTGGTGCATACCCTTAATCCCAGGTACTCAGGAGGCTGAGGTGGGAACATTGCTTGAGGCCAGGAAGTCAAGGCTGCAGTGAACCATGATTCTGTCACTGCACTCCAGCCTGGGCAACAGAGCAAGACCTTTTCTCAAATAATAATAATAAAATCAATAAATAAATTGCAGAAGAAAAGATTAGTGAACTTGAAGATAGAGCAAGATAAAGATCTTGTTTCTAAAATGAAACACAGAAAGAAAATAACTTAAAAAGAGTATCACTGAACTGTGGGAAAATATACACTAATAAACAGAATTTCTGAAGAAGGGGTGGTGGGACAGAAGAAATAATAGCCAAAATATTTCCAAATTTGATATAAACTATAAAACTGCAGATAGAAAAAGGTCAGTAAATCCCAAGTACAGGACACCTTAAGAAAGGCATACCAAAGTGTATTATAATCAATTTGCTCAAAATCATTGACAAAGAGAAAAAAAAATCTTAAAAGCAGCCAGAGGAAAAGACATGTTACACACCAAGGAGCAAAGATAAGCAGATTTTTCTTTTCTTTTCTTTTCTTTTCTTTTTTTTTTTTTTTTTTTGAGACGGAGTTTCACTCTTGTTGCCCAGGCTAGAGTGCAATGGCGTGATCTCAGCTCACTGCAGCCTCTGTCTCCTGGGTTCAAGTGATTCTTCTGCCTCAGCTTCTCAAGTAGCAGGGACCACAGGCATGCGCCACCACGCCTGGCTAATTTGTTGTATTTTTAGTAGAGACGGGGTTTTTCCATGTTGGTCAGGATGGCCTCAAACTCCTGACCTCAGATGATCGTCTACCTCGGCCTCCCAAAGTGTTGGGATTACAGGCGTGAGCCACTGCGCCCAGCCAGCAGATATCTTTGAAGTATGGAAAGAAAATAACCATCAACCCAGAATTATATTCTGCCTTTGCCCCCTAAATCTCTGAAGATGAAGGCAAAATATTAGAAATCTCAGATTCATGAAAGCTTAAAGAAGTTATCAGCTTCATATGAAATGTTAAAGGGAGTCCTTAAAACAGAAGAAAACTACGTCAGCATGAAAGGAATTAAGAGCACTGGGAATGGTGAAAAACGTAGGTAAATGGATGAGATATTTTTCTAATTTGTAAAAATGTAAATAATTAAAATTTAAAATATAATTGACTTGTTTTAAAATATTGACTGTTAACAGAAAAAAATGGCATATTGTTTTTAATATATACTGTGTGTGTACCTACGCATGTGTGTATATATATGTGTGTACACAGTAGCATAAAGGCCAGGGGGGTGGGAAATGGAACTATACTATTGTAAGATTTTTGTAATATATGTGAGTGGTATAATATTACCTGAAGGTAAACTGTGATAAGTTAAAGATGTACATAATGAACTCAAAAGCAACTACTAAAATAACAAAAACAAAATGTTGTATCTAATATTCCAACAAAGGAAATAAAATGGAAACAAGCAAGAGCATGTAATTCTAACCATATCAATACTCATTAGTTATAAACGGACATTCTAATAAAAAATGAGATTGTCAAATTAGATTTAAAAAGTAAGTTCTAACTGTATGCTACTTATAAGAAACACACTTTAAACTTGGAATTGCTACATTAATATCAGACTAAGTAGGACACTTCACTCAACAGCAGAATACACATTCTTTTCAAGTGTGCAGGGAATATGGACCAATATAGGGAATCTTCTCGGCTCTAAAACAAATCCCAGTAAATTTAAAAGGTTTCAAGTCATACAAAGTATATTCCCTGACCACAAGAGTTAAGTAAGAAATGAATTACAGAAAGATCTTTGGAAAGTGCACAAATATTTGGAAACTAACACACTTTTAAATAGTCCATGGTTCACAGAAGAAATCTAAAGGGAATTAAGAAATTATTTTTGACTGAATGAGATTGAAATCAGATATACCCATATCTTTGACAACTACTCAGATTTTTTTACAAGTGGATTGAGCTATTAATACTTGGGACACGTTTGATGACCCTCAAGAAAATTAAAAGCCCATCTCCAAAGTTTCCACACTGCATGATTTCATTTATATAACATTCTCAAAATGACAAAATTATAGAGATAGATAATAGATTAGTGGTGCCCAGGGATTAGGGATGGGGTGGGAGAGAATGTGGCTATATAGAGTTATTACAAGGTTGATCTTTGTGGTGATAGGACAGTTCTGTATCTTGATTGTAGTGGAGGTTACACCAATTTACACATGTGATAAAATTGAATAGACCCTCACACACATAAATTGAGTGTAAAACTGTATATGTAAATTTCATTATATCTGAATAAAGTCTCTGGATTGTATCAATGGTGATTTTCTGATTTTGCAACTGAGTGAAAGGTACACAGAGTATCACTGTACTATTTTGCAACTTTTTGTGAATCTTTAATCATTTCAAAATAAAAACTTGTTTTCTTTTAATGGTGATAGGGTCTTACTCTGTCACTCAGACTGGAGTGCAGTGTCTTAGTCATGGTTCACTGTGGCCTCCAACTCCTGAACTTGAGTGATCCTCCTGCCTCAGCCTCCTGAGTACCTGGGACTATAGGCTCGCACCATCATGCCTGGCTAATTCAAAATAAAAACCTTAAAGAAAAACAGGAAATTTTGTGAGATGGCACTAAATCCATACTCAAGGGAAAAATTATAGGGCTAATGTTTATATTATAAAGGGAAAAGATCTGAAATCAATGACCTCAGCTTCCACATTGAGAAACTAGACAAAGTAGAGGAAATTAATGCAAAACAGAAAATACAGGAAAAAAGGAAAAAGATCAGAGTATAAAATCAGTGAAACAGAAAACATAAAAACAATAGAGAAAAAGCAATGAACTATGGTGTGCTTTTCTTCTGCTTGGGGTTTATGGGATTCTTGGATCTGTAGGTTTGTAGTTTTCATCAAATTTGGAAATTTTTATACAATTATGTCTTCAAATATTTTTTCTTTCACTCTCTCTGTCACTTTCCCTTTTTTGGACCCCAGTTTTATTTACGTTGACCACTTGGTACTTTCCCAGCTTACTGAATTTTTGTTAAGATTTTCTTATTCTTATTTTCCTCTCTGGTTTTATATAGTTTTTAATTCTGTATCTGTAAGTATATTAATTCTTTTTCTTTGTGTTAATTTCATTCAATGTATTTTACATTTCGGATATCATAATTTTTATCTCTTGAAGTTCCATTTGGATCTTCTTTATATCTTTTATTTTCCTCTTCCTTATCTACATGTTTGACCATATGGAATATTATGGAACCATAGGCAGCACGACGTGTTAGAAGGCAGCAGATGAGAAGTAAAAGCAAGTGATTAGAAGTAAAAGCAACTAGTACAGAATTTGGTGTCATGGAAGTCATAAAACAATACTTTGGGAATTAGAAAAGAGAATCATGAGTTGAATTAATAACTATAAAAAGTCTTACTGTAACCTGACTTCGAAGTAGTTGTGTTCCTTTGACAAAATCTTAGTTTTTATTATGCTAAAGACAATTAAGTCTGTTGTGAGTTTCTTTCTTTCTTTCTTTCTTTTTTTTTTTTTTTTTTTTGAGACGGGGTTTCTCTCCCATTGCCCAGGCTGGAGTGTAGTGGCACGCTCTTGGCTCACTACAACCTCTGCCTCCCGGATCAAGTGATCCTCCTGCCTCAGCCTCCCAAGTAGCTGGGACTCCAGGTGTGTGCCACCATGCCTGGATAATTTTTTTATTTTTAGTAGGGACAGGGTTTCACCATGTTGGCTAGGCTGGTCTTGAATTCTGACCTCAAGCGATCTGCCCGCCTCGGCCTCCCAAAGTGCTGGGATTTCAGGAGTGAGCCACCACGCCTGGCCTGTGGTGAGTTTCTTCTGAATAGCTGGGCTGTCTATTGATTTATAGGCTTTAAAAAATATGATTGCTTTACTAATCTCTTGGCCTTCACTTACATTTTGTTTGGCATTTACATACAATAAAGTAGATAGGACTTAAAAGTGGTATTGAGCTTTAGTAGAGGAGTACTAAAATTAGTAGTCAGCAACATGATTAAGGTTAAATTCTAGGGATCTTGATTCCCAAACAAATTTTGTACTGCTGGCATACAAATCACAACATTGAGACTAGAAAGAGCCAATATTTTTCATTCTAATATAAAGCCATGCATTTGGGTTTAGAATGAAGTCATTTTAAAAGATTTTACTATCCTGTTGTTTCATGAGTTTTGAGTCCAATGCTGATATGTTTTGTGCATGTTGCTGTTATCAACTCCACTCCCTGCTGCCTATAAAAAGGACAACGATACAAAAAGTTAAAGAAATTATTGGTGTTTTCTACCGTGGATATTGTCAGTGCCCTGGAAAAGCAATTAAATATGCAGCAATTTTCTTATGAGCTGCTCCCTTTCAAATGTCACATTAGATTTAACCTAACATCCTGGATTGCATTGCTGTTGTGGTATGTGTACTGTACATGGTGGAGGTACTCAACAATATTTCCTTGCATTGTCCATAATAAATATTTGCCCAAGACTGGGTAGGGGTGGAAGGGGAAGAAAGAAATGTTTTTCTCTTGTAGAGGAAACTTGTAATGTAGGACTTATTTAAAGAGTGTTTATAGTCCATTGTTGTCCATAGGGTGTGTCATACTGCTCTCTCCAGGTCTGAAAATCTGGGATAGTTAAAATTTCACTTATTTACACTTAAACTTCTCAGTTGACATATCCTTCCATAGAGAAATGATTTCAGTGAGACGGTGTTTTTCTTTAAGAAACTAAACATTTGAGACATTTAGACCCTGAATTTAGCCACATGTATGTTTTATAACTTGGGGAATATTATGAAATTAAAGTTTCTTGTTCACTGAAAAGATGTCAGATAGCTGAATGAAAGTACCATCAGCAATCTGCAAACATTGTAAATGATGGACTTAAAGTTTGTATTAGATTTCCCTTTTTGCATTTGTGTTCATTGGTTACCTACTTCTCCATCTCTTCGCATAGATCTTCAGACCTGTACAATAGAGTTCATTGAGTTTTTCTGTCATTGCTGGTCTCGAGATGTTTCAACATTAAAAGTTCTTTCCATTACAACCTAATGATCTGTACCCTATTCTGAAGCTAATCTTGGCATTTTCTGTCATTTGCTTTAGTATTTACCAGTTGGGGAAAAAAAGTGTGCGTGTCGTACCACCATCCTGTCATAATTCTTTTTTTTTGGCCAGGGGGAGACAGGGTCTCACTCTCTTGCCCCCAGGCTGGAGTGCCGTGGCATGATCACAGATCACTACAGCCTCAACCTCCCAGGCTCAGGTGATTCTCGTGCCTCAGCCTCCTAAGTAGCTGGGACTACAGGTGTGCACCACCATGCCTGGCTAGTTTTTGTATTTTTGTAGAGATGAGGTTTTGTCATGTTGCCTAGACTGGTCTCAAACTCCTGGGCTCAAGGCCAGGGTCAATCCACCCACCTCAACCTCCTGTAGTGCTTGGACTACAGGCATGAGCCACCACACCCAGCCCTGTCATAATTGTTCTTAATATAGAAGTGAAACAAAAGGAATGTCTCTATAAAGGGCTGCTTTTTACTTTTTAATGTCTTTATTTTACAGAATTCTATGTGATAGTAGTATCTCAGTGTTCCTTCAGATTGTTGTATGACTTGCTATTTTTCAGATACATTTGAGAGTAAGCATTTTTTCCACTGAAGCTAGTCATATTTATTGCACTGGATTAACAAATTTGGCTGGGCTAGGACATTGATTCTGATAGATTAAAGAAAAAGCATCTATTGGTTGTAAAGCCTGTAGGCTATCAGAACTCTGCTCCTGATGTCATTTATGCTATCTCACGTAAGTTTAAGGTTATTTACATACAGATACTGATATCCCTCAATGTGTGGTTTTATGATTGGGTAGTGGGGATAGGGGATGCAGGATTTGGATATATGTTTGCCCTTTTCTTCAAAAAATGAGGAGCTAAAATAGAATGGTCTGTCTGTGCTTACCTGCAGTAATGTAATGGGTTGATATTGGCAGGAGCTTGTGGGTTGATGTGGCATCACTTCCATCACTACGGTTAATTGCTAATAAATGACTGACTGGGAATTTAGGAGGAATGCTACAACTGTCTGCTGTGTTAGTGGTAACAGGAATTCTGGCGCCATTTCAGGGTGACTATTTGTATTTGTCTATCAGAGTTAGAATACAGTTGTTTCTCTCAGTTTCAGCCTTCTCTATAGAATTTCTGTCAATTGTTTGACTCCATTAAGTGTGCAGAGGAAGTAAAAGCCTGAATGACCAATCCACCAGGGGCTATGGATAGACCCTTTCTTTGTCCATACTCAGAGCACTGCATTAGGTCTCATTATCCATTTATAATAAGTGACCTCTGCCCCCTGGGTCATTGAAAAATATTCAGTGTGCTTTTCTGACACATAGGGCACCTTTCTCAGCAGACACATGAAACAATGGGACGTCTGGTAGTCTGGAGAACTGGTATACATTGCAGGTTTTAAAATAAATACACAGCCTTGTGCCAAATTACTCTTCTAATTTTTTTTTCTCTGTTCTTACATGGTTTATAAATGGGCCAAGGGGATCCTAATGTCTGGAAAATAAATGTATTCCTTATCTCTTTTCTTTCTTATTATTCTAGTTTTAAAAAATTGCCGTGTTTTTCCATTTATTTTCTAGAAATGATTTGCCTTCATCTCTGATTTTGCATTTCCTGATAGAGAACTATAGAAAGCCTTGGATATAGTGAATGGAGAGAGTTACCGTCTTTCAAAAGTGTTTGCCAAATCTGCTCAGGATGGCTCTGGAGGTTATCTGTGACGTGCTCAAAACCTGTCTTCTTCTAGCCCTCTGTTCTGCCCAAACTGGTAGTAACCAGGCTGGAAAAGGATTTGACCCTTCCTTGGTCACTGCATTCCAGATTTCTTTCGTGGTATAAATGTGGACCACCTGCCAGAAAGCTTTGCGTATGTACTTGTTCTGTCTCCAGCTCCAAGTGTATAGACAGACTTGGGAAGAGATGGAGATAGAAATTGATTAGTGGCCAAAATAAAGATGGAAAGTAAGAAAACTGTCATGTCCAGAGCTTTACATGGTGTCAACTGAAGGACAGCCTTCCGCGAGTTGGAGTCTTGACCACCAGTAACTAACTGTGTGGCCTTAGTACAGTGCCCATGTTATATACTGATAGAAGTCAGTAATTTACTTGAAATATGTTGGGACAGGAAAAATAAAAGACTGAGAACCACTTATTTTGCAAGTCATATGAAGAAACGTTAAGAGGCAAATTAAAATTTTAACTTATACTTTATTTTAATTAAAGTATTTAAAATAAATTTATAAAGTATAAAAATTCTTTTATAGATATTTTTTAAAGTTTAAGATGCAGGCTTTGTATTAACAAAGCCCTATTCCCCTTAGAACTTACTGATGTTGTGTTTATTGTTATATATACTGGCTTGTTTATTTTATTAAAAATACATGAGCTACACAGAGATTTGAAGAAACTCAGTTTATTACACTGAATTAGCTGCCATCCTGTCCAGGAGACCCAGGGGTTTTATTATAACAAAATGGTTTTCCTATTAAGTGATGTACTACTGCATGCTCTCAGATATTGAGACACAGAGGTGTTATCTCCATAAAAATGACCATTGCATCCATGCACAGATTTTTTCTCTCCAGTTATGGAAAACCTCATAGTTGTTAGAACTCTCTCCATGACAAGGATTAATATATTAACTGGATTATAGCACTGTTTGACAAATTGCTCACTAAATACATCAAAATTGATTGGACCTTCTTTATTTGAATTGACAAATGGCTGCATTAGGAGAAGGAGGGAAATCCATTAATTATAGCTGCTCTCGACCATAGGAAATGTAATCATATAAATATGGATTTTGCTAAAACAAAAATGTCTTCTTTATGGTAGTGTTGTTTATATGTATATCTGCATCTCTTTGCCATTAATAGAAGGCCTGTGCTTACTTACCATCTTTTAAATAATAAAAAATTGATTTCTGTGGTGTTAAAAGGTGTGTTCTACCCTCTCCTGACTATATAATAGTTTTTTAAATATTCCAGAAAATATCAGGGAAACCCTGTAGTTCAGCCTTTCTGCTCAGTTTTCAATTGCACCTCTATTTGTCCATCTTGTGCTTCTATGTTCATTGATTTCCCAGATAACCTTACAGATTTGTGACTGCTCCAGTGTAAGTTTATATATGACAGGGCCTTTACTTAGGAAACAGGAAATCCAGACACTGATGGTTTTGACTTCCTTCACATTGTTACCTTGAGTGAGTCATTGCCTTCTACGCCTCAGGTTTCTCATCTTTATAATTAAGGGTGTGAAAATCTTTTTCAACTTTCAGATTTGGGGAGATCCCTGCCCTAGAATCTCGTAACTTGTCCAGAAACTCATGAAAATTCAGACCCAAGACATGTTAAAAGAGGAGGAAACAAGCAGCTAGGACACCTGAAGTCAAGGTCTTTGTCTTGTTACTTTTTTTTTTTTCACATTTTATGTAGCAACAGGATTTTCTAATAGTTTGCAAATAATTCCTGATTATACAATAGTAGAAACAAAGCAGCCTGTGCTATTCTTTATGGAAAATGTATGTTTCATAAACATTTTTAAGCGATCTTTTTGAATTATTTCTTATTTCCAAGAATACCTAGAAATCCCTTCTTTCTTCAAATTAATGTATATATGATTTTAGTTTTTCCTATATGTTTTAATACTTTGTTTTAAATTATAGTCTTGTGTCTTTAGCATAGCTACTTTTTTTTTATATTGAAGCCTCTTTTAGCTGCTGATTATGAAGCTAACATATTTAATATTATTTTTGTTTCTGGAGTTCTGACTGTTCCATTTATCAAAAGTTTTAATTTTGCTTTGATAGTGTATAAGCTCTTATCATTACTGAGTTTCTCTTTCTTTGAAAAAATTTTTCTCTCTTGATTTTTCTTACTGAAAGTAACCAGCCCAGTAACCGAGGCATAAGGTTGGTGGGTGAGTGCCACAGATTGTCTCTCTGCAGCTTCAGTCTCTTCTTCCCCTTATTGTTGTCATAGGATAGGAGACTTTTGGCCATATGATTCTGTGGAACTTGGCAGGGGACCAGAAACACCATATTGCCTTCAGTGCCTTTATGCCATCAGTTTCTTGTCTTTTATACTACGCTTTCTTTGTATTTTATGACTTTGTGAAGAACATCTGTAACAACCCTATATGATGTGAAATCTGGTCAAAGCTGAGATTTGGGGATTTTTTGAGGATAGCGTTTTTTTCTTTTCTTGGTCACTCGGCTGATTTCTGTGCTCTTTTCTAGATGCTAGCATGTCATCCGTGGTTGCATCATGTACACCTTTAAATATGAAACCAACAAACCAGTATTTTCTACGATGAAAAATTTTAATCAGAGGTATTATAGTGTATGTAAAGTAGCACTTTGATTGTTTCTCTCACTGCATGTGAAGCTTCCTTCAATGTCTGTAACCTTGTGTTGTGACTTCTGGTTAAAGTAATTTTTCCCCATTGTTTGATCACAGTATAGGTATCTCTGATCAGGATACATAACTGTTTATTATGATTATAGAAAAGATTATATTAAGTGAAGCAGACATTGAATAGACAAACAACAGACTCTCAATCAATGATATAATTGACGTTTGGGGATAAAAATCTCTTACATGTTTTATATGATAAATTTAACTTAAAATAATGAACTTAGTAGGTAATGAAGTGATAAATTGAGGTGAGGTGATTTTGCTTAAGGTGAAGAATGTGATCTTTAGAGTCAGCAGTCCTGAATTTGAACTCTGTCTCTGCTACTTGCTATCTGTACAGCTTTAGGCAGATAACCTCCCCGAACTCTTTTTTCTCCCCATCTTTTTTTTTTTTTTTTTTTTTTTTTTTTTTTTTTTTTGAGACAGAGTCTCGTTCTGTTGCCCAGGCTGGAGTGCGGTGGCACAATCTCGGCTCGCTGCAAGCTCTGCCTCCTGGGTTCACACCATTCTCCTGCCTCAGCTTCCCGAGTAGCTGGGACTACAGGCGCCCGCCATCACGCCTGGCTAATTTTTTGTATTTTTAGTAGAGATGGGGTTTCACTGTGTTAGCCAGGATGGTCTTGATCTCCTGACCTCATGATCCGCCTGCCTTGGCCTCCCAAAGTTCTGGGATTACAGGCGTGAGCCACTGCACCTGGCCTCTCCCCGTCTTTAAAATGGGTATTAATAATACCTACCTTACAGGATCATTGTTAGATAATATGAGATAATTGATCCAAAAAGGCTTACCCAAGAGCTTGGATAGAAAAAAGAAACTCACTAATGATAGCTGGTGGTTGTACTTAGTTGTGTGAGAATGAATACCCTTCTTCCGTGAGGTCTTTCTTGCTTCTCATGATTCCACCTACTTTATGACAGATACTGCCAGGTGGCACAGGTGAACATACTTTGTTGTGAAGAGAAAGCGTTTGTATTATATCTCCTCTGATCTTCAGTGGTCAGCTGGACAAGTATGGCTCTAATATTGGGCACATTTTCAAAGCTATAGAAAGAAATTTTACTGGCTGGGCACGGTGGCTCACACCTGTAATCCCAGCACTTTGGGAGGCCAAGTTGGGCAGATCGCTTGAGTCCAGGAGTTCTAGACCAGCCTGGCCAACATGGTGAAACCCTGTCTCTACTAAAAACACAAAAATTAGCCGGGCGTGGTGGCGCGTGCCTGTAATCCCAGCCACTCGGGAAGGCTGAGGCAGGACAATCTCTTGAACCTAGGAAGGAAGGAAAAAATGAGTGGGAAAGAGAGAAAGTGAAAATGAAAGAAAGAAGGGAGTGAGGAAGGAAGAAAATGCAGGGGAAAAGAACTACCTCACTTTGTTATACAAGATGAAAATAAAATGGTATACAGTAATGAAAGTAAACCAGACCTAAATATATTTTTTTTATTATTTTTATTTTTATTTTTTGAGACAGAGTCTTGCTCTGTCGCCCAGGCTGGAGTGCAGTGGCGCAATCTTGGCTCACTGCAAGCTCCCCCTCCCAGGTTCACGCCATTCTCCTGCCTCAGCCTCCTGACTAGCTGGGACTACAGGCGCCCACCACCACACCCGGCTAATTTTTTTTTTTTTGTGTATTTTTAGTAGAGACGGGGTTTCACCGTGTTAGCCAGTATGGTCTCGATCTCCTGACCTCATGAGCCACCCCGCTTGGCCTCCCAGAGTGCTGGGATTACAGGCGCGAGCCACTGCGCCCGGCCACCAGACCTAAATGTATTAACATGGATGATACATATAGTGTTATGTGGGAAAAAAAACCTGTTCTAGAAAAGTATTACTATGATTTTTTAAATTATCACTCACTGAATGATCCTGAATACTTCATGTATTCCACACCCTAGCCAAGAAGAGTCAAGATGACTCTCTGTCAGTCTGCAGGTCAAGAAATGGTTGTTCAATCTTTTGAAACATTCATAAAATAGTTTTTAAAAAAATTATTGGAGAAACGTTAGACGTACATAGTACACAGTTAGTTGTATAAGGAATCTACCAATTACCAAGTTTCAACAATTTACAACATTCTACCACAAAGTATCCTAAGAAAGTCATTCACTATTGTGTCTTTTTACCCATGATTCTTCACTATACATCTGATTATAAAGACTTTTTAAAGATCACAACTCCCCACCATTACGTAAAACAGGTGAGGCAGGGACAGTGATTTGTGGAGATCTCTGTTTAGTAGTTTGACGTTGTGGAGTAGGCAAGGAAGATCAAGCCTGGAAAATGCTCTTCTTACTTTTGGAAAGTTAAAGAAAACCCTGCAGTAGTTGTGGGCTTGTGTTCTCTGTCTCATGCTTTCCCCTATCCTCTCGGTTTTGAGAATTTTCTGATTAATTTAGAGTTAAAATATGGAAAACATCATGAATGCTTAATGATCATTTAAGAAGATTTTAGATTATTTTCCTAACTATAGGGTGAAAATGTTTGGTGCCTTCCAGGTCTAAAAGCTTTTGTCTCTCCATGCCAGGGCAACTTTGCCTCTTTTGCTTAGGCAAGAGAAAATCTGTATGTAATTCTTCCTGCTGCATAATGATGTGGATTTTCCTAGTATGTAACTAGATAATAAATAAATGAAACATGAAAAAACCACATTAAGTCTTTGCAAAAAAAAATTATTTTTGCCATTTTTACATTTGCAAACATCACCCCCCATCCTCGCCTGCTTTTTTGTTGTTGTTTGTCAGGGCTTAGTGTAGATGCTAGACTGAATACTACATTAGAGCCTTTGCTATTCAACTGTGCCATTGTAGATGGAGTCAAGAACAGTAAGTTTTCAATCACTGTCCTATTGCCTACATGTACAGATGGGTACATCGATTACTGCACACAATTTAATGACCAAAAATAGTGATTATTTACCTTTACAACATCAATTTACAGTAGGTTCCATATATGCTCTACTCATCCTAGTATCTTATCAAGTATATTTTAGAGTGTTCCTTGAATTTATAATGGAGAATTGATTATTCCTGAAAGAAATGCATCTAACATTCAGGTTTGGCTGTGAGAATACCGTTGCTACTGTTGAAGCATTACAACTCATAATTCTACACAGAATTTAGCTTAGGATGCTTTCAGCAAATAATCATTCTTCTGAACAAAAAAACAACGTGTTTGAGCAGTTGATAAAGCTGGTCCTATGTTTGATATTTGTGTGTATAAATACAGAGATAATGATAAATAAACAGATACGGAGACATTATGCATAAGCAAGTTAGAAGTAGCACACCCCCTTTAAAAAGTTACTGAATCTAAAAATAGGGGGAAAAACACATAACCCACTATGCAATAAGGTCAACTTTTATTTTGTTTATCGTTTTCCAACTTCTGTTGATATATATCTGATTTGTTTGCTTGCATATATTGACTATGGTGTGCTGCACCATCTGTATCAATTGTATTGTTCCTATTCCACAACTTTTAATTAAATATGAATTTTTATATCATGTTTATTTTATAAACATGATATACACGGTTTAAAAGGTAACAAAAAATATCCAGTGGAAAATAAATCCTCCGTATCTCCCAACTAACCTCATCCCCTCCCAGGAGGCAACTACTATTAGTAATGTATTGTATTCTATACTCCTGTAAAGGTAAGCTTTAATAAGAATGCTCTTATTGTTACATATGAGTCTGGCCAGATTATATAACCCATGATAAGACAACAGTTGTTATTCACAAGCTATAAGCAAGGTACTTTATAGTTATGATACAATTCTTTAAAATAGTGTGGACTTACTTTTCCAGCTATCCTACTGTTGGTGATTTAATGTACATACAGTGCAGTTGTACTATCAAATGAGTTGCACTAGTGTGAGTTCTAGTAGAACACATTAAGTAGATATTGTGTGTGTCTCTCCAGGTAGATATGAGGGGACTTCAAAAAGTTTGTGGAAAAAGGGAGTTAAAAGATACAAATTAAAAATATAAACTTTATTTCTCAAGATAAGCCCCATCAAGTTAAAGATATTTTTGTAAGCGATGATACTAGCCATTTAGTCCATCCTAAAAACTGAAGGTCCTGGGAATTTAATTATGTCAATGCTGTCTTTTTTACATTAACTAAAGAAAAATGGATGCCCTTTAATGATTTTTTTTAAGATTAGAAGCAAAAAGAAGTCTGAAGGAGCCAAATGAGGACTGTGAGGTAGATGCCTCATGATTTCCCATCAACACTCTCACAGAACTGCCCTTGTTTGCTGGGAGGAATGAGCAAGAATATTGTTGTGGTGGAGAGGACTCTGGTGAAGCTTTCCCGGGCATTTTCCCACCAAAGCTTTGGCTAATTTTCTCAAAGCATTCTCATAATCAACAGATGTTATTATTTTCTTTGGCCCTCCAGAAAGTCAACAAACAAACTGCCTCAAGCATCCTAAAAAACTGTTGCCGTGACCTTTGCTCTTGCCCACTTTTGCTTTGACTGCACCACTTCTGCCTTTTGGTAGCCATTGCTTTGATTGTGCTTCGTCTCTTGGATCCTACTATAACAGTAAAGCCATGGTTTATTTACAGTTTTTTGTTTTTTTGTTGTTTTGGTTTTTTTTTTTGAGGCAGAGTCTTGCTCTGTCACCCAGGCTGGAGTGCGGTGGCACAATCTCGGCTCACTGCAGCCTTTGCCTCCTGGGTTCAAGCGATTCTCACGCCTCAGCCTCCCGAGTAGCTGGGACTACAGGCACCTGCCACCACGCTTGCTAATTTTTTATATTTTTAGTAGAGACGGAGTTTCACCATGTTAGCCAGGATGGTCTCGATCTCTTGATCTCGTGATCCGCCACCTCGGCCTCCCAAAGTGCTGGGATTACAGGCATGAGCCACCATGCCCGGCCTCCTGTTATAGTTCTTTGAAGAAATGCTTCAGGATCTTGTTTCCACTTGATTAAAATTTCCATTGAAAGCTTTGCTGTAGTCTGCAGCTGATCTGGGTGCAATGCTTTAGGCACCCATTAAGTGAAAAGTTTGCTCACCTTTAATTTTTCAGTCAGAATTGGGGAAGTGGAACCAATTGAGATATCTTTGGCACTGGCTGTAGTTTCTGCTGTTAATCATTGGTCCTCTTCAATTAAGGCACAAAGAAGATGAATTTTTTTCCTATCAAATTGATATGGATGGCCTGGCCACTGAAGACTTCATCTTCAATACCATCTTGTCCCTTCTTAAAACGAACTATCCATTTGTAAACTGCTGATTTCTCTGGGGCATTGTCTCCATAAACTTTTGGTAAAGCATCAATAATTTCACCATTCTTCTACCCAAGCTTGACTGTAAATTTGACATTTGTTCTTACTTCAGTTTTCCATGAACTTTTTGAAGACCCCTCCTAAACTCCACCTTGTCCTTAAAATGGTTTGACCTTGCAAGTGCTTTGAGAGGATGGTTATAGTCTGTTCACTTCTTAGAAGTATATTAGAGGCTGGGTGTCATGGTATACACCTGTAGTTCCAGCTCCTCAGGAGGCTGAGACAGGAGGATCACTTGAGGCCCAGGAATTCTAGGCTATAGTGCACTATGATGATCATGCCTGTGAATAGCCACTGCATGCCAGCTTGGTCAGCATAGCGATACCTATCTCTTAAAAAAAAAAAAGTATACTTGGACTGTTTGAAATTTTTCCTTAGTAGAGTAACTGATCTGGCTGATAGCATGAACCCATTATGCTTTATTCTTTCTCTCCATTTTATGAGATATTTAGGGCCACTAAGAAGTAAAACTAAATTGTGAGCCCAGCCAGACTCTCCAGGGGTAATTTGTCCAGATGCTAAATGTCAAATGACCTCTTGGTAGCAGGAACAATAAATGAAAGCTCCTTAGTTTATGTCTTCTGTAGTAATATTATGATACTGTGGGGGTACAGAAAAGGAGATGGGGAGAAAAGATGCACCCAGAGTTGTCAGTTTTTCAGTGAAATCTATTAGTTTATAGACAGAGAAGATATATACTTTTTCTAATTATATATTGCCTGTGACTGTTCTTCTGGGAATGTGACATAAAAGGAAAGTGAAACCAGAGATGTACAATACTGACTGTTAGAAAACTTTAATAATTAATTAGAGAACATCTATGGTACTACAGGGTCAGGGCACAAGGAAGATCATTGATCCCTATAATATATAATGTAGATAAAGCTTGTTCCCCTTTATGTATTGTTGTTGCATTGGTATAGGGATGGCTGCTAATCAACAGAACAGCCAGTGATATTCTGTGGAATTGCTTTACTGCTCTGTGTATTAGATTTAGTGAATTCCTCTACATTTAAATTGTCACATTTATAAATCAGTGTGAATTTAATACTACCCATTTTCAAGTAGTTATGTGTGTTATTTTTAATCTGAAAGGGTTCTCCCTTTTTTTAGTCATTTAAAAAATCACACTTTAATTTTTGCCACTTTGATATGTATGCAATGATAACTTGAATCATTAAATCTCCAATTACTACGATTTAAATATGTTTGTTGGATATTATAATTCCTCCTCTGTGAATTGCTTGTTCATTGGGAACTGCCTTTGTTCATTTTGCTTTTGGATTATTTGTCTTCTGAACCTTTGTTTTAAAATGGCAAATTTTAGTTTCTATACTAAGAAACTACATTCCCAAGCAGAATTTCATCCTTATATCCTGAGTGCTTTCTGATCAGAAACAGAGTTTGGTAAATAGCCCTTGCTTATTGTATGGCTGCTATATAAATGCTGTTTTTAATAAGCACCAAAAATATATTGAGGTTTGTCCTTGGGAGAGAGTTTATCACTGTTGGCCTTTGGGTGAACTTTGAGCCTGAGCTGTTTCATTCAAGGCAGCATGATGTCATTTAACTGCAAATTTCTCTGTTGCTAGAAAAAGGAATGTTGTTCCTCTAAATAACCTAAACGACTGAAAAATGCTGGCACAACATTATTCATCTCTCAGGTCTCCACTAAAAACTTTCACGTGCTAAGGGTTTTATTGTTTGTGGAGGAAGGGTGGGGATATGGTAAAGAGTAGGAGAAAACAAAAACTGTGTCTGGTCCTGAATCTGAAGAATTCCACTGCCCATATAAAACTCAGCTGCCAGTAGGACCCAGTAAACTCACTTGTCCAGATAAGAGCTTTTGGGTCCATCTTTGATTTTTCACTTATAAATCAGTGTGAGTTTTAAATTTATAATTAAACTTACAAATGCATTTAATCTTCATTTATAGATCAGTGTGAATTTTTGAATTAAGAGACTCTAAATTTCTATTTCTATATATTCAGCCTATTATCATATTTTAAGTTTCCAACAAAATCTTAAAGCAGGTAACTATATGATTATCTCACATATAAAACTAGGTACCATTAGGGTCAGCATTTTTATCCTTAATTTGAGAAGCAGATTTCTCTGATAGTGATAGCATTGCAATTAATTTCAAGGAGTAGAACAGCTTCTTAACATCTGCTAGAGTTGGGAGGCTGGAGTTTACAAACAGTGGTACCTGTAGTTGATCAGCTATGTCCTCTAAAGCTTCCAGAGCTACAGCTAAGAGAATTTATTACTGGAAATTCAAGAAATGTAGGAAAGGGTAGAACAAGAAGAACAAAACCAAACCAAATAGACTTTTCCTTCATTACTTTCATAAATAAGCACTGCTCGATGTTCATTATGCTTTGTGCTTGTTTATATAAAGAGGATGCTTACAAGCTGTGTGTAGTCTTTTAACTTTTACATGCGTTGGCAGTTGTTTTTCATTGCTTTAAATGAAATGGTACTGGATACAGATATTTTTATTTTTATTCTTGCTTTACAAAGAAATATTTAAATCTTATAAACTTCATTTTTACAAGGTCTAATTTTTTTCCTGAGTATCTTAAACCATGTCCAATATAATGAGAGTAATTAATTACCTGCTCTAATGTACAGTATATTTAATATGTTAATGATAAATATCTTACCTTTTGTATTCTAAGTAGAAGACTAGATTAGTTGCAGATGAACTTTTTTGATATCTAGCTGTTTCTCTGGGGATATTTTAGAAAGAATTTGATTCCATAAAATTGAGGTTTTCTTCTCATTCTTTTGGGGGAAAAATTGAAATGTTAGGTTTAAATTTTTCTAGGAATGGTAATAACTCATTCTCGGAATCCTGGTTCAAATTCACCTATCCTAACCTGTATTAAGTAGTGTTAAAGAACTAGATATTTGAAGAAACTTAAGGATGTCAACTTAGAGGTCTGTTAATGTTTATACCTTTAATCTTGCAATTATTATTTATATACTTTAATACTTTGTACCTATAGTTTAGCAGTATGTAAAGCAACACTTTTAACTTTCTCTAACCGATAAATACCATATTTTCTGTGGGTAATTTTTTAAAATTCTTTACACATTGATTCTTGTATTAAGTTGCAGAAGGCATCTAAAAATTCAAAAATAGAACTCTTCTAAGATTTTGATTTGAAAAGTTATATTATTAATTGACTTTTTGGAACATTGTGAATTTTATTATATAGGATTCAGACCTAAGGATGTTATTAAGGGGACATTAATCTTTCATTTCATAACTTTATTTATGTGTGTATGTGTATATATATATATATATATATATATATATATATATATATATATTTATACAGACTTGGCAGTATTTTTGGTTTAGATTAACAGGACTAATTTTCAAAGGTCAGCCCTAAAGCAGATTGGCTTTTGTTTGCTTTACACATACTCACATATGAAAATATATAAATAGGCTGAACACAGTGGCTCACACCTGTAATCTCAGCACTTTGGGAGGCTGAGGCAGGCGGATCATGAGGTCAAAAGATCGAGACCATCCTGGCCAACATGGTGGAACCCCACCTCTACTAAAAATACAAAAATTAGCTGGGTGTGTGGTGCGCACCTGTAATCCCAGCTACTTGGGAGGCTGAGGCAGGAGAATCGCTTGAACCTGGGAGGCGGAGGCTGCAGTGAGCTGAGATCATGCTGCTGTATACCAGCCTGGTGACAGAGCAAGACTCCATCTCAAACAAACAAACAAAAAAAAAAAAAAATATATATATATATATAGAAACACACACATGTATACACAGAAGCCCATATATTCCTATAAGAAAAATACCATAAGTGATTTTTTAGCTCTTATTTACTCACTATAAGCATGATTTGCTTATAAATACTAAAAACAGACAGGCTCACAGTTACCTCATAATGATCTACTCATCCTGCCTTTGCTCGTTGATGTATATTTAGCAAAAGCCTGTGTGTAGAGGCAGTACTTTTGAAGTTGTATTCTCTAAAGTAAATTGATAGTATTCCCTATTCAGTATTTTCCTTTTCAGTTTGGCAGATAAGGTGTGTTTGAAAATTACTGTACTAAGAACATGGCTAGATTTATATCCTTGTACCAAGTTTATTAATTATCTAAGGACAGTTGGTAAATATAAAAGATACTAAACATTTTTCTTTAGGGTAGCTATTTTGTATCTTGGTCCATTGAACTTGGATTTGCAAGATATGTAACTTTATTTTTCTTTAAATAAACTCTATTAAGTTTTTTTTAGTACCTCCATTCGAAGAAAGGTGGAAAAATTAATCTCAATCAATTATACCACCTCCAAAGTTACATCTAAATTCTCTAGGGTGTTCAGGGTATAAAAGTATGAGGTAAGGGATTTGGGGACATTTTGTCCTAATTGTCACCACTGACATGTCCCATTTCCCCACCAGATCATTGGCCATTGGTTCATATAGGTCTCTGCAGCATCCATTCTTGTTTCTCATCCAGCTCCTGTCAGTTGTCTGGACTATGTCCATATTATTCTTGTACATGTATGAAACATTCTTCTCCTCTAAGCTATGGAGAACATGGTAAGGTTGTCACAGACCTGGCTGTACAGACACACTATGTGCACACCATTTCTACTCTTGTACCATGTGGGATCTCTTGCCACTTCCCTTAACTCTGCCCAAGATTGAAGACATAAGTTTTCACCGCCATTGGTCCCTAAAACTTCTTCTGGGATTCTGTCGTTTCCCACTCCTCTTTGTGACCCTCTTTTTTCCCCTTTCTGTCTCTGCCAGTCTCGCTCCAATCTCAGGGTATCATTCCTAATATTTGAGTGGTTAGAAGCATGGAAACTTTGCTCTTATCATATTTTCTTTTTATCAAGGTTGTAAATTCTTTTTTCCATGTGAACAGGTATGTCATTCCTTCCCAAGGTAGTAAACATAGAATGTTCTTCCTACCTGGATTGAGAGAAATTTTTTAATATAAATAAATGCAAGTGGTGAAATAAAATGGATAGACTTTGTCAGAGGAGCAAAAGAGAGGATAATTCTATTTAAAGAAAAAGCCAAAGAAGCATTAGGTAAAGCCAAAGACACAAATAATGGTAACCCACAATTAAAAAACAAAAAACCAAAGAAGTGACTTGGGAAATAGTAGAAGGAGAGATGAAAAAGAAGCATTGAAAAAAATCATGCAAGACCAACAAGAATCCCCAAATAAATGGAAGTCAAAGATTGCAGATTTACAGGAAAAGGGAAGAGTAATAAAGCTACCCAGCCTGGGTTTGCGATAGGGAAGGTACAGTTTCAGGGCAGGTAAACTAAATTTGATAGTGATGATGAATGTGATGGAGAATGGTGCAACTGAGCCAATGAAAAGAGCAAAAGAAGAAACAAAGAAGAACCTGCGCCACAAGGACAAAAAACAGAAAATGGTGCCAGAGACCAGTAGTTGAGTGCACAGATTTTTAAATTCATTTTAATTAGGTTTTAAGCTGCTTTTGTTTTGGGACTTTTAAAACAAAATCCAAATTAGGCCTACTATTCAATGTCCACCTGCAAGAAAGGAAAACTTTCAGGCCAGGTGTGGTGGTTCATGCCTGTAATCTCAGCACTTTGGGAGGCTAAGGCGGGTGGATCACTTGAGGTTAGGAGTTTGAGACCAGCCTGGCCAACATGGCAAAATCCCGTCTCTACTAAAAATACAAAAATTAGCCAGGCATGGTGGCGCACGCCTGTAATCCCAGCTACTCAGGAGGCTGAGGTGGGAGGATCGCTTGAACACAAGGTGGAGGCTGCAGTGAGCCGAGATCATGCCACTGCACTCCAGCCTGGGTAACAGAGTGAGACCCTGTGTAAAAAAAAAAAAAAAAAAAAAGACCCTTTTCACAAGATGGCGCCGAAAGCGAAGAAGGAAGCTCCTGCCCCTCCTAAAGCCGAAGCCAAAGCGAAGGCTTTAAAGGCCAAGAAGGCAGTGTTGAAAGGTGTCCACAGCCACAAAAAGAAGAAGATCCGCACGTCACCCACCTTCCGGCAGCCGAAGACACTGCGACTCTGGAGACAGCCCAAATATCCTCGGAAGAGCGCTCCCAGGAGAAACAAGCTTGACCACTATGCTATCATCAAGTTTCCGCTGACCACTGAGTCTGCCATGAAGAAGACAGAAGACAACAACACACTTGTGTTCCTTGTGGATGTTAAAGCCAACAAGCACCAGATTAAACAGGCTGTGAAGAAGCTCTATGACATTGATGTGGCCAAGGTCAACACCCTGATTTGGCCTGATGGAGAGAAGAAGGCATATGTTCGACTGGCTCCTGGTTACGATGCTTTGGATGTTGCCAACAAAATTGGGATCATCTAAACTGAGTCCAGCTGCCTAATTCTGAATATATATATATATATATATATATATATATATATCTTTTCACCATTTAAAAAAAATAGAAAGGAAGCTTTTTTGTTGTTGTTTAACTTGTCTTTTTTGTTATTCACATGAGAATTTTTTTGAATGTATAGTTCTATTTGTGTAATTTCAGATGATTCAATATCAAAAGGAAGATTCTTCCATGAAATTGCCTTTGTAATATAAGAATGTATTAGTACAAACTAAGAAAATATATGCTATATAAAAAGAGCAAAAACTTAGTTTATTTTTACCTTTTTGTGCCCAAAGCATTTGAGAATGAATTTTAAACTAGAATGTTGGCTATTGATTATGGGCCCTTCCCACAGATAATTTATCCTGTCTCCTAGGCTGGCCTTCTGTATTTACACAGGCAGCCTGGTAACATTAGAAAGAATTACTTGTCACAAAGCTTTTCAATACTATATGTAGACTGACTAAAATCAAGAGACTTACTGATTTCTTTGTATGAAAGTTGTGTGACGCTGGCAGGTCATATCTGTAAAACAGAAGCCACCTAAGGTCATTTCCAAACACTTAACCACCTTTGACTAAAACAACAACAACAACAACTACAACAAAAACTAAGAAAAGTATTAAATACTGGTAAGCTGAACATTTTAGATCTGTCCCTTTAACTTATGCATATACTGGCTTGATATGTCCCCCAACATCAGCCATGGAAAACAGAGCCTGGCTCTTCTGCTATAATGGCCATTTATACTGAAATTTGAGGTTATAGTGAAGAATTTAGAAGGATAACAAGTGGACAAAAAAAGTAAATCCTATGAAAATGATAGTACCTTTCTATTTTAAATTTCCTAATAATTTATAGCTAACTTAATCTCATAATAACCATGCTTATTTCAGAATTTTCTTGTCTAGATTTTAGAAATGGCAATAAGTAACTAATTATTTTCCTCCTAAGCTCTCAAATGAAAACCAGTTTTTCATATTTTTTCCTTTTAAAGAATAATGTAGATTCTCCAAACTTTTACTACTGATCTATTTTAGAGGAATGGCAGTGAGTCTACTCCTGTATAATGCAGCTCTCAAATTTTAATGTGTAATAAAATCACCTAGGGATCTTGTTGAAATGCAGATTGTAATTCAGTAGGGCTGGGTGGGTGGAGCCTGAAGTTATTTATTTCTAACAAGCTCTGCGAGGGATGTCAATGTTAATGGTCTGAGGACCACATTTGGAGGAACAGCGTTCTGGCTTGGTGGTATACTGTTGGGACTGTTCTAAGGTATTCCATACTACATATTGTAATTCCTAAAACTGTATAGAGAATCCAATACTAAATATAATAGGAAGACCAACAGATTTTAATAAATATATTACATTACCAATTATTATGAACAGTAATATATCTAGTTGTATGTTTAACACCACAGTGCCAATTAATGATTAATTTATTGTGAAAAAAATATGTTCTCTTATTGCACTCTTCTTTCAGACTTTTCAAAATTATTTGGATTATAGTTAGCTTCTAATTATAAGCTTTTCCTGTTTTGATGTTTGTGCTTTTACCCAATTTAGTAATAAAAATGTATCAAACATGGAAAAAATGGTGAGGCAGAGGAAGGATATTTATTTGATAATGAAAAATATTATCCCACCAGATTTATTTTTTATATTGCCCATCTTCTGATGGCTTCCAAGTATGCTTAATTAGAAAACTATTTTTGGTGAAAAAAGGGGATGGAAATTCTTATAATCTCTTTAGGATTTTGGGGTGCATATTTATGGTACTATTTCTAGATGTATATTTGGAATCTTTATTACTTCCTTTGGAAAGTTAATGAGGGCAGAGAGGATCTTTCTCCCTTCTCACTGTGGAAAATTCCAAACATACACAAAACTAGAAAATAATAGTATAGTGAGCCTCCATGTACCTATCAGCCAGCTATAACAATGATCAACTAATGACCAATCCTGTTTTCATCTGTAATTCTACCTCCCACCTTCATCCCTGCACTGGGTTATTTTGAAGCTAATCCCAGACATTATAATATATTATCCCTATTTTGATGATGGATAAATAAGTGTCCAGCCATTCTAGTGCCGTTACTTACTTAGTACAGAATCCAAAACTCCAACCACCCAGTAAATACTTATTGAGTACTTGTTCTGTGACACGTACTAGTCTAGGCTCAGCATATATAAAACACAACATAAACTTTTGGAGAAATTCACATTAGGTACTAGCTAGTTACGTAAGGCATGGTTACTCACTTCTACTTAAAAATTGCTAATTGCTTTCCATCATATTACTCGAGCTTTATTACCAAAAAAAAAAAAAAAAAAGAAGAAAGGAAAAGCCCACAGTAATCTGCTGGTCCTACTTCCTTTGCCTTACTGACTTAACCTTCCACTCACAACATGGCTTATCCCACCCAACCACAGTGGCCTCCTAGCTGTTACTTATTCCCTTTATGTTTACATCTCAAAATCTTTGTACTTAACATTCCCTTGGTCACACCTCTCCTTCAGATATTTGCATAACATATTACCTCACCTCTTTAAAATCTTCTCTGCCCTCATCTGCTTTCCAGCCTCTACATATTTTCCATATTCACATTTTTCACTAGTATTTAAGGGGTGGGAATTTCAAGGATCCTCTTGTTCTCTTCTGTATTAAGAATTAATATAGAATTTAGTGGTGGGAAGATAACTTAGCCTTTTGAAAATATCATTACTTATCAGCCTTTCAATGTATATCAATTATTTCCAAAAGAATGCTGAAATAATAGTTATTGTGATATTCTTTTCTTCTTGATATAATTTGTCATCACAAGAATGTAGGTGTATGCTTTTGTGATCATTTGTGTTTTGTACAAATGCCACCATGCCGCTTGGCTGTAGAACTATGATTTTGAAGAACTAGCAGCTAAAAGTTTTGATTACTGCAGATCTTACACTTTAATACTGTGTATGCCTCTGCTGAGTAATTCACTGAATTAGCATTTCTCCTCTTGCAGCAAGTTAAGATAAGCTTTTTGTGAGTCTGTGTCTTTTAAAATCTTGCCCTAGGTTATGCTTTGTCTACTTTATTTGTATCTGTTTCACTAAGATACAGTTTTTCAAAATACTACCTTGTTCTAGCAAGAGCTCAGTGAGGTTGGCATTCTCTTTCACTGCTTGGGTAAGTGTATAACTCTTTCTGGGAACATATATTAAGAAATTTATATATTTACATCCTCTGATTTCATATGTAGGAATCTAACTCAAGGAAATTTTTGTATGTTGATGTGTATATATAAATGTCTTTTGGTGGTAGAAATTATGAGGGTTTTCAGCTTCTCATTCTTTTCTATTTCTTCCACACTTCTTTAATGATCATCTCTTACTTTCTTACTTTTCTTTCTACTTACCTCCCCTCTTTTTCTCTGTTCCTCCCAGTACTTCATTGCTTGATTTCTCTGAGTATTAAAATGGTAGGCCAGGCGTGGTGGTTCATGCCTGTAATCCCAGCACTCTGAGAGCCAAAGCCAGAGGATCACTTGAGGCCAGGAGTTTGACACCAGCCTGGTCAACATTGTGAGATCCTGTCTCTACAAGGAAGAAAATATTGGGCAGGCATTGGTAGCTCATGCCTGTAGTCTCAGCTACTTATTAGACTGAGGTGAGAAGATGGTTTGAGCCCAGAAGTTTGAGGTTACAGTGAGCTATGATCATGCCACTGTAATCCAGCATGTGTAACACAGCAAGATCCTATCTCTTAAGAAAAAAAAAAAAAAAAAAAGATTAAATACAATCATGTATGAGGTTGGGGGGTTATATGGGAAATATCCGTATCTTTAGCTCAACTTTGCTGTGAACCTAAAACTGCTGTTAAAAAAAAAAAGAAGAAAAAAAGAAAAAAATACCTTTAGAGACATGGAGACAGACAGAGTGAGTGAGTCGTAGCTTCCAAAGAAGAGACTAAGATTTTGAGGAGATAATATCTGGTTCATATTAGGAACTCAGTAAATATTTTTGAATCATTGTATTGTTTTACTAAGCAAATGTTCCTATTTGAATGAAAAAGTAGGCTGTTGTAATTTGACTATGTCATACCACTTAAGAATCATGAAAACTACTCAGGTATCTAAGAAAGATGATGTATTTCTCTGGATAAATGAATTTTTTTTAGGACTGAAAGCATTTTTTCTATTAAGTGTGCATGTTTATGCCTAGCATTTATATGAAGCTACTAAATAAACTCTTTTAAAGAATCCTAATGTCATCCCCCAATGAATAGATTTGTCGCTGCTCTTCAGTGTACTTTTGCTATTAGCATATGTAGTTAGTTGTTTATTTCTTTTATTGCAAGAAGATGGCATTACTAAATTTCTGTAGATATTTTTTAAAGTATCTTATTCCTAAGAACTTCATTCTTACTTGTTCAATAATTGTTTGAATTGCCTTTTTGCTTTAAAGTATTATATTTTATCTTATAAATTACCATAGTATCCAAAATGGTTGTGCCCACGTCTGTTTTTCCACTGCATGGAATGAAGTGGTTTAAATCTATTTTCTTTCTCCTATAGTGGTTCCCCCTGGAAGTCCTGGGCCCATTACTCGACATGGGTCTTACGACAGTTTAGCTTCTGACCATAGTGGACAGGAAGATGAAGAATGGCTTTCCCAGGTAAAACTCTGAAATATTGAGAGTATTAAAGTAAAATAAAACAGAAATTTACTGTTTTTATTCTTTTCCTTAGAGGTAAAAGGGGAGAATTGGTAACTCTTTATTGGATTATCAAGAATTAGTTGTCTTTCCATATTACAAATTACTCCACAAATATTGCTGCAGGTGTACATATACATATTATATATACATTATACGTGTGTGTATATATATATATGTTAGCTTCCATAAACATGGCATAAAATTTGTGTATTTTTCACACAATCCATTTAAAGCCTTAGGGCCTTGGAATCAATTAATTTATTAATTTTTGAGACAGAGTCTTGCTCTGTCACCCAAGCTGGAGTGCAGTGACACGACCTTGGCTCACTGCAACCTCCAATTCCTGGTTTCAAGCGATTCTCATGCCTCAGCTTCTTGAGTAGCTGGGATTACAGGCATGCACCACCATGCCTGGCTAATTTTTGTATTTTTAGTAGAGAAGGGGTTTCGCCATGTTGGCCAGGTTGGTCTTGAACTCCTGACTTCAAGCAATCCACCCTTCTTGGCCTCCCAAAGTGCTGGGATTACAGACGTGAGCCACTGTGGCCAGCCAGGAGCTTGGAATTTAAATAGGCTCTTTGGAACACATTTTCATCAGGTTTAAAATAAAAGTTGACCTTGATGAAACAGTGAAGCCACTCAGCAATCTTTGGGATTTGTTTTGTGGAGCCAACATTTTCCGAAGATTGAGTTCATACTTTCATTATTGGAAATATAACATTCCACCCTGCAGAAATTCTGATGGTGCCTTGGTTTCCTTTCCTAAGCCCATGTAATGCTGCTTTTAGTGGTCTCTAAGCCAGCCCTACAACATTGCTGGGACTGCAGGCACGCATCACCATGCTGGCTAATTTGTTTTTTTTGTTTGTTTTTTAATGTAGAGACAGGATCTCCCTATGTTGCTTAGGCTGGTCTTGAACTCCTGGGCTCAAGCAATCCTCCTGTGTTGGCCTCCCAAAGTGCTGGGATTACAGGCAAGAGCCACCATGCCCAGTCTCCAACAGCTTCACTGACCATCCCTCCCCTTGCCAGGTGAAGCTGTCTTCATCTCAAGGGCTTTGAAATAAAAGATACTTGGGCAGATGTCAAAATGATGGGATTACAAATGACTTCATTACAAATGCTGTTATGTCTGCCTCAAGTCTGACATCATTTTATGAAGCTAATGACCTATCTCAGGTTACCAATCTGACAGCTTTTCATCGGACAGGTGCCTCAAAAATGTGGAGGCCATTTGTAGTTTCATTTCTTTCTCAAGGAGGGTAGCCTGAAAACTAAAGTCTGGAAAATCAAAAGTAAAGTAAACTGGAAAATCAAGCAGTGTCTAGGTAACATGTATTTATTTCATCACACCAAAAATATTCACAGGAAGTTCCTTGAAGGAAGTTGATTCTTCAGTTCCTGGCATGTGGCGGTCCATCCTTTCTTAATGTTAGGAAGATAAAGTAAACCCCAAATGTGTGTTTTTTCCAAAATCAAAATGTTGTCCAAGGAATGCTGGCAGAGAAACCACTGTCCTTCACTTCAACTTTTCAATTAGAAAAAGGGGTAATGTGTGCTGTCAGTGTGAAAGTATATACAATGTGTTTGTCCGGCACACAACAGGAGAGTGAATAGGAACATCTGGCCATCGCCTCGGTGAAATTGAACAGGCATCTGTTTACCTCTGGGCTCTGTGACACTGATGGTTTTGAGCTTAAAGTACACAGAATGCTTTATCTGTGGCCTAATTTACATTGCTGAATACAACTACTTGAATCAGAAATCACTGTCCTCAATCTGAGCATTTTTCTCCCTGTGATTAGTAGGAATGTGAATATTGTTCCAAAGACCATGATGCTTTTGCCCTTTTGGACTCACACAGGGCTACACTCTGTGAACCTTTTCAGTTATGTTTTGTTAAGAATTAATCACCACAATCAGAGAAATGTGATTAAATATAAAAGAACTCAGGACAAAAATAAGGCATGTGGGAAGTCAATTACATAAAGTATTTGCACAGGCATGAATGTACCATTGACAAGACATTTAAACTAGTTTGTATATTTAGTCTCTCATTCGAGTTGATTATTTGTAAAAAAAAAAAAAAATCATGTAATATATATATTTTCAGGTTTTTCCAAGTGTCTTCTACCCACTTCTTTGACTTTATAATGTTTAATAAAGTATTGGCGGCCGGGCGCAGTGGCTCACGCCTGTAATCCCAGCACTTTGGGAGGCCGAGGCAGGCGGATCACCAGGTCAGGAGACCAAGACCATCCTGGCTAACACGGTGAAACCCCGTCTCTACTAAAAATACAAAAAATTAGCCGGGCGTGGTGGCGGGCGCCTGTAGTCCCAGCTACTGGGGAGGCTGAGGCAGGAGAATGTAGTGAACCCAGGAGGCGGAGCTTGCAGTGAGCGGAGATCACGCCACTGCACTCCAGTCTGGGCAACAGAGCGAGACTCCGTCTCAAAAAAAAAATGAAATAAAATAAATAAAATAAAATATTGGCAACATTCCCTATCCCCCCCATTGAGCGTGAAATTCATAAAGCATTTTGGTATTACTGTTTTGTAGCACATCAAATGCCTGTGTCGATATTTGTGGCAGTTGAGAAAACACACTAATTAATGGTATTTGGAAGACAAAAATCTAGTTTGAGAGAAAATATATAATAATGTTTTCATTTAAAAGTGGATTGGGGTAATATTAGGGCAGTATAATAAATATTATAATATTTTATTGTGGAAATAAAGTGGCTTTGGGCATTAAAATTATTTCAGACCTTTACTTTTCCTTGGATGGTTCAAGAACAACTTCACGTTTGTCATAAGCTTGATCCTCAGTGAAGGAATTGCTTTTAATCTGTGGATTAATAGGTGTAGTATTCAGTGCATGCCCACAACATGGTAAGTACTGTCTAGAATGAATGAAAAGGTAGACCCTACGGAGCTGACACTAGTTATATGAGGCAAGCAACTGGTCCTTTTACTTTCATGTGATTTTTGTCTTGTATATGTGTGTGAGGTGTGCATGTGTGTCTGTGTATGTATATGTACACAAAATGTATTTTTGGCTTATGTTGATGAAAAGCAGTAGAGGGATATTTTGAATGTCTACATCAGCTGTGATTATCATCACCTTTTAATTATGGGTGTCCTATCCCTTTGCCACTTTAACATGGGCTTCTTGAAGAATGTGGGTGTTAAGAGGAAGAATGGGGGATTGTGAAGTCTCTCAAATCAGGATCACAAACCATTTAAATCATCATTGCTACTCCATTCCAGGTTGAAATTGTAACACACACTGGACCCCATAGACGTCTGTGGATGGGTCCACAGTTCCAGTTCAAAACCATCCATCCCTCAGGCCAAACCACAGTTATCTCATCCAGTTCATCTGTGTTGCAGTCTCATGGTCCGAGTGACACGCCACAGCCTCTTTTGGATTTTGATACAGATGATCTTGATCTCAACAGTCTCAGGTAGGAAATGAGAATTAGGGAGTGATTTGAACAAAAGGATTAATATGTTCGTGTGAAATGAGCATCATATGTAATATTTAGGTTTCCCCTTTTGGCACAGTATCATGTTGCAGACTACATGTACTGTTGCACGTAATTCCCTGTCATTACTTGAGATGGTATATAGGGTCTCGTGGGATCACATTACGTGCAATAAATACTTGCTTTTCAGATTATATTCTCCCTAAATCTAATAGTCACTGCACTTTTCAAGCAATTCCACTTTTTGATGCTTTGCTTATATTTCTAACTGCTTGAATCTGATTATGTATTCTTTTCCTGATCTTTCTGAAGTTGGCACCACCTTTCAATTAAATTTCATCTGTGATTTTTATCTAATCCTGTATCTCCCTTCTTTTAGATTATATAAAGTTTTTGGATGGAAAAACGTTGGTATAAATTCAATTATAGTTTATCTTCTATATTTTTATAATACATGTTCTCTCATCCTTATTTGTAGGAATCCTAGGACAGGTGTACAAATTATGCTTTTTATTATTAGCTTTTTTTTTTAATTGCAACTCAGACAGTTTTGACTTGCAGTCTCAAGTTTGCTTAGCAGTTTAATTTGTTATACCAAGACTTGACACATTAGGGTGCAACAGATAATGAAGGACTCAGTCTAATGTAATATAATCTCCCTTTTCTTGTCTTCTCTTTAAAAAAAACTCTATAGTATATCTTGAATTGAATATAAAACAACCCTCTGACCTTTTTCTTGCACACCTTTTAAAAAATAGTGGGAAAAAATGTTCCAGTTACATAGTGGAAATACGTTTTTGTCTTCTTTGTCAGTAACAATAAAAAATTTTTATAACAAGATGAAAATTGTTGCAAAGTTGGATTATGCCTGATGTATCTGTTTAGAAAATATGACACATATTTACTGAGTACCTGCCAGGAGGTGCCAGGAGATAAGCCTAGAGTACGGCCGGCTGCCTACTTGGGTCTGAATTGCAACTCTTCATCTCACTCCCTAATCCTGCTCTCACCCCTATTCTTTGTCATCTCTATTTTATTTTATTTATTTTTTATTTTATTTTTTGAGACGGAGTCTTGCTCTGTCACTCAGGCTGGAGTGCAATGGTGTGATCTCTGCTCACTGCAACCTCTGTCTCCTGGGTTCAAGCAGTTCTCCTGCCTTAGGCTCTTGAGTAGCTGGGATGACAGGCGCCCGCCACCAGACCCAGCTAATTTTTGTATTATTAGTAGAGACGGGGTTTCAACATTTTGGCCAGGCTGGTCTTGAACTCCTTACCTCAAGTGATCCTCCCGCCTTGGCCTCCCAAAATGCTGGGATTACAGGCATGAGTATTTTTTTTTTTTTTTTTTTTTTTTTTTGAGACTGAGTCCCACTCTGTCACCTGGGCTGGAGTGCTGTGGTGCGATCTCAGTTCACTGCAACATCTAGAATGTATTCTAGCCTCCTGTATTCAAGCGATTCTCCTACCTCAACCTCCTGAGTAGCTAGTATTACAGGTATGTGGCACCACGCCTCCCTAGTTTTTGTGTTTTTAGTAGAGATGGAGTTTCACTATGTTGGCCAGGCTGGTCTTGAACTCCTGACCTCAGGTGATCTGCCCGCCTCTGCCTCCCAAAGTGTGGGGACTACAGGCGTGAGCCACTGCACCTGGCCTCATCTCTTTAAATTACTCCACAAACTACCTACTCAAGACAGAATCTAGAGGTTATCCTTGAAATCTCTCCTTTCACAGATGCCACATCTAATTCTTCACCAACTTATGTCATTTCTATTCAAAATACATCTAGAAACCTTCCACTCCTCTCCATTCCTAATGCCAGCACCCTAGCAACATCTCACAGACTCCTAACTGCTGTCCCTTTTTACATTTTTGCTTTCCCCTGACTGATGTATCTTCTTAAAGAATGATTCAGCCAGGCGTGGTGGCTCACGCCTGTAATCCCAGCACTTTGGGAGGCTGAGGAGGGTGGATCATGAGGTCAGGAGTTCGAGACCAGCCTGGCCAACATGATGAAACCCCATCAAAACCCTACCAAAAAAATACAAAAAATACAAAAAATTAGCCGGGCATGGTGGTGCACACCTGTGATCCCAGCTACTCGGGAGGCTGCGGCAGGAGAATTGCTTGAACACAGGAGGCGGAGATTTCAGTGAGCCGAGATCGTGCCACTGCATTCTAGCCTGGGCAACAGAGTGAGACTCCGTCTCAAAACAACAAACAAACCAACACACAAAAAAAGAACGATTCATCAAGAAGAATGTATCTTCTTTTAATACCTTGTTTAGTATTTTTTGTTTACTCTGCTTTGTATTTTGTTTTTTTCTTCTCTGCATTTTTTTTGTTCCAGCATAATTCCTCCAGCTTTCTAAAAATGACATTTTTTGACCAAGATGTCAGGTAATAATGACAGAATACAGTGAGAGTGTCAGACCAATTTTCAGTGATGCTAATTGATTAAATATGGTCTAGATTAGGACCTGAAGCCATGATCAGGGAGTCAATTCTTTGCAGTCCTCAACTTAGTGATTCAGTGTACTCGTGTTTACAACAGTCATTTGGTTATTTAAATCTTAATAATAAAGCGTTTAAAATAAGTAACCAATTTATTCTCTTCACAACTATATAACACATTTAGTTTTTTTGCTAAACCGTGCACAAGACACTGTCTCATTTTTTTTCTAGTGATTGACCAGCTGCTATTTATAAAGCCCTGTGCTGTACTTTTTCTGAGGATGTCTTTGCCCCATTGTTTCGTGGCCTCCTCAGCTTTCTTTGTTACTCTTTTCCTCAGGTATAGTCCTTCTATTAAGATAATTCTAACTCGCTTCTTTTAAAAGCAGATATAGCTACTTTTCAGAATCCTTAAGAATTTTCCTCGCAGACTTTCCCTTTGTTAATAATAATAAATAACTCCCCAAATTTTGTTTAAATCTAAATGACTTTAAATTGTTTATGTTTGATTAGAATATTATCCTGTTTACAGGACACATATAACCTTTAGAAACCTTTATACTGAGCAGCAGGTTTATAAATTTCTGTTAATTGCATTTGTAATTTATATTTTAAACTTTCAGCAGGTAAGCTTGGTTGGGACCTTGGCTAAGACCCTACAGCAGTTTTTATGGGAAATATAGATTTTATTCACATCAATTTTAAGTCCTTTTTAGTACCACCATTTCCCACCCGGCATCCAATTAGAAACCCAACTATTGAGATTCTCCTCATTCTCGTTTATGATCACTCTAGCCCAGCTCCTTGTCTCTCATCTGATTTCTACACGCCTGTGCATGGTGGCCTATGGCCGACCATTGGCTTTACTTTCTCTCTTAAATTGTGAAGTCCTTGTTTAGATTTTTTGGGGCTCACCTGACCCTTGACACCTAGTACACTGTCCTGTACCCCATAGGATACCAATAATAATATGTAGTGCAGTGATAATCTTCCTCCCTGCCGCCTAACCAAAATGGGAAACAGGCAGGCATAGTGTTGACTCTCATCCATAAGGGAATCAGGCAAGCTCCCTACACAGAGCAGGTGTTTAAAAAGAATGGGCAATGAAATATTTGCTAACAGACCTGAGAAACATATAATGTAAAAGATGCTGAGTATGCAAAGCCTCTCTTTCCACTCGATTAGCTCCTCAGAAATTGGTTATCATTTATTTTATTTTATTTAACTGAGATATAATTCACATAACATGAAATTTACCAGTTTTAAAATGTACAAGTCAGTGGGTTTTAGTATATTCACTATGTTTGGCATCCATCCCACTAATTTCAGAACGTTTCCATCATCCCAACCAGTTTTTCTCTTTTTTTAATTATGAAGAAAATTCAAACATGTATAAAATAAAAAGAAAAATAGCATAAACCCCCATATATCTGTTGTCCAGCTTCAGCTATCAAGTCATGGCCAATCTTGCTTCATCTGTAGCCCCATTCACACCCTACCTCCAACTCTGGATTATTCAGAAACCCCAATATAAATTGACTAACTATAGGAGTTGTATTAGCCCACATAGGAAGTTGTTTAGACTAGAAGGGGGCATAATTTTGAATGGACTGACCATATCTAAGAGGCTAGCTTTTTGTTGCTCTCAAGAACAAGGAAACTTCTTTTCCAGACACTTTAAATAAACTTCTCTTTTCTAACTGGCCCACATTAGCTTAGGCTTACCTATCCCCTAACTAACCACTGCCGAGATGTGATGAGATTACCATGATTGGCTTAGAAAAATTAGCTGGGGTGGAATGAATATTGGGTAGTCCTACATAGCAGTGATCAATATTTGTTAATCAGTATTTTCACCTTCCGGTAATAGATCATCCTATACCTCCCTCCTGTTTTTTCTTCCTCACAACAAAAGCATGCATTTCATAACTAGTCTGCAGTTCATACTTGGCATTTCAGGCTTCTGTCATCTGTCCCATGTTTCTTATCAACTTTTTATCTTCCATCAATAGCCTTTATGAACTCTATACTTCAGCCAAATCATGCACTTCAAGATGCCCTGAATCTATCGTATTCAGTCACTAATCTAAGTTTCTATATGTTGTAGTCCTGTGCTTAAAGGGCATTTCTTGCTCCTCTTCATTATGCGTATATACTATTACTATATACAGACCTAATCCCTGTTCCAGCTCTGCAAGATCTCTAACTGATGTGGACCCTGCATGTATTCCCCCATCTCCTCAATCTGAGCTTTTACTATTTATGTCATTCATATTTACACTTTAGTTTTATTTTGCATTGTCATGAATGTTCATGTGCTATGTCATATATATACACATTGGTCTGTATTTTATGTTTTGTTTCTGCTTGTTCTCAGAGTAATGCCTACAAGCAATTAATATTCAGTAAATACTTACTGTATGAATGAATTACCAGAAATGCATGCATATATTGTTGTAATAAGTTTTTGTTTCACTAAGTTGCCTGGGACTTTCAGATCTTTTAATCTTCCAGATACTTTTATGTTAATAGTATTTATTCTAATGCAGCTAGAAAGAGACACTCGGCATTTGGCATTTATATGTTTATTATTCTTTTTTTTTTTTTTTTGAGACGGAGTCTTGCTCTGTCACCCAGGCTGGAGTGCAGTGGCACGATCTTGGCTCATTGCAACCTCTGGTTTTTGGGTTCCAGCAGTTCTCCTGCCTCAGCCTCTTGAGTAGCTGGGACTATAGGTGCATGCCACCACACCCGGCTAATTTTTGCATTTTTAGTAGAGACGGGGCTTCACCGTGTTAGCCAGGATGGATGTTTATTATTCTTAAGCAACTTTAAATTGTGTGTAGTAATTTGCACGTTTACTGAGGTTCTAATTGATTGTTGTATGCTAGTTGGTAATTTTATAAAGGTAGCTCAGTTAGTAGTGACCCACCCCGGCCACAGTACATCTTTGTTATCCTATGCTTACTGTCAGATATAAAGTAACTTTCATTGAGCATTTTAATGGAGCATCTCAAAATTTGAAATTACACATTGCTGCCTTTTATGGAACACATTAATAGCTATGGTGATATTAGTGAATTTCAGGATTCTCAAAACTCTTCATGTGTGTCCCTTGGAAATCCCAAAGGTTTCAGTATAAACATTTTCAGTGTTTAATTTCCTCTCCCATTCTACTTATTGTATCCCTTTAAATTAATGTCAGCTTTTCAGTCCCTTCCTTAAAAATCTATGGAATAACACACAAAGATAAGTTAGAAGGGGTCCAGAGTGTAGAGAATATTTGTAGTGTTTTATCCTTGTGCAGCAATTAGGGACTGCAGCTCCCCTGTTTGTCTTGTTTTAGAATGGATGGTTCTTTAATGGATTGTGCTACTCCAGCATTCCTGATTTAAGGTCATTTGTAGCAAGTGACAGTTTTGATGCCAGTAACATATGTGAATTAAATTAAATTGCATTGCAGGATCCAGCCAGTCCGCTCTGACCCCGTCAGCATGCCAGGGTCATCCCGTCCAGTCTCTGATCGAAGGGGAGTTTCCACAGTGATTGATGCTGCCTCAGGTAGAAAACCACCTCTGAAATATTTATTGGGCAGTCCTGTGCATTTTTAACTAATTTTCTCGCACAATGTAGAGGATGACATTTATTTGCTTTCCTCTCTGTTTTTTTGTTTTGTGGTGTGTGTGCATTTTAATACAGTACTGTGCCTATATTTCTTGCTGAACAATGCCATGCTTTTAAGCATTCCTAAGGTTGGTGAATGATGCAGTGGAGTTGGCACTTGATTAAATGTAATGAACATAGTATTGAAGGCTACAGGGTTGATGACTGTTTTGCCTTTGATCACTGAAATGTGGAGAAGCAACCTTGACAGAGAACGTAAATACAATCTATGGATTCAATTTACTCAACCTGTTGAGTATCAAAGTGCCTAATCTGTGGGAGTAGAGAGGAGACAGTCCAAATGCTATAGCTTGAATGATTTTATTATCAAAAGCATCAAGTTTAAAAATTCATTAACTTAACCCTGGTCTATCTATCACAGTTATTAATTTCCTATCCTTGGAAACAAGCTATGAATATGTATCATTAGTACAGAGAAGGAGATCTTTGCCTTTATAGGTGATCGTTGCTCCATTAGTATTATAAAACTTTTCAGCCAGGCCTACTAAATGGTAGAATTGTCTGTAGTGATATATTTTCTCGTCTCTAAGTCAAGTGATAAAATAAGGACAGTGATGCCTTGCTTTATAGTGCAGCTGGGGAGCATCTGAAGACAGCGCATGGCAGGATTTTGTCCAAAAATTCTCTCTCAAGTAGAATTATTAAATACTCGGCGTTAGTCAAACAGTTGAGTCAGAGAGGATTTTAATCTATAGCGATTTCAAAATCCCTAGAGACTGCTGATTTGATTGAGGCTTAAACTGTGAAAGAAAATGGAAACAAACACAAAACTGATTTGTGAAGGTCACTTTAAAAAGACCAAAGTTTCTGTCTGTGGATATGGATATATTTTTAAGTTTCAAAGCTAATGGGTTTTATACATATTCTTAGCTTTCTGATTTTTTGGTTAGTGGATTGTACCTTGCATCTTACTGAGCTGCCCCATCTAGGGCTATGCCTTCATTTTTAACGTAGACTATTACTTTAGAGGACTCATACTTGTTCCTACTGCTTTAACTTGGCAACCATGGTTGTCCCCTGGAAATGAGCATGGAAATGTGTAGAGTCGCTATCATTGCTTCCCGGCACTGAATGAGATATCGAGATAGGGAACTTAAACAATAAATCTTTTTTATAGTCACATTCTGAGAATGCTAAGAGATTGTTGTGCTCGTTTGGAATGATCGTTTACAATTGTGAATCCTGGAAATGTTACATATTTTAATCTGAAGTATTTTATTCAAGATTACAAGAGTAGGCCTTGATTGGGCTTTTTAAACCTTCTTAAACTACCAGATTACTGATGTTTTATTGTCGAGTGACTAGCTACTAGGAACACATGCTGCCAAAGCAGTTACCTTGTGTTATTAAAAGTAGACATATTCAATACTAGATTCTGAGGTAACACTCCATATATATATATTTATTTTTTATTTTTTTGAGACAGAGTCTCCCACTGTCACCCATGCTGGAGTGCAGTGGCACGATCTTGGCTCACTGCAGCCTCTGCCTCCCAGGTTCAAGCAATTCTCCTATCTCGGCTTCCCGAGTAGCTGAGACTACAGGCACCTACCTGACACCACACCCAGCTAGTTTTTGTATTTTTAGTAGAGATGGGGTTTCACCTTGTTGGTCAGGCTAGTCTTGAACTCCTGACCTCAGGTGATCCACCTGCCTCAGCCTCCCAAAGTGTTGGGATTACAGGCATGAGCCACTGCGTCTGGCCAACATTCCATATTTATCATGTAGCAATCTTAGCTGTATGTAAAGTCATCTCATGCAACAAGGGAGGAGCTTCAGTGAACTGTTATTTAAATCCTTTTGCAAGAAGAGTTTTTAAGTTGACTTTTGAATAAGGAATTAGATCCTACATGTAAATAATCTGATATGTAAGTAGTCCTAAGATTACTTAATTTGCATCAGAGATACACTGTATGAGTTTCGATGGCATTGACCCTCTCTGCCTGAAAGTACCCATCTTTTGAGTAGGAAAGAACTTCTTGGTGGCTAAGCTTTATTATTATTTTTCTAGGCCTGTTTTCATTCCAGGAAGCCATGGTACCTTTCTGAAAGACAACCAAAACAGTGAAACATGTGTGCTGCCTTCTTTAACTTTGAGCTAAAGAAGCCTCATAGATAAGGAATTGGACTTTTATGAGTAATTCTCTCTTCAGCTACCTCTCAATTGGTTCAGATCCCTTTTGAATGAGAAATATATGTTAACGCATTTTTTGAGTGAATAATGTTTTGTCGTGGAATGTCCATCTACTTTAATAGGACCAACTGTTGTCAACAGAATTACTTTCTACATCTGTGGAAAACAACATCTAGGCTAACAAAAATCAAGGTAGCAAGTCTAACGAAATCGAGGCTAAATAATTTGAGTTCTTTATGTAAACATATTTATGGGAAAATTTTGTTGTAGATTCTTCTGTTAAAAAGAATCTAATAAATTTTTATAATTGCTCTTGAACCGGGAAGTGCACCTCTGATTATGATCCATGCATTGGAGTCAGCTGCACATCAGGAAGTTGCTTATCTGGAGGTTTCATTGCCTGTTACTTGGAGATACGACCAGTGTGGCACCTCCTCTGTTGGTCTTCATTGCCCTGTATTACCTTCAAGCATTTTATATGACTTCATGGATTATCTTCTTAATTATTCCTATGGCACATGTTACACCTAACCCTCTATTTTAGTGACAGCTCTTGCTCTGTCTAACCTTGTGGCAGTATAATTGTTTTTCATATAATTACTTTATTCACAGATAATAGAATTTAATGTGATATAATTAAATCCTTTGACAATTATAACAGTTTTTAAAGTGAAAATATTTTATTTAAATCTTGGGTCTGCAGTTTATTTTCTAGATATCTATGTATTAATCCAACAACGTTATTCCATTGAAACTAAAAGAGGTGTGCAGAGTGTGCCACTTTTACCATGTAATGGTTTTTTTCACAATTTCTTAATATCTGGTAATCTCTGGTTCATGCTTTTGCAAAGAAACACATTGCCTAAAATACATATTTTTAAATTATTAACTTCAGTGATTTAAGCACCGGGTAAATTCTATGCCTTTAGACACCTATGAACTAGATTCTTACTGTCTCTCTGTAAAATACATATAGAGTATTTTTGATTTTCAGCAGTTCTATAACTGCTTGATGAGTAGATGTTATTCCCATAACATCTGTCTCATCTTGTCTTTGGTGATTCTAATGACACCATACCAGCTGGGCGCAGTGGATCACAACTATAATCCTAGCACTTTGGGAGGCCGAAGCGGTGGATCACTTGAGGTCAGGTGTTTGAGACCAGCCTGGCTAACATGGCAAAACCCCGTCCCTAATAAAAATACAAAAATTAGCTGGGCATGGTTTCACATGGCTGTAATCCCAGCTACTCAGGAGGCTGAGGCACAAGAATTGCTTGAACCCGGGAGGCAGAGGTTGCAGTGAGCTGAGATTGCACCAGTGCACTCTAGCCTGGGTGACCGAGCAAGGCTCTGTCTCAAAAAGACAAAACAAAACGAAACAAAACAAAAACCATCCTACCTAAAATTTGTGGGGGTTAAATAATTGTAAGATGTTCCATTGTTGGCTGAGGAGATCATTTTGGAAATGGACACATTATAGGATTTTAACCTAAGACACAGGCTACCCAGAACAAATGGGATTTGGGGCAGTTGCTCACTTTTTCCCATATCCAGCTGATGAACAACAATGTCGATGAATCATTGATAGTATTTCTAGCCAAAGCACTGCATCAATTTATTCATTTTCCTGTATGTTCATTTTGGCTAGATAGCTAAGAATTTCTTTCTATTCTTTGTACCTTATAACCTGTGCCCTTCTTTTGATAAAGATGTAGGACCTCTAAAGAGAAAGCAGAAAGACAGCTGTCAATGTCTTGTTGGAACTTTGTTTTCCAGATTGCTGACTATTCTTGTTCCAAAACTTGAAGGCTATACCTA
Source organism: Homo sapiens (assembly GCF_000001405.40). NCBI lineage: Eukaryota > Metazoa > Chordata > Mammalia > Primates > Hominidae > Homo > Homo sapiens. Next base: position 61,088,643 of record NC_000017.11, read on the forward strand.
ATAGATAACCTTTCCTTGCTTCTGAGTCATCAAATCAAAGAGCCTAGAAAGATCTGGTTCACCCCTGAGTTTGTTTGTCCTGATTTGTGGTTTTACTATGGAGATGGATGTTTACTAACAAAGAACTCAGATAATTGAGATCGAAAGACAAACTTATGCGTGACTCATATGCAGAGCAGACATCTTTATCAAACTCTATTAAAGAAAACATTTTATAAAGTTATGAGGTGTGGTGGAAGCAGTGTTTGTGTACATGCCTGAGGAAGTGTGGTGGAAGCAGTGTTTGTGTACATGCCTGAGGAAGATGGTAGTGTGAGAAGGACAATGTGACAGATAAGAAAAATGACTTCTTATCCTGAGCAGCCTTGGATCATAAGGTATTAGTGTTACATCAAGCATTTCAGTAAATAGGGACAAAGTTGCAGACTTGGGGTTTTTTGTTGTTCTTGACTCAAGAGAAATACTACTTTTGTTGTACAATTGAAGTAATAAAAATAATTAATTTAGGAGATACCTTTTGAGCACCTAATTTTCTCCACTATCAAATACTGTTTACTGAAGAAAATTACACACTTAAAATCCCAAACTAGTTTGATTTGATTGATTTTATAATGATCATTTATGCCTACTTTATGTATTTGGCATTTGGTATATCACCTTAAAAAAACAAATAATACTCATTAATAGAGAAGTGTGATTAGATAGGTGACAAGGAGGTTATTTGAGCAGTTTTTGTTTTGTCTTGCAGTCAAATCTGTGCTGGAAGGACCTTCTTATAGAGGCATTCTTTTATCATATAGAGATTTTGTTCATGGACTGGGGGAAGAGTATTCTTTTTTTTTTTTTCTTCGAGACGGAGTTTCACTCTTTTTTTTTTTTTTTTTTTTTTTTTTTTTTTTTTTTTTGAGACGGAGTCTCGCTGTGTCACCCAGGCTGGAGTGCAATGGCACGATCTCAGCTCACTGCAACCTCCGCCTCCTGGGTTCAAGCCATTCTCCTGCCTCAGCCTCCCAAGTAGCTGGAATTAACAGGCACGCGCCACCACGCCCGGCTAATTTTTTGTATTTTTAGTAGAGTCGGGGTTTCACCATGTTGGCTAGGCTAGTCTCGAACTTCTGACCTCAGGTGATCCACCCACCTCGGCCTCCCAAAGTGCTGGGATTACAGGCATGAACCACCGCGCCCAACCTGGGGGAAGAGTATTCTAAGATTATATTTCACTGTATTGACAGTTGCCATTTCAATCTGAGGCCTACTTAGGTACTATTTCTTAAAGGCTGTCAGAGGCATAGAGATGCTGATGGTAAAAATAAAGAGATTAGTGAGAGACATTGTTCAGTCTACAATGATGTGGCCACATAGCTCCATGGTCTTAGAGCTAGAACTGAGTGGAAAAAGCCATGACTTCATAATCATGGTCTTGAACTTTTGCTGAAACCTTCAAGTCATTCTCCTACCATGCCATTCACTTCTACATCAGTAAAAGAAGATTAAGAGTCCCTATGCAAAACTTTTTTTACCACCTTTTGTGGAAGGGGTGTGTTCAAATTATTTCCTTAAGTAACTCCTGAATATAAAGTTCTTCAGAAATATTAAGATATTTTTTGAATAAATGATGTGATTTTCAATTAATAGAGTTTCAGATATTCTTGATGATTATAAAGTGACAAAAACTCCAGGGCATATACCTTGGGTACTGAAAGCTTGTGTGGGATCAGTAAGAAGATTAAGGATAAGAGTGAAATTAAAAGAAGGCTCAGCCCTGACCTGTGAACAATCCCTCAGAGGGGAAAAAATATTCAAACTCAAATATTAAGATTGGCTTTTATATTAGAAATGAGTAAGTGTATACATTAAATTAATTCTAATCTTTCGACTATCTGCTGTCTATATAAAATCAAAAGTAAGTTTTAGAGATTAAGAACATAGGGAAAAGACCTTATTTGCCCATAAGGAAAATGCTCAGCTGTATCTCTCCTCTTCTGATTTAAACATTCCTCTTATTCTTCTTTCTTTCTTTCTTTCTTTTTTTTGAGATGGAGTCTCACTGTGTTGCCCAGGCTGGAGTGCAGTGGCGTGATCTTGGCTCACTGCAACCTCTGCCTCTCGGGTTCAAGCGATTCTCCTGCCTCAGCCTCCCGAGTAGCTGGGATTACAGGCATGTGCCACCATGCCCAGCTAACTTTTGTATTTTAGTAGAGATGGGGTGTCACCATGTTGGTCAGGCTGGTCTCAGACTCCTGACCTCGCGATCCACATGCCTCGGCCTCCCAAAGTGCTGGGATTACAGGCGTGAGCCACCGTGCCTGGCCCTTTCTTCTTTCTAGTATTTATAGGATGTTAGAAGACCAAAGTCAAGTTAACAATGAGGAAAATTTTAGTTCAGCACAATTAAGAAAAAATGATAGCCCCATTTGAAGATGAAGAAACAGTAAACAAAAGTAGAAGAAGCTATTGGGAAAGTGTCTTCTGATGACACATTGCTTCTTTGAATAAATCTTTGTGTCAACTAAAACCTTGCCTATGCTTTCTATATTGCAAGCATCAGGTCCTTGACATGGCTTTAAATCTTTCCTAAGCATTTTGAGAGGGAATTGATGCAATACTTCTCACTGTTGATATAGTAGGGTTCCACATATTTACATGGGACTTTTTGACCAAAGACCCAACTTTTCACTTTTGTACATTTACTGTGCCTCTCATACAGGGCTGGACTGTTTATGTAGTCTGTTGCATCACACTATGGTGGCAGGGGGACAGAGTTGGGGGCACTATTAGAATTTGTTTAAGTCTGAACCGGGAATTCCATTTGTCTTAGTGACATGAGTGTCAAAACTGTTAGTGCAACACTATTTTAAACTGTCTGCAAGAGCCTGAGAGGCTTATGCTTATAGGTGCCATCTATAAACTTAGAAACAAACAAAGAGCCCCTCTCCATTGAATAGTAAGCCCAGTGGGCAATTAAAGAACAGCTTGGGACCCCACTTGGTCAACTAGTCAGAACCAGAGCTTCTGATATTCCCTCTGGATATTGTTGAGAACTGTCACAGAAAGGCTAAAGTAAATAATCAAAATGAAAATAGTTGTTCCAGAGAAAAGTCTTGTTCTGGAAGCTTGGTGTTAAGGAAAGAATAATGACCACTAATTTGTGGATCTTTGTTAGTTCTAGTCTCAGCGGAGTCCCTTTCAGCTTGAAACATGGATGAACCTGTGTTTTCAAGCACCTCTGAAGATGTTTTTAAAATTAGGGTATAATTTGGGTATAGCAAAAATGCATGTTTTAATCATACAGCTTGATGAATTTTTATACTCAGCCACCACTCACATAAAAACATAGAATATTTCCGTCAACCCAGAAAGTTTCTTATGCCCCTTCCAGTTAATACTACCAGTGACCTAGAGGTAACCATTTTTATCATCACAGATTACCTTTACCTGTATTAAACTTCATATGATTGGAATCATCTTGTGTCTGTGCTTTTGTATCTAACCTCTTTTGCTCAACTTAATTTGTTTGAGATTCATCCAGGTATTACATGAATCACTAGTTCATTTTTAATATTGCAGTGTAGTGTTCCATTCTTCAAATATACCACACTTTATATATCCAATATTCTGTCATTTCCAGCTTTTGGCTATTAGGAATAAAGCTGCTATAAACATTTTTTTATAAGTCTGTCTGTCTGTCTCTCTCTCTCTCTCTGTCTCTCGTCAACATATGCATACATTTCCTTTGGGCATATCCCTAGTACTGGAATTGCCGGATCACAAAGTAGGCATATGTTTAACTTTATTAGGAACTGCCAACACGTTTTCCAAAATGACTGTACCATTTTGCATTCCTATCAGCAATGCATGAGCGTTCCAGTTGCTCCACATTCTCATCAACACTTGATATTATTGATCTTTATTTTAACCATTCCAGTGGATGTGAACTATGGTTTGAATTTGCTTTTCTCTGTTGAGTAATGGTATTGAGCATCTTTAATATACTCATTGGCCATTTGGATATCATCTTTTGTAATGTCCTAGTTAACTCACTGATTTTTATTAGATATGTTGTCTTTATTGAATACCAAGTGTTCTTTAAATATTCTGGATATGGTCCTTTTGTGAGATATGTGCATTGCAAATATTTTCTTTCAGTTAATTGCGTTTTCACTTTCTTAATGGTATCTTTTGACAAGCAAAAATCTAATTTTTTCATTGTTTTTTCCTTTTATGTTTTCACAAACAAAAAAAATCTTTTGTCCAGTCTTTTTTTTTTTTTTTTTTTTTTTTGAGACAGAGTCTCAGTCTGTCACTGAGGCTGGAGTGCAGTGGCATGATCTCGGCTCACTGCAACTTCCGTCTCCCAGGTTCAAAGTGATTATCCTGCCTCAGCCTCCCAAGTAGCTGGGACTACAGGTGCCCACTACCACGCCCAGCTAATTTTTTGTATTTTTAGTAGAGATGAGGTTTCATCATGTTGGCCAGGCTGGTCTCGAGCTCCTGACCTCAGGTGATCTGCCTGCCTCGGCCTCCCAAAGTGCTGGGATTACAAGTATAAGCCACCATGCCCAGCCCCTCCAGTCTTGAAGAGATAACTCTTTTCTAGAAATTGTATAGTTTAAGCCTTCACATTTAGGACTATGATCCTTTTCAAATTAATTTTTTATTGTGGGTGGTCAAGTGTGGTGGCTTATGCCTATAATCCCACCTTGGGAGGCCCAAGTGGGCAGATTGCATGAGCTTAGGAGTTTGAGACCAGCCTGGGCAACACAGCAAAACTCTGTCTGTACAAAAAGTACAAAAATTAGCCAGGCATGGTGGTGCACAACTGTTGTCCCAGCTACTTAGGAGGCTGAGATGGGAGGATCACTTAAGCCTGGGAGGTTGAGGCTGCAGTGAGCTGTGATCACGCCACTGCACTCTAGCCTAGGTGGCAGAGCAAGACCTTGTTTAACAAACAAAAAAAAATTTTATTTTGATGTAGGGCAGGGATCAAGGTGTTTAGTTTCTTCCGGTTGCTCCCACATTGTTTATCAAAAAGATACGCCTTTCCTATTATGAATTGCACTGATGCCTTTTTAAAATTTTTATTTTTTCTTGGGTTCTTTATTCTGTTACATTGATTTATATAGCTGTCTTTTTACCCACATTGTACTACCTTAATTACTGTAGATGTTTAGTAAGTTTTGAAGTCTCATATTTTAAGGCCTCCACCTTTGTTTTTCATTCTGGTTATCTTGGCTATTCTGGGGCCTTTGCATTTCCACACATGTGCATTTGTACGAACATACCAGTGGTTTTTCAAACTCTGGGAATTCCCAAGACACTTTCAAGTGGTCTATTAAGTCAAAATTATTTTTATACTAGTATCAAGTTATTATTTGCCTTTGTTTTTTCTACTGTGGTGAAATTTAGTATAGATGGTGCAGAAGCAATTGTGGGTAAAACTGGTGGCCTGTTATCATAGTAAAGGCAATGGCACCTAACTATTGCTAGTAGCCTCTGCTACCTACTTAAGAGTTCTTTTTTAAGCTGTATTCACCTAAGAATATCTTTAAAGCAGTAAAAATCATCAACTTTAATTTTATTAAGTTTTGATCCTTGTGTAACATCTTAATATTCTGTATATCAAGTGGGAATGAATGCACAGTAGTTGTCTTGAGGGAAAGCCATTGTGATTTGTAAACTGAACTAGCAACTGTTTTCATGGAATCCCATTTTATCTGAATAAAACAAACTATGTTTATTCAGACATGGGCATTTGGCAGAAATTTTCTCAAAAATAAGCAAACCCTGTCACTTCGAAGAAAACAACTAACAATATTTATTACCAATAATAACATTCTAGCTTTCAATTGAAAATTAGAAATTTGAAAACCTTGTATCCACCACTGTCTGTTTAACAGAGTCCCAATATTTAAAGACATTTCTCGGCCGGACACGATGGCACACGCGTATAATCCCAGTACTTTGGGAGGCCAAGGCGGGTGGATCACCTGAGGTTAGTTCAAGACCAGCCTGACCAACATGGTGAAACCCTGTCTCTACTAAATACAAAAAATTAGCTGGGTGTGGTGGTGCATGCTTGTAAGCCCAGCTACTTGGGAGGCTAAGGCAGGAGAATCGCTTGAACCCGGGAGGCAGAGGTTGCAGTGAGCCAAGATCGTGCCATTGCACTCCAGCCTGGGCAACAAGAGTGAAACTCTGTCTTAAAAAAAAAATTTCTCATTAAATAAGTAGTGATATTAACTAATATGATTTTTTGCATAATAGATATTAAAATATATCAGCATTTGGAACATCTGCAACATTTTCCGAATGACCAGTTTCATGTTGCTACAAAATCATGCAAGAGTAAAGGACTCATTCCAAATGCAAGATAGGACAAAGGATTTTAATGTAATAGAATATGAAAGTTAATTGATATAGTTTCAGATTCCACATTGCAACTAATTTGTTAAGGATCATATCAAGGAAGAATATCCCCAGAACCTGAAAATGCTATTAATATACTTTATCTTTTAGCAGTTACGTATTTGAGTTAGACCAACTTTTCTTCGTGTACGTCAACCAAAACAGCATATCAGAACAGATAGAATGCAATAGCAGATATGAGAATCTAGCTGTTGTCTATTAGAGGATTTTCTCTTAAAAATGTTACTTTTCTCACTTCTTTCTGTTTAGAAAATATTTTTATATAGAATGTAATTGATATTTCTACATAGAGGCTTTATCATTGTTTTTAAATTAGCTGATACATAATTGTATTAAATGTTGATAGATATAGTACATATAAACCAAAGATCTTTGGGGTCCTGGGTTTTTTGTTGTTGTTGTCGTTTGTTTGTTTTTTTGAGACAACCTCACTTTGTCATCCAGGTTGGAGTGTGGTGGTGCAATCTCGGTTCATTGCAACCTCTGCCTCCAGGTTCAAGTGCTTCTCCTGCCTCAGCCTCCCGAGTAGCTGGGACTCCAGGCATGCACCACCATGCCCGGCTAATTTTTGTATTTTTAGTAGAGACAAGGTTTCACCATGTTGGCCAGGCTGGTCTTGAACTTCTGAGCTCAAGTGATCTGCCCACCTTGGCTTCCCAAAGTGCTGGGATTACAGGTATTAGCCACCGCACCTGACTGGGGTCCTGAGTTTTTTTAAGCACACTGGGATCCTGAATTTTAAAATGTTTGAAAACCACTGGTATGCATATTCTCGTACACACACACACACACACACACACACACATTAAATTACTAGTTTGTTTGTTTATTTCTACAGAAATTCAGATGAGATTGGATTGGGATTTCATTGAATCTGTATATCAAATTTGGAAGTATTGACATCTTAAAAATACTAAATCTTTCAAAACAAGCTTTTTTAATTTTTTGAGATGGAGTCTTACTCTGTTGTCCAGGCTGGAGTGCAGTGGTGTGATATCGGTTCACTGCAACCTCCACCTCCAGGGTTCAAGCGATTCTTGTGCCTCAGCCTCTGAGTAGCTGAGATTACAGGCAAAACATAAACTTTTATAACTATTCACTTATTTAAGCCTTCTTTAATTTCTCCTTGATAAGTTTCAATGTAGAAGTCTTACACATCTTATATAAAAGTTTTTTCTTTCTATTATTACATTTTGATGATAACTATAGCACGTTTTTATTTCACTTGTCAGTTTTCTTTACAGCATATAGAGTAAAATACTTTTCTGTATAATAAACTTGTATCCCAGCCTGGGCAATATAGTCAGACCTCGTCTCTACAAAAAAAAAAATTTTTAAATTAGCTGAGTATGGTGGTATGCACCTGTAGTCTTAGCTACCTGGGAGGCTGAGGTGGGAGGATTGCTTGAGCCCAGGAGGTTGAGGCTACAGTGAGCCAAGGCTGCATCACTGCACTCTAGCCTGGGTGACAGAGGGGAAACCCTGTCTCAAAACAAAAAATGAACTTGTTTCCAGCAACTTTTCCAAATTCGTTTATTCATTCTAATAGTAGAATCTCTTGGATTTTCTACTATGTAATCATGTCATCTGCAAATAAAGATGGTTTTATTTCTTTTTAATCTTTATCTTTCTCCCATATTACACTTGTTTAAACCTCCACTACGATGTTGAATAGAAATGATGATATTGAATATTCTTGTTTTCTTCTCAACCCTAGGAGGAAGGGTTTATTATTTCACTATGAAGTATAATGACAATAAGCAAAAATTTATCAAAACTGAAGCAGAGAGAGAAAAATACTGAAATAAAATAGAACTCACTGTGAGCGGTATATCAAACTATAGCAGTATCAAACTGTCTAACATCTGTGTAATTATTTCACATATGTGGAAGAAAAGAAGAGGATATGGCAAAAGAAATGCATGAAGGGTTGAGAATTTTCCAAAGTTAATGAAAGACATAAGTCAAAGTTTTAAGAAACTCAGTGTATGCTGAGTGAGATATTAATAAACACAAAGAAAACCATACGTAGACATATTATAATCAAACTGTTCAGATCTAAACATAAGGAAGGAATTTTAAGAAGCCTACTCTGTTTCTTTATTTGTTTTTTTCTTTTTTCTTTTTTGAGACTGAGTCTCGCTCTGTCACCCAGGCTGGAGTGCAGTGGCGCAATCTCGGCTCACTGCAAGCTCCACCTCCCGGGTTCATGCCATTCTCTTGCCTCAGCCTCCCGAGTAGCTGGGACTACAGGCGCCCGCCACCACGCCTGGCTAATTTTTTGTATTTTTAATAGAGACGGGATTTCACCATGTTAGCCAGGATGGTCTCGATCTCCTGACCTTGTGATCCGCCTGCCTCGGCCTCCCAAAGTGCTGGGATTAGCCACTGTGACCAGCCTCTTTATTTCTTAGGTTTATATTTAAGTGATGGTTTGGACTTTTGATAAAAAGAGAAATTGGAAAAGTAGCAGGGTGATTTTTAAGTTTCCTTGGCAGTGTGAGATCCCCATGTCTGAATAATCAAGAGGCTCTATGAGGAATCTTCAGGATATTTTTCAATAGACAGAAGTAAAAGAGATGGGAAACCAGTATTAATTTATAAACAGTTAGGTGCCCAACACTGTGCTAGGTCTTGCCACATGTCTCATCTCATTTAATCTTCTTTAATTAGGATCAAGGTCCATTTTAGCAATAGTCAAAGAACAGGACTTAGGACACCTAGCTCCTGATACTTAAAATTACTTAAAGTGCATTATGGTGACACCTCAGATAAGTCTAAACCTCTTTCTACCCTGCCTAATCAAATATTCATTTCAAAACACTGTATGCTGAAATGAGCCACGTGGGAGTTGAAGAGAATCAACTATTCAGGTGGTGAAAATGTGTGAATGCAGCTGGCAGATGAAGTTCCAGTGTGATGAATTCCCAGCTTGTCCTTATTGCTTTAGGCAACAACTGACAGGCCTGACTGGTCATTGGCTTTCCATTCCTGGCATTGATATGACTGAAAATTCTTAATGTCACAGATCCTTAAAAGCTGTCTCTGTTATCATGGATATAAATGGTGCTGGAGGGTCCTTCTTGCATAGAGAGGTAATCAATATGGTCTAGAGTTCTTGACCTGAACCTGTAATTACTTGGACATTTTGAAGGTAGCTTGTTGTTACAGAATATTCATATATTCAGAACATTGGGACTGAGTTGTGCATGGAGAGGAGAAAAATAGAGTCTTTGTCCCCCTTTCTGTTCTTAGTATTTAAGAGGCCTTCATAATCACAGAAGAGAGTGATATTATAGGATTAGAACATTGTATTTTTGGTTTTGGGTGCTGAAGTTCTAATCTTACCTCTGAAGTGATCCTGATATTTTGCCAAAGTTGTGACTTTAATATTCTGTGGCTTGTAATTGTGATTTTTCTAATACCAGAGTAGAATTCTGGGGAGGAATTTTTCTAAACCCAAATACCTCAATTTGAAGTGAGGCTTGGCTTTAAATAATAACACATTTGAGTTTGAGCTTTTCCTGCAATTAAGTGGTATGCTGCAAAAAGGAATTCGGTTAGCAGATTTTATGGCATCCATGATCCATGGACAAGAGTGAGTAGAAGGAGATGATACTGATAGCAATTCTTAAGTCTCTAAATGTTTTTACGTTGTTGTGATCAGGATTTCTTTGCCAAATGAAAACGGTAAAAGTGGAAGCATGAAACACCTTAACAGTAGGTGTGGATCCTGATTGTTCTGTTACTGCTTGGCTTAAGATACCCCTGGATGGGCTGGGTGTGGTGGCTCACACCTGTAATACCAGCACTTTGGGAGGCCGAGGCAGGTGATCACCAGGTCAGGAGATCGAGATCATCCTGGCTAACACGGTGAAACCCCATCTCTACTAAAAATACGAAAAATTAGCCGGGCATGGTGGCGCACACCTGTAGTCCCAGCTACTCAGGAGGCTGAGGCAGGAGAATGTCATGAACCTGGGAGGCGGAGCTCACAGTGAGCTGAGATCGCACCATTGCACTCCAGCCTGGGTGACAGAGTGAGACTCTGTCTCAAAAAAAATAAAAGATACTCCTGGATGGCATTATTATTGGATTACCTTATATGTAGCATGCTTAGAACAGAGGGGGAAAAATGATGGCTTATAATAAAGGACTGTTTGAGAACAAGGGCTGTCTTTGTATCTCCCTTTGCCTGGTATTGGTACCTTCCACAGAGCAGATAATCAATATTTCTTGATATCTGATTAATAATGATAGTCAGTGATGATTAATAATGATAGTCAGTGATAATCAACAATGATAACCATTGTTGATTTCTTATAAAACATAAGGCTTTAAATATCATAACATGATTACAAGTTGGTAATGCTGAGTCTTTATCTTCGTTACCTGACTTAAACCTGGTCCTCAGTTAGGTTTGCCCTTATGTTATGATCACTATTCCTTTGTATGGGCCTATGGTCAATTGTGTAATCAAGTGAAATATTTTACAAAGCATTTCAAATTATCTTTTATGTTATGCTTTTAAAGCAGCATTATGTTTAAACAGAATATTTCTTTGATACAAGCTTTCGTTCTATTAGGCTTAGCATGGAAATTTTTGTTTTAAGGTTATCTTTATAAAGCATTAACTCTAGCGAAGTCTTGCTTTCTGGAATCTATGGTCAGGACTGGTAAACATCTGTTGAAAAGAATGGACAGGCTTTTGCTTTCTGCTCTTACTAGGCTAACTTTCAGACATAATTTTAGGGATATTTTGGGCTGCCTTTGAAGCTAGCCCATTTTGGGCATAGGACATTGGCATATGGAGAACTGACCCTAAGTTCCATTAAGCCAAAACATTTTGTTGAAGAATTTCCAAAATTTTAGTGGTGTCATTACAGTTTAGTTACTTGTACTTATGCTCTAGACAGCTACAAGAAACATGGTAGAATTGACTTCTGTTGTATGAAGTGGCGTCTTGAGTCTTAAACCTATTTTACTTTGGTGTTCTACAATATTTGGAAAGGCAACAGTTATTATATAAATGTTCAATGTTAAGACTGTAGAGAACACTAAGTTACACTTGACACTTAGTTGAACTCCCCAGTCAGTTATCCCTTCTTTAGATGAGTTTATGTAGTTCTCAAATGAATGCTTGTAAGACTGGGAACAGAACCCATTTACTCTTCTGTTTCTCTCTACCTAAAGAGGAAATAGCGAACCCTATGATCTTCTATTTGGGCTACCTTTTCCTTTTCCTATGTTAGAAATTCATAGCCATGAGTCAGTACCTCAAATTAGAGTTTTTATAGCCATGAGAGGGACCCAGTTCCTGAATCAGACGGCTTAAGCCAGAGAGAACTTACTATGGTGCCTGACACTTTTCATTTCTCTTGAAACATGTTCTTAATCTTTCTCTTTATTCCAACTCACCCCCTTGATTAAATTAATTACTTTCTCATGTGTTCTTAAACTTTTACTGTTATGTGTACCATCTGATATTAAAATTAGTTGGGTATTGTTTTTCATTCTAGACTATGAGCTCATCTTTGTACTCCCCGTAGCTCCCTGAATGGTTTTGACACATAATAGGCACTCAGCAAATGTTAATGAATTCAATATTTCATCATGGAACATTGAAACCAAGTTCTTGCATTTGCCTGGAACAGTAATTACCTCCTCAAAGAGAAACTGTGTGGCTAGGGAGCAGAAGTGACAAGGAGACCATCTTTCCACTAGAGTCCTTTACAACACGGCCCTGCATTATCCATGCAAACATAAATTAAACTCTGTTTTTAACAACATACTTTTTAGATTTTTTGTTTTCAACAGTTGAAGATGCTGAGGTTAAGAGATTTAAATAACTTGTCTACTGTCACAGAGCTAGTAGATGGTAGAGCAAAGGTGTGAATCTGTGAAACCTTCATTTTTTCCCGGACCTTGAACAGCATCTCAGCCAACCTTGATTTCATTCATATAATCATCAGGGCATGTATGTGACCTAAGAACTATTTATATTTATTCTTTTTATCATATACTGTTGTATCATAGAGGACACAAAATACATCACCTCCACTCTGGAATGGCACCTCTATTTTAAAAGACCATTGGCAAAACCTCTCCGATGAGATTTTGATGATGGAAGAATGTTATATTCAAGACTCACCTAACTATACCTGCATCTCACAGATACTTATCCTTTAAGCAGTAAACAGTTATTTTCAGCTAGGAAAGCCACTCTCAATCAGGTAGTGGTTTCTTAAGCTGAAAAAGGCTTTCCACTTAAGAATCGTGATAGGCCAAGGTCATTACCTTTCCGTCTACTTATGGGAAAATTCAAACTAAAGGAATACCAGTGTTTGAAACTCACAATTCACTCTATAGTGGGGAGTGGGGGAGTGCAAGGCAAGCAAAGTGATTATATTTCCCTTAGAAATATTGTTAACTATTTTTTCAAAATATGGATTAAAGCTTAAAACATACCCAAAATACACTGATTCTAAATGGACCTGACACCTTGATCTTCAATCATGGAATAACATATGAGTGAGGATTCCCAATGGACCATTGTACACTACAATATTTATTACTATAAAGATCTAAGAGCTCTTAGCCACTTTCAAACTTTTAAGAGTTGTTCAGCTCTCATCCTCTTGACTTGTGTTTTCACATTTTAAAATTCTGGTTTGTTTTGTGTGATGTATTCAGAATTACCTCCCTACCTTGATTTCAGAATAATATTTGGCTTTTTAATAAATTTAAGGAAGTGCAGATATGAAAGTATACCCATTAATGCATGGGGACTGCAGTACCTTTAACTGGCCCATTTTTGGCCTCTGTTTATCCATCTGCAAAACGGTGACTAGGTTTTGCCTTCTAGTTAGTTGATATGATAAAAATACTAATAAATTGAAAGGCTGTGGGATGATACCTTTATCAGTTCCTTCTATGGATGGTGTAATTTTCACTGTAGTTTACTTTAGCATATATGGTCTCAAGAATAAAAATAAGGAATTACTAAGGAACCTCCTGAATGCAATACTATTAACATTCACAAAAATAGCTATATGCAAATTAGTAGATGTCCTTAGCTGAGACAAAATTATTTTGAGGTTGTGATCATGAAAATTAACGTAAGCTGATATAATTTTGAATTGTATGCATCTGTTTTCATGAAAGAAACCTATTTGGAGAGGTTTATTCTTGAAAAATTATGGAATTAAAAGTTAAATAGGATTCTTAACATCTGTTTTTAAATCTTGAATTATATGCAGCTCATAGAGTTTCTCTCCTGTATGCATATTAAATGATATATAATGAACTATCAGTGGTTTTAGGTAACATTTGGTTACTGAATACACTATGCTAAGCATTTCACGTGCATTATCACCTGTATTCACAAAATATTATGAGGTAAAAGCACTGTTACAATTTCCATTTTTTTCAGAAGAAGGTGTGATTTAGAGAAATTAAGTACTGTATACTACCTCCCAACTTTGGCAGTGTCATCTGAATTTTTTTGTCATGAACATGTTTTACATAGCTTGTTGTTAAAGTCCATTTTTGATAAATTTTTTGAATAGACGTGTGTAATGCAAGTGCATGAGCTTTGTGGTTAGGTGTAGATTTCATTCCCATTTCTGTAGCTGACTGGGTACATGACCTTGAGTTTCTTTGTCCATAAGAAGAGTATAGGAACATCTGTCTCTGATGTTGTAAAAATTAATAGATAATAAAAATCTTCTGGCCATAGTTCAGGTACATAACAAGGACTCATTAAATGTCAGTTGTCACCACCTTACCTTCTTTCCGTAAAATATTTCCTTTCTGTCTGTCCCAAAGTTTTAGTTTTGCTCTTCACGTGTATCATAATGTATTATGAGCATCCTAAGAAGATAGGTTATACTATTGTCCCCATTTTACAGTTGAGAAAACAGACTGAAATGTTGTAGATTCCTGGTTGAATCCCTATAGCAGTCTGATTCCAGAGCCTGTGTTTTTAGCTATAATGTGCTTTGGTATGAAGATATATTCCAATAACAGATTATATTCTGATATTTCAGACAAGAATCTAAATCCCAGAAATTATTCTCTTGTACCCGCATCCCTACCATTCAGTTCTTCCCTTCTTAGATTATGCTGGTATAACAGTGTATCTCCTTATTACTCTTGTAATAAATTTGTATATTAAATGCTCAAACACCCTTCTGATTCTAAAATCTGTGATCCTCTGTCATTTGGATACATTTGCAGTAGTCTGAGGCAGCTCTGAGAATCGTTTAAGGGAAAAGTATTCATCACTGTGGCTTTAGTAAGGAATATGTTGACATTTTTACTCTAACTCCAGGAACTCCTACTGACCTGAAATTAACCAGTTCATGGAGGTTTTTGGTGGGGACTAAGGAATGAAATTAACTCCCTAAGTCTCCTCTTCTTAAAAAAGAACCTCAAAATACTGCTGCCCAAATGGATTTAACTTTAGTTATATTTGTTTTTACATGCAAATACATTTTACTCAGCCTAAAAAGGCAAAGAAATGAAGCTATTTGGTTTGCAGAGGAACAGATCACTCTCCTGAGCATGTCAGACTGTTTATGTGTGTTTTTCACTCCATCTTACTCTGTCTTTGTCTTTCATGTTCTTTTTTCTGTCTCTGTTTCAGTTTGTCCTGTTTCTATTGCTCCCTCACAGCAACTATCTTCCTATTTTGATAATCCTGTTTCATCTCTATAAGGAAAAGGCTCTCTCAAGGATGCAGAAAATGTTACTATTTTTATAACAGTCCCTAAATACACAAAAGATTTTAACTTGGCTATAAAACTTTGTTCTTGGCATAAATTTGGCAGATAGTCTTTCGCCTGGGTGAGACTTTTCATTGGGATCCTGGAAGTGTTGGGATGTCACTATTCTCCACTCTTGCTTCTCCAAGTATGACATTAGTGGTTTTAGCTCTTGTTGACCCATCTTTAAACCAAAGCTTTATAGCCTATTAGAAGCACAGTGTGGATTTTTCTTATGATACGTTGGAATAAAAGAAAAAACTTTTCTAAAGTTACAAATGGTTTCATTTACCAAAATGACTATTTCACTTGGAAAGTTTTGTCTTTTCTGTAAAAATTCCAGGAGTTGGGTGGGCTTGATGTCCTCTCTCCCATTCCACCTCCCCACCCACAGACTCATGTCAGCAAAGATGCTGAGAGTTTTATTCCAGTCTTTTAGGAGGCGAGACCTTGACCAAGGAGTAGCTAAGACATATTTTTCTGCTTTTATTTTTTAAAAACTTTTTAAAAAAAGTTTTTCATATAACTTTTTCATCTTGTATAACTGAATAAAGAAAATTTTTTATTGAAATTAAAGTAAGGAAATACCACAGGATGGCTTTAAAGTGTTTGTTTCACTGTGGCACATAGGGCAAATGCCTTGGAACATCAGTAATTACTATTTGAGGCAACCTTTGGGGATTGAGATATATGCCTTTCAGATCTGCACTTCATCTCATACTTCATCATTTATTGGATCAAATAGCAGTCTCATTTACTTAGGATCCGTGTCAGCGCCTTGAGCTCCAAATCGGGTATTACATGTCACCCTGTGAAAGATCCTCTGCGTTACCCCATCAATTCTGCTTCATTAAAGGACTTTAGATGATCATCTTAAAGCTTTAAAGAAATGAAAAATATTTGCCCTCTCCATAAAAAAAATGCTTACAACTTTATCTTACATTTTACTCAGCAGAGTAACTTTGCCCAGCCCTGGAGCAGAACATTCTTAAAAGTAAGCCCAGTAAACCTAAGCGTTGGATGGTTCTGCAAGTAACCACTGCAAAAAAGATTTCCTGGTAGAAGTAAGTAGTGTCTTTTGCTAGTGTACCAGGTTGTTTAATAAAACTAGGAATAGCTGAGAGTAGGAAAACTCATGAGGCTTTTTCTCATCACAAGCTGTGTAATACATACTTCAGGTAACCTCCGTGGGTTTCCTCACTGCTGTTGGCTCAGCTGTGGCTTTTTATGGAACCATAGCTGCATTTCCATCTCTTTCATCCCTCCCTTTTTATGAGAATAAAAAGTGAATTGGGTGCTATTTAAATATTCTCTACTTACATTTATTGAAAACTACCCTGCCGCAGGGCACAGCACATTGGAAAACTGCCTTGCACCAGCCCAGTTTTCCACTCAGGTGGTTTACCCCAAAACCTGGCCTTTGCTTTCCTCAGACCTTTAATTTCTTTAAACTAAATGATCACAGAAAAACCTAGGAGGAGCTAGTTCCATTTGTGAGGTTTTCAATAAAACTTAAGTGGAATGTGGCTAGAAAAGCAGACCCATGAAAGGCCATGACTACTATGCTGACACTAGAGGAAAAACCCACAGAATTTTTTTTATTTTTTTGAGACAGAGTTTCGCTCTTGTTGCCCAGGCTGCAGTGCAATGGCGCGACCTTGGCTCAAAGCAAGCTCTGTCTCCTAGATTCAAGTGATTCTCCTGCCTCAGCCCCATGAGTAGCTGGGGTTACAGGCATGTGCCACCACGCCCAGCTAATTTTGTATTTTTTTTAGTATAGATGGGGTTTCTCCATGTTGGTCAGGCTGGTCTCGAACTCCCCACCTCAGGTGATCCACCTGCCTCGGCCTCCCAAAGTGCTGGGATTACAGGTGTGAGCCACTGTGCCCGGCCTAAACCCACAGAATTCTTATACCTCTTGCTTTAAGTGTTGGGAGAAAATGGAAAAAAAAAAGTTAGAGCTTTAGTACTGGTACACTTTGGGACAGAAAGGCAGCTAGGGATGTTTGGTTAAATTCATTTGTCACATATTGGTGTTTTATTTAAAATATTGTCCAGAAATAAACAATTCATACATGTTCAATTTTGTGCCTTTCTGAGTAGCCTGGTGAAATCTTACAGCATCCCTCCCAGACCGTGAATCATCCCTTTGTCTGGCATCTCCAGGCTGTCTATGCTACCTATCCTTTGGTCACTTGGCAGCCGTCTTGGTTGCAGTATTACAGTGCTTGTATTCAGGTAACCTTTATTTTACTTAATGGCCCCAAAGCACAAGGGTTGATGCTGGCATATTGTTATAATTGTTCTATTTTATTACCAGTTATTGTTGTTAATCTTTGTGCCTAACTTATAAATTAAACTGTATCATAGGTCTGTACATATAGGAAAAAACATGGTATATACAGTCATGTATGGCATAGTGACCTTTCAGTCAACAGTGGACCTTATATGCTCGTGCAACAGTGTTCCAGTAAAATTATAATACCAGATTTTTACTGTACCTTTTCTATGTTTAGATACACAAATACTGACCATTGTGTTACAGTTGCCTACAGTATTCGGTACAGTAACATACTGCACAGATTTTTTGTCTGGGAGTAATAAAAGAGGTTATAGCATATAGCTTAGGTGTGTTGTAGGCTATTCTATCTAGGTTTGTACAAGCATACTCTATGATGTTTGCACAGTGATGAAATCACCTAATAACACACTTTCTCAGAACACATCTTTGTTGTTAAGCAATGCGTGGGTGTATAGTGTTGGTACTGTCCATGGTTTCAGGCATCCACTGGGGGTCTTGGAACGTATCCCCATAGATAAGGAGCGGGGGACAGTTGTAGAATAAATTATATTTTGAAACTTGCTTCATTTATTGTTAGCAGATTTCCTTCAAGTCATTAAATATTTTTGAAGACATAGATATTTTAATGGTGGCTGGATCATTTATTTGTCTGATTTTCTATCATTAAACTTTGAGATCGTTTAGAATTTTTTACCATACTAATTTAGAATAAATAAATTCCTATATATAAATCTTTGTTGTTATCTGTGATTATTTGTTTAGGATAAATTCCCAGAAGTGGAAATTCTGGGTCCAGAATACGTATATTTTTAAGTCACTTTATGTTTACATATTGCCAGGTTGCCCTAAGTAAAGTTCTATCAATTTGTGCTTCATTCATTCATTCAGCTAAGGTTGATGTTCCTCATTTCCTTCCTTTAGTCTTGCTTTGCTAACACTAGGCTTACTTTTTTTTTTTTTTTTTTTTTTGAGACGGAGTCTCGCTCTGTCGCCCAGGCTGGAGTGAAGTGGTGTGATCTCGGCTCACTACAACCTCTGCCTCCCGGGTTCAAGTGATTCTTCTGCCTCAGCCTCCTGAGTAGCTGGGATTACAGGTGTGCACCACCACACCCGGCTAATTTTTGTATTTTTAGTAGAGATGGGGTTTCACCATCTTGGCCAGGCTGGTCTTGAACTCCTGACCTCATGATCCACCTGCCTCGGCCTCCCAAAGTGCTGGGATTACAGGCGTGAGCCACTGTGCCTGGCCACTTTTGTGTCATTTTATCATGTGCACAGATTCATGTAACCACCACCATCATCAAGATACAAACCGTTCCGTCACCACAAATATCTTGCTCATTTCTTCCTGCTCCATTATAGCCCCACTCAGTTCCCATCCCACCACCATCTCTGACCCCTGCCAGCTACTAATCTATTCATCTCTATAATTTTGTCATTTTGAGATTTTTAAGAAATTGAATTTTACGATATGTGACCCTTTGATATTGCCTGTTTTTAAAATGGATTATAATGCCTTTGAGGTCCATCCAAGTTATTGCATGTATCAATAGTCTATTCCCTTTAATTGCTGAGTAGTATTGCATGGTATGGATGTCGCACAGTTTAGTTAACTATTCACCTATTATACAACATTTTGGCTGTTTCCAGGTTATGGCTATTTCAAGTAAAACTGCCTTGAACAATCATGTAAAGGTTTTCATGTAGATAAAAGAAGTTTCATTCCACTGAGCTAAAGGCCCACAAGCACAGTTGCTGGGTCACATTGTAAGGATATGTTTAATTTTTCAAGAAACTTCCAAACTATTTTCCATACTGTCTGTATTATTTTATAATCCTACCATCAATATATGAGAAATCTACCTGTTGAGAAAGAATTATTGAAGTCTCCAGCTATAACTGTAGGTATGTCTATTTCTTCCTTCAGTTCCGTCAGGGTTTGCTTCATATGTTTTGTAGCTCTGTTTTTAGTGCATGCGCATCTCGGGTTGCTGTGTTTTCTTTGTGTAACTTTTTATCATTATATAATGTCTTTCTCTTATCTGGTAATTTTCTTTTCTCTAAAGTCTACTTTATCTTGTATTAAGGTAGCCACCCCCACTTTCCTTCCTGTAACTTTTACGTGATATATCTTTTTCTAACATTTTAGTTTCAGTGTGTCTGTATCATTATATTTGATATGTTTTAAATGAATTTCCTGTAAAAAACATATAGTTGAGTCATGTGTTTTAGTCCATTCTTCCAATATCTGTCTTTTAATTAGTGTTTGTAGACCATTTACATTGAATATAATTATTTATCTGTCAGGGCTTAAGTCTGCCATTTTATTTTTTATTTTCTATTTGATCTCTGCTTTTTCTTTCTCTGTTTTTTTGTTTGTTTAGGCTCGATTTGGTTTTTCTTTTTTGCCTGCCTTCCTGTAGGTTATGGAACATTTTCTAAAATTCTATCTTGATTTGTCTATAGTGGTTTTTTTTTTTTTTAATTTCAATAGGCTTTTGGGGAACAGGTGGTGTTTGGTTACATGAATAAGTTCTTTGGTGGTGATTTCTGAGATTTTTGGTGCACCCATCACCCGAGCAGTGTACACTGTATCCAATGTGTCATATTTTATCCTTTGCCACCCCTCACTCTTTCCCCTGAGTCCTGATAGTCAAATGTATCATTCTTATGCCTTGGCGTCCTCTTAGCTTAGCTCCCACTTATGAGTGAGAACATATGATGTTTGGTTTTCCATTCCTGAGTTACTTCACTTAGAATAATACTCTCCAGCTGGGCACGGCGGCTCATGCCTGTAATCCCGGCACTTTAGGTGGCTGAGGTGGGCGGATCACGAGGTCAAGAGATCAAGACCATCCTGGCCAACATGGTGAAACCCTGTCTCTACTAAAAATACAAAAATGAGCTGGGCGTGGTAGTACATGCCTGTAATCCCAGCTACTCAGGAGGCTGAGGCATGAGAATCACTTGAAACCAGGAGGCGGAGGTTGCAGTGAGCTGAGATCACACCACTGCACTCCAGCCTCATGACAGGGTGAGACTTTGTCTCAAAAAAAAAAAAAAAAAAAGAATAATAGTCCCCAGTTCCATCCAGGTTGCTGCAAATGCCATTATTTCATTCCTTGTTACGGCCGAGTAGTATTCCATTTGTGTGTGTGTGTGTGTGTGTGTGTGTGTGTGTATACACGCCACATTTTCTTTATCTACTCGCTGATTAATGGGAATTTGGTTTGGTTCCATGTTTTTGCAATCGCAAATTGTGGTGCTATAAACGTGTGTGCAAGTATCTTTTTTACATAATGACTTCTTTTCCTCTTGGTAGATTCCTAGTAGTGGGATTGCTGGAACAAATGGTAGATGTACTTTTAGTTCTTTAAGGAATTGCCACACTGTTTTCCATACTGGTTGTACAAGCTTACATTCCCACCAACAGTGTAAAAGTTCCCTTTTCACTGCATCCATGCCAACATCTATTATTTTTTAATTTTTTGATTATGGCCATTCTTGCAGGAGTGAGGTGGTATTGCACTGTGGTTTTGATTTGCGTTTCCATAGTGATGTTGAGCATTTTTCCATATGCTTGTTGGCCATTTGTATATCTTCTTTTGAGAATTGTCTTTTCACATCCTTAACCCACTTTTTGATGTGATTGTTTGGGTTTGTTTTGCTGATTTGTTGGAGTTCTTTGTAGATTCTGGAAATTAGTCCTTTGTCAGATGTATAGATTGTGAAGATTTTCTCCCACTCTGTGGGTTGTATGTTAACTTGGCTAATTATTTCTTTTGCTGTGCAGAAGCTTTTTAGTTTAATTAATTCCCATCTATTTATCTTTGTTTTTGTTGCATTTGCTCTTGGGTTCTTGGTCATGAAGTATTTGCCTAAGCCAATGTCTAGAAGGGTTTCTTCTGATGTTATCTTCTAGAATCTTTATGGTTTCAGGTCTTAGATTTAAGTCTTTAATCCATCTTGAGTTGATTTTTGTATTAAATATAAGGTGAGAGAAGAGCATGCAGTTTCATTCTTCTACATGTGGCTTGCCAATTATCCTAGCACCATTTGTTGAAGAGTTTTTATGTATAGTTTTAAAAATTATGGGGGGAGGAGCCAAGATGGCCGAATAGGAACAGCTCCAGTATACAGCTCCCAGCGTGAGCGACGCAGAAGATGGGTGATTTCTGCATTTCCATCTGAGGTACCGGGTTCATCTCACTAGGGAGTGCCAGACAGTGGGCGCAGGTCAGTGGGTGCGCGCACCGTGCGCAAGCCGAAGCAGGGCGAGGCATTGCCTCACTTGGGAAGCGCAAGGGGTCAGGGAGTTCCCTTTCCGAGTCAAAGAAAGGGGTGACGGACGCACCTGGATAATTGGGTCACTCCCACCTGAATATTGCGCTTTTCGGACCGGCTTAAAAAACGGCGCACCACGAGATTATATCCCGCACCTGGCTGGGAGGGTCCTACGCCCACGGAGTCTCGCTGATTGCTAGCACAGCAGTCTGAGATCAAACTGCAAGGCGGCAGCGAGGCTGGGGGAGGGGCGCCCGCCATTGCCCAGGCTTGCTTAGGTAAACAAAGCAGCCGGGAAGCTCCAACTGGGTGGAGCCCACCACAGCTCAAGGAGGCCTGCCTGCCTCTGTAGGCTCCACCTCTGGGGGCAGGGCACAGACAAACAAAAAGACAGCAGTAACCTCTGCAGACTTAAATGTCCCTGTCTGACAGCTTTGTAGAGAGCAGTGGTTCTCCCAGCACGCAGCTGGAGATCTGAAAACGGGCAGACTGCCTCCTCAAGTGGGTCCCTGACCCCTCAGCAGCCTAACTGGGAGGCACCCCCCAGCAGGGGCACACTGACACCTCACACAGCAGGGTATTCCAACAGACCTGCAGCTGAGGGTCCTGTCTGTTAGAAGGAAAACTAACAAACAGAAAGGACATCCACACCGAAAACCCATCTGTACATCACCATCATCAAAGACCAAAAGTAGATAAAACCACAAAGATGGGGAAAAAACAGAACAGAAAAACTGGAAACTCTAAAACGCAGAGCGTCTCTCCTCCTCCAAAGGAACGCAGTTCCTCACCAGCAACGGAACAAAGGTGGATGGAGAATGACTTTGACAAGCTGAGAGAAGAAGGCTTCAGACGATCGAATTACTCTGAGCTACGGGAGGACATTCAAACCACAGGCAAAGAAGTTGAAAACTTTGAAAAAAATTTAGAAGAATGTATAACTAGAATAACCAATACAGAGAAGTGCTTAAAGGAGCTGATGGAGCTGAAAACCAAGGCTCGAGAACTACGTGAAGAATGCAGAAGCCTCAGGAGCCAATGCGATCAACTGGAAGAAAGGGTATCAGCGACGGAAGATGAAATGAATGAAATGAAGCGAGAAGGGAAGTTTAGAGAAAAAAGAATAAAAAGAAATGAGCAAAGCCTCCAAGAAATATGGGACTATGTGAAAAGACCAAATCTACGTCTGATCGGTGTACCTGAAAGTGATGGGGAGAATGGAACCAAGTTGGAAAACACTCTGCAGGATATTATCCAGGAGAACTTCCCCAATCTAGCAAGGCAGGCCAACGTTCAGATTCAGGAAATACAGAGAACACCACAAAGATACTCCTCGAGAAGAGCAACTCCAAGACACATAATTGTCAGATTCACCAAAGTTGAAATGAAGGAAAAAATGTTAAGGGCAGCCAGAGAGAAAGGTCAGGTTACCCTCAAAGGGAAGCCCATCAGACTAACAGCGGATCTCTCGGCAGAAACCCTACAAGCCAGAAGAGAGTGGGTGCCAATATTCAACATTCTTAAAGAAAAGAATTTTCAACCCAGAATTTCATATCCAGCCAAACTAAGCTTCATAAGTGAAGGAGAAATAAAATCCTTTACAGACAAGCAAATGCTGAGAGATTTTGTCACCACCAGGCCTGCCCTAAAAGAGCTCCTGAAGGAAGCGCTAAACATGGAAAGGAACAACCAGTACCAGCTGCTGCAAAATCATGCCAAAATGTAAAGACCATCGAGACTAGGAAGAAACTGCATCAACTAACGAGCAAAATCACCAGCTAACGTCATAATGACAGGATCAAATTCACACATAACAATATTAACTTTAAATGTAAATGGACTAAATTCTCCAATTAAAAGACACAGACTGGCAAATTGGATAAAGAGTCAAGACCCATCAGTGTGCTGTATTCAGGAAACCCATCTCACGTGCAGAGACACACATAGGCTCAAAATAAAAGGATGGAGGAAGATCTACCAAGCAAATGGAAAACAAAAAAAGGCAGGGATTGCAATCCTAGTCTCTGATAAAACAGACTTTAAACCAACAAAGATCAAAAGAGACAAAGAAGGCCATTACATAATGGTAAAGGGATCAATTCAACAAGAAGAGCTAACTATCCTAAATATATATGCACCCAATACAGGAGCACCCAGATTCATAAAGCAAGTCCTGAGTGACCTACAAAGAGACTTAGACTCCCACGCATTAATAATGGGAGACTTTAACACCCCACTGTCAACATTAGACAGATCAACGAGACAGAAAGTCAACAAGGATACCCAGGAATTGAACTCAGCTCTGCACCAAGCGGACCTAATAGACATCTACAGAACTCTCCACCCGAAATCAACAGAATATACATTTTTTTCAGCATCACACCACACCTATTCCAAAATTGACCACATACTTGGAAGTAAAGCTCTCCTCAGCAAATGTAAAAGAACAGAGATTATAGCAAACTATCTCTCAGACCACAGTGCAATCAAACTAGAACTCAGGATTAAGAATCTCACTCAAAACCGCTCAACTACATGGAAACTGAACAACCTGCTCCTGAATGACTACTGGATACATAACGAAATGAAGGCAGAAATAAAGATGTTCTTTGAAACCAACGAGAACAAAGAAACAACATACCAGAATCTCTGGGACGCATTCAAAGCAGTGTGTAGAGGGAAATTTATAGCACTAAATGCCCACAAGAGAAAGCAGGAAAGATCCAAAATTGACACCCTAACATCACAATGAAAAGAACTAGAAAAGCAAGAGCAAACACATTCAAAAGCTAGCAGAAGGCAAGAAATAACTAAAATCAGAGCAGAACTGAAGGAAATAGAGACACAAAAAACCCTTCAAAAAATTAATGAATCCAGGAGCTGGTTTTTTGAAAGGATCAACAAAATTGATAGACCGCTAGCAAGACTAATAAAGAAAAAAAGAGAGAAGAATCAAATAGACACAATAAAAAATGATAAAGGGGATATCACCACCGATCCCACAGAAATACAAACTACCATCAGAGAATACTACAAACACCTCTACGCAAATAAACTAGAAAATCTAGAAGAAATGGATAAATTCCTCGACACATACACTCTCCCAAGACTAAACCAGGAAGAAGTTGAATCTCTGAATAGACCAATAACAGGAGCTGAAATTGTGGCAATAATCAATAGTTTACCAACAAAAAAGAGTCCAGGACCAGATGGATTCACAGCCGAATTCTACCAGAGGTACAAGGAAGAACTGGTACCATTCCTTCTGAAACTATTCCAATCAATAGAAAAAGAGGGAATCCTCCCTAACTCATTTTATGAGGCCAGTGTCATTCTGATACCAAAGCCGGGCAGAGACACAACCAAAAAAGAGGATTTTAGACCAATATCCTTGATGAACATTGATGCAAAAATCCTCAATAAAATACTGGCAAACCGAATCCAGCAGCACATCAAAAAGCTTATCCACCATGATCAAGTGGGCTTCATCCCTGGGATGCAAGGCTGGTTCAATATACGCAAATCAATAAATGTAATCCAGCATATAAACAGAGCCAAAGACAAAAACCACATGATTATCTCAATAGATGCAGAAAAGGCCTTTGACAGAATTCAACAACCCTTCATGCTAAAAACTCTCAAGAAATTAGGTATTGATGGGATGTATTTCAAAATAATAAGAGCTATCTATGACAAACCCACAGCCAATATCATACTGAATGGGCAAAAACTGGAAGCATTCCCTTTGAAAACTGGCACAAGACAGGGATGCCCTCTCTCACCACTCCTATTCAACATAGTGTTGGAAGTTCTGGCCAGGGCAATTAGGCAGGAGAAGGAAATAAAGGGTATCCAATTAGGAAAAGAGGAAGTCAAATTGTCCGTGTTTGCAGATGACATGATTGTATATCTAGAAAACCCCATTGTCTCAGCCCAAAATCTCCTTAAGCTGATAAGCAACTTCAGCAAAGTCTCAGGATACAAAATCAATGTACCAAAATCACAAGCATTCTTATACACCAACAACAGACAAACAGAGAGCCAAATCATGAGTGAACTCCCATTCACAATTGCTTCAAAGAGAATAAAATACCTAGGAATACAACTTACAAGGGATGTGAAGGACCTCTTCAAGGAGAACTACAAACCACTGCTCGAGGAAATAAAAGAGGATACAAACAAATGGAAGAACATTCCATGCTCATGGGTAGGAAGAATCAATATCGTGAAAATGGCCATACTGCCCAAGGTAATTTACAGATTCAATGCTATCCCCATAAAGCTACCAATGACTTTCTTCACAGAATTGGAAAAAACTACTTTAAAGTTCATATGGAACCAAAAAAGAGCCCGCATCGCCAAGGCAATCCTAAGCCAAAAGAACAAAGCTGGAGGCATCACACTACCTGACTTCAAACTATACTACAAGGCTACAGTAACCAAAACAGCATGGTACTGGTACCAAAACAAAGATATAGATCAATGGAACAGAACAGAGCCCTCAGAAATAACGCCTCATATCTACAACTATCTGATCTTTGACAAATCTGAGAAAAACAAGCAATGGGGAAAGGATTCCCTATTTAATAAATGGTGCTGGGAAAACTGGCTAGCCATATGTAGAAAGCTGAAACTGGATCCCTTCCTTACACCTTATACAAAAATCAATTCAAGATGGATTAAAGACTTAAACGTTAGACCTAAAACCATAAAAACCCTAGAAGAAAACCTAGGCATTACCATTCAGGACATAGGCATGGGCAAAGACTTCATGTCCAAAACACCAAAAGCAATGGCAACAAAAGACAAAATTGACAAATGGAATCTAATTAAACTAAAGAGCTTCTGCACAGCAAAAGAAACTACCATCAGAGTCAACAGGCAACCTACAAAATTGGAGAAAATTTTTGCAACCTACTCATCTGACAAAGGGCTAATACCCAGAATCTACAATGAACTCAAACAAATTTACAAGAAAAAAACAAACAACCCCATCAAAAAGTGGGCAAAGGACATGAACAGACACTTCTCAAAAGAAGACATTTATGCAGCCAAAAAACACATGAAAAAATGCTCATCATCACTGGCCATCAGAGAAATGCAAGTCAAAACCACAATGAGATACCATCTCACACCAGTTAGAATGGCAATCATTAAAAAGTCAGGAAACAGCAGGTGCTGGAGAGGATGTGGAGAAACAGGAACACTTTTACACTGTTGATGGGACTGTAAACTAGTTCAACCATTGTGGAAGTCAGTGTGGCGATTCCTCAGGGATCTAGAACTAGAAATACCATTTGACCCAGCCATCCCATTACTGGGTATATACCCAAAGCACTATAAATCATGCTGCTATAAAGACACATGCACACGTATGTTTATTGCGGCATTATTCACAATAGCAAAGACTTGGAACCAACCCAAATGTCCAACAATGATAGACCGGATTAAGAAAATGTGGCACATATACACCATGGAATACTATGCAGCCATAACAAATGATGAGTTCATGTCCTTTGTAGGGACATGGATGAAATTGGAAATCATCATTCTCAGTAAACTATCGCAAGAACAAAAAACCAAACACCGCATATTCTCACTCATAGGTGGGAATTGAACAATGAGATCACATGGACACAGGAAGGGGAATATCACACTCTGGGGACTGTGGTAGGGTAGGGGGAGGGGGGAGGGATAGCATTGGGAGATATACCTAATGCTAGATAACGAGTTAGTGGGTGCAGCGCACCAGCATGGCACATGTATACATATGTAACTAACCTGCACAATGTGCGCATGTACCCTAAAACTTAAAGTATAATAAAAAAATAAATAAATAAATAAATAAATAAATAAAATAAAATAAAAATTATGATCCTTTATGTATCTTTATTAGTGGCCAATATATGTATATTGCATTATGTATACCTAACTTATCACAGTCTACTGGTATCACTATTTCACCAATTTGAGTGTAGCCCTTCTTCCGTTTATGTCCCTTTACCATCCTGATTTATAATATAATTATCTTAAACATTCTCTTACATGCATTTAGAACCACATCAAAGAGTGTTGTTTTTGCCTCAACTCTCACACATAATTTAGAAAACTTAGGAGGAGAAGAAAAGCTTATAGTATTTAACCATGTTTTTGCTTACTATGTTTTTTCTTCCTTCCTACTGTTCCACAGTTACTTCTTCATTTGTTTTCCCTTTGTTAAGAGATCTTCCTTTAGTCATTCTTTTAGAGTAAGTCCACTGGCAACAAATTCTTAGTCTTCCTTCATGTGAAAATGGTTTGATTTCCCCTTTATTACTGAGTGATATTATGGCTGGGTATAGGATTCAAGGTTCATAGTTCTTTTCCTTTGTACTCAGAAAAAAATATTGTGTTACTTTCTTTGAGCCTCCGTGTTTTCTGATGACAAATGTGATGTTAATTGAAGTTTTTTTCCCATATAGGTAAAGTGCCATTTTTCTCTCACTGCTTTCAAGATTTTTTCTTTGTCTTTCATTTTCAGAAGTTTACCTATGATGTGTCTTCTAGTGGGCTTCTTTGGAAGTTTCCTGTTTGAAGTTCAGGATTTAGCTTCTTTAATGTGTCAATTTATGTCTCTTAAAAGTGTGGATATTATTCAAGCATTATTTTTCAAATACTTTGCCAACCCACACCCTTTCTCCACTCCTTTCGGGCTTAAAGGGATAGAAATGCTACATATTTCATTATAATCTCACAGATCCCTGAGCCCCTGTTATTCAGACTGGGTAATTTCTATTGCTCCATGTTACAGTTTACTAATTCTTTCTGTGCCTCTTCATTCTGTTACTGAACGCATCCACTTAGCTTTTTATTTTAGTTATTGTATTTTTCAGTTCTAAAATTTTCTTTTGAGGCCAGGTATGATGGCTCACACTTGTAATCCAAGCACTCTGGAAGTCTGAGGCAGGAGAATTGCTTGAAGCCAGGAGTTGGAGACCAGCTGGGGCAACAAAGCAAGGCCCTGTGTCTACAAGAAAAAATTAAAAATTAGCTGGGTGCAGTGGCTTGCACCTGTAGACCCAACTACTAGGGAGGCCGAGGGAAGGAGAATTGCTTGAGCCCAGAGTTTGAGGCTGTAGTGAGCTATGATCACACCACTGCAATCCAGCTTGAGTGACACAGCAAGCCCCTGTCTCAAAAATGAATAAGTAAATAAGTAAATAAAAATTCCACTTCATTCTTTTTTATATCTTTTACTTGTTTGCTAAGACTTTCTATTTCTTTGATGAGGCTTTGGGGTTTTTTAGAGCAATTTTAGTTAGGTTCCCAGCAAAATTAAGCAGAAGGTGGGGAGATTTCCATATACTCCCTGCCACCCCCTACATGCATAGCCTCGCCTGTTATCAAGATCCCCCACCAGAGTAGTATATTTGCTATAACTGATGAACCTACATTGACAAGTGATATATTATTATTACCCAAAGTTTACATTTCTTTCATTTTCATTTTTTATGTGTTTCTAGCATGTTCATAATTACTCATTGAAACATTTTTATCATGGCTGCTTTGAAAGTCTTTGTCAGATAATTTTAGGATCTCTGTCATCTTGGTGTTGATATCTATTGATTGTCTTTTTTTCATTTGTTATGATATCTTGCTGGCTGGAAGTATGTTGAATCATTTTCAGTTGAAAGCTGGGCATTTCCCTATGATATGAATTGTACTTAAACCTTCGGTTTTAAGGGGCTTTCTCTGGTATCACAATGGCAGGGGAAGTAGGATGTTCTACCTCGTTTCTGCCAGGTGGAGGTAGAAGCCCAGGTTCCTTACCACACTACTGTTACCACCCAATCAGGTTACTACTTGGGAGAGATGGAAGTCCCGGCTCCCAACGTAGTCTCCAATGACAGTGCATTAGTGCTGGATGATACAGTCAAAGTCCAAAAAGGGATTCTCCCCTAGACCTCTTTCATAAGCACCCCAGTGGAGAGAAGGAGTGGTGCCTCCTTACTGCCAAGCAGGGGTGAAAATCCAGACTCCCCATTTGTCCTGCACCAAAACTGCACGTGTGTGTTAGGAGGTGGTTCTTGTTAACAGCAGATAGGGATGAAAGTCCTGACTGTACTTAGCCTTCTCCAACACCACCCCTGTGGAGGTGTTGGGCACCTTGTCATAGCCTCTCAAGGGTGGAGTCTGGGCTCCCTACTTGGCCTTTCCCACTGTGGGTGGTGGGGGTGCTGCAAGTTTTTGTGTGGCGTTTGGGTAGAGAGAAGCAATTATTGTCTAAAAGTTTCTGTCTTGCTAGGCTACACATTCCTGTTTTTTTTGGCAAGAGAGAGCAGCCTTTTGTTGTGACAAAAGCATAGACAGACCTTGAGGTGTAGAAATGTTCAATAACCTTTACCAATATGGGGACTAACTTCGCAGGATTCTGGTGCTGATATTTGAAATAGATATTGTTTTTTGCCTAATCTGGTTTTTTTTTTGTTTCTTATTGCATACTAACACTACCCCCAAAATGCATTTTGCTTTTTAAATTATCTTCCAAAACGTTGACAGTTTCTGTGTTTGTCAATTACTTTAATATTCTATATATTTTTAAATGGATGGTTGGTTGGGAGTCTCTAGACACAACACTTCACACTAAGCAAGGCTGACAGTTAAGTGATGCGGAAGCCATTATCTCACCTTTGTGCTTGCAGGCTGTGGCCTCTTGCCTTTTCCTACTTCATAATAAATAGCATTAGCATTGAGGAACTTTTTAACACCTATTGAGGACAGGGTTTTTCTAATCCCCTCTCAGAGAGGCTTTTAAAAATGAATGACTAAAACCTAACAAACATAACATACATAAAAGAGAGCTATGTAGCAATCTTACATATGAATTTAGATTCAGAAATAGCAAATAAAATACCAACAAACCAAATTGAATGTTACAGTAAAAGAATCACCTACCATGACCAAATGTGATTTATCCCATATTATAAAATATATTATTGTAATGTATAGTATTTGTTGGTCCACGAAGAAAACATGATAGTGTCATTAGATGCTGAAAGGGCATTTGATAAAATTCAGCATTTATTTATGAGATTTATTCTGAGATAACTAGAAATAGAAAGATGTCTTCTTTAAATAATAAATAATAGCTATCTTAAACCAAAAACCGACATCATATTTAATATGAAATACTCTTGGCATTCCTCCTAAAATCATGAAAGAGGCAATCATACTAAAACCATTATACAATTACTCTAGATGTAGATATTCCAGACAAGGCAGTAATATATATATATAAAAAAAGAAGAGCTGTAACTACAAAATCACCATTTACAGACAATATAATTTTTTCACTTAGAAAATTCAAGAGCATTATCTTTGAACTTATCAACAGATCAGACACTTGGTAAATATGTAAAACATTCATACTATTTCTATAAACAAGTGAAAGCTAATTAGACGGTTGAATTCTTTAGAATATTTCACTCCTGATAGTACCAGAAAATATAAAATACTTAGGAATAACCCTAAGAAGAAAGATATAGAACCTATGTAAAGAAAACTATGAAATTCTACAGAGTGATTAAAAAATTATTTACATGAATTAACAATATATCATGTTCTGAATAAGGAGACTGATTATTTTAACAATTGAAGGTATTTTGAAATTAATTCAGAACTTTTATGCAATCCCAGTCAAAATGCCAGTGGATTTACAATATTGATAAAATTATTCTTTAGTGTATCTGAAAGTATACAGGCAAGAATTGCTAAGATAACTTTTTAACTTGACAATAAGTAGGAATTTCACAACATTTTATTGTGAAAAATTTCAAACTTACAGAAAATTTTAAATATAGTACAGTGATTATATAAACATTTTCACTGGATTCAACAATTGCTAACATTATGTGACATCTGTCTACACAAAGGAGAAATTTAAATAAAAATGAATAAATGGTGTTCTGTTGTAAATGCGATATCAGCTACAAACCCATATCTTTCCTTTCCCTTAAAACACCTCCTCAAAAGAATAACTATATTTGCTATGAGCAGTTTTTAATGTGTGTGTGCATATACACATTCATGCTCGCTTTTCCCTTTAACTCCTTATTATGAAACATTTCAAATATATGCAGATATAGAGTGAATAGCCTGATGTATCCCTGAAAATCAGGTAGTTTTGACACTTAGCAACCCATCACCAAACTAGTTTTATATGCTACCCCGCTACTCTACCATATTATTTTGAAGCAAATCCAGATGTCATGATACTTCATTTGTAAATATTTTAGTACATATCTCTAAAAATAAGGACTTTTTTTTAAAAAACAAAGTATTATCATGCCTGAGAAGATTAACAATAATAATGTGATATCAAATCTCCAGTTCATGTTAAATTTCTCTATCTCATTTTTAAAATCATGTTTCACATAAGACTTATACATTGCAATTGGTTGATATATTTCATAAGACTCTTTTAATATGTAAGTTTATCCTCCATCTCCTTGTTTTTACTACTTTATAGTTTATTTATTAAGGAAACCGGGACATTTATCTTATAGCATTTCCCACAGACTGAATTCTGTTGATCTCTTGGTGTCCTTTTGTTCCTAAAATTTCCTATAAATTGTTTATTAGATCTGGGAGATTGGTTTGATCAAATTTTATATTTTAGCAAAAATATTTCATGATTTTTGTAAAGGTTTCATGGGCACTTGAAAAAAAGGGGTTTATTTTCTCTTTTCAGCATACAGAGTTGCAATTTCAACAGTTAGATTTACCTCATTGGTTACGTTACATGCTTTCTGAGAGAGAGAGCTAGAGATGTAGATATATAGATATATCAGCTGTTATGGAGTTAAAAATCATGAAGTTAAAATCTCATGCTAATAATATTTTTCTGTATTTTTCCTTATATTCTATAGTTTTGCTATATGATGTCAACATTGTATTATTTGATATATAGATAGTCATAATTGTTAGAGTATCATCGTAGAATAAAATATACCTGTTAACATTTCTAGGTGTCCTCTTTTCCCCCTTCTTTAATGCTTTTGTCTATTTAAGATTGTAACCACTGCTTTGCATTTTAATGAACTTAGAAGAGTACAAAACTGTGCAAAAAGTATTATGAAAAATTATGCAGTTGTGGATTTATACAACTTTATGGTATTCATTCATGGATGACACGAAGGAAACAGATCAAATTGTAAATAGTGTTTAACCTCCAAGTGATAGGATTATGAACAGTTTTAATTTTCTTCTTTAAAGTTTTTCCAAAGTTTTCTTTGGTGAGCCTGTGTTATTATAAGGCTCAAAAACATCTATTTTATATGTGTGTGTGTGTGAGACGGAGTCTTGCCGTGTCACCCAGGCTGGAGTGCAGTGGCATGATCTCAGCTCACTGCAATTTCCGCCTCCCGGGTTCAAGCAGTTCTCTGCCTCAGCCTCCCAAGTGGCTGGGATTACAGGCGCCTGCCACCACGCCTGGCTAATTTTTGGATTTTTAGTAGAGACGGGGTTTCAACATCTTGGTCAGGCTGGTCTTGAACTCCTGACATCGTGATCCACCCGCCTCATCCTCCCAAAATGCTGGGATTACAGGCGTGAGCCACTGTGCCCGGCCAAAAACATATGATTTTTACAAAAGAAAATTTAAGAGAAAGTATGCAAAGATAGATTGATTTTCTTAATATTTTCAGCATAGTCTTGCCACAGCTGAAATAGGAAGAGTATTGAACAGTCTCCCTTCCCCCAGTTTTAATCACAACTAAAATCATACACATGCATCTTCCAGTGACGCATTTGAAATGGTGAAATCTGATTGCTAGAAATTGTGATGTGAATAAGTAAAAATTTACTAGAGTCTCTGATATGACTTGAGGATTAGAAGTAGAATATAGGAGGCCTTCTGAAAATCTGTCTCACATTCACTCAGGCTGCCCTTGGTTTTGAGCCAGATAACAAACCTTTCAGTTGAATTTTTTCCATCCAGACACTGGCTTAAATGAAGGTATACTGAACTTGGAGATGTCATTTCAGCATTTGGCTGGAAGAGCTGTTGTAGAGGAGCTTCTTTAGATAGGAAGCCATGAGGGAATTCTCTGAGTACATGCATTTTCACACATCTGCTAATGCAAAAGCCCCGTGTGAGCATTAGTACTCAGGAATGTGATGTGGATTCGAGATGATCTCCACAGGATTTTGGCAGGTCAGAACAAACATTATCTTGCTCCCATATGTTTTTGTAGGATCTTGAAAGGGAAATCATATACATTTCCTTAAACTCACATGCTGAATTTTCCCACATAGACAAAAAACAAAACAAAACAAAAAACCATCTCAGCAAAAATAAATTCAAGAATATGTATATATGATGTTCATATATTTAGCATCTGTTGTCAATACAGCAATGTAAGCTGATGGCTATTGGAATTCACATACAGTTTGCATTTACTTTGATTTATGTTTAAATGGCTTATCTCAGAAAACTTGACCCAAGAGATAAAGACTGTGAAAGATTCCACATTATGGGTAAGTCTTTTTTTTTTTTTTTTGAGATGGAGTTTTGCTTTTGTTGCCCAGGCTGGAGTGCAATGGTGCGATCTTGGCTCACTGCAACCTCCTCCTCCCTGGTTTAAGTGATTCTCCTGCTTCAGCCTCCCAAGTAGCTGGGACTACAGGCGCCCACCACCATGTCCAACTGATTTTTTGTACTTTTGGTAGAGACGGGGTTTCACTGTGTTGGCTAGGCTGGTCTCCAACTCCTGACCTTAGGTGACCCACCCACCTTGGCCTCCCAAGGTGCTAGGATTACAGGCATGATCCACCACACCCAGCCACTGGGTAAGTCTTCTTTAATTTCTCTCTACACTACATTTCCTTAGGTGCAGCATATATGTGACCTGGTGCCCCACACCTCCACTGCTTCCCTGCCAATATCGCTGTTCCCCCAGATGGACACACCTCTCAATAGTTTTGTAGTATTTGATATAACTCGGACATATTCAGTATAAAAACAACCAGGGAACCCCTGTGAAGCTAAGAAAGGATTTTCAAAAATAATAATGATAATATATACTATAGACAAAGACCCTATCTGTTTTTTATCACCCTTGAGCAAACCCAGCCCTATTTGGTATGGGGCCTTACATGGAGTGGGCAGTCATTAAATGTTGACTAACCCTTTTTCTAAGTCTTTTTTTTTTCCTATTTTAATTTTTATTGGGGGGGAGTGGGGGTACTCAGTCCCAGAAGACCTAAGTCTTTTAATTCTCTACTTGTAGTGCCTCTGTAAAGTGATCCGTAATCTGCCCAGTATTAATAGTTTGGCTCCTTTTTCTCTGCAAACATATTATTAAAAGTTGAATAAAGAAATAAATCCTGTGCATATTGGTTGATTCTCATTGGCATATATGCTGACATATTTAGTTTTATTTCATTCTCTGTGACACCCAAGACCTTCTGTAGAACTGAACATAATTTTGAGAGAAGAATGACCACTAATCACTATTTGTTTTCATGTTTTGTGAATGAGTTTTGTTGCCATAGTCTCATGTGTCTAATCAAATTGATCTTCAAACCAGTTCTAATCAAATCAGTTCTTTTATGTGCTTATACTACATGGTTTTCAGCTATCAAATGTTATTTCAAACTTGTATCTAGGAGAGAGATATATATATATACATATATATGTTTTTATTATTTAACATTTGGAGGGAAGTCAGATATCTTTGATCTCATTTCTTTTACTCATTTTGTGTTTGTTTATTTAACACCAATGGTTTCCTATTGGCTTCTTTAGCTGGAAAAATTATTTCTACAGGACAATAAAACCTGGGATTCTCCTCCACAAAATGAAACATGAAGTGATAATACCATTAATCTATTAACAAATAATTGCCCTTGGGTTCTTTTCCTGGTATCTCGAGCCACCAAGATATAGCTTTTACTTGATCTGAATTTGTCAGTCTATAAAAGTAGGGATTATAATATAACAATGCATCTTTTTATTTAGTTTGTTAACTACATTCTATTGTAGAACTGTTCTTATTTTTAAGATCGTAGAGATCCATAGAAGTATTGGCATTCTTGTACCAGTTATTCATATTTCACTGCATGTTAGTATTTTGGCATCATTTCTTACATACCCTGTTATTGTTTAGGGGAAAAATGTGGAAGCATTTCTTGATATTTTTTCACTATTTTTCCCTAGTGAGTTATGTAGTTAATCATATTAAACTGTTTTTCAGTTTTGAAATATGAGAGATTTGTCAGCCCTTTGAAAAAATGGTTATAGTTCATTTTCCATATATTACTCAGCATTATGGGTCTGCCTGCCAAGTGATCCCAGGTGTGGGATTGCAGCAGGTAATTTCCTGAGCTGTATGGTACAGATGATTTTCTGTGTTAGAAGATGCTATCGGCTCACCTGGCCTCTTAGTGACAGAGAAATCCTTTGTTTATTCATTTAGTAGGCAGATTAACCCTAATGAATATTGGCTTCCTGGAAATAGATACAGGTGACAATGGCAAAGTGAGGAGTGGGGAGATGTAAGACAAATTCCCTTTTCTTTCTTCACTTATAAATAATGGTGGCTTTCATAGGAGAGTGTTTTAAATCAGAAAGGAATGCAAAATATTTGAACTAAAAAGATAGATTTAAATAATCAACCTTTAATTTTTAGTTTTGAATGTCTAGGTATGTGTATATTTTTCAGAAGAACTAGAGATTTTCTAATTTTGGCAAATACTTAAAAGTTTTATGTTGCCATTATAGCTAAACGAAAATATTTAATTAAATACTTCATACTGGTTTGGGCAGAGCTACTCACTTGAACACGAAAATGCTTTCCTAATATGTCCTTGTATTCAGATAAATTTTGTGAATTAGAGAAGTGTAACATTCATCAGCCTCTCTCAGCCTGTGAAAGAAAATGTGCATTATTCTGTGTCCTTTCTTATAGTGTGGTCATATTGCTTCAATGACATATTTGTTTTCTCAGAGCAAGGATGAAGGACTAATCTAGGCATCAGAAAATTATTCATAGAGTTATGCTATAAACTATAAAAAGTTCCTAGAAATAAGCTATTTTAAATTCATTGCTTTGTTATGGCTTTTAGAATATTGACAAAAAAAATTTTTATCAATATAATTTTATGGATATTTGATTGTGTAATTATCAATAATCTATGATGAAAATGAAATGTTTGTGATTGCAACTCTTAAGTTTTGCTCACCAACAGAGTACTTTACAACATTTTTCTGTGAATGGTTTTGGACATACACTATTCCCAAGATGGGAATGTATAGATACAGATGTGGAAATCTCTTAATGTTCAACCAGACTTTTCCAGATCTTACAGCTATGATTTATACTGCATTCTCCAAAGACTTCCAAAATGTCTTCTTTTACGTAACTTTATCCATTAGAGGAAAAGTTAAAATTCTTCCCCTCCTCATGCTAAATGCTGAAGATAGGCTTTTCATGATACCTTTTGTAGTTGACTTATAAAAGCTGTAGAATTTCAAGGAAGAAGTGAAAAAACAGAGTTTACCTTTCCACAAAGATTTAAAATTTACGATTTCTTCTAGCTATGGAGTTGAGATTCTACTTGAATTGTGTTATTGGGAATTCTGAGTAATGTGAAATGTATGTGAATTGGAAGCAGTAATAAATTGTGAATGAATCTTTTGCTTTTTACTTAAGATTACTTTATCCTTAAAACTAATGTTTCTATAACCTCTGACCGAATACAGAAGATCCAAAATACTTCCAAGGGTGAGAATTTTTCCTTGCCCGTTGTGAGCAGTTTAATTCATTAGAATTGTGTGTGCGTTGTGGCATGTGGGTACATCAGAAGTATATTTGCAAATTCTGAATTTACATATCACCTTGAGAAAATGTGAGGCAATCCTTTACTGAATTGTCAGTGATACTTATTTTCAGAGACATTAGAAAAAAAGAGCAGTGTATATGTGTCATGTTATCGCACGTGAACCACTGCCTATGTTAAATAGGTTTTTCTTTCCTTTTAGTGAAAAACCGAAGGACAATAGTCATTATATGATTTTGTATTTTAAGTATTTTCATAATCCAACATAAATTGGCCCACCCAAGGATTATGTCTGTTTTATAAAGATGTGTTTATATAGTCATTGGGTGAAAGATTGCAGAAGTTGAACCACTAGTTTTGAAAGTTGAGCCAGACCAGGAAAAATCAGGATACAATTTGGCACTTATGGAGACGAAATGATTTCCTTTTTAGCTGCTGATTTCTACTGGGAAATGTATCCTTGGACTGAAAATTGCATCCGGAAAAATGTTTATGTAGTGTTTTTCAAATGACTGATTATTCTTGTAACCTTTAACATGAACTGTGTCTAATTTTGGTCTCTCTTAACTCTTTCACGACTAGGGGATTTTTCTTTGTGGGAAAAATATTACAACCGTATCATTACTACTTTGAATACAGGAATGTCTTACATGGTAACAAGAATACAAAATGTGTTAAGATTTCTTTCTGGGTTATTTTTCCAAGCGGGTAGTAGAACGCCCAAGGTTATACACCCTTCGTCACAGGCACTTAAGTTTTAGATTGCATTTAAATTAGGATACATCTCGAAACATAAACAAAAGAAAAAAGAGAGAAAAAAAAGGATACATCTCAGCAGCTGCATCTCTTCCACTTCACTACCAGCTACACACATGCAGTAGGAGCTTCTTGACATTTTCATGGGTAATATTTGGTCTTCGCAAGTATCAGTACTTCTCTATTTTCTTTCTTGTACATTTAGTGACTTTTCTGGCTAAATTATTGCTGAATATTGTCCGTCGCAGATTGAGGGGTCTCTATTCCATGTTATCTCCATTCAAGGAGCCAGGTTAGCGAAGGCTTCACCACTGAGTTATTCTAGGTAACCATTAGGTTTATAAATATAAGAGTGTTTTCTCGTGTAAGTGAGGGTTTTATATTACTGATGTGATGTGTGAGTGAGCAGGGATAAGGGGACACTGGACATCTCATGGTGGTCACTTCTGCTTACAACTCATGAGCTATAATTGTGCTGTCCAATACAATAGCCACTAGCTGTATTTTTTTAAATTTAGATTTAAAATAATGAAGATAAAATGTATAATTCATTTTCTCAGTTGCACTAGCCACATTATCATATTAGACAGTACAAGGTTTAGAACATTTTTATCATCGTAGAAAGTTCTGTTGCAGACTACCAGGCTAGAACTTTAAGAGGATGGGGAAGTACAGCTATCTTGTATGCCCAGAGGTGGGAAAGAAGGAAATATTACCAAACTTCAATAATGTCTGTCATCATTGGTAAACTGTATGCTTGAAAATTACTCCTCAGATCCTCTATATCCTGTTTTTCTGTTTTTGGGGGAGTGGAATAGGGAGGAAGGGGGCTACAAAGTTAGTTGGGTGATATAAAAAAAAATAATACATATACACACGAATGCATACATACTGCTTCTGTGTGAAAAAAGAAAACTTAAGGAGTACATACTTGAAATTAACATTCTGCCAAGCAGGAGTCATTCTGTTGGATGCCTTCCTCTGAAGGAAGACTGTATTGCATTTGTGTGGCTTTGGGGAAGACATTCAGCAAAGAACACCACAATTCCCATTGAGCTCAGAAAATGTGATTAAGGAGTTTGAATGTAATTACCCAAAGTTTGGCTTTTCTTTTAAAGAACCCATTCATTTTAGAGATTCCTTGATACTGTAAACCTGACAACTCAATCTGGTTTTCTTTTAGGAAGCCTTCCACCAGGAATAGTGTGAGTCAAGGATGAGTACATGAAGATGAAGCCCATGCAATGAGGACAGCCTAGGCCGTGTTAGGCTTTGACTTAAATCAGATTTCATCTACGGCTGAGATGCAGAGGAGAGACTTAGTGAAATATGCAGAGCTCCATTCCAGTTCCTTTCTTATTTGTTTGATGTACAGGCTTATTTAAGTGAAAGGTGGGACACCAGTAGATATACATTCAGACAAATCACCCTGCAGTTATTGCTCAACAGAGTAATAATAATAGATTTGGAGAATGTTCTGTGTTTTCAAAGACAGAGGTTAACAAGCAATGGACAAACCTTCCGTTCTTCTCTATCCCAAATCGTTTGAATCGTTTGACTGCTATACACAATCCCCAGCACTTATAAAATAAAAAAAGTATGGAGAGAGAGAAAGCAAGTAACCCAGCAGAGTTTGTGACAGAAACTGTTAGCCCTCTTTTGTATTGTTTCTGCATCGTCCTGTCAAACATCTGGAAACCAGCATATTGGCAGTCGTCTCACAACATGATTTTGCATTTACATCATCGTGCTAGCTGGTAGAATTTTTTCCCCCAGGAAAAAAAAATCGGCAACTTTTGGTCTGTCACAAGGTCAAGTGATGATTAGTGATGTAGTCTCTCCTAAACACATGGTTAGCACAGAAAATTTAAATCAGTTCCCCAAAATTTGGTAACCATTAAATTACTTCCTAAGTCACTTCCGGATGTCAGGCCTAAGGTGGAGAGGGGGACAGGGCTATATTGAGTTCTCCGCAGTTTTCTAACAGAGAGATTTAGTTTGGCAGCTGATCCAGCCAAGGAAACGCTCACGCAAGGGCAGAGCTAGACAGGAAACACTTTTGAAAGTGCTGTTTTGATAGAGGATCAGGAGATCAGGCAAAGAGCTGTGAACTTTATGTGTAGCCTAGGCCATGTAGCACTAGGCTAGCCACCTGAGGGTATGGAGTAAGAAAGGAAATTAAAGGAGAAGGGCCAGAGATCTTACAGGCAATTTTCTTTTCTCAAAAGAGCAGTGCTAAAAATTATGAATTTCTTTGAAGTAGAGGAACATAATTAATGAATTTCTTTGTTGTTGTTGTTGTTTGTTTGTAAAACATTCTGCCATCATTATTCACCTTTACATTTTTAACATGATTGTTAGCTTAGACTACGAGAGCTAACCTCACCCATTCTAACCACCTTTTTATAGCTCTCAGAAGAGCTGTCTTCTAAGGAAAACACTGCACTGAGCAAAGGTTGTACTTTTGTAAGATGGACGTTTTATAATGATAAGTTTTGACAACTTGCTCTGGTTGCCATGTGTCTCCCAGTCCTGCTGGTGGGTGGGTATTTGTCAGGAATGAGAATACGTCTGAGATGGTCTGCTTTACAGCAGCCAGTCTTGATTTTCAACTTCCAGGGCCTTCGGCATCCTTTTGGCTCTGTAAACATAGAAGGCTTTGCTGCCCTTGGCTGTGCTGTTGGAGAAAAGGAGAGCATCCTGTTTAGGGAGGTGCCGATCTTCAGTTTCAGAACCATTGTTTGACACCTTTAGTTCCTCCCGTGGACTTCATGTCCTTCCTTGTCCATAGTTTGGAACTTACAATCTGAGTATTCCTTCTATTGAGCTACTCTTCAAGGTCTACAGAAGCCATTTTTGTTTATAAAGCTGTAATTTCTCACAGCAGATCATTTCATTATTTCTGTCTTAATTACAGAATTTCAAAGAAAAATAAAATCCTTATCTGTACTTAACAAAGACTGCCAACACTTTTCCATAGACCACCAATGATTCTTGTTTTGTAGCTTTTTGTTTATAAAGGCAATGTTGTATTCCACAGCATCATTACACACTGCTTCTGTGACTCAGACAGCTGGCAGGTCCAAGATAGAGCATATGGATGATGCTCTAATGACATCTGTCCAGTTGTTGTAATCACATATTTGGTGGACAGCTAAAAGACCCACTTTCACCTTAACTGAGTTTATGTGACTAATTTTAAATTTACTGTAAACACTTTTTTATACGTCTCATGCTTATTAATACTTAATAATAATTCCACAAGTATTTCTCTCAATTCTAAATCCCAGAGCACCATAGAAACTGGCAAAATATCTTCCCAATTAATTATGAGAAATTCATCTGTACAATTTTCTTATTAATTCTCGTATCCAAAAGAACCACAATACAACCCAAGACCCCAATCATTAGAATAACCACAAAACCGATTCTTAATTACCTCTTGCCTGGGACACTGCAGAAGTAACCAAATCGGTCCCACAAACATAAGCCTCTCTAACCCTGCCACCTCCCCCAGTTTATGTTACGTAATATGGTGAGAATCTTCTTCCTCAAATACTTTTTATCCTGTCATCCCTGTTCTCAAGAATCTTCAGT
Organism: Homo sapiens; assembly: GCF_000001405.40. Taxonomy (NCBI): domain Eukaryota; kingdom Metazoa; phylum Chordata; class Mammalia; order Primates; family Hominidae; genus Homo; species Homo sapiens. Next base: position 61,130,592 of record NC_000017.11, read on the forward strand.
TGTATCCCATTTTACACCAGGAAGTTCAAATGTTTGAATGGAGATTTAAAAAGTCTAGCTATGCTTCTTGTACATCCCCTCTAGGAGCACACCCACTCTAATCAAACTGACCTTTTTAGTTTAGCTGGGCTCCAACCAGTTCTGTTCTAGCTCCTGAAGTCAGCGTCAAGAAATATTGGTCTTGGCCAGGAGCGGTGCCTCACACCTGTAATCCCAGCACTTTGGGAGGCCAAGGCGGGCTGATCACTTGAGGTCGGGAGTTCGAGACAAGCCTGGCCAACATGCAAAACCCCGTCTCTGCTAAAGATATAAAAATTAGCCTGGCCTGGTGGCGGGCACCCGTAATTCCAGCTACTTGGGAGGCTGAGGTGGGAGAATCACTTGAACCTGGGAGGCGGAGGTTGCAGTGAGCCGAGATTGCGCCACTGCACTCCAGTCTGGCAGACAAAGCAAGACTCTGTCTCAAAAAGGGGGAAAAAAAAAGATGTTGGAGACCTAGGTTCTAGAGTAAACTCTGCCACTACCTAGCTAGGTTGACCTTTAACAAGTCTATTTAACTTTTTCTTAGGTTATTTCTAAGAGAGTTTCAAAATGAAAAAAAATACTATGTGTTTGTAATTTTATGATTATAATTCCATTTAAGTAAAATAACAAAAATAACACTCGTATCATAGACATTAGAGAGTTCTTACTTGGAAAGTTTCATTTCCTAATGACATCACTGAAACAGCAGGTATGACAGAGGGTTCCCTGACTTTGATAGTTTTAATTATCTTAATTTATCCTCTGTTCCTCTGCCTTGGGCTTATTAAGTTTTGAATTAGGTATGAAAATTATTAAGCCAGGGGTATAAATTACAATTCGTTAAATAAATTCATAATATATTTTATACGCTTAAAATGAAATTATATTCCAAACTCATAATTAAGTATGAACAATTTGCATTTGAGATTTTAAAATAAAGCCTAAACATCGGTCCCTTCCTTCTTCATTAATTTATTTCTCCATAAAGGCCTTTCTTCCTTGAGGTCTGTGAGCCTCCAGGCCTTTGCAGCCTGTAGTGGTCTGCACTTCTCTGTTTTTCTTTCCCTGAGAGTGCTGATTAGTGACTTGCGGTGTGGATTCTGATTTATCGCAGACCAGAGCTGCCCCTTAGGGGCTGAGCAGAAACACTCATGAAGGAGCCCTGATTAAAAAGAGTGGTAATGAAGACAAATGTTTCAGAGGGAGTTGAGAGAAAACCAGTCCTTGGCATTCCCCATAGCTCCTCTGAGCTTTTGAAAAGGAGGTAGTGGTAGCCAAAGGAAATATTTCTTCTTTGTTGTTTATTTCTCATGGCACTGGAAACATTTTTCTTTTCCTCTTGGGTGTTCTAATTCTCACTTGTTAACTGCTTTTCATGCAGGGTTGCAATTAACCCCTGGCAGATACCTCACCGTGTTCTCCTTATAGCCACTCTGTCCCCAAAGAAGTTTTTAATGCTTTGACCTATAACCATTTTAAAATTCTTCAGACTTGACACTTGCCTAATTTCTCAGATCATTAAATCACACTTCTGGTTTTTTCCAGTGATTTTTACTAAATTTGATGTTAGGTACCTATAATTACCTTCCCTTCTTCTTATTTTTACAAGACAGAATGCCAGCAGAAAAAAACAAATTCCTGTTCACTTGGTAATTTTAAACACAACCAGGTCAAAAGTTTCAAATCTAGTGTTAAGTCCGTAACTGAAGGCACCATTCCAAAACTACTTGAGTATAGGTGAGAACTTGACAGATAATTATGGTTGCTTGACCTGGGTCTTGGGGCATCTACCAAATCTTAATGGTAGTCTCACTGTCTGTGGCCATGTGAGCTATAATCTACTGCCCTGGTCAAACTTAACCAAAATTCTGTTTTCTTTCAGAAGATTCCCTAACATTGGAATAAATGGTAAGAATATAGATTGTTTGTGCCGGGCTTATACAATGGGTCTCTAAACTATATTGAGTGGTCAAAATGCCACATTCAGAATACTTAGAGAGGGAGAAAGATAAAGTGCCTTGGAAGCCGTGAAACATTCTAGGGAGCAAGAGCACACCACTGTACATGCTCCTGGTTTGTGTGCTGCAGACTGTGTTAAATGCAGAGGAGGCAAGGTGGAGAGAAGGAAAGACAAGAGAAGTGGAAGATAGAGTCCACTCCCCTATCCCCGTCAATGAGAAGAAGCTCCTTACCAGGTCTGTGTGGGTCACGGGGCAAGATCAAAGAATCCAAGCAAGGTTCATAAAATGCCACCACCCCTGATTCATGACCTGACCTACTGAAAGGTTTAACTTCCAGAGGCAGGTTGTGGTTTCTGATCCAATCAAGTGGATTCCTTTTCTTGGAGAAAGTCTCACTGTACTGAAAGAATCTTGTCAGATATCCAAGGCTAAAGGAAAATTTTAAATCTAATCCAATCAGATGAAGAAGCTGATAAAAAAGGTATAACCATTAGTGGGAGAGCAGCATTTAAAATTCTCTCTATGGCTTTTCTGGGCTTTTTACCTCTGTCTCAACCAAAACCAAAACAAAACCCCAGAACAACAACAAATGAGTTGAATGTTGCTCAGATTTGGAGTATTTGATGTTACCCCTTTCTGATGAACGTCTGAGATTAAAGATCTGCATTAAAGATGAAATAGAACACACTAAGAAAAGGGTTGGGTAAGAACTTTCACACATACTTTGTTTCTATTGAGGTTGGGTCCATCTTGAAGATCAGACTCTTCCCCAAATACAAAGGCAAGGTCAGGGTCTGAGTTAGGCTAACTGATGTCAAGTACAAGTTCTGTAGGAAAAAACAAAAATTGCTGCCACTCATCTACCAAGAGACAAAGATTTAGGCTGCTGGACTAATTGCCAAGTTTGTAAGATTACTTCAGGAGCACCCTCCAGGCTAGTAGAATTCCGTGCAAATTTCAACCATTTGACATTACTTCCCTGTTAAGTAGGGAAGAAAGACTTAGTAATTTTCAGGACTGAACCAAATTCCCCCTCAAGTATTGATACACTCTCTTCCCAGTCTGAAATACTGGCATACTGTTATTTATTTTTCCTGGCTTCAAACAGGCATATTAAGATTTCATGGATCTCTGAATCTTTCTTTGAGGATCTGGGAACACATCAGAAAAACCAGATAGAAAAGAGGGAAGAGGAAATAGGTTATTTCCTTAGCCTCCTGAAGCAAATGAATTGGAAGGGTGCTTTCTGTGACTTTCATTGGCCTGCAACTGCCTGGAATCTCAAAAAAAAAAAAAAAAAAAAAAAGGAAACCCAAAAAACCATCTTTGATTCCTTACTGTGTAATCTTTTAACAAAGTATTTTGCAAACATACTTAGCATGTGATTTTCACATATGTGTTCCAAGGAGCAATGGAGCAGAGTTGGAGAGATGAAAGCATTTGAAGACTGCAAAGTAATTTTAAATTGAGGGATGTACTAACAAAGGAGTCATATACAAAAAGGGAGGAGAGGTAGAGTTGGCCTGATGTGGAAAATAAATATTTCATATAGTCTGCTATAGTCTGGCCAGTATGAATTAAATAAAAGTCACATTCATAATGAACACTGGAGCAATTATACATCCTAAAAAGAAAGGGAAGAAATACCATTTCGTAATAAGAAGATGAGGATCAATAATAGTAGTGAACACTTGTTGATTTTTTAAAAATCAACTGTTAGGCACTGTGCTCAGACTTTATGAGCATTGTCTCATTTTTCATCGTTTTATAAATTAGGAAATTGAGGTCTTGTGAAAGTAACGTGCCTGGATTGACACAGTAAGCTGGTGGAATGAGGATTCGGAACCACGCATGTCTGACTCCAGAGCCCTCGCTTTTTACACCAGCCTCTACTATCTCCCTGTGTGACTCTGGTCAGTTAATCCATTTATAAAATGAGAGTATTGGACTGAGCAATTTCTAGATCCTTTTGGTTCTAGAATTATAGGAAAGTATTTTAAAGTCGAGAGAACTGTGTTATGGTGGGACATTTAGAGACAAACTGAAATGGTGATTGTAATGACATTTCAAGTTAATGATAGCTAGCATTGATGGAGCCTGTACTATATAATTATGTAATTATATTTACAAACACCTCATTTAACCTTCAAAACAATCCTTTTTGACATCAGTTTTTTGTTCCTAAGAAAAGTTAAGTAACATCTCCAAATCACAGAACTAGAATTATTCATGAAGAGTCAGCCACATCAAAGATCCAAAACACGGGTTTTAAGATTTCAAATGGTTAATACTCTACTTTTCTCTTAGATTGTTGTTTTGTTTTTTTTTGAAATAAAACATTTGTACAAGTCAGTAAAAGTGATATACAGTATTTCTTCAAAACTGGAATGTTATTAGAGTTCTTGCTTGAAAATAGTTCCAAATTAAACATATGAGGTTTCCAGTAGTTTGAAGACTTTAGAATCCGACTTGAGATCAAATCGGAACTGAGACAGTGAGGTCACCTAAACTGCGACGTGTGAAGTGCCCTGTTTCATGCTTCTTATAATGACATGATAAGGCCATTAGTATTATCTTTATTATAACAGATGATTATAAATGGTACAGACTTGGTTTCTTATTATCTGGTACTTTTTGTCACTTAGCCCTAATTTTCTTAATTCAAAGACATATTCTGTTAGTACTAGGGAGCAAGTTTAAGACTGACTTTGCCACACTAATCAAATTACATCAGTGTCAAGTGCTCACTAATTAACACAAAATTTATATCTGCATTAGGTAAATGTCATTTCACCACAGTGGCCTGAAATAAGCTTTTTATTCCTTTGAATTAGCATACCATTTCATTGTAAGTATTACAAACAAGCTAATGACAAAATTTAGGCCCATGTGCATTTGTTATTTAGCTGGAAATAGCCAGAAGACAGTCAGTACTTCCAAAGATCTGTAGGAAAATGCCCTGCTTCATTTTTTAACTGATCAGCTAGCTGACTTGTCACCTTGAGGTCCTGTGTGTACATCATAGAAGGGCTTAGCAGACTACTGCCACCCCCTGTCTATATGCAGCCCACGGGCTAGAACAGTTCTCACATTTTTAAATGGGAGGAAAAACATCAAAAGAAGATTTTATGAAACCTGAAAATCACATGAAATTCACATGTCAGGCTCATAAATAAGTTTTAATGCAACAGAGTCATGTCTGTTCACTTATGTATTATCTATGGCTGCTCTCCCTATGATGGCAGAGTTGAGCAGCTGTAACAGAGACCGTGCGGCCTAAAGATACTTACTGTCGGGCTGGTTACAGAAAATGTTTTCCAAACAGAAGCTGTATTCCAAATTCTTTCCTAATGTGGCATACAAAGCCTTTAGGATCTGGCTCCTGTGTGCCTCTCCTGCCGCTGCTGCTGCTGCTGCTGCTCCTGTTTCCGCTTCTGCCATGGCCACCGCCACTGCCGCCGCCTCCTCCTTCTTCCCTGCACCCCTTCGCGCCTGCCTTCCCCGCGACCGGCAGCCTGAGCTCTAACAATTCTCAACTACTAGCACCTCTTAGACTCCAAAATGCTTTGCACCTATTTAAATGTTTTCCCGTGCTCTTCCCTCTACATAAAATCATTTCTTTCCATCCTGAGTACCCATGGCAAGCTCCTATCTTCCAATATTTTTACTTAAGCATCCCCTCTTCTTCTCTGCACCTGGAGCATCTTGGACATAGCTTTGTTTCCACCTTGCATTCACCCACTAGACAGTAAGCTTTTTCAAGACAGATACTGTCTCTTCTTCATCTCTATATCTGTAGAACAGGGTTTCTCAGCGTAAGTACTGAAGGTATTTTGGACTGGACAATTCTTTGTGTGCAGCTGTTTTATGCATCATATAGGATGTTTAGCAGAACCCCTGGCCTCTACCCGTTAGATAGCAGCACGCCCCCTTCCCTCAGATGCCTCCAAATATTGCCAAATGTCCCCTTGTGGACAAAATTGTCCCATTTATTTATTGAGAGACGGAGGCTGGATGTTGTCGCCCAGGCTGGAGTGCAGTAGCGCGATCTCAGCTCACTGCAACCTCTGCCTCCCAGGTTCAAGCAATTCTTATACCTCAGCCTCCTGAGTAGCTGGGATTACAGGTGTGTGCCACCACACGCAGCTAATTTTGCATTTTTAGTAGAGATGGGGTTTTGCCATGTTGCCCAGGCTGGTCTCAAATTCCTGGCCTCAAGTGATCCACCCACCTCGGCCTCCCAAAGTCCTGAGATTACAGGTGTGAGCCACTGTGCTCAGCCAATTGTCCCCATTTAAGAACCACTACCCTGGAAACCAGCAGTAACCAGACCCTGGTGGGTGCTGAGAAAATGTTGAATTATTCAGATAGTTGATTCACATTGAATTGTATACATCAAATGTAAGAATTATGAATTACATTTCAATAAAACTTTTTTAAAAAAAGTATTGGTTTACTATTAGTTATTATTAGTGGCATTATTATGAGGTGGTTTCCATTTGTTTTCCTCAGTGGCCACCAGTGCAACTGATTTTGTCATATACTGTACTCATTGATGCCAAATATATATATCTTATTTAATGCTGACTTCAAACCTGGGAAGTTGATTTGTTTATCTCTTCTTAACTTTTTGGAAATGCAGACACAAAAAGATTCAGCAAATTGCTTAAAATCGAGGTAACTAGCAAGCATATATCAAGGGATACATGACTCGGCTTCTGTCTAGTTTCAAAGCCTGTACTCATTCCATCTGACCATGTTGCTTCCATAAGCCACATGCCAGCCACATAATGAATTTCTTGATTAGAATACAATGCATATACCTACCAAAGATAGTATGTGCATATAGCAAATATGAGCAATTTCTAAATAATGGGAGCATTATTTTTGTTCAAAATGCTAAAAACTGGGGCCAGGCGTGGTGGCACACGCCTGTAATCCCAGCACTTTGGGAGGCCAAGGTGGGCGGATCACCTGAGGTCAGGAGTTTGAGACCAGCCTGGCCAACATGATGAAACCCTGTCTCTACTAAAAATTCAAAAGTTAGCTGGGCGTGGTGGCACACGCCTGTAATCTTAGCTACTCTGGAGGCTGAGGCAGGAAAATCACTTGAACCCGGAAGGCAGAGATTGCAGAGCCAAGATTGCACCAGTGCATTCCAGCCTGGGTGACAGAGCAAGACTCCATCTCAAAAAGAAAAACAAAACAAAATGCTAAAAACTGAATTATCAGTAGAACAGCCCATGTACTCTGTGGACGGTGATGGGTTTTTGTTTTGTGGGAGTTGTTGTTTTGGTTGATTCGGTGTTTCCTTTGAGTCCACTGAGGAGCCACTGTTTTCTTCCATATCTTTAGATCCTGATATGGTAGGACATGCACAATCTATTTTGAATCATCATAAAGATTGAATTTTCAGCCTACAAAAACAAAAGAAAATTCTTAGGGCATCAGTTCTCATCTTTCAGATAGAACCTAGGACCTGTGAGGCTGGTAATCTTTGGAATAGCACTGTATGGTAAAACTTTCTGTGATAATGGAAATGTGGCGTATCTGTGCTGTCCAATATAATAGTCACATGTGGCTGCTGAGTGCTGGGAATGTGGCTGTTATAACCAAGGAACTGAAATTTTAAATTTCATTTAATTTTAATTGATTTAAATTTAAATAGTTGATGTGGCTATTGGCTATCATTTTGAATAGCACAGCTTTAGAAATCTTAGCTTTGACAAAAACCACAAACTTAAGTTTATCCCCAGCAAACATCTTAGGTGCCAGAGACGGCAGATTTGGATTGAATAAATTATCCATGTTGAGTATCTACGTGGGAACTCCTAGTTATACAGTGCAGATTCAGAGATTACTGTTGTACCTTGGCTATGTGACTTACACACAGACCAAATTACTCTGCTGGGGGTAAATTCATACTCCAGTGTTACTTCAACATTTCTGAACATCTTTTTGTAAGCAATTTTGCATTTTTTACTGACTTGATTGTTGTAGTAATTACAAAATAAATTATCCATTTAGGGGGCAGTGTTGAAGCATTGAGGAATAAAAGGATAAATGTGGTATATTTGATTGTTTTCAGTGTTTAAGAACTCTTATTGGAATAAGAGACTTACTTTATTGAAGTCTTATAATTTTTTACTAGAACATTTGTTTTTTGGCTCTTGATCCAAATGACAGCTGAATTTAGGAATTCAGCAGAAAAGTAACAATTCTTTTTGGGCATTTTTCTGATTATTTACTTGGAAATTCAGAGGATTCCATGTCTTGGAATATTTTTTTTCATACCCATAAGATTTGAATGGTGAAGATAAGAAAATTATAATAAGTTGATAGGTTTTCATCAGCAGTACATTCTTAAAAAGAAGAAAAATATTTTATTTCAAATGCTATCCTGAATTAGCTGTAATCTTCAAGTTATTTTTAAACCCACTTTATGCTTTTGCTTACATTTGTTTATTAAATCTATTAGATCTAGAAAAAATTAGAGACAGAGATGAATTTTTTATTCTTGGATTTTCAAGAATTGTTATCTTTTTATTTATACCTATTTTCCCCCTGTACTTGTATTGCTAGTGATAGAAGTTCTGAATTACGGATACATTCTTAGGCTTAAAGAGTACACATTTTTTCCCTTAGAGTTATAGATGATCTAATCTAAAAAGTTGGAGGACTTAAAAAGAAAGTGTGAAGATTTTTTTTTCTTCATTTCCTGATTTGCTTCTTTAAGGAAGTGCGAGAAGGTTAAAGATGTCTGTGATCTGGCCAAACGAGGTTCACAAATGCTGTTTTCATATTTGTGGTTTTGGTGTTTCCTCTTACACATGTGTCTTCCTTCTTCAGTTTCTCAGTCTGTCGAGAGAGCATGGCTGCACCCTGTGCATTCTGGGCACACATCATCTGGGCTCAGTGCGGGCTTTGTTTATAGCAGAAGCCATAATGTATAATGTTCAGGAGTGGGTGAGCTACCTAAGAAACTCCCTTTGAAGGATTCCTTGTGTGGACTGCTTATCAGAAAAAGTGTAAATGCTATTATTGACTGTTTCCTAGAACTCATACATGCAGTATAGTTCAGTGCGATTAAAAGTCATCATGCTACATGATGTAGGGAATATAAAAAATGAAGAAGGCATGCTCCCTGGCCCCCAGAAACTTGGAATTCAGTTGATAAAAATACAACCCTAGTGACCATAGAATAAGGCAGATGGAGTTCTCTCAGAATGCAAAGAAAGGTAAAATTTGTTGTAATGGGTGATCAGAGAAAGTTTTATGGAAAAAATGCCGTTTGAGCTAGAATTTGAGGAATACGTGGAATTTTGGCAGGAGAAGATTGAGGAAAGGGATACCTACTGTCAAGACACAAAGTGATATGACCGGGCACAGTGGCTCACGCCTGTAATCCCAGCACTTTGGGAGGCCGAGGTGGATAGATCACTTGAGGTCAGGAGTTCGAGGTCAGACTGGCCAATATAGTGAAACCCCATCTCTACTAAAAATACAAAAAATTAGCTGGGCGTGGTGGTGCATTCCTGTAAACCCAGCTACTCAGGAGGCTGAGGCAGGAGAATCACTGGAACCCAGAAGGCGGAGGTTGCAGTGAGTCAGGATCACACCACTGCACTCCAGCCTGGGTGACAGAGCAAGACTCCATCTCAAAAAAAAGGAACAGAGTCACCAAGACATACACATACTGGACCAATTTGGGAAAGTACGGAAGTTTGCTTTGAATATATAGCAAAGGATATGTGAGGGATAGCTGTGGAAGATCCAACTGTCAAGGAAGGTTAGGACCAGACTCTGAAAGTAGAGTGCTGGTGGGAGATGTGGAACAGGGGACAAGAGATGGAAGGTTTTGAGTTGGGGAAAAGTATTCTGGCAGCAGGATTGAAACATTAAAGAAAAGTAACCCTGTTAAGTGGTTATCACAATCAAACATTTACCAAGTAATCACTGCAAGTGGATTCAATTTGTAAAGTCACATAAAAGTTGCTTATCTCTCCACTTTTTTTTTTTTTCTGGAGAAACAGCACTCTGGCATTTGGCCATCTTAGTATGGCCTTTATATAACTTTGGAATGCAAAAGAAAAGAGAAAACTCTCTTTGTAAAGTCAATTAAAAGCTAATTGTTTGTGATTTTTTAAGTTAATAAATATATATTTACATAGTTTATAGTTGTTACATAAAACTTTCATGTTCTTTTCCTTATGAAATGACTCTATGACTTTGGGCACATTACAGATTGTAATGTAGTGGATTGATGGTACATGATTTAAGGGAAATCTTGTACTAATCTGCAAGTATCCTGAAAAATGTTAAGTAAGGAAAAAGCATGCCTCCCTGTGCTCTTTGTCCATTTGAGTGTTTTTTTTTTCCCCCAAAAGTATAATAGTGAAATGGGGCAGGCATGAAGCCCGTGAGAGATCATTGCTACCACTTCTACTTTTCATTATCATGTCTCTTTATCCTGATTCACCTGTACAGCGGGACTAGGCTGGTTCATTTCAACACAGTAATGAGTATTCATCCTCTGTTGCCCTAAGAACTTACACCTACTGGTTCATAAATGGTCATAAATGTTCAACATTTACGAATTTATGTTGAAGTACATAAATTCTTCAACAAGGGGCCTTTACATTCATATGTAGGGCATTTGGTTGCTTAAATATTGAAACAATTATAAAGAAGTTAAATTAGGCTGGGCATGGGGGTTCATTCCTGTAATCCCAGCATGTTGGGAGGCCAAAGTGGGAGGACCGCTTGAGACCAGGAATTTGAGACCAGTCTGGGCAACATACCAAGACTCTGTCTACAAAAAAAGTGTTAAAAGTAACCAGGTATAGTAGCAGGAGTCCATAGTCCCAGCTACTTGGGAGGCTGAGGTGGAAGGATTCCTTGAGTCCAGGAGTTCGAGACTGCAGTGAGTTATGATCACACCACAGCACTCCAGCCTGGGCGGCAGAGCGAGACCCTGTCTCAAAAAATAAAATAAAAGTTGAATCACCCACGTTTTAGATTATGAGCTTATTAAAACTTAAACAGGCTGGGCGTGGTGGCTCACACCTGTAATCCCAGCTCTTTGAGAGGCTGAGGTGGGCGGATCACGAGGTCAAGAGATCAAGACCATCCCGGCCAACATGATGAAACCCCACCTCTACTAAAAATACAAAAATTAGCTGGGCGTGGTGGCGCACGCCTGTAGTCCCAACTACTCAGGAGGCTGAGGCAGGAGAATCGCTTGAACCCAGGAGGCGGAGGTTGCAGTGAGCCGAGATCGCGCCACTGCACTCCAGCCTGGTGACAGAGCGAGACCCCACCTCAAGAAAAAAAAAAAAAAAAAAGTTAGACAATTATACAGAGATACTCAAGTTCTTGAAAGAAGTTTGTTGAGGATAAGATTTATTTAAATGGAGTAGTTTTACTCTTATTTCCACTCTCATTTTCTCCTTTTCCCCAGATATATACACCTTCTCATTTATTGGTGTTTATTACATGTAAGATTCTCTTGTTTTATTTTTTTTTAATGAGCTAAGTTTATTATTAAGGTACTTGGCTATGTACTGTATATACCTTATCTCATTAATCTTGTTGACAATCTGCTAGGTAATTGTTATTATTTCCATTTTAGAGACGAGGAGACAAAGACTTAAAAAGGTTATTTGCCCGGTTAGTAATTGGCAGAGCCAAATTTAAACCCAGATCTGTACAATTGAAGCTGATGTCTTAACTACTATAGTACAGCGGCTTTCTTGATGCTAGATGATGTGGCCCCAGTTTTGGTAATGGAGGAATACTGATCCAATCCAAAGTGGATGTTTGCATGGAGGAGTCAGAGAATTTTAAGAATGAAAGGGTACATGGAAGCCATCAGCCCTCATGTAAAACAAAAGTCCTGTGTATCTGATAAATGTTCTCTGTTTAACTAGATTTGTATAGTGCCCTGGGAGTACTAGTTAGCATTAGTAACAACATTCTGGGGCAGGGGAGGGTGGGGGAACGTATCATCAGAAAAAATGGATTTGGGGATATAGAGGTGAAGGCAGGAAGAGGCAGTCATATAGAATGATGTGCTTGGAAGATCTCTGCCTTTTCATGTACTGCATCTGACAAAAATGGATTTGATGACATCTGGGATTTGCTTCAAAATAATAGAGGAGGAGGGAAGTGGATTTGGATGTGGATGGGACGGGATTGGCCTGGTTTGATGGTTGTTGGGGTTGTATGATGGATGCATGGGTTTTATTATGTTTTTCTATTTTGATGTATGTTCAAAATTCTCCATAATAAAATGTTTTTAAAAGTTATTTGAAAGTACTGTTTCCATGATTTTATAGTGGTCAGATTATGTATATGTTTTCTTATCCAAAATTCCCTTGGTTTTTCTCAGAAGCTTTTTCTTCTAGCATTTGTTCCCTTTTAGAATCTCCCTCACCTCTCTTTCTGATTATTTATTAAAAGAACTCAATTTTTTCAGTGCTGAAGGAGAAGTTAACTATCAAATGCCCATATAGCTACAGTATTGGGATAATTTATCTAATTTTTCTTATGAGTAAGTTCTCTTTGACTTTATTTTTGAACTCAACTTGCTTGCATTGTTCTTGTTAGTAAAAAACATTGCTAGGATGTACTTAGTAATTGGAGTCAGCTGCACTTAAGACTGTTCAGCCAGACTGTTATTTTAGCCTTCACTAGTAGGGTTTTTAACACCAGTTTGACCTTACTTTGAAACATTCTCAAAATACCATACTTTAATATCAATTTATATACTTTCATATTAAGGCAGGGCCGGGTCCCTGGGGAAAAAAATAATGAAATTTTTACTTCCCACAAATGTAGAATAAAGGTAGATATTCTGATTTTGTTTTTTAAAGAAAAATAGAGGTAAAGACTTTAAAATTTTTCTTTGGTCAGGACATAATGCTTGCAAATACATTCTAAAATATAAGTGGGCCAGGCATGGTGGCTCACGCCTGTAATCCCAGCACTTTGGGAGGCTGAGGCGGGTGGATCACCTGAGGTCAGGAGTTCGAGACCAGCTGGCCAATATGGCGAGACCCCGCCTCTACTAAAAGTACAAAAATTAGCCCGGCATGGTGGCGTGTGCATGTAATCCCAGGTACTAGGGAGGCTGAGGCAGGAGAATCACTGAAACCTGGGAGGCAGAGGCTGTAGTGAGCCAAGATTGTGCCACTGCACTCTAGCCTGGGCGACAGAGCAAGACTCTGTCTCAAAAAAATAAAATAAAATAAATAAAGTATAAGTCACAGAAAGATAGGACACCTACAAATTAGGGGTGCTGGTTTCATTGGCCAGTGTGTCCTACCATTGCTTTGGGATAGAGACTGAATCCTCAGTGTGAAGCACCAAGTAGATGGTGATTATTCATGAAATCAGAAAGAATTTTTTTTCTGAAATACTAAATTCCCATAACCTATGCAAATTACATTTTAGGCAAGTAATGCTCAAATTTTCTATAAGTGTTCTGAAAATAAGTTATAAGTTTTTGTTCATTTCATAGGAGGACAGTTGACTCCTTTCTACTCTTTTTTTTGCCGTTGTCCCTATTTTTTGCCACTGGTAAACTCCTGCCTAGAGGAATGCCAGAGGCAGAATAAATTTTGGAGCATGGATTTTTTTTTTAAGGAGGGTTATAGTATCCTGAAGACTTCATTTCTTTCTCTGAAGACACAACTATCAGCAAATCCATATAAGGCAAGTGACTCCCTACCATCTCCTCCGAGTCTTCTACGTGTATGTCTAGATACTATGACAGATCCAGTGCCTGTGAAGACCTGGAACATTTCAGACAATCACACAGATGTTTTCTTATGCTATATATAGGAATTAAGCAAGTGTTTCATAATGAAGTGTCCCTCCAAGCATTCTCTATCTTCTGGTAATGCAAAAGTGTTAGACATCCAGTAAGCAGCCCTTTTTAGGCCTAAAATGTTGACTACTTTATCTCTGTTACCTTTCTGAAATGTTTGGCCTAATATTTTTTATAACATCTCTGTGAAAGTTTGAAAATTTATGATTGTTGATCCTCAATAGTCAAAAAAGTAGTCATTTAACAATACAATATTTCTCTCGTGTTCTTGAGCATGTATTTAAGTTAGCTTTAGTTAACCCTTTATTTTCTGGACTTCTTCAAGTCAGCTCTCAGAATTGTTTTTACGGGTTGCTGAGGAAGCTAAAGGTCAAAGATATTTTCTTAGTCAGTTGATTTACCTCAAAGAATTACTTCATGTAGATTAACTGAAATAATGATGCTGCTAAGATTCGCAGATTAAGATCATTATAGCATTTGAGTAGGCCCTCAGTGACAAATTGCTCTAAACCTGTTTGGCTCACCACCATAAGGTTTAAAACATAAAAATATAAAAGTGCTTAAAATTTTCTTTCTGTTTCCTTATCAGAAATATTCATTTAGACCATAACAACTGTTAGAACAAGATAACAACTCCAGGCCAGCTGTCAAATGTTTACCATTATCAAAACTCTCCCTGGAGGGAGATGCAACTTTGGCTCGCCTCACCGGCAGTAATTTAATTTTTCCTTCATTCTGACTCGGAAATGGCAGCATTTTTCAAAGCTTCCTCCCACTGATGGCTGAAATTTTCCTTGTGAAATGATTTCCACCAGTCTTGAATCTTTCTTGTTTCTGCCGTCTTCACCTTTGCTGATGGTTCTGCAACTCATCACCAGCTATGCAAACTGACAGTTCACATCCTGGGGCAGCAGCGGGGTCTGGCCTGCAGAAAGGAGCAGCCTGACCAAATTTACGCTCACAAGATCTCTTAATTCACAAAAGCATTTGCTCTAGTTCCTGTTCTCTGCTGCAGGGGCTACGGAGAGGGAGTGGGGGCTGGGGGAGGACCATTGGGAGAATGTTCTGAGGAGAAGAGAGGCTCTCTTCACACTCTACTGAGTACACAGACTTTGGAGATGAAAAACAGACGGAGAGAGGCATTTCCAACCATCTTGCTGATCTGTGCAGGAGTTCATTGAACTGTACAGCACAGCACCAGACCCTTGTGTCATTTAATGTTACTTTAAAAAATTATTCTTAAATGTTCAGCACAAATATCCCTCCCCTTTTTACTTAAGCTGAAAAAGAATATAAAAATTAAAGAGAAATTGAAAATCTAAGTCTTGCAGTGAGAATGACCAGAAATCGTTTCCCTCTCTGGGGGGTTCCTGTTTAATATGAAAGTCCTCTTAACAAGCGTGGACAGAGGAAGTTTTAGGTTTGATTTGAACTTCATGTACAAGACATATTTCATTTTTTTTTCTTCCCTCACAAATTTCAACCCAGGCCACTTGTTTGCAGAGACTGCCAAACCTTCCATTGCCGCTTCCAAGATACTCCTGGAATCTGAGATTACCTTTTATCCTCTTGATGGACCATGTTGTTATTTTTGTCATTTTCCCTGCAGCTCTTCTGCTTTGCTGGGGAGGACTCATCCCCCTATGCATCATCTACCCCCCGATAGCTGACACAGTACTGTTCACAAGGTTACTTACTGGTTTTTTGTTTTTTTTTTTTTGAGACAGTTTCACGCTGTGGCCCAGGCTGGAATGTAGGGATGTGATCACGGCTCACTGCAACCTCCACCTCCTGGGCTGAAGTGATCCTCCCACGTCAGTCTCCTGAGTAGCTGGGATTACAGGTGTAAGCCACTACACCCAGCTGATTTTTTTTTTTTTTTGGTGTTTTTTGTAGAGACAGGGTTTTGCCATGTTGCCCAGGCTGGTCTCGAACTCCTGGGTTCAGGGATCCATCCCCCTCGGCCTCCTAAAGTGCTCGGATTACAGGTGTGAGCCACTGTAAGCGACTATCCAGCCAAGGTCGCTTACTTGTGTACCAGTTTGGGTCACTCTGAAAATTGCTTTGAAATACTTACTGTTTAAAATGACTGAGCTCTTAGGAGTGTTTCTGCCCTCTCCCCACAACCCTCAAATATCTAAAACAACCTAATCAAATTGGTAGTTTTCATGGCTTTCAAAATGGAACTAAAATTAAAGTAAAAATGATAGAATCTTGAGCTAGAGTGGCAGATTTGAATTCTAGGCTTTGCTGGTCCACTGATGATGTTCATTTTCTTTCCTTGTGACTCTCATAATCAGAGTAAAAAGATGAGATTGTAAGTGATAACACAATCCATTCAGAATGTATGACTTTGCTGAATTGAGGTTGATCTTTAAGTGTGAGTAAAATGTTATGCAAATTGGTAGTTTAAATAATATTTCAGAGGGGAACATGCACTTGCTAGAGAAAATGAAAATATTTCAAACCCACTTAGTTTTTTTAATGGCAGATGTTTCCTTTTTTTAATTTAAAAAAAATTTTTTTAAGACAGGGTCTTGCTCTATTGCCCAGGCTGGAGTGCAGTGGCGTGATCATGGCTTACTGCAGCCTCGACCTCCCAGGCTCAAGCAACCCTCCCGCCTCATCCTCCCGAGTAGTTGGGACTATAGGCACACACCACCATGCCTGGCTAATTTTTTTTTTTGAGACAGAGTCTCACTCTGCTGCCCAAGCTGGAGTGCAGTGGTGTGATCTCGGCTCACTGCAACCTCCACCTCTCAGGTTCAAGCGATTCTCGTGCCTTAGCCTCCTGAGGACCTGGGACTACAGGTACGCACCACCACACCTAGCTAATTTTTTGTATTTTTAGTAGAGACGGGGTTTCTCCATGTTGGTCAGGCTGGTCTCAAACTCCTGACCTCAGGTAATCCGCCCGCCTCAGCCTCCCAAAGTGCTGGGATTACAGGCATGATCCACCGCACCCGGCCATACCTGGCTAATTTTTGGTTTTGGTTTTGTAGAGAGGGGGTTTCACCAGGTTGCCAGGCTGGTCTTGAACTCCTGAGCTTAATCAGTCTATCCACCTTGGCCTCCAAAAGTGCTGGGATTACAGGTGTGCACCATTGTACCTGGGCCAACAGGTGTTTCTTGTATCAAAGTAGCGCTAATAGATTTCTGTTTCTCAAAGTGTTCTCAAGTATAACTCACCTGCTTCCTTGTTTCAGACTGGCCATTTCCCTAATTGCCTGAATTAGCGGTGTTTTTATATTCTCAATAAAGCTTTGGGGGATACATACCTTAGAAATGTATAAGTTGGGGCGGGGCACCGTGGCTCACGCCTGTAATCCCAGCACTTCGGGAGGCCGAGGTGGGCGGGTCACCTGAGGTTGGGAGTTCAAGACCAGCCTGACCAACATGGAGAAACCCCATCTCTACTAAAAATACAAAATTAGTCAGGCGTGGTGGTGCATGCCTGTAATCCCAGCTACTCGGGAGGCTGAGGCACGAGGATCGCTTGAACCTGGGAGGCGGAGGTTGCAGTGAGCCGAGATCATGCCATTGCACTCCAATCTGGGAAACAAGAGTGAAACTCTGTCTCAGAAAAAAAAAGAAAGAAAGAAATGTATAAGTTGGTTGGGAATGCAGCTACCAATACAAGATACAGTATGTGCTAAATTCCACAAGGAACATTGTTGACAGTAAGTGCTATAGGAATTTTAGATAAGTAGAGACACTCAGAAGGTTTAGAAAACTGTGTGTGTGTGTAATTTATATTAATACATCTCACACACACACACAGAAGTTTTTGTATTATTTCCAGAGCTTGATATATTCTCTGCCCATAAAATGTTTAGCTGATAGGTCTGTGAAACTGCCCTCAAATTTGGAGCCAACTCATTTTATTTGGTGTAGTAGCTCATATAATAGTTACCTTTTATTGAGTACTTACTATGTACCAACCATTATGTGCCAGACACTGTTCCAAACACTGTGTTAAACCACTTCATGGAACATTCAAAAACTCAGAGGCTACACTGGCTGGATTTAAGTGGTGGGGGTTATACAGCAAATTACCTACATTTAAGGTTGCTGCTGCCGTTTCATTCCATGTTGCCAACTGCAGAAATGTGGGCTCCGTGTTCCCAGACTTTCCATTTAGTCAAAAGAGACAGGAAATTCACATTTTTATGGATATTTCCTGATTTTTTAAACACTACAGGCTAACTGAAACAGTTTGTGACTTTTGCATTGTATGTTCCACTCCATTTTATCCTCATAACATCCCTACAAGATAGGTATAATTATTTGTATTTGCGCACTCTCAACACAGCTAATACAGAGCAAAAGTAGAAATCTACTGCAGGTCTGTCTCCCTCCAAAAACTATGTTGTTATTGCGCTTCCTCATCTGGTTCCCTAAACTCATGAAGGTGGTACTGTTGGCAAAAAAATGTACTGTTTGGTTAAAGCCAGGCCCTTAACAAAATTATCAAACAGCATGGTACTGTACCACAGAGTGCCATTTTCCAGAAAACAGTTA
This sequence comes from Homo sapiens, assembly GCF_000001405.40. NCBI lineage: Eukaryota > Metazoa > Chordata > Mammalia > Primates > Hominidae > Homo > Homo sapiens. The sequence goes on from NC_000017.11 coordinate 61,148,928, forward strand.
TTTATGGCTTTGGGAGAATTGATTGTAACATGAAGATAATGATAACTGCAAATATCAAACAAAAGCTCTGTTGACTTTGCTCCAGATTTTTTATTTCAACCCCATGGTACTTCTAGAAAAGGCACACAAATACTCTAAATTGTTAACAGAGTTCTTCAAGTTTCTCAAAGAGTGGCAAAAATATTAGTGGCAATTTTACAAAGCCTGACCTTGCCAGAAAGAGATATCAGTAGTTCTCGGTGTCTACTAAATATTTAATCACTTTTATTAAAATTCTAAATGAACTTAGACGCCTTGAGGAGTTAATGCACCTCCACAAACCTGCTTTCCGCTGGTAAGATCAGGCCCATTATTATTATTATGTACAGCTGTAAAAAGCTGGTTCCATAGCATAAATTGCGAAATACTTAGGCAAGAAGATTATTCGAGAAGAATTGTATTGCTTGTTCAGTTATATATTTTGATCTTTATAGCTAGTAGTTTTTTTTCTCATGAGAGTTGGAGATTAACCTTGCTTTTAATGTAAAAAGTATATCAGTGAGGGTAAAAATAGAAAATGAAAATAGATTTTTAATGGCAACTTTGGTTCTTAGCATTAATTTTACATGCATTTTTCATTCTGAACTTTTAAACAGTTTTGAGAAACATATGAGAGATTTGTGAACAGGGGCAAGGGAGGGTCAAATGTATCAAATCCTTGGATTCCAGCAAATGTAGGATTTGTGGAAGAGCTGAGAAGCACACATGTGTTGGGAATGTAAATTAAAATAAAACCCCACTTTGTGAAGGCTTTGAAAAGAGAGTGCACCCTGTTATGGCAAATGTCTGAGGCGTTTGTCTTCTTAATAAATTAACCAAATATTAAAATAAACATTACTTTTATCAGCCTGCATTTTTCCTCTCTGGATGAAAGTGTTTCAGGAAAAATCATAAAAGAATCTATGGTAGCTCAGAGAGGTTAAACTCAACAGTTGTTTTCTTTGAAGTCTCTGGCCATGAGGTTAATTGCCAAAACTGCTTGTGGAAAAGGTGGTAACAATTTAACAAGACTGTACAACTGCAGAGACTTAGATGAATATCAGGTGTTTGCAGATGTTTTTTCCTAACAGGAAAGGGGGTGGGGAGGAGAGGCGGAACAGAATGAGAAACAGGGGAAGAGAGAGGCCTGAATAAAGTCCCAACTAAACAGCCAATAATTCTTTGTTTGCTTAGCCAATCATCCTGTAATTGGCCAGGAGGTTAATAGGAGTCTATTGATTGGTCAGGAAGATTGCTTACTGTGGCTGTTTTTACAGTATGCTCCCAGACAGAAGACTGCAATTACTGGAGCTCTCATTCCCACTCTTTAGGGCCATGGCTGCTCTGATTTATGAAACCCGATCAGGTTGCTGTTGGCAGTTTATGTTTTAAGTGTTGCCTTCTGGGTCTTTGCTGCTTATGGGTCACTGTGCTATTTCTCATCATTTATTGTGGTCATTTGAATAGGTAAGCTTATTTATGACTTACTGAAGTAGGAATACATTAAAAGTAATAACCACCACCCACGTGCACTGAAAAGTGGGAACAATCGTACAAGATGTGTGACAGAGCTCTGCTTGTTCTAGAAATAGAGATTCTGCTACCAGTATAGAGTTTACAAAAGACCAGGAAATAAAATAATACAGCCCTTCCTTTCTCTGTCTTCAACAGACATGTTTCTCAACTCTCCTCATTAATTCCTGCTAATTGATTACACTTAGATTTGCTTTCGTATAACTTCTCATAATTAGATTTGGTTGCTGGTATGTTAGAGTTAGGAAACTGAGGCCAAGTTGTAAATGTCTTTAACCCCCAGACTGCTTTTGGAACTTGTGACAGGGCTCTTCTAACTTAACCCATCCTGACCTGGTCTTGACCTTAGCATTACTAATAAGGTACTTACCTCATCATTTCGTTTCTCACTTACTGAACGTGACTATAAATCCTCCTGTTACTCAAGATCTTGGTTTTCCACACTTTTGCAAACCTTCTTTTGTAGTTCCCTGGGAGCCCAGTTGAAGGGGAGTAAATCTTTAATTCTGATAAGGCCCTGGAGCCACAGACTTCTGTGTAGCCACATCTAGACAACTGAATTTCACTTACACTTCCAACTTCTCATTTAAAGCTACAATGACCACAACTACTGCAATGACTGTTACTGCTACTACTACTGCTATTACAGGTTGACCATCCCAAATCCAAACATCTGAAATCTGGGATGCTCCAAAATTCAAAACTTTTTTGAGTGAGTGCCAATATTACACTCTAAGGCAATGTTCATTGGAGGATTTTCGATCTTCAGATTAGGGATTCTCAACCAGTAAGTATATAATGCAAATATTCTAAGATCTGAAAAAATTCAAAATTCAAAGCACTCCTGGTCCCAAGCATTTCGGATAGGGGATAATCAACCTATACCACTACCTCCTCCTCCTGTTTTTTCCTACTTTTTTTTTTTTTAACCTGTTAAGGTCTTCCGCAAATTCCTGCATTGCTTCTAATCTAAACATCTCTTTCATTCAACGTTTTCTTTTTTTTTTGAGATAGGGTTTCACTCTGTCACCCAGACTGGGGTACGTGGCACAATCATGACTCACTGCAGCCTCAACCTCCCTGGCTCAAGTGATCCTTCCAGTTCAGTCTCCCATGTAGCTGATACTGACTAGCACGCCCAGCAAATTTTTAAATTTTTGGCAGAAACAAGTTCTCGCCATTTTACCCAGACTGGTCTTGAATTCCTGGGCTCAAGTGAGCCTCCTGCCTTGGCCCCGCAAAGTGCTGGGATTACAAGCATGAGCCACTGCACCTGGCCAACATCTATATTTTGAATGACTGTTGTATGCCAGGTGCTCTTGGCAAGGTCTCTGGATACAGTGTTGATGAGATAGACCACAGGCTTTTCATGCCAATACTCCTCCTGCAAACGTGAATGTTCCTAAAATGCACCAGACTTACTATAAGAAGTATGGCAAGCACCAGCTCCACATAGTGACACAGTACCGGAAGGGCAAGGATTCTCTGTGTGCCCAGGGAAAGTGGTTTTATGATAGGAAGGACAGTGGCTTATAGTAGTGTGTCTGGAGTTGGTTCCTTCGGTGGGTTCATGGTCTCGCTGACTTCAAGACCGTGGACCTTGGCAGTGAGTGGTACAGCTCTTAAAGATGGCACGGACCCAAAGAGTGAGCAGTAGCAAGGTTTATTGTGAAGAGCAAAAGAACAAAGCTTTCACAGCGTGGAAGGGGACCCAAGCAGGTTGCTGCTGCTGGCTGGGGTGGCCAGCTTTTATTCCCTTATTTGTCCCCTCCCATGTTCTGTTTTTGTCCTATCAGAGTGCCCTTTTTTCAATCCTCCCTGCCCTTAGCTACTTTTAGGATCCTAGTGATTGGTGTGTTTTACAGAGCAATGATTGGTGCATTTTACAGAGTGCTGATTGGTGCATTTTACAATCCTCTTGCTAGCTACAGAGCGCTGATTGGTGCATTTTATAATCCTCTTGTAAGACAGAAAAGTTCTCCAAGTCCCCACTCGACCCAGGAAGTCCAGATGGCTTCACCTCTCAGTAGGCAGACTGAGCCTATTTTTCTAGAAAAGGGTTAAAACTAGGAAGAAAATAGTGCTAAGGCTTGAACATGTTGAGCCCAACCTCAGATCTAAGAGAATGCTGGTAGAGGAGGTAAGAAGAGAAGAAAGGGCCAAATGATCCAGTTCTAAGTTTCAATCTTTTTATTATTAATATTATTGTAAAGATAATAAAGTCTTAAGGTTAACTTCTAAAAAAAAAAATACCCCAATACTGCAGATTCCTGGTCATTCTCCTTCCTCAAAGGACCCTTTTAGTTTGGTGAGTATACTTCTCTCCACAAATCAGTGAAAGATGTGCTTACCCCAACTGGGGCAAAGGATCTAAAACAGCCTCCTGGAGATTTATTTTTCTGTAAGGGAATCCCTTATTGTTAAACTGTTATTTTTGTACTGCCTGAACTGGGATATAATGCCTTTTCTACTTCCTTCTTTTGAAAGAAATTTTCTATCATCCTATACTAACTTACAGTTTTTCTTGTCCTCCTGAGCTTGCTGCAGCTCAAAAGAACCTTCATAATTTACTCCCCTGTCTGTCAGTAGAAGCTGGAACTCCCTTTCTCTTCCCATAGCTTCTGTAAATAAGAGAAGTGGCCTTTTCCTGCCTGTCTCCCATTACCTCACTTTAGAAGTCTCTTCTGGTGGTAATCTCACCTTTTATGAGAGTGTTTTCAACTATTGTAACTAACTTGTTGTTCCCATAATACAATGTTGTAGGACAGTGCTAATCCGACTTGTCCTTCAGTGTGGTAATTATGGGCCAAGTAAAGTAAAATGTTAGTTGCTAAGTCTCCAGTGGGGTACTCCACCACCAGTTCTACTGGACTTTGAGAATATCATTCCTGCCTTTCTTCTTGGTTCACGTCTAGGCAAGATTACCTCTTTTTCTCTGTTTTCTTACTATTTTAATAATTGTTTTTACTATGAATATCAGAGGGAAAGAGATGACTTTGCCCTTAAAAGATGCTAGCCACATAATCTCTGCAACCTCACCAAACCCCCAGTGTAAGGTAGCATCTCCTATTTAATTTGGAATTCATAAGAGAAGTTAGCTTGTTACTTTTAAATGGACTACAGTTTCTTTATCATCTGCTTTACCATAATCCAAAAATTTCAGAACCCCAGAGGAAGGTCCTTAAGATTAATTATCTCTACCATTGTATGCCGTTAGAATCCTTGTATCATGTATCATTTTTTTTCTTGTTTTTTCGTTTGTTTGGCTAAACTTTGCTGTTTACCTCATTATCAACTTTTATATCAGAACTCAACAGCAGTCATATTAGGATTCTTTAGTAACACAGCGATGTGTGCACTTTTATCTTCCCATTTGGGGGTGAAATCTGCCACTGTTTTCCAAACGAATTAACAACCAACCAACAACCACACACAAAAAAGGAATAATTCATGTTCTGACACTAGCCAGCTTAAAAGTCTCATTGTTTTGGTATCCTTTCACTGTTGCTAAAGAAATTAAGAGGATGGAGAAAACAACAATCCATTGGTTTAGTGAAGGGAAGCAAGGTTGAGGGAGTAAATGTGATGTTCATCCCCCCACTGCCACTTTGTTCTCCTGAAGGACCTTTCCTTTAGATATTTGTCGCACTGCCTTCCTTCAGTTTGTTTTCTTTTCCCTTGTTTTGTTTTGAACCAATGTGTCCTTTGAGGAAGGAAGGAAGGGAGGGAAGGAAGAAGGAAAGGAGGAGAGAAGAAAACTCATGTAATACAGCCAAGATTGTGAACTGAGAGTTGGGGCAAATGCAATATTTGGTGATGCAACTATTTCTAAACCTTTGTGTGCTGGACCAGCCTTGACACAGTCACCGTTTTTTGGAACAACTCGGAGGGATTTTCTTTGCAAAAATTCTGTGATTTCAGTTTTCATAGTTCCAGGACTAAATTGCCAGCACAAGCAATTTTTTTTTTTTTTTTGAGACAGGGTCTCCCTCTGTTGCCCAGGCTGGAGTGCAGTGGGGGGATCATGGCTCACTGCAGCCTAGACCTCTTGGGCTCAAGCAGTTCTCCCAACTCAGCCACCCCAGTGGCTGGGACCACAGTGTGCACCACCACACCTGACTAATTTTTTTACTTTTTATTTTTTTCTATAGATGAGATCTCTCTACATTGCCCAGGCTGGTCTCAAACTCCTGAGCTTAAGCGACCCTCCCCACATGGGTCTCCTGAAGTACTGGGATTACAGGCATGAGCCACCGCGCCCAGCCTCAGAGGGATTTTGTTCTTGAGAACTAAAACGTGACTTCTGTTAATCATCAGAATATTTATTTAATGTGTTTAATGTAAAAAAGGAATTACATTTATTGTAAATGAAGGCACTAAATATATTTTTACTCTTAAATTACAATGTTGAAGTATCCTTTTGATCAAATGCAACTGGTTTTTTTTTTTTGGTGGGGGGTGTTTGGCTTGCAAAAGATAAATCATTTCAGAAATGTTTTTCTATTTGCATTTTTTCTTGAAATTTTCTTTTGAGTATGGAAAAGTGATCAACAAACAATACAGAGAATTTTTAATGAGACATGTCAGGCATCGTGGAAGGCTCTTGCCTGGGTCACTTATGTGATGACCTCAACAAACCCATTTTATTATACAATGAAAAAAGTGTACGAAGCTTACATATGATTTTTTTTTAAGTTTCTTCCTGCCAGAGCATGGATTAAAGAAACTTTAGTAAAGAGTAAAAAATTTTAAAACACACAGTTTGATATGAATTTTGGTAAAAGTTATCAGAGACAAATACTAGTGGGCCAACGAAAACACTGTATTTATAGGAAAATTTGAATTGGGGCAATAAATATGTCCTGAGGCTTTGGTGGCATCAAAGTATTGGTGCTTTATTTTTTGTGATTTATTGTTTTATCAACAGAAGTGAGCACTTGTGTTCAGAAAAGGATAATTCACACTTAAATCTTGTTTTTATTTAATCAAGCTTAAATAACAGGTTAGAGTGGTAGCAAAAAAAAAAAAAAAAAGTCTAATATTTAGTTTGAATCTTAAATTGGTCACCCAGAGCTGCTCTCTCTAGGAGCGAACCTCTCTATTTGTCAATAAACAAGAGAGAGATACAGGCTCCCAGATAACAGGCATTTGGTAAACTGGCGACAGTCATACAAGCGAGAATGTTAAAATGACTTCAGCTCTTTCTAGCTTCATTATGTCAGCCTGGCAGATCACATATGGCATTATGGAAATCAGCAAATGAAAACCATATTGATCAGCATTGAGAACAAATGTAAAAAAGGTGGTCTCAGGGAGGAGCAGAGAAGAAGAATGCTTTCCTGTTCAACCTGATAGGCCCTTGTTAAGGCCTTTTAATCATTTATTAACATAACCCTCCTTCTTCCCTCTCCACTCAGATTACCTCAGCCACAGAGCATCCTGCTCCATTTATCTTTTAATGCTTCCTTTATTTAATTTATTTTTAAGCTCTAAGTTATACTCTTATTTCAGAATTGAGTTTTACTTTTCATGGTATTGTTTAAAGTGACTTAAATGACTTTTCCCAACAAGCTCACCAGGCATTCAAAGGAAGAAAAGCATTTGCTGAGATTCACCTATCAGCAAATAATTTACTCGGTATGCACCACAAACAAACGCAGAGAGACAGAGAAAGACAGTCAGCCAGACACATTAAAAAAAAAAAAAAGAAAAGTAAAATCTGAGTTGTTACTAAGCCTAATTCTCTGGTTAAAGTTTGGGTCAATGTATTCATTTTGGTCTTCTTTTCAGGGATTGGAATTGAGCCTGGTAAAATTCCTTAGGTCTAAAACTGGAATCTCAGGCACCTTCTCTTTCCCTCTTCATTTTCTGAGTTCGGGAGAAAGGTGGACTTTTGTTTTATCTTGTTTCTTTTGGGGGAAACTTAGAGTAATATTTGGTCTGCCAAAATGAGATAGAGAAATGGAAATACGTGCTTTGTGGAGGATCCTGTTTTCCTTGAGTGTCCTTACCTGAAATGGTCTCTTTGGTTTTGTAGGTTCAGACTGAGGTTGGAACGGGCTTGCTTCTCTCTCTCACCTTCTCCCTACCCAACCCCTGCCTCCCCTTTTATTTTTATGTCGAGTTTCATCATTTGGTAAGAAATTTCAGAGGGATTTTTAAATATGAAACTGTGTCTTTTTGTAGTTGATGAGTAACCTGTGGATGTGAATCCTTGGAATCCTAATTGGCACATAACAATAATTGTTTCTATCCTGCTATAAACCATAAGTAACTCCTAAAAAAATTCACATGCACACAAAAAATCTGCAGTGTGGATATAAGTTAATGCCCTGAAGCTGGTACATACAGACCACCTCAACGATGGACTCCTTTATGAATGATTTAGGTAATTGACACAATTTAATATTTGCAATTATTTTTCCTTTGAAACAACACTTAAAAAAAACAAATTCTACAACATTTAAACAGTTGAGGCATCACTCTCCTATAAATTTAGTATTAAATTTCAAAATACGTATTTGTTTTAAAAAGCAAATGTGGTTAATCTCGAAATCATTGAACTTTCTCTTTGCTCTGGACTCCTTGTCTGAGGCTGTTTGGGATGGATTAATTTTAACTTTTCTTTCCTGTTTCTTTGCTTTCCCAGTGCATCTGGGGGAAATAACTCTGATTGATTTGGATATCAAAAGATGTACAATGTGAAGATCTAATTTATCAAAACAGAATTCAATAATTTTATTCATTTTGGCTCTCCCTTGAGACTCCAAAGATATATTCAGTAATATATTTGAAAAATCCAGGTATAAAAATGTCTTTTATCTTCTCTTCATCTTGTATACTCCTTGATTTCTAAGTACTTTTCCTCTTAGACTCATATTACTATCCCACTTTCCTTTCTGGGCTCTACATCAAACAGTGTAGGAATTACAGCAGGAGTGCTATCTGTGGAAGACTTACTCCCCTTGTTTGTTGCAGAAGAGCAGAACATTAAACAGTGAGTGGACTATGCAGAAACGCTCTCCCTCTCCGGCTCTTTTCTCCCTCCCTGCCTCTTTTTTTTTTTCATTCTTGCCTCTCCTTCTCTTCCTCTGTTTCTCTCTTTCTCTCTCTCTCTCTCTTCCCCCCCACCCGCCCCCATTCCCAATGGGAGTGTTGTTTATAGAGCATTATAATTTATAACTGAAGAGAGTGGATTTAATTTCAGTGGAGAGGCTCGCCAGCAGGGCGCCAGCCTGCAATCATATGAATCAGCAAGCTGCAAACTCTATTGAATGGAAAGTATTATCGCTGGCCACAAACGGACACTGTTTCTCCTAAACAACTCCCTTGGTGCAGGAAGACCTTGTCTTCATTCATCTATTTTACATATCTACTTCTGTTTTAATTTTGCCATTTCCTAAAAGTGTTTTCTGTTTTAGATTGCAGCTTTTCTCTAACTACCTTATTTCCTGATGCAATATTGAAAACTGCTATTGTATATTTCTGACTGATTTGATATCTCTTCTTTCCTTATTCTTTACCATGTATGACTAGTTTTCTGTTTGCTTCTCCTTCCTATATGCAACTCTTTTTTTTATGAGACCTGTTAAACCTGCCAAAAGACTAACCATTAGCATTAATACTGTAAAATGCTAGTCAGTTTGGATCACCTCAAGTTTTATTTAATCATGGATATTTTGTTTATACTCCGACATTTTTTCTACATTCATGGAAAGATTTATTTTGTTGTCTTGCAAACATCTGGGAGATGATTTCTTATTCTTTACATGACCCATCAAATGTCTTGTAATGTTAGTACTTGTGCCTTTATACCACATTTTTCTCAAGTGTTTCAGTCATTTTTTTAGGAAAAGGGATAGAATATGTGCATGACTTGTGGCTGGTATTTGTTTTTTGCTTTAACTCAAAATCAGCTGCTTTAATGTAGCTGAACTAAATCTCTAGGTTATTCTAAAAATCAAGTTGGACCAACTTTGCTGATACCTTTTTAAGAAGTATTTTACTGAATTCATGTAGCTATTATAATTGTTGGGAATTTTGGTAGTGAATCTTTAACTGAGGTTAGACAGATTGCATTACTCTTGCATCAAATATCATGCTATCTTCATCCAGGCTTTTAAATAATTTCAACACCTATGCCTTAACAATAAAATCCCAGTTGCACAAATAGCGGGTTAACTGATAATGATATTTGCTTAAAGGGAAAGAGGGATAGTACATGAGACAGTAAGGCAGCTCCGATAAAGGAATTTGATTTCGATTTCATTGGAAAGCCAGACTAGTCTGACTACATTTATTTAAAATAAAGGTCTTTAAAGATACTAACCGAAATGCAAAAATTAGCAGATAACAAAAGTGAACTTCTAATAACAAAACTTCTAATCAGAAATTTGATTAGAAGTTCATGTTTTGTCAGAAATAGATCCTTTTTGTTATATAAAAGGAAATTATTTATACATCAGCTTGCATATTTTCTTCACACAATTTAACATCAACAACTCAAAATATATGTAATCATAATTTTTCTCATTTCAAGCACAAACTTGTGAATCCATATATATTCATACATTTTATCCTTTAAAGTGTGAGAATAGAGTTATAGTCTTCACTGTCTCAGCTAGGTTTTTCTTTTCTTTTTTCCTTTTTGCCTTTGATTACTCCATAAGAATTACACACAGAAGCAGAAAATCAATATGTTTACCTCTGCTTATTTTCAAAATTGAATGTTGCTGTGGTTTGATACCAGAGACGGTATACCCAGTATCAGCTTTGAGAGATTTTGTTTGGTTTTAGTTTAAAATTCCTTGTGTGTGTGGATATTACCTCTGACAACAATTAACTATCAGTAAAAGTAAAATGTTCATTTTTTTTTTCCCCAAGAAGTAGTGAGTGAAATGAAGAAGAAACTTGTGAGATGATTTCAGGTGAACATCTTTCTAAATCCTTTTATTCATGACTTAAAACCATTTGGTAAGTCTGACCCAAGATGTATGGATTTTTATTGAATTATTAAGATTACAAAAACTACAGGCAGCTATCTTCACACATATCTTCAGACAGTAATCTTGTGCATTTTTAACATCCTTGAGGAGGTGGGAGAACTATGTTGAAGTGCAGACATTTGATTAAGGTTGGAATGACTCAACAGTAGTGAAAACACCCTTGCCTTCATCTTTTCAGAGGCCTGGAGAGGCAGACCCTTTGTCTTTTCACTTGAGTCCTGCCTTCTTTGTTTTTGTGTTTTGTTTTGTTTTTGCCTAAAAGATGTTCCTCTCTACCTGTAATGTAACATTCAAGAAAAATCTGGTTTATCTGTGCCTCATCCTGATTAATTCCTATTTTCAAAATCTACCATAAGAACTTTCAAAATCCAGTCCTAGAACAGATAAGTTGTGTTTGCCTGTGTATTCTATGCAAAAGATTAGTTTCTTTAAATTTATACACACAAGTTAATACCTTTGAGAATTTTCTGCAATTGAAGTAAAAGAAAAAATATGTGGTTGGCATCTTTGATTTTTTTTTTTTTGTAGTGACAGTCTCGCTGGTATCTTTGATTTAAATAAAAATATATATTGAAAATAGAACCATCTATAAATACATTTGTCCAAAATCTTTATATGCTACTAGATTCAAAGATATAAATTAACTACAAGGAAATGCCATTCACTAAAAAGTTGCTTTTTATCATTTAAAGCAGGGTGGTTTTTTTTTTTGCAGAATTTTTGCATGTTATGGTGACCTGACTTCCTAACATATTATCTGATTCCTTGATCAGAAAAACTTTATAAAAATAGTCTGAGTTAATTTTTTTTTTAATTTACTGGATAACCTTGTAAAAGTCCCTCCACTAGTCATATAGTGAATATGTCACATTTAGGTAATTGCCATTGCCGTGCTGGATGGTTAATATACGGAATTTCCGAGCACTGATCTAATAGAACTTGCTGGGGCATCATGGCAGACAAGTATGTCTCCCCTCCCTGTGACTGCGCTCCTGCATGGTATGCTTGGCAAGCTTAGCAAAGCTTAAAAGTCAGCTGCATCTGTGTGATCCAACTTTGCTTTGACTGGGAGCAATTGAGTACACCATTTGTTTTTTCTAAATATCACAAAAATTGTATTTTCCATTTACTAGGGCCTTTTAAGAAAAAAATGCCTAGGGCTGATGGTTTACCAACTTTTTTACCATCTATGCCTCCAAAATATAAAAAAGGTCATGGTCTTACTACTGATTATAGTGGACCACACTATGGTCACTCTAGTTAAAACTGTGACCTTGAAGCGGGGGTTGGGTAAGGAAGGCCCTACTTGTGGCAGCTTTCCTCCACATTTTGGAGCTTTGATGTGTTCCTGCAGCTGATATAAATGCAGGGAGGGGGTGTCAGGGAGAGGCAGCTGGCTGGCAGCGACAGATTAAAATATTTCTGACCCACAAATGTAACCAAATGCCCATATTTCTTCATTTAACATAATTAATGCCTTGTATTTCCACTGACTTTGATAAAGTGGCCTTCCTCTTCCCATCCCATCCCCCTTCCCTGTGTCAACTTTGGGACGACTACAAGAGATCTATAGTTAAAATACTCTGCAGATGATGAAGGATAGCATGTCTGAAAAAAGCTAACATAAAAGTCTCAATTAGGTTGCTGCCTAGCAGGAAGCTTATAACCACATTAAAATGGAAAAGTTATTTCATTTTTAGTATACTGTATTTCAGCAGCAAGAGTTGCAATCTGAGAGTAATATGAAACATTTTGGTTTGGCTGCCAAGTACATCCACATTTTGTTATAAATGTATAATTACAGGAAATATGTGAAAAGTGTTAAATATTTCTTATCAAATATTGTTAAAGAGGTATTCTGGTTACATTTGGAATTTAGAAAAGGCCTGGGATGGATTTTGATCATGTTACAAGGCCCACTTGTTGCATTTAATTTAAAGCAGTTGTCCCAATTTCATTACCACAGAGCATAGCGTTTTCAAATTTATTCTTTAAAAGACAGAGATAGTGGCACAAAATGTGCTGTGGGTTTAAGCAATATTTGATTGATCATGTGATTCTATCAGTATCTTTTTTTTCTTTTATTTTGCCTCAGTATACACATTTCTGAATGAAAAGATAGACGATGTCTTTATTTTAAACAATCTAGTGGTGGTTGAAGAGGCCATCTGGAAAGGTGATGTCAACGGAGGGTAGGGTGGTTGCTGGTGGAGGGGAGTAGCCAGCGCCCCTCCCCTCAGCACACATACCAGCCCCCGCAATTCCAGTTTCATGGTGCCTGAGTTGCTGTCTGGTTGGTTGAACTCATTCTCCTCAGCTTATATTTAACTCGTCGCTTGTTCTGGAAAAGTAGTAGTACTGCCTTCTCTGGCCTTTATAAACATGATTGCTGGACAAAGATGAGCAGCACGGATTTGCTGCGATGGTCAGAATTCAATTATATTACTCTCTCTGAGGCAAAAAGCACACATTTAATAACTAAATTGGATTCCTTCTACTAAGAGATCCTAAATTCGTGTTTAATAGCCAGCTAAATGTAGAGCTGATTTATATTTATAGGCTGGTTGTAGATTTGGTTGATAGAATATAAAGTTTGATCTGTATGTGGATGGTTTTACTACCCCAAATGAAATGTACGTATCCTGGTCCTGCACCATGTTTTTCTTCAGTAAAAATTGAAGATATTTTATTGGGAAATATCCTGGGTAAGTAAACAGTGATTGCAATGTGTATGGAGCCACGGTTCTTACAGGAGTGGGTATGGTTCACATAGGAAGTGGGAGCCTAGTTAAGATTCCGATTCTCTGTGGGATGGGGATAGGTAGGGAATCATTTCTCAGGAGAAGGAGAGCTTGCGAATGGAAGGGGTGTTCCTGCCAGCTGGGTTTCTTTGCATTCCCAACAGAAGGTTGTTTCATATGCATTTGCCTCTACAAGAATATTCTCACACCATAGATATAGAGAAAGGACAGGTATATACATCGTATTTTATTTGAAGGTATCCTGACAGAATTTCTGCCTATCTTTTTTCCTGCTACAGTCTGTTGTACAGCAGCAAGACCAAGATGATTCCAGTAATAAGCCTTATTGGTATGGTTCACTGATTTTTTTGGACTCTGCATTTATTTTAGCAGACTTCCCCAATAACATTTTGCAGTTTTCAGCTTTTAGTTGTTGAAAACAAAAATAATAAGTAAACCAGTTCAGGGATATACTTCTCTTTCTGAAACTGATTCCATGTCATAATGCCCTCCTTGGGGAGGAGCAACGTCTCCAGCCGAGGCTGCAACCCGAGGAACCACTCCTGATGGAATATGAGAAAGAAAAGTGTATTATTTACATTCTTAATGTTTTGCCTTTTGTTGTTATTTGGGACACTCAAGAGGACCAACATGACGTTAGAGCTTTTTACTTAATAAATTATATACATATATATCTTGCTTAAGTTTTATAGGTAATCCTGGAAGTTTAGTCTTACTTTGGGAAAAGATCAAGGCAACATTCTATTCACATTCGTTCAGCAAATATTTGTTGAGCACCTATTATATGTCATAATAGTGAGTGCCTAGAATACATTTACCAGAGGAAATGTTGTTCCTACTAAATGAGTAAAACCCTGCGGCACACACGATAAATATTATTTTTAAAAAGTGGTTTTAGGCCAGGCCTGGTGGCTCACGCCTGTAATCCCAGCACCTGGGGAGGCCGAGGTGGGCAGATCACGAGGTCAGGAGATCAAGACCATCCTGGCTAACACGGTGAAACCCAGTCTCTACTAAAAATACAAAAAATTAGCCGGGCGTGGTGGTGGGCGCCTGTAGTCCCAGCTACTGGGGAGGCTGAGGCAGGAGAATGGTGTGAACCTGGGAGGCGGAGCTTGCAGTGAGCCGAGATCACGCCACTGCATTCCAGCCTGGGCGACAGAGCGAGACTCCGTCTCAGAAAGGAAAAAAAAAAAAAAAGTTTTTTTCTATGCTAAAATTTAACAGATCAATTCTTCTCAACTATTAGGAGATGGGATGGTTTCTATTCTCTTAACACCTGAATGACCAAGATACTTTAGATCTGAAGTATAATTACAGTATGTTTTTCCAGGGCAGAGCTTCTCAGAGTCTTTATTTAAAGGTTTCATTTCAGAGTCCTTTATGGAATGTAGATTAAGAAGTAGTAATATTCCATCTACCCAAAAGTCAAACAAACAAATTTTTTAAAAACTCAAATAGCCAGGCACGGTGGCTCACGCCTGTAATCCCAGTACTTTGGGAGGCCAAGGTGGGCAGATCACCTGAGGTTGGGAGTTCGAGACCAGCTTGACCAACATGGAGAAACCCCGTCTCTACTAAAAATACAAAATTAGCCAGGCATGGTGGCGCATGCCTGTAATCCCAGCTACTCGGGAGTCTGAGCCAGGAGAATCGCTTGTTTCTCCTCTGCCTCTGGGAGGCAGAGGTTGCAGTGAGCCGAGATTGTACCATCGCACTCCAGCCTGGGCAACAAGAACGAAACTCCATCTCAAAAAAAAAAAACCAAAAAAAAAAAACCTCAAATAAATCAAAGATTTATTTGAAATGACCAGATTTTTGGGCACTGAAATCAGTGATAAAGACATGACTTTTTTTTTTTTTTTTTTTGGAAACATCAGTACTGGGAAATTTATAAAGCCCTTAATAGAAAGTGATAAAAATACTATGGAATCATGTGTGTAGTAATTCCGAATCAATGGCAAGATGTTGAATTATCTTCTAAATTTTTAAAGAAATACTATGTTCAGGGTAGTTTTTTATTAAACATGTGCTATGGTTTCAATATGTCCCCAAAGTTCATGTGTTGGAAATGTAATCTCCAATGAAAAGGTGTTAAGAGGTGGGACCTTTAAGAGGTGATTAGGTCTGGGCATGGTAGTTCACACCTGTAATGCCAGCAACACTTTGGGTGGCCAAAGCAGGAGGACATTTGAGGACAGGAGTTAGAGACCAGCCTGGACAACATACTGAGACCCCATCCCTACCAAAAAAAAGTAAACTAGGTCATGAGGGTTCCACCCCCATGAATGAATTAATGCTGTTATCGCAGGAGTAGGTTAGTTATTGCAGGAGTGGGCTGGTTATCGCAGAGTGAGATTCTGACTAAAGGGTGAGTTCAGCCCAATTTGCTTGCTCTGTCACATGCTTGCTTCTGCCTTCCATCTTCCACCATAGAATGACCCTCACCAGAGCCTGGTGTCATGCGCTTGGACTTCCCAGCCTCCAAAACTGAGCCAAATAAACCTTTGTTCTTTATAAATTACCCAGTCTGTGGTATTGTTATAGCAGCAGAAAATGAACTAAGATAGCATTCTTCATAATCTTCTAGTTCCTTATGAGTTAGTATCCACAAATGATGGATAAGATACCTGTTCATTCATAAGCATGTTCTGTGTACTCCAGCATGGTATTCATTTCCCGATTGGACCACTTTCCTGGTCCGTTATGGAAAGGTGAACAAACAAACAAACCCCACATGGACATTCAGATTGAACAGTGATGATCCTTAGTTGGTTCTCCATGCAGGTGGCTGTTAAAGAAGCAGAGTGCTTGACAGGCCTGCCTGGGAGAAGGCAAGCAGTAACAGTTTCTATCCATTCAATTCTTACTCCTTTTTTATGCCCTTTCCTTACCTAATAATTTCCCTAATTATCTGGTATATTTCAAAGGAAGCTCTGTTAGGACCAACAGCATGTAAATTAGACACTTTTCTCCCAAAAGGAGCCTTGGGATCCAAAGGAATTAGAATGAACTCACCAAAGAAGCCAGATCCTTTCCTAAAAGGGTACTTAACCTTAGTGCCCACCAATGTATATCCTGGCCACATATATTTTCAGTAGTATTATGCACTCTGAGGACATTTACATTCTTTTTTAAAAGTTATTCTACTTTTTTTTAAAAAAGTTTTAGGCTGGGCGCAGTGGCTCACGCCTATAATCCCAGCACTTTGGGAGGCTGAGGCGAGTGCATTACCTGAGGTTGGTAGCCTGACCAACATGGAGAAACCCCATCTCTACTAAAAATACAAAATTAGCCAGGCATGGTGTCACATGCCTGTAATCCCAGCTACTCGGGAGGCTGAGGCAGGAGAATTGCTTCAACCTGGGAGGCAGAGGTTGCAGTGAGCCAAGATTGCACCATTGCACTCCAGTCTGGGTAACAAGAGTGAAACTCTGTCTCAGAAAAACAAACAAACAAACAAAAAACTTTTAAAAACTATTTTTTAAAAAAATACTAAAAAAGTTATCCTACTATTTTTTCAAAAGTTATTCTCTATTTTTAAAAAGTTATAATTTCTAGCGGACTCTTCACTTACATTACCTGGATTAATACTTGAAAGAACTCAAAGAGGCAGGAATTACTATTTTATATTTTATAGATGAGTAAATGGAGGCTTAGAGATGTTAGGTTATTTCAGCATAGTTACTAAGTGATAGAGCTGGAAGTCAAACTGAGGTTTTGTAAATCTAAATTTTGTCTTTCCACCAAGTGACACTACATAATTCTTATGATGGTAAGGACATAGCTAAAGTAGGTAATTGCTGCTTCAGCTTCTTGATGAATGAAGGAAACTGAATCTCATAAGTTTTTCCCTTTTTCCCCATAATTGCTAGTTTAGTCTTTGCAAAACAAAGCACCTCTCCCAGGATTCCTTTTGGCAGATTATCATCAAGCAAAATCCTCGAATTCCCTCATGGCATATTTTTTGTCCTATAAAGTATCTTATTTAACTGTAGCTTCATCACGGTCTTCCCTCCAAACTACTTACTAGTTAAAAGGCACTTCGTATCAGGCCCTTCTAATAGCAAATAGCTCCATAAAGCATTTCCTTTTTTTTCTTTTTCTAAACGTTTTATTATTATTGTTACTCTCTCTCTCTCTCTCTTTTTTTTTTTTTTTTTTTTTTTTGAGACAGAGTCTTGCTCTGTTTCCCAGGCTGAAATGCAGTGGTGTGAGCTCAGCTCACTGCAACCTGCGTCTCCTGGGTTCAGGCAGTTCTCTTGCCTCTGCCTCCCAAGTAGCTGGGATTACAGCCATGCACCACCATACCTGGCTGATTTTTGTGTTTTTAGTGGACACGGGGTTTCACCATGCTGGCCAGGCTGGTCTCGAACTCCTGACCTCAAGTGATCCGCCTGCCTTGCCCTCTCAAAGTGCTGAGATTACAGGCATGAGCCACTGCACCCATCCTGAACTTTTTATTATTTTTTAGTTTTTATTTTTAGAGACATCATCTCACTCCGTCGCACAGGCTGGAGTGTAGTGGCACAATCATAGATCACTGTGGCCTTCAATTCCCTGGGGTAGAGTCATCCTCCCACTTCAGCCTCCTGATTAGTTGGGACTACAGGCATGTGCCACCATGACTGGCTAATTTTGTTGTTGTTGTTGTTGTAGAGATGGAGTCTCACTACTCACTACTCCATCTCTACAACAATGTGGAGACCCAGGCTGGTCTCCAACTCCTGGGCTCAAGCGATCCTCCCACCTTGGCCTTCCAAAGTGCTGGGATTACAGGCAGGAGCTACCACGCCCAGCCGAGCACTTCCTTAAAGAATCTATTTATTTTGTGAAATAGGTAAATATTTATTGAATGCTTATTGTGTTTTTAGCAGTGTGGGAGGTGAGAAAACTTTTCCTTTCCTAATTCAAGGAGCCTTAGTTAGGAAAGATGAGGCATAAGTGCATTTCAATTACTTAAAAGATGAAGAAATACCACAAGGCACTATATGAGTAATTGCAAAATTAATGGCACAGAGAGTAAATGCTTATCGTAATATTAGAATTGTAACACTGATAAAGTCCTTATCTAGTCCCACTTCCTTAAAAGAAGATAAAACTCAGAAAGATTAGCAATACAGGCTTAAAATTATACAGCAAGATATTGCCAGGTCTAGAATTCAAATTCACATCTTTTGACTACCAGTCTCTCACCTGAACTAACTCTCTCCTTGAACTGTAGATACTTAGATTTTTGAGAGGGAAATAAAATCTCACTATAGATAGTTTTAAGCTTCTGACACAATCTAGCAGATGTCTGTGAAACTGTGTGCTATACCCTGGACATTAGGCACTAGGTACTAGAAAAGATGGTCCCCTGACTCAAGTAGTTTACAGTGTAATAGGGTAGACCTCTAAAAAACTGGACTACAAGGTAAACTTAAGGAAATGACACAGAAGAGCTTTACGTACATATGCTGTGGGAGCCCAGACATTGGAGGAGAAACCCTGTTTATCAGGACTGGGGCTTCTTGTAGGGGATACCTTTGAACAGATGGCATTGTTTGGAAGGACATTTCATACAAAGGAAAGGGCTGTGACTTGCATTTTGTTTGTTAGTGCTTTGATGATTCGTAGCTATTTTCTTTTTCTAGTCTCATTTTTGTTCCCCATGCCTACTTTTCATCGTCTTAGCCACCTGTACACATGCCTCAGTGCTAAAACCTACATTTCGATATTTGCTGTAACTATAGGTTTACTTCTCTCCTCTTTGGTATCATACGGCGCTGCCTGCCTCCTGATGGTAGACATCATTTTATTTCTCCATTGGCTTTTATCACTCATTGGAAACAAAGGAAATTTATGCCCACTGACAAAATTAAGCATTGGCTTATTTCATTTGCTGGGTCAGGTTTGACTTTTCTTTTTTCCCATCTGTCTCCTTCTGTATGTTTTTGATTTCTCTAACTCTAGACTTTTTTTCTACCCTTCCACAATTTCCCCTCTGTTAACTCCCACACTCTGGAAGATCTTTTTGATGACTCTTTGATCCAACTCTGTATTTATATCTATCATGCGGACCTCTCTCGTTCCTTGAGCCTTTTCTATTTCTCCCTTCTCCTATATTTTGTATTTGGCATTGAATTACCATCCTGCAAAATGGGCTGACTCCATTTTGTGTAAAAAATAAATGCAATCAAATGAAAGCTAATTTATTTTTAACAGGGACTTTGAATGCCTGGAGATTAGGTCATAATTTTCTCACCTTTTCAAATATTTATCTCTAATTTTCCCTCCTGCCAAAGTCTAGAATTCCAGAGTGTTTTTCCCTAGTAATTTAATTAGGCCACAAGTTTGAGGCTTAATGGTAGATCAAAAAATGTATGATATGCTTGAGAGATCAAGACAGCAAATTGATTACTGTTGTAGCAAAGGTTGGCAAATGTGGGAGAAGGAGCAGGTTCTGCCCTGTGCTGCAAGATCTGAGTCAGCGATCAAGGTCAGTCTCAGTTCATTAACTTCTTCTGAAGGCTTATAGTCATTGCAAATATAACTGCTTATACCTTATGTTATCATTATATAGTACGGTTTTGGAATGACTTATGTTCACCTCAAATGTGTCCTAGAGTAACAGAAGGATGCTGAAATGTCTAGAGTAGTATAAACTGATTTCTGACCATTTTGCCTAGTTTCCTAATGCCCACAAATGGAAAAGTCTCACCTCTCAAGGTATAAGTGTGGATAAATACTCTCACATGTGCTGAGATCAGACAGGGGCCTGCTTTTAAATGAATCATCCAAAAATCATTATTTATTTTGAGGAGCAATATACAAGGATTCTCACTGTACTTCCAGCCAATACATTATTTAACATTAGAATATATTTCATATTATTAAGGTCTCACCATTAAGAAAGATGTTTTCTCAACAGTTCTAATACCTATGTCATTCTTATGTTCAGACAATACCAAAACTCTTTTTAACTGTAAATTGCTACCCTTAAGCCCACTTTTAAATGATGTTTAATATATTCCACTTGAAACAAAATGGCAAATCATATTAAGCTTAACAGTTTTTGAGAAGTCTGGAATGAAGGTAACATTTTATGTGCCCAGTCCTTTACATAGAAGTAGAATAACTTGGTTTGAGATTTTTGTATGTGGATAACCTAGCTGTGCAATGAGATAGGATTCTTTTTCCTTTTCTTTCCTTGTTATTTAAAAAAAATTGAGATGGGGTTTTGCTATGTTGACCAGGCTGGTCTCAAACTCCTGGCCTTATGCAATCCTCCCATCTTGGCCTCCCAAAGTGCTAGGATTACATGTGTGAGCCCGGCCGAGATAGAATTGTTTCATTTAAGGATTCCTCAGTGTACTTTAGAAGCACTCCACACCAACCTTTATAAATAAACAGAAAGTCAGAAAAATTGTTATACTTTTTCATTTGTTAAACATATTTTAAAGACCATTTGATTTTCAGACAGTGGTGGTGGTGATAAGATAATGTATTGAGGTTGTTTTTAAGCCAAGAATATCTGTGGATATGGGACCATTTTTACTTATCTCATGTAAAATAGATTTTGATCCAATTTCTGTGAGTTGATTTTTCTGAAAATGAAATAATTAACATTATTTTCTTTTCTTTTGAGACAGAGTCTTGCACTGTCGCCCAGGCTGTAGTGCAGTGATGCGATCTTGGCTCACTGCAACTTCCACCTCCCGGGTTCAAGCAATTCTTGTGCCTCAGCCTCCCGAGTAGCTGGGATTACAGATGGATGCCACCTCGCCTGGCTGATTTTTGTATTTTGAGTAGAGACGGGGTTTCACCACGTTGGCCAGGCTGGTCTCGAACTCCTGACCTCAGGTGATCTGCCACCTAAGCCTCCCAAACTGCTGTGATTAGAGGTGTGAGTCACCGCGCCCGGCTAACATTTACTTTCTAATCAGTTGGGTATTCCACACATCGAATTACACAAGGCCTTCAATAAATGCAGGCACCAGACTTACCCTTCTGCTTGAAACAAACTGAACAATGATATGATGTAATGGTTTTTTGTTTTTGTTTTTGTTTTTTGGTTTTTTTTGAGACGGAGTCTCGCTCTGTCGCCCAGGCTGGAGTGCAGTGGTGCGACCTTGGCTCACTGCAAGCTCCACCTCGAGGGTTCACACCATTCTCCTGCCTCAGCCTCCCAAGTGGCTGGGACTACGGGTGCCCACCACCACGCCCGGCTAATTTTTTGTAGTTTTAGTAGAGATGAGGTTTCACCGTGTTAGCCAGGATGGTCTTGATCTCCTGACCTCATGATCTGCCTGCCTTGGCCTCCCAAAGTGCTGGGATTACAGGCGTGAGCCACCGCGCCTGGCCGATACGATGTAATGGTTTTCAAGGTATTGGGTAACAGGCAGTTAAGGATAGTTATCCCTGAAAGATGGGAAATAAATGAAGTGAGCCCTGCAATTGTCAGAGCTCGTCGCTGGTACATATTGAAGGAAGGGGAAATCCAGGTGGAGTGCAGCAGTCTTCATGAGTGGAGGAGATAGAGGTGGGAGGTTGAGGAGGCCAAGGTGGCTAGAACTCACAGGGCAGAGTCCCCGAGAGGAAAGAGCTGTACACGGAGAGAGAACATTCTAGAGATCTACAGAGGACATCCTGCAAGCCTTCAGCTGAGCACATGGGAAACTACCCAAGGCCCAGGAAAGAGCCACTTAAAAAGATCAGAGGGAACATTCGCTGGAGCTTATGCAGGGCTGGGAGTGATTTCTGTTCCCATTAGCCAGATTGGAAAATCTCATAATTTGCAGGTAAAGTGATACAAGATTTTTGTGTCAAAAGTGGGGCAAAATTTCCTCTAAATTCCTGTAGCCTTCCTTGCTTAAAAAAAAGCAAGACCCACGGCACCTCCTAATTAAGTCGCTTATAATCAGTGATAAAGAGAAAAATGTTGTAAGGTTCTTACACTGTACATGAAGTGATATAATACATCCTAAATGTGTAGACTTGGATAAGTTACAAATATATGCTATACATTCTAAAGCAGCCTCTAAAGTAACATAGGTGTAGCTAATCAGTTAACAAATGAGATAAAAATGGCATCCTAAAAATATTCAGTAGATCCAAAACAACACATGGGAACCAAAAAGAAAAAAATGGAACAAAGAATAAATGTATGAACTAATAGAAAACATTTAGCAAGATGGTAGATTTAAACTTGGCCATATCAAAAGTCATATTGAATGTAAATGGTCTAAACACTCAATTAAAAGACAGGAAATGTAAGATTGGATAAAAAAGGCAAGAATCACCTACATCTTGCCCATAAAAATCTCACCTAAATATAAAGACATGAATAGGACAAAAGTAAAAGGATAGAAATAATGATATATTATGCTAATACTAATTTTATTTTATTTTTTTTTTGAAACAGCGTCTGTTGCCAAGGCTGATATGCAGTGACATGATTACAGCTCACTGCAGCCTCAAACTCCTGGGCTCAAGTCATCCTCCTGCTTCAGCCTCCTGAGTAGCTGGGATTTCAGGCATGTGCCACCATGCCCTGCTAATTAAAAAAAAATTTTTTTTTTTTTTTGTAGAAATGGAGTCTCACTGTGTTGTTCGGGCTGTTCTTGAACTTCTGGAATTAAGTGATTCTCTCACCTTGGCCTTCCAAAGTGTTACGATTACCAGTGTGAGCCACCATACCCAGCAAACAGGAAGCTTTAAAAAGCAGGAATGGCTATATTAATAGACAAAGTAGACTTCAGAACAAAGAATATTATCACAGAATAAGGAAACATTTCATAATTACAAAGGGGTCAGTTCGTGAAGAGAACATATCAGTTCTGAATGTTTGCCTCATTACAGAGCTTCAAAACACATGAAACAAAACTGATAGAACTACATGTAGAATTGGGTGAACACACAATTATAGTTGGAGATTCAACATCTCTTTCTCAGTCCTCAATAGAATAGACAAAGAATCAGCAAGAAGGAGATAGAATATTTAGAATAACACTAATCACCAACTTAATCTAGTTGACATTTACTGAAAAACAAAAAACACTACCAACGGCAGAACCACCTTCTTTCCAAGTGCACACAAACTATTTACTATAATAATTCATATTCTGGCCGGGCGTGGTGGCTTACGCCTAATCCCAGCACTTTGGGAGGCCGAGGCGGGCGGATCACGAGGTCCAGAGATCGAGACCATCCTGGCTAACACGGTGAAACCCCGTCTCTACTAAAAATACAAAAAAATAATTAGCCGGGCTTAGTGGCTGGCGCCTGTAGTCCTAGCTACTCGGGAGGCTGAGGAGGGAGAAGGGCGTGAACCCAGGAGGCAGAGCTTGCAGTGAGCTGAGATCGCACCACTGCACTCCAGCCTGGGCGACAGAGCGAGACTCCGTCTCAAAAAATAATAATGAAAATAATTCATATTCTGAGTCCTAAAGCAAGCCTCAATAAATCTAAAGGATTGGCTGGGCGCGGTGGCTCATGCCTTTAATCCCAGCACTTTGGGAGGCCAAGGCGGGCGGATCACGAGGTCCGGAGATCGAGACAATCCTGGCTAACACGGTGAAACCCATCTCTACTAAAAATACAAAAAGAAAATTAGCCGGGCGTGGCGGTGGGCACCTGTAGTCCCAGCTACTTGGGAAGCTGAGGCAGGAGCATGGCGTGAACCCGGGAGGCGGAGCTTGCAGTGAGCTGAGATGACGCCACTGCACTCCAGCCTGGGCGACAGAGCAAGATTCCATCTCAAATAAATAAATAAATAAATAGGATTTAAGTCATACAAAGTGTCTTCTGACCACAATGGAATTAAATTAGAAATCAGTAGCCTTAAGGGATTTGGAAAAATCACCAAATATTTGGAACCTAGCACATCTAAATAACTCATGGATTTAAGAAATAAAAAGGAAAATTAGAAATTGTTTTGAGGCTGGGCACGGTGGCTCATGCCTGTTATTCCTAGCACTTTGGGAGGCCAAGGCGGGAGGATCAGTTGAAGCCAGGAGTTGACACCAGCCTGGCCAACACTGAAATCCCATCTCTACTAAAAATAGAAAAAATTAGCCAGGCATGGTGGTGCACACCTGTAGTCCCAGCTGCTTGGGAGGCTGAGGCATGAGAATCATTTGAACCCGAGAGGCAGAGGTTGCAGTGAACTGAGATCACGCCACTGCACCCCAGCCTGGGTGACAAAGCAAGACTCTGTCTCCAAAAAAAAAAAAATTGTTTTGAACTAAATGAAAATTAAAACATATCAAAATTTGTGAGACACGCTAAAACAGTACTTAGAGGGAAATTTATAACACAAAATGCCTATATTAGAAAAGAAAAAAAGGTCTCAAATCAGTGGCCTCACCTCTCATCTTAAAAAAACTATATAATATGGCCCAGTGCTTTGGGAGACTGAGGCTGAAGGATCACTAGAGGCCAGGAGTTTGAGACCAGCTTGGGCAACATAGGAAGACCTCACCTCTATAAAACAATTTTAGAAAATTAGTTGGGCATGGTGGTGCAGGTGTGTAGTCCTAGCCACTCAGGAGGTTGAGATGGGGGATGACTTGAGCCCAGTGGTTGGAGGTCACAGTGAGCTATGATCATGCCACTGCACTCCAGCCTAGGTGACAGAGTGAGACCCTGTCTCAAACAAACAAACCCAAAAACGATAATACAGATCAAAGTGGAAATTATTTAAATAAAAACAGAAAAACAAACCTTAGTTCTTCATTTTAACACCAATACTATAATCCATTTTTAAAAATGGAAATTGCACATCATCAAAATCAAGAAAGTCAGTTCCTCTAATGATACTATTAATGGATTGCCACACACTGGAAGAAAATTGTTTAATATTTTTAAATTTACAAATAAAAATTGTATATATTTGTGATGTACAACATGATTGTTTTTGTGTGTGGTAAGAACACTTGAAATTTACTTTCAGCAATTTTGAAATGTACAGTATATTAACTGTATGAACAGCAAATTATTAACTGTAGTCACCATTCTGTCAAACAGATCTCAAGAGACTTACTCCTCCTTACTAAAACTTTGTGCCGTTTGACCTACATCTCACCATTTTCCTCACCCCAGCTGCTGATAACCACCGTTCTACTATTCTCTGCTTCTGTGAACTTGATTGTTTATCAAATCTGCACATAATTGAGATCATAGGTCATTTGTCCTTACATGCCTGGTTCATTTCACTTAGCATAATGTCCTCCAAGCTCATCCATGTTGTCACAAATGACAGGATTTCCTTCTTTTTTAAGGCTGAATAGTATTCCATTGTGCATATGTACCACATTTTCATTTATCTGTTGATGGACATTTTGGTTGATTCCATAACTTGGCTGCTGTGACTAGTTCTGTAATGAACATGAGAGCACAGATATCTCTTCAACACACTAATTTCCTTTCCTTTCTGTATATACCCAGTTTCAGGATTGCTCATGGTTTGTATGGTTAAAATAAGGAAATGGCCAAAGTATGATTTCAATAATCGCACGGTGTATTACCATACAAAGAGATTCTCTTCCCTGCTTCCCTACAATGCTCAAACGGGGAGAAAATGAGAAAAAATCTTGTAGGGAATACACTCGATAGACACAGTGAGTTCCATTTTATTTAGAGTCCAATTGATGAATTCTGGTAGCTCAATTAAGATAGAATCAGGCCTCAGTGGAAGTAAAGTCTAATCACAGTTCGATATGTACTTTTCTATGGGAGCTTCTCAGGAGAGATGGTTTGACCACACAAGTCCTTGTACACTAGTGAGTGGTGCAGGTATTGGCAGGTGAGACTTTGGAGAACAGCTTGAAGGCTGACAAAGAGTAGTCCTGCTGCATCCTGAGGTCTCAGTGTGTCTTGTCAAAGTCCTGGGGTTAGGTCAGGCATGGGTGGTTCACACCTGTAATCCCAGCACTTTCGGAGGCCAAGGCAGGAAGATTACTTGTTGGCAGGAGTTCGAGATCAACCTGAGCAACTTAGTGAGACCCCATCTCTGTAAAAAATATAAAGATTAGCTGGGTGTGGTGGTGCATGGCCATAGTCCCAGCTACTCAGGAGACTGAGGCAGGAGGATCACTTGAGTTTGAGGATGCAGTGAGCTATGATTGTGTCACTGTGCTCCAGCCTGGGTGACACAGTGGGAAAAAAAAAAAAAGCTCTTGGGTTTACATGTGTTTTGGAGTCCAGTAGTTGAGATCAGTAACTCACATATGTGGTCTGATAAGGGGTGATGTAACATTGTCATGGGGAAGGGCATTATACTCCATGTTTTTATCTTAGCAAAACATATGTCACCAATGCAGCAAATTATGTGAATGTTTGGAATCATTTCAAAGCTGTCCCAGCTAGATTATATGATAGCTCTATTTTTAATTTTGGGGGAAACCTCAATACTGTTTTCCATAATGGCTGTGCTAATTCACATTCCCACCAACAATACACTGTGGTTCACTGGGAGAAAATATTAACGGAAGCTACACATTGGTAGAAAGTATTTTCCGCTCACCCAACTGATAAAGGACTTGTATCCAGAATATATAAATATAAAAAGCTCAGAACTCAAGAATAAGAAAGCTAACAACTGAATTAAAAAATAGGTAAGTTTGAGACTAGGTGTGGTGGCTCACGCCTGTAATTCTAGCACTTTGGGAGACTGAGGCAGAAGGGTTGCTTGAGTCTAGGAGTTAGAATCCAGCCTGGGCAACAGAGTGAGATCCCAGCTCTACAAAAAATAACAGAAGATTAGCTGGGTGTGGCAGTATGTGCCTTGTAGTCCCAGCTACTCCGGAGGCTGAGGTGGGAGGATTGCTTAAGCCTAGGAGGGGAAGGCTGCAGTGAGCCATGATTGTGCCCCTGCACTCCAGCCTGGGAGACAGAGCAAGACCCTATCTCAAAAAAAAAAAAAAAAAAAAAAAGAAAAAGAAAAAGAAAAAATTTGGACAAATTTAAAATGTAGAGAAAATATTTTCCTTTAAACTGTCAACCTTATTTATAAGGTAAGATGTATATGGTTATTTAATATATTATATATGTATTTAATATATGGCTAATATATACATTTTTCTGACTTTATATATAGATATAAAACCAGAAAAGCTATTTACCCAGAAAATTTTTTTCTTCCTATATTTTTGTTTTCATTTTACTCAGTGATATAATTTTTATTCTTACTTCCTGATAGTAAAAGAAAAAATGAACCCAACCCTCAAAAGGCTGAGGCCCTGTCCCCCCATTGTCAGTGATTTGTTTTTTCTGACAGGTTGAAAATTGTGTAATGTCTATTTATTTATTTATTTATTTATTTATTTATTTATTTATTTATGTATTTAGAGAGATGGTCTTGCTGTGTCACCCAGGCTGGAGTGCACTGGTGCTATCATGGTTCACTGCAGCCTCCACCTCCTAGGCTCAAGTGATCCTCCCACCTCAGCCTCCCAAGTAGCTGGGACTACAGTCATGTGCCAACATGTCCCAACAATTTTTGAAATTTTTTGTAGAGACAGGGTCCCACTGTATAGTGCCCAGGCAGGTCTTGAACTCCTGGGCTCCAGTGATCCTCCTGCCTCAGCCTCCCAAAGTGCCAGGATTATAGGCATGAGCCACCGCACTCTGGCCTCAATCTTTTATTTTTAAAAATGAGCAAATGATTTGAACAGATTTCACCAAAGAAGATCTATAGATGGCAAAGAAGCATATGCAAAAATGTTTAATACCGTTAGTCCTTAGAGATTTGCAAATTAAAACAAAAATGAGATCCCACTACCTGCTTATTAGATATCCCAAAATTTAAAATGCTGATCATACCTAGTCTTGGGGAAGGACATAGAGCAACTGGAGCTCTTGTACATTGCTTTTGGAAATAGAAAATTGTACAAATGTTTTGGAAAACTCCTTGCTAGTTTCTTAAAACATTAAACATGCACTTATCATATGATCTAGCCATTCCATTCCTAAATATTTAACCAAGAGAAATGAAGGCATTTGTCCATATAAGAACCGTACATGAAAGTTTAGTATCAGCTATATACACTTGTAGTAGTCAAGAAATGGAAATAACCCAATGTCCCTTAACAGGTAAATGGAGAAACGAATTGGTATTTATCTATAAAATGGAATACTACTCAGCAATAAATAGGAATGAGTTCTTGATAAATGCGATAATATGGGTGGATCTCAAATAAGCAAAAGGAGCCAGAACAAATGAATACATACTGTACGGCTTCATTTTTATAATGTGCTAGAGGATGCTAACTAATCTGTGGTAACTGAAAGCAAGAAGTGGTTTCCTGGATATCCAAATGGGGCAGGAAGAGAGATGGATTACAAAGGGGCATGATTTAACCTTTGGCAGTGATCACTACACTATGTTCATTATCTTGATTGTGGTGATGATTTCATGGGTGTATACATATGTTAAAACTTGTAAATGGTGCACTTTAGATATGTCTAACTTAGTGTATGCAATTAAACTATCAAAATATATTCTCAAGGATGGAAGTTTATACCCTCATTCTATATTCTGTTCAGCAGTGCTATTTTGAGATTATGTATACCAATTAATTTAGTAGGTCTTTTAAGTGGAAGTTACATAGTGTCTATCTGTTGCACCTGACTTGTTTCCAAACCCATCATTATTTAATGAGAGAGCTAAATTCATGGCATTTTGATTTTGGACTAAACATTGAATATGTACATTACATAAGACTATATACTATAGCTACTAAATGGGTAATCTTTTGTCCTACATCTCTACATTCTATCATAAAAAAATTAGACACTTGTATCTTTGAATGTTTGAGTTGGTGTTTTGCTTCAGACTCTTCAAATACAGACTTTAATCCCAATCTCTTTCTTTATTTTAAATTAAAATTCACAGGTTCTGGTTGGGTGGGCTGTATACATTCAATCTGCCCTCTTATTCCATGGACGTCCTGCTTGGACATTATATTTTGAAATCTGTATTACAAAGTCTTTTATCCTTTTATTAGTTTAGTACTTTAAACCTTAGACATAAAAAAGAAGACTATCAGTGAAAATCAATTGAAATGTAGTTAGATAAAGATCTGATGTACAAGCAGAAGGCTTAGTTGCAGCACAATATAATCAATTAGGACTCTCCAGCTGCATACAGAGTTTTACCCATCCAATCACTTTTCACACGTTTCTTCCATTAGCTTGACTAGAGTTATTCTTCTTTTTTTAATGTGAATTATGATGAATGAGATTGTTGTTATGAATATAGAGATGGGTCATTATCCTACAGAAACCAGATTGTGCTGGTGTTTAGTGATTAGGGCTATCTGCTTCTGCTATCAATAAAGTACAGATTTATCTGTCTCAAATTATGATTGGGAAGCCAGTAGTCATTGTTATCTAATTCATTTAACAATGTTACAATACAAATGTATAATATAAAATTGTTTTTGTTCAGCTGGGTAATTGACATAACTTTTAAGTTGTGAGGGTAAAGGAATATAATTTATCAAATAGAGGTGGGAAATTTTTCATGGCTTAAAATCAAATAAATATTCCTCAGGAATTAGTACCCCCAAATTTAACACCCTGGGTGTAGCCTTTAAGATGTCAAAATGTGGAAAGAACAAATGAAGTTTACGTACCCTATATGAAGACGCTGGAGCTTTGCAAAGTAATGAGCATCGGTTTATTACAGAAGTTCTGTAATTAATTATTACAGTCTAAAAAATGATACGATGTTTTCCTGGGCTTGGGTTGAGGAATTCAGGAGGTGGGAAGGAGTTATTGGATCTAGTTTAATGCACCAAGTGACTGGAAATGGCATTGCTAGGTAAATTGGGCCGTCAGCCTAACATTAGCATTTTTTATTAAAAAAAAATACTCAATCCTTAGAAAACTTACACCCAGGTAGATTAGTAGAGAAGGTCTTGCTAGAAACAGCTATTTAATTTTAATCAAACTTGTTTTTCTTTGCCCTTAAAATTGAATTTTTGTTTTTGTTCTTATTTTAAGTTTTTCCTATTCCAGACTCCTATTGTCAAAGAAAAAGCCTTTTTTTTTTTTTTTTTAATCTACAATACAGTACCTTTCAATACTTGGCCCTCACAGATGTCAGTGCATGGATAGAAAAATTTCATTGTCTGCAGTCATGGATAATTTTAGCGTCATGTGGAAAAGTAAGAACTGTTGCCTGACTATATTGGACACCAAAGAAAGCCCCAGTAGACAGGCTATTCTTGGAGCTTGCAGGCCTGCCTTTGAGGCCCATTGATGAAAAGACCTTTGTGTTTTGTGCCATGAGGTGGGGGAGGAGTAGTGTTCAGTACTAGAAGAGTTAATAAACACCAAGAGCTGTGCTCATCTTGTAGCTTTACTAAGGCTTAATCTGTAAGCTTGATTACCTCCTAACCCTCTATCTCTTGCCTCTCCCTTCAAGCACTGCAGGGGCTTTATGGTGGTATTAGTGGCATTTTGCCCAACATTGGCTTTAGGGAAATCATTCTATAAGAAAGAAAAGCAGAAAGACCGAATCTGTCTGCTGTGTGTGGTCATTAACACAAGGATAACCTTATGAACTCCAGAGAGAGGAGGGGATGTCTGTCCTTACTAGAAAACTACTGGTAAAATATCACTGTTTTTCTCTCTCTCTCTCTTTTTTTTTTTTTTTTTTGGCAGCCCAATTTGTTATAGGCCTAGTGGCATCATCTAGAAGCACTCACTTGAGACACTTTCAGCAGGATATTCAGTCGTTTATAATGGAGAGTCCTTTGTATTCTCTGAGCTGTTTCATAAAAATATATCTGCAAGCTGTAGCGACCTGGGACTTTTTGTTAGAGACACATACACAGAGTTTCTATGTAATTAATTCCTGGTATTGAGATATTTTGGAGTCCGAGACCAGATTGAGTGCACCATTTTGCCAAACATCATTAAGTCATTAGTGTAAGGGACTTGTTATGAAGGACCGATTAAAAGCTCAGAGAAGCTGTCGTACATTTTTATATTAATCCCAAGAGCTTTCTAATATTCTTTTCTCATTCTAATGAGAAGTCTCAGATAATGATGTATTATTTCACTTAAAAAAATCTTGGAAGATAAACCAAGACAGGAAAATGATTATGGCCACAGATAAGAGATTAAACTATTCAGCCAACAAGCTGTAATAAATAAACTCTAAGCCAATGTACTGTTAAACTGGGAGCCACTGGGTAGAAATAATTTGGCTAAAATTCTGGCCCAGTGTTGTCAGAGGATATGAAAGAAATAATGAAAATTCTCCCTTGCCTCAGGGTAAGTAGTAGACTGCACATCCAGACTTGACCGTCAGGTCACCTGAAGGACAGGTTCCCTACAAATATGAGGAAACAACTCAGAGGACCCAATAGCAAATGAGGCACTTAGATAGCATGTGATGGCAGAAGCTTGCTACCTGTCTGAGGAGCATCAGTCCCATGCTTCGTGTCTGCACAGTGGAACATAAAGCAGCAGCTTAGATGGCATATGGCACTATCTGCAGTAGGCTTTGTGCTGTAGGCACAGAATAAAGTTATCCTAGCCATGTAGCACTTGAAATGAGGGGGAAATAAGACAACCATGTAGAGCCTGAGAATAGAATATAAGCTTCATGAGGACAGGGTCTTATCTTTTGTCATTGCATCCCTAGTTAGAATAGTCCCTGATGGATTATAGCAGTTTGATTTAAAAAGGATCTAAGGTCAGGCACGATGGCTCACACCTGTAATCTTAGCACTTTGGGAGGCTGGGGTGGGGGGATCACTTGAGCCCAAGAGTTCGAGACCAGCCTGGGCAACAAAGTGAGAACCTGTCTCTGCAAAAAATTAAAATAAAAAAAAATTAGCCCAGAATGGTGGCACACGCCTGTAGTCTCAGCTACTCAGGAGCTGGGAGGATCACTTGACCCTAGGAACTCGAGGCTGCATTGAGCTGTAATAGCACCACTGCACTCCATCCTGGGCAAAAGAGCAAACAAACAGTTTAATTAATTAATTGGTATGACTGGTGAGGAACAAGATGATTCGTTCCTTGCCTAAGCCCATGCTTACATGCTAAGGCCTGAAACTGTGAAGACCTACTGGTAGTGGTTAAATGTAGGATTTTAATCAGATCAGAGCAAAGTATGGAGTTGCCATGAAATAATTCTGATAGCCACTCAGAGAACTGAGAAGTGATTTATTGCTGGAGGTGATATTATCTTTGAACCTTTGCTTGACCATTTATGGACCAATACACCCAGAAACAGTCTTTTGTGTAGTAACCCAGCCAAAGAGCTTGACTATTTTAATCATTTCCCTTTGATAGTCTGGTCATTTCTTTTGTCTTTTGAAGAAAATATCCACTAATTGGTGTTTCTTTCTGAGTTGCCAAATGCTGAGAAAGCAGACAGTAATTGATGTAGTGAAGATATTTTGCTTCTGTTACTCTGATCATCTACATATAGAGATACACTGGATGATAAGAGTCAACTCTAAAATCAAAATAAATAGAAGCTCCACCATGATTTTTTTCATTGTCTGCTGTAACTAAGTTTGCCTTTATTCTTGAGTTGAAGTACATGATATGACAGCAGAGGTTGGAAACTTTTTAGTTGCTTAATATTTTATTTCTAATACCAAAAGTCTTGCTTTTTCCTTCTTTTTTTTTTTAATCTTGAGACACGGTCTCACTCCGCTGCCCAGGCTGGAGTGCAGCGTCATGATTCTAGCTCATTGCACCCTCAACCTCTTGGGCTCAAGGGATCTTCCCACCTCAGCCTGCCTTGTAGCTGGGACTACAGGTGTGCACCACTACACCTGGCTAATTTTTTAAAATTTTTGTTGAGATGAGGTCCTACTGTTTTGCCCTGTTGGTCTCAAACTCCTGGCCTCAAGTGATCCTCCCACTTTGGCTTCTCAAGGTGCTAGGATTGTAGGCATGAGCCACCATATGTGGCCATTGCTTTATGCTTGAGATTAAAAATGCTGTCTCATAGTATCCAGATATTCTAAATTTTGTGAAAGCATCCCACCATTTTTGAGAGGCATCTAAACCATTTTTAGCTAGTTGTTTATTAACGGTAGTGGAAGAGTGTGGACTATGAGTTTGTGATAACGGTTTTTTTTAACTTCTTATTTTGAAAAATTTTAAACATAGGCAGAAGGAGAAAGAATAGCTTAAAAAAACCCCACTAGCCATCACCCATCTTCAATAATTATCAATAAATAACCAAGCTTGTCTTATCCTTATCTCCCTAATCCTACTCTTTGCTGGTTATTTTTATTTTAACAGCCTTATTTAGGTATAATTTACATACAATACAATTCATCCATGGTAAGTATACAATTTAATGATTTCTTAGTAAATTTACAGAGTTATGCATCCAACACCACAACGGAGTTTTAGAATATTCCTATTACCCTGTGTTCCCATATGCTCCTTAATAGGAGCTCACACTCCCCAACCCTACGCAGTCATTGATCTAATTTCTGTCTCTATGTATTTGTCATTCTGGACATGTCATGTAAATGGAAACATACAATACGTAGTCTTTTGAGGCTGGCTTGCTGGCCTAATGTTTTTGAGACTCATCCATGTTGTCGAATGTAGAGTGTTGTGGACTATGTCAGCACTTTGTTCTTGTGGCCGTGGGCCCCTTTTCACTGAGCCTTCTTTGCCTTTATCTTCACTTGAATTTGTGGGCTATGTGCTGAATGACTTCCCTGTTACTTTCAGTGTTGTTTTAGAGGAAAACACAGTTGTTGTTTTGTCTTTGTTTTAATGAACTGATATCTCCTGTGTGTCCATGCTGATTCTTAAGTTGTTTAAGGAAATATTTCCTTAATAGAAGAACCTTCTTTCAGGATCCTCCTATTCTTCCTCCCAATATTGAAAATCATTTTTTAAAATTTGCCATTAAACAAATTTTTTTGTTTTTCCTGAAGAAACTCCCCTTCATTTAAAAATCTATAGTTTCTTGCTTTTAGAAAAGAAAACATTACTTTAAAATTTGCCATTTTGTTTGTCAGTTACCAAATTGTCCACTCTGGGAAAATTCGATGTGAAGAGCTCATAAGAACAAAAGCATGATCTTAAGTATGGTTTTTAGACAAACATGTTTTGAACTCCATGTTGTCTCAAATTAGAAATTTTCCCTTATCTCCGTAGTTCAAAATATATTTTTATTTAATTATATTCAATGTAATATATTTTTAATTAAACTATATTTTAATTCATATGATGTCTCAAGCTAAGCATTGTACAAAGGACTCATAAACATATGTTTGTTATATTTTTCTACATGATGTTTGTTAAGATGTTTAAAATGTCCCCTAAGCATGGTGCTAAAGTGCTATGTATCTGTTGTTCCTAAGCTTTATTTAGGTAAATGTTATAGTGCAGTTTGCTGTGAGTTTAATGTTAGTGAATCTACAATATGGTATGTCCAGAAAAAGAAAGAGGGAGTTCACCAACCTGTACAAAGCTTCTTGGGAAAATGCTAGGGTAGTACCTATAGTGCCTGATTGAAACTATGGAAAAGATAGAAAGGTGGCTAAATTTGTGAATTTATGAGAAAATGACTGATACAATTGTTGATAGGCTGAAAGCCAAAGAAATTTACATTACCCAGGGTCAGGAAAATGTTATGCCCTTCTCAGCTAGTGCTGGCTGGTTTGAACATTTCAAAAGGCAATATGTTGTGAAGAATATTAAACTTTCAGGCAAGGTATGGTCTGCAAATGCAGAAGAATTTTTAAAGTACCAGCTTAAGTGTTACACAGGAAAAGGGTTATGTGGAAAAGCCGGTTTTCAACACTGTTGAGACTGGCTTGTTTTCAATTGAGGAGACATTGGCAAATGAACCAATGTTACATATTAATAAATGACATTTTAGTTGATGGAAAATGTCGTGACCAGGGTCTTGCAGGAACCTAACCCTGTTTTTCCCAGAGAAAATTTCAGTATTCACTAATTCAGTGTTCATAGTGACTTCCTAAGTACCTTGAATAATGAGAATAGATTGTCATTGATAAAGTAATTGTGTGCAAAATATGTAGAGAACTCTTATAACTCAATAATGAGGAAAAAAACTCAAAAAGTGGGCATTTGGACAAACACCACAGAAGATTTTTAAATGACAAAAAAAAGACATGAAGAGTTGCTCTGTCATTAGTCATTGGGGAAATGATACTGTGTACAACTAGAATGGCTGAAATTAAAAGACTGACAATACCAAGAGCTGGTGAGGATGTGAAGAAACTGTAGAACTCTTACACTGTACATTGTTTTGGGGAATGCAAAATGGTATGTCCACTTTTTAAAATAGTTTGGTGGTTTCTTATAAAGTTAAATATACACTTGCCATCTAATCTAATCATTCTATTAATAGGAATTTACTCAAGAGAATGAAAATCAGTGTTTATAAAAAAAGATTGTATGTGAATGTTCATTGCAGCTTCATTCGCAATAGCCAAAAACTAAAAGCAAACCAAATGTTCATCAACTGGCGAAGGGACAGACAAATCATGTTACCTCCCTACTTAGCAATAAAAAGAAGGAAGTACGTAGCAACACAGATGAATTTCAAAGCATTGTGCTAAGTGAAAAAAGACAGACATAAAAGAATATATCATCTGTGATTCTATTTATATGAAGTTCTAGAAAAAGCAGAACTATAGAGGTAGAATGCAGATCAGTGATTTCCAGGGGCCAGGAGTTGGGGGAAAGGAATTGACTCTGAAGAGGGATAAGGGGACTTTTTGGAGTGATGGAAATATTCTATATCTTGATTATAGTGCTGATTACATACTATATGCATTAAAAAAAAAACCTTTATCAGTCTCAACACTTAAAATGGGTGAGTTTAATTAAGGGTAAATTAAAGCCCTTACAAAGCTGGTTAAAACAACAGTGACAGAAACTCTTTACCAAAACCTGTAAGGCTTTGGTTGACTTGCCAGAATCAACTTGCCAATGCAAACCAAGACTTTGTTACCAGGGACATTCAAGATAGACCCTTCACTGAGAGATTTTAAGAACTCACTCAAAATAAATAATAAAATTGTACCTACTTTTCCAACTTAAAAAAAATAAAAATTTTATTTGAATGTATAAGCCTCTACTTCAGCCAAAGCTCCTGTTAGGTTTGGGCTATCTCCATATACAGTAGTAATAATTAAAATTTTTCTTTCTTCAAATGGCTACTAGTCTAATGGTTTAAATACTTACCCATATTCTACTATATTGTCTTCCATGACCATACCGTGACCTCTCAAAACAAAAGTTAGAGATCGGAAGTAACCAACTGACAATTACAGTGGTTGATACACTCCAGTTTAAATAGAAGGGTCCTTGGTTAAAATATGGTTCATTCATCGGTCAAACTGTCCTTATTTCCTTTAATTGAATTAAGATGGACAAATGAGAGATGTGTGCAAGACAGAAAAAAAAATCCTTTCACAAATCACTGTTATCCTCTCTCTGAGTGTAAAACGAATCAATTAAAAGCATGTCAAAGCATCTTTTACTGTTGAACAACTTTAATGCAGAAGTCATTTATTAAAAAATTTGAGTGAGAAATCGGTTACCTTATACAGTTAAACATAGTTTAATGTTATCTCTGAGAATTGTGGATTATTTTATATACTCATGTTTGGCTAAAAATTATAACTTTGTGCTAAGAAAGCCTTCATTTTTCCTCTTATCCTCAAGTTGAAAATACTGACTAAGAAAATACAAAATATAAGAAAATACACAATTCACACTTGTATACACAGAATTTAGTTTCATCCGTACATTTACTAAATAGTTCCTTAGGAGAGATGTAACATTAGGATGGAGGGTGAAATATAATTTTTATTTTTTTGCCTAATAGCCAATTGCTTTGAAAAATGTAGTCCATCTTCTCTTTCTAGTGCCTTGAATTGCTATTTAACATACGATAGCTTATTTATATATTCATACACATTCTATAAAATCATTTTTAACCCGTATGTTAAGGTTGTCTTTGATATGATAGCTTATTTATATATTCATACACATTCTATAAAACCATTTTTAACCCATATGTTAAGGTTGTCTTTATTACAGTTAGTTATCCATCCCTATATCTTAGCTGTTTTCACTAGTATATACGTATAAATGTATACTGCTTAACGAAAACATTTTTAACCTGTGTGTTGATTTTATTACAATTATCTATCCTTTTATCTTAGCTCTGTTTTCAGTGGTATACACATGTCAATTTATGCTGCGTAACTCAGAGCCTGCTTCCACTTTTTCATACTTGAATATGTTTTTTCCTGCTTTCTAAATATGGTCATAAATATGCTCATAACTTATTTTAATTGTTCATTTGAATTTTTGTCTTCATATTATTTTAAATTTTCAATCGGTTCAAAATTCAAAACATAAAAGGATACATAATGAAAAATCCTTTCTCCCTTCCCTGCCCCCAGCCACCCAGTTTCTCTGTTTAGAGGCCACCAATATTAACAGTTGTTTTTTTTTTTTGAGACGGAGTCTCGCTCTGTCGCCCAGGTTGGAGTGCAGTGGCACGATCTCAGCTTACTGCAAGCTCCACCTCCTGGGTTCACGCCATTCTCTTGCCTCAGCCTCCCAAGTAGCTGGGAGTACAGGCACCCGCCACCATGTCCAGCTAATTTTTTGTATTTTTAATAGAGACAGGGTTTCACCGTGTTAGCCAGGATGGTCTCGATCTCCTGACCTCGTGATCCACCCACCTCGGCCTCCCAAAGTGCTGGGATTACAAGCGTGAGCCACTGCGCCCAGCCAACAGTTTCTTTATTCTTCCAGAAATGTTTTATGCAGTACACATTTGAGTAGGGGAAAAAAATGAAGTAACCCTTATTTATTCAAAATTTCAAGAGTATTAAAGTACCATTGGTTTCTACATGTTATTTTTATTGAGTCAACTTGCCAACACAAACCAACATAAACCAAGACTGTAAGTGTTATCAAGGACATCAAGATAGACCCTTCACTAAGAGATTTTAAGAACTCACTCAAAATACTCTCAGCATGAGGCTTTTAGAGTTTCCTATCTTTGGACTTTATGTTGCTGACATGTGTTCTCAGCTAGATTTCTGGTATGTCTGTGAAACTCCTTTCTTATCATTCGTCTTTTAGTCGTGGACAAAGCCAGTAAAAGAGAGCATGGATATGAGTTATTGAGTAGCACTGATGACCAACAGAGTTACCCATGTTGCTTTTCCCTTAGTTTATAGTCTATACTTAAAAGTTTTTCCTTCTAAAACACCTAGAGCTGAGAATGACAGTTTTACCCCCTTACCTTCATAATAAATAAATAGAATTTTAAAACACAGAACAGAAAGCTAGATTCCAGAAAAATGTTGGCAACCATGTATAGGGTTATTTATTGATGACTTTGCTCATTGGCAGTATAAAGGGCGTGTCACTTGTCATTAGCAGTAACAATTTCACCACATTATGTTCTCTTTTTATTTTCTCTGGTGGCAACATGTGTCTGAACAGGGCCACTGGCTGTGGGTCAAGAGGTCAGTCTTTGAGGTTAAGAGTGGATGGGGTCATTTGCTATTAACCTAAGATTAGCAGCTAAGGTTTTTTTTTTCTTTCTTTCTTTCTTTCGTTTTAACAGATTTCCTCCATTTGTATAACATGCCAAATTAATCTTGCCCAATTTTAGAAGAATTTCTCCTTTCCAATCTGCATTTTATTTGCTTAGATTTATCATTAAGGTATTTTTTTTCTATTCAGATTTCTTTCTAGCCCCCATCCTAGTCCTCAAAACAATGTTAACTTTTTCTAAAATTTAAAAATGTTCCTGTCTTTAACATTCATCTTCCAGTGTACAAATGCAGCTAATATTTTCTCTGCTCTTGAACTTTTGAGGGAAAAACAAATACATGGCAGAATTGTAGGATTTCAGGGATGTCTTCACCCCTAAAACAATCTCTCCTTGCTATTCTCGCTATTGAACAGTCTCCAACTCTTAAACTAGCAAGTTTTGTTGTTGTTTAACTTTAAGGATCTATTGAGTTGGTACCCTGATACCTGAAACCTCCTACTTCTCTTTTCTCTTCAGCCAAAAGTATTACCTATTATGATGTAGTTTCATCAGTCATCTTTGAAATGTAAAGAGAGTGCTTGTATAATAAGAAGTGTGTTCTCCATGGAATTTTTCAACAAGAGAGTTCCCACTCGATTCCTAGTTTATATTCTGGTATGGACCACAAGTCTGGGAGGCAAGTGGATTTTAGGTGTTTTATATCAAAGTTGTTTATCTTAAATCTTGGCTCATTTGATTACTAGGATATTTTACTTACCTTTAAACAACTTTATTGTTATTGGTGATTCTCTTTCTTTTTCTCTAAACCTTAGCAGTAGGTCTTAGCTTGTGCTAAGCATATAGAGTCCACTGTGGATGCAAGTACAAGCGAGGAGAGGTCCTTCAGGCAACTGCTCAGAGTGCTGTGTCGAGCTTAATGGGTATAAAGGAGAAGAAAGTAAAGTGTATACATACAAATTTTAAATATGTTAAACCTATGATAAGATACAGATTAAAAATCAACTGGATTTCAAATCATATTATTCAGTAAAGAATGGCATACTTGCCGGGCATGGTGGCTCATGCCTATAATCCCAGCACGTTGGGAGGCTGAGGTGGGAGGAGCCTGGGAGGTTGAGACCAGTCTGAGCAACATAGTGAGACCTCATCTCTATAAAACATCAAAAAATCAGCCGGGCGTGATGGTGCATGCCTATAGTCCCAGCTACTTGGGAGGTTAAAGCAGGAGAATTGCTTGAGGCCGGGAGATTGAGGCTGCAGTGAGCTGCTATTATGCCCCTACACTCCAGCCTGGGTGACAAAACAAGACCCTGCCTGAAAACAAAACAAAACAAAAAAAGAGAGAGAGAGAGAGAACAGCACACTTCAAAGGGTATGGTCTTTGTTGCTATGCTCCTTTATGTGCTTAGAGTTGAGGAAGGTGGAGAATATTTAAGGAAAGCTTTCTGTAGAAGTACACCTGGGAGAAGTGTAATAGCAATCTAGGTAGAGAAGATAAGCATAAGTGAAGGCACAGTAGCAAGAGAAGCCATGGTATATTCAAAGAGCTCATAAGGAGGTTGACCTTGCCATCATATAAAGTCCTAGCAGGCAAGTCATAAGATATTAATCCAGAGCAGTGTGTATTTTAGTTAAGGAACTTGGACTTATATCCTATAAGGATGGAGAAGGGTCTTAGGCAGAAGAGGAGTGACAGCGTCAGACTTGCATTTTAAATGTAATTTGGGAGCTGTAGAGAGAGCAGATTTGAAGAAAGATTTAAAATGAAGTCAGGGAGACCACTTAAACTGTTGACCTGACACCTAGGGCAGGGGTAAATGGAATCGAAAGGAGAAGAATGGAGAGGAATAGAAAGTTGAAAAATAGCTACAAGTAAAAATTGTCAGGCATGGTGACTGGATATCAGTCATGAGGAGAAGGGGGAAGAGTTTAATATAAATCCCAGGTTTCTGTCTATGCTAATTAAGTGGAAGAGAGAATGTAAGAGAAGCGGTTTAAAGAGGAGCTCAATCCTTTTAGGAATTTGACCTTGATGCACCTATGAGATGACAAAAGGCAGGTCAGCTGGCCCTGAGTAAAAATGTGGGAGTTATCAACATATAGCTATGGAAGGTGAAAGGGAAAGTATGCAGAGTGAGAAAAATCGTGGGTCTAAGGACATGCCCTGAAAATCAGCAAAATATTACAGACTAGCATAGGATAATTTGTACAGAATTAACTGTCAAAGAAGCAAGAAGAACCTAAAAAGTGCAGTGCCAACAGGAGTCATAGGGGAGTGAGCTTCAATCAGCAGTGTCATTCCTTATAGAATAGTATAGTGGTTCTCAATGATGAGGACAGAAGTAGTCATTGCTTTATAACAGTAAGCAATTATCAGAGGCAAGAGCAGTTTGAGTAGAGCAGGAAAGAGGAAAGCCACATTACCACGAATTATAGAATGAATAGAAATGACTAGCTTGGCTGGGTGCGGTGGCTCACCCCTGTAATCCTAGCACTTTGGGAGGCCAAGGCGGGTGGATTACCTGAGGTCCGGAGTTCAAGACCAGCCTGGCCAACATGGTGAAACCCCTTCTCTAGTGAAAATACAAACAATTAGCTGGGCGCAGTTGTGTGCACCTGTAATCCCAGCTACTGTGGATGCTGAGGCAGGAGAATCGCTTGAACCCGGGAGGCAGAGGTTGCAGTGAGCTGAGATCACAACACTGTACTCCAGCCTGGGCTATGGAACAAGACTCCATCTCAAAAAAAAAAAAAAAAAAAAAAAAGACTAGCCTGGGCTACGTAGTGAGACCTCATCTCTACAAAAAAATTTTATTTCATTTATTTATTTTTATTTTTTGAGATGGAATTTTGCTCTTCTTGCCCAGGCTGGAGTGCTATGGCGTGATCTCAGCTCACTGCACCGACTCCCGGGTTCAAGCGATTCTCCTGCCTCAGCCTCCCAAGTAGCTGGGATTATAGGCATGTGCCACCACACCTGGCTAATTTTGTATTTTTAGTACAGATGGGGTTTCACTGTGTTGGTCAGGCTGGTCTCGAACTCCTGACCTCAAGTGATCCACCCACCTCAGCCTCCCAAAGTGCTTGGATTACCGGTGTGAGCCACCGTGCCTGGACTACAAAAAAACTTTATTAAGTAGCTGGGTGTGATGGCATATGCCTGTGGTCCCAGCTACTCAAAAGACTGAGGCAGGATGATTGCTTGAGCCCAGGAGTTTGAGGTTACAATGAGCTATGCATCACCACTGTACTCCAGCCTGGGTGACAGAGCAAGACACTGTCAAAATAATAATAATAATAAATCAGCCTGGGGAACATAAGGAGACTCTGTCTCTACAAAAAAATAATTTAAAAAAAAATTACACATCTACTCAGAAGGCTGATGTGGGAGGACTGCTTGAGCCCGGGAGGTTGAGACTACAGTGAGCTCTGATTGCACCACTGCACTCCAACCTGGGTGCCAGAGTGAGACCCTGTTTCCAAAACAAAAGCCATAAAGTAATACTTTAATATGAATAAAGACAAATTAGAAAGTGAGCAAGTAGGAGATAAATTCACTCAGGTGATAGGACAATAATAAAACAATTAAAAAATTTAAGATCCTCAAAAGGACAAAGTAATAACTTTACAAAACAAGAAATTATATAGCAAAAGCTTGTAGAAACGACGCAAGATAAGAACAAGTGGATATGAAAAATAATGACTTAAGGCCAGGCGCGGTGGCTCACGCCTGTAATCCCAGTGCTTTGGGAGTCCGAGGCGGGCGGATCACGAGGTCAGGAGATTGAGACCATGCTGGCTAACATGGTGAAACCCCGTCTGTACTAAAAATACAAAAAATTAGACAGGTGTGGTGACGGGCGCCTATAGTCCCAGCTACTTGGGAGACTGAGGCAGGAGAATGGCGTGAACCTGGGAGGCAGAGCTTGCTGTGAGCCGAGATCGCACCATTGCACTCCAGCCTGGGCAACAGAGTGAGACTCCGTCTCAAAAAAAAAAGAAAAGAAAAGAAAAGAAAAGAAAAATTACTTCAAAATATCAGCAGTAAAATAATAGACATTGAAATGTAACTCAGTAACAATTTTAGACTGTATATTTGAACAGTAGTTCGCTCAGAAAGAAGCACATAGGTAGAAAAATGTGAAAGATTAGTTAGTTGAGAAACATACAGTTTAGAGTCCGGGCATGGAGGCTCACACCTGTAATCCCAGCACTTTGGGAGGCCGAGGCGGGTGGATCACCTGAGGTCAGGAGTTTGACACCAGCCTGGCCAAAATGGTGAAACCCTATCTCTACTAAAACTTACAAAAATTAGCTGGGCGTGGTGGTGGGTGCCTGTAATCCCAGCTACTCAGGAGGCTGAGGCATGAGAATCACTTGAACCCAGGAGGCAGAAGTTGCAGTGAGCCGAGATTGCACCACTGCACTCCAGCCTGGGCGACAGAGCAAGGCTCTGTTACCAAAAAAAAAAAAAAAAGAAACATAGAGTTTAGAAACGTCAACATTTATATAATAAGAGTTCCAAAATAATATGATAGGGAGAAGCAATGTTCACATAATAACTACCAAGAATCTTCCAGAATTGTAGACCTCAGATTGAAAGTATAACTTGAGTGTTGAGCAGAGTAAATAAAAATAAATTTGTATCTATGTACGTTGTAGTGTAATTGAAGACCATTGATTTTTAAAAGGCTAGCTGAGAGAAAAGACATCTTTTCTACATAAATGTGAAAATTAGGTTGATGATAGACTTGTAATTTGGTGACAATAGATGCCAGAAGGCAATGGAGTAATATACCAGAGTGCTGAGCTGATAAAAAAGATATTATTTTTAATTTTACAGTTCTATACCCAGCTAAAATTCAATACTTTTACACAGTGGCAGTTTACCACTGTCATGCTTTTGTTGAAAAAGAAAATCCTTTAAAAATGTGCTTCACCAACAAAATATAAATGTAGAGGTAGGAGTGATATGTAAGATTCAGAATTATGATGGTAGTTAACTTTGAATTTTATAATGATAATAGAATAGCAATACCTTTCATATTATAATTTACTTACATGGAATGAAAACCTCAGACAGTAATGACAAGAATGATGTGGAGTTGTTCGCTGGCAATTAAAGCATATTCAAGACAAATATTGAGATACTGAGTAGCCCAGAAAAAACTATGGTATAAAAATTTAAGGACACTGCGGGGCACTGTGGCTCATGCCTATAATCCCAGCACTTTGGGAGGTTGAGGCAGGCGGATCACCTGAGCTCAGGAATTCAAGACCACGCTGGCCAACGTGGCAAAACCCCTTCTCTACTAAAAATACAAAAATTAGCTGGGTGTGGTGGCACATGCCTGTAATCCCAGCTAGTCAGGAGGCTGAGGCAAGAGAATCACTTGAACCCAGAAGGTAGAGGTTGCAGTGAGCCGAGATCATGGCACTGCACTCCAGCCTGGGTGACAGAGGGAGACTCTGTTTCAAAAACAATAAATAAATAAATAAAAATTTAAGGACAAACCATAATAGAAATATAATCTATAGCTTCCAAACATATAGAGAAAAAATTACTATAGAAAACTGTCAGTGCAATACAAGGCGGGAAAGAACAGATCATACAAAATAAGATAGTAGAAATAAGCCCCAATATGTCAATAATCAAACTTCAATGACAGGGGATATAAGACTGAATTTTTGGCCAGGTGCGGTGGCTCACGCCTGTAATCCCAGCACTTTGGGAGGCCGAGATGGGTGGATCACCTGAGGTCCGGAGTTTGAGACCAGTCTGACCAACATGAAGAAACTCCGTCTCTACTAAAAATACAAAATTAGCTGGGTGTCGTGGCGCATGCCTGTAATCCCAGCTACTCTGGAGGCTGAGGCAGGAGAATGGCTTGAACCCGGGAGGTGGAGGTTGCTGTGAGCCGAGATCGTGCCATTGCACTCCAGCCTGGGCAACAAGAGCGAAACTCCATCTCAAAAAAAA
The DNA here is from genome assembly GCF_000001405.40 of Homo sapiens. NCBI lineage: Eukaryota > Metazoa > Chordata > Mammalia > Primates > Hominidae > Homo > Homo sapiens. The sequence goes on from NC_000017.11 coordinate 61,193,766, forward strand.
AAAAAAAAAAAAAAAAAAAAGATTGAATTTTTGAAAACCTAGTCATATTCTGCTTATAAAAAAAGTACAAGCCGGGCGTGGTGGCTCACACCTGTAATCCCAGCACTTTGGGAGGCTGAAGTGGGCGGATTGCTTGAGGTCAGGAGTTGGAGACCAGCCTGGCCAACATCACGAAACCCCGTCTATACTAAAAACACAAAAATTTGCCGGGCCTGGTGGTGGGCACCTGTAATCCCAGCTATTTGGGAGGCTGAGGCAGGAGAGTCACTTGAACCCAGGAGGCACAGGTTGCAGTGAGCCAAGATCGTGCCACTGCACTCCAGCCTGGGTGACAGAGCGAGACCCTGTCTCAGAAAAAGAAAAGAAAGGAAAGGCAGGGAGGGGAGGGGAGAGGAGGGGAATCTGCAGATTGTGCTATTAGCTCGTATTAGTGGTGTCAAATTTTAAGTCAGATTCTGCTGTAAGCAACAAATGGCTTCATTCTTTCCTCACTATTACAAATGCGAGACAGAGAAAGAAAACATGGCCTTGTAATGTCACAGACTTTGTCATTGGTTAACCCGAGTTCAGAGAGGCTTCCAAATCACATCAGTTAATTCCCCCAGCAAGTGAAAGCTGACTGAAATTATGAGCTGCCTTTAAAGCAATTCTAGCCCTCAAGCTTGTGAGGAGTCATAAAGATATACTAACTAAGCCGGGCGCAGTGGCTCACTCCTGTAATCTAGCACTTTGGGAGGCCAAGGCGGGTGGATCACCTGAGGTCGGGAGTTCGAGACCAGCCTGGCCAATATGGTGAAACCCTGTCTCTACTAAAACATACACAAATTAGTCAGGTGTGGTGGTGGGCAACTGTAATCCCAGCTACTCAGAAGGCTGAGGCAGGAGAATCACTTAAACCTGAGAGGCAGAGGTTGCAGTGAGCCGAGATTGTGCCATTGCACTCCTGCCTGGGCAACAAGAGCAAGACTCTGTCTCAAAAAAAAAAAAAAAAAAGATATACTAACTATGTGACTCTTAGATTCATAGGCTAAATTTCCTTTTGGATTGTTTTTCAAAGACTGAAAATGCCTATATTAGGAAATATCTTCACTTTCCATCTCCAGCTCCCCTATTTGTCAGTTCTTCTATTCTGACCCCTAAGATGTGGTTCACATTTTAATTACAGTTACATATGGCAGTCTCCATCCACCATAGCCAGCCAGCCTGCAGGCTTGAAGAGAATGAAGGAGAGCCTAATACTGCCTTCTTTCTGACAAGCTCTCATGGAGCTTTCACAGTTAAGACTCTGTCGATCTGTTGCAATGACTGAAGTGTCCTGTAAATGATCACTTATTACAAATGTTCAGGTAGATGTGTCACTTTAAGCATTAACAATTTATTTTTAACTACATTTCTTTATTCTTTACATATACCAATTGTGCTTATGCCCAGAAGGACTGGATACAGTATGTGAAAGCTGTAAAAATTGGCTGTTCATTCTCTTCTCATTTAACCGCAGATGAAATATTGGTTGTCCAGGATAAATCATCCTTAATGGGATATTTATACTCTTTCCACCAAACACTGTGCATCTCTCCACCAGCCGTACTCTCCCTATTTCCTTTTATTTTCCCAGACAAGGTCTCATTCTGTTGTCTAGGCTGGTGTGCAATGGTGCAATCATGGCTCACTGCAGCCTCAACCTCCTGGGCTCAGGTGATCCTCCTACCTCAGCCTCCCAAGTAGCTGGGACTGTAGGCATGAGCCACCATGCCCTGCTAAACTTTTCTTTTTCTTTCTTTTTTTTTTTTTTGTAGAGACAGGGTTTTGCCATGTTGCCCAGGCTGGTCTCAAACTCCTGTGCTCAAGTGATCCGCCCACCTTGGCTTCCCAAAGTGCTGGGATTACAAAGGTGTGAGCCACCGCACCCGGCCCCCCTCGTTTTTTAAAGATGGAATTTCTCTCTCTTTCTCAGGCTGGACTCAGACTCCTAGACTGAAAGCTATCCTCTCACCTCAGCCTCCCAAGTAGCTGAGACTTATTTATAAACTTTCCAGTTAATTGTGACTACAGTTATGCACAGATTAAACATAGGTTTATTCTGGTTGGTAATGATCATAAAGAATGATCTGACTGGCTATCTTTGGGAATGATTGTTTGTAGACTGTAGTAAAGATGAAAAGTCCAAACTGATTTTTATCTTTTTGTGCTGTTAAAGTATAAGGATCTAGAATTTTTATTTATGGACATTGATGTCAGAAGCATATGTAGGTAGTTTTAAAACTGAAAATATAGCTTGTTTTTACCTCTCATCTAACTTTGGAGACCACAGTCGCCTTTGCAGATCTATCTAGACAACTTCTGAGGTTTATTCAAGCCTCATTTGTTGCTGCTCTAAATTCTTGCTCTGACCCTATCTGAAATCAGTGTAGTCTGAACTACTAGAGAGACGTTATTCCGTAACACAGTGAATCTCAGAATTTATTTTTTCAACTGATACTTCCAGCTCTGGATTCTGTGACATTTGCCCAAAGGGAAACACCGGTCCCTTGGATTACACTGTGCATCCATTGTCTGAACTGTCACAGCAATAGCGCGTAAAGCTGTTTGCATAGCGTGCTAACTCTATCAGGGTCATTTCCAGTCTGTGGCCGCTAAAAATGAAAACCATGCCCCAGCCGGGACAAGAACAGGGTCAACAGCTGGCAAAGGATATGGCAATCATTTATATAAATATGCTTTCTCAAGCCCACAAAAACAAAAAACCCCAACCCAACAGCTGGGAAGGGTTGGAAGTAGCCCCAAGGCTGGTTAGTCCCCTTCCAGATGGGGAGGTTAGACTGGGGCTAGCCAGACTGCTCCACATAGACTTCCGATTCGAATTAGAAATGAAAAGAGGAGAGGAAAGGGAAAAGGAAGAAAGCCTACAAGCATGACTGCTCTGCTTTTCACCTAACTTAATCAAATAAGTGAAGACTTTCTGAGACGGAAGGCTTGCATTTATCGGCATTCATGCTCCGTTTTTTCTGTTTATCATAGGGTCTAATACACATTTTAACTGCTGAAACAGAAAGCATATATGCTCTAAAGTATAGTTTATATATAATGTCATGGTTATTTGTAGAGAGATTGAAGAACCGGTCTCAGATTTATGTCCTGTTTACATCTCCCAAACACTTATGTAGAACATTCAATGCTAGAGAAGATAATAATTGTGGTGTTGGCTCACTCCCAGAATTTTATCCAAGGGATAGGGTTCATTTTTGTAATTTGATTTACTTCATAATACATCGTTATTGCACATCTAATATATCCAACAGAATAACAAATACCGTTTTCCTGGGTTCACCTTAAGGTTGCATACCATGAGGCAAAGTATTATTTTTGTAACCTGTTGATGCTTCAAGAGGCAAAGGTGAAGAGTATATGACTTTCAAACTCTTCCAAGAGTGACATAGTAAAATAAAAGACACCACAGTGATGAAGAAAAAATTTGTTCTCATTATCTAGAAAAGGGCCGCTTCTTCCTAATAATGGAGAGTTCTGCTGAAGCCAAATTGAATGGCAAGCAGCACTTTCTTCCTCTCCAGTCTTACGTTTGCTTAAGGAAAAGCTTACATAATGAATACATTTATAGGTGTAGGATGAGCTCATGATATCAGAATCCATAAAGATATATAAATTAGGCTCTTTTGCCAACATTGAGGCATTGTCTTAGAGAATCTTCTGCTTTGACATAGAAGTTAGGTAATGCATTTTCCTTCTTGTAATGATCTGCCTGAAACAAACATTTAGCCTTACTCGTGGAATGTCAAAACTAGAAGGAACTGTAGTGATCATCTCAGATACCTCCTCTAATGAGTAGTAAAGATCAGAAAGTTAGAATGTGCACAGGGAGGATGCTGTGGACCCCTCAATCAGGTATACATCTTCCAACTATATACACACAGAGGACCCTATACTGAGAAAGAATAGTGCCAAGCCAGTCTGGATAAAGACCCTCGGGAGACCTGAATTATCAAAGCTATCTGCTGATCCCTCAAACACTCAGATTTACTGTGTAATTGTATAAAGTAAATTTCCCACTTTGTTCTGTGGCCCTATAGTATCAAAACAAATGTTTCTCAAGCATCAACACTTTATTAGAAATTCTCATGACTTCTAGATGTGGTTTTGGTCATTTCCATAGATAAGTAATAAGATGAGTGTGTTAGGTGTTGGCTCTGAAAGTCTATCCCATCTATCTATATAGTAATGAATATTAGATTTTAAGCTTGTTGGGGGCAAGAAAAGTAGGTCATCTTCATGTTTATATCCACTGAGTCTGGCACATATGAGTACTTAGTGGATGTTTGCTGATATGCGATTAAGATAAAGTGCAAGATATGTTTTTTTTTTTTCTTTTTTTTTTTTTGAGACGGAGTCTCACTCTGTCCCCCAGGCTGGAGTGCAGTGGCCCAATCTCAGCTTACTGCAAGCTCCACCTCCCAGGTTCATGCCATTCTCCTGCCTCAGCCTCCCAAGTAGCTGGGACTACAGGCGCCAGCCACCACACCCAGCTAATTTTTTGCATTTTTAGTAGAGATGGGGTTTCACCGTGTTAGCCAGGATGTTCTCGATCTCCTGACCTCGTGATCCACCCGCCTCGGACTCCCAAAGTGCTGGGATTACAGGCCTGAGCCACTGTGCCCAGCCCGATATGTTGATTTTCAAATAATTCATTAATTTAAGTATTTTCTTCTATAATAGCTACAACAATTTTATACTAAAACTTTTGGGGGGAAGGGCCATTACCTTAATTTACACAATAGATCAGTTAAGTTTTGCAAGAAGGTGAAAGTAGACAAACATGTTTTTGACACATTGTTATTGCTATTCCTGCGGTCTTTGATTCTGACCCATTTTTAGCTTCTGTGCATTTACTTTTAGTTAATCTGTTTGATTTGAATACACTGTTCAGTTAGTCTCAAACACTTTCTTAGCATTTATCTTCAAACCTTAAGTGTAAAAATGAGACAGAGGCTTAGAGGTGTCCTCGGAATTTTAGAACTAACGGTTTAATTTCCTGACTCTTAGAGTCCAAATGTTTTCTTAGATTGATGTGGATTGGTTTAACGTAATTGGAAGTTTGAAAGGTACATGTTTCTAAAGCTTTTAAGATAATGATACTTAGAAATCACTGATTGTTCCTTGATGATGAATGCCTTTAATATATGTTTACAAGCTCCAAAACTTTTAATATATCTTACCATACTCTGATTACTAGAAATATATAAATGAAACCAACATTTCTCTATCCTGGAAAAAAAGTGTCCAGTAGAGTCTGTCCTTCCTGAGCTTAGTTAAAGCAATTCTTGTATCTTTGTTTTATATTTTTTAACCTTTTCCAATCCTTAATACATTTGTGGTCTTACTGGGATATGCCAGGAAGAAATTTCTTCCTTCTATTTCTTCTCCCTCTTTTTAGCTGTCTACTGTATACCATGTAGAACCACAAAATGCATGTTTTTATCTGTTCTGTTGTGTAGAATGTATATGCTGCCAGCCAGCCTTACTCTTTCCTCTCTACACTGCCACAGCTACAACTGCTTCCCTGTCAAACATTAGAAAAACACAGGTGGGCACCTAGTGCATGGTGTTACAGTAAAGACAACTCGACATCATACTGACTACAAATTACCTCCCCTAGTTTAAAGGCAAATAGTAGCTATCACAACCAAATTTAGAATGTGACACCATTGTTTAGGTGTATGTGATTCATTTTTATTATCTAATCACATATTTTTTTCCCTTCTAATTTGTGCCCTGACTGCACCTTGTGAAAGGTTAGAACTGGGATAATAACTGTGATGAACAAGTTATTCAAGAAATACTTGCAAGGTGGACAATGTTAACTTTGAACAGTGAACACAAAGGGTAATGAATTACTAATACCATAGTTCCCTTCTCAAACAGCAGTGACAGCTTAATTTTGATAGGATCCCTATGATCTTTGTAAGCGTATTCATGCCAGGAATGTTGTCCTCAGCAATAGATCCTATCTCTATCCCTTTTCCAAAAGCCCGGTAAAGTTAGTTTGCTTAAAACTACCTGAAAATGTCTTTCTAGACATCCACCTTACTGCAGGGCCCTAGGGTCATAACCTCTTAACCTTACGGGTTATAGGTCTCTTGCTTTTTGATCTTTCTTGGTTCTTTAGTTTTTGCCTACTTCCTCCACAACATTCAAGCCTTGTTATATAAGGAAATTGGAAACACCAATTTTGGATGAGATAAGTTACCCTTTCTTCCAGAATAATCCAAAAAGATGATTTTAAATAGAAACATGCTTGGGAAAAATTTAGCAAAACTACAGCATCCTGTCTAAGCCAGTTTGAAGTTGCCCCCCTTCATTTCTTATCCTCTTTATAAAAAACAAAACAAAACCAACTTAGAACTTACTGTTGACTTAGTGATAAAGTTTTTATTCAGGTCCCAAAGGCAGCTTGCTTGAGACATCAGAAGGAGTCAGAGTGGTCTGAGCGAATGAGAAGGAGATTAATATTAATACAATTAGTTAGTTAGCTTATTATTCTTGCCTTACTGGGCAGTACACTGTTTGATAATAGTGACAACTAACATCAATTTGGCACTTACTATTGACAAAGCATTATTTATTATTTTATAGCCATAGCAACTTGGTAAAGGAGAGATTATTATTCTTATTTCATAATAAAGGAACCTGAGCTTCAGAAAGGGCCCTCGGCTTGCCGAAGGCCGTATGGTAAATCAATGACCGAGCTGGTGTGGAATGTTAGCCTCCTGGATCCTGATCGTTCAGCCTCCGAAACATTCCTACTGAAGAGGCATTAGGACTAGAGCGTATTTCTTTTGATTATCAATGCGGGTGGTAGTGAGGTATCCTCAGCTGTTTGGCTGGCTCTCTTATTATATTAGTATCTTTTTACTATTATCTTGCTTCTGTTTCAGCCAAAATTTGGATTTTGTTTCTTTGCCACACCCATAGGATCAGGTACAGTTAACCTGTTTGAGCCTAATAATCAAGTATTGTACTGAAATTCCAAATAGAATTGGAAAATGTACTTTTTTGATGGGCTACCTTTCCTCTTTCCTGCCTCATCCAAACAGTCTCCATTAGAAATAATAAAAACCCTCATAGGATTTTAAAGCCAAGTTAGCAGCCCTGAGTCAGGACAGGTGTTTATTTTTAATTCATACTCAGAAAGCACTGTTTACCCATTTACCAGACAGAGCAAGAAAGGACAAATAGTATATATAAAAAAAAAAAGAATTATAGGTCATACAGTTGTCTTTTCATTCCATAAAAATTAGGAGGTCTCTTTTAAAACATTAAGATAATGTTGAAATAAATACATTTTAACCCGAACCTAAAACCAAACAATGACAGGAATATTTCTCCTTAAATGCAGACTACCTGGCATTCGCAGGTATCTGCTAGAGGCAAAGTCAGAACGAATGAGGAGGCCTGCAGACAGTAATCATACTTCCATCTCATGGAAATCACCCACTTGCCTGACTCACAAGAGCACTGAAGTGTGTGTGTTTATGTGTGTATTTGTTGTGAATTTGTTTTGATTTTATCAGGCTTGCCAGCTGCATAAGCGGGCAAAGAATGTAATGTGGAAACCATCCATTGCCACTGGAAAAAGGATCCAAGAGGAATTCCTTAAGCTGGGAACATGAGCTGTGAGCAACATGTTTAAATAGCTAAATATCCAAAGTTTGAGTCATGTTCATTTATTTTGGGGGATACACTCTCTTCTTTGAGGCTGAAAGAGTCCTTCTGGCTTAGACTATAACAAATGTGGTGCTGGAGGAGGTGAGAGACTGGAAGCCCTAGCGAGTTTGCTCAGGTTGTGGTTAATGGTGAGAGAGGGTACCATGACCCCCTTCGTGAAGTACGTTCCACGTTCAATCTGAAAAATCCATGGGCTTTTAAAAAAGCCTTTTCTGTACTTTCCAGTGAGGGAGAAAGGTAAGGGAAAGGAAACTAACTTTTTTTTTTTTTTTTTGAGACAGGGTCTCGCTCTGTCGCCCAGGCTGCAGTGCAGTGGCGCAATCTCGGCTCACTGCAACCTCCGCCTCCCGGGTTCAAGTGATTCTCCTGCCTCAGCCTACTAAGTAGCTGGGATTACGGGAATGTGACACCACGCTCGGCTAGTTTTTGTTATTTTTAGTAGAGACCGGGTTTCACCATGTTGATGAAGCTGGTCTCAAACTCCTGACCTCGTGATCCTCCCACCTCAGCCTCCCAAAGTGCTGGGATTACAGGTGTGAGCCACTGTGCCCGGCCTCTTTTTTTTTTTTTTTTTTTTTTTGTAATTTTTATGTGCCAGACACTATTCCAGGTACTTTCAGAAAGGTGGTGATTTTTTTTTTTTTTTTTTTAAAGAGATGGAGTCTCGCTCTGTCTCCCAGGTTGGAGTGCAGTGGTGTGATCTCAGCTCACTACAAGCTCTGCCTCCCGGGTTCACGCCGTTCTCCTGCCTCAGCCTCCTGAGTAGCTGGGACTACAGGCACCCAAAAAGGTGGTGATTTTTCTCCCCATTTTGCGGATGAGGAAACTGATGAGATCTGAAACGATTTGCGCAATCTATCACAGCGAATAAGGTTGGGATGAGGATTTTAACCCAAGATCTGGCTTCAATGCCCATGCTTTTCTTAACTCCCTTGAAGCCTTAACACTCTCAACAAAGAGTTTACTTTCCTTTTTCCCCTCCTCATTTTCTTTTTTTTTTAAAATATTACTTATTTAATTTTTAATGGTCGAGTTTACTTTTCTTCTTATTTTACTTGTGTTTCTTCTAAAGGAGCTGTCTGGGCTAACTACTCCATTGGTTAGAATATGATGCCTTTGAGCCCAAAATCTTGTTTGATCTCAGAATAGGCCAAGTTAATATTTTACAAAGAAAAGCTGAGAATTAAATGGCATCACCATTAGCCTGCCATTGTCAGAAGAATATGAGATGAGCTAAGAGTATATCTGACTCAGAAAAACAACTCAAAAGCATGTCTTGTTGTTCTCAGATGGTCTGAGTTTTCAAAAGAAAAAAGATGATGAGTCAATCGTAGAAATAAATAGCCTAAATATCTCATAGATTAAGTCAATTAAGTAAAGATTCCCCTTATGTATTTGCCCTATTTTAATGTAGGTAATCAAGGTACTGAATTTTTTCTAGACAGGTTGTAGTATCAGCGCAGTGATGAAAGTAGTCTTCCTCTGCTGTGAATTAGGGCTAATATTAAATTTTGTGTGGTTGCTGAAGAAGTTTACTGTGCACTAGCTCTCTCTTCAAAAAAATTATTTAAGTTACATTAAATTTTATTTATTTATGTGTAGCTCCTAGATCTAAAAGGGAATAGTTTTTTCCCCTCACAATTTCAAGACTTCTCTTTTATTCTTCTTTTTTTCGAGACAGTTTCACTCTTGTCACTCAGGCTGGAGTACAATGGCACGATCTTGGCTCACTGCAGCCTCTACTTCCTGGGTTCAAATGATTCTCCTGCCTCAGCCTCCCGAGTTGCTGGGATTACAGGTGCCCGACACCACACCTGGCTAATTTTTGTATTATTAGTAGAAACAGGGTTTCGCCATGTTGGTCAGGCTGGTTTCAAACTCCTGACCTTGTGATCTGCTCACCTCGGCCTCCCAAAGTGCTGGTATCACAGGTGTGAGCCACCGCGCCTGGGCTTCATTACAATTTTTATTTTGTCTTCCTGATTTCTGGGGGATAAGAGGGGAACCAAAAAGATAGTTTATGAAGAACTTAACAGTTTCCACATTGCCATTTCTGTAAAATCAGGAAAAGAACAACAGATGTATTACAGACTAGTTAGGGAGAAAAGTGATCAAAAAACACTTGATATTTTTAAATTCGTGGAAACTTTGAGCTACATATTTTGCCTTCCGTTCATCTTTGTAACCATTTTTTTGTTTCAGGTTGAGTGTGATTCTTTCTTCCCAGCTGGAACTTTCAGCCTTGTCCCCGAGACCAAAAGCTCAATCAGTGTCACTCTGCAGAGAATGTTTTCAGTATACGAGTGTCCTCTCCTTGGCACTCAGTTGGGACAGTCAGCACTGCCCCTGCCCCAGAGCTAATTAACTGCATTGCTATCAGAGCTCTGAAGTGACAGAGGCAAAGGGCAGAGAATGGAACCAAGAGATCATTCAAAATGGGGTTCAAGCTGGGAGGCAGTGCCCGGCCCCCTTCTTTCACAGCTGGGGTTTTGGCAGCCTGTCCTCGGGTTGTTCAGCCTGGTGACCCTAGCCGCCTGTGATTTACTAACTGTTTTACAAATGTTTCCTCGCTCTGGGAGGTTTGATACACTCTTCATCCTCCTCAGCTCACCAGAGTCACTCAGTCTCTGAGCCAAACCTGCCTTTGTTTACAACTTTTCCGGAAATTTTCACAGAGGGAGAGAAACTCTCCCTCCTCTTTCAGTGTTTTATTTTTAAGTCAACACTTTTCTCAAGTTTATTTGTGCTAAACCAAATTCTCCTACAAGGTATTGCTCTGTATTCAAATGGGAATTGCTGCATTTCTATAAATAGAATGAAGGTCATGTGAACGAGTTCAGAAGATTCTAGATATCACATTTTACGGGACCTTTACATTTAGTTCACTATTTTTTGAAAATAATATTCTATGTTTGGATTTGTCTTTTTTTCCCACATTCATATTTGACTGCGCATTATGTGAAAAATTGAATTTGGGAAACATTGAGTGGAATATTTTTTAAGCTGAAATACCCATGTTAAAAATAACAAAATGTGTTGTTGCTTCATCATTGTAACTTTCTTAAAAACAGAATTTATAGCCCCTTTATTAAATATTTCTAGAATATAATTGCCTCTGAAAACACAGTACCAGGGTTTTTTTGTTTTCGTTTTTCTTTAAATCTCATTCCCATTAATTGCTCAGTCTTTACCTTGGCGGAGAATGAAAAACTGCCTTGGAACTTATTAATAAGCATTTAGAAAAACTCGACAAAAAATTAAAGAATTGGCCTGGCATGGTGGCTCATGTCTGTAATCCAAGCACTTTAGGAGGCTGAGGCACGCAGATCAGTTGAGGCCAGGAGTTCGAGACCAGCCTGGGCAACAGGGCAAAACACCTTCTCAACAAAAAATATAGAAATTAGCCTGGCGTGGCGGCACATACCTGTAGTCCCAGCTACTCAGGAGGCTGAAGTGGAAGGATCACCTGAGCCCAGAGAGGTTGAGGCTGCAGTGAGCCATGATTGTGCCAGAGTGAGACCTTGTCTCAAAAAAAATTAAAGAATGACAGGATAAAAATTTAGGGAGGCCGATTCCATCTGCAATCAAAAGCTAACTTTTGGTCCACACTAAGTAAGAAGTATTATTTTTCTCATTTCTACCTATGAAAAAAAGGTTGAAACTGAAAGAAAAAAAAAGGCATTATTTATTTTCCTCCTTTTCTGTCTTCTAGAGCCAGAACAGACAGAATATATCCTAAATTGGATACAGCCAGAGAATAGTTTACTGATAAAATATGTTTTAGGAAGGAAAACTGGTTACATTTCAGCATATACAGCTGGACTTCCTGGTGGGCCTCCCACATTGTCAACATCAGTACCATTTATTTGTTGACCAACAGAAGACCACCAGAATGAGGTATTTTCATTTCTGCATACTTCTAATTCTACAAGAAAGATAGCTGTTGAGAGAGCTAATATCAAGGAAATGGCAAACAAACACCTTAGGTGATCCTGTGTGACATTCAGGAACTATTGCAGACTTCCAGGACTCAAGACAGTCTCCTCAGCCATAATGTCATTGACCTTGACATACTCAGAACAAATTGGTCTGTGTGATTGCTACCACATGCTGTAGCGCCTCCTAACCCTGCCGTTGGTCTGGAGTGAAGCAGAGCAGGAGAAAGGGCTCCTCATCAGAGGATATGCTTCTTTTATGTTCCTTAGACTCTTGCCCAGCATGCTTTTCCCACTCTATTTAGTCTTAAAATGGCTAATTTAAAGTTTCTGAAGCTTTGTAGGAGCCGCAGAGTGTACCTAGTTTTGCCAGGCAAGGACTGAATAGGTGAATAGTCATTGTATTCTTAGGGTGTGAAACTGTTTCGGGAGCAAAAGATAAGGCAAACACAACCAAAAAGACAGCCCTTTTGCTTAGTTAGGAAGATAATTTATGTCCCCAAAGCTCTTTCAGTGATCTGTACCCATCAGACCAGTAGAATTTGAACTTTTTTCCCAACTGAAGAGTCAACTGAGATGAGTAATAAGCACACTCCTCACTTCTGGTTTTCTTTTACGTCTGTAGGTTTTTTTCATTTATATGGAGAACACAAGTCGTAGCCAGTGAAAGTTTGTATAGGCCCCTCTGTTTCTTGCACTCTAGTTATAGGCACTTGCTAAATGTTTCTTGAGTGGATGAATGAATAAGTGAATCCTGGACAGATTGAGATGTATGGGGTGAGTCATAATCCTGGCAAAACCCTAATTAAACACAGTGGAACCATTGCCTTATGCACAGGGCAACCTCAGGCATTCTGCGTTCATCGTGTCTGCAGTGTTCTCCAAATTCTGAAGCAGAGATGTCTAGATGCTTGTTTAGTGCGGAGGGTCACTTTCTTTATATTTTAAAATCAGTAAGGTCATACTTAACTTCGTTTGTACATATTAATATATCCATAAATGTTGGTAGTTCCTTTGGGTACTATGAGTGACTATAATATTAACTAAACTGCATTTTTAGATTAGAAAATTGTGAGGGGGGACCAAGCACAGTGGCTCACACCTGTAATCCCAGCACTTTGGGAGGCCAAGGCGGATGGATCACCCGAGGTCAGGAGTTCGAGACCAGCCTGATCAACGTGGTGAAACCCCCGTCTCTACTAAACTTACAGAAATTAGCCGGGCATGGTTGTGCACACCTGTAATCTCAGCTACTCGGGAGGCTGAAGCAGGAGAATCGCTTGAACCTGGGAGGCAGAGGTTGACGTGAGCCAAGATCTCGCCATTGCACTTCAGCCTGGGCAACAAGAGCGAAACTCTGTCTCAAAAAAAAAAAAAAAAAAAAAAAAAAAATTGTGAAGGGGGAATCCCCTATGAATGTACCAGTTTTTACTTTGATCCAATCAAGTTGTTTTGTATGGTTTGTTGTTTGTTTTTTGGTTTTTGGTGTTTTTTTTTTTAATTTGATTTCTACATGGATTCAAAATAATTTTGTTTGGAAAGAACAGATATGTCAGGGGAAGAAGTGACACGTAAGCTACAACAGAGTATATTTTTCAAGCACCTCTTTATTTGAAGATGCAATATTAGTATTTGTTCTTTCTTAGCACCTTTTCGAAGTTTTCTTCACATGAACTCTTGCAGTGTGCCAAGGATAGCAGAGATGTTTTTCAAACGTTTATTGGCTACACACATAAAAGAACAGAAATTCCTATTTTTCTTCTCTGTCCTTATATTACTATATCACCTGTTCTCCAGCCTATGGGTACAAGTGATTGACATCGTTTTCTTGTCGATAAGTATGATACTTATACATCTGTCTTGTTCTTCTTACTGTCTGTGTATTAATATTTCTAGATGAAGATATATATTAATTCATTTAATCTTCATTATAACTTTAGGATGCAGATACTGTTATTATTCTTTGATAGATGAGGAAACTAAGTTCAAGAAAGATCCCAAATGTGTCCAAGGTTACAAAGACAGTGAATGCATGACTAGATTCAAACCAAGATGCCCTGGCTCCTGAAGCTGTGCTCCTAATCACCAAGCTGTTTCCCATGGCATTCTATTCTGTGAAGGTATTATCATCTAGTTGATGGCTTCCCTATGGATGTTGTCTAACTTTTTTTGCATTTACAAACAAAACTGCAGTGAACATCTTTATACATATTTCCTTGTGCAGTGGTTAGCATCTTAGAAACTTGAATATATCTGCTTCTTAGCCTCCCACCCAAATTTCTATGTTGCTTTAGAATCCAGAGGAGAAAATCCGCCCTCTTACATGGCTCAAAGAAATATGCTCACAGAGTGCCCATTTTTCAGTTTTCTTAGAGTTGTGAGATTTAAACTAAGAGAAATAAGGTACATATATATTTGTGTGTTGCTTAGTGAGAAGTGGTGGGTAGGAATAATTTTTCTGTTTTTGCTGAGATCTTATTAGTAACATGGCTAAAAACATTGGCTTTGCAAAATTCTCAGTCAGATTCTTGCTTTTAAATAGAATTAGAGGGGAAAATTACTATTAGTCTTTTATATGGAAATAACAAAAAACTTAGGAGATAATGTTGATCACATACCCTTTTTTATTATATCTTAGTAACTTATTTAATATTTTAGAAAGTGGCTTATAAAAAATTTATTGATTTCTACTTAGTATTTCAAATCTAAATTCAGGATGGGAAGGTTTCATGAACTTTCCAGAGACTAGTAACTTCCTATTCCACTTTCCTGGGCTTGGTATTTTAGTTATTGTATTGTCTACTCATATATTTGACTTTTCACTGTGTTTCATTTTGTCTAAAGCGGGACTCTTCTCCTCCCAGGGACCAGAGAATTTTCTTCTTGATGTTCTGTTAAAGCCTTGCTAAGCTCTGACTCAGCCTGACTTTAAATCCATAGTTTCATTTTCTAACATTATTAATGATTAATCTTGAAGCACCGAAGAAATGAAATGTGCTAGTAAGTGTCGTTAAAAAACTGAGAGTTTTTCTTCTGTTGTGGACATTTCTTGTCCATAACAGCTTGAGTTTAACTCGAATCTCATTAGCTCAGCTTAATTTGAGGATGTTCTGAAAAGAGAGAGGGAGAAACAAAGCACGTGGTCATCCCAAATGCTAATATCAGAGACTCTCTTTTAAAGCTACTAGGTCCACGCTTCTATGAAGAAAGCAGGTATCCATGTTGTTGATGCTCCCTAGAGAGAGCCTCAGACACATTTTGTTCCCAAACAGAATTAGAAGGAAAAGGTCTGCTTAGCTGTCTTTTCCTGTTTAAAATACAGCTGCCCCTGCAGTAGAGCCCTTGTCAGCTCGCTGGTGCTCTCTGCAAACTTGCAGTGCAAGTCTATGATATAAGTGGTGTAGAGTGGTTTTGTTGCTAAGAGAAAAGTGCTAAAAAGGAAAAAAAAAAAAAAAGGAGGGCCTGTATCTCTTGTGTAGCTCAGATCCTTTGGGTATTTAATGTACAGTTTCAGCAAAAGACACTCAGAATTATACCTCTGGTTGGTTCAAAATTGCTTAAATGTTGAAACATATGGTCTCATGTTCCATTTGTTAGCAAACAACCAGCTGTTCTCAGCCTGCCAAATCCAAGTAAACATCCACTGTGTGGAAGAGTGAATCTGAAATGGTTCAGTAAAAACATAAAAGCTGTTTTTGCTGAAGAAGAAGAAAAAAAAAAGGCCACCCCGAAACAACAGCTAGTGAAAAAAAAAAAAAAATCTTGTTCTGATAACGTCTTTTCCCTGGCTTGCTTACAGTGGACTGTGGAGTAGGAATGACTCTAGAGCCGTTTCAATTTAAAAAGATTTGTAGGCAAACTTGCTGTCCTCTTCTGTTGCTGAAAATCGTGATTGTCTTGGTTACAGTGATTATTTTAATAAAATGCAATTATCTGAATAATTAATGTATTTGACTACTCTACTGTGTCCTCCATTCACAGAGGCCAAAATGTCAAAGATCAAGTAGATTGGGAGAATAGGAAAATTCTCATTATAAAGGCAAGGGGAGGAGGGAAAGGATGAAATATTTGGAATTTCAGTGCAGTGGTTTCTATTTATCCGAAATGTCAAGGGCAGTGTAAAATGTATTTTTAAAATGTGTTTCTGTATGGTTTGTGCCCATTCTTGGCGTGGCTGTGGCTGTACAGAGACCATTGTTCTTTGAGGAATATGAGGGGGTGTCTTTGTCCAAAGTGACAAAAAGAAGACTTGGAAGACTGGGCTTCCTTTGTTCCTGTGCGGTGCTGTAAAATTTGGTTTGAAATTAGGACCTCAGGGAAGGACCTTCAATAGAGAGCTTTCATTTCCTGCCAGCATTTTAATCACTCTGGGGTTTAAAGTGGATGGCCGGCCAGCATAATGGCCCTATGTTTAATAGAACAGCTTGTATCTTGAAGGCCAGTTAAGGGATCTGTCATCCGCCCAATATTCGTCTTTTCTGTTTCCTGTCCATTTATGAAGATCACCCACCCTTTTAGGTGGCTTCCCTGGATCATTTTGTAGGGGAGCTGCTGCCACTGCTTCTTAAAGAGGCTGAACAGAAACCCAGTTGAATGTGGTCCAGTCTTCAGCCCACGCAGGGAAGTTCTGCAGAGTGCTTTAATTAGACACGAAGTTCACCACATTTGGGAGTTGATTCCATCAGTTGTAGAGGGACTGTGTCAGATTTCACAAAAAATATAGAATTGGAAGAAGATTAAAATTTATCCATATCTCAGAATTATTGGCACCTATTGACCTGATATGTGCTCACATCATCACTGTGGTGGATGTTAATGTCATCCTGTCATGCACAGGAGTAACTTATCTCCTGAGGGGTGAAGTAACCTGGTGGGTTTGATCCTGTTGTATACAAAGGAAATTCACAATTTTTCTAATACAGTGGCTTGTTAACTCTGAAGGCAGGCTTCCTTTGGAACCCTTTAGAAATTTACCTTTATAGTTTATGAGATGATATCCAGAACTCCTAAAGGAGTAAATATTGGAGACAAGACTTGAAAGAGAGAGCCAGCAGTAAGAAGTAAGGGTTCTGAATTTCTTTCCCAGCTCATGCCTAGTGGGTAAGAGTAAGATAACATCAGTAAAAGCCTGAGATTCACTAAGTTTTCATGTAGGAACTGTCACTGAAATTGCTCTGTGACCAGGTGCTAAGAATGGCCTTGTGTTGTCAGTAATAGTGAACTGCTTGGCAGAGGTAATTTTAGAGGTAACTATTAAATAGGATCACAAAGTGTTTCCCTAACTGAGTAATAACATACATGAATGAGGGGAGAGAAGGAAGGGACCTTTTCAACTACGAGCACACTCTCTATCCCATCTCATAGCCAGTTGTGCTGCAGACAGACAAAACCAGAGAAGCCGCTTTTCACGGACATTTTTCTTTTTTGCAGATACCTAGGGGTTATCATGGGGAAACAAAGGCATGTATAAACCTCATTCAGCAGTCTTTTCAGATAGAGTCTGAAAAGAGTCTATCACCAATCTATCTGAGGTCAGCTTAATCCATACCCACAGAGATGATGAGCCAAAGGCTTCCCTAAGCTAGGGTCCCATAGTCTTCCCCAAGCTAGGGTCCCAGCGCTGGGTGGGGGACAGGAGAAAAGGCCTGAGGCACGGGGGAGAAAAGGCAGTTGCAGATAGTAATGTTTGGAGGCATGCTCAGTTATTCAGAAGAAATGGAATGACGTTAAAATTCTCCCAAAAAAGGTTGGAACCACCTCTGCTTCCCTTTCCCCACTCTGTAATCAGTAATCATTGTCTGGTGTGTTCAGATGATAATCCAGTTGGCCACCAAGGGGTTGTGCTTCCTTACTGACTGTATTTGTGATCTGTAAGACTTTTCAAACACAGGTTTAAACATCCAGAGACTCCAGCCTCTTTGACAGTCATTCTCCCACTGTGTCCCTTTTGACTTCTTTTGTCATGTCTCTAGTGCAGATTTCCCAGCTGCCCAATTTGAGCCCTTTTGAGTTGACCTCCCTTGGATGAGTAGCTCTTTGAAAGCTGATTTAAAGTGAGTGTTGCTCCACCTAAGAGCTGTTGGCTGAAAAAAGCACTGTCTACAACAGCAGAGGTGGCCGAGAAAGGCAGACAGGCTCTCCTGAGGCTGGTGTTGCAGATTTGCATTGGTCTAGTAGGAATTATGCATCATTAGACTGAACTTCTTATGTTTGCATCCAGGTCATTTCTCCATAAAAAAAAAAAAAAAATGCCACTGACATTACAGCCAAGGAACCATCATTGTACTTACACCAGTCTGTTCCCACACATGAAGTGTTATGCTTCAAATAACCGCTCAACAGCTCATCTGAAGGTCCAGAGTATGTTTACTGGGTAAAATATTTCAGGCATAGACTTGGAGAGCAAGCTGCCCACCAGGGCAGGGCCTTAGCATAAAGTTAATATCGTCAAAGATCTGACTATAATCCATTTCATTCACTGTTGCAGTTTGCTGTGTGGGTGTTTCTACAATGTGGGAAACTTGTTTCATTGAAGAGTCTGAATATTTTGTAAGGATGTGAAGAGTTGCAAATAATCTTTTCTGTAAGGCTATGAGGAGAAACAAAGCAGCTAATGTTAGAAAGAACTGGTACACGATTGTTTTCTGTCATTTGTAAAACAAAATAGGAATATTCTGGTCTTTACAGATTTATATCCTCAACTTGTTGCTCCTTAAGGATTATACAAAAAGCATACCTATGAAAAGATCTGTTCTACTGGAAGGATATCCTATTTTGAAGCTCAAATAGTTTTATTTTTATTTACGTATTTATTTTCAGAAATAGCGTCTCCGTCTGTCACCCAGGCTGGAGTGCAGCAGTGTAATCATAGCTCACTGCAGCCTCGAACTCCTGGGCTGAAGTGATCCTCCATCCTCAGCCTCCCAAAGCACTGAGATAACTAGTGAGGGCCACCACGCCCAGCCTTGAAGCTCAAATAATTTTAAAATATAAGATGATATATGTAATAAAGCATAATTCTTTGTCTATAGAAAATGTGTCTGTATGTTCAAAAGGCTACCTAAATTTTGTTATATTAACGAAAGAAAAGGTATGGAATAAAGTGTATATATATATATATAAAAACTATATTGTATATTTGCAATATAGTAAAAATAACATATACATGTATAAAGATATATACATATAAACATATAAATATTTCTGTGTATTCAAGTCAGTAGAGTTACCCAAGATGCCTTCATTTTTGCCTTTAGGCAGTGAGACTATGCTAGCCTTAACTGAAACTTTATTAGATTCAGTGGTGCTAGTTTCCAATTTCTATTTCTCAGCTTCTCTTTGGAATCACAATTCATTAGAATCATTCATTAGAAAATGAATTGGCCTTTGTGGATACCCCATTCTTAGACTATAGCATTTGGTTAGCATCGTTCCTGTGGGCTCCCTTTGGAAAATTTGCCTGTATCTATATGAGTCCCAAGTCCTTCCTTTCAAAAGCCTTTGCTTATACTTTATCCCTTATTCAGTTAATACCTTTTTCATTATATTGTACATAAGTGCTTTTATGTTTTAGATTTGAATCCCAACTAGATAGTTTGGGATAGTTCTTTGGGGCAGGACCCATGTCACACTTTTTCTGTATTCCTCAGAACCAAGCACACTATTTAGCATGTAGGTGTTAGTTTCCTTTCCTTGTTAAATTGTTATATATATATTTTTGTTTGTTTGTTTGTTTTTTGTTTTTTGTTTTGAGATTGAGTCTCACTCTGTCACCCAGGCTGGAGTGCGGTGGTGCAGTCTTGGCTCACTGCAACCTCTGGTCCCCGGGTTCAAGCGATCCTCCTGCCTCAGCTTCTCGAGTAGCTGGGATTACAGGCTCCTGCCACCATGCCCGGCTAATTTTTGTATTTTTAGTAGAAACGGGGTTTCACCAGCTTGGCCAGGCTGGTCTTGAACTCCTGACCTCGTGATCCACCCGCCTCGACTTCCCAAAGTGCTGGGATTACAGGTGTGAGCCACCGCGCCTGGCCTATTCATATATTTTTATATGAAAAAAGTAAGGCATGAAAAGAGTCTTATTATTTGTTTAGTTGACAGGAAATTTAAAGAAAAAGTATTGCTATAACCATCCTACTTCA
Source organism: Homo sapiens (assembly GCF_000001405.40). Taxonomy (NCBI): domain Eukaryota; kingdom Metazoa; phylum Chordata; class Mammalia; order Primates; family Hominidae; genus Homo; species Homo sapiens. The sequence goes on from NC_000017.11 coordinate 61,213,576, forward strand.
AATTCCTAGAATAATCTTTCCCACTCCTTTCATTTTAGCTCTTCTCTCTTCCTGACCTATAACTGTCTTTAATGGTCTTATATTTGCATGTTTTTTTAAGTAGTGAAAGAAGGTTGGAGGAGGACTGTACAGATGGATAGATGTACATTTAACTGCAGAGACTGGATTAGAACACACACATTCAGAATTTTCTGGATGTGGTTTAGTATATCATGATTACCAAATCACAGCTCCCAACATGTGATTATAAGGGTAGCAGGCAGGAAAGAATTTAATGAAATCTTGAACTTTGCCTTCTGCCCTTTTGTATTTGTCCCAGGGTAGCAGAGAAGAGACTATAGAAATGTAGTGCAGAGGGAAGACAAGTGAGGAATTATGGCAGCCAAATGTCTCCCAAAGTGAAAGACAAGAAAAATGGGGGCTTCACTGCACAGTAGGCTGGAGATTCTACCTAACCTCACAGGACTCCTAGCATGGCTGGTTTCAAAACTCGTTTGAGCTATAGGAATAGGCCATTCGTGGTGGCTCACACCTGTAATCCCAGCATTTTGGGAGACCTCACAAGGATCACGTGAGGTCAGGAGTTCAAGACCAGCCTGTCCAACATGGCGAAACCCCATCTCTATTAAAAAATACAAAAATTAGCCAGGTGTGGTGGCAGGCACCTGTAATCCCAGCTACTTGGGAGGCCAAGGCAGGGAGAATTGTTTGAACCTGGGAGGTGGAGGTTGCGGTGAGCTGAGATCATGCCATTGCACTCCAGCCTCGGCCACAGAGCAAGACCCTATCTCAAAAATAAATAAATAAATAAATAAATAAATATTTTAGGCTGGGCGCAGTGGCTCATGCCTGTAATCCCAGCACTTTGCAAGGCCGAGGCAGGTGGATCACAAGGTCAGGAGATGGAGATCATCCTGGCTAACATGGTGAAACCCCGTCTCTACTAAAAATACCAAAAAAAAAAAATTAGCTGGGCGTGGCGGCGGGCGCCTGTAGTCCCAGCTACTCCGGAGGCTGAGGCAGAAGAACAGCATGAACCTGGGAGGCGGAGCTTGCAGTGAGCCGAGATCGCGCCACTGCACTCCAGCCTGGGCGACAGAGCAAGACTCCATCTCAAAAAAAAAGAAAAAAAGAAAAAAATTCAAAAACATTTTTTAATGAACTATAGGGATATTTTGATGGACTGTTCTTTGGAATTAACAGGTCCACAAGCCAGTGGCTTTTCTGGAAATTACTGAAAGCTAATTCTTCAGAAGAGTATGTTCTAGCTAAGGGTGTACTATAAAGGTGGTAACCAGTAGCTAGCAATAACAAGCTTGTTGTTGGTTTCACTGCAGAAAATTTACCACTTGCATGTACTTACTGCATTGGTTTACCCTCAAGAAAAAGAAATACAGCCTCTATATACCTCTTACACCCACTAGATAGAACTAATCAGGATCTCTTTTGATCACTGGAGCAGATAAGCAGGAAATATAACTAACCAAGATTAATTTCACATATTATCTATTATTATAGTTTTTCCTAATCTACCCCTTGACTTAATCTAATTATTTTCAGTTCAGGGAGCTTCCTGAAAATGGAGGACAAGGATACATTTCACCTATGTCTTATGCTTTAACTCTTTTTAGAGAGGAGAACAAATCTCTTTTGAAATTCATTTGTTAAAGAAAATATTTCAGAGTCACTAGCAAAAGAAAACTACTTTCTTAGTTGATTCTTTTTGCTCTGGATGGAGAATCTAGAGATCTGGGGTTTTACTCATCACTGTCAGTAACTAGCTCTCTGTCCTTCTGACACTTCACCTCTCTGTTCTTCAGTTTTGTATTTTGTGAAGCATCTACACTAGATGATTCCTGTCCTCCCTCTAGATTTGTAGTAATTCTATGATATATTACTTGAAGAACAGAGGCAACATTTAAATGTAAATTTCCAAACACCTGCATTCCAACATCTCCATAAAGTGCGAACCAAGATACATTATGCCACTGACTATAAAATACAGAGGAACATACTTTTTAAGCCACTTAAGCTCAAACTAAAATTGTTAGAATTTAAAGAAGTGTGGAAGGTTAACATTAACCTCTCCCAATTTCCATCTCTTTTCACATTTACCTCCTTAATTTGCTAACCCCTCAGTTCTTGATATCCAGGCTCCATTAAATGTGAACACTAACGTCTCTTAGTGCAGTAGTTCTCAACCTTGACTATATATTAGAATTCCTTGGAGACCTTTTAAAAATTCCAGTTGAAGTTGGAGCTTAGGCATCAGTATTTTTCAGACTCCCTGAGTAATTCTAGTGTACAGCCAGATTTGAAAACCTTTGTCTTAGTCAGATCTCTGTGCTTTTCAGGATATAATAGGTAAATCCACTTCTCTAGTATATTCAAATATATATTTTGGTTGGTTCTCCCAGTAGTAGATCGCTGATATTTCAGAACACTCTGCTGAATATTTTATTGAAATTTTATTTTATTGAATTTTATTGCATAGATTTTATTCCATACTAATTTCCTGATAGTCATATCACTTCCTTTGGAGAGATAGCACTGTTTCAGATTAGGGGGCACAATGTGAATTTTCTATTCCCATTTCCTAAGATTAAATTTTAAGCTAGCAGGGAGATTCCTTAAAGTATCATGGGATGTCCAGAAGTTCAGGACGGCCTGAGACAGATGAGTGGATTTAGAGTGGTGTTGATGTGCGTTTGTTTATAACACAAGATGCCCCTAGTGGGATTATATCACCATTTTGTCAGATTTTTCTTAAGTCTACAAGGTACTGAAGGGGAAGCTTTTTTCTTTCAGCAGTTGGCTCTAGCTAAACCAGAAGTATAAAGTAAAAACACTTAACAGCTCAAATCGACATATCAAATTGAAACGTGTAGGATTATAGTATGTATCATTGTACCTATGAACTAAGCAAGTCAATAAGTATGTGTTTATTTTATTTTATTTTATTTTATTTTATTTTATTTATTTATTTTTGAGTTGGAGTCTTGCTCTGTCGCCCAGGCTGAAGTGCAATGGCAATCTCGGCTCACTGCAACCTCCATCTCCCGGGTTCAAGCGATTCTCCTGCCTCAGCCTCCTGAGTAGCTGGGATTACAGGCACCCGCCACCACGCCCAGCTAATTTTTGTATTTTTAGTAGAGACGGGGTTTCACCATGTTAGTCAGGCTGGTCTTGAACTCCTGACCTCAGGATCCACCCACCTCAGCCTCCCAAAGTGCTGGGATTACAGGCATGAGCCACCGTGCCCAGCCTATATGTTGATTTTATGTGACATGAGATGATTTTCAAATAGACTATTAAAATGCAGGATTTAAATGTGCATCTGCTTGAATCTAAATACCTTCATATAGGTAGTCAATCTGCAAAGTTGTTTGCCTACCATGTGTAGTTTCAAGTTAGCACTAGTTTTGGCCGGGTGGGGTGGCTGACACCTGTAATCCCAGCACTTTGGGAGGCTGAGGTGGGTGGATCACGAGGTCAGGAGATCGAGACCATCCTGGCTAACACGGTGAAACCCCGTCTCTACTAAAAAAATACAAAAAATTAGCTGGGTGTGGTGGCACACTCCTGCAGTCCCAGCTACTCAGGAGGCTGAGGCAGGAGAATCGCTTGAACCCAGGAGGCGGAGGTTGCAGTGAGCTGAGATCGTGCCACTGCACTCCAGCCTGAGTGACAGAGCAAGACTCCATCTCAAATAAATAAATAAACAAATAAAAATAAAGTTAGCACTAGTTTTAAAGTATCCTCCATTTTTTGTGATAGTGAAAATCTAGGTTCCTGAAAAGAATAGATTATTTCCCCAGCTGGATGATTTCCAGTCCTTACAATGGTTTGGAAGCATTTGGTAGGCATATAATGGCCCCACAATCGTTTTGGCTTAGTTTGGCTTGCCCCAGTAATGTAAATTATAGGAAATCTTTCTTGAACAAGATAAACAGGAACTAAGAGCAGAAATGCTTTCCCCCACCCACCTCCCCTCATGGTTATTTGGAGCTATTAAAGGAGTGGGCAAATAAATGAAGGGCATATTCCCAGGACCTAGACACTCCAAAAGTCTGCATTTTTATCCTGTTAGGTTTTCCAGACCTGATATCATTAGGCAGCTTCCTCTGACTAGTTGATTTTCTTGAGAAACATTATTCTTGATCCCGTAACATCCCACACTGCTTTGCTTCTACTCCTCTAAGCCTTTTTTCCCCTCCCTTATTAAAAGTAATTTTTTACAGAAATTCCTAGCGCCAAGCACAAAATAAACTAGAAAAGCGTCGGACTTCTCTGTAACAACAGTCTTGGTGGCTGACTTTGTTGCTCCTGTGAGAGGCCTTCATGCTTTTGAATGAGTTCTGTTACAACAGATCACTGATAATTTAGTGGACTGGTTACCACCAGAATCCTTGGGATTATCTGACCTTCTCCAAGTAGCTCTCCATTTCAGTATTGCTATGTTTACCATCTGGTTATTGTATCACAATCTCAATCCAGCCAGAACAAGAAGAACTGAGATGGTTAAAGGAAAGACTCCTAAATGTTGGGTCATGAGAGATTAAATTGGGCATCTTACAACTTGTTCCTCCTGGAGCTGACTACACTGACTTTCTCAGTCTGAAGTCCCCTCTCTACTGCCGCATTCCAAGGCTGCTGTGAGCCCATTATCACAGTGAGTAGTAGCATCCAAAGGTTAGGTAATGCCCCTTTTCCTAGCCGAAAGACTGAAGACCGAATTCTCCTAAGATTGTTGGGCTTACCTTAAATTCTTCTATTAAAATGGAAAATGCCCAAACCCCAGTCTGTCTGTCCTTAGAGCCAGGAAAAAGGACTCTGAGACGTACATGCTGTTGGCATCAGTTAAATTTCATGTTCCTAGAGGTCCTACAATCCTGTATGTAAAGCTACAGTGAGTAATTGCAACTGCATTATAATTATTTTGGTAATGACTCCCTTCCTCTCACCAAGAGGCACAGGGATGGATCTGCACAGTTGCCTGCTATGAACATTGTGGTTCAAGTAGCTGATATTTGTTGTTTAGGCAAGCAAGACATCCAGCTGATGGGCTGAACATCTCCATTCCATCCTGCTGTTTAGTTTTGTGATTAAATAGCCACTTACTCATTTCCTGTATTGTCACATAACTTTTCAGTTCTCAGTTTGCTATGAGGACAGAGACTTAGCTAGGGTTACTGCAGGTCCACATTTGCCTAGGTCCCAGCTTTACTTGTACCAGTTTAATTATCATTGCCGCTTATGTCACCCAAAAGTGTACCAGTTTGGATGATAGTCACCTTATTTATCACCCTACATTAAACATAGGAGAACCAAAAGAAAGAGCTACTAAATGGAATGATACCAGAATCTGTGCTTCTAAAGTAATTAGAATTAGCCTGTATGTCCCATTGTTTTCAACACAAGTAGTGTCACTTGAATCCAAAAAAGTGATCTCCCTCCTCATTTTCTGTTTGCTGATAAAGGATGGCTCTCTAGAATTAGGATTCTGCGCTCCGTAACTAATATTTTTATAGGAAATATGAAATGAAGTAAAGTCCAAAAGCAAACAGGTCTGTAGCCTTTTTGAGAAGTGTTCACTCTTCTTATGGGGGACGAAGGTGAGTAGATGATGGTAAAGTAGGTTGTCCTCTAAACATACAATCTCTGAGAAAGATCCTTGTCCAGAAATCCTGTGTCTCAGTGGTACCCAGCGATACCCTGGAGAGGAACATTCCAGTGATTCCTTTCTGGGCATATTTCCTAGGGAGTTTTGGGAGTCATGCAGTGATCAGGTTCAGGACTTTTGGGTCAGACTTAACATGAGTCTTCCTTTCTCACAGGTGGCCCATTGACTTGGTCTCTGTGTGCCCATATTACTGGTGCTGCCAGCTCAGGGAGTTTATGAAATTTTGATGTAGAAATTAGATTGTTGCTTATCTTGTACCTTCTTGCTCATAGTATTGACAGTACCACTGAATTGCTTGAGGCAGATAGCATCTCAGCGATCACTGTGCTATTTCAGCTTTCTGCTGCTGACAACATCAGAAGTGTTTTAACAGGGTTTTAATGGGCAGCCTCTGTAGCTCCTTGGAGGGTTGCAAATAGCTGCCGTGAGAAACCCTCTCTGCTGCTCTGGGCTGACATGCCCTCTTTTCTCATCCAGCTGCTGCTTGTTTAGATGGCCGCCTTCCTGGTGACAAGCACTTCTTATTTGGGCTGAGCAGTACTAGGACTTGAATTCCAGAGATGAGATTGTGTAACATAAAAAAGGAAAGGTCTTTTAAGGACGTTTTTTTCCCATCCTGTTTGGGGTAGGAAAAACAAGGCAGGTTATGGGGGGAGAGGAGTAGGGCAAGAAAGAGGGTCTAACCAGAAATAAGTTTGCCATTCCCACAACCTTTCAGAGGAAAATTCTGGTGTGCCGTTAAAACTAAAGTTTTCGGCCGGGCGCGGTGGCTCACGCCTGTAATCCCAGCACTTTGGGAGGTTGAGGTGGGCAGATCACACGGTCAGGAGTTTGAGACCAGCCTGGCCAATACAGTGAAATCACGTCTCTACTAATAATACAAAAATTAGCCAGGCGTGGTGGCAGGCGCCTCTAATCCCAGCTACTCAGGAGGCTGAGGCAGGAGAGTCGCTTGAATCTGGGAGGCAGAGGTTGCAGTGAGCCAAGATTGTGCCACTGCACTTCAGCCTGGGCAACAGAGTGAGACTCCATCTCAAAAAACAAACAAAAAACAAAAAAACTGAAGTTTTCTCATTTGATGGAGTCACAATAATCTATTTGGAGAATATCAGGCCCACAGCTTCTATTTTCTATTTAATAGCTTGCCCACATTTTAGAGTTTACAGTTAATTAATGCTACTTTGTCAACTTGGTTCCATTATTTGATCTTCAGATTCAACAAAGTAGCCGAATTCTCAACTAATGACTTAAAACTTCAAATTTTAGGATTAAACAGAATGGATATCCACTCCACCTGGAATTCTCTTTGCTAAAACAATGAGGTAGTTCAGTGAGGTAATACAATGACACTACATTGATTTCCCCCCTGTGGCGCCAAAGACAGTTCTTGATCTCTACACCCAGTGACAACAGGGTACTCAAAAGGGAACTAGTGGTAAGAATGGAAGAAAAAAAAAGTGGCCAAATTAACAAGGTTGTTGGTGTGATACAAGAACTTGGTCTAATCAGGAGGAGCCTCTGAGGAAAAGATGTCTGTGTTCCACCTAGAAAGTGTAGTTCGGCTGGGCGCGGTGGCTCACGCCTGTAATCCCAGCACTTTGGGAGGCCGAGGTGGGTGGATCACGAGGTCAGGAGATCGAGACCATCCTGGCCAACACGGTGAAACCCCATCTCTACTAAAAATACAAAAAATTAGCTGGGCATGGTGGCGGGCGCCTGTAGTCCCAGCTATTTGGGAGGCTGAGGCAGAAGAATGGCATGAACCCGGGAGGCAGAGCTCGCAGTGAGCCGAGATCGCACCACTGCACTCCAGCCTGGTGACAGAGTGAGACTCCGTCTCAAAAACAAAAAGAAAGTGTGGTTCATAGTAGAATCCCAGTGTTACAAAGTGTCGGTGCAGATATCAGCTGCTATAATTGTTTCTCTACATCACTTTCCCTTTCAGGGACATGGAAACAGTAGTTTGCCTGGCTCATTCTAAAGAAGATCTCAGAATACTTCCTTCTAATGTTAGAGAGAAAGAGACTTCCTTTACTTCAAGCCCTACCTACTTACAATTGGTTTTTATCATTATCACCATCCACAGTGTTGCAGGCTGCCTGAAAAAAATCTCCTATCAGACACTTAAGGCCATTTCACAGCTTCCTCTTCCCAAACCACATTGATAGCACTGGGTTATCATCTGTCCTTTAGAGATTTAAGATTCTTAACTTCTTGTCACCAGCAGAGGCATGACTTTAGCTATTAAGGGATAAATCTGATTATCACGATTGGAAGAAAAAGCCAGTACACCTCTGGGACACATTATGGCATGGATCCTTGGGAAGGCCCAAGTCTGTTTCCCCTTCACTTTCTTAGAGCTGGGCTTCTCTCCTAAAGCTGCTGTTGCTGTGTGCTCTTGGGACTGTTACCCCAACCAAGATCCTAAAAAAAGGCTTAGATGTGCCTGTGGTTGGGGTGCTCTGCAAGGCACCAAAAAAAGAAACCTGCAGAAGGCTACATACCATGAAGGAAAAAACCACAAGAATGTGGGCTACAGGAGAGTATGATGTGAAAAGCATAAACCCTAGCGTTACCCGGAATGCTAACCACCTCACTAACTAGGAAATGGGTTTGCCTGCCTCTGCCACAGTTTCCTCATTTGTAAAATGAAAATTACATTGAGAATTCTAACTTACGTCATAAGTTTGTTGGGGATTAAATAAGATAATGCAGTATGGCACAGTACCTGGCACACGGTGACGTGCTTAACAGGGGCTGATATTACTATTACTATTAAGAATACATACCTGCTGCTCACTAAGTGTACATATGATCCCTCTGTGTGTTCAAAGTGCATAATTTTAGGGAATTTGTTAACAGTCATGCCGACATAGATACAAATATAGAGAACATATAGTGGCAGAATAAATAAGCCAAGATATGAAATAATAGTGGGGAACTGTAAAGAAATGATAAAAATAAGGACTCAGCTTAAACCTTTGAAAGAAAGGGCCTCCATAGGCTTGTCAAACCATAGACTTCAATTTTGAAAACCTCTGTTCTCTTTTACAGTCGAAAAGCAAGAAACTTCGGCTTGACTAATGAGTATGGTCTTGGTGTGGTCCTTCCTTTCTGGAGGCCTCAGTTTTCTCTGGAAACTGGGAGAGGTGGAGTAGATGGTCTCCAAGGTAGCTTGTGGTCTAAAATTCTGTAAGTCTACTTAAAAAGAAAAGGACTCGTAGCATTCCTCTTTTCGCTGTTGCTCAGCGGTGTTTGCCTGAGGTACAGATGTTTCGTGGATCTCCCCTGGTACATTTTTCTGTGAAATCTCAGGCTCCTGCCTCATGTCTCTGTAGCTTAGTAATAACTGAACATGGTTAATTTGTTCTGGTTTATTGTTGATTGGGTGATTTATGTCACGTGGTATATGGGTTTTTTTTGTTTGTTTGTTTAATTTTCATTCAGCAACCAGTGGTCTTGGTCAAGGTGGGCCATGGCCACTCTGCGACTCCAGGTCGATTCGTCTGCCTGTTGGCTTTTTTGATTTTTGCTTTGAAGTTTCCTTTTGCCTCAGTCAGCTGCCTTGAATGAAATTATCTGCTGCTGCTCTGGGCTTGTGATTTCCTTTGCTTTCATGTTTGCTCCCTTTCTGAAAGATGGGGGTTGTAATTTGTTTGCTGTTTAGGAGCCAGCCCTTCAGCTTCCTTTCAGTGATAGCATCCTGCCTGCCACACTGGGCTTTTCTCCTTTTCCAGTCCGGTTGTTCCCAAAATCACTAGTTTAATTCTCTGTATTTGAAGAATGCCAATGCAATATCTCCCTTTCCTGAATCACAACTGCAGTTGGTAATTGTGGAATGCATTTCCTACAAATATTAATTTTACTTTCAATATGTGACAGGATGCAGCGCCTTTTTTTTTTTTTTTTTTTTTTTTGAGACGGAGTTTCACTCTGTTGCCCAGGCTGGAGTGCAGTGGCGCAGCTTTGGCTCACTGCAACCTCCACCTCCTGGGTTCAAGCAGTTCTCCTGCCTCAGCCCCCCAATAGCTGGGATTACAGGCATGTGCCACCACGCCTGGCTAATTTTTTTTTGTATTTAGTAGAGATGGGGTTTCACCATGTTGGTCAGGCTGGTCTCAAACTCCTGACCTCAGGTGATCTGCCTGCCTTGGCCTCCCAAAGTGCTGGGCTTACAGGTGTGAGCCACCACGCCCAGCCACAGAGCTGTTTTTTATAAATATTCAAAACATTTTAAAAGTTAATAGAAATACCTCTAATCTGGTCCTAGAGAGCTTGTAAATTGTCTGACCTGGTCATTCTCCTATCTGCCCTTGGGTACTGTCTCCATGCTCAGGCACTTTCCTATTTAATATACTACCTGCCAATAACTAGCTAAAAGATATCTTTAACCTTGAATCATTAGAAAGATATCAAGGTTCTTTTCATGATGTATGCTTTTTAAAAATTTAAAACTAGCAATTAGGATACATTTGAAAGGAAGACTGTCTTGATTTCTTGGATATTGTATAGAACAACTTGTATTTGCACCTCTGAGGGCCTTTGATGAGGTGGCCATTTAATGAAACACTCAGCTCAAGTGTTTTCAAAACAGCTGATTTACTACACTTGGATACCCTGTGGTGTGTAGAGTTGTGCCTGAAGTTGTCAACCAAGCAGCAGAGCTGGAACCCAGTTGTAGTGATCATGTCTGAAGGATGTCTGCTAAATATCATGTGCTCGCTTTTGGATAGAAGGAGGTGGGTCAGAGTGAAGTTGTTAATCTTCAATTTTTTTCAACCACCTCTAATTGAGAGTAGAAAAGCATTTGCTTTCTATCAATTTGATAGTCCCATCTTTTCTCCTATATTTGATTATAGAAAGCAGTTTTTATTTTTATGCTTTATCTTTATTATTTTCCCATTGATTTATAAGAGAAATCTTTAAGCATCTATCATGTGCATCTCTGTACCATGGATGATGGGAAGATATACAAAGTAAAGTTCTTGTTAGCAGGAAGATGGACTGAGTATATGTATGACTATAAAGTGATATCAAAAGTACAGGTGAAGTTGTGGCAACATTCAAAGGAAAGGGAAATCAGTTTCCTCTTGAAGTTCAGGAGAGATTTCATGGAAGAGGTATCATTCAAGCTGAGTTTTGTTATATGGAAATAAGAAAGGAAAGTCATCCCAGGCAGGGAGAACAGTGCTCGGAAAACAGGGTGTACATATGGGGACGAGCAGGTGGTTTGGTTTGCCCATCAGACAGTGTGGCAAGGACAGCAAAAGGAGATCCAGTCTGAGAAATAAGACTATACAGTGTAGTCCTTTGAATACTTTGCAGTGTTTCATATACATCTGGAGTCAACTGGTTTGTTGGGATTTGCATCTTGCATCCACCACTTCTTACTTCTGCAACCTCGGGCACATTCCTCATCATCTCTCTACTTCAGTTTCTTGGTCCGTGAAAACTAACAGGTGAAATGAATTCTAAGTATATGTTTCATTTAATGCAGTAAATCTAAGATATCATTATTTCAAGATTTAATCAATATAAAAATAGACTGAAGTACTTTTAGCACATTTGGCTTCAGCCTAGCCATATTTCAAGTGCTCAGTAGCCACATGTTGCTAGTGGCTACCATATTGAACTGCACAGATCTAGAACATTTGGAACCCATTCTTCTGTTCTCCTGTCTTTGGTTTTATGCACACAAAGAGAGAAACATTAGGATTGAATGCAAGCCATTTCATGTTGATAGGCATAGCTACCACTTACAGATGTTGCTGAGATGCCAGAAGTTAATCCAAATACATTTTGGTCTCAGTTGGCCACAGGAGACTTGTCAGCAGTTACATAGAATGAAAGCAATCACTGCTAGCAAGTCCATCCTTTTGGACATACAAGTATCGCTCTGCCTTTTTTTTTTTTTTTTAAAGAAATAAGACTCATCTCTCCTTTATTCTTTCCTGACCATGCCTGCCTTTGTATTCCTGACAGCCTTGAAAGGACACAGATTATGTGGTAAATATAATAATCACCCCTTTTCACATTAGACGCAGCCCTTTGAATTCCCAGCACTGATCTAATTCCAATTGCTTCTGAAGTTTACCTTTCACACTTGTGTTGGTTTTAGCCGGTGGATACTATGTCAAAGGTCATGAACTTGTACACTTCCCCTCCAAAGATTCACAGTATCAGTGCCCAGTTTGTCAAGATCTCTCTAGATTAGTTTATTTAATTTTGCTGCGGTTGGTTAATTCACAAAATCATAAGGCCTTTTTCTTCTTTCAAATGCATAGCAAGTGAGGGACAAAGAAGAAGGAAAAGGAATGGAATTCAGTTTCCTCAACATCTTAATTATCTCAGTTTTAAGTTCTTCTATAAGTGTGTCTCTGTGGATGTTGCTTTACTGCTTAAAGCGTCTAATTGAAACCAGATCCTTAAATCTCTTGGAATCAAGAAGCAGTAGTAAGCCCAGGGCATATTATCCCTACAATCCAGAAATACTTAGGTGTCTTGTATTTGATGCACGTGTAATCAGTTTACTCTCCCAGCTCCTTTTTCTACCTAAAATCTTAGTGATGTAGTACAGTGGTAAAGGGGATATTTATTCCTGTTTTAAAAGGATACAACCAAGGTAGGGAAGGCTTCGTTATTGGTGATTATTCAGAAGACCTATTTTCTTTACATATGCTATGGAAACAATACTGTTTTCCGCTACAGAATACAGTTTATGATTATACTTTTGTAAATTGCCTGCTTTTCCCCTGTCATCTGCTAATTCCAATTTGATACTGTTCTGTGTTCAAAAATACAGCATGAGCAAGCTGTAATGGTGCCTGTCGAGAGTCCCAGCTGCTTGGGGGGCTAAGGTGGGAGGATCATTTGAGCCCAGGAGTTTGAGTCCAGCCTGGGCAATATAGCAAGACCCTAGCTCTAAAAATTAAAAAATTCCTAAAATATCCACTGACCATAATAGTGTCTATCAAATGCATTTTCACATTCTTGTTATGTCCAAAATTCTCTATAAAAAATTCAGGAAATAATTGTTTTGTGATACCTAATTTTCAGGTAAGCCCAGCTGGTCTAAAAAGATTGGCAATATTTGAAACATTTAAATTATATTAACAGTTTTTCTTTTTTGTATAGTTGAAGAAAGAATTAAGACATTTCAAACTTTTGTATGGAGATCTTTGTTAAGTGGATTTTATGCTTGCTTCTTAAAATATATTGAATACACTTTGCTGTAGGACAGGGCCTAGCCCATAATAGGCATGCAGTTCTTATTGGAATTGTGTTGAACGACTCACTGCTATGAGCACCCAGTATTTACTAGATCTTAGATTTTAAGGGTTAGAATTTTTTCAGGGTGATCTTTTTTGTTCAGATGCAAAATAGCTCCAGTACTCATGTGTATTTTCTGTATTTTTTCCTTTTTTGCCATCAAAGCTGAGAACCTTATCTCTTAGAAACCTTTAATTGACTACCTAATATGTGCCAGATACCCATAGCTTTACATGGGATATCTCATTTAATCCTCACAGCAGCCATATGAGATTGCTGTTACTGTATCACATTTACGTATTAGGGAACTGAGCTTCAGAGAGAACCACATTTGTTCTGACTGCTGTCAGTTTGCCTGCCTATATCCTATAATATCCCTTTCCTTTTTAATTTGTTGCTTCTAGTCCTGAGGACCAGAAATCCAGATAAATAAAATATGCTCTGGTGGGCCTTCCTGATGGGACCCTCGAGGGAGGAGAGGATGGAGACTGGGAGAGGAGTTCCAGGTTGGGGTGTATGAGGTGGTTAACTGTGTGCAACGCCCCTTTCCCATAGGTTATGGTTACTCCATAGTTAAGCTGATGTTACGCGGTTAGCCAGAATGAACTGATTTTGGCTAGAGCCTTTTCTTGTCTAGGAATGGAGGAATTACCTGAATGAGTTCCCACAGACTGTCCTAGAGGGGCCACAGACTGCTCTGAGAAGCTAGTGCAATTTATGAGTCCTCTTCTGAAAAAAATGCAGATACTCATACATATACAATGTCGCATGTGCTTTCAGGGGTTTCAGGACCCCTCTGAAATCCATCCCTGGATCCCAGATTAAGGTAATTCATTTGGCCTCTGTGGGTGGATGTTAATCACTAATGCTGTTATAACCTAAACATGTCCCTAAGACCAGAAATTATAATTAAGAACAGAGGAACTCTAGGGACTGTAAGAAGTTTGAAACAGAAAAGGGCTTTCTTTAGCTTTTGGGAGGAATTTGTGTTTGCCCATGAATGAAGTGAAATGACCAGGTAGACAGTAGAACCAGGCCTGTGTGCTGGGGAGACCTTCTGTGCCCTAAGGCCACATGGCCGAGAGACAGGTGGGAAGCCAAGGAAGAATAAATTGGGCATAGGTCCTGTTAATTTACACCAGCCCATCAGGTTGGAGCACACTCGGGAAAGTTCTTGCTACTCCGAAGGTGATTTTTAGAATCAGAAACCTGTACTTGAGAAACATAACTTTTTGTGTTATTTATATTTTCTGTAATGATTTTCTGTTGCTCTCTGCTTGATTTTATGTAAAATTTGTACTAAGGTTAAACATTGAAAGAGAATTTTGCAAATATCTGAGCCTCTCTAAAGGGAAGAATAGGTGATGCAGTGGGGTTGGCAGCACTTTTCCTATTACTTGGGAGTGAACCCTCAGGGAAATAAAGTGCAAAGGCTTAGCCACAGGTGTAGCCATAGAATCCCTTTCCACCTGGAGACTGTCCTTTCCAATTTCCAGCACAGGTTTTGCATCTGGTTTTCCTAAGAAGGCCCCTTCCTTTACACACATTCCTGCATACTCCTGCTTCACCCTCAAGGCCCAGTAGAAACCAGCAGTAGGACCTTCCTCAATTTTCAGCAAGTAGGACTCCTTATTTGAAGGACAAGTACCTGGCTCTTAATTGAAGTCTTGAACAGTTTCAAAGATGGGAAAATTCTTTATTATTTTGCTTTGAGATTCTCCTAAGCCCCAGCTGAGAAATTATGAAGGCGACTATAGACACATCAAAATCTATTACCAGAAAAGTTGCCTTACCAGGAAACCGTAATTTATAGTGTATTTTTTTAAGGTGGGAAGGACACATGGGTATGGTGTATTTTAAAAGGATTTAAAAGCACTAAAGTATAGGCACACCTCATTTTACTGCATTTTGCTTGATTGTGCTTCACAGATGATATTGCATTTTTTACAAATTGAAGATTTGTGGCAACTGTGTTAAGTGTGTAGACATCATTTTTCTAACAGCATGTGCTCACTTCGTGTCTCTGTGTCATACTATGGTAATTGTCACCAGCTTTCAAACTTTTGCATTATTATTTTATCTGTGGTCAGTGATCTTTGACGTTACTATTGTAATCGTTTGGGGGCACCCTCAAGCTATGCCCATGTAAAACAGCAAACTTAATAAATGTTTTGCGTTCTGACTGCTCCACTGACCAGTTGTTCCTCCATCTCTCTGCCTTTCCGCAGGTCTCCTGATTCCATGAGCCACAATAATATTGAAATTGGGCCAATTAATACCCCTACAATGGCCTCTAAGTGTTCAAGTGTAAAAAAGAGGTTCGCCTCTCACTTTAAATCAAAAGCTAGAAATGATTAAGCTTAGTGAGAAAAGCATGTCAAAAGCCACGACAGGCTGAAAGCTAGTCCTCTTGCAGCAGTTAGCCGAGTTGTTAATGTAAAGGAAAAGTTCTTGAAGGGAATTAAAAGTGCCACTCCAGTGAGCACAGAAGAAAGTAAAACAGCCTTGCTTCTGAGATGGAGAAAGTTTTAGTTGTCTGGATGGCAGATAAAACCAACCACAACATTTCTCAAACTGTTGGCCTCAAGCAATCCTCTTGCCTCGGCCTCCCAAAGTGCTGGGATTACTGATGTGAGCCACCGCACCTGGCCACCACCACATTCCTTTAAGCCAAAGCCTAATCCAGAGCAAGGCCCTACCTCTTTCAATTCTATGAAGCTGAGAGAGGTGAGGAAGCTACAGAAGAAAAGTTTGAAGCTAACAGAGGTTGGTTCGTGAGGTTAAGGAAAGAAGCTATTTGCATAATATAAAAGGGCAAGATGAAGCAGCAAGTGCTGATGGAGAAGCTCCAGCCAGTTATCTAGAAGATCTAGCCAAGATCATTGATGAAGGTGGCTATGCTAAACAACAGATATCGATGTAGACAGAACAGCCTTCTATTGGAAGAAGATGCCATCTAGGACTTTCATAGCTAGAGAGGAGGAGTCAGTGCCTGGCTTCAAAGCTTCAATTGAAGGACAGGCTGATACACAATGGCAATTAAATGTCAACATTCATTTTGAAGGGGATGCTCAAACTATAGCACAGACCAATTTTCTTTGTCTAAATACAATAGTTTTCCTTCCAGGCAGCCTCAGTCCACGTTCATGAGCCACATTCTTGTGCTTCTCCATTTACATAGCTCTAATAGTAGAGGAGAGATGCTTTATGCATCCCTCTTACCCCGTCTCTAGATATGGAGCCACAACCTTGCCTGCTACCAGCTGAAAATTCTCCTGAAGCTAGGCTTTTATCTTCGAATTATAAGATAGTGTTGGCTGGGCGCGATGGCTTACGCCTGTAATCCCAGCACTTTGGGAGGCCAAGGCGGGCGGTTCACCTGAGGTCAGGAGTTCAAGACCAGCCTGGCCAATATAGCAAAATCTGGTCTCTACCGAAAATACAAAAATTAGCCGGGCGTGGTAGCACGTGCCTATAGTCCCAGCTACTCAGGAGGCTGAGCCAGGAGAATTGGTTGAACCCAGGAGGCCGAGGTTGCAGTGAGCTGAGATCATGCCACTGCACTCCAGCCTGGGTGACAGAGCGAGACTCTGTCTCAAAAAAAAGTGTGTGTATACACACACACACACACACACACACACACACACATAGTGTTGATATGTGCATATATGTATACTTTGTTTTAATATGTAAGCTATTTGTCTGCCAAATTACTTTTTTCATAAAATTTTAAGCAAAACAGCTCTCCGTGGTCCACCATTATGTACCCCCCAGAAACACTACAATAACATAACATTGATGGAGGTTATAAATTTTTTTCTCAACTTTTAGATACGGGGGCACATGTGCAGGTTTATTACATGGGCATCTTGCACTCAGGTAGTGAGCATAGCGCCCAATAGGTAGTTTTTCAACCCGTGCCCTGTCTCTCCCTCCCCCTCTAGTAGTTCAGAGTATCTATTGTTCCCATGTTTATGCCCATGGGTGCTCAATGTTTCACTCCCACTTAAAAGTGAGAACATGTGGTATTTGGTTTTCTGTCCCTGCACTAATTTGCTTAAGATAATGGCCTCCAGTTCCATCCACGTTACTACAAAGGACATGACTTCATTCTTTTATTCCATGGTGTATATCTAGCACATTTGCTCTATCCAATCTGCTCGTAGATGGGCACCAAGGTTGATTCCATGTCTTTACTATTGTGAATAGTGTGGCAGTGAACATAGGAGTGCAGGTATCTTTTTGGTATAATGATCTATTTTCCTTTGGATATATATATACCCATAATGGGATTGCTGGGTCAAATGGTAGCTCTGTTTTAAGTTCTTTGAGAACTCTCCGAACTGCTTTCCACAACGGCTGAACTAGTTTATAACAACAGTGTATAAGCATTCCCTTTTCTCTGCAGCCTCGCCAGCAGCTAGTTTTTGCCTTTTTTTTTTTTTTTTTTTTTCTAAGAGATAAGGTCTCACTATGTTCCCCAGGCTAGTCTCAAACTCCTGGACTCAAGCAATCCTCCTCCCACCTTGGCCTCCCAAAGTGCTGGGATTATAGGTGTGAGCTGCTGTACCTGACCTGACTTTTTAATAATAGCCGTTCTGACTGGTGTGAGATTATATCTGATTGTGGTTTTTGATTTGCATTTCTCAGATGAGAGTGATGATGAGCATTTTTTCATGTGTTTGTTGGTTGCTTGTAGGTCTTGTTTTGAGAAGTGTCTATTCATGTCCTTTGCCCATTTTTTAGTGTTTTTAATTTTTTGCTTGTTGATTTAAGTTTCTGAAAATAGATTCTGGATATTAGATTTTTGTCAGATGCATAGTTTGAGAATATTTTCTCTCATTCTTTAGGTTGCCTGTTTACTCTCTTGATAGTGTCTTTTTATTGCTTTATCTCCATTTTACAGATAAGAAACCGGTTTTAGAAGTTTCAGATATTTGTTCAAAGTCATACCATGAAGTACAAAGCTGTTTTTAACCCATACCTTTCTTAAGTTCCAAATCCATAATGCAGAAACCATGCTGGGCATTAAGGAATCCTACCTTCAAAGGAAATGACAAGGCTGGAGACAGTGGCTCATACCTGTAATCACATCTGTAAGCACTTTAGGAGGATGAGGCAGGAAGACAGCTTGAGCCCAGGAATTTGAGATCAGCCTGGGCAACATAGCAAGACACCGTCTCTACAAAATAATTTTACCATTAGCCAGGTGTGGTGACACACACCTGTAGTCCCAGCTACTCAGGGGGCTGAAGTGGGAGGATCATTTGAGCCTGAGAGATCGAAGCTACAGTGAGCCATGATTGCACCACTGCACTCAAGCCTGGAAGAGACCCTGTCTCAAAAAAAAAAAAAAAAAAGAAAGAGAAAGAAGGAAACAAAGAAAGAAGGAAAAGAGGCCTGACACAGTGGCTCATGCCTGTAATCCCAGCACTTTGGGAGGCCGAGGGGGGTGGATCACAAGGTCAGGAGTTCAAGACCAGCCTGGCCAATACGGTGAAACCCCGTCTGTACTAAAAATACAAAAATTAGCTAGGCGTGATGGTGGGCACCTGTAATCCCAGCTACTCGGGAGACTGAGGCAGGAGAATGGCGTGAACCCGGAAGGCAGAGCTTGCAGTGAGCCGAGATCACACCACTGCACTCCAGCCTGGGTGACAGTGAAAGACTCCGAAAAAAAAAAAAAAAAAAAAAGAAAGAGAAAAAGAAATCAGGAGAGTTTAAAAGCATTCCACAAAGTCAGTGGTTATATGTTAATCTGTGTAGTGTGCTTTGTTTCCCAGATAATTTAGAAGCAATTAATTCTGGATAGACGTGTGTTGCATGTAATGACAGATACTGATTGTAATGTTTTATTTTGGCCAAAAAAAAGGTGGGGGGTGGGGAGTAATTTTCCTCAAAATCATTATCTGGCAGGGTGGGAGGTTGTTTTTCTTTTGTATACAGAGAAACAGAGTCCCAGGTAGGAATATGTGTTGTATTCATGGCAGTTCGGCAGACCCTTGGAATATAACCTTCTTCATGGTCCATGTTCTAGTCCTGCTTTGAGAACCCTCTTTTGAGTAAAGAAAATCTTCAAAAACCCATCTCTGGGTTTCATCCTGAGGATCCAGGACCGGTGTTCTCTTTCTTAAGAGGAAAAAAAATCACAATGGTAGAAAATTCTTTGCAAATCCTATTGTAGTCTTGATTGATCTCTCTTCTCATTGCTCTTCGTCGGCCTCTTCAACCCTTCTGACTGTGTGTATTAGAAATAATTATTATCACCATTAAAACAACTTTCTTTGTCTATTTCAATTATTTTCTTTATGTTAACTATTTTCTTTTTAGAGTTGCTTATCTATTTAGCAGGCTACTGCATTAGCCTTGAGCTAGTATTGTAAGATGCAAAATTATGTTGCCGGCATCAGTTGGGAATTTCATGGAATTTGCTTCTATTTGACTATATTTCCAGATGGAACCATGTGCCGAAGTGTTTGTTTTGGGCCTCCATGAAGTCATTCCTTTGCAGTGATCTGTAGCTAGACTGCGCTCTCTTGGGACTAACCTGTGTGACTAATTTGAGTAGGAGGGTGATAAACTTTGTTACCACTTAAAAAGGGGCTAAAAATACTTCTTTTTTAAAAAACTCCTCTCCATATTATCTAGCAACACTCTTTGAGGGATAATGGAAAGGAGGTGATAAAGATTAGAGCTGATTGGGAAGGTTCTGAATGCCCAAGTTTCATTTAGGAAGCTTCACACCTTTGAGCCCCAGGGAAGAGTTTGGACCCCAGGCTTTTACAGGTTTGTAGTAAAATCTGAGCTGCCCAGAACACTCTGTGGCTAATGGCTTTTGCAGAAGTGATTCTACAACTAAAGATGCCAATCAACTAAGCTTGTATTGGTTCATCGTCCAGATCTAAAAATGATTGTTAATTTGAGTTATTGTGCTAAATATTTCTAAGAAATGCTTCTTTTTAAGTTGCTGTCTTGTGATCAAAACACAGTAAATGAAGGGCTTCCCTGAAAGGTGGAGCCAGTAGACTTGATTTGGAGATGAAGCATATACCGAACTTGAAGACTGGAGAGGTATTTTTGCCTTAACCCTGTCTCTGATTCACTGAGGGACCTTGGATAAGTCACAATCTTCCTGTCTCATGTTTCTTTTACTTAAAAATGAAAGCATGGATTAGGCTAGCTCTTCGTCAAACCTCCCTTCTCAATTCACCTTCCTAAGCACAGAACTCTTTTTCTAATAAAATTTTATGCAGGACCCCAATCTATAAAACAGATACAAGAGGAGATGCTTTGGTTAATGGAGGGCACAGGGAGAATCTCTCTCTGGCTTCAGTTCTGGCCCCTGAGGCTCTTTCCTGTCTAGTTGAGCTTTCTTTAAGAGGTCTTCCAGCTGTGGCATTCCATCCATTATTCTAATTAATGTGAATTGAGTATTACTAATATCAGGTTTGGTTTTTTTTTTTTTCACTTAGTACCCACATCATGGAGCAAAAAAAGTGGTTCTAAATTGCAGAATGATTTAAGCTAGTAGAGGGTGCCATTCATTGATATTAAAGATTAGTACTGGTCTAAACATAGCACTATTAGAAGTTACAGAAATTCACAATAGAAACCCCCTTCCTCTGTCCCAGAATGCATGGAGCAAGAATGCAGAATGGGGAAGTAAATGATAAATCTGCAACCATTAGTGCTCACTTTCTAAGCTTCCCACTGAGTACTAGGATACAGCTCTCTCTTCTTCCTTCCTCTCCTTCCTCAAATCCTACATTCCTACACCATTGCTGAGCAGGTTGCAATTTTGGCCTAGAGTGATTACTCCTGATTACTCCTGTCCCTCTCTCTGACTGGAGCCAGGTCTGAAGTACTCTGTTTTCCACCTGTCATCTCAGCCAAGACCTTGCAGATTCAATACTAAACTGTTGTATAGGATTAAATTCTGAGCCTTCTAGGAAAAGTTTCAGAATGTGTTTCTTTGCTGTTGTTAATTGCAAAATCAATAGACCTCCCTCCCAGGGAGAGGAGTTTCCTTCTCCTTTGGTGGGCTTCCCTCTAGCAATTCAGGAGCTGCTAGAAGCAGATTAACACCTACAGTTCCAGACCAGCTTAGAGCTCACTTCATTTCCCACTGTGCAGCATTTCACCAACCCATGGACCTATAGCTAGTCATTCCTGCCTGTCCTGCGCCAGGGCCTTTTCCAGCCAGCAGTCTTCCCACTGACTGTTAGAACTATACCCTCTGGCTCAGGCTTTTTCCAGAAAAAAAAAAAAAAAAAAAAATCATAGTACTGCTTCGCATTTTCTCTCAACTTCACATTTCCTCACAAAGCACTAGGCTTTGTCCTAAGCACTTTATTTATTTACTTATTTATTTATTTATTGAGACGGAGTCTCGCTCTGTCACCCAGGGAGGAGTGCAGTGGCATGATCTCGGCTCACTGCAACTTCCACCTCCTGGGTTCAAGCAATTCTCCTTCCTCAGCCTCCCGAGTAGCTGGGACTATAGGCGCACGCCACCACTCCTGGCTAAGTTTTGTATTTTAGTAGAGACAGGGTTTCACCACATTGGCCGGGCTGGTCTCAAACTCCTGACCTAAGATGATCCGCCCACTTCGGTCTTCCAAAGTGCTGGGATTATAGGCGTGAACCACCACGCCTGGCTGTCTGCCCCCCGCCTGTCCTAAGCACTTTAAATGTGTCAACTCATTTGGTCTCTTTGAAAAGAGTGGCCAGGTGAAGGCTGAAGGACCGGATAAGTGTAGTTTCCAGAATCCTTCTTGGCTAGTTATAGTCTAAGACTTGCAGACAGGCAGCCTGGGAAGATCTCAAACAAGTAACCTTCAATGAAAATGTACAGTTTTGAGAATTTCGATATTTGACAGATGATTGAGCCACTCGAGTTGCTTATGCATGAATGTGCTTGTTTAGCAGGTAGAGTTATTATTCTCTTATGTTCAAATTTATTAACAAGGGCTTAATTTCATTCCAAACAGATTGTGAGGTGACTACGTAGTACAGAAGTACAGTGAAATATGAGATTCCTGAGCCTTTAGTGGATGCTGAGCTGGAGACCCCCGTTAGTGCTACCTCTTTCTAAACAGCGCCAGCCATGAAGCTTTTGACCTTTTCACCTTTAAACTTTGTTTGAACTTGGAAAGAAGACTTTTGAATTGTTTAAAAAAAAAAAAAAGGAGAAGAAGGAGAAAGAAAGACAAGGGAAAAAAATGGTTAGGGAGGCTGCAAAAGAGATGTGGAGACTGGGGGAAAAGGACTGATTATATGTTAGCTTAACAGTAATACTAGGAAAATAATCCTCCTCTTGTCTAGGAGTTTCTGCTACTGGGAGCCACAGGGTAATCAGCTCACATGACATACCCAGAGGCGAATGCTAGCCTGTGCTGTTTTTGAACATACTCAAACAAAGGCTGATTATCCAAACAAGAATTTGGACTGCAGCAGTCGGACCAGTTAAATTATAGTTAGTAAAACTTGGTGCCTTGTGAGCTTGGAATGTTACAATTGCAGCTGGATCTTCGTTTGTCAGGCAGCCTTACTGCACAATAAAACCAGAGATTTTTATCTCCGCAGGACTCAGTTTAACTCCTTGGGTGCAAACAGAAAAGTGCCAGCTATCATACGTCAGAATCCTGGCAACATCTGTCCCCACTCCTGTCAGAGTTCATGAGGCAGTGGCATTTTCGTGGTGTTCTGTAGGAAAGTGGGAGGACAGGGGCAAGTTGCTCTTCTTCTTAGATCTTATGTTGGAGATAATAATTTTTATTTATTCGTTACTTTAACAACATTTTTTGTTTTGAGATGGAGTCTCGCTCTGTCACCCAGGCTGGAGTGCAGCGGTGTGATCTCAGCTCACTGCAACCTCTGCCTCCCAGGTTCAACCAATTGTCCTGCCTCAGCCTCCTGAATAGCTGGGACTATAGGCACCCGCCACCATGCCTGGCTAATTTTTTTGTATTTTTAGTAGAGACGGGGTTTCACTGTGTTAGCCAGGGTGGTCTCGATCTCCTGACCTCGTGATCCACCCGCCTCGGCCTCCCAAAGTGCTGGGATTACAGGCGTGAGCCACCGCATCCGGCCACTGTAACCTTTATTAAGTGTTACTATGGACAAAGCCCTGTGTTAGTACTCTACTTATATACAAATGGCTATAAAAAGATGGTATAAAGTAGTCAATTGTAAATAGGTTTCAAAATGTTGTAAGTGGAGGGATGATGGAGAAGGTAAAAAAAAAAAAGGCTTTTTGGAGAAGGTATGATTTGAGCTGACTTTGTGGGAAAGTAGGATTGAATCTTTAAATGTGGCTCTAAAAGTGGTTTTATGCAGCAGGAACAACACAAAGGAAAAATTGGAGGCAGGAAAGTTGGATCCTGGATGTGAAGGGAGGTAATAAAAGAGAAGACTGAAAAAGTAGAATAGCCTCTGCATAGCGGACTTAGGATGCCAGGCCTGAGAGTGGACTTCCTTTGGTAAAGCAAGAGGAAGCCATTAAAAAGTTATCTTTTTTACATAGCTGTCAAATAATAATAAGTTAACATGTATTGAAAGGTTACCATACTGAGAGGTGAAGCCAGCTGGACTTCTGGGTAGAGTGGGGACTTGGAGAACTTTTCTGTCTTACAAGAGGATTGTAAAACACACCAATCAGCACTCTGCAGCTAGCAAGGGGATTGTAACATGTACCAATCAGCACTCTGTAGCTAGCAAAGGATTGTAAAATGCACCAATCAGCGCTCTGTAAAGCACACCAATCAGTGCTCTGTAAAATGCCCCAATCAGTGCTCTGTAAAATGCACCAATCAGGATCCTAAAAGTAGCCAATCGCAAGGAGGATTGAAAAAAGGGCATTCTGATAGGACAGAAACGGAACATGGGTGGGGACAAATAAAGGAATAAAAGCTGGCCATCCCCGCCAGCAGCGGCAACCCACTGAGGCCCCCTAGCAGGCTGTGGAAGCTGGTTCTTTTGCTCTTCACAATAAATCTTGTGGCTGCTCACTGTTTGGGTCCTTGCCACCTTTAAGAGCTGTAACACTCACCTCGAAGGTCCGCAGCTTCATTCTTGAAGTCAGCAAGACCCTGAATCCACTGGCAGGAACCAGCTCTGGATACAGTACGTGGGACACTGAATACTCAAAATAATTCTGGAAGAAAATAGAGACTCAGAGAAACGAAGTAACTTTCCCAAGACTGCTCAGCCCATAAGCAGCAGAGTCACGATTGAAATCTGGACTGACCGTAGACCCCCAGCTCTTAACTGCTTTTTGTATTACTCTCTATTCCTTTTAAATTGGCTGACTTTATGATCATAATGCAAAATAGATTAGCCATATTTTTATATGGAGGCAGGAAGCTTGACTCTAATGGATCACCCATATTCCTGAATTGGATGATGATGGTAAAGAGAATTGCTTTACAGGGGTGATTTTTATGTTGGAGAAGATACAGTTATGATCACCACCCTGAGTTGGTTTAAATATACGGGTTATAACTTTGTATGAACAAGAGTTTTGTTTTTGTTTTTGTTTTGTGAGACAGAGTTTCACTTTTGTCGCCCAGGCTGGAGTACAGAGGCACAATCTTGGCTCACTGCAAACTCCACCTCCTGGGTTCAAGCGATTTTCCTACCTCAGCCTCCTGAGTAGCTGGGATTACAGGCACCCGCCACCACACCTGGCAGTTTTTCGGGTTTTTTTTTTTTGAGATGGAGTTTCGCTCTTGTTGCTCAGGCTGGAGCGCAGTGGCATGATCTTGGCTCACTGCAACCTCCGCCTTCCAGTTTCAAGCGATTTTCCTGCCTCAACCTCCTGAGTAGCTGGGATTACAGGCGCCTGCCACCACACCTGGCTAATTTTTGTATTTTTAGTAGAGATGGGGTTTCACCACGTTGGCCAGGCTGGTCTCGAACTCCTGACCTCGTGATCCACCCGCCTCAGCCTCCCAAAGTGCTGGGATTACAGTTGTGAGCCACCACACCCAGGCACAAGAGTATTTCTGCTTGACCAATTCCATCATAATGAGATAATCTGCCCTCATAGCTATTTCTGACAGTGATTTATGGTAGTGCAGAGCTGGCTTTGGCAGGTCTTATGTCTTTATGGCCTTGCTTTTTCTGAGCGACACATTTGCTACCATTGGTGTATGGCTCTCCATTTCCCAGTTTCCACGGGGTGTCTTCACCGTATTCTTATCCTCTGCTGACCCTGCTGCTGTCTTGTTTTCTTTCCTGTCCTCTTTGATATACTCTGTTATTGTAAGCCAGGCTTGTGGCTTCTGGGAGGGGTGATTGGCAGGGTCAGTCAGACATAAGCACTGAAACGTGTGTCCCAGAGGTGGAAGCCAAATTTCCTCTCAGGGCCCTGAGGCTAACCTCCTGTGATGGCTTCATGGCTAGAAATAGCAAAAATCGAAATGGATATTGCAGATAGTCCAGACAAGCAAACAGAAGTCCAAAATGCTTGGGTACCTAAGATTTTTTTAATTTGTTCGTGTATATTTTTAGCAATAGAAGCAATATAGCATACCTTTGAGCCAGTTTTTCCTAGGTGTGCCAGGTAGGTTGGCATTCACAGTTCTCAGGAGACAATCAGGTACTGATTTAGTGAGCTCATTTTTGAAATGCAAAAGCAAAAAGGAATAAAATAGCAGGTTACCATAGTATAGATAGTAGGAGTTGATTGGCACCAACATCTTTATTTAGTTTGGGTTAGAACAGATTCTCTGCATATCAGATTTGAAGAGAAGATCTTAGTTTTTATAGCAGTACCATCAAAGATAGTTATATATCCAAGAGGAAAGCCTGAGTTTGAAATAATGATTAGCTCTACAGATTTTCAGCTTTTTGTTTTGGGGTTTTTTGTTTTGTTTTTAATTCAATTTGCAAAGCCTCTAGCAGATAGTTCTGAAACCTTTGTGAACGCTTTCTGTAACTTATGAAGCTTTTGGAAATTTGGTCTAGTGATGAGTAATTCTTTCTTTCTGACGTTAATCATTTGCATTTTATCAGTGGCTCCAAGATTAATATAAAAAGAGAACTTCATTTACTCTGAGTGATCATGTTTCAATGTGTTAATGTTTTAGGAGTAGCAGAGGATAACATGCAACTGTTAAGATCTAGATCATGCTAAAAGTATTAAAGTTGGCTTTCAGAGATTAGTTTTTTCCTACTTAAAATTAAGAACTTAAAGATTTTAATCAAGATAATCCTAAAATGTCTTAAGGTGCAACTTATTCTGGAGTTGATACCAGTTGGAATAGTAAAGACCAAAGGAGAAATTGTGAGTTAATGTTTACTTTTTTATTACTATTTTAATCAAATGGCTTTACAACTTGACCTTTTAAATGTGAATATATTTTTTTAAAAGAACACTCAGGTATGTGAAGCCATAATTGTTGTGTTGGAAGTTCTCAGCCCTAAAAGTTCTGCACTTGAATGTTAAATATATGTGTGATAAAAATATTTTGATTGGGGTTTTCTGTGTGGGCATTTACATTCTCCTGGTGACAGGTGTTTTGGTGAAGAGAAAAGCATCTTGTAGATGTTTGAGATCTGTAACCATGCTGTCTCAACAGCAGCAGCAGCAGCAGCAGGAGGAGGAGCTACCATTTATTGAATGCCTGCTCTATCATAGGCACTCCTCTAGGCACTCTACAGACATAATTTCTTCTACTTACAACCATCCTGGCGGGTAGAATAGTATTTTTATTTCACAGATTCAAAAACAGCCTAAGAGAAGATAAGTGGTAGGGACAGGCTTTGAACTCAGGTTTCTCTGATTCCAAGGTCCATATTCTTTTCACTATACCATGATATTAAAAAGGAACAAGTGGGGCCAAGCACAGTGGGTCACACCTGTAACCCCAGCACTTTGGGAGGCTAAGGCGGGTGGATCACTTGAGGCCAGGAGTTTGAGACCAGCCTGGCCAACATGGTGAAACCCCATCTCTACTAAAAATACAAAAAAAAATAGCCAGGCGTGGTGGCGCACGCCTGTAATCCCAGCTACTCTGGAGGCTGAGGCAGGAGAATCGCTTGAACTCAGGAAGCAGAGGTTGCAGTGAGCTGAGATTGTGCCACTGCACTCCAGCCTAGGCAACAGAGACTCCATCTCAATAAATAAATAATAAAAAGGAACAAGTGTAGCTGACATTTATCTGAGACTTATCAGCCTTAGCACACATACACTAAAAAGTTTAAAACAGATTTTATGTTATTCACTAGAACAGATTCATTTACCTATATCATTGAGCCCTATAACTAAAGGGTCCATTTCTTTTAAATTGATCTCAGACACACAGAAGTATATCTTAACTAAAACTTTCTTCCCGAAAAGAAGCATTTTTAAAAGGTACCAAGGGCTGTTATTCTTAGAATGATTTGATGAAATCAAAGACAAAAATAGTTTAGGCTTTTGATTAGATTTCAATATGCCACTCTTACTGGGGAGCTTTCTCTTGTTTGGGCATGACAGGATTTTTGCCATGAGAAACCTTCTAGAGCTTCCGCCCCCTCAGTTCTCACTCTCCATCACTTACCCTTCAAAAGACTCTGAATAGCAATTACAATACAGTTAAGCTTTCTTTGGGGGACCCTCATATAGTGGGCACACTGAATATGTGGATTTAATATTAGAGGCTTGACTATTTGAATGTGATTGCAAAAGTCAGTGAGGACTCTGTTATTACTACGAATTTGTAGGTTGGTATTTAGCTTAGCAAGTGATGAAGCTAGTGAGTGAGCCTGTTTACCACCAAGTACCCACGTCTTCCTTTGGCTCTGTTGTCCTCTGCTTGTTTCATCTTGTGACTTAAAACACACACACCTTAGCCAACTGTTTATGCTAATGATGAAAGAGAAGTCAAAGTAAATAAGCTTAATAAAATAATAGTTTGGGCCTGCGCAGTGGCTCACCCCTGTAATCCCAACACTTTGGGAGGCCGAGGCAGGCGGATCACGAGGTCAGGAGATCAAGACCATCCTCGCTAACACGGTGAAACCCCACCTCTACTAAAAAAAAATTACAAAAAAAAATTAGCCGGCCGTGGTGGCGGGTGCCTGTAGTCCCAGCTACTCGGGAGGATGAGGCAGGAAAATGGCGTGAACCCAGGAGCCAGAGCTTGCAGTGAGCCGAGATCGTGCCAGTGCACTCCAGCCTGGGCAACAGAGGGAGACTCCATCTCAAAAAATAATAATAAGAATAATAGTTTGGAGGTAAAATGAGTCTAAAAAATGTACTTACCTATTTTTTCTCTACTAACATCATTTAACATGTAAAATAAAATTTTGTTGAATAAATGTTAAATGTTTCTGAGAAATCTGAGAGCTTTCATAATAGTATAATATTCAGGTTTTTTCTTGTTTGTTTGTTGTTTACTAAAGAGGAATCATTTCTCAGTGTTAAGTATATCTGGGACCAGAAATGGCTCTTGTTATCCAAGGTAAAGAATCCAAACATTGGCTGGGTGTGGTGGCTCACACCTGTAATTCCAGCACTTTGGGAGGCCGAGGCGGGCAGATCACCTGAGGTTGGGAATTCGAAACCAGCCTGACCAACATGGAGAAACCCCGTCTCTACTAAAAATACAAAATTAACTGGGCGTGGTGGCGCATGCCAGTAATCCCAGCTACTCAGGAGGCTGAGGCAAGAGAATTGCTTGAACCTGGAAGGTGGAGGTTGCAGTGAGCCAGGATTGCACCATTGCACTCCATCCTGGGCAGCAAATGTGAAACTCTGTCTCAAAAAAAAAAAAAAAAAATCCAAACATCAGGAAGACAGTGTAAATATCAGGGTCTGACCTAAAGGAGACCTTGAGATGTGTGCTGGTTAGCCCTTTGACAAGTCTCACAGTACCTTAAAACACATATTTATAGTGAGGTTTGAGTAACTTGGAAGTCTATTTTAGACCAAATACACGTTTGGTTAATGTTGCTAGGCATAGAGTGTAGCCCTCCTCCCTTCATATGAGATCCTTTAGACGTGACAAGACCCGCCTGTGATGCCTAGACCCTTCTCCCATTTAGAAGGACATCACTGAATGCAAATTTGCAAAAAGCTATGGCAGAACCTGTGGTTAAAATCTCATAAGATTCAAAGAGTCTGGAATTTAAGAAGCTAAGGGAAAATATATGTCCAGAGCCTATCTTCTACCAGTCAGCCTTGTTTTTGCTTACATAAGTTTATTCTTTTTCTGAGCCAATGTTGAATTGAAGTAATAGTGATCACAGCTTATCACAGTTCTCTAAAGATTATTGCCTCCTTCACTGCCTTCATGAATTAACACCAATTTCTTCCAAATGGAATTCTTTAAAAAAAAACAAAAAAACCCAAAAAACTTTATTGAGATATGATTGACATACAAAAAGCTATACACTTTTTTTTTTTTTGAGACGGAGTCTTGCTCTGTCACCATGTCACCAGGTTGGAGTGCAATGGTGCGATCTCGGCTCACTGCAACCTCTGCCTCTTGGGTTCAAGCAATTCTCCTGCCTCAGCCTCCCAAGTAGCTGGGACTACAGGCGCGCACCACCACACCCATCTAATTTTTGTATTTTTAGTAGAGATGGGGTTTCACCATGTTGGCCAAGATGGCCTCCATCTCCTGACCTCGTGATCCGCCCGCCACGGCCTCCCAAAGTGCTGGGATTACAGGCATGAGCCACTGCGCCCTACTGCTATACACATTTAATGTCTACACTGTGATGAGTATGGAGATACGTATATACCTATCCATCACCTCCAAAAGTTACCTGCTGCTCTGGCAGAATCTCTTTCTTATTTAAAGCTGAGTAATATTCCATTGTGTCTATATACTATATTTTCTTTATCCATTCATTCATGGATGGACATTTAGTTTGCTTCTACATCTTGACTATTGTGCATAATGCTACAGTGAACGTTCCATACAGTGAAGTGGAGATACCTCTTCGAGATCCACATTTCAGTTCCTTTTGATATATACACCCAGCAGTGGGACTGCTGGGTCATATGGTGGTTTTATTTTTAATTTTTTGAGGAATGTCATAAGTGTGTCTCAAGAAAATATAAAGACAGTATAAGAAGACTTAGAATTGAGTACAGTTTGATTGAATCAAGGGTAATCACCATTATCCTGATTTTCAGGACTTTCATTCACTTCCTTCATGTAGCACAGTTCCCTGCCAGAAATATCCATCATGGACGAAGTGACTGCTAGAGACTTCAGGGAAAATAATAACTTATAACTATTTTATGTAGTTGAGGGATGAGTGTTTTGGTTCTTTCCTAAAGAGTTGGAATCTGCTCTGTCAACCAGGCTGGAGTGCGCTGGTATGACCATAGGTCTCTGCAGCCTCAAACTCCTAGGCTCAAGCAGCCCTCCCACCTGGGCCTCCCAAGTAGCTGGGAATATCAGTGTGCACTACCACAACCTGCTAATTTTTTAAGTTTTTTTTTTCAAGAGACAGAGTCTTGCTATGTTGCCCCAGCTGGTCCTGAACTCCTGGCCTCAAGTGATTCTCCCTGTCTCAGCCTCCCAAAGGGATGAGTTTTAATATGCTAATTACTTCAAGTTTTAAAAGAATAATATGTCAAATTAAAGCATTTTTAAACCTCTTTTTTTAACTCAAGTAATACATATTTATTATTTAAAAAGCTTAAGAAAAAACAGAAGAAAAAAGAAAACTAAAATCACTTGTAATTTCCTTACCTACAGTTAACAACTATTAACATTATGGTATTTATTAAGATTCTTCTATGCATTTGTATACACACATATATACGCTATTGTTTGTAAAATGAAATCACACTGAGCTTATTTACCATTAGGTAATGAGTCTTACCTGTCCAGTAATGAATGTGTTTTCCTTTGCTTTTTTACTTAGCACTATATTGTGAATATCATGAACAAAGACAGTTTGGAAACAGGGTGACTAGAAGTCAACAAAAATATGTGTTACAAAAGAATAACAATAGGTAAAATTCAGAGTATTATTTTAATTTACTGTTAAAATTACCCAAATCTCACATACTTTATTCAGTCTATATTTTTAAAAATTGGATATATAGGCCCGGCGCGGTGGCTCATGCCTGTAATCCCAGCACTTTGGGAGGCCAAAGCGGGCGGATCACGAGGTCAGGAGATCGAGACCATCCTGGCTAACACGGTGAAACTTCATCTCTACTAAAAATACAAAAAATTAGCAGGGCGTGGTGGTGGGCACCTGTAGTCCCAGTTACTTGGGAGAATGAGGCAGGAGAATGGCATGAACCCAGGAGGCAGAGCTTGCAGTGAGCCGAGATCGCGCCACTGTACCCCAGCCTGAGCAACAGAGTGAGACTCCGTCTCAAAAAAAATAAATAAATAAAAAAGGATATATAGGGAAGGAGCAATTTTTTAAAGATTTAACTGCAATTGCATAGTATTTTGTGATTTCATTATTCATCTTTCTAAATGTGGTGTAATAGACTATAATTTTAGTAAGTGTATCAGTCCATTCTCACGCTGCTGTAAGGACATAGCCGAGACTGGGTAATTTATAAAGGAAAGAGGTTTAATGGACTCACTGTTCTGCATGGCTGGGGAGGCCTCAGGAAACTTAAAATCGTGGCGGAAGGGGAAGCAAACACGTCCTTCTTCACGTGGTTGCAGAGAGAAGAATGAGTGCCCAGTGAAGGGGGAAGCCCCTTAGAAAACCATCAGATCTCGTGAGAACCAACTCACTAAAACAAGAACAGGATGGGGAAACTGCCCCCATGATTCAATTATCTCCACCTGGTCCCTCCCAGGACACATGGGGATTATGGGAACTACAAGTCAAGATGAGATTTGGGTGGAGACACAGCCAAACGATATCAGTAAGTATTTATTTTTATTTATTTTTTAGAGACAGGGTCTTGTTATGTTGCCAAGGCTGGATTCAACTCCTGGGCTCAAGTGATCCTCTCACCTCAGCCCCCCGAGAAGCTGGTACTACAGGCATGTACTACCACACTCGGCTTAATTTTAGGAAGTATTTAAGCAAATATTATTGAGCTGTATAAAACTGTTCATTTTAAAAAGTGAAAAGTTGTTTCCAAACAATGTGTCAATTAGTTTTTCTCTTTGGTAGAAAAATTGTATATGTTCAAATCAAAGTTGTAGAAGTACCTCCCTGCCTAACATTCAAGTGGTTTCAGATGGTAGGCTTTAACATAACAAGATGAGCTATTGGGCTCTCAGAAAAAGCAGTTCCTAAGGGAGCACCTACATTTAGTACTTCTTTTTCATGTTAATGAAGTTCTGTCTCATTGAAAGAAAAAAAAAGAGATTGTTGTTGAGTGGAGGTACCTACTGCCTAGTGCAAGGTCAGGAAGGCTGTGGAGCTGATGGGCAGCTCTTCAGAATCCAGGGGTCCATTATTGGTGCACTCAGCGTGAGGCTGAAGCTGGAAGGTCACCTCCCCTAACGTGAATAAAACTGAAGCTGTGAGAGCTCAGGTGATCCACCCAGGGTTCCACAGTGATTGGGAGGGCTGAGACTTTAGAATTCTGCCTTCTAACACCCAGATTTGGCCTACCTCACACACTGACAGGAATTCTCTTCTATCCTGGGAGAGTCTTACAACTATCACGACCTCATAACTGATCTAAGATGGCTTTCTGGAGATGGTCAAGTCAGGAATAGCTTTTAAATAGGTTGCTATGGCCGGGTACAGTGGCTCACGCTTGTAATCCCAGCACTTTGGGAGGCTGAGGCAGGCAGATGGCTTGAGTCCAGGAGTTCAAGACCAGCCTGGGCAACATGACGAAACCCCATCTCTACAAAAAATACAAAAATTAGCCAGTCATGGTGGCATGTGCCTGTAGTCCCAGCTATTGAGGAGGCTGAGGCGAGAGGACCACAGAAGCAGAGGTTGCTAAGACTCGAGATGGTGCCACTGCACACCAGCCTGGGTAACAGAGCAAGACTGTCTCAGAAAAAAAAAAAAAAAAAAAAAAAAAAGATTTATGTTGTTTCCCCCAGTCCCCTAGGTCTCTCCTTTTACTTCCGCAACCAACCAGAAGTCAATGTAGGAGCCTTGGTGTTAGGTGTAGGCTAGGGGTGGCACCTGACACGGCATCACTGGAGCCTGTGTACTGGAATTAGACCAGTTGCTACAAGTTAGCTCTGTTGGTTGTCAAGAGAATTTCCTTTTCTTTATTAAAATGCAAGTCATGCTTTTGTTTTAATACAATATCAACCATTCAGCCTTGACATGATTTAAAATGAATATGGGTAGTTTTGCCTTTGAGTGAGAGTGTGTGTGTGTGTGTGTGTGTGTGTGTGTGTGTGTGTATGTGTGTGATAACCTAATTGACAAAGCAATCATGATGTTTTCCATGAGCCTGATGTTATCCCATCATTCGGAGACCCATTTTGTTTAATTTGTTTTTTCATATAGTTTCTGGTGGGAAAAATGCATTGCTTTAGTACCGAAATTAACTTGATTGAAATGTCTTAGACTTTATCATTTTCCAGTGGCTCAAAGGGTTATTTCCCAAGTGTTTAATTTTTTAAGTACAGTGTATATTAATTTCACTGCTACTTTCTGACATTCATCATTCCATGAGAAATTATCACAGATGAATACATCAGACTTTTATTTACACTCCAATTCCTACTCAATGTAAAGTTATTTAACTTTGACGATAGCATGCAAATTTGATAAAGATGAGGTTTTTAAAAACCTGAACCATTTATTGATTTGCTAAGTATAATTTTCACATTTTTCTTATAGTATTCTATAATACATCTTTCAGAAGGAAAACACTTGAAAACTAGTATAATCTTCAGGAACCGTTCAATCAGAAATAATGAGTGGAGAGGTCACTTATCAAAAATATATTGTTTAAAATACTTATATTTAAGTATTTCTAGTCTTTGAGGTAAAAAGTTCTGCCACAAAAAGTATGGATTCATTGGGCTTCTGAATTCTGTACATGTCACGATTTTTGCTCTTGGGCTAAAGATAGAAAGTAAAATAAAATGTTCTTTGTCCATTTAGTTATCCTTGACTCCATGAAATTCTCCAAAGTAATTACTGGTGACCACAATACCACCTACCAGCAAGAGCAGCATTGACCATGTGCCAAGTCCCTTATTGCCGACCACAGCTGCTCTTGACTACAGCAGATGTTTCTTCTTTTGACTTGGCAGTAAAATTTTATTAAGCAGTTTTGCAAGTAGAGAGCAGCATACTCTACCTGATGAGTGGCTGGAGATCTTAGCCCTTTTGTGCAATCAGCTTAGTTTTCTCCTATCTACCATCAGGCCCCCGCCTCTAGGTTCCTTGGATCTCACCAACCAGGCCTCAGGCCTTGTAAACTGCAGTCCTCTTGGGTTTGCTTCCCTACCCACCCATGTAATTTTCCCAAAGAAAATAATGTTAGAAGAGCAGCCGCACTTGTGGTTACAACTTGCGGCATTGAAAGGCTGTCACATTGGAACTTTGTTCCTACCAGTTGTGGGTTTACAAAAAGGAGTTGGGGTACTTTGTTGGGATGTTTTGTTAGGATGCTTTTCTGAATTTTTCCACATCTCTTTGGTTTGGATGTTGACTTGGAAATCTCTTTTGAATTAGCTTCTTTTGGAGAGCTTTCTGCTTTTCTGAGCACTTCTTGGATCCTTTCCCCAACAAAGCCACCAAGGGAACTTCTTCTGATCCTATCTCTTTTGTAGGTGGTACCCTATTTGAGTCCTTCTGAAGACTGGAGCACATAAAGGCCTGATTTTTTCTTCTGAGTTGGATTGGATGGTTTAACATAATTTGTCTCTATGTTTTCTGTCTTGGGTAAAGGAATATATTTGTGAATTGTGGCTGATACTACTTTAAAAAATTCCAAAAAGAAAATCTAAAGGACCATTCCTATGATTATTGCAACCCATTTCTCAGGTCTTTCAAAGAAAACAACTCGTAAAGATACTGGCAGTTGAAGGTCTAAGTCCCAGCCTGGCATGAATTCCCAGAGAGCCTTGGGCCTTGGGAGGAGGGGTAATATACAAGATTAGAGTGCAAAGTCCATCTGGTGAGAATTTGTCTGGTTTGTGCTTCCTCAGCAGGGAGGAAGTAGCAGTGACCTCAGTCCTGAATGGTTATTTCAGAAGTGTATCATGGTGGGAATTTAGCCAGCTTTGTGGCAGATGACCAACCCTGATAGCCTGATTTTTAAGGCCCCTAACACAAATGATACCAGGACTTCTTTGAATATTCTATTTAGTCTGTACTAGGACACATAGGACAAGATGAGCGACTATTTTAGACCTGTAGGTCAAGAGGTTTGAAGCAGTATATTCACCTTTTACACTTCAAACCACTTGGAGTATCTTAAAGAAGTAGTATACTGTCAAATACTTATAAAACTTCCTTCTTCTTTGCTCTTAAAGATAAGACGTTGTTTAGATGAATATATATTCTTTTCCTGTGTATTCTACTATTCCTGCAAAAATTTGTTTTTAAAATAAGAAACTTGGCTGGGCTTGGTGGCTCACGCCTGTAATCCCAGAACTTTGGGAGGCCGAGGCAGGTAGATCCCCTGAGGTGAGGAGTTTGAGACCAGCCTGGCCAACATGGTGAAACCCCATCTCTACTAAAAATACAAAAAATTAGCCGGGAATGGTGGCGGGTGCCTGTAATCCCAGCTACTCGGGAGGCTGAGGCAGGAGAATCACTTGAACCCAGGAGGCAGAGGCTGCAGTGAGCCGAGATCACACCACTGCACTCCAGCCTGGGCAACAAGAGTGAAACTCCATCTCAAAAATAAATAAATAAAATAAAATAGAAACTTGAAAATAATACCAGCACTGCTAGAGTGGGTATTTGGCTCAGTTCAGGCCTGTGCCTTTTTTTGATGTTCCCAGAGCAGAGCACTCCTTAAACTAGGATGAGAAAAGTTAATTTTAATCCTCCAAAGGCTTATTTGCTAGCACAAAAGGTCATGAAACACACCCAAAACTATATTGCTAAAATCTGAAGGAGAGAGATCTCAACAGCAGAGATGGACTCTAGTGTCCCAACATAGAATTGTGTCTCTGGCTGAAGAAATAGTTTGTTTTAGGAACGCCAATACAAAAGCTACAGAATGGAAGAGTTTTCCCTTAACTGATCTAAGGGAAAATTCTTTTTCTCGTGTTGTTTTAGGAAGCTCAGAATTATTTAGAAATACTTGTGAAATCATGGTCACAGGAGTTATTTCCAAGGATGTTTAAGTAGCTGCTCTCTGCCCATTATTTTGATAATTACTACACCTTAATCTGTTATCTGTCAAAAGGGAAAAAACTTTCTGTTATCTACCTGATAGACCCATGGAATACAAAAAAAATGTGATGACCCAATCACATTTAAAGCTTTTAAAGCTCCCTTTTGAGATGATTTCTTAGGGTACTAAAATATCACCTGCCCCAGAGTTTACAAATCAGAAATTGAATGAGGCAGGCTTAAAGAGGATCAGAAAACAAGATACCAAATAAGAGCAGCCATTGTAAAACTAGAGAAGGTTACGAAATGGCCCTGCTTTTCTATAAGGAAGGTCGAAGACACCAGGCCCCTTGCCCTGGGTTTGTCTGGTGGAAGTTTAAGGAAAGTTCATACCCTGGGCCCAGTAGAGAGCTTTGCCTTCATAATTGTCTGCATATGATTTGACAAACATAAGACCTCAGTGTTCCTAGATCGTTTATCCCCCTCAGCAATGTGCTAAATATGAAGTAAAAGGTTACCAAAGGGAGGATAGGGAAGAAAACCTAATTACCAATCCTGGTAATTTTAAACATGAGAAGATTTATAAACAACGGCTTCTTCATACACTTGTGAGTTCTGACATGTTGTGAAAATAGGACCTGCTAAGCCATTGAAAGGATTTTCAATATATTGTACGAGATGGAAAGAGGACCCAGAGAAGGCTTGTTTTTCATTTTAAAGAGTTGCTTTAGAAACCAAGGTTGTAACTGAGCACTGCTCTGTGCTGTATCAAGCCGTAATATCCAGTGAGTCATGAAGGCATTAGGGAAGCACTGGAGACATCATAAGAAACATTTGAGTTAATGTTTGAGATAAGGAAGATGATTATCTCTAAAAAGAAACTGAAATTAAGGGGCACAGTCTCCCGTTTTCGGACAGCTAAAAGGCATTCTTTTCAGTGATCTCTCCTTTACTAACCCATGTACATGCTGTGAGTATGTGACCTAGAAACCAGGCTTTTTTAAGCTGAGCTCTGGATACTTGTAGACTGAGACCTTGGGCGAGTTACTGCCCACCTTGGCTTCAGCTTCCTCACCTGAAAACGAGTGATCAACCAGGTAATCTTTATGGGGCCCTTCTGGCCCAAGGACTCTATCAGTCTGGTTTTTGAACATTATCCTACATTAGACAATCTCAGAAAGGTTTTATGACTTGTGGGTGCCTTTGTGGTACTTCACATGAGCGGGAGGTCTTAAGACTATGGACCCCTTGGGAGACCAGTGTCTAATTCTACTACTTCCTCCTCCCCAAGAATTCAGATGGTGAAACACCCTCATCCCTCCAGCCCTGCCCCCAGGAAACCCTTCATTCAGAAAGGTCATTTCATTTCCTGTGAGCCAGTCTTACATCACTGGTGCAAGAATTGGGCAGTGCTTGCCCAGCTGGAAGGTGAGACATTGGAGGCCTCAGCCTGGTGTCCCAGACAGTATTTGTCAGGCTGATGATAAGCTGGTGGAGAGTCTGTTAACTCAAGGCCTGATTCTAATGAATTTGGGATTCCTTGCTGAAAAAAAGACTGGGCTGGGTGTGGTGGCTCATGCCTGTAATCCCAGCACTCTGGGAGGCTGAGGCGGGCGGATCACCTGAGGTCAGAGTTTGAGACCATCCTGGCCAATATGGCGAAACCCCGTCTCTACTAAAAATACAAAAAATTAGCCGGGCCTGGTGGCGGGCGCCTATAATCCCAACTACTAGGGAGGCTGAGGCAGGAGAATCACTTGAACGCGGGATGCAGAGGTTGCAGTGAGCCGAGATTGCGCCATTCCACTCCAGCCTGGGCAACAAGAGCGAAACTCCACCTCAAAAAAAAAAAAAAGAAAAGAAAGACTGGATCCTGGTCCATCCAAGATGCTGCCCTTGAGACCTCTGGGTTGATGACTGATATGTTGGTCTCTTGGGACAAGGCTGTACAGTTGAGAAAAGTAGCAAGAACATCAGATCTCTGCAGATAATCTGGCCCCCATAAAAAAGCAATAGCAACTGGGAAAAGGCTAGACTGCTAGGTTCCCAGCTATACTGGATTATTAGACAAAGCTACCCACTCCATCTTTGTTTATAGAACTCATTTTCAGGAACAAGTGTTTTATAGTGAGGTGGAGGTTGTAAAGAAGCTCTTTATAATGAAGATCCCAAATATGTGAGCCTTCTATCAAGCTTGATCTCAAGGAACTTTACACGGGTGGCAGTTTAGAAGAAAAAGAGAGAAAAGGATAAAGAAAAAAACTAATAAAAATAGCTGAGATCACTCAACAGTTATCAAGAAACAGATACTACAGTTTTATAACACGAAGTACTAAAAGTATATGCACTCTTAAAAGGCAATTAAAACGTATGCTCCAAAACTATAAAACATTTTCTTTTCATCTGCAACATAGAGGGCAGATTACAACACATTAATAACGTTTTGTTTAGAGTTCAGTTTCTGATGGTTTCCAAATGTAGTCTGTGTAGATTAACCAGAAGGAGTCCAGTTCTCTTTTTTAAGAGCGCTTGTAAAGGAAAGCAATGTGGTAAGATTGTTATGAAAAGAGAGTGTATTTAGGAAATAGCACTTAGCAGGGTCTCTCTGAATGGCTGCCAGGTCAGGAAGCTGAAGTGCAAGGCTTGGCCCTTGTTCAGCCCCCCCAGTTCCAGCTTCTTGACCACACAGTACGTCAAGAACATGTCACAAGCCAGCCAGGAAGACTCAGCCCCGCCCATGGGCCAGCTTGGCACGGCTGCTTTCACATAACCCAGGGCTCCAGAGGGGCCGGAGGCAGGCATTCCAGGGCCACGGGAACATGCAAGTTTTTAAAATAGAAGTGAAGGACTTAAAAAAAAAAAAAGCCTGGGAATTAAACAGTTGCTGAGTCCTTGAGTCCTTATGGAACATGGTTCCTCATGTAGAGTGGCAGAGGTGAAAAGGGCCTTAAAGGTTATCTCATCCTCTGCCCTCTGCTTATAGACAAGGACATTGACCTGCTTACAACCATAGTGATAGAACCAATTGTGGAATCCATATCTGTCAGCTCTTAGTCTGCTAAACACACTGGCTTCTACCTCACTGGGCTAAGCTGCCCTTTCTTCCTTGGATTTTGACTCTAGAAAGCTGTCCAGTAATCTGTTCCTATACATTTTTTTTTTTTTTTTGAGATGGAGTCTTACTCTGTTGCCCAGGCTGGAGTGCAGTGGTGTGATCTCAGCTCACTGCAACCTCCACCTCCTGGGTTCCAGCTATTCTCCTGCCTCAGCCTCCTAAGTAGCTGGGATCACAGGCATGTGCTACCATGCCTAATTTTGTATTTTGTAGTAGGGATGGGGTTCCACCATGTTGACCAGGCTGGTCTCGAACTCCTGACCTCAGGTGATCCACTTGCCTCGGCCTCCCAAAGGCCTGGGATTACAGGCATGAGCCACTGAGCCCGGCCCGTTGCTATACCATTTGTTCCTACTACTTGCCTAACTGTTCTATGTCTCAGTCTCAGTTTCCTTGTCTACAAAATGGAGATAATATCAATGCCTGGGCTGGGCCCGGTGGCTCACGCCTGTAATCCCAACACTTTGGGAGGCCGAGGCAGGCGGATCACCTGAGGTCAGGAGTTGGAGAGAATATATATATATATAATCAATGTCTGCTTCACAGAGTTACAAGGATTGATAGAATAAACATGTGTAACATTTACAGTGCCTGGTATGGAATAAGGGCTCAATAATGTTATCTATTCCCATTAATAATAGTATTATTAGCATTATACTATCATCTGTCTTATTGCTACTACTATTTCTACAGTTGCTACATCAGCAGTCCCAGGAACTTGGCCTACGGCCTAGGCATGGCGTATGAGCTCTATGGTAGTAGAAGGTCAGACCCAGGATTGGAGGAGGGGCAGCTGAGTAGAGGGGAAGATGAATCTCGGATGCCTCTGGGCCAGTGCTTCATAAAGTCCTGTGCTCAGATTCCAGCTGTGGAACAGAGGTGCAGAGGTGGATTTTAATGTTATTGTTGTTTTTGCTTTGTTTTGCCTTTCCATTTTTGTTGTATAGTTTTAGTTGAAAGAGACTTTAGAGATGATTAAGTATACATTACAGTTCGGCCTCCACGGTTTACATGGGGGAAAACTGAAGCGCAGAAAGAAAAAGTGACTTGCCTTATGTCTTGCTAGCCTTACTTGGTAATTGAGTAGAGCTCTCTTGTCTAATTTACATATAAAAGGAAAACTGGAGAAGAAAGAGCCTTAGGATAATACTCATAAGATCTAAAATTCCTTTAGCCTTTCTTCTACATCAGGCCCACTGGGACCCTACTTAAAACCCTCATTTTGACCTGGTTCCTCAGTCAGCATGGAGACAAGCCCGAGGAAAAAACTCAAGAGAGCCGGCCTCCTTCCTTAGGTATTATTAGAGAGCAATCCCCTATAAAAGTTAAGTGGATGTTTGTTTTTTATTTAAAACCTTCAGGAGATTTAACCCTGCTGGGCTGCTCCTGCCTCACCCACAGCAGTGTCCCTTCAGGCCTCACAGAACACTTCTGCCGTAAAGAGGGCTTGCTTTCAGAATGCTTAAACAACTCTGACATGCACATTTCTTTGCTTAATACAAGGCTCACTGATTTAGAAGGTAAAATTACTTTCTTAGTTGATGCCTCAATTGTTTTTTCCTTTGAGTTCTTATCTCTCCTTTGCCCTAGTGTCAAGTCAGTTTTCCTGTTTTGCTAAAATGTTTGATCAACTTTAAGATTAGAAAATTTATGGCGGGGCGCGGTGGCTCACGCCTGTAATCCTGGCACTTTGGGAGGCCGTGGCGGGCGGATCACAGGGTCAAGAGATGGAGACCAGCCTGGCCAACATGGTGAAACCCCTTCTCTACTAAAAATACAAAAATTAGCTGGGCGTGGTGGTGGGCGCCTGTAGTCCCAGCTACTCAGGAGGCTGAGGTAAGAGAATCACTTGAACCTGGGAGGTGGAGGTTGCAGTGAGCCGAGATTGCGCCACTGCACTCCAGCCTGGTGACAGAGTGAGACTCCGTCTCAGAAAAAAAAAAAAGGATTAGAAAATTTATACTGCTTTAAATACCCAGTGAGTATAGTATATGATTGCTGGAAAAGTCGTTCATCCTGACCAAGAACAATACAATAACAACAAAACCATTACCTGGAAAAACCAACTAGAAATTCAGTGAGAACATTTTAGCTTTTTCCTTTTAAATTTTTAAAATTCTGACATTGCCTGGTTACATTGAAACAGCCCTGTTGTGTCATCCTACTTTCTTTTTCCTGGTATTTTCCTCTTTGGGACTTTGGTTTCATTAATCTCAATTTGTTCTGAAGGCACTAAGGCAGATTTTCAAAGAGCTGTAATTGTCACAGGGAGAGCACAATGACTTATTGAAGTTTCACATGTTGCTCTTTTTGGAACTACCAGAGATTGGAACCAATTCTCCATCCACATCTCTATCCGAGAGTTAAGTTTTCTCTTCTCTGGTGCTTGTCAAAAGTATTTCTCCCAGCTAATCTCATTCCCAGTTGCCAAAGAAAAGATCTCAAGCATAACTCCTCATCTCCAGGTCACCCGACAAGGTAAGAAGAGAGATTAAATGAATGTGCCCAAGTTTCTTTCCCTTACAGCCTCCAGATCTCCAGAATATACCTTCTTTAGTTTCCACATCACACTTTCCTACATTTCTTCTTAATTTGATGATGTCTTGAGAGTATCTCAGGAAACTGGTATGACTACCAAGGGGACAGAGGCTTTTGTAGCGCATCAATACCCCTAAGTCTATCCATCCTTCTCCAGAAACACAGTGGGCACATCTTTGCACCCTGTGGAATCAATGTTAGTGCTGAAATCAGAGTAGACTTGGCTTTGTACTTTTGTCTGGGTAGTTGGCTTAAGTGCCGTGTCTGTATTGAGTGACACTTCTCCATCAGAATTCTTATTCTTTTGGAAGCCTAGACTATTTCTTCATTTGACCACACTGTGCAGGGTTTTAGTGCTAAAGGGTTCCGGATGTAGCTGCTCTTGTGGAGAACCTTATCACAGCTTTCTTTTCCCTAAGTTATTTGTGGTAAAGTCCTGGCAGTTTGTTTAGATGTTCAGTGAGTGACACCTAATTGAAGAAGTGGCTGGGGCTGGACTTCAAGGTGGATGGTTTTCTTACCAAGTACTATGAAGAGATTTGCTCCTAGACTTTAGAGATGGGAAATGCTGCTCTCTTTTCCCCTGAAAATTGAGTCTCGTCAAACTGACAAGTTATTTTCTGAAACTCCGAGTCATAATTGTACCATATTTATTTTCTGATTTTTTTTAACCTTTCAGTTAATAAATGTTTTCCAGCCTCCATCAGCCTCTACTGGTAATCAGGAGAAATGGGCCAATGGCTTTATGTAACTGAGGTTTCTGTTTTAACATGAAAGTACTATATTTACCTTCAAAATGACCCTCACTTAGATCAGACTACCTGGGGTTGTCAAGCCTTCCATCTTCAAGCCAAGAGGTAGTTTGGTTTTTGTTTGTTTGTTTGTTTGTTTGTTTGTTTTTCATTTATTTTTATTTATTTTATTTTATTTTTATTTTTTGAGGCAGAGTTTCACTCTCTCGCCCAGGCTGGAGTGCAGCGGTGTGATCAAGGCTCACTGCAACCTCCGCCTCTGGGGTTCAAGTGATTCTCCTGTCTCAGCCTCCTGAGTAGCTGGGATTACAGGCGTGGGCCACCATACCTGGCTAATTTTTGTATTTTTAGTAGAGACAGGGTTTTGCCATGTTTGCCAGGCCGGTCTCAAACTCCTGGCCTCAAGTGATCCACCCACCTGGGCCTCCCAAAGTGCTGGGATTACAGGCGTGAGCCACCGCGCCTGGCCGTTTGGTTTTGTTTAGGTGTCTTTGTCCATGGAGTGCTATGTGTCCAGGGTTGTTGCCCACTTCCTGCCTTTGAAACCAGTGAATTGTGTCACCAGAGAGCCTTGGATACAGAGATAAACTGGAGACAGAGTAACACAAAAATAATCATTTCAAAAGAAACCTGAGGCTTTCAGGGTTGTTGGTATGCCATGGCACAAGGACCCAAAGTGATCTTCTCAGGCCTCAACCCCAGCCCATGCAGATGGTATTTGAGCCACTTACAAGAAAAGGTGAACCTTAGTACTGCATATAAATAAGTCTCTGAGTAATTCCTTGGAGGTGAACCTAGGTTCTCTTTGAGGTATTTTCTCTACCAAAATCAAGATTTTTGGATTTAAAAAAAAATTTACATTATGCTTTTTATTTACACAGCATTTCCGCTCACATGATTTCCATTTAGATCTCAATCTTTGCGATCGGTGTTGTCATGTCCATTTTGCTGATAAGGCTTAGGGAAAGAAACTCTAAAATCACATTGCTAATAAAGGGCAGAACTGGCCAGGCGTGGTGGCTCACGCCTGTAACCCCAGCACTTTGGGAGGCCGAGGCAGGCAGATCACGAGGTCAGGAGTTTGAGACCAGCCTGGCCAATATGGTGAAACCCCATCTCTACTAATAATACAAAAATTAGCTGGGTGTGGTGGCCACACGCCTGTAGTCCCAGCTACGCAGGAGGCTAAGGCAGAAGAATCGCGTGAACCTGGGAGGCGGAGGTTGCAGTGAGCCTTGATCACACCACTGCACTCCAACCTGGGAGACAGAGCGAGACTCCATCTCAAAAAAAAAAAAAAAAAAAAAAAGGCAGAATTCTGGCATTCCACCCATGTCTTCAGTCGTTTCTTCAAGAATACTTTTACCAAGCCACCTTCCTTTGAATGGAATACTTTAGCGGTCCCAAGAAAGTCTTCCTTTATATCAAAATAGCAAATATTTTGGTCATGTTAAAATACTTTTCTTCTCAAGAACTTTGATGTGCTGCATCTTCAAATAATAGAAATCTTAATTCATTATTGTCTTGTTTAAGGTAACATTATGTAGAGGGAGGAACACGGAATTTGGGATCAATCAAATAATTCAAAATATGATTCTTCTCTGTGATAAATGTGTGACTTACACTTAGCTTGTTTCTTCATCTAGACAAATGTGAATGGTAAACCAGCTCAAAGGGGTCTTGCAAGTATTAAATGCAGTGACACAAACACAGTGCTTAATAGTAGTAGGAATCCATAAACAGACATTTCCCTTCCCATTTTCACTCTGGTTCAAACTGATCTTTTCTTTCTTACCTCCCACTTCTTTCTTAGATCAATTCTTTGCTCATGGGAAATGTAATTGTTAATCCTCTCTTGAGCATAGATTTTCTCTTCCCACCTTATTATTTTTGTGCACACTGTTCCTTCCTCTGAAGAGCCCTGCTCTTCTCAGTGTCCTTCATACACTCCTGGTTAACCACCTACAGGATTTCTACTCACCTTTCAAGGTTTAGAGAAAATAGCGCTCTTCCTTGCAACCTTTCTGATTATTCCAGTCAAAAATTGTCTTCTTTTCTCTGAATATCTTTGTCTTTAATAGTCATTGCCCTCTTATGGGACTTACCATGTTTCGCCTGATGTTGTCTTTAAGTATGTAACTTTATTTTCTTTCCTATCAGACTTTAAATTCATTGTGGAAAGGGGTTGTTACTTCGTGCCTTTAGATATCCACCATAATGTGTAGCGTAGTTCCTAGGAGGCTGCATGGTATGATCAAAAGAACACAGGTTTTTAGAGGCAGGTTTATCTAGGTTTGAGTTGTGGGTCTGCC
This sequence comes from Homo sapiens, assembly GCF_000001405.40. Taxonomy (NCBI): domain Eukaryota; kingdom Metazoa; phylum Chordata; class Mammalia; order Primates; family Hominidae; genus Homo; species Homo sapiens. The sequence goes on from NC_000017.11 coordinate 61,258,447, forward strand.
ACTTCTTCACTAGCTGTTGACCTTAGAAAAGTTGCTTCACCCTCTGAGCCTCTGTAAAATGTGAATAATCATACCTACTTCATGGTATCGTTGTGTGGATTAAATGAAATTGCATGTAAAGTGCCTGGCACAAAACAGGCGCTTAATAAATGTTAGACTGTTCCCCTTGATCATAATACAACATTGATTAAGTAAGTAGACTGATGTTCACTCCTTATTGCATGATTTTCTAAAGTGGAGAATTTTGGATAATAAATTTTAGTAGACTCATTTGATATAACAGGGACTGGTATACACCCTCTGTAGTTGATTTGGGAAGCCAGGCATCACTCTGTGGAAGAACCACAGAACACTAGCTAAATATTGACAACTGACTATGCCGTCTTATTCCAGCATATGGATTTGTATTCGTAATTCCCCAAGATAAGATTTTACCGTCCCTCTTAATTTTATTAATCCATTCTAAACTGACAGATGTTGCAGTGAGCTTTGAGCTCTTGGGGATTCTTGTTTTGTTTCTGATTAAAAGATGAGTTTCCTTCTTAAACCCAAGGGTCTAAGTATCAGTGCCCTTCTCTCCTAAACATCTTGCTTAAATGCCAGAAGTAAACTTGTTATTCTCTATTGGATGCTAAAGAAGCTTTTCACTGTCTAAGCCCCTTCTAAACATGTTTCCTTCTAGGAGGCAGAAGAGTGGGAATTGTTTAGCATAGTACCTGGTACTTGGTAGCTGCTTAGTAAACAGTAGTTAGTATCATCATTACTTGTATTTACATTTTTATTTTGAAAGAGCATGGGGAGTGTAAGCAGAGCTCACAGAACTAATCTGTGTTGATCTGTCTTCTTCTTGAGGGCACACAGAATTTGAGAACACTGAAATTCAGCCAGATAGTGACCCAGGGTTATGGTCAGGGTTCCAGTATGGTTTGTGCTTTTGTTCCTTCTTGGAGTCCAGCTCTGACTTTAATAGCACAGTAACTGCCAGTTCCTGTCCATAGGGGTTGAGAACATCGTTGGATGATATGTTTAATGCTGCAGATGCTGAGGTTGTCTAAGTCGTGGTCTCTTCTTAGGTTACTGGCTGGTATGTGAACTGCTACTCCAGAAAGCAAGTTGGTCAACAGAAGAATTTTAATGAAGCCATTTAAGTGTTCCAGCCACTGGAGCTGGTTCTCTTTGTTGTTCTTTTTTTCCCCTTCCATCAACCTACTTTCAAGAAGAGGCTCATGTTCTGGTTCCAGGGCACCAGCCTTAGAGTGGGCAGTCGTTCATTACTGGCCTAGGACAATCATATTGGAGATCTCCCTGGACATCAGACACTTGCTATCATTTCTGTTCTCTTGTTGGCTGATCCTCCTAGTGCTTTTAGGGGCACCTGAGGTCACTTTTTGCCATAAGGCATGTCACTCTGTGGCATCTTACTGAATAGGATATGCTTTTTATTACTTTGGACTGACCTAGTGATAATAATACTAATAGCCACTATTTATTGAATTGCTGTGTGAGGTAGGCGTTGTACAGGCTGCCTAACATAGTTTTTTATTAATCCTCACAACAGTCCTTTAAGGTAGGCATTAAGGTAGGTATTCTTATGCCCATGTTACAGATAAGTACTGGATAAGTTAAATAACTTGCCGAAGGTTTAAACAGCTACTAAATGCCGAAGTCAAGACTTAACTTCAAAGCCCTGTTTCCACTTTATTTACAGAAAGCTCAAAATGCCCCTGAAACTCTGAAATCACTGTGGTATTTCACACTAACTTACCAGAAATTCCCAGGACATTAATTCAGGGATCTGAGTTTAGTGTGTAGAGCATTACCCAATATGAAAACAGTGGAGTTCCACAGTTTTATGAGAAAACCCAGAGAAACCCATAGTACGTTAGACAAATTGGAATTGAAACGCTTAAGTAAAAAAATATTCATTTTAAGGTCATCTGTTTATACTGACACAAGGTCTATAGAAAATGAGAGAGTTGGCATCATGTTTCTGAAATATGCAATTTTACAATGGGAACGTGTTATAAAATGCCCTGCCACTGTTGTTTTCCTTGGGATTTAGAGTGAGAGACATGAAGGCTGACAACTCTCTTCCTGTTGTAGGTCAGAGCTTCAAGGAACTCTGTAATCTTCCCACCAGCTTTATTCTCTCCTGAAACTCACGGGTAAAATTAGATGCTGGCTGGACGTCAGTAGTTGAGTTTGAAAGCTTTCAGAGGCCAAGTCAGACAACTGCAGCAGACTGCTTTCTCACAGTACCAGTTTGAGAGACACTTTGTACCGACTAACATAGTTTAGTAAACCGATGAGTGTCTGGCAATTTTGCCGTAAAACGCCATTAATAACAACGCCTATAGGAGCAGAAGAAAATGATCTTTGTGTGGTTAATCTTGGAAACAGGATCAGGCTTTATCTTCCTTTTACCAATATGCTGCCTTTACCTCTTGATGTTGCTCTACTCTAGTGTACTGTTACAGTTGAAAAGCAACAACTCTAGATGAGGATTTAGTTGGAACTATTTTATTATATGCATTATAATTGACTCTAGGAGGCAGACATGGTGAAAAGGGTGTGGGAAGAAATTATTTAAAGGGTGAATGCTCTCCCAAACTATCATCAAACGCATTTATCTAATTTGACACATTTTGCCTGGAAGTCATAGAAGAAGACTGAGGTGCCCCCATCAGAATATAAAGAGTCAGAAACTTAAAACCAGACTAAAAAGGGCCAACCCATTAGGGAAGTACCTCCCTGGGGAGCGGGTGGACAGGGAAAGAAGGTTTGATGGCAGTTATTAAACACTGATTCAAGAATATGTTTAGAGGAGCTGCGACCCAGGGAAATCCTGCCTCCCAGTCTTAGCTGGGCGAGGGACAGTTAAGTAAAAAGAGTTCTGCTTATTCTCTGCTGCAGGATGCTACCCCCTGACCCTTTATAAGTCAGCCTTGCTTGATTACTCCTTTTAATTCAAGGCTCAAAACAGCTTGTAAAGTTTTTTTTATCATTCCTTTCCAGATTGTGTGGGCCACACTGTAGCATTTTGTCCACATCTGTTTTCCAACCTCATTACTCTTCTGTTATTACATTCATTAGAAAAAAGAGCTGTTTATTTCTTTTCCGCATGTTTTCCCCCTAGTTTCAAAAGCTAAAATGGTAAATCATGTGGTGTTTGATGTGACCATCTCCACGATTTCTAGTGTACAAATTGATGGTTGCATATACAGGAATTGGTTGAACCTTATTGTTTAAATTAGCTATACCCCAGCCAAAGCTCACAACTCATATGAGGCTGTTTCACTGTAGACTGAGATTGTCAAGACTTCTCATTTCTGTATCAGAATGGTTATATCATTCCCTCCAGGGCGCATAGCAATAACGTGAATTTTTTTGTCTAGTATGACTCCTGCGCACTTTAATTTGAATATAATTATTTAAAGACACATGGAAGCTGGGGGCAGAGCTTTAGAATTTAGGATGGTTTTCCTAGTGAAGAGAAAGCTAAGAGAGATGAGACAAGGATGTCCACGAATACCGTTTCTATTCAGTGTTATACTAGAAGTACTACCCAGAGCAATGAAATAAGAACAACAGATTAGAGGAATAAGAATTGGAAGAAAATAGGACACAGCTGACCTTATTTGCAGATTATATTATTTGCTTCAAAGACAATCCAGAAGAATGAACAAACTGTTAGAATTAATAAAATAATTCAGCAACATTGCTGGATACAGAATTTGAGGATGTTCTTTCATGATGGTAATAACCAATTAGAAAAAAAAAAGATCCTATTTGCAATAATAATCAAAAGCACAAAGAAGCTAGGAATAATCCTTAGAAAACATATGCAAAACCTTTACAGGAAATGTATAAGGCAAAGTTGAAGGAATGAGAGAAGACCCACATAAATGGACATAACATATTCATAGATAGGGAGACTTTTTTTTTTTTTTTGAGATATAATTCTCACTCTTTCGCCCAGGCTGTAGTGTAGTGGCACGATCTCCACTCACCACAACCTCCGCCTCCTGGATTCAAGCGATTCTCCTGCTTCAGCCTCCCAAGTAGCTGGGATTACAGGCACGCACCACTGCGCCCAGCTAATTTTTGTATTGTTAGTAGAGGTGAGGTTTCGCCATGTTGACCAGGCTGGTCTTGAACTCCTGACCTCAGGTGATCCACCCGCCTCGGCCTCCCAAAGTGTTGGGATTACAGGCGTGAGCCACCTTGCCCGGCCAGGAGACTTAATTTTTTTTTTTTTTTTTTGAGACAGAGTTTCACTCTTGTTGCCCAGGCTAGAGTGCAATGGCACTATCTTGACTCACCGCAACCTCTGCCTCCCAGGTTCAACCAATTCTCCTGCCTCAGCTTCCTGAGTAGCTGGGATTACAGGCATGTGCCGCCACCCCCGGCTAATTTTGTATTTTTAGTAGAGATGGGGTTTCTCCATGTTGGTCAGGCTGGTCTCGAATTCCTGACCTCAGGTGATCCACCCGCCTCAGCCTCCCAAAGTGCTGGGATTACAGGCATGAGCCACTGTGCCTGGCCCAGGAGACTTAATATTTAAAGGCTGTCAATTATCCCCAAGTTAATCTAGAAATTAAATGAAATTCAGATGAACATCCTAAGAAGTTTTGAATTACTCAAAGTCTTAGCAGGAAACCAATGGCACACACAGAAGTGTTCACCGAGGGGAGTCAATGAAGGACCTGTTTACAAAGGTGTGGACAAAGCTTAAGGAAACCAAGAAACCAACAGGGGAAGGTGAGGCACCCTAAGCTAGCAAAAGCAAAGAAGCACTGTTAGCACCCCTGGGCCTGAAGCTGCAAGCAGATGGAACCGTTATCAGAACCCAGACAGTGCTCTAGCTTTAGCTGTAGAGAGGCCCACCTGGCAGGCCTTCGGTAGAGGAACAGCTGCTACTAACCTGGACATAGGGGTGAGAGAGCCAAGGAGAGAAATACCTTGACCTGTTCCTCCTTTTGCCCTTCATTCTCTTTCCATTGACTCTCATTAGCTGAATATAAGAAGGAGAGACCCAGTCGATGCTGCCCATGCAGAGGTCAGCCTCATGGGACACAGAACAAGGTGAAGAGTGGAAAGTGTTTCTGAAGGAGCAATCAGAGAATATCCAGTGCAGGTGTTTTTCATAGTATTTTTCAAGGTGATCTTGAACTTCATGTGGAAGATCGGAGGATTAAAACCAGCAAGGAAAGTTTTTGAAGCAACAGACCTATTATGACTTTTATTTAAAATCTCAATTTCTTTCCTGCCAGATATTAACATGTATTATAAAGCTGTAATAATTAAAGCAGAATGGTATTGTTTCAGAGAAAGACAGACAGTGGAACATAATGTACATATATGTAGAAACTTGATATATTACAAACCAGTGCTGAAAGATGGACTGTTCAGTAAATTGTGCTGCGACAAATGATTATCCACATAGGAAAAACTTAGGATTTCATTTTAGGGTAGCAAAAATAAAAAATTCTGACCATGCATGTTGGCAAGGGTTGGATACTCATACACTGTTGGTAGAAGTATAAATCGACATAATCCTATCAGCGGGTAATTTACAATGTCTAGTAAAGTTATGTGGATTCTAGAGCCAGACTATTCCCTGTCTGTAAAATGGGGTTAACAAGTGATCCTCAGAAGATTATTGTGAAGATTAAATGAGTTTATATATATATAAAATTATATAGATATAATTCTTGGAACAATGGTTACTACAAAATAAGCTCTATTTAAATGTGTCATTATTATTGTTATTTCTAGATCTTGCAGTTCTACTTCTAAGTATGTAATCCAGAGAAAATTCTGACTTGTGTATAAAAGAAGACTCATTCAATAATGTTTATTTCAAATGAACAAAAAAGCAGCTGAAAAAAATCATGATATATTCATTGTATAGCAGTAAGAATGAATGAAGTAAACCTGTATGTAGTAACATAGGTAAGTCTTTTTTTTTTTTTTTTTAGAGAGAGAGTCTCACTCTGTTGCCCAGGCTGGAGTGCAGTAGCATGATATTGGCTAACTGCAACCTCTGCCTCCTGGTGCAAGTGATTCTCATGTCTCAGCCTCCCACATAGCTGGGATTACAGGGATGTGCCACCGCGTCCAGCTAATTTTTGTATTTTTAGAAGAGACAGAGTTTCACCATGTTGGCCAGGCTGGGCTCAAACTCCCAACCTCAGATGATCCACCCACCTCGGCCTCCCGAAGTGCTGGGATTACAGGTGTGAGCCACCATACCCAGCCTCATAGATAAGCCTTAAAAACATATTGAGAGTGAAATAAAACCAGATTGCAGAGGAATATGAATAATCTGATATTGAGGAGGCAGGAGACATGAGAATGGGAAATGGCACAGAGAGATTTCAGCCCTATCTCTAATATCTCATACCTTTCAAACATTTTCTAAAATCTGAGCCAAAAAGAGAGCTAAGCCATTAATTATGGTCAGGTTTTAGAAATATAAAAGGGATATTAGAAGTATGATAGAGAGAAATTGCTCTACAGAGAAATTGCCCTGTGTGGTCTTTGGAGGCAGACAGCCCTGTATTCAATTCCACTGTTTATTTTTATTAGCTGTGTAATCTTATATAAATTATTTAACATTAGTTACCTCACCGGGTTAGTTTGACAATTACATGGAGTACTATATATAAGAAAGCACAATACCAGCCAGGCGCAATGGCTCATGTCTGTAATCCCAGCACTTTGGGAGCCTGAGGCAGGCAGATCACCTGAGGTTGCGAGTTCAAGACCAGCCTGACCAACATGGAGAAACCCTGTCTCTGCTAAAAATACAAAATTAGCCGGCATGGTGGCGCATGCCTGTAATCCCGGGAGGTTGAGGCAGGAGAATCGTTCGAACCCGAGAGGCAGAGGTTGCAGTGAGCCGAGATCGCACCATTGCACTCCAGCCTGGGTAACAAGAGTGAAACTCTGTCTCAAGAAAAAAAAAAAAAGAAAGCACAGTACCTGATACATAACAGATATTCAATAATTGTTCCCTTCCTTCCCCTCTTATACAAGGAAGAAAAAAGACGAATCAACATCTCCCTTGGAAAATACTCTAGACCAAATTTCTGCTTCTGTGGGCCTGGTTTCTACAATCTTGTTTGGCTACAATTCATGTTGACTTTACGTAAGGATTGCCAATTCATGCCCAAACTTAGTGAAGCAAGCTCACTTGATAAAGAAATGAATTTCAGGATTTAACTATGTAACACCATCATTCTTTTTTCCCCCCCATCAAGTAGTATATCTGCCAGGGTTTGTGTGTGTCATACTGTCCTGGACTCTGTATAGCAAAGATTTAATGACCATGGACCTTACCTTTGTTCTAAAAAAAAAATCTTTGACTCCACCATTTTTATAATAAACACTTGCAAACTCACACCTTCTCTTGCTAACTGAGCAGGAGAATAGTTGCTTGTTTCTTTCTCTATATAAAAGACAAATGTCTTTATCTTGTGGAAAATCCAGTGTCACCTTTCATAGATACTAAAATATTTCCTTTCTTCATTTCTAATGAGACTTCCTGTTTGGTTATTGTTTTTATAAAGATATGAAATCCATATGAAAGCTCTTGTGGTCAGGGTCAGTTATTCCAAGGGGGAAGCCTGTCCTCACGTTCATTAAAATGATATCTCTTCTAGGCATACCTCTTTTGATCATTAACGAGCAACTGAATACTTTTCTTATGAATACTTCTGTAACAACCAAATTAGCAAATATAGCCTTGTGCTTCAGGATTTGATCTTATTTTTACCTTAGTACTTGGGAGTTTAGAGTAAAACATGCAATGCTAAGAAGAGACTGTGCAATAGGTAAAGGAGACAAATGGCTTAAAGAGAAAGAGACACACACCATCCACACACATGATCATTAGTGGACAGAGAAAACGGCCAGTATGTGGAAATTAAAAGGACGATCTTTCTTGTATGCTTCTCACAAGAAAATTCATCCTGAGCAATTTCATTTCAGGCAAGGCTTGGGAAAGGGGAATTAGTTTCCAAAGAAACCTATGAGAAGCACCTTGGGCCTGAATGATTTAACACTGAACTAAGACTTGGTATCTGAGAAGCTGTATCTAAGAGTGGAGAGATGAAATAAGAGGCTTAGGAAAATTTTCCTGCCTAGTGTCCTCAGGGTTTACCAAGCTGACCTTACATGTAGGTACTGTTTTCCAAAACTGACATATTTAGGAAATCTTTAAAAATATCTAATTGCCACAATTAGTATGACTCACAGCCCTTTGCACCTTCTGTTGTTATGGAGTCCATCCCATTTCGTGTTAGAAATTTTCTGTAATGTAAGCCTATTTAGTCTATTTTCTCCCACTTTGTAAACACCCTTTTTCCATAGTTGCAAATGTCTCCACCATTATTTGTTTCAATTTGTAAATTTCAGAAAGGCTAGAATAAACAGTGTCCTCACACACGCACATTCATCCATTGCCAGACATGCACTATCTCTGGCCAGAGATATAGTCAAAAGGGTACCCTCCATACTTTCTTTATAGCACCAGAATTCCAAAGTGAGATTCTTTGCTTCTTGTCCCCTTTCTACCAGGATAGGAAAGTTAATTTTTTGTGTTGTTGTTTGTTTGTTTGTTTTTGAGACGGAGTCTCGCTCTGTCGCCCAGGCTGGAGTGCAGTGGTGCGGTCTCGGCTCACCGCAAGCTCCGCCTCCCGGGTTCACGCCATTCTCCTGCCTCAGCCTCCCAAGTAGCTGGGACTACAGGCATCTGCCACCATGCCCAGCTAATTTTTTGTATTTTTAGTAGAGACGAGGTTTCACCGTGTTAGCCAGGATGGTCTCGATCTCCTGACCTCATGATCCGCTCCCCTCGGCCTTCCAAAGTGCTGGGATTACAGGCGTGAGCCACTGCACCTGGCTGGAAAGTTAATTTTTAAATTGCCACAGTGGTTGGTAAATTAAAAGATATTAAGTCATGATGTCAAGACTTTTATTTTTTGAAAAGAAAAAACTAATTTAGGCCAGGTGCGGTGGCTCACGCCTGTTATCCCAGCACTTTGGGAAGCCAAGGCGGGCGGATTGCTTGAGATCAGGAGTTCGAGACCAGCCTGGCCAACTTGGTGAAACTCTGTCTCTACTAAAATACAAAAATTAGCTGGGCATGGTGATGTGTGCCTGTAATCCTCCTGGATTACAGGCACACATCACCTTGAATCCAGCAGGCAGAATGAGCCAAGATCGTGCCACTGCACTCCAGCCTGGGCGACAGAGCAAGACTCCGTCTCCAGAAAAAAAAAAAAAGAAAAGAAAAGAAGAAAGGTGGCAAGAAGGTGAAACATGGAATTTTCCAGAGCAAAGCCAGGAAGTACTGTGTAAGAAAGGACCATGTGATCTGCAACATGACCGTAGGGGAAGACTCTGCCCTCCTTTGTTTTATTCTCCTCCACGTCCGAGAACCTGTCCTATATAGGTCTTCGTGTGTACAAAGCTCACCGAAAACCCATACTCACCCCTCCCCGAGAAAACTGGGTCACATATCTCTTGAATATTTAATGTAATGTCCTACATTTGGTGCCTAGAGAGAAACTGTTACTCACTTGTAGATGTCACTCAGGCCACAGACAGACTGTCATTCACTGAAGACACAGTATCCTTAGTCACATTTGATCTTGGGGACTCTGCATCTCTGCTTCTTCCACCTTTGTCTGTTTTGCATTTGTCATTTATTCATTCAGTATTTTCTATTAGCTAAGGATTGATTGCTTGACTACTCAGACTTGCAAATTAATAAGACATAGACTCTGTGTTTAATGTATATTCCTCAATCTAGTTGGGAAAGTAGAATTTTACAGTCAATGATAGTGTTTCTGCCTGTCTATCCCTCTCTTTTTGAATCACTACCACCGACCCCCACCACTACCACAATTTTTTCATTTTCTTTTGCTTTCTATTTGCCAGATTCAAATTATTTTTTAAATTGTCATATAAAAGAAAATATAACATTATCATCTTAAGTGTCCACTACAGTAATACGTATGTATATTATGGTACAACAGCTCACTAGAATTTTTCATCATACAAAACTGAAACTCTATACCCATTAAACAATTCCCATCCCCACCAGTAATTGTCTTTCTGGGTTTTTTTTGTTTTTTTTGTTTTTTGAGACACAGCCTCATTCTGTCGCCCAGGCTGGAGTACAATCTCGGCTCCTGGGTTCATGCAATTCTCATGCCTCAGCCTCTTGAATACCTGAGATTACAGGCATGCACCACCAAACCCAGCTAATTTTTGTATTTTGAGTAGAGCTGGAGTTTCACCATTTTGGCCAGGCCAGTTTCAAACTCCTGACCTCAGATGATCTGCCCACCTCAGCCTCCCAAAGTGCTGGGATTACAGGCGTGAGCCACCACATCCAGCCAGTAATTGTCTTTTTATGATTTGCTTATTTCACCTAGCATGATGTCCTCAAGAGTCATCCATGTTGTAGCATATGGCAGGATTTCCTTTTTTTTTAAGGCTGAATAATATTCCCCTGTATATATATGTATATACCCCATTTTCTTTATCCATTTATCCATCAGTGGACATTTAGGTTGCCTCCATCTCTTTGACTATTGTGACTAATGCTGCAGTGAACACAGGTGTGCAAACATCTCTTAGAAATTGTATTTTCTTTTCTTTTTTTTTTTTTTGAAATGGAGTTTCGCTCTTGTTGCCCAGGCTGGAGTGCAATGCTGTGATCTCGGCTCACCACAACCTCAGCCTCCTGGGTTCAAGCAATTCTCCTGCCTCAGCCTCCCAAGTAGCTGGGATTACAGGCATGCACCACCACACCTGGCTAATTTTGTGTTTTTTAGTAGAGATGGGGTTTCTCCATGTTGGTCAGGCTGGTCTCGAACTCCCGACCTCAAGTAATCCACCTGCCTCGACTTCCCAAAGTGCTGGGATTACAGGCATGAGCCACCGCGCCCGGCCATTATATTTTCAATTCTTTTGAATATATATCAAGAAGTGGGATTGCTGGATTGTATATGGTAATTCTATTTTTAATGTTTTGAGGCGTCTCCATGCTGTTTTCCATAGTGACTACACCATTTACATTCCCACCAACAATGCACAAGGGTTCCAATTTCTCCACATCCTTACCAGCACTTGTTACTCTCTGTTACATTTGTTTGTCTGTTTGTTTGTTTTGATAGTGGCCAACTTAATGGGTGTGAGGTGATCTACCATTGTGATTCTGATTTGCATTTCTCTGATGATAGTAATGTTCTGCTAGCAACTTTTCATACAACTTGTTGGCCATTTGCAGTTATTCTTGGATTAATGTCTATTCAATTCCTTTGGCCTTTTTCTTTCTTTCTTTTTTTTTTTTTTTAATTAAGACAAGGTCTTGCTCTGTTGCCCAGGCTGGAGTGCAGTGGCATGACCTTGGCTTACTGCAACCTCCGCCTCCCGGGTTCAAACGATTCTTGTGCCTCAGTCCCCTAGGTAGCTGAGATTACAGGCACGTGCCACCACGCCTGGCTAAATTTTTGTATTTTTGGTAGAGACGGGTTTTTGCCATTTTTTCCAGGCTGGTCTCAAACTCCTTGCCTCATGTGATCCACCCACCTCAGCCTCCCAAAGTGCTGGGATTACAGGAGTGAGCCACCAGGCATGGCCTTCTGCCATTTTTTTTTTTTTTTTTTTTTTTTTGAGACGGAGTCTGGCTCTGTCACCCAGGCTAGAGTGCGATGGTGCGATCCCGGCTTACCGCAACCTCTGCCTCCCAGGTTCAAGCGATTCTCCTGCCTCAGCCTCCTGAGTAGCTGGGATTACAGGTGCCCGCCACCGCGCCTGGCTAATTTTTGTATTTTTTTTAGTAGAGATGGGGTTTCACCATGTTGGCCAGGCTGGTCTCGAACTCCTGGCCTCATGTGATCTGCCTGCCTCGGCCTCCCAAAGTGCTGGGATTACAGGCATAAGCCACCATGCCTGGCCCTTTTGCCGATTTTTTTATCAGGTTGCTTTATTGTTGTTGAGTAGTAGGTGCTCTTTATACATTCTGGATGCTGCCCCTCATCAGATACACAGTTTGCAGATATTTCCTTCCACTTTATAGGCTGCCTTTTCACACTGTTGTCTCCTTTGCGACACAGTTTTTAAATTTGATGTCGTCCTATTTGTCTACTTTTGCTTTCATTGCCTGCGCTTTTGTTATCATATGTTACAAATCATTGCTAAATCCAAATGTAATGAAACTTCTCCCCTATGTTTTCTTCAGGTAGTTTTATAGTTTCAGGTTTATATTTTTTGTTTTGTTTTGTTTGTTTGTTTTGAGATGAAGTTTTGCTCTTGTTGCCCAGGCTGGAGTGCAATGGTGCAATCTCGGCTCACCGCAACCTCTGCCTCCCAAGTAGCTGGGATTACAGGCTTCAAGCAATTCTCCTGCCTCAGCCTCCCGAGTAGCTGGGATTACAGGCATATGCCACCATGCCAGGCTAATTTTGTATTTTTAGTAGAGACCGGGTTTCTCCATGTTGGTCAGCCTGGTCTCGAACTCCTGATCTCGTGATCCGCCTGCCTCAGCCTCCCAAAGTCCTGGGATTACAGGCATGAGCCACCACACCTGGGTATATTTAGGTCTTTAACACATTTTCAGTTTTTTGTACATGGTGTAAGGGAAGGATCCAACTTTTATTCTTTTTTTTTTTTTTTTTTTTTGAAATGGAGTCTCGCTCTGTTCCCCAGGCTGGAGTACAGTGGCACCATCTCGGTTCACTGCAACCTCTGCCTCCTGGGTTCAAGTGATTCTCCTGCCTCAGCCTCCCAAGTAGCTGGGATTACAGGCGCATGCCACCACGCCCGACTAGTTTTTTGTATTTTTAGTAGAGATGGGTTTCACCATGTTGGCCAGGCTGGTCTTGAACTCCTGACCTCGTGATCCGCCTGCCTCAGCCTCCCAAAGTGCTGGGATTACAGGTGTAAGCCACCATGCCCGGATTTTTTTTTTTTTGTCTTAGGTGGAGTCTCGCTCTGTTACCCAGGCTGGAGTGCAGTGGCGCGATCTTGGCTCACTGCAACCTCTGTTTTCTGGGTTCAAGTGATTCTCCTGCCTCAGCCTCCTGGGTAGCTGGGATTACAGGCGCCCGCCATCACGCCCAGCTCTGTGTGTGTGTGTGTGTGTGTGTGTGTGTGTGTGTGTGTGTGTGTTTAGTAGAGACGGGGTTTCACCATGTTGACCGGGCTGGTTTCGAACTCCTGACCTCAAGTAATCCAGCTGCCTCAGCCTGCCAAAGTGCTAGGATTACAGGTGTGAGCCATCACACTCGGCCCCAACTTTATTCTTTCACATGTAGTTAACCAGTTTTCCTAGAACCATTTGGGGTTTTTGTTTTGTTTTGTTTGAACAAGGTCTCTCTCTGTTGCCCAGACAGGAGTGCAATGGTGCAATCATACCTCACTGCAGCCTCACACTCCTGAGCCCAAGCAGTCCTTCTGCCGCAGCTTCTCAAGTTGCTGGGACTACAGGCACACACCACCATGCCCAGCTATTTTTTTTATTTTTTGTAGAGATGATGTATCGTTCTGTTGCCCAGGCTGGTCTTGAACTCCTGGCCTCAAGCAGTCCTCCCACCTGGGCCTCCAAAAGTGCTGGAATTAGAGATGTAAGCCATCATGCCTGGCTACCATTAATTGAAGAGACTGTCATCAAATTACGTTTTAAAGAAAAGACTGAAATATATTCCTTCTATAGAAAAGCACTTCAAACATATTGTATACAGAAGCAATCAATGAGTATGCAGCCAAAATATAAGAAAATAAGAATGTTAGAATCTTTTTGGGTGCTTAATGAAAAATACTAGGTTGTTTTTTAGGATTTGGTGATATTTATGGTGTTTGTGAGTGTTTAAAAACATGTAATTTTGCCCAGGGCACAGAGGCTCATGCCTGTAATCCCAGCACTTTGGGAGGCTGAGGCGGGCAGATTGCTTGAGCTCAGGAGCTCGAGACCATCCTCAGGAACATGGCAAAACCCTGTCTCTACAAAAAATACAAAAATTAGCCAGGCATGATCTCATGAGACCACATCTGTGGTCTCAGCTACTCGGGAGGCTGAGGTGGGAGGATTGCTTGAGCCCAGGAGGTCAAGGTTGCAGTGAGCCGGGAGTGCACCACTGCACTCCAGCTGGTGACAGAGTGAAACCCTGTCTCAAAAAAAAAAAAAAAAAAAAAAAAAAAAAAAGCAATTTTGATCATCTCTCCTCATTCTAAGTAAAAATTACTTTCATATATAAGTCGTAGTGTGTAAGTTTCAGGCTATCCATAACTAGATCTACTCCTGTTCAGATACATTACATTTTGTATCAATTTTGCCTTTTTATCTCTTGATATCTGCCCCAATCTAGATGTGTTGACCTTCATACCTGAAACAGCATCGTCTGTGGTCTCTCTTCACTGTCACGCTGGGGAGTCCCTTTGGCTCACTTCTGCATTAGATCTCCTATGCCCTCCTGTATCCCCTGTGTTCTTTCTTGGCTTACTTCCTTGCCTTGGTAATTCCTTTATGTAGATCTGAGTTTCAATTTTCCTTCACCCAGATTTCTGTTAACATTTCTTGAAATACCAGTATGCTAGCTAGAATTCTCTTAGCTTTTGTCTAAAAATGTCTGTTTTGCCTTTATTTTATTTTTTTTTTTTTCTGAGACATGGTCTCACTTTGTCACCCAGGTTGGAGTGCAGTGGCATGATCATGGCTCACTGGCAGCCTCAACCTCCCGAGCTCAAGCGATCCTCCCACCTCAGTCCCCCAAGTAGCTGGGACTACAGGCGCGCACCACCACCCCTGGCTAATTTTTTGTATTTTTTGTAGAGATGGGGTTTTGCCATGTTGCCCAGACTGACTACCTTTATTTTAAGGGATATTTTGCTGAATATAATGCTGCATTTAAAAAATACCATTTTTTAAAAAGCCAGATGTCATTCTGGCTTGTGTGGATTCTGACAAGAAGTTAGCAGTTATTCTTTGTTCTGTATGTCATATGTCTTTTACCTCTGGCTACTTTTAAGATTTGTTTATCTGTTTCTCACCATTTTGATGATGATGTGCTCTGGATTGCTTTTATTTATGTATATCCTATTTTATAGTTTGTTGAGTTTCTTGGTTCTATGAGTTTATCATTTTTATCAAATTTGAAAATTTCCTGGTTATTTTTTTCAAAAATTTTTAATGCCTGACCCTCCCTCTAAGACTCCGGTTTCATGTATCAGACCACTAATATTGTCGCATGGGTCACTGTGGCTCTGTTCTTTTTTTTTTTTCTTAGAAGTTTTCTTTTTCTCTGTACTACAGTTTAGTTTCTATTGCTGTATCTTCAAGTGTATAGGTCTCTGTAGTGTTTAATCTTTTGTCAAGTCAATTTAGTGAATTTTTTATTTTTAGAAGTTATGTTTGGTTCTTTTTATATATCTCCCGTTTCCTATCTTCATTCTTTTTTTTTTCCCCCACTGGCTTAATTTATTTTATTTTATTTTTTAAATTTTATTATTATTATACTTTAAGTTTTAGGGTACATGTGCACAACGTGCAGGTTTGTTACATATGTATACATGTGCCATGTTGGTGTGCTGCACCCATTAACTCGTCATTTAACATTAGGTATATCTCCTAATGCTATCCCTCCCCACTCCCCCCACCCCACAACAGTCCCCGGTGTGTGATGTTCCCCTTCCTGTGTCCATGTGTTCTCATTGTTCAGTTCCCACCTATGAGTGAGAACATGCGGTGTTTAGTTTTTTGTCCTTGTGATAGTTTGCTGAGAATGATGGTTGTGTTCACACTTTCTTTAAAATCTTTGAATTTTTTTTTTTTTTTTTTTTTTTTTGAGACAAGTTCTCAGTTTGTCGCCCAGGCTGGAGTGCAGTGGCACAATCTCTGCTCACTGCAACCTCTGCCTCCTGGGTTCAAGCAGTTCTTCTGCCTCAGCCTCCTGAGTAGCTGGGATCACAGGCGTGTGCCACCACACCTGCCTAATTTTTGTATTTTTAGTAGAGATGGGGTTTCACCATGTTGGCCAGGCTGGTCTCAAACTCCTGACCTCAGGTGATCCACCCACTGCGGCCTCCCAAAGTGCTGGGATTACAGGTGTGAGCCACTGTGCCGGCCTGAACATGTTTTTAATAGCTGTTTGAACTTCCTTATATTAAAAACCTACAGCCAACACCAGACATAATGAAGACTGAAAGCTTTCTCCTAAGATCAGGAACACAGCAAGGGATGTCCACTCTCACCACTGCTATTCACCCAAGTACAGGAGGTTCTAGCTAGTGCACTAAGGAAAAATAAACCAAAAGCATCTCAATTGGAAGGGAAGAAGTAAGACTGTTTCTATTGCTAGGAAACATAATTGTCTGTGTAGAAAAACCCATGAAATCTAATTTTATTAATTTATTTGGAGACAGGGTCTTGCAGTGTCACTCAGGCTGGAGTGCAGTAGTGCAAACATGGCTCACTTCAGCCTCTATCTCCTGGTCTCAAGTAATGATCAGCATTTGAGTAGCTGAGACCACAGATGAACGCCACCATACTTCACTAATTTTTTAATTTTTTTGTAGAGATGGGGTCTCAGCATGTCGCCCAGGCTAGTCTCAACTCCTGGGCTCAAGCGATCCTCTCACATCAGCCTCCCAAAGTACTAGGATTACAGGCATTAGCCACTGCACCCAACCCTGAAATCTGTTTTTGAAAAGCTACTGGAACTAATAAGAAGTTTAACAGCATCAGAACATAAGATCGATATGTAAAAATTGATTGAATTGTCTATGTGCTATCAACAAATAATCTGAAGTTGAAATTTTAAAACAATACCATTTATAATAAGTAAATATCATAGATCTTGAATGGAAGTATATAGAATAAAGGATTCATTATAGGGATTAGGTCTATACAGGGCCTTATGTGATTGTTGGTGCTGTTGAAGAGTCTGTTGCCATTGAGTCTCTTGGTGGGCCTGAATGTTGTGCAGGGCTGAAGCTGGGAAGAAAGCTCAGTGTTTAGCGGCAGAGAGAAAGGGCAAATTGGAACCCATGTGCATTTCTCAGCCAGGATCTCACCTTGTCGCCCAGGCTGGAGTGCAGTGGCACAATCACAGTGAGCAGTGGCTCACTGCAGCCTTGTCAGTGCCTTTAGCCTTGATAAAATGGTTGACTGACCTGCAGAAGGAGCTGGCACTCTTCACTACAGAGGTGCACATGCACTTGGCCCAGAAGTCAGATAATTTGAAGGAGACTATCTCATGAGAGCTGGAAGACATGTAGCCCGGCAGGCTGGCCAGCACATCAGTGACGGTAAGCATAAACTGCCACAGCACCGTGTGCCCTACATTTAACCTTCAGAGCGTAATGATTGCTGCCATCTTCCACCTTCCAAATCTCATGGAAATTTTTCTTATGATTAACCCCAACTCATAATCATACATGGAAGAGAATTATCTGAATCGTAGTTCCAGATTAGCTAAATTGATACAGTACAAAGTCATTATAATACTTAATAGTTTTTTGATAGCCTTAGGTATAAAACCTTATAAACGGCAACCTATTTTGCAAGGTTGTAGGATATACTATCAGTATATAAAAATCACTTGTGTTGGCCGGGTGCGGTGGCTCACGCGTGTAATCTCAGCACTTTGGGAGGCTGAGGTGGGCGGATCATGAGGTCAGGAGTTCAAGACCAGGCTGACCAACATGGTGAAACCCCATTTCTACTAAAGATACATTAAAAAATTAGCCAGGCATGGTGGTGAGCACCTGTAATCCCAGCTACTTGGGAGAGTGAGGCAGGAGAATCGCTTGAACCTGGGAGGCAGAGGTTGCAGTGAGCCAAGATCATGCCATTGCACTCCAGCCTGGGCTACAGGACGAGACTCCATCTCAAAAACAAACAAACAAACAAACAAAAATCACTTGTGTTTCTATACAGTAGCAATGAGCAAACCGCAAATAAAATTAGGAAAGCTATTTCATTTACAGTAGCATCAAAAAGAACAAAGTACTCAGGAATAAATTTAACCGAAGTAAAAATTTTATAAACTACAAATCACTGGGAGAAATTACAGAAGAACTAAATAAATGGAAAGATACTCCATGTTTATAGATCAGAAGACAAAATTGTTAAGACGGCAGTGCTCCCCAAATTGATCTACAGATTCAACACAATCTCTATCAAAATGATCTCTATCAAAATCTCTATCAAATAAGCTGACTTATTTGCAGAAATTGACAAGCTGATCCTAAAATTTACATATAAATTCAAGGGTGCAGAAAAGCCGAAATAATCTTGAAAAAGAACAAAGTTGAAGGCCTCGACTTTTCAATTTCAAAATATACTTCTAAGCTACAGTAATCAAGACAGTGTGGTACTGGCATAAGGATAGACATATACCATAATGGAATAGAATTGAAAGTCCAAAAATAACCCTCACATTTACAGTCAATTGAATTTTAAACATGGATGTCAAGACATTTTCTATGAGGAAAGAATAGTAGTTTCAACAAGTGGTAGGCTGGGCATGGTGGCTCATGCCTGTAATCACAATGCTTTGGGAGGCCAAGGCAGGAGGATCACTTGAGGCCAGGAGTTTGAGACCAGCCTGGGAAACATAATGAGACCTTGTCTCTTATAGGAAAAAAAAAATTTAGAGGGGCATGGTGGCGTGTGCCTATAGCCCTAGTAACTCAAAAGGCTGAGGCAGGAGGATCGCTTTTTCTAGGAGTTCAAGGTTGCAGTGAGCTGTAATCATGTCAGTGTACTCCAGCCTGAGTGACAGAGCAAGACCCTGTATCAAAAAAAAAAAAAAAAAAAAAGGTGGTGATGAGACAACTGAATATCCACATGACCCTACCTCATACCATACACAAAAATTAACTCAAAATGGATCAAAGACCTAAATGTAAGAGGTGAAGCTATAAAACTCTTAGAAGAAAACATATGAGTAAATCTTTGTGACCATGGATTAGGCAGTAGTGTCTTACATATGACACCAAAAGTACAAACAAGAGAAAAATAGATAATAAACTGGACACTATCAAACTAAAAAACATTCAGGCTTCTAAGAACCACATCAGGAAAGTAAAAAATGACCCACAAAATGGGAGAAAATTTTTGCAAATCATATATCTGATAAGGGACTTATATCTAGAATATATAAGAACTACTACATACATACACAATAATGATATATAACCCAATTAAAAATGGGCAAAGGATCTGAATAGACAGTTCTTCAAAGAAGATACACAATGGCCAATAATCACGTGAAAAGATGCCCAACATCATTAACCATCAGAGATATTCAACTCAAAACCACAAGCAGATACTACTTGGCACCCACTAGGATGACTATGATCAAAAAGATAGATAATAACAAGTGTTGATAATGATGTGGAGAAGTTGTAACCCTCATACACTGCTGGCAGGAATGTAAAATGGTGCAGCTCCTTTAGCAAACTGGCAATTTCTCAGATGGTTAACAGAGTTACCCTATTATCCAACAATTCCACACCCAGGTGTATACCCAAAAGAAATGAAAACATACCCACACAAAAAATGGTTTGTTTTGTTTTGTTTTGTTTTGTTTGACGGAGTCACACTGTGTAGCCCAGGCTGGAGTGAGGTGGTACAATCTTGGTTCACTGCAACCTCTGCCTCCCGGGTCCTGATTCAAGCAATTCTCCTGCCTCAGCCTCCCGAGTAGCTGGGATTACAGACACATGCCACGATGCCCAGCTAATTTTTGTATTTTTAGTAGAGACGGGGTTTCACCATGTTGGCCAGGCTGGTCTTGAACTCCTGACCTTGTGATCCGCCTGCCTCGGCCTCTCAAAGTGCTGGGATTACAGGCATGAGCCACCGTTCCCAGATAATTTTTGTGTTTTTTGTAGAGACAGGGTTTCGCCATGTTCCCAGGCTTATCTCAAACTCCTGGGCTCACATGATCCACCCACCTTGGCCTCCCACAGTGCTGGGTTTACAGGTGTGTGCCACCATGCCCAGCCTCTATCAACTGTTGGATGGACCTACCCAAAGGAATTGAATGCAGGAACAGGAACAGATGCTTCTGCGTTCCTTGTGGCATTATTCACTATAGCCCAAAGATGCCAGCACCCTAAGTATTCCAACACATTCATGGATAAACAAAATGTGGTGTGTTCCTACAGTGGAACACAAAATATTCCATAAAAAGGAATGAAATTTTCATACATACTGCAGCAAAGATCAGCCTTGAAAATATTTGTGACTGGAAGAACCAGCCAGTATGGTTCCACTTATATGACATGTCCAGAATAGGAAAATCTATAGAGACAGAAAGTAGATTAGTAGTGGTTTCCTAGGACTTGGGGATATGGGGAGATTGGGAGGTAGTGGCTAAGTGGTACAGGGTTTCTTTTCAGAACAATCAAAATCTTCTAAAATAGATTGTGGTGATGGTTGCACAATTCTGTGAATACACTAAAAGCCATTGAATTATGTACTTTTTTTTTTTTTTTTAAAGATGGAGTCTTGCTTTGTCACCCAGGCTGGAGTACAGTGGCATGTCTGGGCTCACTGCAACCTCCTCCCAGATTCAAGTGAGTCTCCTGCCTCAGCCTCTTGAGTAGCTGGGATTACAGGCATGTGCCACCATGCCTGGCTAATTTTTGTATCTTTAGTAGAGACGGGGTTTTACTGTGTTGGCCAGGCTGGTCTTGAACTCCTGACCTCAAGTGATCCGCCCACCTCGGCCTCCCAAAGTGTTGGGATTACAGGCATGAGCCACCATACCTAGCCTGAATTATATACTTTAAGTGGGTGAATTGTATGTTAGGTGAATTATATCTCAATAAATCTTTTTTTTTTTAAGGCAGCCTAGGTCTGACACACCTAATAGAACAGAAGCTCTCGCTTCTTTCTTCTCTTTCCATCAGTCAGTGATGCCCTTTGTGGGCAGGTTTGTGCACAGATCAGGGGTTCCATTCCATTCCTTATTATTTGGGTTCTTCTTGAAGAGCAGCTTCTGCCTAGCCCATGGTGGCTAAGAGATTCACAAGCCAGTTTGTATTTTGCAAACTTTCCCTTGGGGCCTCAGCAGAGGATATTTTTAGAACAGCTGTGGGTCTAATTTTGATGTGGCCCAGTGACTGTACACCAGGCCTCATCACTGCCTTGGGATAAGCATATATTACATTCAGTCTTAATCCCTTGGAGGACACAGAGTTGTTCAGTCCATCCTGGTGTAGACCACAAACCATGTTTAAAATAGTGGGCTAAGCCACTGGGCCTCCATGGTGAGGTGGCACTGGTCCCTCTGCTTGAGTGAAGAAAAAAAAAAAAAACTAGGCAGGTAACCACAAGCCAAGTTGGGCTTGGCTGCTGCAGGCTGATTGGATGACTGTGGCAGTACCAGCTTTGCTAAATCTCCTTTGGCTCACTTTTTCTCCCTCTCCATGTCTCTACATCTTTCTTTTCTCTCAATCCTGCTCCTGCTGAGTCTACATTAACTCTTTGTTTAGCTTGGCTCCAGAACCATAAGTACTTTCCTTTAGTCAAATATTTATCTCTTGGGTAATTTTCTCCCTACTGTCAGCAGAACTCAAGAAATCCTCTGGTTCAACAAAGAGTAGAGTTTAAGGGACCTCAGAACTCTTCTACTCCAAACCTCTTCCTTTATACTCGAAGACCCTGGTGCCCAGAGAGAGGAAGTATTATGCCAAAGTTACCCACCAAGTTAGGCTAGGCCTGGGATTTGGTACCATTATCTCCTCACTCATGGCTCAGTACTCTTTCCATTTTTGAATGAAGAAAGACATTACAGAAAGAAGCAGGATTCTGAGCAAATTCCAACCACTTGCAATTATCTTTGTGATAGATACAGACATAGGATCAACAGTAGTCCACCTCAAAGACAGTTATTGTTTCTTAAAGTCCAAGAGGCTATTGGTTATCACTGAGTCCAACTTGGGGAGGTCATCAGATTTGTCTTTGGAGGGGAATGTGAGGTAGTTGACCTGGTAGAAAGTGTCTAATTTGGAATCAGGATTCAGGTTTGAGTCACAACTTTGCCACTTAAAGATTTCACATCTTGTATGAGTAATTTATTCTCTGTGCTTCAATGAATAGATCTATATAGCAGGAGTAACAGTACCTACCTTGGAGTGTGGTTGTATAGATTTGATAAAATAATGAAAGTAAAAGCTTATTTTAACTTGAAACAAAAGGTGTATTCACATGAAAAGATTGGCATTGTTGTGTGTGTGTTCAGCAAGAAGTGACCCCCTCCAAGTGTATTCTTATGACAGATTAGTGCTTAAAGTGGGCAGCGCCGGAGCTAAAGGTTCCGCCAGTTCTCTTCACACATGCCTGATCATTTGGGCAGCAAAGATGGAGCTATCTGGGAATGTCTCGACCCTTAACAGGTTGAAGGCTTTCTCCAACAAGTCCCAACTGATTGGCCTGCTGTATTCCCGCAGTATCTAAGCCTTCTAAAAAGGTATTACATACTATGTGGTTTAAAAAGAAAATCAGGCACAAAATGGTATAAAAAGAGACCTACTCTTATCTCCCAATCCTTGCCCAGAGGAAACAATCACTGTCAGCAGTTTACTGTGTATCATTCCAAAGATATTCTGTGCATCCTTTTTTCTTTGCATCGAAAAAATACACTACTATGCACACTCTTTCCATATATCAATACATCTTGGAGATTTTTCCTTTTTTAGTATTTATAGAATTTCCTTAGAGACAACATAGTTTTCCACAATTTATTTCACAATGCCTATTGTTGGATGTATAGATGGTCTTCAATCTTTTGTCATTATAAACAGTGTTAAAGTAAATATTTTATATCTTAGGACATTTGTGTAATTTCATCTGTATAAATAGTTCTTAGAAGTAGAATTCCCAGGTCAAAGGATAAGTGACCTAGGAATTTTTTGTAATTTAATTATTTAATGTCAAATTTTCCATCATAGTCACCATACTAAGTTATACTCCCACCCCCAGGTATGAGAGTACTTATTTCTCTACGCCTTGCCAGTACAGTGTGTTATCAGATTTTTTGGTCTCTGCAAATCAGATTCAATGTGTCATTTTATTGTAATTTAAATTTGCATTTCTCTTAGACTGGCATGGAACGTATTTTCACAAATTTAAATGCCATATTTAGTTCTTTCATTGTTCATGGTCTTTACCCATCTTTATACTGGGTTTTTTATCTTATTCATATTGATTTGGAGGAGCTTTCTATATACTAAGCAAATTAGCACTCTATCATATATATTATAAATATTTTTCCAAGTTTGTCAGTATCTTTGCCATACAAATTTTAAATTTTATGTGTTTATCAATAATTTCTGGGGTTTGTATCATATTAAGTATAGCTTTCTCATTTCTCTGTTTTTAAAAAAAATTCTTCGTTTTATGGTAAATTTTTACTTTCTTTTCCGCTACTTCCTTTTTACAAGACTGTTGTGCACATAATAGATGTTCAAGACTTTTTTCTAAACAGCTATTTCAATTTAGGCTGTTTCATGTAATGAGAGGAAGACTGAATTTGGATTCAGAAGACCTCATTGACAACTAACTATAACACATTCAAACTAGTTACTAGGTACCTGCCTCCTGCATTTTTGTGAATATCTAATAAGATCAAGTGAATTTAATATATGAGAAAGTCCTTTTTAAAGTATAAAGAAATTATTTGGGACAGTTTTTCAGTGAACACATTCATATATGCTTTTATTATTTTTCTCCCTAATTGGTCTCAGGTTTGAAATAAAATTTGTCTCTAGGAAAAAGCAAAGCTCATAAATGTGGGGTTTTCTTTATTGCTTCTTTGGGAATACCTTACCGATGAGAAGGCTTTCCTGAGCCTTGGTTGGGAGCTGAATGAGAAGGGGCAATTGGGCCTCTGGTGAAAGGTTCTCCCCAAGTGTCCAAACTAGTACCTTTTAAGAGTAGGATGGTTGGAAAAAGTGGGCAGGACATTTGCATAATATTCCAGGACAGAGAGTTCACTTTTATTGGGCTGAAAGAGTTCAAAGGCAAAGTCTTCTGGGAACTAAAGTTGGTTTCGTTGGCTTACTCTTAGACAGATGTGACTTCCTGTGTCAGCGAGGGAGGCTCCAAGGACAAGTTGAATGCCCAAGTTATAGAAAGTTATGTTTGTATTGGTCGTTGTTAATAAAACAGAGTATCTGGGGTGTTTGAAAAAGAAGGAAGCCCATCAACACAGAGGATTATGAATCAGACCCTTCCAGAAGTCTCTATACCTCACTTTGAGAGAATTTCCATTTTGGTTTAATGAGTTGGTCACATTGCATCATCCCTTTATCTACCCAAAATGTGAATTTTAAACATTTTTTATCCAGATAATTTTTTCACAGAGGGAAATGCACAGAGCTTAAATGTGCAAGTAATTAAATGAGTTTTAGTGAAGGGGAGAAATCACAGTAAAAATATATATTTTCAATATATTTGTATATTATATATAATACATATTTTATATTTTTATATATAAATTTTTTTCACTGTGATTTTCCCCCTTTAAAAATAAATCAGCCCATGGCATCTTTTATTTAAATAATACTATGATGTCGTGATGTTGTAATACTAAAAGTTGTGTTGTTTTTTTTGCTCCACGTTGCTCCTTTTTGTATTGAAAACGATTGGGCAGCCATGACATTCAATGGTGCTGCCTAGTTCCTTCAGAGATTTTACCGTTTTATTTATGTTTTAATACAAAGGTGACCATTTTTACTGGAAAAGTACCAATGAATTCAACTAGTCTTGGTTTGGAGGACTATAACACATTCAAACTAGTTAGCTTCATCCACCAGACATTAAGCACCCACTCTATGCTAAGTACTTTATGTTACGTTTAGCTCATTCTCCCTATTATATTTAGTTAACTCTCCTATTTAGTTCATCAGCGATGATGAAGGGAAGACCAAGTGAATTTAGAGGGGATTTGTACCAAAATGAGGTTGCAAAAGTAAATTGATTTTTTTTTTTTTTTTGAGACGAGTCTGGCTCTGTCGCCCAGGCTAGAGTGCAGTGGTGCCATCTCAGCTCACTGCAAGCTCCGCCTCCTGGGTTCACGCCATTCTCCTGCCTCAGCCTCCCAAGTAGCTGGGACTACAGGCGACCGCCACCATGCCTGGCTAATTTTTTGTATTTTTAGTCGAGACAGGGTTTCAATGTGTTAGCCAGGATGGTCTCAATCTTCTGACCTCGTAATCCACCTTCCTCAGCCTCCCAAACTGCTGAGATTACAGGCGTGAGCCACCGCACTTGGCCGTAAATTGATTTTTTAAAAAAAAATTTTAGAGACAGGGTTTTGCTCTGTCACCCAGGTTGGAATGCAGTGACGCAGTCATAGCTCACTGCAGCCTCAACCTCCTGGGCTCAAACAGTCCTCCTGCCTCAGCCCCCCAAGTAGCTGAGACAGCAGGCCACCACACCCAGTTGTAAATTGATTTTTAAGCAGTTAGAACTTGAACTGATTCACCTGGGCAGCTTTAGTTGTATCTTTGGTATTACGATCTTGAGAGGTGAAGCCGGCTGGGCTTCTGGGTTGGGTGGGGACTTGGAGAACTTTTCTGTCTAGCTAAAGGATTGTAAATGCACCAATCAGCGTTCTGTGTCTAGCTAAAGGTTTGTAAACACACCAATCAGCACTCTGTAAAAATGGACCAATCATCACTCTGTAAAATGGACCAATCAGCAGGATGTGGGCAGGGCCAAATAAGGGAATAAAAATTGGCCACCTCCCCCACCCACACCAGCAGTCGCAAACCTGCTCAGGTTCCCTTCTATGTCAGGAAGGTTTGTTCTTTCACTCTTCACAATAAATCTTGCTGCTGCTCACTCTGGGTCCACACTAGCTTTATGAGCTGTAACACTCACCAGGAAGGTCTGTGGCTTCATTCCTGAGAATGAAGTCAGCGAGACCACGAACCGACCGGAAGGAAGAAACACTGGACACATCTGAACATCTCAAGGAACAAACTCCAGACACACCATCTTTAAGAACTGTAACACTCATCGCGAGGGTCCGCGGCTGGTTCTTGAAATCAGCCAGACCCAAGAACCCACCGGAAGGAACCAATTCCAGACACAATCTGAAGACTTGTTCACCTCCGATGCTGCTTCTGGGCTCTTTGCAATTAGCAGTGCAGCCCACAACTGCGTTTTTTTTTTTCCTCTACTCTTTTTTTTTTTCCCTCCTGCTGTTTAGGCTTCATTCTAACTAGCTTTTCAGCCTATGTGGGCATTTATTTGTTCCCTTAAGGCCATGCCAGTTGTTGCAAAGGTAGAGAAGGAATCCTCAGAAGAGCTCTCAGGGTCTCTGCTTAGGAAAGCCTCCACTCAACAGTAAGTGAGGAGATTTGCCCAGGCATGGCAGGGCATAGCACAGTGACCTGATGCCACCTCAGAAGGGACAGCAGAAGCTTCCCCAGCACCTAGCTAGTGCCTGTTGTTGAATGAATGTATAAGTGAAGTTTTCAAGCAAGTGTCATCAAGGTTCTCTCCTGGTTCTCCTGTCTGTAGGCTTCTGAAAGCTTTGCTGCCCTAAATTCCTGTCCTTGGTCTCTGTTGGGACCATGCCTACTGACTGATGCTAACCTCGGGGTCTCTTCTGTCCCCTAGTGATTCAAACCAGCTATCCTGAAACTGCTTCCACCTGGGCAGACCAGGGACCACAGGAACCAGAGAAATGAAAAGTATCACTTGAGAACTAAATTGGGGTGTTTTGCTTTTCCCCTCCTCCTAGGTTGTGTGTGTGTGTGTGTGTGTGTGTGTTTCTTGCTAAAATGCAGCAAAGGAAGGGGAAACAAATACAACAGTGCACGGCAGAGTCCCTGCTAATAAATGTATATAAAAGAACTGAGTGCTGCTTCTCCAACATAACTTCCAGGTCTGAATACTTTGTT
Organism: Homo sapiens; assembly: GCF_000001405.40. Classification (NCBI taxonomy): domain Eukaryota; kingdom Metazoa; phylum Chordata; class Mammalia; order Primates; family Hominidae; genus Homo; species Homo sapiens. The sequence goes on from NC_000017.11 coordinate 61,285,390, forward strand.
TTCTGCAGATTTTCAACAGGTGTCAGTTACACTTTACCTGGCCCTAAAGTGAAAAGCTCTACATGCTTGGTTTGGTTTATCCATAGGATCTAGACTAGACTAGACTAGAGGATTGACGCAGTGAAAATGTTTACTCCTCTAATTAAGCAGAATTAAGGTCTGGGCTCAAAACTGTCTTGAGCTGTGCTAGGCATAATTGAGATGCATGGACTTTGTGTAAATAATGTACTTCTAATTGGCTTTGATTAAGTGCAAATTAGAATCACACTTCACTCCAGTGTGATTTACATTCCTAAGCCCTTTTACTAACTGAAGTACTGTGGGTGGCCGATAAGGCTTGTTTATCCAGGAGACAAGAGACTAGGAGCTAGGAGCTGCGGATCTGCAGTTTCCCAAAGGTAAAGGAGCCTGCAGCTGAGCCTCGAGTTTCTCATGTCTTCCCTCCCATCTCCAGTCCCTACTTTAGGCGAATCAGCTTTAGTCCTCTAAATTCTAAAGCTCTACCAATTTTTTTTTAGTTTCAAGACTTAGCTTACACACACACTCAAGTTACGTGAATACATGAATATTGCAGTTTGTCTTGTGAAACCTCAGACCTAAAACCAGCCCCAGGCTTTGACTGTCAATATCATGACACCTTTTTACTCATGGACCAGAAACATTTCATAAAGGAAACAACTGGTGGGAAGTTTTTTCCAGAGAGTTCCCAGTGTGTGAGTGTGAGTCAACAGACTGCTACAAAGTAGCTTAAACTCTGCACACATCTTCCTCTGGGATTTCTTTGCAGCTTTCAAAGGGTAGATCTTTGCAACCATCCCTTGGGGAGCCTGCAGGGCGGGGTGCGGAGGGTCTGCGGGGGTGGGGCGCTGCCGAATATGAGACATTTCCTCTTGCTTCTGAGTTCTCTGAATCTGCATTTGAAAGTTATCGTGAGCAGATGAAGCAGAGGTTGCTGGGTTTATACTGATGTCTGCGCCCACTCCTGTGCTGGTGAAGTCTGGCGTGTGGAGAGGCCTCTGGTTATTGGGAGGCTGGTAAATGGCCAGCAGGATAGAAATCCGACGTGGTGTTTATGACCCTGGAGGCCATCGATAACTGGACCTAGAAGGGTTTCTCCAGATTTTCTCACGTTAGCATGCTGCTGCTTGGTGCACGACCAAAAAGTAACATGTCAGAATAGGGATTTTCACACCAGCAGAGAGTGCTAACAGTGTGCCAGGATCTGTGGGCACGCTGTTAGCAGGGCTAAGTTAAATACTCGCTTTACACCGTTGTGAAGGCAGCTCCCAGGGCAGCCAGAGGAGCATGTCACCTTCAGAGTAGGTTGGACTGTAAATATGTTTGGTCTCTAAACTCTGCCACGGGCTTACCAGAGTGAGAAGTTAGCATATTGAGGCAAATTACACTACAGAGATCCTGGCCAGGGTGAGGAAAGACAGAGAATGCTTTCTAGGACCTTTATACTGCATTCATTCATTTATTCATTCACTGAAACTTTATGGGCCACCTACTGAGCCAGACACCAGAGATGCAACTAGAAAGATGCCATGGTCTTTACACCTAAAGAGCTCTATGGAGGCCAGGCGTGGTGGCTCGCGCCTGTAATCCCAGCACTTTGGGAGGCTGAGGTGGGTGGATCACAAGGTCAGGAGATCGAGACCATCCTGGCTAACACGGTGAAACCCCGTCTCTACTAAAAATACAAAAAATTAGCCGGGCGTGGTGGCGGGCACCTGTAGTCTTAGCTACTGGGGAGGCTGAGGCAGGAGAATGGCGTGAACCCGGGAGGCAGAGCTTGCAGTGAGCCGAGATCGCACCACTTCACTCCAGCCTGGGCAACAGAGCCAGACTCTTAAAAAAAAAAAAAACTCTATGGAGTTGGGGAACAGATCTCTATAGAGATAAATGAGAACCAAATGTGGTAGATGCTGCAGCAGAGAGGAGGAAGCCTGCGGTAGGGGCTGTCTTGGGGAAAATTGTCTGCCATACTGCATTTGTTCAGAGCAACGTGGAGTCAGCTTGAGGGCCACATGCTGTTCCAAGAAAGTGTACTTTGCAGGGCGTGGTGGCTCACACCTCTAATCCCAGCACTATGGGAGGCTAAGACAGGAGGATTACTTGAGCCCAGGAGTTCAAGACCAGCCTAAGCAACATAGTGAGACCTCGTCTCTATGAAAAATCAAAAAATTAGCCAGGCATGGTGATGGGCACCTACAGTCCCAGCTACTACTGAGGCTGAGGCAGGAGGATCACTTGAGCCCAGGAGGTGGCGGCTACAGTGAGCCAAGATGGCATCGTTACACTCCAGCCTGGGTGACAGAGTGAGACCCTGTGTCAAAAAACAAAAAACAAAACAAAAAAAACACCAACAAGCCAAAAAAGTACACTTATTATTGACTTTCTGAAGAAAAAGCAGTAATAACAACAATAGGATATTCACATTTGTTCAGTACATACTATGTGCCAAGTATTGTTCTAAGTATTTTTGTTCATTTTCTCATGTAATAGTCACAGCATTGAAAAGGTACCATTATTTCTATTTTAAGAGGAGCAAGCTGAAGGTTGCAGGGATTAAGTAACTTGCAGAGGAATCGGGACTCGAACTTGGTTCTGATATCTTTACAACTCTAGCTTGTTACTCTACACCAAAGTGTAAAAGACAGTCAGAAGCCCTGGGCTCTGTTGCTGACTTTCTTACCAACTGGCTGTGTGCTCTTCAGCAAGTCACTCCCTGTCTCTGCCTTGGTTCCTTCCTTAACCACTCCATTAAATGAGGCACTCAATCAACTTGAATCAAAGAAATTACATGGGCTGTGGGGAGGGAAAGTGTAAGGTCTTTGATGGCTTGCTGTGCTATTATCGGTAGTGAATTTTGTGACCTTGACTTGTCATCTGCTGGCCCTAAAGTATGTAGTGTTGATCTTTGTCAGTCTTACTTCTTGACCTGGGTGCTTGATTCCAGAAAGCCTCTTAAAGTGGGGCTCTGTATGTTTCTTTGTTGGGAGTGGATCCAGGCAGCAAGGGCCCAAGGTTATCAAGTACAAGGGCTTTGTCCCAGAGCCATCTCTGCTATAGATTGTCCTAGCTTTAGGTTGGCATGCACTTTCTACTTCAGATCCCCAGTGAGTCCTTGTTGGCAAATGTGGTGCTTTGATCTTTTAAAAGTTGAAGTTCAGCCCAAGACCTTGACCAAGGTCAAGTTCTCCTTCATTCCCAGTGGGCTTAGGAGGAGTGCTTTCTTGTCTGACTGATAGAGACAAGGAACCAAGTCGGCAGCAACCACAAGATATGGCGCACTGAAGGACTGGAAATTTTCTTGACAGTTTTTAATGCAGAGATGCCTAGAAAGAAGCTACCACCCCACATGCCAATCCTCCAAGCAGGCCTTGTACCCAGCCATGGGCGAAAGGGCTGTACTGAGAACCACCAAATCCTGGCCTAGCCAGGATGGTGGCTGGTGTTTTCCAGGTACCTTGGTATTCAAAAAAGCCTTAGAATAGCAGATTTTGGTTTTGGAGGACAGGGGTGGAGCATGAAAACATGCTCATAGTATTTATCTATAACCAATACAATGTTTAAAATGACCCGTCCCATTCGGGAAGGGCCGCGCAGGCCTAATGGCCCCTCTGCACATTTCCTCTTGGGCAAGGCCCAACACAAGTGCACCCTCCTTTCCACCCCTTAGTCCACTTGTTGGAACAACTTGTTTCAGACTCTTCATGTCGTCTAATCTTTCTAACCATATTCTGGAACTTTGACTTTGACCTTGAGTTATAATTCCAAGTACTAAGCATTACTTGGGAGAGAATGTACCCCCGCGACTCAGCTGGCTCACTCAGAGTGGCGGGGTGTGGTGGGGGTGCTGGCCCAACAGACTCTAGTCACTCATGGAAAGGGGTCTCTCTTCTGACCATTTCCAGACATCTTCACATGATCTCAGTTTGATTTTTAGCTTCCTTTTTGCTCTTCGCTTGTAATTTCTCAACATCAGACATGGCTGTTTACCTCCACGTACATTACTGCCATGTGAAACCACTCTGTCCTCTGAGAGCAAATAAACTGGCTTTAATGGGTATGCTGTCAAGTAACAGCTAAAGGGTTAAAAGTTTGAGCAGGCAGGCTGGCCAGCAGGAGTTAGTGGTGTGGAGTAAGAGGGACGCCAGCCTGTCTCTAAACTTTTTGGCCCTCCCCAAGTACAGAGATGAAGGAAGAGCCTCTATAAATCACTGGAGATTAGAGACCCCGTTCTTGCCGACTCCACAGGGTTGCACTGCTTAATGTCAAAGCCTCACGTATTACTCTAACAGCACTCCTTTTCTTTATTAAATCCACTTTGAAATAAAAAAAAAATGATGATCTTTCCAGTAAGGGGGAGAAGGCTAAAAGGATTTAGAAAGTATCTGCTATGTTACATTACAGAGACTAATAACTGTTTAGGGAGTAAGTAACATTTTTGCACCATCTTAAGCCATAAAAGCGAAGAGAGGTATAAAGGTCTGTTCCTTAGAATCAATTTGTTTGAGTGTTTATTTTGCCCCGTGTCCTTGCCTCCAGGTTTCCTTCAAAGTGTGAGCAAAGCAACTGGGAAACTGATGTGAGTGCTGATAGCCAAAAGGTCTGGGACACTAAATTTTTCAGAAATTAGGGTGTTTACTTGGGTTCGTGTGTGTAAAGGGAGCATGGGAAGGGAGTGTGGTGGTGGAAAGAGTTCTACTTTTATACTTAAAAGAAAAAATGCAAACTTTGTGTTCCTTTGGAGGCCGAAACTAAGCTTATCTCCTTCATCTGACTTTAATGAAGACATATTTTAAGCAGCTGCACCCATGTCAAATGTCATATTTTGGCTCAAAACGTCCACCTTCTGGGTGGGAGTTTTCTCAAACTAAGAAGTTGGTAGTAATTATAAGCTAATTGAGGAGCAGTAAGCAGAAGTCTGATTGTCACAAAACGTAAGTTAAAAATTATATAGATGAAAAAAGAGTGGCATGAATTGGTTATTTGTTAAAGCTGGCAGTGGGGTTTATTATACCATTCTCTCTGCTTATATATGTTTAAGATGTTCATAATAGAAAAACAAATCAGTTTAAATAAAATGCTTAGCACTTACTAACCAAAAATAAACCAATGTGAGCTAAAATATTAAATCACCAATTATAGCTTTTTAATTTATACTTTCAGAGAGATCTAGATAACGAAAAACGACAGAGAATTTGGGTGCCTCTAATTTGTTTACTACCCATTAGGGCTTGAAGCTTCTTTCTGTTTATTCCTTTATAGTCAAATGCCCATTACTTCAACAGAATTGTTCCAGGAAGGTAGGATTCCATCATTAAGAGCCCAGAAAAAAAAGCCTTGAAAATCTTGGGAGTAAATGTGGTCAAGGGACTTTTTAGTTTGCATTTTTTTTTTGAGTCAGAGTCTCGCTCTGTTGCCCAGGCTGGAGTGCAGTGGCGTGATCTCGGCTCACTGTGAGCTCCGCCTCCCGGGTTCATGCCATTCTCCTGCCTCAGCCTCCCAAGTAGCTGGGACTACAGGTGCCTGCCACCACGCCCGGCTAATTTTTTGTATTTTTAGTAGAGACGGGGTTTCACCATGTTAGCCAGGATGATCTCGATCTCCTGACCTCATAATCCACCCGCCTTGGCCTCCCAAAGCGCTGGGATTACAGACGTGAGCCACCGCGCCCGGCCTAGTTTGCCTATTTTAGCCAAGCACTGGCGAACCAAGTCCATTTTGTGTTTAGGGTTTCACTTGTTTATTCAGCAAACATTTGATGAACAACTACAGCCTACCAGGTACTTTGCTAGCTATTGGTGATTTAAACAAACAAACAAACAAAAGAAACGAATAACCCAGGCTCCAACTCTGGAGAAACTTACCATCTTAAAAGGAAATATTTAAAACACGATTACATATAAAATAGCATGAAACCTTAAAAATAAAGGCCACTTTTAAACATTACTATACTTGATGTGGGGAGAGGAATTGAGCTTGCTTTCTGTAGCTCCCGGATTATGACTTAGAGAAGGATTGTGAGATTTGAGATGAGCTAGGAACTGTTTTCAAGCCAACTGCTAGATTGGTATGTTGTTTCCATTTGCATTTTGAAGTTTGGAAAGGGTTCACACCTTTAAAATGTGGTTCATATTTGCCGGGAAAAAAATGGCTTGTTTTGCTGTGCTTCCCATCCAAGAGCTGACAAGTCACAGCTTTTTATTCTGACTAACAGCTTGAAGGTATCACCTCTGCAGGCTCCTGACACAATGAATTGCGGTTCTTCATTTATGGCAGTTTGTGCTTCGTGTACACTTTCATGTGTTTAGGATGGTTGCCCAGTTTTAAAGTAGCAGCTCTTAAAATAGCTGGAAATGGATTTGGAGTTCAGGTTTGGTTGAAAGTGGGCTGATGGTGGTTGTGCGTGTGTCGGTGTGTGCCCACTTGCAAGCCTGTATGCACGCCCGTGCTGCTGTGAGTCAGTCCAGAGCAGTTTACACAGGGGTCCACTGTGATAGAAAATATAAGGCATGTAGGGTGAGGAGGAAGAGGGTGGGAGGATTGCATCTAGTGATCCTGGAACAGTTGCTCAGACCAGCATTTAGTGTTTTATTAGGAGAGAACAACTCTATAAAAGGAACAAGAGGTTCAATCATTATAGAGTGGGGCGACAGGAGGCAGCTGCCAGCATGACTTTGAAAACCCTTGGAGATCCTAGAAGACTTGCCACATGTAACGTGGAGCAGCTGCTGGGATCATTTAGGAGAAATGCAGAACTTGGCACCCACCCACGCCTTCAGGGGATAGATTCTAGGATCACCCCAATGTTTTCTTTAGATGAGTTCCAACCCCACCCCACCCCCACTTTCCTTGCCATTGAACATTCTCACAGCAGCTCTTGTATTTTTCTTTTTTATTCCAGGTAGTTTTGCAGAGAATTAAGAGAAAAGGATAGTCCCCTAGTTTGATTTGAAAAGAAATGAGGGGCCGGGCATGGTGGCTCACACCTGTAATCCTAGCACTTTGGGAGGCCGAGGTGGGCAGATCACTTTGAGCTCAGGAATTCGAGACTAGCCTGGGCAATGTGGCAAAACCCCATCTCTACTAAAAATACAAAAATTAGCCAGGCGTGGTGGTGGGTGCCTGTAATCCCAGCTACTCAGGAGGCTGAGGCATGAGAATCGCTTGAACCCAGGAGGCAGAGGTTGCAGTGAGCCGAGATCACGCCATGCACTCCAGCCTGGGTGACAGAGCGAGGCTCCGTCTCAAAAAACAAGAAAAAAGAAATGAGGGGTGAGGGGTCCTTTATGCTTGGGGGTCAGGCAGGTGTGGCCAGGTTGGGAGAATACAGAGGGTCCCCTATTCTTATGCCCATATGTGTACTTCATAAACAGATTGCCACAACCTTGCAAACTATCACTTACATGATGTCATGCAAGTAACGAAGTATGTGAATTTCATTTTTAAAAAATCTGCCTAGGATGTCTGTTTTTCATCAATACATACAGAATATTTGCAAAGCTGAACCCTTCAACTTTAAAAATCTCCAATTAAATCATATAAACGTAAGCAATAACCAATGTTCAAATAAGCCAGAAGAAGGTTATTTATGGGGGGTTATTCTTGACAAGTGTATCATTTGACATATGTATAAAATTTTTGGTAAAGTTTTCTCAGAGTATAAATGCCAATAACTGCTGAAATTTGGCAACCAGCACATTTCTTCTGTGGACTCATGTTCTGTAAGCAAGCTCAGAGACCACCAGTATGTTCGTAAAAATTATTACTGATGTAATCTTGAACAGGAGGTGGCCCCAACTTCATTTGGGAACAAATGGAGGGAAAATTAAAGGGTAGATGTGGAAATAGTCATAGTTTCATCTTTAGAAGGGATATTAGAAATCGTGCAGGTTGGAAATCTCACTTATAGCTTGAGAAAATCCTCCTGCCCCTCTACTCCAAGAGATTCTGATAACTTCTCTCCTGCCTTACCTCCCTCACCCCAGTTTGAAAATCATTCTCACTCTTACTAATAGGAGAGCTGCCTATCATCAGATATGTTGAGATGGTGAAAAAAAAAGTTAAGAACTGCACGTTTAACCTTCTTGGCTCGTTTTTAAGACAAGACTATTAGGGCCCAGAGAAGTCCCGTAGAGGATAGCAGAACAAGGTCTTCATATTCTGTCACTTGGAAGTGACAGGTATATGGACCCAGCCATTTCTAAGACATTAAATCACAACCCTCATGCTGTTGCCATATGACCAGGGATCAGCACTGTCAAGTATGAAAGAGAGAAGACTATGGGGCTGGTGCTATGAGGAACTATATAGGGTCATATCCTTAAGTTCCATTATGTGCAGGATCTACTGGAAATAGCACCTCATTTTTATTTTTCAGACAGGGTCTCACTCTGTCACCCAGGCTGGAGTGCAGTGGCACGATCTCAGCTCACGGCAACCTCTGCCTTCCAGGTTCAAGCGATCCTCCCACTTCAGCCTCCCAGGTGTCTGGGACTACAGGTGTATGCCACTGCGCCTGGCTTATTTTTGTATTCTTTTGGTAGAGGAGAGGTTTCACCATGTTGGCCAGGCTGGTCTTGAACTCCTGACCTCAAGGGATCCATCCTCCTCGGCCTCCCAAAGTACTGGGATTACAGGCGTGAGCCACAGCATCATTTTTCTGCAAAGTAGTTTGTTGTATCTCTAGTTAAATAGTTAAGCAATAGAGTATTTCATCCTTGTATTTTCCAGTCTCCAAAATAAGTTATTTTAAAATACAATAAATGTATAGAACAGATCCCAACTACTGTAGTTAAACTTATAATGGAGTTACTCATCATGTTTGAAAAAAGCCTTGCAATATAATATCATATGTTTTTATTCCAGGCCCACAAATAGGTGGTAGTACTGTGATGTCCCTACTCACGGGTCCTTTCCCTCTTTATTTGAGGGACAAGGAACTTCCCACCAGCCTAGGGAAAATCATCCATCCTAAGTATCTTTAAACATTTGATTTGATTAAGTCCTACAAGGAACAAGCAGAGTTATGCTAGCCACAGCGTGGTATTTGGAATTCCTTTTGTTATTAAAAAATTCCATGCTGGTTGTATGAGTTCAGGAAGCCTGAGGAGGGATAAGAAATAGACCTTTTGTCTAGTGCTATTTTAACACACTTCTTCAGGTGTTGGTGGGCAAACTGGCCTTGAAAGGCCTTGAGTTCTTAACATAGTTGAGTCTCAGGCCCAGGCTGGGTAGCAGAAATGCCCTACCTCATTGAGTACTCTTCTGTTTCATCTCTTCTGTCCCTGTATTTGTCTGGATTCTCAAAACATTGTCTTGTCACTTAAAAACATTAAGACGTGCTCCATCCAGTCTCCATTGCTGGGATTTAGTCTGTATTTGATGCAGCTGGTCTTTGGGATGAGCTCAGTCTTCCCCAACCATCATAAGGCAGTTTCTCTTGAGACTTCTGGTCCATTGCTACTCTTGAGATCTTTGCCCCGAAGTCAGCCCTCTCTGCCCCTATGGTGCCTTCAGTATGACAGGTCAGTTAAACATCAGCTGCCTTAGTAATTCAGGAAACAAAGACAGCCTCCAAGCCTCTGATGACATCACTACTCAAGACTGTGTCTGGCAGGAAGGGCTTGGTGTCACTTTATGAAGGAGACAAGCTGAGAATCGCACCTTCTAAACAGTCCCTGCTAAGTGCTGAAGTCTTGATTGGAGATGTGCTGTCCCGAGGCTTCTCTCTAAGCCCTTGGAGGGTATGCTCCCTAATAAGCTGCCCCAGAGAGGCAGTCCAGACAAGGAATTCCCTTTAAATGGTGGGTCACAACATCTGGAATGATTGTGCTGGATTACTAGGGAGCCTGGGCAGCAACGCTTTTCATCCTTCCTTAAACTTTATTCTCAAGAGAAGTGGTTTATAAGGAGCAGGTGATACGCAAAGAGGCGTTGGTGATGGAGACTTCTGCTGGAGAGCAGCCTGGCTCCTGGGGAGGATGAGCAGAGAACCCCTGTCTCTGACACTAAATGCCCAGCGTAATCCCCAAGGCAAAGGACAGACTGAGAGAGTTTTGTCAGATGAGTAGCTGTCTCTCTGTCTCTGCCAGGGGAACTCCTTTCCTGTGGGATTGCTGCTGCCAAGAGTGACAGTGCCTTCCTGATGAGGGTTCCTTTGTTCAGGTATTTACCTGGTTATAGTAAAGCCTATTTCTGATACCACTCAGGTCAAAAAACTGTCGTGTTGGGATGTCCATGGTTGCCGTTTGAAATTTCTGTAGGTCAGGCGGGGCGCGGTGGCTCATGCCTGTAATCCCAGCACTTTGGGAGGCCGAGGCGGGTGGATCACGAGGTCAGGAGTTCAAGACCAGCCTGACCAACATGGTGAAACCCCCGTCTCTACTAAAAAAAAAAAAAAAATTAGCTGGGCGTGGTGATGCACATCTGTAATCCCAGCTACTCAGGAGGCTGAGGCAGGAGAATCACTTGAACCTGGGAGGCGGAGGTTGCAGTGAGCCAAGATTGTGCCATTGCACTCCAGCCTGGGCAACAGAGCAAGACTCCGTCTCAAAAAAAAAAAAAAAAAGAAAGAAATTTCCGTAGGTCATCACAATTTTCAACACAACAGTTGCTTAGACAGCTCCTGCATCAGCCCAAAAGGGATATGAAAAGTTTCTTTCTCCCCTGAAAATGAGTTTGGTTTTGCCAGTGATATTTAGAAAAATATTTCCAAAATTTCTTCCTAGCGACATAGAATGTAAATGTGTATCATTACCATAAGAGACAGATGTCTGTTTCCATACTCTCTCATTCTTCCAGTCAGGTTAAACAGGCTTTACCCAGAGGTCATATGCATTCTCCAAGTTCCTGGTGGTTACCTTGAGTTAGCCCTAATGACAATTTGATGAAACAGTTGCTGGTAAAATCAGCAAAGGCAACTAGCACGATCACTATGAGTTGATGGTCCCAAAGGCCCATCCAGTGGGTTTGAGGGAACCCAGTGGTTCCAAGGCAGGCAGTAATAATATTTTTCCAAACTTCAGGTTCTCTGTGGAGAGGCTGTTCTTCAGAATTCTGCCTCTTTTTGAAAAAGGTAATTTTGACGAAGGTACATGAAATAGAGCCCGAATATTGACATCATCTCCAGCCAAAGTTCTCATTCCCCAGTGTGAATTCTTTCCTGTCCCTCTTGCAGTTATTACTATGTTTTTCTGTAGGAAAAGATGTATTTACTAGAACATATTTCTACCATTTTATTGGTTTATTTATTTATTCAACAGAAATTTATTAAGCACCAACCACATGGCAGAGGAGGCATCCTGGAAAAATTATTGACTAAACCAAGTCTTGAAGAATGAGTTGCAATTAGCCAGGCAGCAGCGAAGAGGGAATAGCACTTGCAAAGTCCGTTTACAAGAGGAGACAGAGCACAAACAAGGAGCTGTGTTTAGTTCAGGATGGCCAGGACATAAGACATAAATGCTTGGAGTTGTAGGAGAAATAAAGGGCTGATCATGGGGAGGTTGGGTTTCATGGTAGAGAGTCTGAAGGCTTTGGGGAGTCCCCTTGGAATTTTAAACAAGGTAATATGATCAACACGTGTTTCGGAAAACCCACTTAGGCTACAGTGTGGAAAATTGATTGAAGTGGGGTGAGACTGGATCCAGGAAACCGCCAGGTACCAATTATTTATCGAAGTGAGGAGTGATGAATGCCTTCCGTAAGGTAGGGATAGGAGGAATGGAGAGGAGGCTCCAACATGGGAAAGGAAATTCAGGGGCTCCATGACAGTCAATGCATATGGGATTTAGAATGCAATAGAAAGGTGGGAGTCTAAGATGCCACTCAAATTCTGGCTTGATAACTGAGTAGAAAGCAGTACCAGTCACAGAGGAAGAGGCTGGGGATGGAGGAGAGAAGGTGTGTTCACTTTGGAGCATACTGAGTTAAGGAGCCTAAAGAACAGCCGAGAGAAAGGGAAGCCAAAGTCATACTCCTTGACTTTTTCTTTATTGGCTTAGACTGTCTGGTGATCTAGTGGTGTGTGTGTATGCCGGGGGAGGGCAGAGATGGGCACGTGAAAACTCTCAGCATCCAAGAGAAGTTCACCTAAACCCTCCTGTTATTTCCAAAATTTGACCAGATGTTTAAGCAAATTAACAAATGATTAAAGCAGCAGTCAGCGGGGACCTAGACCCCTGTGGAAATAAGCAAAGGGGCAAAACTGCAGAGAAAGCCAAGCCCAGGTGTTCTTGTTGAAGGGAGGTCAGTGTGATGGGGGTCCTCAGTGGTCGATGGGCAGAGTCAAAATGAAGCAAGCTGAGTCTGGTGGAGAGGGTGAAATCGGAAATCTAGGAAAAGTACAGGTGTTCGTGTTCACTGTGAGAATAACTTCTACCTAACAGCTATGCTCTCAACGGTATTTTTATTCCGTCCACTGTTGGTAGCACATTCTACTTTTCTCTATAGCCAAGTATTTTTCTTTCTCTAAGGGATGTCGTCCCCTAAAAAGACTGTTTCCAATAGTATCAAACGACTACCAATTAGTATTTTGTTGTAGCAAAATGAACTAGCAGCTGAGCAGCTAACTTGGGTCTCCCTGCAGCTTCATCAGTAGCTTTTTGTGGGGCCTTGGGCAAGTCATAGGTTTCTCTCTGGACCTTAGCTTTCTTCTCCATAAAGTTAAGGAACCTATCCTAGCAGGTTTCTAGAGTCACTTTCAGCATGATCCTTCTATATTTGTGTTCATTACTGGTTTGAAAAGGCCACGAGTCTCACTTAGAATGGCAGCTTCTTCTCACTCACCAAAGACATAGGCCTGGACATCAGCAAAACACTTCAGTAAATTGTAGTTCCCAACACACTTTTATGCCTAGTGTGTAACAGGGCTGGAAAACTGCCACAGAGACACTCACTACAGCCCTTAACTCATTAGGGGTCATTTAGAATGTCAGGTTTAAAAATCAGCTGTCCCCCCAGGCCCCTCCCCACCCAGTCAGCTCCCTAGCTAGCCTCATCTAGAGACTGCATTTCTCATTGATCTTAAAATAAAAAAGGAAATAAAATGAAAAGGACTTTGGCTCTAGTATGTGGAAACTCTTCCAAATGCCCTGGTCTTTGTGACCATGCAAAGGCTGGCTCTCTTGAGCATCATCACTCTCCGTGTGAGTTGATCCTCTAGCTCACATTCTCTGCCCTGAGAATAATGATGAGAGAGATCCTCGGGAAGGCCCACTGCCTTTCCAATCTACTTCCAAAAGGGAGCCAGAATCCAAGCCCCCAAAGGGGACGTCCCACACCCTGCATCCTCCACCTTTTCAGTCATCCTTCTCACCCTTCTCTGGCAACAGAGAGTTCAGTGCCCTCAAGTGTGGGCTGCCTTCCAGTTCAAAGTAGTCACATGCCATTATTTATTTATTTATTTATTTATTTATTTATTATTATTATTATTATTTGAGATGGAGTCTTGCCCTGTCGCCTAGGCTGGAGTGCAGTGGCGCAATCTTGGCTCACTGCAATCTCTGCCTCCTGGGTTCAAGCAGTTCTCCTGCCTCAGCCTCCTGAGTGGCTGGGATGAGAGGCACCCTGCACCATACCCGGCTACTTTTTATATTTTTAGTAGAGATGAGATTTCGCCATGGTGGCCAGGTTGGTCTCTAACTCCTGACTTTAGGTGATCCTCCCACCTCAGCCTCCCAAAGTGCTGGGATTACAGGCATGAGCCACCGTGCCTGGCCTATAATTTAAATGTAGATAGCAAAAGATGAGATTCTGAGGGCCGGGCACAGTGGCTCACACCTGTAATCCCAGTACTTTGGGAGGCTGCGGCAGGTGGATCACGAGGTCCGGAGATTGAGACCATCCTGGTTAACACGGTGAAACTCTGTCTCTACTAAAAATACAAAAAATTAGCCTGGCGTGGTGGTGGGCGCCTGTAGTCCCAGCTACTTGGGAGTCTGGGGCAGGAGAATGGCGTGAACCTGGGAGGCGGAGCTTGCAGTGAGCTGAGGTTGCACCATTGCACTCCAGCCTGGGTGACAGAGCGAGACTCCATCTCAAAAAAAAAAAAAAAAAAAAAAAAGAAAAGAAAAAAGATGGGATTCTGAGTAAACTTGGGATAAGGCGTTTAAATAAATTCATGCCAACTCATAGCCATTTCATAGCATTCTTTAGAGGGTTTGGCGTTCATTGCCCAAAGAATCTCATTAATATTTGTGCTATTAGTGTGGGGCAGTTAATGAGTATCAAAATGGTTGCTTCACACACAGCTATTAGCCAGAGAGGTTTAGTTGCTTACCTGTGGTCACACAGCAAGTGAGTGATGAGCCAGGATTAGGAACAATCCAGGTGGTAATGAAACTGAAATGTTTTGGCTCTGACAGCATAGTTCAGCAAAAGGATGCGGGTCCTAGGACAGGGAGTGCAGCTTAGCCTTTGAGTCCCATTGTTATCCCAGGAGAACTGTATTTTCTACTTTCCTGAATTCTATTATGACAGGTTTTAAAAAATGATTTCAAATTTATGTGTATGCACGTGCATGAAAATATGTGGCTGCTCACAGATACGTGTATAGAAGATGAAAGAGAAAAATGGACAACTTATAATTACAGATATTTTCATTCATCTGGTATCCAGATGATCTCCCTTGATTCTGACAGTTTTGACAAATCAGTTTATTAAAATTGTAAATGTAACCCAGAGCTGTTTAGTACAGTACTAGGCAGAAGGTGCTTTCTCCTCACGTTACATTTTGCTGTTGCATTATTAGAAGTAAATACAGCTTATACTGAAAGGACAAAACAGCCAGCCAGTCTTCTATGAGAAAGATGTCACTTGCCACATACAGTCCCAGTTGGTTTCACTGTCCCGAGACCCTAAGGATGTTTTCGTAGAGCTTTGACCTTGATGAAGCACAGAGAAGTGTCTGGTCCCCATGCCCGCCCTCCTCCCCTTTAACTCCTCGCCTGCCCCTTCAACTTCAGTTTTCTAAAGAGAAAACTTGCTCCCTAAGCTCCCAGAAGGCATTACTCAGGTGACATTTGGGGAAGGAAATGATCAGTAGGGCAAGTTTTAATTTAGGGCATTTAAACCCATTGTGCTTAAGTACCAGATTTCATTGCAGACTCTTTAGAAAAAATGTATGGCATCTTGACGCAGTGTTCCTGGCCAAAAAAGAAAAGAAAAGAAAAGAAAAATGTATGGCAGTAAGTAATGCCATGCGAGGGCAAGCTGGGAACAGTGAACACTCAAACAATGAGAGAAGAAATGTACAAAATGTGGAACTCTCTGCATTAGCTGAAAATAGGGAAAAGAATACCTTTTTTTCCCTCATCACCTACCACAGAAAGTTCAGAGAAGTTTTTATTTCATATCTGATTAGCTTCAATTGACAATGTTTTCTACACTCTGATTTTGTTCCAGCAGCTTTCCTCCTCCCTCCCTCTTCTAGCCTCTGCCCAGGAATCATTTGTAGGCAAACACATATATTTGTGACAGGACATCTTCATCTTAGTGCCACAGACCACTGGCAATCTGGCCAAGCCTGCAGACCCTTTCTCAGAATATTTTTAAATAAATAAAGTGTGTAGGAACATAATTACCAAAATATTTTAAATGCCCACACATTTATGATATAGTAATATATGTACTTATTTTTAACATATTAACTAAACAGAATTCATCACTGCTGTACTTTCAAAGTCAAAATGTGTGTGCACCAGGGGTCAGCAAACTGCAGCCCACAGACTGTTTTGTAAATAAAGTTTTATCGGAACATAGCCATGCTCACTCATGTACATATTGTCCATACCTGCTTTCACACTACAGCAGCAGAATTGAATAGCTGGCCTCATGTCATATGGCCCTCAGAGTCTAAAATATTTGCCATCTGGCCCCTTTCAGAAAACGTTTCCCAATCCCTGGTGTAAATTGCAACAGTAGTAATGTGCAATGAAAAGACTGATTTCGGCCGGGCACGGTGACTCACGCCTGTAATCCCAGCACTTTGGGAGGCCGAGGCGGGTGGATCACGAGGTCAGGAGTTCGAGACCAGCCGGGCCAACATACTGAAACCCCATCTCTGCTGGAAAAAAATACAAAAAATTAGCTGGGCGTGGTGGCAGGTGCCTGTAATCCCAGCTACTGAGGAGGCTGGGTCAGGAGAATCGCTTGAACCCGGGAGGTGGAGGTTGCAATGAGCCGAGATTGCACCATTGCAGCCGGATGACAGTGAGAGACTCTGTCTCAAAAAAACAAAACAAAAGACTGATTTCTCTTGGTTACAGCCACAGGTTGCTAACTACTGTTTTCTGCCTACATTATAATTGATATAAATGCAAAATTTCAGTTAGAAGTTAACAAAAACATAGGAGTGATTTTTTTCACAGTCCAAATTCATGGACCACCTGAATTCTATTCATAGATCTCATGGAGGCCTGTGGACCCCAGGTTAGTAATCACCAAATGGGATTACAGTTAAAAGAGCCTTTCAGCACAAATAGATACTTTCTTTACAGTGTAAAGAATCTGCACCCTTTCCGCCCCCTCACAAATGTCTGCATATTTTCATATCAATGAAAAAGACATCAGATCATCTCTAGAATTAGGTGAAGCACGGCCACTTTGAACGCTTATTCCCATTCTGCAGAGACCCAGTGGCTTGCTGAGGAAAGGCTAGTTCTGTCAGCTAGTCCTAAGAAAAAGTTGAGATTCTCTACACATACAGTCAGCTCATTACCTCCTCCCTGTCCCACTCTTGCCATGCCAGGAGAAAGAGCCAAAAACTCCCCCCTCCCCCGACTCCCAGGGTTCTCCTGTTCTCTCTGGTGTATTACTTGACTTTCCTCATCTTGTCTCTTAATGTCACATCAGAATGTACCACGGAATCTGACTTTGCCATTTGTGTGGCTATGATGTCTTATTCTCCAGAGACGACTTCAAGTATTCAGCAATAACTCATGTCCACTTAATGTGAAAATTGGTACCATCTAATAGAATCTTCAACATGCTAACCACACTATTCCAATAATGAAATGCAAATTTTCCTGCCTTTTTACTATGGTCATTTTTAGATTCTTGAGGAATGAAATATCCTCTTTATTATGAATTAAGAACTGGAAATTAAGATGTGGAGTATTGTTACACTATTTTTAGATAGTCTCCTTATCTGAAGTCCTAGGCTATCTTGTTTAATACTGACAATATAATTACAAGGTGCATATCATTATTACTCCCATTTTCTTGCTAAGGAAACTAAGATTTAGGTTACATTGATGAGTGACAGAATTCTAGAATTCATATTTTTTTTTCAGCTTTGAAAGAACAGACAACCCCACTTTATCTGATCCTTCATTTACAATATCAGCTACGGCCTCTGGATGTGTTTTTATCTAAGAGAATCCTACAGTAGTTCAGACTTTGTAGAGAAAGGCAGTGAGACGGAACAGTTCTGGCCATAGGGAGGATGTAGGGTCTAGATCACTTTCTAAATTCCTTTTCCACGAAATACGGGCTTTGAGAGAGAAGACCATCTATCTCTAAGGTCCCTTCCAGTGCCATCTGACCATCCATGGCTCTAGGATATTCAAAGCAAAAGATAGTTGAGGCAGCTCAACTTGTGATGAGTTCCCCTGTCTGCCTTTCAGACTGGCCATGGAAGGGAAAGGCCTGTCCGACAACAGGACCTCTGAGATGGACCCGAAGCACTTCAGCCCTTGTCCTGTGTGCTGAGCAGCTCTGCTGATACAGCAAAGCTGGGGGATAGTATTGATTTTCCAGATAATATTAGCATGTCATCTCATTGAGACAGAATGAAGAGGATTTATGGGGAGCCAGAGCCGCACACTGCTGCAGGAGGCCCAGTCTGTGGGCATCTTCTGAGCTGCCTAAAACAAGAATAAAATAGTCCCTCATCTATGAGCGTGGGGAAGAATGTAAACAAGCACCCGTGTTTGGGGATACAGCAGCGGCCTGGAACTTCTGAACGGCCAGAGAAACATCCAGTGGGTGAGAAGGAACACATGGGCTTCACCGAGCAATTAGTGCTGTAGGTTTAATAGAGTTTGAGTACTGATCTAGGTTCAGCTCCATCGCCACTCAGCTTCCGGGATGGTGATTTGAACTGACAGTATTACCACCTGTTGTTCATTGGACTTTGGCACTTTCTCCTCCTGCTGTCATTTCTCATTACTGCCCTTGACTTCTTTCTAGAAGAGTGGGTACAGTGGGGAGTGACCAGCCCCCAGGAAGAGGACACAGGTACACGGCAGTGTGCACCCTCTCTTCTTTTGCCTATTTCTGGCTCTGCATGGCTTGAGTCAGAGTTGATATTTCCCCATCCCTTTTGTTCCCTTACAGCAAGCACTTACCGTGCTGTACTGTGGTTTTCTGCTTACATTTCTGACCTCTTTCTGGACTGTGAAGTCCTGAAAAGCAGAGGCTGCAAATGCATCTCTGTGACCCCAGCACCAAGTCTTGTGCCTGGCACTTAGTAGGTGTTCAGCAGCATTTGTTGGAGAGATAGATGAAGAGTAGGCATATTGTTCCTAGTCTAACCCATCCCAATCATCCTCCACTCCCAGCAGTGCCATTTGTCATTATTTTCTGAATCCCAGTCTGTAACACCACCATCCACCCTATCAACAAAACTAGAAATGGGGGAATCATCCTTACACTGTCTCCTTCCTCACTTCACACACACCAGTCACCAGTTCCTGCTGATTGTTTCTCTCTAAATAGTTCTCAAATTTGCTCTTTATCCTTTTCATCCCTATTACCACCCCCAAGTTCATTGCCTCACTGTTGTAATTTAATTATCTGGTCTTCCCACCTTTACTTTGGCCTCCACTCACCTGTCCTGTGACACCACTGCTCTGGCCATGTCACTACCCATCTAAAGTTGTTGAGAGGCTGCATTTGCCCACAGTAAGAAACTCAAGCTTCTTAGCAAGGCCTGCAAAACCTTTCCTTGGTCAGGCTTCTGCCTGCCCCTGTATCCACAGCTCTGACCACTTGCTGCCTTGAGTTTTATGTTCCAGTGCCACCAGATTTCTTGTAGTTACCCATATTAGTCATATACTATTTCGTGCCTAGAGTGTCCTTCTTGCTCTTGTTTTTTCCATTCCCATTCATACTCATTGAGACTCAGCACGTAACGTCACCTCATCTGGGAAGCCTCGTCTAACCTTATTTCCCCCATGAAAGGAAGGAGGGAGGAAAGAGGAAGGGTTAAGGTACATCTCCTTTGGACTTTCATAGAGCTCTGTACACACCTCAATGTCCCTGACACAGGTAGTCACCTCCATAGTGAATTGAACATCCAACATGTCTTTGCAGTTCCCTAATACCCTTGAATTCTATTTTCCTTCCCAATCCTTTTTTTTTTTTTGAGGCGGAGTTTCGCTCTTGTCGCCCAGGTTGGAGTGCAATGACACAATCTCAGCTCATTGCAACCTCCACCTCCCAGGTTCAAGGGATTCTTCTGCCTCAGCCTCCTGAGTAGCTGGGATTACAGGCGTGCACCACCACGCCCAGCTAATTTTTTTTGTATTATTAGTAGAGATGGAGTTTCACCATGTTGGCCAGGCTGGTCTTTAATTCCTGACCTCAGGTGATCCGCCCGCCTCGGCCTCCCAATGTGCTGGGATTATAGGCATGAGCCACCATGCCTGGCCCCCAGTCCTTTTCTAAAGTGTTTATTCATATTGGGATAGAACTAACAAGTAAATGTGACCTTTTTTAGGAGGATTACCATTTGTATAGGGCTCTATCCCTCTGAAGATAGAATACTGGCCTTAGTCAATGAATGAAGCAACATCTCTTGGGGTTGCCAGATGACCCCGGTGCATAGTCAATCAGCCAAACCTCTGATTCAGCTGCTTAGTTGGGTTAACAGTTTCCTTTCCACTAGTATGGTGTGAGGAGTGGGAAAGGCAGCAGAGTACCACTCACAGCCTGCCCAGTGAGCCCAAAGCAGTAGTGAGCCCAGTCAGAAGAAAAGCCTGGCATACTAGAAAGAGCATGGCCTTTGAAAGATTGGTCAGCCTGGGTTCAAATCCACTGTTTGCCTCTTCACTGTGTGAACTTGAGCAAGTTCATTAAGCTCTGTCCTCATCTGTTAAATGTGCATAATCGTTTACACTGAATTGTGGTAAGGATTAAATGAGGTCATATATGTTGTCTGCTCAGAAGAGCCACTAGCTCATGGAAAGTGACCAATAATGATGGCTGTGGCTGGGTGCAGTGGCTCATGCCTGTAATCCCAGCACTCTGGGAGGCTGAGGCGGGCGGATCACCTGAGGTCAGGAGTTTGAGAGCAGCCTGGGCAACATGGTGAAACCCCGTCTCTACTAAAAATACAAAAATTAGCTGGGTGTGGTAGCGTGCGGCTGTAATCCCAGCTACTCAGGAGGCTGAGGCATGAGAATCACTTGAACCTGGTAGGTGGAGGATGCAGTGAGCTGAGATCATGCCACTGCACTCCAGCCTGGGCAACAGAGCAAGACTCCATCTCAAATAATAATAATAATGGCTGCATTTGTTGTTGTTTCCCCTGTCTTGATCCCCTGGTGGATGGTCATTGTGCAGTAGAAACAAGAGATAATCCTGTGTGCTTCCTTCTTGTTTCACTGAATTTGGCCCCAAGTCTACCTGAATGCCCTTAACCAGAGTTCTGGAACACTTCTGACTTAGGAAGCCTCAAACACCCTAGTATGTTTCCAGTTTTCCAACAGTTGAGAAAAACATGATAAAGCCGCAAATTCTATATGTGGAAAAGCAGTGCAGTGTGAAGAATGGTGTACACCTGAGTCATTTGTTGGCAACAGTGTGATCTTGGGTACATTCCTTTGAATCTCTGCATCTGAGCTTTAAAGATCCCATGAGCTATTTGTATTTCTTCATCAACACTTCGCTTACAAATTAAAGTACTTTGGTACTATAATGGTGATTTGGTTATTACTATTTATTACCTAGACTGCAGGCTTAAGTATAGCAGTTAGAGAATAGCACACTTTGTTTTGTTTTTAAATGAAAAAACAATTCCCCTTAAGAAGTGGAAAGTACTCAATAGCACCAAATATTAATTTTTAAATATAATTCAAGAAGCCTGGCTGAGCACACCAAGCTTTTATGCCTGTAATCCCAGCACTTTGGGAGGCTGAGGTGGGAGGATCGCATTAATGCAAGAGTTCAAGACAAGTCTCGGCAATGTGAAGAAACCCAGTCTCTACACAAAGTAATAAATTAGCTGGGCATGGTGGTACATGCTTAGAGTAGATCCTACTCGGGAGGCTGAGGCAGGAGGATCGCTTGAGCCCAGGAGCTCAAGGCTGCGGTGAGCTGTGTGAGCTGTGTGAGCTGTGATTGCACCACTGCACTCCAGCATGGGTGACAGAGTGAGACTCTGTCTCAAAAGAAAAAAAAACAAAGCTCTTTTCTTTAAAATATTTCTTTGAAACTAAGCCTAGAGGTACTATTACCTTTGGATCACTATTATTAATCATTCCTTAATAGAACTTTGGATTTTTCCCCAGGCTTAAGTACACTGGTTATTTCTAATTCTTTGTGATTTTCCTGGCTTCAGATCTTTCCAGGAACAGCTCTGGGTCTCTTGGCCAATTTGGCATCAGGGCTCTGGGCCTTTGCCCCCAGCTTCTGTGATTCTCTCAAAGGTCTTTCAGTATTGATCAGGGAGTCATTCCCACTGAGTCCTTCAAGTTTTCTTTTACTGCTTCCCCACAAACCGTAGAATGAGAAAAGGATGATTGAAGTGAAGAGCCTAGCCTAGTGCCGGCCCAAGTTGGGACTTGCTGAACATTGGTTTCCAGCCCTGTGGCCCCAGAATACCCCACAGTTACACCTCAGCTGTGGGTTCCTCTGGGACTGTTCCCCAGAAGGAGATTTTTCTGCCAGTTTTAATTTACTTTTTGGGGAACGAAAAAAACTACCTGTAATTTTTCCTGTCTACTTTTACTAGAGTTTACTAGAGGTTTCCTCAAGTTCCTTGAGCATAATCTCAGAGAAGAATCTAACCCATGTTTTCTTTTTCCCATTGCATTTACTACAGTTACAACGATAATAAATGTTGAATTAACTTTCACTAGCTTTTAACCAACATGTAAGCACTCCCCTTTAAACTGTGTCTTCTGTGTTTGGTGTCTACCTGTGTAAAATAGGAATAATCCCAATCTTCTCAATGAGATTTTACCAAAATAAATTAGCGTTCATAAATAAAAGGAGCTATATAAATCTGAGAAACTGTAGAGAGGACTCTAACTAATTTTATGTCCAAGTGCTCTAAATAAAATTACTTTTTCCCAAGTGTTCTAGAAAGGGTTACATTCCTGAGTAGGGTCTTAATGGCCAGTTCAAGAAATAATCAAGTTAAGTGTATTTAATTCATACTTTTAATTCATTTTTTTGTAATACCTTCTGTTAGACACTTCCATATGACCTGTGTCAAATGCACAGCAAAACATCTGATATATGGTTACAGATCTAACACAAATAATGTTACGTGAGCAACCCCAAACAGTATACACCTTGACAATGTGGAGACTCAAGATTTTCCAAGCACTCATTAAATTGAGCAGAGAAGTAATCTATTTCATCCAATAACCTTTCGTTTTATGTATTTAGCAAATCTTTATCAGAGAGAGCTATATGTGGACCTCCTAAAAAGGGACCTGGGAATTCGGGTCAGAAACTAGACCAGCCAGGCGTTGGAGTTCACGCATCCCAGCACTGTAAACAACAGCATGGGCACAACTGGCCAAGTGTGTGGGGACTCCTGGTGTTGTTGTTTATGGCGTCTGGCAAATATTTCTACCCAAGCCTTCAGCTAGTTTACAGCATTTCATTTTACAGCCCATCATGATGATAGTAACCAACCCCAGAAAAACATCAACAAGCATTAGCAGCCATAGTGTTGGAAGATGAATGTGACCCCAGCGACCTCCATTCCACCCCCCAACCCCCATCCCACTCCCACCCCATCCCCCTCACCGCCCCCTCTAGTGTTCAGTGAATTTCTGCAGCTAAAGTGGTTACCATGGGTCTTGGGTCAAAGGAGGATATTTGGAGGAATTTCTCTAAACACATGCTTACAAATGTTGAGAAATAGCACTCTAAAAAAGCAGGAGTCATACACAGACCCCAGCTCTTCTCGGTGAGTAAGACAAAAGGCAGCGTGATCTATAAATATGGTAAAGTGCCTTGAAACGATGAGTCTGCAGAGGCAGGGGGGTGGGGGTAGTTAAGGGAAGGCAGGAGGGAGACAACAATTACATATTAAGTTGCATTGGTTAAGAACAGAAAAATATAACTTGGCATGAGTTCCCATACTGGCCTTTTAGAACGGATTGGTCTGTAACACCATACTAAGTCTGTTTTCTATCAGTGATTCCTAGCCAGCTTATTAAACAGATTTATACAATGAAAGAATCTCATAACAGAAACATTCACCTTCTTTATTACTTGGCATTATTTATGGTTTGAGTTTTTTCAGCTACTTTTTTATGCACTGGAATCTGCCAACATTATACTTACAAAGTTTATGTACCAAAGTATAAGTAGGTTGGGAGAATATTATATGTGTCTCCTCTCTCCAGCCATGTGGCCTCCCCCAGCAGAGGCTTTGAGGACCTATCTGTCCCCTCCTCTGAGTGTCTTCAGCATGGAATCCTCTTTCTTTCAGGAGTCCGTGATTCTTGACTGAAACAAGGGTTAGTTCCCTACCTCCATGCCCGTCAAGGAGTAATACTTTTTTCAGCCTTGGGTTTAGTGACAGGGAAAAAAGAACGTTAGCTCATGTGAGGATACGTATAAGGGAATTAGATAACTCTCTACGTGATTTGCAAACACCTCAAAATTGTCAAGATGGAAAAGAGACCCAGAGTCCCCTTTCGTCCTCCCCATTCATTCTAGGGTAATAAGGGCTGGTGGAGAGGCGGTGTCCATTTTTTGACGGAACTGGTATGGGCAGATGAGCATGCCTGAGTACTGAACACTACCGTGTCACTCCCCATGTTGCCATTCTGTAGAAGAGGAAGCAGGAAGCCACCGACAGGGGCATAACTGTGGACCTAAAGTGGACATCAGAGGGGTCCCGGCAATGCGGCCCTGACCCTTCCCTGCCTCACTTGCCCTCTACTTCCCAGCTTCACCATAGCTGGGAAGAATATTTTGATTTGTTTGTTTTCCCTGAGAAAGAACAGTTTCTATCTCGAGTATTGCCTCCTTTCCTGAAGCGTGTTCTCCGTCCCAAGGAAAACACACACATCCAGAAGGCACTGTGAGCAAAGCCTGGAACTGGAGAGATGACCCAGGGTCTTTGGGATTGCGGAACAGCTGCTGTGGAAAAGTAGTGGCCTGTTTATGGGTTGAGGAGGCAGTACAGGGTGACAAGAGGGAGCCCGAGAGCCCCCCATGAATCTGTCTGCACCCTTGTGAGAAGAAGCCCATGAAGTCAAATGACAGCTTGTTTAAGGAAGCCATGAACTAGCAAATGTAGTTAAAAGATGAAGGGGGAAAATGAAGGGAAACGCTTATGCTTAAAGCAGTTTTCCTTTGAAAAACTACAGCATTTAGGCTACCAGGTTGTGTTTCCTTAATAGGAAGCCATATCCCAGCCATGTGGCAAGAATTAGTCATTGCCTTCCATATGGGTAGTAATAATAAATGTAGGAATTTAGAGGCTAATGAATCAGTGGGAGTTGCTATGGGTTTGCTGGGTGAATGAATCAAAGGCGATCCCTTCTTTCTCCCTGCTTCCATCTTTCCGGTCCTTTCCTCCTGCTATGCTTTTATGCGTATGAGCTTTCATCTCTGGCCCACTAACCCCAAGGATCCTTTGAATAATCTGGAAGGAGACCATCTAAAGAACTCTCTGGCCAGGTACAGTGGCTCACGCCTGTAATCCCAGCACTCTGGGAGGCCACAGCACGTGGATCACCTGAGGTCAGGAGTTTGAGACCAGCCTGGCCAACATGGAGAAACCCCGTCTCTACTAAAAATACAAAAATTAGCCAGGTGTGGTAGTGCATGCCTGTAATCCCAGTTACCTGGGAGGCTGAGGCAGGAGAATCCCTTGAACCCAAGAGGCGGAGGTTGCAGTGAGCCGAGATCGTGCCATTGCACTCTAGCCTGGGCGACAGAGTGAGACTCTGTCTCAAAAAAAAAAAAAAAAGAAAGAAAGAAAAAATGAACTCTCAAATCTGTCTCTAGCCTGCATGCGAATCATCGCCCAGAAACTAATCTGTCCCCCTGAGCCCAAGTATTAAGCCGAGCTATGAACCAAAAATTAGAGGTATGAGAGACATGAAGGGGGGCAGGCCTCTGTGCCCCGCCCTCCAAGAGCTCACCATCTAGTGCTAGAGACTGATGTGTAAACAGATCATCATAGTGATAAAAACCGTGATAGAAAAAGGATGACCAGTTGTTTTGGCCTGTGTGTGTAGGGGAGGCTCTGGGAGGCAGGTAGAATGCCGATGAGGATCTTCTATGACATGAGTGGCTGTTGAGCTCAGGAGATAAGAATTTGGAGCTGGAGCAGTTCACTTCCATTTTAAATCCCAGCCCTGTCTCTTAATAGTTGTGTCACTTTGAGCAAGTTACTTACCTCTCTGTGCCTCGGTTTTTTCATGTGTAAAATAGTATACCTACATCCTCGGGTTCCTGTGAGAATTCAGTGAGTTAATATGTGTGGAACACTTAAAATACTGCCTGCTCCTAAAATTACTGCTTGGCAGTAAATGCTATGTAGATGTTACTTTAAAATTATTACTATTTTCACATATCTTATGTGAATGTGCCTAAATGTGATATGTATATATTTTTCCTTTTAAAAATTTGAGATCATACTATACAGAGAGTCCAGCTTACTTTCCATATCAGCACATGTAGATGTACCTTAAGACATTAATTTAAAACCAACTTTCTTTTGAAAAACTTTCCAGCCTCATCAGACATTGGGGATTCTATGTGAGGGCACCTCTCCAAGATTGGATCTTGCTGTGGTTGATGGAGTTACATCCTTCACAGCACGGTCCAAATTAGAGATCTCCAGTCAGGCTGTTTGGTCTGTGAAACATTTGGATATTTGTTTTTTAAATCCATATTAGGACATGTTATTCAGTGTTTGGAGAAATTAGTATGTACTAATTTCTAGGCTGCTTGAAGAACTTGGGGGGTAAATTGTTGCTCTTAAATCCCCTTAAAATATAGGGCAGAGGCCAGGCGCGGTGGCTCACGCCTGTAATCCCAGCACTTTGGGAGGCCGAGGCGGGCAGATAACGAGGTCAGGAGATCGAGACCATCCTGGCCAACACAGTGAAACCCTGTCTCTACTAAAAATACAAAAAATTAGCTGGGCATGGTGGCGGGCGCCTGTAGTCCCAGCTACTCAGGAGGCTGAGGCAGGAGAATCTCTTGAACCTGGGAGGCGGAGGTTGCAGTGGGTTGAGATCACGCTACTGCACTCCAGCCTGGGTGACAGAGCGAGACTCCATCTCAAAAAAAAGCATATATATATATGACAGAAAGGATCTTGGCACCCTGTGTTGAAAAGATACGTTTTTAAGTCAAATGTGAGGTAAGTAGGTCATGCCACATCTCAACCTCATCAGGCTGTACTTCTGCAGATTGTTGTGGCTTCTGGGTGTCCTATTAGAAACAAAACAGGAGGGGAGAATCGTTTGATCTCTTGCTCCTAAAATGTGGGCCCTAGGCCGTCAGTAAGAGGTACTGGCCCTTGCCGAGTCCCAGTGTTCTCCCTCATTCACCCCCTAGGTGACAGTGGATCCAACTCTCCATAAGCAAGTCTGGGATTCTGCATGTTGTGCTTATTTGCTCTCTGTGGGAGGGTCTGTTAGACAGGTCTCTCCAAGGAAGGGGAAGGGAGCAAGGAGTGGGGGAGGGTGTCAGCTCAGAGGGGCTAGCAAGTCCAGTAGATGCCAGTTCTCCCGAAAGACAGGTCCCCTGTGTGATTCACATCTGGTACTGAAGTGGCTAGAGCAGTTGGCACACCGCAAATTGACACTGACCTTGGCCATGCTGTTGGGGTAATTGGACTTTCAGGATGGACTCTCCGAACAATCTTGCCACTGTGGCTGGCACAAACAGGCTTTTCTTTAACAGCAGACGTTCATGTCTTCTTGCTCCAACTTTTTTTTCTTGAACAAACATATGTATTGTGGCCAATGCAAGGAAAATCCCACTCACCATTTTGATCTGAGTTGCTTCTGTCCTGGAACAATAGTCTAGTGTACCAGGGGCCCTCGGGATGCTGGTTTCCATGCCCTGGTCTAGTTTTATGAATCTCCTTGGAAGACCCTAAAGGCCAGGAAGCCATCGGTATTTCTGCAGGGCCTCCTACCACCATCGGGGACATCAGTGGCTCTGTATCTGATTGTCAGAGCGTGAGCTTCAGCAGTAGCCTCGGGGTCAGGACTGGTTACAACCAAAGAGCTTTCTAAGTGCCTGCCCTTTCTCCCACAAGATGGCCTCTTCACAACTTAAGTGGGCATAACCGAAGACTTGCATTCCCCTTTGAGCATCCACCTCACTCAGTTAGAAGAAATGTGTCTCCAAGCACTGCCAGCCTGTGAATAAGCACTTCCCAAGTGCCAGGTACAAAGTTAGACACTTCCCATCTTTCACCTCGTTGATCGCCTCAAAATCCCGTGAGGTTTTTAATCACTGACTCAGTAGCATTGATTGAGAAATCTACTCCGTGTTAGGCTTAGACTACATAGTGATGACCAAAACAGTCTTTGGATTCATGGCAATTACTGCCAGGTAGAGAAAGCGAATGCTGTTATTTTGCTCTAAGAGGAAACTAAGGTTCAAAGAACCAATACTTTCTCAATGCCATATAACTGGTAAAGGGTGTGGCCACGATTACACCACCATGATTCTACTCCAAAGACTGTCTTCCCTCCACCATGCCCTACTACCTTCCTATAGGAAGCTTAATCTGCGGTTCTACTTAAAATATGAGGAAACATCTGGAATATTAGTTTTCAACCACATTTCAGACACAGAAAGTGGAGCCTAAGGAATAGCCCAGTTGGCTCCTCTCTGAGAGCGGGTAAGAGTAGAAAAGAATTGCTGATCTCAAGCATTTTGTTACCAGAATAACCCCACAGGAGAGGCCTGGCTGAACGGGGATTTGTGTGGGCCAGACAATGTAGGGGATTTATTTCCAAGGCTGGAGGACAGAGCTTGGACTCGGGTCCAGCTCGGCGTCCTCCCTCGGGTCCTGCTCGCTGAAGAGGTACAGCATCTGGAGGAGGACTTTCCGGCCAGGGTACAGCTCCTCTAGGCTGAGGCAGTTAACGATTAAACAAGAAGCAGCCTTTGGCTACAAAGCTAATGGTTTGGGTTCCAGGGCACAGGATAAAAATATACAACTGGAAAGGCAAGCTCCCAATTAAGTGGAAGAGCTCAAGCAAGAGATGTTTCAATGCCGCGGAGCCAGTGACCACACGTGGGCCTGCTGTCTCCTCCACCAGCCCCACTCGCCCGGCCCCATACTTAGTGCTGGCTCCAGAGTCTCGTGGGGGAAGCCGGCTGGCAGCACACAGGCCATTCCTCTTTTCCATTCAAAGAAAATCTTACTTGCCTTCTGCCCAACAATTTATCTTGCTTGGCATCTTAGGATAGTAGAATGTCAGAACTGGAAGGGCCTTAGGGATCATCTAGCCTAGTCCAGCTCCCTGGTTTGATGCTTTAGAAACCGAGGCACACACTGGGGAAGTGACTTGAGCAGAGTCACCTTGTCAGTTCGTGGCAGGGAGGAGATTCACGTTTTGATCTTGTAATGTCCGCATTCTCTTCTCCCTTTGTACTAAGCTGGCACCATTAGCAGCCTGCCATTTGCACCTCTTCCCTTTGCTCCCACAAACCTAAAAGCCCTCGGTCCTTCTCCTCTTTTACAGGAAAAGATACTGAGGCAGGGAGTGTAAACAGTGCCCACAGAGCTGACAAGTACAGATGCCAGAAAGGGAACCGCAGAATCCCGCCCAGCAGGCCTGGGCCTTCACCATCTGACCGCATTCCCTCTCTAAGAACATGTTGTGGGAGAACTGAATTTGGCCTCCTTTGAGCTCTAAGCCTGCAACAGCCCTCCTAATGACTCTACAGTTCCTGGCTTCCTCTTGCCACTGACTTTCCCCTCCACCGCTGCCTGGGACAACCTTACAGCTACAGTGACTTTGAGTCTTGCCAAGACAAGCCCAATAGTTACTTTCAGACTCAAGTGCTTGCCAAGCCTGAAATAGTAATTGCCTGAAGGGTTCCAAAAAGCTGGGCTTTATCTGCAGCAGAGACTTTAGTAAATCAAAACACAGGTCTTATCTCCCTATTCTCTCCCCTCTGTTGTGTGGTCTCCTAAATGAAAAATGTTACCTAATTGCCTAAAACAGCTGGCTTGATGTTTAATTACTTCAGCTTGCTAACCTGATATTCTGGACCAATAAACTATACACAGGGAGTGGATAATGCTCTTTACAGATCGGACTTGTCCAGGTTTCCTTTGTGAGAAATGTTGATTTCAGCCACCAGAGGGAATTCCAAATTTGAATGCTCTTAGCAGTCACCGCGCTTGTCTGATGTTGGAACTCCTCTTCACCCATCCGAGGAACAGTGTGCCTGGAAAATGCCTTGAATCCTCTCCCCAGCATTCCAGGGGCAGTCTCCTCCACACGCCACACTGCTCAGCCTACACTCCCTTTTCTTTTTCTTTTTTTCGCGAGACAGATTCTCGCTCTGTCACCTAGGCTGGAGTGCAGTGGCGTGATCTCGGCTCACTGCAGCCTCCGCCTCCAGGTTAAAGCAATTCTCGTGTCTCAGCCTCCCAAGTAGCTGGGATTATAGGCGCCCACCACCACACCCGGCTAATTTTTGTATTTTTAGTAGAGACAGGGTTTCACCATGTTGGCCTGGATGGATGGTCTCAAACTCCTGACCTCAGGTGATCCGGCCGCCTCAGCCTCCCAAAGTGCTGGGATTACAGGTGTGAGCCACCGCGCCCAGCCAACGCACTCCTGTTCTGAGACACGGGAGGGCATGCAGAGCAGTCTCGGAGCGGACGCTAGCTGGCAGCGGTGCCATTGCTTTCGCCTCAGGCTTCCTAGAGCAAAGAAGCCCATGGAAGAGGTTGCACAGCGTCGCTGGTTAATGGCAAAGCCCAGGTATGGGCCAGTGAACCCCAATGATGCTGGGGTGCCTCTTCCTGTCCCCAAGGACTCTACAGCCTCAGCCTCACCCATCGATGCTTCCCCATGTGGGTCCTGGAATGTGACCAGGCTGACTGACCCCCCGTTTCATGCCCCACGCCTTTGCTGGTACTGGTCCCTGAGATGTCCCCTGACATGCCCCTCACCCAGCACCTCTGCCCTCCCATCTGCCTCCACATGCCGCTGCGTCCCCTCCACGGCTCCCCTGCAGTAGCACACCTCTGCACAGCTTTCCTCTTTACTCCTAGCCAGGCTCAGAGGGACCCACAGCTGACATCTTAAAGTCACCTCTATTGTCCACCTACCTACTTCTCTATCTCACTGAACCTCTTTAGGACCAGGATTTTCCCTTTTCATGTGTGTTTTCCAGTGTCTAGGATAGTGACCATCTATAGCAGGTGCTGGCCAGGCGTGGTGGCTCACACCTTTGATCCCAGCATTTTGGGAAGTCGAGGCAGGTGGATCACCTGAGGTCAGGAGTTCGAAACCAGCCTGGCCAACATGGCGAAACCCCCATCTCTACTAAAAATTACAAAATTAGCCAGGCATGGTGGTGCATGCCTGTGATCCCAGCTACTCAGGAGGCTGTGGCAGGAGAATCACCTGAGTCCAGGAGGTGGAGGCTGCAGTGAGCCGGGATCACGCCACTGCACTCCAGCCTGGGTGATAGAGTGAGACTCCATCTCAATAATAATAATATTAATAGTAATATAGCAGGTACTTAGTAAATGTGTGCTGAATGTGGGAGACGTCTTTTTTAAGGAAAGCCTAAGATGTCATTCTTAGAGCAGCAGAAGAGATGATGTTCATGCCCCATGCCTTTGTTGGTACTGGTCCCTGAGATGTCCCCGGACATGCCCCTCACCCAGCACCTCTGCCCTCCTATTTGCCTCCACATGCCGCCGCGTCCCTTCCACAGCTCCCCTGCAGTAGCACCCCTCTGCACAGCTTTCCTCTTCGCTGCTAGGCAGACTCAGAGGGGCCTGCAGCTGGTATCTGATAAAATAAAGGAAAGGTTAGAGGGAGGGAGAGAGGGAAGGAGAAGGAGGATAAAATAAAAGGAAAAGAAGAGGTATGAATTCTTTGGAAAAGAAATCCATGCCCTCGGAATGATGTGGCTCCTTCCTTTTTTAGTCAAACATCTGCTCAACTGTATGTGCTGTGCTAGATTCCTCGGGGTCATGTACAATAATTCCTGCCATGTAGGTTTATTAAATTAACAGTTGCAATTTATGTTTAGCGGTTTCCCCACTAAGGAATTCCTCGTGTATTTGATCGATTTGTGCAAGAGGCTAACTCCAGCCATTGCCAGCCCTTCTGTAAAATGGCTACTATATGATCCAGAATTCCCTCTCACCTCAGACACTGATGGTACTATTAGAGTTCGGGAGGCTTCAACAGTTCTGAGATAGGTGTAGCATATACAAAAATTCCGTTCACTGCTTTGTTTTCTTAAAAAAGTTTAGGGTTCTAAAGAGTAGTGTCTTCTATCCAAATTTAGTATACTTATATATTATATCCATCATATTATATTTAGCTCTTATGCCCTAGGTATTTGATCAATTTGAGCATTTCATTGCCAAGCTTTTAAGAGACTCCTGCTCCACGTCTTCTTGCTGTCCTCACTAGCTTGAGACAAAGTAGAAAGGCCAGAGAGAGGGGACTCCTCCAGAGCCCACCCAGGACACACAATATACAGTATGATAGAATAAAACAATGTAAAGGCATGCTTCTTAAATAACAGGTCATATGCTTTAATTATTTCATCTACTGGCAGTGTATTGCCTTTACTGGGAAACAAGCCTTTCCCACACACCTGCTTTGTAGGGCTGGGCTGAGTCAAGCCGGGAGAACCAGACAGTTCCTGGTGTTTGGGGCCTGGACCAGGAAAATGCAGCTCATGGCAACATGGAGGGCTTCATTGACGGTGAGGTGAGGTCACTCTAGGAGAGGGCTCGGCGTAGAGACCTGGGTCAGTGGGGTAGTAGCACCATCAGGGGCAACTGGCAGTGAGGCCTCAATAGCACCTTGAGAATTCAGCGAGACAAGACCGATTTGGGTGGGGTGGGAGAGTAGTAGTTGGCAAGGTAAGTAGGGCACAGTTGTTCCTAAGAACTAAAGCCCATCAAGGCAAGGGCCCAATACCCAGATTGGGGAACTTGACCTCAGGGATAGGACAGAAGCCTAGTAATTAGAGCAGAGACACGGTGTCAGAGCCAGCCAAGGGCCCTGCCATGGGAGGCCTGATGTGGAATCTCCTCCCTTTTAGCCACCTGAGGGCAGACTTGAACAGAGGTCCCTGGTGAGGTCTGTGGGTGGGGGTCCAGGCAGAGCCTGAACGAATGCCATACGCAAGCTGTTCTGGCAGGCGTAACGCGTAGGACCAACAGTGAAAGCACAGCAAGAACAGGGTTTGTGCTGCAGGTGTCCAGGCTGTGCAGGAAGCAGGGCCAGAGGCCGCCTCTCCTGCTAGAGCTACATGCCGCTCCTCGGCTCCTCCCCGCCACCATCACACCAGGAGTCAGGGCCCTGGGAGGCGACTAGAACACACCAAAAAAGGATGGCTAGGACTATTTCTCTGCAAGGTGGAATCAGCTCTTCATTTAAGATATAAGCTGTGGCCCAAAGTTACTGAGGGTTCTACAGGTGACGTCCATCTAGGCAGGAATAGAAGTTCCAAAATTAACTGACTTTTCTCAGTTGGAAACTTTCTTCTCAGGCTCCAGAATCTGCAGTGTCCTGTCTGCACTCCTTGGTGGCGATGGAGCAGCAGCCCTCTCCTGTCTTCCCTGCCTACTGTTAGAACCAAATGTAGTCTTTCTTGAAGACGGCACCATCTCCCTCTCCCAGTGACATCAGCAGCCCCTCTTCCCCCTCCCCCTAATTGACAAATGTGGGCATTTCCAAGTGTCTTAATGGCATTAACAAGGGACACACCGCTTAATCACAGGTGGAACTGCCAACAGATGACGGGTTATTTCCCGTGTTTCTCCCCACCCTGCAGTGAGGCAGCAGCCTTGTGTTGGGGTTTCTGAAGAGCACTCCTGCTCGGAGGACATGTGCTATTTCCAGCCAGAGTTGTCCACCTGCAACTTTCTGCTAGGGTTAGCAGTTTCATCTCCCATTATTAAGAGTCCAGCTGGCGTGTCTTTGAAGTTGGTCCCATCATGTTAAATGTTAACTGTAATTTCTCTTGGCCCTTGCTGGAGAGTGCTTTCCTTCCCGTTGGTATGATAATAGCCGCAGCTATATTGGCCATGTGCTAGCTGACCACCTCAGCAATTGCTTTCACTCCCGGAGTGACATAGAAGGAGCTTTGTACTGTGCATCGTGAAACTTGGGGTTTGACCTGGTTCTGCCAGGAAGCCATGTGATCTTGAGCAAGCTCATTCTCTTTTCTGATCCTCATTTTTCTGCTCTGTACAATTCTGGGTAAGGGCTAGAGGATTTCTAAAGCCCTTCCACTTCCAAATCTGTGATTCCAAGATTGGGAGAATGCACAGTTACTCGCAACTCCTTTTTCTCCCTCTACCCCGGGCCTACACCCCTCGCTACAGTGCTTCTCCACATGCTGATCCCAGTAGGTAGCCAGGGTCAGAGAATACTAACAATATGTAGAGAGCTCAGGATCATTCTGACCCTTTGAACTTGAAATCCTCAGAGAGCTTTCTATTCTAATAAAAGGGCATAATCTTGGTGATATGACACCCCCTACATTAAACTCCATTATATTAAGGAAACCTTAGAACTCGGATGTACAATCTAGCTTGATAATTTACAATTCTGCTGGGATTAGTATGAGGAATAATTATATCTATTTATTCCACTGTCAGAATGTTGACTCTAGAATTTCATATTGTCTCTGTCACTGAAGATTATAATTAAATAATATGTCGAATGTATTGATCATATTTTTATACATTTGCTTGATATGCTATAGAGGCTTTTTTTTTTTCAATATATCACGAGATTAAATTCAAAAGTTTGCCAGGCCATCTAGGTCTGTTTAAGAGATTTTTTTTTTCCTGAATAAACCACAATTTTTTGATGGCTTGTCATTTTGACATCAACTAAAGTAATTTATTTACTCCTTAGTGCAGAACTGTATCTCTTTTAGCCTTTAGTCAGACTCAGTAGCTATCATGACATTAGAATAAGAAGTAGTATGTGTCTTTGAGGGTAGGCTTTAAATTTCCTTTGTGCATAAACTCACAATTTTCATAGAATAGTCTTTTTTCTTTTTCTTTCTTTCTTCTTCTTCTTTTTTTTATTTTTTATTTTTTTTTTTTGAGATAGAGTCTTGCTCTGTCACCCAGGCTGGAGTGTAGTGGCACAGTCTCGGCTCACTGCAACCTCTGCCTCCTGGGTTCAAGCATTCTCCTACCTCAGCCTCCCGAGCAGCTGGGATTACAGGCTCGTGCCGCCACACCCAGCTAATTTTTCTATTTTTAGTAGAGACAGGGTTTTGCTATGTTTGCCAGGCTGGTCTCGAAGTCCTGCCCTCAGGTGATCCTCCCGCCTCGGCCTCCCAAAGTGCTGGGATTACAGGTGTGAGCCACGGCACCTGGCCAGAATAGTCTTTTTTCTATGCATTTATTATGAGAACTTTTCCAGTGGAATTTGAACTCAAGTCTCTTTTACTCCAAAGCCCAGTTTTTCCTTCTGCATCAGATGGTCCATTCCTAGACAGTGGCACTATGAACCAAAAGACCTGGGTTCCTCACTCATCTCTTGGACTCTTAGCTAAGGAATATATGGTGAAAGAATATATTCAACTGAAGGCCAGGCGCCGTGGCTCACGCCTGTAATCCCAGCACTTTGGAAGGTAGAGGCGGACAGATTACGAGGTCAGGAGATCGAGACCATCCTAGCTAACACGGTGAAACCCCATCTCTACTAAAAATACAAAAAAATTAGCCAGGTGTGGTGGCGGGCGCCTGTACCTGCTTGGGAGGCTGAGGCAGGAGAACGGCATGAACCCGGGAGGCGGAGCTTGCAGTGAGCCGAGATTGCGCCACTGCACTCCAGCCTGGGCGACAGAGCGAGACTCTGTCTCAAAAAAAAAAAAAAAGAATACATTCAACTACAAATTTTCTCAGCCTATTTCTCTTTTGCTTGAGTCACAAAACATTCACCTACTTTACCCAGAGGGTATAATTAAACCTTTTCTAATACTTGCTTTGGATGTATGTTTCATATATATTCTTAAGTAGTGTAGAGGGTTTCTTCAGTCTGCCCGAAACACATGTAATCAGCTCTTCAGTCACAGTAATAATATAGCACGTGTGTAATGTTTTACAAAGGGCTTTCATATACATTATCTCAGATGAGCATTAAAGCATGCTGTGATATAGGCAAGGATTATTACTATTAGTTCATTTAATGGATTCTTTTTAAAAAGACTCAGAGAATTTAAGATTTTCCATAACATCCAGCTAAGAAATAATAAAGCTGAGACTAGAACTCATGTCTTCTGAATCCTTAATCTAGGGTCTTTTGGCCTTCTTTTTTTTTCTAATGAGATTTACAAACATAACTAAAAATATATCTCCAGCTTCCCTTACCTCTTCATTTGTTTAAGGCAGATTCTTCATTTTGCTGTAACATCCCATCCTCTGAATAGATATGGCATGAAATAAAGTGGTAGCACCTTTTTAACCCAAGTAAGGACAGAGCGTTAGCAAAAGAAGAAAGATCCTGATTATATTTGACTGAGAGACTCGCATTCCTTCTACCCCACCTCCCATCTCCCTTCACCATTCATACTGTGGCTTCTTGGGGAAGCTCATGACCTGTTTCAAAGAGCTTGATTGTAGTCCTGGGCCATGAGGAAATGCATGAGCAAAAGCAGCAATGGTGAGTGGCTGATGACCTCAAGAAGAGGCCATTTGATGTCGGGCGGTAAGAGGCTGTGGTCAGGAAGCACTTTCCTCCCTGGGCCATCTGGATGCCCCTGCAGGCCGCCAGGCTGCTTGTGCCCTTATCCCTTCACCCTCAGGGAACCTTGCTTTGTTGACTGACAGTTGGGTTGGCATTTGGTCTTTATCATCAGGGATTCTTCACAATAGTGCAAGCCCTAGGAAGGCGAGCCAGCAAATCGTTCTAGTCTCTGAGAACAACGCTGACCTAGTGCTCTCCAATCTGGCCATGCTTCTGCTGGGAAATGAGGGGATAGTGGGGAGAACCCTGGAGGGCTGGATTTTAATCCTTGTAGTCTGTTTGAACTTGGGCAAGTTATTGATCTCTGAGCTTCAGCTTAGTTCCTTTTTAAGTAAATTGTGGATACTAACACCTATCCCGTTTTTTGTTTGTTTGTTTGTTTGTTTTTTTTGAGACGGAGTTTCCCTCTTGTTGCCCAGGCTGGAGTGCAGTGGCACAATCTCAGCTCACCGCAACTTCCGCCTCCCAGGTTCAAGCAATTCTCCTGCCTCAGCCTCCCGAGTAGCTGGGATTACAGGCATGCACCACCACGCCTGGCTACTTTTTGTATTTTTAGTAGAGACAGGGTTTCTCCATGTTGGTCAGGCTGGTCTCGAACTCCCAACCTCAGGTGATCTGCCTGCCTCAGCCTCCCAAAGTGCTGAGATTACAGGTGTGAGCCACCACACCCGGCCCCACTTATTTCCTCAGATTAGTATTGGGAGGCGTGAGTGACCTCATGTGTAAAGGTGCTTTGCTCAAATGCAGGGGACCTGCTCTGAAGGAAGGGGCTAGGCTCTGGGAGACTGTTTTAGGGGACCTGTCAAACTGAGCAGTTTTTAAGATCAGAAAGAATTGTTTTCTCCCCTCACCCTTGGTGAGGACCAGCATTGCCTGCCAGGGTTACACCCATCCCTCCAAGCCTTCCGCCCTCCTCTAAGAAGTGAGATTGTAACTCAGCCACTATTGGGCTGTGACATTTCTTCGCCTCTGAGGCACAGCCAAGAACATGGCCTCACTCTCCCTCCCACCCCTCTTTCCTTTTTCCTCCCTTTCTCCTGCCTTCTCTTCATTTCAAACAAGTGAGTTGTGTTAGTTGGTTTTTTAATGAGGTTTTTCCAGCCTCTTGTTTTTTTGTCCTTGACAATAAAGAACTCCCAGTTACCCAAAGCTGAAAATAAAATTTGGCAGAAGTAAGCCAAAAGTATAGTCTCATTGGTGTTGATATTTTTAAGCCTCTCTTGAGAGAGAGAGACAGAGAGAGAGAGAGAGAGAGAGAGAGAGAGAGAGACAGAGAGAGAGAGAGAGAGAGAGAGACAGAGAGAGAGAGAGAGAGAGAGAGGTGGTGGGGGGTCCTCTGGGAGACAGGGGCAAATCGTCATGGAATAAGAATCTGTTTGAGCACCCTGGGGTGAGGACTTTATATCTTTTTCTGAAAACAAGGCGCCTTCCTTTTTTTTTAAAGGCGTGTTGTGGCTATTTTGATGCCTTTTGAAAGTGCCACAGTTAATTTGATTGAGCTGCTAAGCAGTTGGTTTAAAAAAAAAATGAAAGAAAAAGGAGAATGGTCACATGGATTTAGCATCACACGGGGAATTCGCTGTAACCCAGCCATCTTTTAGGCAGCTGATGACCACGGGCCAGATTGTTCATTTCACAAAGGGGAGGCTTTTAAAAATGAGAAGACTTTTGTCTAGAGCCCAAACTTCCCCAGGGGGAAGGACTCATTTATAACCCGTTCTGATTATTCTTCTCCTCTGAAATCTCACTGGTTGAATATGAATTTATGTGGAGCACTCAGCTACAACATGGAAATAAGTAGTGCAGTGAGCAGTTAGCATAAGGGAGTTCCAGCCCCGGGTTCTAGTCTCAGCTTTGACCCTCCCTGGTAAGCTGTATAATCACAGGAGTGGCCCTGAACGGACTTAGGATTTGGTTTTCTACTCTGTGAACTGAAGCTAATTTCTCCTACCTGGGAGGATTGATATGGAAGAGAAAAGTTGTTGATAATGTAAAAATGCTTTGAGAAATATCTTAGCTGTTCTCAAAATTATAAACTCGGGAGTGTGGAGGGGGTTGGTGAATTTGGGGAGAAATTGGTGACCAAGGGTCTCCAGTTCCTTCCTCCATATGGCATCTCTGTCAAAAGTTGAGCCTCTGTTTCCTTAATAGGCCACTTCCCTCCAAGGATTCAGGGACCATTCATCACCGTGGTGCCTAGTCCCCAGGAGGTCAGTGGCCTGCTGCGGTGCTCAGCTGCTGGTAAGTGATCCAGCAGAAGCAGGCAGCCCTGGCTTATCCATGGCCCCCTGGCCCCTGTGTGGGTTCCTTGGCTCCGTGTTTCTCGTCTTTCCCAGACGCTTCTTCCCTTCTTGTTTGCACATTCTTCCTGGAGGAAAATGATAGCTCATTGTCAAAGGTTGGGCGGGAGACGAGGTAAGAACTGTTAGTGTCTGTGAGATGTTTGGGGATTTCCAGCTGGAATCCTCACACTTCTTTGGCTGGAGCCGCCTTCCTCTGTGTTCTCAGTGTGCTCTTGTAACCCTCTGCTAGATCACTTAGCACATGGGACATACTGGGACTCTTCCCATCAGGCTGCAAACTCCTCCAGAGGCAGGGACCCCATCCTTCTGATTCTCTGTATCCCCAGTGCCAGACATATGCTAAGCACTCGAGAAATGTTTCAATCAGTGAGTGAATTAGAGGCGGGAGAGACCCTACCTCCTTTATCATACACATTGATGA
The DNA here is from genome assembly GCF_000001405.40 of Homo sapiens. Taxonomy (NCBI): domain Eukaryota; kingdom Metazoa; phylum Chordata; class Mammalia; order Primates; family Hominidae; genus Homo; species Homo sapiens. The sequence continues at coordinate 61,324,284 of NC_000017.11, forward strand.
AACTGAAGCCTAGAGCTAATATGTGAGGTGATCACACAGAGGATACTAGAACTAGGATTAGACTAAGGCAGAGATTCACCCATTTGACCCCTGCAAGGCTGATCACTGTCAGGGCAGGGCAGGGAGAGGCTGCCCCGAGTATGTGTGGTAGTATTAATATATGTACATGTAATATTTGTGTGCGTTTAATCCCAGTTCTAGTATATCCTGACTATGGTATATCTATATATATCCTGACCCCGGGTTGGCTGTGTGTTAAAAAATCAAACTGAAATCGCCTCCAAAAGGAAGGCAGCACTGAATGACAGTAAAGTAAGGGCTGGGCCTGGGGTCAGCAGCCTGGCGTCCAGCCCTGCCAGCCACTAGCTGTTTGACCTTGGCTGAGTCATTTCCTCTCCCTCATCTCATTTGCCTTGTTTATAAAATGGTATCCAGCCAGGCACGGTAGCTCACTTCTATAATCTCAGAAGGCGGGAGGATCAGTTGAGCTCAGGAGTTCAAGACCAGCCTGGGCAACCTAGTGAGACCTCATCTCTATGAAAAAAAAAAAAAAAGAAGAAACAAAAAAGAAGATGTAGACTGTGTGATCTCTGAAATTTCTCCATGTTCAAAAGTCTAACCTTCGAAGACTTCTAAGAGTTTTAGAAGAAAAGTTTGAGCTGCTAGAGGAGAAAGAGGAAACAGTTTAAAAATTAAGTTAGAGAGTTCTTGCAAAGGAGATGTTTTTGTTAGAGACACTGAAAATTCTTCTCTTAAAACCATTTCCACTAGAGGCCATCCCACCATGCACAGTTAGCCTGGGCTTTAAAACCCCGCTCCCTCCACTGCCAAATGAGTTGCTGATGGGAATTTTTTGAATGTTTGACTCTGTGTCTCTGTGGACCACAACAGGACCACAGGCTGTTACACAGTTAGCATTTAACTTACATTATGAAGTGACAGAATCGCACTTGTGTGGCTGATAGAGACCATTGCAAGTAACTAACAACCGTACAAATAGCGCCCTGACCTTTTCATATCTGTGGGGCCTGATTCTCAACCTCCATCCTGTCCTGCACATACTCGGCGTGGCCTCTCCCCACCCTGCCCTGAACAGTTATTAGGGCTCACAGGGCTTGCAGGGTGACCCTCTGCTCCAGGGATATGGGCACTGCCTGGAGGGTGGTGAGCCTTTCCTGGGAAGACCTGCACTGGCTCTCCCTGAGGGCTTTCCATACCAATTCATTCTTGGTCAGTGGCAGGCACATTTCACACTGAATTCCACCCCATGGGGCTGTGTCTAATTGGACAAATTTGAACAGCAGGCAGCACAGCCACTGCCGCAGGGAGCATTGATATATGGCCCAAGCAAGGGACTAAAATCTTAAAGTGACAGGGCCCCGTTTTCAAAGAATAACTGGCTGGCTTCCAGGAGTAACAGGCCTGATGATGACCAGCAGGAGAGAGATGGGCCAACTCCACAAAGCAGGGGCTTTTTTAGGGAGGTGTTTTTGAAATGAGTGTCTCCATTTTTCCTGGTCTTGGTGGCAAGATAAACAGGATAGGGTGGTCCCTGGGGACAGTCATCTGGGACCCAGTCATGCTGAATGTTTCTCTCACTAGAGACTCACTGTATCTGTATCCAGATTAAATCTGGCTAATATATACTGCAGGGAAGCCTCGGCAGAGAACAGAGTGAAAAATCGTGTTGTCATACATTACTAAGCACCCACCATTCATTTGTTTGGCATCCATCAAATCTCTATAAATGCTAACTGTGTGTGCTATTAAATGCGCACTGCCCGGACACAGTGGAGCTTGTGAAGTTTGTGGTCTAGGAGGGGAAAAGACATTAATCAGATAATCTCACAAATTAACATAATTACAAATTGTGTGAAGTATAATGAAGGAAAAATTCCATGTGGTATGAGAGCATCTGAAAAGGGTATGCAGGGAGAGTTTCCCTAAGGAGGTCCCATTTAAGCTTGGCTCTAATGGGTGAGATAAATCAGCAAAGGGAGTAAGAGGGGAAGAGGAAAAAGAAATGCTTAAGGAGTTGAAAGAGGGCCTGGGTGGCTGGAGCTCAGCACCTAAGCGGGACAATAGCCTGGGGTGACTGTGGGGTCTTGCTGCTCATGTGGACTTTAGTTTTATCCTAAATGAGAAGCATGTTTTCAGCAGAGGGTGAGTTTTGAAAAGATCACTCTGACCTTACTGTGGAAGACAGGAGACTGTTAGAGAAGTCGAGTAGAACATGATGGAATGGATTAGGCTGGCCCAGTAGCAAATAGAAGTGGACAGTAATGAGTGTTATTTAGGAGGTAGATTCCACAGGGCTTTGTTACGGAGTGGACATGGGTGGGTGGAGAGGAAGAGATGTTAAGGATGCTCCCCAGTTTTCTGGCTTACTTCACTCATTTGATGTCATTCACTAAGAGCTCCTAGTCACATGGAGGAGGAGGCTTGGATACATTACATTTCCAGTGGATTTGAAGATGTTAAATCTACAGTCAGATCTATGGGTCTTCAGCACAGAAGAGGTGTTTGGTCTAGGGGTTTCCTTAGGAAAGAATGGGGAGAGAAGAATGGGAGGTGATAAAAAGATGGATTGGACACCATCTCTCCCTTTAGGCAACTCAAAATCTATTTGTATTTGTTGTTAGAGGAAGAAAAGAAAAAAGAAATAACAAATAGTAGAAGGAAAAATATTTTTAAAGGAAATATAAAAGGGCAATAAAATTTTTAATTAAAAAACAAAACAGGCCGGGCGCGGTGGCTCACACCTGTAATCCCAGCACTTTGGGAGGCCGAGGTAGGCAGATCATGAGGTCAAGAGATTGAGACCACCTGGCCAACATGGTGAAACCTCATCTCTACTAAAAATACAAAAATTAGCTGGGTGTGGTGGCGGGCGCCTGTAGTCCCAGCTACTAGGGAGGCTGAGGCAGGAGATCACTTGAACTCAGGAGGTAGAGGTTGCAGTGAGCCAAGATTGCACCATTGCACTTCAGCCTGGCAACAGAGTGAAACTCCGTCTCAAAAATAAAATAAAATAAAAATAAAAATAAACAAACGTTTAAAAAATCAATTTTAGAGGCAATTGGACTACAGAGTCAAGGAGACATTTACAAGTTAATATAATAAATGTAAATGTTTATGACATCATAGAATTGTAATGAGACTATATTGAGGGTTAGATAACAGGCAAGTATGTGGAGATGAGGGAGCAAATAGAAAATGAAGCAAAATTTTTTTTTTTTTAGACAGAGTCTCACTCTGTCACCCAGGCTGGAGAGTAGTGTAGTGTCACAGTCTTGGCTTACTGCAACCTCCGCCTCCCGGGTTCAAGACATTCTCCTGCCTCAGCCTCCCGAGTAGCTGGGATTACAGGCATGTACCACCAAACCCCACTAATTTTTGTATTTTTGGTAGAGATGGGGTTTCACCATGTTGGCCAGGCAGGTCTCGAACTTCTGGCCTCAAGTGGTCCAGCTGCCTCAGCCTCCCAAAGTGGTGGAATTACAGGCATGAGCCACTGCGCCCTGCCCAAGATCTGACTGAATAACACAAAGGTGACATCCAGTTCAAGGAACTTAGTGGTAGGTGTGACTTTAAGGTTTGCAATGGTTGATCAGACACTGTTGGTGTAAATTGGTGCACCCTTTTTGGAAGGCAGTTTGGTAGTAACCATTATACATTAATAGTTTATTCTTTTTCACCCAGCAATTTATTTTCTAGGAATTTATTCCACAAAAATATAGGTAAAATTATTAAGGTATAGACAAAAGCACTGTTGTAACGGCAAAGGAAAAAAAATGAAATAATTTAATTATTGGTCTGCAGAGAGAGTAACAATAAATTTTAGTATGCACATATCGTGGAATAACCTATAGCTTTAAAAAAAAAACCTTAATAACATTTTTAAGTTTTAAAAAAGCAGGTGAAAAACAATGTGTATAATATGATCCTATAGAGAAAGAAAAAACTAGTAGAAGCATAAAGCTCCATTAACAGTGCTTGTCTCTGGGGAAGTAAACAACAAAAACAAACAGGGAATTCTCACTCTGTTTTGTGGTTTTATATAGTTAAAATAGTTTACAATTACCATTGTCAGTTAATTCAGACTGCTATAACAGAATACCATAGACTAGGTGGCTTAAACAACAGGAAGTTTATTTCTCACAGTTCTGGAAGCCAAAGTCCAAGATCAAAGTGCCAGCAAGCCTGGGCACAGTGGCTCACACCTGTAATCCCAACGCTTTGTGAGGCCGAGGCTGGCGGATCACTTGAGCCCAGGAGTTCAAGACCAGCCTGGCAACATGGCGAAACTCCGTCTCTACAAAAAATATAAAATTAGCCAGGTGTGGTGGTGTGCGCCTGTAGTCCCAGCTACTCAGGAGGCTGAAGTGGGAGGATCACCTGAGCCAGGGGTGGTCAAGGCTGCAGTGAGCCCTGATTGTGCTGCTGCACTCCAGCCTGGATGACAGAGTGAGATCCTGTCTCAAAAAACAAGACAACAAAAACAAAATGCCAGCACATCTGGTGTGTGCTGAGGACCCACTCCCTGGTTTACAGGTAGCCATCGTCTTTCTGTGCCTTCACATGGCAGAGCATGAAGACGCAGGCTCTTTTTTTTTTTTTTTTTTTTTTGAGACGGAGTCTTGCTCTGTCGCCCAGGCTGGAGTGCAGTGGTGCAATCTCAGCTCACCGCAACCTCCGCCTCCTGGGTTCAAGCAATTCTCCTGCCTCAGCCTCCCGAATAGCTGGGACTACAGGTGCCCACCACCACGCCCGGCTAGTTTTTTGTATTTTTAGTAGAGATGGGGTTTCACCATGTTGGCCAGGCTGGTCTTGAACTCCTGACCTCAGGTGATCAGCCCGCCTCGGCCTCCCAAAGTGCTGGGATTACAGGCGCCTGGCCAAAGCAGGCTCTTTTTCTAAGGGCACCGATCCTATCATGAGTACTCCACCCTTGTGACCAAATGTGCCCCACCGCCAAATACCAAAACATCAGGGGTTAGGGTTAATATAAACTTTGGGAGGACACAAACATCCAGGCCATGTTATTATTATTATTATTATTTTTTTTTTTTTTTGAGACGGAGTCTCGCTCTGTCGCCCAGGCCGGAGTGCAGTGGCGCGATCTCGGCTCACTGCAAGCTCCGCCTCCCGAGTTCACGCCATTCTCCTGCCTCAGCCCCCCAAGTAACTGGGACTACAGGCGCCCGCCACCACGCCCGGCTAATTTTTTGTATTTTTTAGTAGAGACGGGGTTTCACCGTGTTAGCCAGGATGGTCTCGATCTCCTGATCTTGTGATCCACCGGCCTCGGCCTCCCAAAGTGCTGGGATTACAGGCGTGAGCCACCATGCCCGGCCTATGTTGTTATTTTTCTAATCAGAAATAATAGTAAAGACTTTTGAAGAGAACAGAAGTGAGAGGGCAGGAATGGTGACTGACTATGGAATAGCTCCGGGTGAGGGTGAGGAGGAGGAAAAGGGGTTCCATCCTACGTTCGTCCTCGGCGCTCACCTCCTCCAAGCTTACCTGCAGGGCTTTGCTGCACTTATCCATGAAGACCGCAAGACGCCGCTTACCTGCTCAGTCTTCGAGCAGCTGTCCCTGATTATGAAGTTCAGAGTGGCTGTTTAACGAGCATTTAGTGAGAATTTCCTTTTAGCAGACACTGTTAGGCGCTAGAAATATAAAAATGAAGAAGACACCGTCCCTGCCCTAACAGAACTTATTGTTGAGGGGGAGAAATTGCCAAGTAAACCAATGTTGCAGTACAGAATTTAGTCTAGATGCCCGGAGGTCTCTTCTGAGTTGAAAAGCCTTCAATTCACTGAAGATGGTCTCTGAAATTTCTAGTTCTTTTCATAGGCTGAGAGAAGGGCTAAGAGTAGGTTTTTTATTTCTTCGTTTCTTCCTACCTTCCTTCCCTTCCCTTTTCTCTCCACCTCTTCTCTCCCCTCCCTCCCTCCCTCCCTCCCTTCCTTTCTTTCTCTCTTGAGACCTGGTCTTGCTCTGTCACCCAGGCTGGAGTAGTACAGTGGCGCAATCACGGCTCACTGCAGCCTCAAACTCCTGGCCTTAAGTGATCCTCTGGCCTCAGCCTCCCAAAGCACTGGGATTACAGGCATGAGCCACCATGCCCAGCCAGTAGTTTCTCACTTTCCCAAGTGTTCACTTTGAATTGGCCTGGGCCCCCAAATGCAGGCCTTCATTCCCTGGGCAGCAGGACATTCTTCTCAGTGGAAGGTTTTATGAAAGAGGTCAGCATGTGCCTCTGCGGCCAGTGGACTAAGTCCATGATGAAGCTGAGACTCACATTCCCACGCTATAGACTCCATAGCTTCTCAGACCTCCACAGCCACAGGCCCCCAGGAGTCCCCCTGCCCATCTGGCTATTCCTCAGAAACACACACCAGTGAGCACACAGGGGACACCTGAAGTGCACAGAGGACTCCGGCAGCAATGGCCAGGGAATGAGGAGACCCGAGTTCTAATCCCAGCACTATCACTGTACTCCATAGCATGACTGGGAACAAGTAACTTTCTTTCCCTGGGCTTCAGTTTCCTCATTTGCAGAATCAGCCAATGGTGGTGAATGGTCTCTGCCAGCGTTGACATCCTGTAATCATTGTCATTGTGTGACAGTTCTGCCATCTCTCTACTAGGTCAGGTGAAACCACCTCCCAAAGGGCCTCTCTGGGCGGTGAGTGTGCACTAGCACAGTGCCAGGGGAGCTGTTGAACAAATGCAACTCCTTGTTGAAAACTACTATAGGTGCTTTCCGTAGGGGTGAGAAAAGCATATAAGACCATGTCCTGCGTTCTGGGAGCTTCCAATTTTCCCAGAAAGGTCAGAGAAATACACATGAAACAGATGAAACAGTAGCAGCCCTAGAAGCCTCAGCACACAGGGGTAGGGGATGGAGAAGATGGGGGCTAGAGTGGGAGGGGGGCTTTTTGGCTGGACAGTTGCCAAAGGTTCCTGCTGATCTTCAGAGTTTTTCCTTTCACAAAGCATGTGACAAGTGCTTTGCCTTGTTTCATTCTGGGACGTTCTGTTCTCTGGATCTGTTTCTGACAGGATATGATCACTGGAGCTTCCAAAATTTCTTTGGGAGTGGGGAGAGGGTTGGCAAGCAGCCAGATGCCCCTGTCGCTTTATTTGGCACAGGAGGAGGTCACCAGGTTCAAGCCCAGAACTAGTTCAAAACTTTAGCCTCAAGGAAAAGGTCCAGGCCAGGCACAGTGGCTCATGCCTGTAATCTCAGCACTTTGGGAGGCTGAAGTGGGAGGATCACTTGAGCATAGGAGTTCAAGACCCCCCTGGACAACAGGGTGAGACCCCATCTCTATTTTTAAGTTTTTATTTTTAATTTCTTTTAAATGGAAGGAAAAAAAGAAAAAGGTTCAAATAATATAATCCTTCCTACATCCCACTCCTAGCAGTGTGGGAAAGTGAAAGGAGAATTCTTGTGACGAGAACTCATGAACACAGAACAAATTTGTGTCACTCCAGTCGAGCGTGGCTTCTCAGTGTGTACTCAGCACGTGGCAGGTGTGATTGTTGGCCTGAGGTGATGACCTGCCTGAATCCTCAGCCCATCACCAGGGCTGGCAAGAGCTTTATCTGCCCATAACTGAGCCCATGATGGGCTCGAGTGGTATGCTTTTTTGGGGTTTGTACCAAACCGGCCTTTTTCCCTGTTTCATCCTGTGCTGGTCTGTCTCTTTTGCATGTTTGGGCTAATCTTCTCCATATGCGTGTCTGGTTTGGCATGTGGGTCTCGACCTCCCATGAGCAGGGCGAGGCTGCCTCAGACAAGTGCAGAGAGTTGCCACCCAGCCCGCCGGGCTCTGGAGCTGGGCCACGGGCTCCTCTCTCTGGAAAGGCTCTGCAGAGAGACACCTGGATGGCTTCTCTTCTATGTTTCGGGGACATGAGAAGAAGGCATTCTTAGAACAGATACTGCCTGGTGACCCACCTAAAACAGTCTTACTAGGACAGCAGGCTTAAGGTATGCCCAGCGCTCAGACACCTAGTCATCCAGGCCCTGAACATCCTGCTCTGACTACAGCGTCCCCTCCCCTCCCTCCACCATCCGAGAGGTCAGCTTCCTTCACCATGGGAGCCCCTGCTTGCCATGTTTGTGAGGGGCAAACACTTCACTGGTTGGTAGGGCTTATGGCTCCATATTGAAAGGAGGGAAACAATTTGACAGCAAGAAAAGAATCTCCTAAAGAGACTGTTGCAGTTTTACAGAGTTCTTTCCAACTGATTGCCTCTGCTAATCTCTATACTACCCTGTGACATAGGAATTATTATCCCCATCTTTTATTATTATTTTTTTTTATTTTTTGAGATAGAGTCTTGCTCTGTCACCCAGGCTGGAGTGCAATGGCATGATCTCGGCTCATAGCAGCCTCCACCTCCCAGGTTCAAGCCATTCTCCTGCCTCAGCTTCCTGAATAGCTGGGATTATAGGCGTCTGCCACCACGCCTGGCTAATTTTTGTATTTTTAGGAGAGACGGGGTTTCACCATGTTAGCCAGGCTGGTCTCAAACTCCTGACCTCAGGTGATCTGCCCGCCTTGGCCTCCCAAAGTGCTGGGATTATAGGCGTGAGCCATGGCACCCGGCCTATCCCCATCTTAAAAAGGAGGCAGCTAAGGCTCAGAGAAGTCATATTACAAGTCTAGGGCAGAGCGGGGACTATATTCTGGCTTCCTGACTCTGAGTTCAGTAACCTTTCTAGAATACTGCCCTCCCTAAACCTACACTGCTGCAGCCTGGAGGTTCCACAAGCCCTTTCTCATAGACCCCAGCAAGGTGCTTTCTCCCTGGACCCCACTCACACCTATTTCTGGACCTTTATTGGCAGGTGGGTCAGAGAGGACACCTGTGTGATCAGAGAAACAAAGTCTGGTGAGAGGAGCAAGTGCAGTTATGCACAGGGAGCAGCTGGTCCCTCAGACCTTGCCAGCCACTTCTGCGGTGGTTGTCGGTCTTGGAAAAGCTCCATCTTCAGAGGGGTTTGTGCCCAGCAGCTGATCTCTGCCTGTAATCTTCAGAGGGCACCAGTTCTTACCAGACAATAGCTGTCTATGACCTCAAGCCAGGCCTAGGACAAAGTGGAGACGTCCTGTGAGGCAGGCAGGCCTCTGTCTCAGCATCACCAATAGCTCACCCTCCTGTCCACTCACATTGTGGCGCCCCCGACCCTTGCCAATCCCGTGCAAACCACGCAATGTCTGCCAGCGCTCACTGCCTTCCTGAGCCCAACAGCCCCTTTCTTGCCCACTAAACTAGCACTAGAGCTTTATCAAGTTCTTGAAACTTTCTTTTTTTTTCTTTTTTTTTTTTTGAGACAGAGTCTCGCTCTGTCGCCTAGGCTGGAGTGCAGTGGTGCGATCTCGGCTCACTGCAACCTCTGCCTCCCAGGTTCAAGCGATTCTCCTGCCTCAGCCTCCCGAGTAGCTGGGATTACAGGGGCACACTACCACACCCAGCTCATTTTTATATTTTCAGTAAAATGGGGTTTCACCATGTTGGCCAAGCCGGTCTCAAACTCCTTACCTCAAGTGATCCGCCCATCTCGGCCTCCCAAAGTGCTGGGATTACAGGCATGAGCCATGGTACCCTGCCAAGTTCTTGAACCTTTCTGGTCATTTGCTTCCCTGATTGAGAGATGAGTCAGCATTCATATATTCATTCATTCATTCATTCAGATATTAATTCAACATATAATTTGATGAGTCCCTAAGAGAGCCCTAGAGACTCAGAAAGGTAATCAGACACAATCTCAGCCCTGCAGGTCTTCACAGCCTAGCAAGGGAGACAGATATGTAGACAGATGATCATGATACAGTAGAAGTATCAACAAAGAGCTTCTGAGCTCATGTCAAAGCCATCTCCCTTGAACACAGATGAGAGAGGGAGGATATGGGGATCAATAGTTACTTCCTTAGAAGTCATGGAAAAAGCACGTAGGAGACAAGGGTGAGCTGGATGACCTTGGGCAAGTTATGTAACTTCTCTGAGTTTCAATTCTCTCATCTATAAGATAGGATGATAAAACCTATGTTGCAGAGTTATGTTGTAAGAATAATGGGCCGGGCGCGGTGGCTCACGCCTGTAATCCCAGCACTTTGGGGGGCCAAGACAGACGAATCACCTGAGTCAGGAGTTCAAGACCAGCCTGACCAACGTGGAGAAACCTGGTCTCTACTGAAAATACAAAATTAGCTGGGCGTGGTGGCCCTGCCCGTATTCCCAGCTACTCAGGAGGCTGAGGCAGGATAATCGCTTGAACCTGGGAGGTGGAGGTTGCGGTGAGCTGAGATCGCACCATTGCACTCCAGCCTATGCAACAACAGCAAAACTCCATCTCAAAAAAAAAAAAAAAAAAAAAAAAACACCAAGAAAACGATGTATCCAGTCATTGAGCCAATGTCTTACACATAATAGATCCTAAGAGGGCAAAGGAGCCACGACAAATGTTGAATTGTATTTTTGGGAAACCTAAGTGTCACAGGAACAGCTCACTGTAACAGCAACCGGTATTTATTAGTGCCCAGTAAATGCTTGACCCACTGATGGGCCTTGGCCCAGTAGCTAAGGCTGAGAGACCTTTACTGCACCTGGCCTTCGCAGAAGTTGGTCTGTGGATGGGGAGAGCCTGAACCTGCCTGAGGACTGAACCTGACTGAGGTCCTGAACCTGAGCACAGGACCTCAGTTACCTGGCCACTGTGGTCATCCCAGGGGCACCCAGAACAGACCGGAGTTCTTCCTCAGGCACATCACTGCCCCAGCTTTCAGCCTGGTGTCATTTTCAGCCCATTTCTTTTTCTCACCAAGTTGACTCAGCAAACTTCCCTTAGGTTCCCTTGCCCTTTAGGCAAGTCTGCTTCCACTAAAGTCCGCAGGCCTTGTGTGTGCTCTGTACGTTCACAGCAGCGATTCCTTCCCAGGGCTAGGAGGGGGACTTTCCCCTCTGGCCTAACATGCTGAATCGTCCTTTCCAGGGCACACTCGCAATGTGTCTATAGTCAAGGTCCCTAATGTTGCAGGAGCACTTCTTCCCCTCTGACTCAGAACTACTATTTTCTGCCTGTTGGGTCTCATCAAAGGGTCTGGGCCTTTTTTCCAGTTGTAAGACTCTCAGCAATGACGCCAAGATGCCCTTTGGCCACTGCTCTTCTACAGCTGCCTCAGCTCAGAGCTCCGGGGAGTCAGGGTCCCTGTGAGTCAGGTTTTGCAGGAGAGCATCCACTCCCTAGGACTGTGCCTTCTCCTCTGGGTGCTGACTGACTTCTCTGAGAAATGCTCTTCTGGGCCAGGTGCAATGGCTCATCCTAGCACTATGGGAGGCTGAGGCAGGAGGATCGCTAGAGGCCAGAAGTTCAAGACCAGCCTGGGCAACAAAGCAAGACCCCATCTCTAGAAAAAATCAGAAAAAAAGAATTGCCTTTCTGGCTTTGAGAGTTAATTGCCTTTCATAGAAACTGGAAGCAAGGGAGAAAAAGCAGCTTCTGGTTGTATTTTCTTCTCAGAAATCTATAAACTCCAATCTGGCCAAAAACGCAAAGCACCAGAGTCTGAGCTGGAGAGTGGGCACCTGAGAGGGTACCGCCCAGCCTAGCAGCTGTGGCTGCCTGCCAGATTGACAGCTGTCTTTAGACCTCACCCCAAGGGGCTGCCAGCCCCCCACCTCGGGGAGCCCTCGCTCCCAGCCCCCTTTCCATACTTTTCAGATACAGGGCGTGTCGGCTTTCCTTTCGCGCCTCCAGCTCCAGAGGCCCTGGCCCAGTGGTGCTGCTCTGGATCAAGGCCTCGCTAAACTCCCAGCTCCCTGGTTTGCAAAGCAAACTTCAGCCTTTTACTATTTACCTTGGCAAGTCCAGGACCGGATTGATGATCTGTAAAGTGGATTTGTTATTTGGCTGTTTGCTTTGGCAGCTCTTGAAAGCACTTTGCTGATTACAGTCCCAGATGTCATTGCATACATTACCCTGCTCTATAACGGGGCTTTGAACACTTTAATTTGAACTACAAATACTATTAAGCTTTTTGCACCTCTTCTGCCTTTAGTTCTTGGATATTAAATATCGGAACAGACAGCCTGCATTCTCTTAGGCTTCTTTCCCCTGGTCTTTGTCAGCGTCCTCCCACGGAGAGCTTCAAGCTTTCTTCCTGTTCTCTGTGGGTCTTTCTAGAAACCTTACCCACCTATGCCCACCTCTAGCCCAGCTACGCTGGCAGCAGCCTTGCCAGTTTTCACATAACAGGCTTTCTAGTTTGGAAGGTGCACTGTGTTCATGCCAAGCCTGGCTTCCCCGCAGTCACAATCCTTTGTACTTTGTACTGGGGCTTCATTTCATTCATCCACAGGGGTGCTGTATCCATTTTTTGTTTGTTTGTCTTAATGTTACTGACAACTTTGTTTGGGGAAAGCTAGATTTGGGGGCATGAATGTGTCATGTCATTTTGCCCAGAGAGGAAAAGTCTTGCCCAAGGTTACACAGAAAAGGCAGCAGCAGAACTTTATCCTTTCTGGCCAGGCGTGGTGGCTCACACCTGTAATCCCAGCACTTTGGGAGGCCAAGGCGGGCAGATCACTTGAGGTCAGGAGTTTGAGACCAGCCTGGCCAACATGGTGAAACCCTGTCTCTACTAAAAATACAAAAATTAGCCAGGCTTGGTGGCACGTGCCTGTAATCCCAGCTACTCAGGAGGCTGAGGCAGGAGAATCACTTGAACCTGGGAGGTGGAGGTTGCAGTGAGCCAAGATTGCCTCATTGCACTCCAGCCTGGGTGACAGAGCAAGACTCCATCTCAAAAAAAAACAACAACAAACTTTATCCTTTCTGAACTCCAAGCCTGATATTTCTGCCCAGGCTCCCTTTTTTATACTTTATTTAAATCGCCTCACCCGAGTGGAACAGGGACGTGAGCCATGTCAGTGTCTGTAAATAGAGGCAGTTGCAGGTTCACGTATCTTGGGAAGTTATTGGTGGAGAGCACTGGTGTTCCTGGCTAATGTGGGGTCTGTGATTCAGTGTTCTCCCAGGTCAGTGCTGCTTCCGTTGTAAATAAACCATTAGCTGGGGGCCTCACCTCAGGAAGCAATTTAAGGCCCAAGAGAGGTGGCCAAAGAAGTCAGCTTGCAGCCTCTAGGAGGAGACGCTTGGCTTTGCCCACAGCCCTCGGCCCCAGGTCTTCCTCTTGGAGCAACAAAATGCTCCCAGGGATCCTCCTGCCAAGATCCTGCCAGGCTTCCCTCGCCTTTGATTTGCCAAATTCCATGTGAACAGCCTCTGCGTCTGTTACTCTCCGAAGAAAATTACAGTTTCTAGTACACCTAAACTGAATGTTGGTGGGATTGTTTTTATTGTTTTTTTTTCCTTTTTCTTTTTGCGCTCACCCCTTAAAGGTCGTTTCTGATCTACTCCCTCTCCTCTAGCCTTAAAGTGTCCACTAGGTTCTTGGCTGAAACCTTTCAGCATTTCACAAGGTGTTAGAGACAGAGAAAGCCTCCTTGTTATGGAGAATTTGTGGTGTGCCTGTGAATATTTCCACCAGTCCTGCAAGGAAGATAGTTCTATCCCATTTTATAGTTGAGGAAACCAAGGCTCGGTGAGGTAAAGCGCTTCATCCAGTACCCCACAGCTCTAGGGTATTGTTAGTCTGGGTTCTGACTTAGGAACTGCAGCGTCCCTTCTGTGTTGTGAGCAACTCAAAGTTAGGTCGAATGTCACGCTTAATGTTGTATCTCAGTGACTAACCCTGGGCCCGGCTTATGTTATGTTAGGTGCCCCATAAATATTTGTTGGATGAATAACCATAAATCCACTCAAGTGGTTCTGATTTTAAGTGACTGTGTCATCCCTGTGGCCAGTCTCTGGCGGGGGCGGTAGGGGACAAACACTTTCAACTTTGAAATATTTCAGTTGAAGAAGTTAATTCACTTTGTAAGTTTACTTTAGGAGTAGAGATTATTGCAGTATTTTTGGCCACCGCTCTCAAATTCTTCTAAACCTTTACTATAATAAGCAAATTCAGCAGATTAAGGACATACTTAACTGCCAAATGGTGTTCTGAACTGTGTAAAGTTACCAGAGTCGCTTTTTTTTTTCTTATATAAAAGATTGTGTGGGTTCTGTGAACTTCTCTGCTTTTTTTAGCTCTTCCTGTTTTATTGTGTTTGAAGTATCTTTGTGGTGACCTGTTGGGATTGGATTCTTCCATATGGAAGTGTTTCTTTAACTTTTTAATCATTTCTTTTGGGAAGTAGGTTAGGGGTAGCAGATGTTGTTCTGGCATTGTTTGCCGAGTGGAGGTAGGGGCTTTTGGATCTGTGAGTCAGGCCAAAGCCAGCCTGGAAGAAGAAGGCTGTCCCAGGGGTGGGAGGCTGCCCATCACTGTTGGATCTGGCAGTGCAGGCCCGCGTGGGAGTCGTAGCTCCCTGTGTCCTCACTCTGAGTAACGCCTTTTCCATTTCCTAGGAAGAATACATTTTCCCCTGTGACACTGAAAAGTTATTTTTTTTCAGTGTCCCAAGGCAAATTCTTATCAGTCCTCAAATGGGAAGCCTATCTGGTGCCCTTACTGGGAAAAAAAAAAAAAAAAAAAAAAAAAAAAGCAGAAAGGAAAAACAGCAAATAAGATGAACTCTTCTTTCTCCCCCTTCATGGCAGTCAAGTCCCTCTTCATACCCCATTTCTTAGTGGGCCAAAGTTTAACATCTTGGTTTTGGGAAAAAAAAAAATTCACAAAGACCCATCTGCCTCTCCCATTTTCTCATGTTCTTTTGGACTCTATTACTCAATCAGTGACATGTGACCCCCTGGGAAGGTTGTTCTGTGGAGGATGCAGAAACTGACGATTGGCAGTCATCTTCCCAGCTCTCGGCTTCAACCCTGATTCTGACAGTGGCAGGCGCCACTTGCCCTTGGTCGGTTTTACTCCCTGCCCCTAGTGCCCACCTCTCCTTCATCCCAGGTCACACCCAAAAGCCAATGAAGAAAGGGTTTTGGTTTGGTGAGTGCACTGGCTCCCTTGGATCCAGGGGATAAGGATACAATGGGAAGGCCCATGAAGCCGCCTAAAGGAGCTCAAACTAGCATTTCCCTTGGCATTCTATTCCTTTCTTGACCAGACCAAGGCTTTGCAGGTAAACTAGGGAATCTCAGCATCTAAAGACTGAGGAGGCTGGAAACATTGGCTCAAGCCTGTAATCCCAGCAGTTGGGAGGCCAAGGTGAGCAGATCACCTGAGGTCAGGAGTTCGAGACCAGCCTAGCCAACATGGTGAAACCCCTTCTCTACTAAGAATACAAAAATTAGCCGGGCGTGGTGGTGCCCATCTGTAATCCCAGCTACTCGGGAGGCTGAGGCAGGAGAATCGCTCGAACCTAGGAGGTGGCGGTTACAGTGAGCTGAGATCGCGCCACTGTACTCCAGTCGGGGCGACAAAGCGAGACCCCATCTAAAAAAAAAAAAAAAAGACCAAGGAGATGAGTGGAAGAGCCAGTAAAAGAGACTGCAAAGTAGCGGCCGGAAAGATGGGAGGAAAACCAGGTGAGTGTGCTGTCCCGAAAGCCAAGTAGAGAGAGGGTCAACTATGTCGAAAGCACACTTGACCTGCTGAAAGATGAGGCCAGATGATAACTGAGAAATGGCTGTGGGATTCAATAATGTGGAAGTCTCTGCATTAATTGATTTGTTGAAAAAGAAACGGGGACGACATTAACTTTGGAAGAGCGGTTTCAGTACAGAGAGGGGGCAAAGCCTCATTGGAGTGTGTTCAAAGAGAGAAAGGGAGGAAAGCAGTTGTAGACAGCAAGTCCAGACATCTCTTTCAAGGAGTTTTGATTAAGGGAAAGAGAGAAATGGGGGCGGTAACTAGAAGAGGAAATGAGGTCAAGAAGGTCTTTCTTTTTTTCTTTTTAATGGAAGAAATACTAGCATAGTGATGGCAAGAGGGGGTGGGGGCTGGTGCATACATGGAGGGATTGACCTTGGTAGAAGGAAGGGGGACTGTGTATACACAGATGCAGGGGGTGGGTGGATTCCAGGACAGGACTTTAAATACCTTTCTGATGGCTTCCATTTTCTCGATGAAGCCGTCATCTAAGCCCTCCACTGAAAGCGAGAATGGTGGAGAAGATATTGACAGTTTGAGGGTAGAGGAGAAACGATGAAGTAATCATTTAGGAGGGTGAAAGAGTGAATGCGCTCAGGAAATAGCACTGGAGGGCAGCATTAAAGGTCCGTCTGGTGTGAGTGATCATCAGGTCAGGCTCAGACCCGTTAGCATGGTGTGCTTTCCTCCCTGCTGTGAGTCGCTGCGGGGGACGGGGAGTGGGTAGAAGTTGGATTTAACAAGGTTGTGGTTTCACCAGGCCGGTATGGCCAAGGGAAAGAGGGATGCAGAAGCTGAGAGTGTGTGCAAGGGACTGAGTCTAACAACTGGATGTGGTGGGAAGAGAGGACATGGAGTTGGGGGATAGTGAAAAGCAGGCGGGATCAATGTATTATACACCCTGGTGAGGCTGAAGGCTGCTTGGAATTGGGTTAGCAGAGGCAGAGAACCAGAAGGAGAAGAGACAACAGTCAGTGTGGGATATATGAGATTAGGATTGTGATGAGATTTGCAGTTATTGTTAATTCCATCAAAGGAAGAGCCATGGCAGTGAGTGGCAGAGGGGATGGAGAAGGGCGCTGGAAGGGAGGAGGGTCAGGGCCTGAGAGGCCAGGTTGCTGACAGGGTCATCTGTGTGAGTATGATCGGGTTAGTGTTGTGACACTGTTAGAGTGGCAGTGAAGCAGAAGCTGGAATCGTTAAGGAATAGGGAGTGTGAGTGTGCTGAGGGCATGGGGCGGGCACAGGAACAGACTGTAACAAGAAGGGGCAGTGGGTGGAATAATCTTACAACACAGTCAAAGTTGGGGGTTTTATGAAAGAAAGAAAAGTCTGCATCTACGAGGAGCAAAAAGAACATCAGCTCCCACCCTGGTCTAAGGGATGAGAGAGAGAAGTCAGCCACCACAGGAGAGGACTCCGGGGCAGGCGGTGTCCTCAGAGGAGAGCCTGGTATTTCCCCAAATACGGCAGTTTAGAATTTACAGAGAGAGTGAGCGTATGGACACTTCCTGTTCTATCTGATCCTTTCAGTAACCCTTCAAGTGGAGAGGCAGGTACATTATCCCTGTTAGGCACATAAAGACACTGAAGCTGGTGGAGCCGGAACACTGGTGCAGTGGCACTCAGCCCGCTGCTGATGGATCCTGGTCTTCTGACTCCAAGTTCAGTGCTCTTTCCACAGCATCATACTGCCTGCCTTTAGGAGGCCAGCAGTCCCTCCACAGAACCCCTAAAATCACACTCGATTGACAGTTGCAACTGAAAAGCACACCCAGTCCAAAGCCGCAATGGTTGTTATCACGCTGCTTCCATAAAGTGAGATTCAGCCCCCAAAGATGGGTTCAGGGAGTGGCAATCATCCGGCCTTTTCTCTGCGATACCCAAAATATCTTAAAGTCAGTAGCCAGTACTAGGACACAAGTGGGTACTCCCTTTCAGGGATGATTTGGATAGCAATTTTTGGATGGAAATCATAGTTTTAAGAAAGTTCCGAGGCCACAACTTTCTAGATATGATAGACAGAAAAGTGATTATGAGACGTGGACAGGCAGTGGGGGCAATCATGAACTTCGGACAGTGGTTTAGGGCTTGGTTCTTTTGAGACAGAGTCTCAGTCTTTCGCCCAGGCTGGAGTACAGTGGTGTGATCTCGGCTCACTGCAACCTCCACCCCTCAGGGTTCAAGCAATTCTCCTGCCTCAGCCTCCTGAGTAGCTGGGACTACAGGCATGCACCACCACACCTGGCTAATTTTTGTATTTTTAGTACAGACGAGGTTTCACTAAATCTCCATTCAGAAGCTACTCTGGCACCATACACAACGGTGCACAATTGAAGGGCTTGTTCTGCTCCTCCACATGGCACCTTTAGAAACGTCACTTCCCCACCTTGTGTGGCAACAGCCTTGGCCAACGTGCTTATGAAGAGCCATGGCAGGCTGGTCTTGAACTCCTGACCTCAGGTGATCCACCCACATCAGCCTCCCAAAGTGCTGGGATTACAGGCATGAGCCACCGTGCCCAGCCTAGGGCCTGGTTCTTAAGAACGCCATTCCCTTCTTGATCCTCAGGCCCAGTGAGTGAGGCAGTGTGGCAGTCCAGGACCTCCCAACGCCGAGCACATCCTCTCTCCTTCCTCGCTGGGGCAGATGCTTACACAGGTAGAGAGCCCAAGCCCAGGCTAGCAGCCTCAGTTGCTCAGTCATGCAGCAGGCGTATGCTGACCCCCTGTTACAGTCCTGGGCAGACAGAGATGTGCACCACACTACAGAAATAAACACAGTAAAGGGCTAGAGGTTTCTATCATGTACTGTATGAAGAGATTTTCTTTTCTTTTTTTTTTTTTTTTGTGAGATAAAGTCTCCCTCTGTAGCCCAGGCTGGAGTATAGTGGTGGGATCTCGACTCTGTAACCCCCGCCTCCTGGGTTCAAGTGATTCTTCTGCCTCAGCCTCCGAACTAGCTGGGATTATAGGCATGTGCCACCACATCCAGCTAATGTTTTTGTATCTTTAGTAGAGACAGAGTTTCACCAGGTTGGCCAGGCTGGTCTTGAACTCCTAATCTCAGATGATCCACCCACCTCGGCCTCCCAAAGTGCTGGGATTACAGGCGTGAGCCACTGAGCCCAGCCGAGATTTTCTTTTAAAGGAAGGTGAGAGAGTAACTTCTTGGCCACCTTATCCTATTTTCCCAGGCTCCTGGGCCACCGAGGAGGGTCAATTCGTGGAGGGGTGGCACCAAATGCCTCTATCATCCCTCTCTGCCATGGCTCTTCATAAGCACGTTGGCCAAGGCTGTTGCCACACAAGGTGGGGAAGTGACGTTTCTAAAGGTGCCATGTGGAGGAGCAGAACAAGCCCTTCAATTGTGCACCGTTGTGTATGGTGCCAGAGTAGCTTCTGAATGGAGAGAATTACACAGGTCTCCGTCCTGTTCTCTAAGTACCAATGGTCAGGCAGACACACCGACCCAGGCAGGAGCAGCGATCTGGCCATGGTTTATAGCAACAGGGAGTGCATCAGAATCACCTGATGAGCTTTTTAAAGATACAGATGCCCAGGCCCCAAACTTTTGCCCCAGAAGTTCTGACTCTAGTCTGGAGTGGGCCTTGTAGCTCCATGCATTTGAAAAACTCACTTGATGTGAGGCCCCTTGGAGAAGTACTGGTTGAGGAAGCGTATGCAGAGGTTTGAGCCAAACAACTGGATGGCAAGGCAACAGACATCCCACTGCCGTTCCTCTGCCACCTCTGAGTGTGATCAGATGTCTCTCCTGTCAGATTCCCTTTCCAATATTATCCTCCAGGAACTTGTGATTATCCTCTGTCTAAGTCAAAAGCAGCTTAATTCCTCTAAAAACAGTGCCCGTTGGGCATTTTGCCTGGAGAGAGAGAAGCAAATCTGTGTCAGCGTTCTTTGCTCAGTTCTGCTCTGCAGCCCCCATGGCGACACCCTCTCTCTTTGGACCACCTCCTCCCCTTTCGCTTCCTTCCACACAGTCCAGTGCTTTGTTAGGTACCTGCATCCCAGCAGGACTGGGGACCTGGCTGGATGTGGGCTTGGGTAGAGTTGGCCAGATGAAATGTGGTTGGCAAGAAGGTCCTGAGTGTGCTGAGACAGGCAAGAGTCAGTAATAAGATCAGAGAGTAGAAGACTAGGGCCAGGAGCGTGGGACAGGCTAAGGATGCCGGCTAGCCCCCAATCCCAGAGAGCATGCAGCTGAGTCTAAGAGAGGCTTCACTGATACCCATAAGGAGGCGGAATATGCAAACCCTCTTTGCTTAGGAGAACCTGAGTTCACCTGCCAAAATCATCCTTTGACATTAAAAAAAAAAAATCCCCTTGCTTTTAAAGAGCCAACCTCTTACCAGTTGCTTCTCTTTTGTCAGAGACATGGGCCTCTTCAACCAAGTCTCTGGGTCTTCTTGTCAAGACTAATTTCCTTTTAGGCCCAGCTTCATCTTCACGGGGACTTTCTTCCATCTGTGCACTGATGTTAGTGTCCCGTTGTCATTTAAGTCCTTGATTCTCTGAGACCACTATAGAGACTTTAAAGAAGGTGGGTCCTAAGTTTTGAGGGTACCATGGAGAGCAAAGTAGATGATATCTCTGCCCCCATGGGGCTTATATTCTAGAGGAGGAAACAGCCAGCAGTGGCAGTAGTGTGTTACATGCTGATAGGGCAGGTTCAGGGCACCTGACCTAACCTAGGAGAGGATCAGAAAAGGCTTCCCAGAAGTTCGATTTAAGCTGCAGTTGAGGGATGAGCAAGGCGAAGATGTAAAGGCCCTGGGGTGAAAGGAAGGAGGTTGTTGGAGGGACTGAGGGAGGTTCATCATGGCTTACCAAAAGGAAGGGAGTGGGAGAGATGAGCCATGGGAAGCCAGCAGGGCCCAGGTCATTAAGTAAGGGACAACCATGGCGAGGAGTTGCAATGTCACTCCAGCCCCTTGTTTGCCACCATGGACAGGTATTTTATGATTCCTGGATCGGAAATACACACACACACACACATACACACACACACACGCACACCCCTCACAGAAAAATAGCCACTCTGTCCCTTCTCATGCGGAGGAAGCACAGGGTAATCTGGATTATAAACCATCCGCCTGGGGCAGAGCTCGCCTGCTGTCATCATCTTCCTCCACCTCGGGATGCCACTCAGCCTCACACAGCACCAGCTCTCTGATGAAGAAAAGAAGTGACAAGGGCAAAATCAAAAACTCTCCAGAATGTATTCAGAGGGAAACTAAAGCCGGGAAGAGCTGTTCTCTTGTTCCCAGCCAACACTCACACTCCTGCCTGCTCTCATCAGAGGAGACTCCGCTTCCGCTATGCCTGACTGGCTGGCTGGGCGATTCTTTGGGGGCTGTGTTTTGTGCTTGTCACTCCCGCCCTGGGTCACTTTTAGGATGTGTGGACTGCTGAATCTTTAAAGGAAAGAATGAGCAAGGGAATCTCAGAGGCAGTTAGTTGGCAGGTTGTTTGCTGAGAATGAGGAAAGAGTTGTGACAGGCTTGGGGAGCTTGAGGAGAGGAAGAAATACAGGAGGGAAGTAGCCGGGAACCCATGGAAAAATGAAGGAGGGAGGGAGGAAGGAAGGGAAAGAAGGAGGGTAGGCTGAGGAGCAGGGAGCGCCTAGCTGTTAAATTTGTCATGGTGCCATTTGACACAGCATGTGCGTTTTGTGTAGCACAGCTCAGCAGCCTGGATGGTTCATCTTGATGGGTTTGGCAAAGCGGAAGTGGCAGATAGGCTAGGAGGAGCAGAGGTGGGGACTTTACGGTGGACTTAGTGAGGGTGTTAGAGGACCTATGAGCCCCAAACACGGGGATGGGCAGTGAAGGAGTGGCACCAGGAGGAAGCCAGTAGATTGGGATGATAGGGAGGACTCCAGGGGCAAGCAGGCTCCTTGAGGCCAAACAGCATGATTAGAATAAGGAAGTGAGTGGGAGAGACAAATAGGAAGTTTTATGATGAATATGTGGGCTTTCTAAGCTTAAAATCCTAGAAGGGCCAATTGTAGACGATGAGTGAGTTGAGTGAGTTGCTGGAGTGAAGGTGAAGGTCGTTGGTGTGCGGACTGGAGGTCAGTGAATTTAAGGCCAAAGGTGTTGGCTTGGTCATGCACCTGACATCATACTTTTAGTGCTTGGCAGGAGTGGTTGAGAAGGTAACAGCGGGGTAGGTGCCATAATCCTTGTTGAAGTCGAGGAGTTGACTTAGAAGGCCTGCAGAGTCCAGTGACAAGGATGTTTGGGACAGATTTTGTGAGCTCTGAGCTTCTCTCCTGACTGGAAGATCATTTCTTTGGAAGAGGTGATGTCATCCACAAAGAGCATTTGTATTCCTTTGGAGAAGAAGTACTTCCTTTTATTGTCAGGTCATTTTAGCATGATTGAAAAATCAGGAGAAAACTTTTTTAAATGCCTGAAAGGAATGTTATATGAGATGTCTAAAGTTCTGGCCTCCGGTTCCAGCTCTGTGGCCTAATACAAAGTCACTTTATACCTCAGCTTCTTTCTGAAACGGAAGAGCTGCCTGGGGCTGTTGTGAGGCTCTGTGGGATAGCAGCACATTCAAGCATTGACTGTGTATCAGGTGCTGTGCTGAGCATGTTCATTGAAGTCTTACTATTTTTAGTATTCCCATTTTATAGCTGTATAAATTGAGCCAAGAGAGGTAAATAATTTACCCAGGGCTATGTAACTATTAAATGACAGAACAAGGGCCTTGAAGCCTGAGCCTTTAACCATTTCCTATACTGCCTCTGTTAGGCTCTGCAAATCTAAAAATAAGATAAAGCAATCAGTGCCAAGTGTAGGAGAAGGCATGAAGGCAAGCCACTTCACCACAGTCTCATCTACGCTGTGTTAGAGGGTTAGCATGTGCTGTGGGGATGTGGTAGAGGGACTGGTTCCTCATCCAGGGTGACTCCAGGAAGGCTTCCCAGAGGAGCTTGCACTTGGGCTAAGTCTCAAATCTGCAGAAGGCAGTTCGTCATGTCACTTGGTCACTTGGCACCTCTTCTCATGTTGGTCTGAAATATGCCAGATCACTGACCTCTCCCTGTGTCCTGTTTTGCCCCTTGGGGACACAGAAAAATTGATTCCCTTTTCTATAAAATCACTCTCTAAATATTGGATTTTTGTTTTAACAAATTTTTTTTTAAGGCAGAGTCTTGCTCTGTCACCCAGGCTGGAGTGCAGTGGTGCAATCTCAGCTCACCGCAACCTCCACCTCCAGGGTTCAAGCGATTCTCCTGCCTCCCGCCTCAGCCTCCCGAGTAGCTGGGATTACAGGCATGCACCACCACACCCGGCTGATTTTTATATTTTTAGTAGAGACGGGGTTACACCGTGTTGGCCAGGCTGGTCTCGATATGCTGACCTCAGGTGATCCACCCACCTCAGCCTCCCAAAGTGCTGGGATTATAGGCATGAGCCACCGCACCCGGCCAGAATCACTCTTCAGATATTTGAATAGTGAAATTGTAGCTTTCATATTGTCTTCCCCAAGTTAAACAACCTTGATTTCTTCCCTCCCTTCTTCCTGCTAGGTGCCAGGAACTGAGGCACTGTGCTGTGCACTGGGGACAGAGATCTAAAAAATGAAAAGCCAGATGCTGCCCAGCAGGAACTTACAGTCTAGTGGGAAGAATAGGGCCATAAAATATTTTATTGCTTTTGTCTGTCTCCTTTACCAAATTTCCCATCATCCAGCATAGCGACTGGTGCACAATAGACATCTGTTTTGTCTGTTGTGGAATTGGTGACTCTAGGTGCTATGTGAAGGTAAGCCTAGGGTGTTGTGGGGGCCGGTAGGAAGACCTAAGTCAGACCCAGAAGGGGAGTGGTAGACTTTTCCGGCTGACCTAAGTCCTCAAAGATGAATAGGACTTCACCAGGGAAGGCATTCCAGGCAGAGGGAGCAGCAGATGCACAGACACAGGGGCAAGGCGCAAGGTGGGGTGTAGCGTTCAGAGTCTGGAAAGCTGCTAGAGGCCAGATGATAGACAGTTGTGCTAAGAAGATTGGGCTTAATCCTGAGGGCAGATGAGTAAAATGTTCAGATTCACATTGTAGAAAAGGTCACCCAGGTGGCACTAGGAAGAATGAATTGAAGGGAAGCCACATTAATAGGCGGAAAGACCAGTTTAAAGATTGCTAGAATAATCCCAATGAGAACTGGTAAGAGCCTAAGCCCAGTGGCTAAGGAAAGTAGGAGACAAATTCAAGAGGGCTTGGGAAGTAAAATCCACAGGACTTACTGGTCAGCTGGATGGACGGGCGATGTTTGGGCCAATGAGAAGATGGTGTTGCCACCCACCTAAGTAGGGATAGAGAAGGAAGAGCAAGGGCTGGAGAAGTTAGGTCATGAATTTGTTTGGGAGATGTTGAGTTGGAGGTGCCTGTGGAACATCCAAGTGAGGGTGCTTGGTCTTACGCAGATGGTTTTGGAGCCCAGGAGAGACCTGAGTTAGAGGTGCAGTTTTGGAAGTCAGTAGCATATAGGTAGTACTGGGTATTTGTAAGCGTTAGAGTAGCTGAACTCACCCAAGAATAGTTTACAGAGAAAGAAGAGAAGAGGACTGAGGGCACCAAAATTTGAGTTGCAGAGAGAATAAAGCGAGGCCTTGGGAGAGACTTGGGAGCGGTCAGAGAGGGAAGAGGAAAACTGAGGAAGCTAGGGAGTAGTCAGCAATTTCCCAATGAAGTCAACTTGCTTTATAGAGTCTGGGTTGCCCACAAGGGACCACATCATTGTACCTAAGCTGCCATGATCATGGGAGGACAGTCACGTGCTTCTTGCAACCTCTTGGGCAGAGATTCTTTTTTTTTTTTTTTTGAAACAGAGTCTCACTCTGTCGCCGAGGCTGGAGTGCAGTGGCATGATACCGGCTCACTGCAAGCTCCGCCTCCCAGGTTAATGCCATTCTCCTGCCTCAGCTTCCCGAGTAGCTGGGACTACAGGCGCCCACCGCCACACACGGCTAACTTTTTGTATTTTTGGTAGAGATGGGGTTTCACCGTGTTAGCCAGGATGGTCTTGATCTCCTGACCTCATGATCCACCCACCTCAGCCTCCCAAAGTGCTGGGATTACAGGCGTGAGCCACCGTGCCCGGCCCTCTTGGGCAGAGATTCTTAAGGCTGGATTTGAGGACCCGTGCTTTGGAGCAGTGGTTCCCAAAATCCCTGGATAAGAATCCAGTCCTACCCTAGAATCACTGTGCTGGAATATCCAGAAGGGCCTGAGAATTCATTTGCTCAGTAAGCATTCCAAGTGCTTCTTCTCATGAGGGAAGTCTGGGAGTGACTCCAGACCATAGGTTCTTTCCAACTGCACAAATCACACCCCCACTCTCCCACCCTACACCCTAATACCCTCCAACCTAAAGTTCTTGAGAATCCCCATGATCATGAGCCACTGTTACTGATGGAACCATGTCATGAATCCCTCAGATGTGTGGGATGGAAATGCTAACCCACTGACCGAACAGAGTTTCTGAACAACTGAGTGGGAAATTCTGCACTTAGATTATTGGTCCAGTGGAAATTCTGCACTTAGATTATTGGTCCAGCTCTGCTTCTCCGAAAGCTTTTAGACCAGAGCCCCTCACTGCCCCCTGGTGTAGACAGTCTGATTGCCTACTCCATTTTGTGGAATAATGGACCTGACTGTAATCCAACATGTTTTTTAAAGCTAGCATATGTTTCAAAGCTGACTATTAAAGAAGTGTGGAAGAGGTACCATATGTAGACAAAGAAGACGTTTTTGGGCAATTGCCATGGAAAGAGCTAACTCTACTTTTTTATATATTTAAGACCTAACACTGCTTCATGTCCCCAGCAGTGGAATTCTTGAAGAATGTTTAATACATCTGCTCTCAGGAGTGATTTTGTACATAAGGCCTTCGTCTCTACCAAAGGTATTAGCATAGAAGCAGTTCAGAAGGCCAGTGCCCTTTGTGTGAAATTGCAAATTTGTGAAATTCAAACATTGTCATTCATTTCTGAATAGTTAAGATCAATAATCTCTCCTGAACAATTGGCTTTGGGACATTGTCTTTCTAGGAAAAATAGAAACATAAATTATACTCATTTAAATATTGCAGAGAGAAGGGACCTACTGAGTAGAAAACTCAGGAATGTGCCTCTAAGGAACTTAGGGACCTCTCCTTTTTTGGGTTCTTTTATTTCATTAAAAAATATATAAATTTTGGCTGGGTGCCATGGCTCATGGCATTACAGAGTGCTGTAATCCCCTCCACTCTGAGGTCAGGAGTTTGAGACCAGCCTGGCCAACATGGTGAAACCCCGTCTCTACTAAAAATACAAGAATTAACTGGGTATGGTGGCACACACCTGTAATCCCAGCTACTCAGGAGGCTAAGGCAGGAGAATCACTTGAACCCAGGAGGCGGAGATTGCAGTGAGCCAAGATCGTGCCACTGCATTCCAGCCTGGGCGACAGAGCGAGACTCTGTCTCAATAAATAAATAAATAAATAAATAAATAAATAAATAAATAAATTTTATTGTATGTATTTAAGGTATGCCCAAAGGGACTTAAATCATCACTTCATAAAGATACCTGTGTGTCCATGCTCCTGCAGCATTATTCACAAAGCCAAGATATGGAAACAATCTGTCAGTGGATGAATGGATAAAGAAACTGTGGTGTATGTACACAATGGAATATTATTCAGTCTTTTTTTTTTTTTTTTGAGACAGAGTCTTGCTCTGTTACCATGGTGGCAGTGTAGTGGTACAATCATGGCTCACTGCAGCCTCAACCTCCCAGGCTCAAGTGATCCTCCCATCTCAGCCTCCTGAGTAGCTGGGACTACAAGCATGTGCCACCACACCTGGCTACTTTTTTCTATTTTTAGTAGAGATGAGGCCTCCCTGTGTTGCTAAGGCTGGTCTTGAACTCCCAAGCTCAGATGCTTCCCCTGCCTCAGCCTCCCAAAGTGCTAGGATTGCAGGTGTGAGCCACCATGCCCAGCCTTCAATCTTAAAAAAGAAGGAGATCCTGCCATTTGCCACAACTTGGAGTTATTTTAGAATGAGAGATTGAAGGATGGTGCTGTCTGGTGGTCCCTTTCAGACCCATCATACGTACTTCAGATCTAAATATAGCAAAGGCTTGTTCTTTCCTACATTCATTCAGTAAACAATTATTGGGCACCTGTTATGTGGCAAGATCTGTGCTGGGCACTTTCTTTGTCCTTAGATATCTTTGAGACATCAAAATAACTTCAGGGTGAGCTCAGTTTGATCCTGGAGGACAGGAATTGAGTATCTCGTGCAATATTAAAGCTATTGTAAAGGCATTGCTGGTGACTTCCCATTTCCAGTTTAGCTGCATCCTGAACTATTTTTTCCCTTCCTCAAGAAGCCAAACAGCATGGGAATTATCCTTACATCTCAAAGTACCTGGTGTAAAGTGGTGAAAGCACCAACCGAAGGCCAGCTGGCTTCTGGGAGTAAAATCAGTACTTGACATTCAGATTCCACGTTCGATTTTTGAATGATCTGTCATAGAGCCTATCATTTGAATCTTAGCACGATTTTGAAACTTACAATTAGCAATAGTAACTAGCAGTATTATTCCTCTTATACAGTGGAGAAAGCTGAAGTTCCAGGAGGTTAAGTGCTTTGCACAAGGTCACGTCGTTAGGACATACTAGAGCTAGATCGAGCACAAGTTTCCCACTCTCGATTGAGTGCTCTTTTTGCCAACAGAGCTCAATGGCCTTATAACCACCTCATCTCTCCCCCTTCCGCATCTCAGAATGGCTTAACCAGGAGGATGTAAGGAGGTGCTAAATGAAGAGAAGAGACTGCAGCTAGGTGAAAAGGCACAAGCAACTGCTGCTTGAGGGTAGCTCCAAGGGCAGGAGTGGAAGGAGATGGGCTGGTTCATCCTCCACCACTCGTTTCAGATATTCACAACTGGAGAGCCATCTCCTACATCAGAGGACATACAGCTCGTCTCTAGGCCTCTTCCCTTTAGAGGGAGGCCTGGAAAGGACTACTGACTTTTTGCCAGCTCGTTGAGCTGTTTGTTAGGTATTTCTACAACAAACACTGCTTTTACTTCTTTACCTATTTTTTTCCCCAATCTGAGGGATACAAGAAAACTATTCTAGTAGTTTTTCAACCCTAAAGGCATTTCTAAAACTAAAATGAAACAGTGAGAAATTAATTCCTTCGTTCAGCTGTTAGCCCTAACTCAGAGTTAGATGACAGGTCCATGTCCAGCTGACGTAGTAACAAGAGGTCTCTGGGCCCCTCCTGGGAGCCCCTTGGTGCTTTGGCTTTTTTCTTTTTTCCCTACTCATGGATGAATCCAATCTTCTAATCCAGTATGTACCTTAGGCCCAAAGATAAAAAGATAGGTTTCTTTGCACACACAAACACACCCTGGGCTGACTATAAATCTGCTCCTTGCCTGAGTATAGCAGAAACAAAATATGTTGCTTCCTCCTCGAGGGAGGAATTGGCATTTCTTCCACAAGGAAGGGGTGAGAGGAGGCTCTACTGGCCTTTTTGAACTTACTTCTCAGCTAGGGAAATGAATAACATCCTGGTTGGCCTCGGTGGAGTAGAAGTGGAGGGAAGGAGGGGTGATGCTGACCCCACACTCGAGCCACAGCCTCGGAATCTCTTTACCCGTAGGCGCCACACTTGGCACACAATGAGTCTGTGAGTTGAGGGGAAATCACAACCAGATTAACACAGTGATTTGGGCATTTTTTCACACTTACTAACGAGTGGGCTTTTGACAAGGCCTAAGTGGAGCCTTCTCTGCAGGCAAGCCTGGACTCCCCACCCCTCTCCTCTAGGCAGTAAGGCCTGTAAGAGAAAAGGGCAGAGATGGACCCAAGTCTTGCTTGCCCTCTGCAGCTGTGCAGAGAAGGCCTGGTGCCGCCACACTCCTGCTCGGCTCCTAGGCTGCTAGCGGGAGGTATGAATTTCTCTTGTTTGCTTTAATGGAGTGTTAACCCCCGTCGCTGGAACTCATGTTAATGCCTAACACAAGGCTGGGACTGCAGGGAGAGGCCAAGGGACTGGCAGCTGAAGGCAATTTGAGGATTGACCTCATGGGGTGGGGAGAGGGAGGAGAGGAAAGGGAGACATCAGTTGAATGTCTGCTGGATAGACAAGCCGGATGTAACAGGCCCAAGACCGATGTGCAAGACCAAGGTTCTGTCTGCTCCTGCTTCTGTCACAGGCCATGTCCTGTCCCCTCCCCTCCCTGGGCCTCCATTTCCTTGTGTTTAAAAGAGGAGATAGAACCAGATATACTCTAAGGGGACCAACAGCCAAAAAATGCTTTTGGGGACAGGCCAGGGGGAGGGGAGTAGGGTGTGGGCAGTGATTCTGCAGCTTCCGTGCACACAGATCCCCTGGGGGTCTTATTAAAATGCAGCTGGTGACGCCGGCGGTCTGGGGAGGGGTCTGAGCAGCTGCCTTTCTCACAGGCTTCCAGGTGATGCTGCTGCTGCTGGTGGGTGGAGCACACTTTGAACAGCGAAGGTATTGAGTGCAAAATGGGGTTCTCCAGTCTAAGTTCTGCCCCGCACTTCACTTCCCTGCCCTGATTTCCTCAACCGTGAAACGGGGAATAGTAATCGTTGCCTTGTCTTCCTCTCTAGGGGTGTTGTGAGGATTCATGGAGCAAATGGCTGTGAAAGCACCTTGTAAAGGGTAGAGCAGTGTGCGGCGTGAGGGATTATTATCATTGTTAAGACGTCTACGCCTCGTTGCTCACCCTGTGTGATCCTGCAGCTTCTCAACTTTTCCCTCCTTTCTCCCTGGTTTCCACGCCTGGGCTGCTGAGTCAGGCGGACCGGCCAAGGCTGGCGAGGGCTGAACAGATGCTCTGACATGTCAAGGCAGGAAATGACAGTTCCCAGGCAGCCCTCTGTTTCAGGTGTGGAACAGGCTCCGAACACACTTTGTGTGATAAATTGTAGTAACGCCAGGCTGAGCTCTACCTCCACCCCCTTAGGCTGCAAGACTAGGACATGAGGCTGAAAGTCAGAGAAGTCCCTGTGAGACGAGGGCCCTGAGCAAGCACTGGCCAGACTGTAGCAAGGCCACTCACCAGGCCACCCCGCTGGTTCTACTTCCGCACCCACCTCTGGCAGCCATGATGCTTCTGCAGCATGCCAGTTTGTTCACTGAGACCTTCACAGAAGGTCGCACAACCACCCTGGACGGTGAGAAACTAAGGTGACTGAGGCAAGTCATTGAACCACCCTGAGCCTTGGCTTCCTCATCTATGAAATGGAGTTGACAGCATCTGTCCTGCCTGTGGTAAAAATTGCTGTGATCCCACAACCAAAAGGAAAGAGAGAATTATGAGAAAAATATGTACTTATTCTGTGAAAATATGTGAGATTTTCATGAGAGACTTCCTGTTCCAGTGGACTCTTCCACCGCCCTTGAGTGGGGAACATCCAGGCCTTCACACTCACGCTCAGCCCATCACCCCTCTGTGCAAGGTGCAAGGTCCTCTGCCCACCTGAAGCCTCAAGGCCTGATGGAAACCATCCACAGCCACTCTAGTAAGTGACCCCTCCATTGTCCAAAACAGTGCTGCTGCTTAGCCTGCTCTTCTCAGGCCAAGTCTTTGTTGAACAGCTTCAGTGCAAGGACCTGGGAAGTCGGGATTCTGTAATGTACCTTGCCCCCAGTCAGGATGGGAGGCCAGGCCCAGATCTTCTTCCCAAGGACCCTGCACCTGAAAATCTGGTACAGGTTTGTCCTTTGGAGTGAGAGCTCTTGGGTTTAGGTGGTTGAGAGAGGTGGAAGGTTGACCACACACTCCAAATACACATGTTTATTGCCCAAGCTGGGAACACCATTTTTAAAGCCCACATAGTTAGGAGACTACCAAAATAACAAAGCTAAAAATGGGTCAGGTATCAAACGGGTCAACTCCAGTACCGGCAGGCACATCCGGGACCCTCCCCTTCAGGGCAGGTGGACTCCTCCTTTCCTTTCCCCGCAGCTACTGTCCCAGGGCCTTAGAGGAACAAATAGCCCCTGGCTCCAGATCAGAGCCAGTGTGCCCACCCATCCCTCCCTGCTCTTTGAAATTCCCAAGGCCAGCAGGGGGCCCAGGCCTGCAAAGCTGGGCCTCCAGACACCTCCGCCAGCTGGGGAGGCAGAGAGTTCGCACTCTGAGGAAACGCAGATCCTCAGAGGAGAGTAAAAGGTCAGAAATAATCCAAGAGGACAAGCCACTCGTGTCTGTGTGTATATTGGGTTTCACATCTGAAATCCAGTCATGATAAATCTGGTTTTTGAAACATCTTCTTTGACTAATAAAAACAGAAGACTTCTTGGCCCCAGGTTTCAGACTTCAAAGTTCTCAGTTGAGAGCCTCGTGTTTGACTTATTTGTGGAGCACAGAAATCACAGGATTTAGCTGGGTTGCTCCCTCCACCCCCTACCACCCAACTGCAAGAACACTTAAAAATTCTGGAATGGAAAGACTGAGCTGAAAACCCCCTCGCTGGCACTCCAGCCATATTTTCAAAAAAAAAAATTCAGCATGGTAGTTTTAGTGGAGAAATGACAGGCTTTGGAGCCAAATGAACCTAGGATCCTAATCCTGACTGTACCCTTGACCTTGTCATCTTAAGCAACAATCTTACTTCTCTCTGCCACAGTTCCTTGAACTGTACAAATTGGAACAATAACATCCACCTCATAAGTTATTGGGATGATTTCAGTGCAATAGTGTGTATAAAGTAGCTATGCCTGATGCAAAGTGGACACCCGACAAATGTTAGTTATCTTACCTTTCCTGATACCTGACCACAGACTAATTATTTGGAATGAGGACTGTCCTAGAAAACCCAGTTTGTATGCTTGCTGTCTTGAGAGATTCAGTTCCTTGTTTTTCCATTGAAGGAATTGCTAGGTTTCCGAGGATAGTTTGTCTTGCAGTGTATTCTGAGCCCTGCCATAGGAATCCTATCACAGCTCTATGTGTATGTTTTCTATCCACCTGAAGAAGCAGGCCAGAGCAGCCTACAGGAAACATTTTCTTTTTCTTTTCTCTTTTTTGAGACTGAGTCTTACTCTGTGGCCCAGGCTGGAGTACAATGGCGCAATCTCGGCCCACTGCAACCTCCGCCTCCCGGGTTCAAGTGATTCTCCTGCCTCAGCCTCCCGAGTAGCTGGGATTACAGGCGCCTGCCATCATGCCCGGCTGATTTTTGTATTTTTGTAGAGACGGGGTTTCACCGTGTTGGCCAGGCTGGTCTCGAACTCCTGACCTCAGGTGATCCACACGCCTCGGCCTCCCAAAGTGCTGGGATTACAGGCGTGAGCCACCGCACCTGGCCAGGAAACATTGTCATTGCAGCCCAGCTACAAAATGATTCTTCTCTTCCTCCTTGGAGGGGGAGAAATCATGAGTGTGCCAAGTTTAAAACAGAAGAGTAAAGGGTCTCTGGCGTCCAGTCTGGGAATGCCAGCTTCAGCCTGACTTGGAAAGCTCTCTTGTTCCCTGAAGCACCTCCATGTTTGTTCTGAATGTGGAGCCAGTCGAGATTCTCCTTACTGGGACCTACACTGATGACTGATCTCTTGGGCTCACAGCCCTGCTCAATGACCTCATGATGTGTGAGGGCCTCAGCCATTTCTTGACAGTCATGAAAAGGTGTCTCCTAGGAAGCCGGGCCTGTTTATCCAGAGGTTAGTTGTAGGCAGGGGAGACAAAGAGGACAGGTAAAGGGACTTGATTTTAAAATCAACTCCTTCCAGAGTTGTTCTTCTAGCCCTTTCTGATCTGATGTATGAAATTTGTACAGAGGTGGAATCGTTTCTGCCATTTTTCACACACAAGTTGGTGCACATTCCTAATATGAATTAAAAATAAATATGCCATGTGTACACAGGGATGAGTCAACATTGCATGCAGCCAGCCATGGCCACTGGGAGAAGAGTCAGACATGGGCCATGGAGCTGCAGGCTCACCTGCCCCCGGCTGAGTCAGGACCGAGCACAGGACTTGACAGAGGAGGCATCGCAGCAAGGTCAGGTGCCTCCCGTGCTTCTTATGGGCCCACCTGGTCCCAGCATGAGTGCTTCTCCCAGGAGGCATTTTTTTGTCTCTCGACTTTTTCTTTCTTTCTTTTTTTTTTTTCTTAAAAAACTGATTACAGAAACTGTAGGCCAAGTGCAGTGGCTCATGCCTGTAATCCCAGCACTTCAGGAGGCCAAGGCAGGAGCATCACTGGAAGCCAACAGTTTGAGATCCAGCCTGGGCAACGAACAAGACTCCATATCTACAAAAAATAAATAAATAAATAAATAAATTAATTAATTAAATAAATAAATAAATAAAATAACAGGTGCCTATGGTTTCAGCTACTTGGGAGAGGAGGGAGGATTGCTTCAGCCCAAGAGTTCAAGGCTGCAGTAAGCTATGATTGCACCACTGCACTCCAGCCTGGGCGACAGAGTGAGATCCTCTCTCTAAAAAAAAAAAATTTTTATTTTTTTTTTTTTTGAAACAGAGTCTTGCTTTGTCGCCCAGGCTGGAGTGCAGTGGCGCGATCTCGGCTCACTGCAGCCTCTGCCTCCTGGGTTCAAGCAGTTCTCTGCCTCAGCCTCCTGAGTAGCTGGGGTTATAGGCGCCTGCCACCACACCCGGCTAATGTTTGTATTTTGAGTAGAGACGGGGCTTCACCATCTTAGCCAGGCTGGTCTTGAACTCCTGACCTCATTATCTACCCACCTCAGCCTCCCAAAGTACTGGGATTACAGGCATGAGCCACCATGCCCGGCCAAAAATTTTTTTAAAATAATAAATAATAATAAAAAATATAAAATACAAAAAAATAATTAGGAAACAGCTGGGCACAGTGGCTCAAGCCTGTAATCCCAGAACTTTGGGAGGCCGAGACGGGTGGATCACTTGAGGTCAAGAGTTCCAGACCCGCCTGGCCAACATGTTGAAACCTCATTCTACTAAAAATACAAAAATTAGCTGGGCATGGTGGCACATGCCTGTAATCCCAGCTCCTTGGGATGCTAAGGCACAAGAATCACTTGAGCCCGGGGGGCAGAGGTTACAGTGAGCTGAAAGCATGCCACTGCCCTACAGCCTGGGCAACAGAGTGAGACTCCATCTCAAAAAAAAAAAAAAATTGTGGGAAACATATAGAAAAATATAAAGTAACAGAAGAGTCCCCTATAGCCTGACTACCCAGAGACAGCGTGGTTAACATTTTGTCGTGAATCATTTAGAATGTTTTTCCATGTTTCTTTTGCATTGTTCAATAATAATAACTGTATACTTTTGTCTTTTTAAATTTAACATTGTATCTTAAAGAATTCTAATTATAAACATCATGTTTATGACTACCTAACATTCTACTGCAAGAATGAAGTATAACTTTCTTAACAAATACCATATTGTAGGGCTGTGTTAAAATGGCAATGAGCGTATTTATGCATGACGGTTGTTGCTTCCTAGGTTATTTATTTTGGCTAGATTTCTGGAAGTGGCATCCCTGCCTAGGTCAGTAGTTGGGCACGTTTTTAATTTTTTTTTTTTTTTTTTTGAGACAGTGTCTCCCTCCATCACCCAGGCTGGAGTGCAGTGCCACGATCTTGGCAGACTGCAACTTCCACCTCCTGGGTTCAAGTGATTCTCCTGCCTCAGCCTCCTGAGTAGCTGGGATTACAGGCATGCACCACCATGCCTGGCTAATTTTTGTATTTTTAGTAGAGTTTTCCCATGTTGGCCAGGCTGGTTTTGAACTTCCGGCCTCAGGTGATCCGCCTGCCTCAGCCTCCCAAAGTGCTGGGATTACAGGTGTGAGCCACCGCGTCTGGCCTTGATTCTTAATGCATATTGCCAAATTGCCCGTCAGATAGCTTATACTAGTAATATTCCTGCCCGAAACAGTCAATCTCATTCCGTTCTTACGCGTGTTGAGTATAACTCTGCTTGTTTATCGAAGAATTTAGGGAGCTAAAAAGTTCTATCCCCACCCTCAGATGTGGGGAGATCAGAGCTAAGAGGTTGCTTCTCCTACTCTCCTGTGCCCCCTGCAGGCATCCTCAGAGAAAGTGGGGTGCACATACTCACCATACGCTTTCACTCCCCACCAAAGGCCCTTGCTATGTAATTGACGCATAACCAGTCAGCCTTACCGGTGGCATTGCCCAGGCTCCAGTATTTCTCCTCTGGCTGCTTGCCTCTGGCCCAGTGTTCCCTCAGTCACTCTCTTAGCCTTTCATAGAATCCCACTGCCCCAAAGAAGAGCTGCTTACAGAGCCCTGGGGTAATCCTCTAATTTTGAATGGGCCTGTGTAGCTTACAAAGCACTTGTCAAAAGACAAAATTATAACAAACTTCATTATAGATCTAATTGGCTTTTATTTGTGATTCATGAATCTGGGCAGCCTCCATTCTACAAAATAGAATGAGAGCTCCCACTGGGCAGTGGTAGAACAGCGGGTTTTTTAAGGTGAGATCAAGGAAACAATAGAAAAAAAAAAAAGCTCATTGGTTAACATCAGGTTACTTCAAGGTTTTGTTTTTTTTTTTTGAGACGGACTCTCTCTTTGTTGCCCAGGCTGGAGTGCGGTGCCGCGGATCTCACTGCAATCTCTGCCCACCAAATTCAAGTGATTTTCCTGCTTCAGCCTCCTGAGTAGCTGGAATTACAGGCATGCACCACCATGCCCAGCTAATTTTTGTATTTTTAATAGCGACAGGGTTTTGCCATGTTGGCCAGGCTGGTCTCAGACTCCTGACTTCAGGTGATCCGCCCACCTTGGCCTCCCGAAGTGCTGGGATTAAAGGCGTGAGCCACTGCGCCTGGCCAGGTTCTTTTTTTGTAAAGGATTAAAGGCTACCCTGACTCAGTTAGACTGAAATCTCCCATTTTCAGGAATAGCTGGTCTGTTTTGGGATCTATCTGCTTCCTTAAAGTTTCAGTTTGATTGTGTGGCATTTAGCATGGGTGATTCCATTTCATTTTGGTCTGGTGTGTGGGGCCTAGTGCAGGAGCTCAGTTCAAAACAGTGGCCTCCCATAACTTTTCTTTTTTTTTTTTTTGAGACAGAGTCTCACTCTGTCGCCCAGACTGGAGTGCAGTGGCGCAGCCTCGGCTCACTGCAACCTCCATCTCCTGGGTTCAAGAAATCTCCTGTCAGCCTCCCAAGTAGCTGGGACTACAGATGCACGCCACCACACCCGGATAATTTTTATATTTTTTAGTAGAGATGGGGTTTCACCATATTGGTCAGGCTGGTCTCAAACTACTGACCTCAGGTGATCCACCTGCCTTGGCCTCCCAAAGTGTTGGAATTACAGGTGTGAGCCACTATGCCCAACCAACTTTTGTTTAATACAGTCTTTCATAATACTATCTGGTCTGATGCTCACAACAGCTCTGGAAGCCAAATATTTGTTTCCCTGTTTTATAGGTTTATTATTTTCCTAGGCTGCTTTAAGGAATTACCATAAACCTGGTGACTTAAAACAACAGATGTATTCTCTTGTATTTCTGGAGGCTAGCATTCTGAAATCGGGGTGTGAGCAGGGCCATGCTGTCCTTCCTTGCTTCTTCTGGCTTCTCACCACTCCTGGCATTACTTGGCTTAGGCAGGATAACTCACATCTGTCTTTGTCTTCACATGGGCTTCTTCCTTCTGTGTCTCTGATCCCCTCTTTTCTCTTTTAAGGACACCAGTCATTGGATTTAGGACCCACCCTAAACCCAGGATGATCTCAACTTGAGATCCTTAATTACATTTGCAAGGACCCATTTCCAAATAAGGCCACATTCTGAGGCTCCTGCTGGACATATCTTTTGGGTGGCGTGGTGGGGTGGAACACCATTCTACCCATTGCAGTGGATAAGGAAAGCAAAGTTCAAACAGGGAAAATGACTCTTCCAACGTCATGCAGTGAGAAAGTAACAAGAGCTGGCATTTGAACCCAGGTCTTCTGCTTAACATATGCCTTTAATTGGGTAAAAACAAGACTCTTATGGTATAACTGCTGACTGTTATCTGGTTTGTAGAAAATGAAATTGGTAGCTTTTACCCTAGGATACCTCAAATATCAGACACCATTTTCTGGAAGTATACTATTGTTAACGACATTGAAACTATTAGTGCCAATGTGAACCCCTTAAATGGGCATCATTTATTTATTTTCTGTGTCATAAATGGGGAAATTAAGACCTAGAGGGATGATTCTGCTGAGAGAGAAAAAGAATTAAAAAAAAAAAAAGAAAAGACCCAGACGGAGTAGCAACTTGCCCAGAGTAACCAGAAAAGTTAATGGGAGAATTCCAGTTATGACTCAGATGTAATCTATGTTCTAAGCTTTAAAGTGTGCATTATGCAATTGCATATTTTGCAGTTGTGAAAATGGTCTCCTTGTCAAAATAACTGTGTTAGATTGCAAAGAAATTCTTAGTCCAATTGCCATTGAACTCCTTTTCCCTGGCTCAGGACCATGCGATATGATACACATAATATATAACATAATATAATATCTGATCTATATCTATATCTATCTCACTGTGGGAGAACGCTGGCTCATATAATTGGCCATCAGATGTGTCCACAGGTATAATATATAATATAGCTGTGGTATATATAATATATCTGTGGACACATCTGATGGCTAATTATATGAGCCAGGGTTCTCTAAGGAAACAACTAATAAAAGAGATATCTCCAGAGATGCATAGATATAAGAAGATTTATTTTGGGAATTGGAAATGGAGGTCAAGAAGTCCCACTGTCTGTTGTCTGAAGGTGAAGAACCAAGAAGGCTGGTGGTATATAACCAGGGGAGCTGATGGTGTAAGTCCCGGTCCAAGTTCAAAGGCCTGAGAACCAGGAGTACCAGTGTCCAAGGGCAGGAATTAGTGTCCTAACTCCGACAGAGAGAACAAATTTGCCTTTCCTCCACCTTTTTAATATATTTAGGCCCTCAGTTGAATGATGCCTGCCCACAATGGTGAGGGCAATCTTCTTTCCTCAGTCTACCAACTCGAATGCTAATCTCTCCCAGAAACACCCCCCAGACACACCCAGAAATAAGCCTTGCTGGCTATCTGGGCATCCCTTAGTCCAGTCAAGTTGATACATGAAATTGACCATTGCACCAAGAAGAGCTAATGTCCTCAGCCTGTGCTTATGGGAACCAACTTGTAGTGTGGAGAAAGGGGTGCTCCCCGCAGCAGCACTCTTAAGCTCCGTTTGGTGAGCAGTTTGGTAAGCTTGCCAAGGAGGCTCCCCTCTACACTGGTTCCCCTCATCATGCCTGGGATCATTTCTTAGTTATTGTAGACGTCATCATCACAACCTCTCACCAAGGAGGGCTTACATCTTGCAAAGCACTGCTTAATGCAGGTTTTGCTTTTGGTATCTGGCCTCCCTGGTGGTTAGAAATCTGATCAGCAGGCTCTCAGCAAAATCCAAACCTGGGCAGAACCTCATTAACGCAAAGCGGAGGCTGTGCCACAGTCTCTTAAATAGCTAGAGTGTGATTAGACACTATCAGCTTAGAGGAGCATCCTACCTGTCCCCCTCCACCTGCAGTCACTAGGCTTCCTTGCCTCTTTAACAATGGTGTACAAAGGCAAAGCACGTGTTCCCCCAGCCTCCCCAGGAGCTACCAGCTTGCCAGCTGTCACAGCATGCCTTTAATGGGTTTGTGAAACCCAAGAACCTGACCCATTTCTCCTCTGGGGAAAGAGTATAACACAGGATGCCAAGCTGGGAAGCAGGATTCGGGACACTCACCTGGATGAGACCAGCTCTCTCTGCCGTCCTAGACAGATTGTTTTGTTTTTTCCAATTTCCAGGATCTCCAAATCTAAAATAAGTGCACAGAAGGCAGTAGAGTAAAATTGTGACATTGTTTTCTGCTCACTTATCTTCTTCTTCCTTCCTCTCTTTTAATTTTAACTCCACTTTCTGCCTACTCTGACCCTAGATATTCAGGCTCTGGTACCCCACCCAAAGGGTGTTGACTGCAAACTGACTGTCAAATTTCATAAGTAGTCAATAAACGAACCTGTTTTGAGCAAGCATGATGTACAAAGTTCGGTGCCTATTTTCATTATGGAGGAATTCATGCCCTCGGGAGCTTCTAAACTAGTTAGAAAAGCAGTTCATGTGAACAGTGTAAGGCAGTACGGAAATAAGGCCACAGGAATGATCTAATTAACCTGGGGTCCACAGGTGGGTTTCAGAGGCATCCATAGATGCCCCAAAATTGCCCGCATAATTTTATGTATGCAAGCACACATTTTTTGAGTAAGTGCTTAGCTTTCATCAACTTCACCTGGAAAGATAGAGCACCTTTTATGCCGTTAGAGTTTGAGCAAGAGTAGTCTTTATACCTTCGGTAGTTGAGCAGGTAAGACTTGAACTCATTCTTAGAAAATAGTATTCAGGGCAGGAGGCAGCCCTGAAAGGCAAGAATCCCCAGGAGATAGCCTGCGAAGACTGTTGCACTTACAACCAGATGCCTCATGTCTCTGAAACTCAGTAAGATGGAAACCTATACAATGGTGATCATTGTTGCTTCCCATAGTTTGGTGAAGTCACATAAGCTCCTCTTTTTTTTTTTTTTTTTAACTCACTCTGAACCTTGTACAGTGCTCGACTCATATCATAGTGGACACTAACTAATATTTGATATATGTGTGAGTTAACTGAAATAGCAAATGTGAGAGGGCTTTGTAAATAGCAGAGCACTGCTTCAACAAAAGATGTCTGTTGCCAAGAGTGTGTATTTTGTCCTTTGCAAACAGCCTGCGCTAAGTGAGCGTCTTCTCCCTGCTTGAAACTGACCCTTTCCCCTGTAATGGGACTCAAAGGGCCAGCTCATCTGATGGAGTGTCCCTGGGCTGGTCAGATGAATGATAGCTGTGCTGTCAACATGGACAAGATGTGCAGTTTTCCAAGAGCCCAGAGATGACCTCACCCTCCAAGGGCTTGGCCTCTTCACCCCAGTGCCTGCTGAAACACACCTGCAGCCTTGCTCTCACTCTGGGACAGGGAGATTCCAGGAGCACCTTTGCTGTCCTCAGCAAAGAGGCTACGAGGTGTGGAAGGGAAAGAGACAGCGGGTATGGCAGAGCCTCTGATGGGACTCCTAGCAGGATAAGCAGGACCACTGATTGTATCCTCTCTATGACGTCTCAGGACGGTAGAAATGATCAGGTGCTTCTTTGCTGAACACTTCTGATATCTCCCATCTTCGCTCCTCAACTTCCTAGCTGTGCGCATGCGAAGAGAGAACAGACCCACTATCAAATTGTGTTTCTCCTGTGTGCCATCCCGTAAACATGGTGACTCATCGTCACCACCACCAAACTCCAAGCAACTCGGGCTGGTTGGGAGTGGGAAGGGTTTTTAAATGTCATTGGTTGAAGGTGACAGGAGTTCTCAAAATGGTAGGAAAGATAGAAGTGGTTTACACATATTGTGGTTCTTGGCCAGGCGCAGTGGCTCATGCCTGTAATTCCAGCACTTTGGGAGGCGAAGGTGGGTGGATCACTTGAGCACAGGAGTTTGAGACCAGCCTGGGCAACATGGTGAAACCCCATCTTGACAAAAAATTAGCTGGGCATGGTGGTGCACACCTGTAGTCCCAGCTACTCAGGAGGCTGAGGTGGAAGGATCTCTTCAGCCCAGGAGGCTGTGGCTGCAGTGAGCCGTGATTGCACCACTGCACTTTGGTCTGGGCAAAAGAGTGAGACCCCGTCTCAAAACAAAACAAAACAAAACAGTTCTCCACTGCAGGTGTTGCTGAGGGAAACAGTGTGTGAGCTGACAGAATGAGCTCCAAGCTAAGAATTAGAAACCCTTGTTCCAGATCTGTTGCTCAGAGACTTTGAACATGTCACGTAACTTCTCAGAGCTTCCAGTTTCACCACCATAAATGGGGGATAGTACCTCTACGACCTCTCAGGATCATTATGATAGTCAGAATTTATGATGATGCCCCAAGTGGTATAAAGGCATACATATTTGTCATTAAGAACATATACATGAACACACCTATTACATACAGAACACTCACTGTGTGTCAGGTCTTTTACATTTATCTACTGCAGTCCTCACAACAATCCTATGTGGTTGTATTGTTTTTCCATTTTTATGGATGAGGAATCAGAGACGCATGCCTGGAATCATACAGCTCACGTGTTAGTCTTTCTTGAAGTCCAGGCCTATTTCCATCCACCACTATGACACTAGCTCATGATTCTTTTCTCGTGCGTACTGTTACTTTATCCCTTAAAATATTACATATTCCTCTGGCCTTTACCATCTCTTATGGACTGGGCCCAACATCTTACCCTAACCTTTCTTGCTATAACATTGATTGATTGATTGACTGATTGAGTGATTGACTGAGAGTCTCACTCTGTCACCCAGGCTGGAGTGCAGTGGCTCAATCTCGGCTCACTGCAACCTCTGCCTCCCAGGTTCAAATGATTCTCCTGCCTCAGCCTCTCGAGTAGCTGGGATTGCAGGTGCCCGCCACCATGCCCAGCTAACTTTTGTATTTTTAGTCGAGATGGCGTTTCACCATGTTGTCCAGGCTGGTCTCAAACTCTTGGCCTCAAGTGATCTGCTCACCTTGGCCTCCCAAAGTGCTGGGATTACAGGCGTGAGCCACCGTGCCTGGCCCAATTTCTTTTGTTTGTTTTCTTCCTGCTTTGGCTTTTGATATTCCTCTTGGTCCCGCTGTCACCCCACCTGCCTTGA
This sequence comes from Homo sapiens, assembly GCF_000001405.40. Taxonomy (NCBI): domain Eukaryota; kingdom Metazoa; phylum Chordata; class Mammalia; order Primates; family Hominidae; genus Homo; species Homo sapiens. The sequence goes on from NC_000017.11 coordinate 61,365,712, forward strand.
CCTCTGAACACAGTAATGCAAACATTAACTGAGCTCCTTTCTAGAGACAGACCTCCTGCTCTTGTGAAGTGAGAAAACAAATGGTCATTCTCTTCCCAATTTTCCAGGCTCTGAAACATCTCTGTCCATAAGAAAGCTGAGTGTATAGCAGCCAGGTGCGGTGGCTCACACCTGGAATCCCAGCACTTTGGGAGGCCAAGACAGGTGGATCGTTTGAGATCAGAAGTTCAAGACCAGCCTGGCCTACATGGTGAAACCCCGTCTCTACTAAAAACACAAAAATTAGCCAGGCATGATGGCACATGCTTGTAGTCCCAGCTACTCGGGAGGCTGAGACACGAGAATCGCCTGGACCCAGGAGGCAGAGGTTGCCGTGAGCCAAGATCATACCACTGCACTCCATCCTGGGCGACAGAGTGAGACTGTCTCAAAAAAAAAAAAAAAAGTTGAGCCAACAGGGAGGAGGAGGGCCCACGTTTTCTTGTTATCATTAAGTCCTTGCGTCGCATGCAGACCCTTCAGAGAAACGATGATGCTTTAGCACTGTAGCACTAGATCTTGTCAAATAAGGTCTAGTGGGGGAAGTGCTGGAAGTGGGGACTTTGCTTAATCTCTTCACTCCTGTGAGACAGGGCAAAGGGTTATTCATTCTAGTTTAGAGATGGAAAAGGAGCTAGAAGGACTGGCTGTGCATCATGCAGTGAGTCGGCAGCAGAATCAGAAGCTTAGTGGATGTCAGCAGTCCTGTGTGTCCCTGGGGAGCTAGGCACCTGGGAGTTGTTGCCAAGGGTGGTTGAGTGTTGGCTCTGAGCTTGGCACTGCCAGTGCACAGCTCTAGCACAGTTCAGGCCTTGGGAGAATTATCTGACACCCAGCCGTGCACCCCCATTTTCCAGAGCCTAGCTTACCAGATCTACAGCCTGACCCTACTTGATGGAGAGGTGGCAGAGGGAGCTCCCCATTCTCAAGTCCTACCTGACAAGCTGATCCCAAGCAACCCACTCCTAAGGTGGGCCTCTTCTTGGGGAGATGCCCTTATAGATGCTGCCCATTCTCCCAGTGCCAGGAATCTTCCCTACAATTAGGTACGAGATAAATCAAAGCCAAACTTGGCTGACGAAATTCAGGAGCCAGTAGTGACCCTTGCCACACATATAAATCGCAGCAGGCTGGCCAAGGGCCTTTGTCTGGCCAGGAGAGTTCAGGATTATCTGGCCCTCTTTGCTGATGTATGGAGTCACCGGCTGTCGGAGTGTTTACTAACGGTTATCACCTCAATGCTGTGGCCATTATCAGAGGCAGGACCGCCTGCCGAGGCTGGGGCTCGCACCCTCTCTATTACCACCTGTCATTGGCAGGGAGTGTGTGCTGACACTGCCCAGCCCTCACTGCCTGGCGAAGATAGTTTCTGACGGCTGATCAAAGAGGAGAAGCAAGGCCTGATAAAGAGTGCGTGTTTCGTGTACTTTTAACTTTGGGAAACGTTGGCATTTGCATTTTTTCCCCATCTTCCCGATGCTGGCAGGAACCAAGCCCAATAAATGCAGTGGATTCAGTTACCTAATCGCTGGGGAAATGGTATGTGCTTAAAGCAACAGAGCGTGACTATAATCTCCTTCCGAGAGAGAGTGGATGAAATAAGCTTTCACAGAAGACTTGCTGTATAATAAAGTAGAATAATTCAAGTTCGGACTTTGAAGTGATCTCACATGTAAGATCTAATCTTAGCGTTCAGCAGAACACCACAGACGTTTTGGAATTGGGGAGCAGCTTTGGCTTAAGGACAGACCCTTGCCGAAGATGCTATCACCCACCTCCTTGCTGGTATCCCCCAAAGTAATTCCCTGGTTGTTCATATGCCCTTGGGTAGCTGGGAGACCAGGTAGTGAAGTAGAACGTGTTCTCAACTGAGGCATCAGGAGAGCGAGTTCTTGGACCTCGTCTGCCACAGACTTGCTCTTCCATCTTGGGCCATAACTTCTCTGAGCTCCAACTATAAAATGAGGAAGTTGGTTATAGGTTATAGAATATAATGGTTAAGAAAGCTTTAAAAACATTAGGCTATATAACCCCTTCTTTAAATGAAAATTTATTTATTTATTTATTTATTTATTTGTAGAGACAGGGTCTCGCGCTGTTGCCCAGGCTGGTCTCAAAGTCCTGGCCTCAAGCAATCTTCCCGCGTTGGCCTCTCAAAGTGTTGGGATTGCAGGTGTAAGGCACCACTCCCCGCCCTAAATGAAATTGTAGATGGAATCCCATTGTATCAAAAAGAGGAAAGTAGGGATCCGTTTGGGTTGAACCTGGGAAGGGGGTTGCCTTCCCCGTCCCACTTCTTAAGGTGGTCCCTGAAGACCAGGGGAACCCTGTAGCTCCTCAGAAACAGTTGTAAAACCACCAGCCTCAGTGTCACGGAAGTCACTCCAGAGGTCTGCACTCTCTCAGCGGCATGAGCTATTTCTCCTGCGCTACCCAGTCTGTTGGCGGCGTGCTTCCATCCTACAGGAAGGCTACAATGGACCCTGGGTATGGAGAGGAGCGGGTGGGAGGTAGACAAGAATGGCCTGCTCCCTGAAGGTGTGGACTCAACGTCAGATGTCCCGTGTGTGCCACAGGTACCTTTGACAGGAGCGTGACCCTGCTGGAGGTGTGCGGGAGCTGGCCTGAGGGCTTCGGGCTGCGGCACATGTCCTCCATGGAGCACACGGAGGAGGGCCTCCGGGAGCGACTTGCCGACGCCATGGCCGAGTCACCTAGCCGGGACGTCGTGGGATCCGGAACAGGTAAAGGTGTCATCAGACTTCTAGCCTGATTTGGTCAGGACCAGCACCTGTTGGTGCAGAGCTTCTCTGGAATCGTTTGTGGGCATATGTTTGTTTTTGCTGTTGGTTTCTTTAGTTAGCACTCCAGTGGCTATCCGTCTGAGGAGCTCTGGTGTTGGGAAACCCTGTGTAAAGGGGAGCTCCCAGTGGAACTGCCCCTCCCACGTGGAATACCACATGCAGGATTGCCATGATCAACACCACTGTGCAAGTGGCTCCCAGAAGGACACTTTCCTCCTTTGGGGGTGTCCCCACGTCTTCCAGCAGCGCTCAGGCACTGAGTCCTCAGGTTGTACCTCTTCAGACACGCTGGAGACTTAGAGATTGGCAAGTCTCAGTAGGGCCTGCCAACCTGAGCGGAGTAAGCATGAAGCAGGCTGGGCTGGTTTCAGCCCCTACCAGCTTTTCCTCATGCTGCCTTTGGCCTTGCATTCTTGCCTCTGAGCGAGTCCAGCAACTAGGGTCTGGGTGGCTTCCTGCATCCCAGAGCAATCAGAAGACATCCTTAAATGATGAGGGAGCCCTGGCCCAGGCAAGTGCATGTTCATGTGCGCACACACGCAAACACACACACACAACATGCACTCAGGAAAGCCACCAATCATCCATCTCCAGTACAGCTGTAATACAGCCTGCCTCTTCTTTCCAAAACCCTTCTTTGTTCTAGATAGCTGTGCTGTTAGTGACTGCCCTAGCCCTGCTTTTGTGCTGACAGAGGCTGCCCCAGCAGGCCTCTTCCCTCCTTTCAGAGGGAACTTTCTGTTGGGTGCAGCTGACTCTGGCTAGAGGCCTTTTCTCTCCTGCTTGCCTGAGTCCTCTCAAGACTCTGTCACTCTGCTGTGCACTGCTCCGTTCCCGTTCCACATGCCTCCCTGCAAAGAACCCCAGTAAGGAGAAACTTACAACAATGGGGCAGGCGCTGATCAGGACCAGCAAGATTCAGAGTCAGAGCACTGAGGCAGGGCTTGAAATGTCTGACATCATCACACAGTCCCACTTCCCCGTGGCTCCTCCAGATCTTTAGATGTTTAGGTTTATGGTCAGGCGTTTCCCTCATCCATCCCCATGCCGGTCCCTCCGTTCCTTCACTAAGACGTGTCATCTCCACAGCACTAGCTGTGTGGCCTGCCCGTGGTGCTCCTGTAATAACTGGCAAATGAACAGGATGGAAACGATAGGTGCAAGGGAGGAAGAGGGGGAGCTTGGCTACATGGGTAGCATGTCATCATGCCACTGTTCTCCCAGCTGGACCCAGAGATGAGAAGCATTTACCAGGGCTTGACTTCGCTTCCCCTGGAAGGGGGCCTAAGTGAGGAATGTGGCTTACGGCACAGGCTTTTGCCTGCATCTCTGGGGTCCCTAGCCAGCCTCGGCTCACATAAACCGGAGCCCGGTGCCACTGGACCCATCCCCGGCAGCCTCCCTCTTCCGAGGCCTGGAGGAGCTCCCGGGTGGCTCTTCTCTCCCACCGCCTTCTCAGGAGCCCCTTGGAGCATCTCACTGTCATCCGGCAAGAGGATTTGAAGGTGCATTGAGTCACAGCTGTGGAACTTCAGCCTGGCATAGTAACCTGCACAGCCCTGGCAGCAATGCATCTGCCAGACAGCTGAGGGATTCAGGAGAGGCTTTGTGGCCTTAAGCAGTTTCATGAAATTAAAAAGAATAAAAAAAGAGAAAGAAAAAAAGGTAGAGGAAATTAAAACTGCATGACCCACAGGTCAGAAAATAGGAGACTCCCTTTTTTTTTTTTTAGCAGAGGGATTTCATTGTCCTCCCCAAACTGTCACCAAAAGGAATTTAGTTGGTTTTCTCTGACCATATTCGATGTATGTTTTATTTTTAAGAAAAAACTTGTTCTTTTTTTGTTTTTTTTTAAGGCGGAGTCTTGCTCTGTCACCAGACTGGAGTGCTATGGCACAATCTTGGCTCACTACAACCTCCACCTCCCAGGTTCAAGCAATTCTCCTGCCTCAGCCTCCTGAGTAGCTATGATTACAGGCGCCCGCTACCACGCCCAGCTAATTTTTGCGTTTATGATAGAGACGGGGTTTCACCATGTTGGCCAGGCTGGTCTTGAACTCCTGACCTCGTGATCCGCCTGCCTCGGCCTCCCAGAGAGCTGGGATTACAGGCGTGAGCCACCATGCCCAGCCTAAAACTACTCCCATTTTAAAGGCCAGTAAGCAAAGCAGATGTTATGGAAGTTACCCAGTTTCCATGGCTGAGAATCACTTTTCACATTTTCCAACTAGAGGTAAAGCATCAGCCTGGTAGTGCAGCCCAGGACTTTGAAAGGGCACCCTGGTACACCCGTGCCCAGGTCAGCCTACTGCCCGGAGGTAGTTGGGGAAATACAGTGCAACGTGGGTAAGAATTTCCAGCAAGCCACTCTTTGCCTATAGCAACATCTCAGTCCCCCTCTTTCTTCCCACAACTCTACTTCTCTAGGTGGCTTATAGGACAAATGAGGTATCCCCAAGTGTTTGCCTCTGATAGGTCCTCTGATGCACCAGAGCTAAGTCAGTTCCCTTAATGCTTTGCAGCAGGCACCACATGTGACACAGCAATTGGGACCCATGGCCTCTTTATCAAAGTATGAATGAAGCACAGAGAGCAACTGAAAACTTGCTCTCATGATCCCTGACACAGAAGCCTATTCTATAGCACGCCTCACTGTTACATAGGTGTAGCCAGCCTTGATTTGTGGATTTCTGTAATGTAAAAACTCCTATTATGGCCAATTTCAACCTGTCACACAGTGTCAGCTAGCTAACAGAGGTTCTGGAGATGTAACAGTCTGTGCACTCCAGCACCTGGTTGGTAAGCTGTACCCTAGGGCAGGTCAGCTCCCCACAAAGTAAAGTGAAACCTTTTCAAACCTCACTATTCAGAGTGGTCTGGGGGTTGAAGGATAGCTTTGGTCAAAGGATACACAGTTTCAGTCAGATGAGAAGAATAAGTTCAAGAGATGTATTGTCCAGCATGGTGACTCTAGTTAATAACAATGTATTCTTGAAAATCACTCAGAGAGCAGATTTGAAGTGTTCTCGACACAAAAAATGTTAAGTATGTGAGGTAATGCATGTTAATTAGCTCGATTTAGCCATTCCAAATGTATACATATTTCAAAACACCATGTTGTACATGATAAATATATATAATTTTTATTTGTCAATTAAAAAATATATATTTTTTTAAAAGTGTGGTCTTCAGACCCACAGCAGCATCCGTAGCCAGGCGCCGGTGAGAAATGCAAAGCCTCAGGCCATGCCCAGCCCTGCTCAGCCGAGGTCTGCATTTCAGCAGGATCCCTGCGCATGCTGAAGTTTGAGAAGGTCAGTTTTAAATTATGGTTAACTTATAAGACAGATGGCAGTTCTTTGGTCCGTGATGGATGCCGACCAAATAGTTGAATTCAATCACCTATGTGATTTGCAAGTCCAGTTCTAAGACAACTGGCTGAACTGCCTTTTTGCTAATATCCTTCTGCCCCTTGCCCCGTCACCCTTCCATCTTTCCATTCGGCAAACTCCAATTCGAGCTCAATCCAACTCTGCTCTCACACCTGGGTTCCTGAAGAAAGAGCACTTATTATTCCAATTGGTGCCTCTACAGATCCATGGTCTCCACTCTCCACTGGAGCCTGCTCTGTGTTTTCCTCATAGCCCCGCCCCCATTCTCAGTTTGCACCCATCTTTTGCAGCAAAAGACAGTGCCTAGCGCAGTGTCTGCAATAGAGACGCAGAGACGATGAATTCTTACTCAGCCTCTGGCTACTTCTCAGTCCTTTTCTTCTGTCGTCCTTAGGCGTATTTCTCAAGGCCTTGTCTTGGCCCTGGTCTCTTCTCTCTCAGTACCTGGCAATCTCTGCTTCCGTGTCTCCAATTACTATCCATAAACTGATGATTTCCAAATAATTTCCAAGTTGGCTTTGTCTCCTGATCTCCAGAACCATCTATTCAGCTACCTATTGACATATCCACATGTCTACGAACTGAATTCCTCTCTTCGGGCCCTTTCCTTCTCTCGAGTTTCCCCATCCCGGTGTCCAAAGCCCTTTGAGACCAGCCACTGCCCTCGCTCCAGACTCATCTCTTGCTGCCCTGGGCCAGCTCCAGCCAAGCTAAACTCCCAGAGGGTCCCCGAGCATACGCAGTCTCTTGCCCGCGAGGCTTCTGTGCATACTTTTCCTTTTGCCTGGAATGCTGTCTCTCAAAGCCCCCTCCTCTCTCTGTTACCCCCCTCAAAATAACTTGACTAATTCCTGCTTAGCAGACATTCCTTTCAATATTGCCTTTTCTAGAAAAATAGAATTTTTAAAGTAAACAAAACATTGACTTATTCCAACTGTTTTGTGTCTAGGTAAAGATATAACTTAATACCAGTAAAAAAGCTTTTTAAATAAACACCTGTGTACATATTAAGTACATTTTCTCTTTCGACTTTAACTCTTTCAATAACTGTAGCTGCACCTTGTCTTTCTTTTTAGTGCTCTCACACATCTGATATCAAAAGCCCAGGCCTTATGCATGGGTCCAGATCCGTGTGTAAAGTATTCCTTTTTTTTTTTTTTCTGAGACGGAGTTTCGCTCTGTTGTCCAGGCTGGAGTGCAGTGGCATGATCTCGGCTCACTGCAACCTCCGTCTCTGGGTTCAAGCAATTCTCCTGCCTCAGCTTCCCGAGTAACTGGGACTCAGATACCCACCACCATGCCTGGCTAATTTTTGTATTTTTTAGTAGAGACAGGGTTTCACCGTGTTAGCCAGGCTGGTCTCGAACTCCTGGCCTGAAGTGATCTGTCCGCATCAGCCTCCCAAAGTGCTGGGATTACAGGCATGAACCATGGTGCCTGGCCCCTATTTAAAGTATTCTTGATGCATCTCTGTTGCAGGAAGTATCTGTTTGCTACTGTTAACATTTTTTTTTTCTCTGTCACCCAGACTGGAGTGCTGTGGCACGATCTCGGCTCACTGCAACCTCCACCTCATGGGTTCAAGCGATTCTCATGCCTCAGCCTCCTCTCCTCAGGCCCTTTCCTGAGTGGCCAGGACTATAGGCGTGTGCCAACATGCCCAGCTAATTTTTGTATTTTTAGTAGAGACGAGGTTTCACCATGTTGGCCAGGCTGGTCTCGAACTCCTGGCCTCAAGTGATCCCAAAGTGCTGGGATTACAGGCATGAACCACGATGCCCAGCCCCTGTTTAAAGTATTCTTGATGCATCTCTGTTGCAGGAAGTATCTGTTTGCTGCTGTTAACTTCTTCTTCTTCTTTGTTTTTTTTTTTTTTTTTTTTGCTCTGTCACCCAGACTGGAGTACAGTGGTGCGATCTCGGCTCACTGCAACCTCCACCTCATGGGTTCAAGCGAATCGCATGCCTCAGCCTCCTCTCCTGGGGCCCTTTCCTGAGCGACTAGGACTACAGGCGTGCGCCACCATGCCCAGCTAATTTTTGTATTTTTAGTAGAGACGGAGTTTCACCATGTTAGCCAGGCTGGTCTCAAACTCCTGGCCTCAAGTGATCTGCCCACCTCAGCCTCCCAAAGTGCTGGGATTACAGGCATGAACCGCAGTTCCTGGCCCCCATTTAAAGTATTCTTGATGCATCTCTGTTGCAGGAGTATCTGAGTATCTGTTTGCTGCTGTTAACTTCCTTTTTTTTTTTTTTTCTCTGTCACCCAGGCTGGAGTGCAGTGGCACGATCTCGGCTCACTGCAACCTCTGCCTCCAGGGTTCAAGCAATTCTCATGCCTCAGCCTCCCAAGTGGCTAGGACTACAGGCATATGCCACCACACTCGGCTAATTTTTGTATTTTTAGTAGAGACAGGGTTTCACCATGTTGGCCAGGCTGGTCTCAAACTCCTGACCTCAAGTGATCTGCCTGCCTCAGCTTCCCAAAGTGTTGGGATTACAGGCATGAGCCACTGCACCCGGCCTGCTGTTGACTCTTAAGTGCTCACAGAGTCAGCTCTCAGGGTCCGGGAGACTGTCTGTTCCCCGTGACTGTTCCTTCCTGCGGCCCCGGGCTCACTGATTCTTCTTTACAGTGACAGCATTAAAGATAGGAAAAGGCTTCATCTTTTCCTGCCTGCCGTCTCTTTAACAGTCTCTGCCCTAGCCAGAAGTAGTTATTCTTGGGGATAACATAGTGGGCTCAGTCTTTGCCTCTTACCTTCTGTCATATACATATTTTACTTCCTGACCTAGTTCACCCACATCTATAACCCTTCACAAAACAATATTACGGCCAGTGCATTCTAGTACTTCCTTTTCTTCTATTATTCTAAGAATTATCTTGTACTTTCTATTTTATTTCATTTTTTAAAAAATGCACTCGTGACCCACTAAAGTGATTTCACAATACATTGGTGAATGGCAATCTGCGCTTTGAAAATCAATGCTCTAGCTTGTTCACCTAAATCCTCTGAGTTTTCCCATTTATGTATTAATTACTCTGCAGAAAAGGCTTTAAGATTATGTTCAACTAAAGCTCTTCCAAAGATTTCTGTCAGAAGCTACTTTTATGTACTGAAAGGGCTGCGCCTTTCTTTTTCTCTTGTTAACATAAAAAGAACACTTTGAACATTAGGCAGTTTTTAAGTGATCACGGGATGGTTTCAGCAAGTTAATAACAAATATTTGTTGATTGCTATGTTTTGCAAAAGATGACCTAAAAGCACTATTTGTGTGTGTGTGTGTGTGTGTGTGTGTGTGTGTGTGTACTAATAAAGTCTTTCATTTTAAGACTGTAAAAAGTAAGCTCCCAACAAATATGAGCTGTTTTTACTGGAGTCAATCAGATATGTACCAAATAACTAATCCAAATATCTCAGTGTATTGGACCCCTCTCCTGCCTCTAGAATCAGCTCTTCCAAAGGGCCTTGGAACTCCTGCCTGGGTCAGTATGGAGGGCTGGGAACTTTTTCAATCTAAGGCTACATTTCCAATAGGGATCATATTAGCCCCATCCCATACCAGGTTGCCACATGATCAGATGACAATAATTGTAGGCACCAGTACCATGTGTTAATTATCTTTTTTTTTTTTTTTTTTGAGATGGAGTCTCACTCTGTCACCCAGACTAGAGTGCAATGGCACAATCTCAGCTCACTGCAGCCTCCACCTCCCATCATGTTCCAGCGATTCTCCTGCCTCAGCCTCCTGGGTAGCGTGGATTACAGGCATGCGCCACCATGCCCAGCTAATTTTTGAATTTTTAGTAGAGACAGGGTTTCACCATGTTGGCCAGGCTGATCTCAGACTCCTGACCTCAGGTGATCCACCCACCTCGGCCTCCCAAAGTGCTGGGATTACATGCATGAGCCACCACACCGGGCCAATTATCTTTTAGCCATCCCTACTCTCTGGTCAGTCTCATTTTAAAAGCAGATAATTGATTTATCAGTATTCGCTACAGAAAGTAGTTGACCACATTTGACTTTGCAGACATTTCAGAAGATGTGGTGGTGGTTAGAATTTTCTGCATCCCACATATTTTTAAAATCTGCAATTTAGAGAGAACTTTATCCAGTCCAGCCCTAGGGGTAGATAGATGCATCCTACTGGCCCAACTCATTGCAAGGCCATGGAAATAGGAACTGACAGTGTTGCCCCAGAAAGCTGGAGAAGTGACATTTACATGTGTTATGTGGGCCTCTCAGGTCCCTTTCCCAAACCTGAGATTCTCTGATTCTAAGTGAAAGGTGAGCCTCCTTTATGGGTCCTGGGTTAGCCACACTGTTCCTGTCCTAAGCAAACCCGGAGGTTGTGTGAGCTGAAGATGCTGCCTTCACAGGGCCATCGTGGCTCATAGCCCCATAGGTCACATTCCCTGCTTCCCTACCACACACAACCACCAAGCTGCTTTGATCTTTCCAGAGAATCTTCTCTCCTCTTCCTACAGCCACTCTATCAGGCAAACTGGTATTTACCCCAGATACCCAGGAAGGGTTAGTCTTTCGGCCTCCTGAAAGTAGGAATCGCTCTCCTCTCCAGGATCCCCAGTGTGGCCGCCCATGAGACCCAGTCTTGTCTTTTAATTTTTTCCTCCAAGCCTTACCTCTCCAACTTCCTGGGTCCCCTTCTCAAGATGCACAAGGGTGATTCATCTGTGCAAGCCATAGCTTCTGGCTTGGTCTGGCTCTCTTGCCAAAGTCTCTAGGCTTCTCTGGGTAATATCTCTGATTGCCCAGTGCTCCTAAAATTGCACCTGTCTCAGCAAATGCTATCACCCAAGCAACTTAGCCAGAACCTAGGGCTTTTCCTCTGCCTTATCTAATTGGGCCCTGGAGTTTTCCTCCTTCTACAGCATCTACAAAAGTTCTCTCAGTGTCTTCTCTTAATGACCTCATCAGTGGCCCAACGTGTTCTTTCTGTGGTTGGGGCAGGCAGGGTCTCCATCGGTATCTGCCAGTTTCTTCCCCAATAGGCTGGAGAAAAATAAGAGAGACAAGTTTCCTACCCTCAAAGAGATTAAAGCCCCAGAGGAGGCCACAATACTGAACGGTGGGTCTGTTTCTCTCTGACTTCTACCCCCAGCTTCCCGCTGGGCCTCCCTAGCTGAGCTGGACCAAGTGGAAGTCAGGAGTGCTCCCCTGCCCACAGGGCATGGTCTTTCTAGGATGCGGAGGCAAAGCTGGAACTCCCCAGTGCCTAATGCCCTGATTGCTGAGGGTGAGAGAAGAAAGTGTCCCCAGAGGCACAGGGCCACCAGATAGAGAGCCCAGTCCCACCAGCAGGTCACAAGCATCCCTACTCGGGACAAGAGGGAGCAGCTGCGCCAGCGAGACTGTGGGACAGCCGGTGGCCTCGGCAGGGGTGGTGTTGTTGGTGTTGCTATTTGTGTCTCGGTTCAGTGTCGGATTGCCTATTCCTAGCTATTTTCCACTGGCAGGAGAGGCCAAATCTGAGAGTCCTTTCAGTTCCCAGCACCAAGCTCCCGCTATTGGGAAGAATGTGGTGTTTTTTTCCCCTTTTCGATGGGATTTGAAGCCCTCATCAAGCAATGGGGTAAACCTGTGACCCTGGGCAAGTGCCTTTCCCTCTCTGGGCCAGTTTCTTCCTCTGTGACACAGTGTGGGGAGGAGGAGCTAGTAAATGTAGTAATCGTTGGCCTCCTGTAACTCTGATGTCCTGGCTGCTGCAGGGAGCACTCGGTCTCTCTCTTTTACTCCTCTCCACGATAGCAGTGGCCACACCTCCCGTGGGACTTGTACGCCTAAGACTCTGCCTGCCACATAAATGTCCTCTAATTGTCAGAGCACTGCCAGGTAGACCTTCCCCTCTCCAGTTTACAAAGGAGGAAACGAAAGATTTGAAGTGAGAGTATAACTAAAAGATGTGGGATTAAAATAAGAAATTTGGGAAGAGGTTCCAGTTATTAAGATCCTGCCGGTCTCCCATGGTCTGAAGGGTTGGAGTTTTATCAGTTATTCTCACCTTTTATTCAGAATAAGTAGGGATCCAGCAGAGGAAGGGGACTGTCACTAGCAGGGCCTGCCTTGACTGCCGTTGCACTTCCCTGCTCAGAAAGTGTCCAGGCCTGCACATTGCACCCAGGCTCCTTGCCATCATGTTTCTGTCTCTTACAGGCCTTCCCCACCTTCCCTTCCAGCCTGACCTCCCACCCCTTCTGCAGTAACCTCTGCATATTTCACCTCCTCCACCTTCTTGCCAATATAGGATCCCAGCATCCCCAGCATGCACCCTGTTACCTGGCCCTGGTGCATGTTGGTCACCCCTCAGGACCGCTGCCCTCCCATCCTGCCCAGTCGTCGTCTTAGGCCAAGCTCAAATCTCACCTCCTCTGTGTTGCTTTCCCTGACCATGAAGCCAAATGTGTGCAACTCTCTCTGTCTCTGAATTTCTGCACCACCGACTTGCTGGATACTTGGCCCTGGGCAAAGAGTGTATGCTGCCTTTTCCATTAACTTGCTCACCAATTCCCTTCGTTTTGCCATTGGAAAAGGGCCGGCCCTGGTGGTCCCTTCAGCCCCTCCCTCACCCATACTCCCACGAGTGTCTTGACCCACTACTGGTTCTTTGAACTGAGTCTGAACCATCTTTGTTATCCCCAACCACCAGCCTTCTCCCTGCCCAGCAACCAGCACTGGAAGGAGAGCCAGGCTGAGCCTCAGTTAATGTTTGTTGAGTGACTGGATGGGTTTCTGTGGCCCCTGAGAGGTAAATGAAAGCCAGTCAAAGCAATGGGAATAGTTATTGATTAAAAGTCACACTTGTTAATTTCTGGCCAGGTCTCAAATCTGATTCTGGGTAGATCATTTCCCCCACCCCACCTTCGTCACTAAGGCTACTGGAAGCCCCGCCAGGGGCAGAGCTGTAATGGGAGTTTGGGCTGAGACTCTCCTCTGCATATTTCTTAGTTGTCTAAAGTGACTTTTCAACTCTTTCACCAAGGCACAGTGATTCCTATCAACAAGGAGGAAGTGCCAGTGCGACCTCTGTGACCCTTCAGAGTCCCCTCTCCAGGTGCTGCCCCAACATGAAAGCAGGAATTACTGTGGATAGGCACAGGCTTGGACTGAGGGGCTGGGGGAGGGCTGTTGGACCCCCAGAGCCAGGCTCTCCTCTGGAAGCATCAACATAGGTAAATGGTTAACAAAAGGGAGGATTTCTCCCTGTTCCTCCTCCTCTGCCACAGTATTGACTGTTAACCACTGACCTTTCTGTGAGGCGTGAGATTCTGAACAAAGTTGAACGCGGTCATGGATGGTTAAATTCCCACCTTTCCCTTCTGCCCTTGCCTCTGCCCCTCTGCCTTCTCGAAACATGGCCCGAGATGTGGAGGCCACCCCCTGGATGTGGTGGCTGCTGAGAGAGGGAGACACACTTGCTCACAGAAAATGAAAGTTGGCAATGACCCTCTGACCCTTTAGGAATCCAGAATCTTGGCTCCTAGAAGCCATAGAGCACTGTACCAAGAAGGCCAAGCCAAGCCCATCCGATTGAACTTAACGGAGAAGTGAAGTTCCCTAGTAGAAGAAGGCATTTTGGAGCCCATCCCGGAAACAGCTTTCCAGCCTTGGCCTTTTACTTATTTCTTCCTGCCCACTCCTCCTCCCACGTCACCCCTGCCCCCGGGGACCTGCCGGCCCACTGCATAAGACATTTTTTAATTTGCTGGCAAAATCCCCCAGCACCAGGCTTCGCAGCCCTCCCCTGTTACCCACATATGTTTTATGGGGTGTAGCCCGCTAGCTTGCAGTTCCACCCCTCTGCACCCTTCATTGAGTTTTGGGAGAAGCGCCATCCAGTCGTGTCATTTGTTCAGGATGACTTTTCCATTCCACGCCCGCTGTGTTCGTTTTCCTGGAATGTTCCCATCATCTCCCAGCTCCAGTTGGCCAGGGCCAGCGTGCCATCTCCATGCTGGTGTGTGTGACTGTTTGGTGCTGACCCGAGGGGTGGGTTGGTGGAGTACGAGCCTGGGCTGGGGCCTTATAAGGCCTGGAGTTTCTCGGTTTCATGCGTTATCCATCCCCGACCACTGAGAGCTGAGTAGGATCCTGTGGTTAGTGCCCTTGAGCTGGTCTTTGTGACCTTTCTCTAAGCAGCCCAACCACACACTGCCATGCAGCTTTGAACTTCAGACCTGGTTTCTAAATCCACGGAAGCTGAGAGGAGGAAGAAAATCTGAGGGGTTACCCAGGATGCCGGCTTTCTCTCTACATCATTCCCTACCCCAGCCCTGTGCAGCAGGCAGGAGTGTAGGAACTCAGGCAGCTGGACTGGGGAGGAGGGAGAGAGGGAAGGATGATACCAGTTTAGGCTAGTGAGAAATCTGTAAAACCCTAGATGTGCTGTGCCTGGGAACAGACCATGAACACCCCCGCAAAGCTCTCAGTGGTCAAACCAGATTTGGGTATCGACTCACTTTGATCTCAGCTCTTCCTGCTCTCTTAAAGGTCCAGTTTGTGATCCGCTTTAAAGGAATATTTTATTTTCAATACAGACACAGCCCTTGACGTAGCAGTAAAAACCTTCCCCCCTGAGAGACACGTGGCAGTGAAGTGTTTTGGTATGTAACGTCCTATCTTTGCCTATGTGGAAGGGGTTGTCCCGTTGCTTCTTTTGTCCCTCAAGAGGGTGCCCTCCTACCCCCTCGTGCCCAGGCCCAGGAGCACTCTAGGGAGGGCAGGGGTCAGCTCAGATGGGAGGTCTCTTCTGGAAGGGGACTGGTTTGGGATGGGGAGTGGTTGTCATCCTTCACCCAACAAGAGTTTCTTTGAGAACGCCACTCCCTGCCCCCCACTTTGAAGATGGAAGTGAAATTTTCGGACTCTGCTGTGCAGAGCAGGGAGGTCACTAGGCTCTAATGCATTTACCATTGACTGCCCCTCTTGTAGTGCGTCTATTAGTGAGTAATTTGATTTGTACCTATTCATTTGCAGTCCCTGCAGGAGCCTGGAGCTGGCCCCTAGTATAATTGGTGCTGTCTCTATTTTTACATCATTAGATTAGCCCCGACTCCTGGCCACTTGTTGTCTGCGCTTGTCTGTCCATTTATACAACCTAATGTAACACAAAATTCATTACTGATCACATTACTTTCAACTCTGAAGCCAGCCTTGTGATAAACATTTGGTTAACCCCTTCCTACCCACGGGAGGACTGACAGAACAAATGCACTTCCACCCGACAGGCAAATCGATATCTTAATACACCAAAGTGGAATTGCATTTCTAGATTTGTTATTCCTCCTGGAGGAGCAAATGGAAAGGCTCGCCTGAGCCAGCTGAATTGAATAATGAATAGAGCCCCGGCACCAGCAGCCAGTCTGTGAGCACCGCACAAAGGCAGACCGGCATCAGCCAGGCCGTTTCCATCTGGACGGGCGGCGGCACCACCACAATTAGCTGAGACTGTGATCCTTTCCCAGCCGCGGCGTGTGGGCTTGAGACACAGGCTGGGACCCCAAAGAGGGCAACAGAGGCCGTGCCCCAACACCATTCCTTTGGCTAGGCTTGGCCTAGAACACTAGACCAAGAACTGGGTTATTTAACTTCAAACCTTGTTCACTGATGTCAAGGCTACCAGACGCTAAATGCCACCGAGAAGTTAAATCTATTACTAAACTCAGGTTTACCATCTGGAAACCGAAAAAGCTCTTCCTGTTTAGAGCCAGGTCAGTGACATTGGGATTGGTTGGTTCACACCAACTTGCGTGTGTGTGCCTGTCCCCAGGGCCAGCATTCTTCAGCACGCAGATGCCATGTGTGCCTGTATGTGGTTCTGGTTCTCTGGTAGGGTTGCTGTGAGCAGCATGTGGGACTCTAACACAGGAGCTGGCCAGGAGTCTTAAAGGGACCTCAACCTCAGCACAGCATTATTAATCTAGAAAATTCTCTCCTATCCCCAACTGGTCATCCTCTCCCCAACCTTCATTGGTCTCTGGGTAGCAGCCACAGCCGCAATAAGTCATTAACTTTCAGGACAGCTTGTTTCAAAATGAAAAATACCCCCACTTATTAAGAAACTCTCATAAAGCCTGGGGCCGGGCGCGGTGGCTCACGCTTATAATCCCAGGACTTTGAGAGGCTAAGGAGGGTGGATCACCTGAGGTCAGGAGTTTGAGACCAGCCTGACCAACATGGTGAAACCCCATCTCTACTAAAAATACAAAAATTAGCCAGACATGGTGGCGCGTGCCTGTAATCCCAGCTACTTGGGAGGCTGAGGAAGGAGAATCAGTTTTTGTTTTTTGGCTTTTTTTTTTCTTTTTTTGAGACAGAGTTTCACTCTTGTTGCCCAGGCTGGAGTGCAATGGCACGACCTCAGCTCACTGCAATGTCCGCCTCCCAGGTTCAAGGGATTCTCCTGCCTCAGCCTCCCCAGTAGCTGGGATTACAGTCACCCGCCACCACACCCAGCTAATTTTTTGCATTTTTAGTAGAGATGGGGTTTCACCATGTTGGTCAGGCTGGTCTCGAACTCCTGACCTCAGGTGATCCACCCACCTTGGCCTCCCAAAGTGTTGAGATTACAGGCGTGAGCCACCGCGCCTGGCCAGGAGAATTGTTTGAACCCAGAAGGCGGAGGTTGCAGTGAGCTGAGATTGCACCACTGCACTCCAGCCTGGGTGAAAGAGCAAGACCCTGCCTCCAAAAAAAAAAAGGAAGAAGGAAAGAAAGAAAGAAACTCTCATAAAGCCTGTACCACAATGATTAGAAAAATTGGCATAGGGGAAGGTGAATGGAACCATTACCATGAAAGTCATAAATGCCATGAACTGAAAGAAACCATGAACAGAAGATCCTCCAGTGGGAAGGGAAGCCGGGAAAAGCAGCCCTCCAGGGACCATTCTGCCTGGATTTGGATATGGGGAAGTCCTGGGCAGGAGGCCGAGGGGCAGAGGCACTGAAGCCTGAAACAGGGCACCCCCTCTCACAGAGGACTGCACCTTGGACCCTGCTGTCCCTTCAGCTGTCCAGAGCCCTTCCAGGCCAGAAGTGGCAAACAGTCCTGAGAGACATGGAGGTCCTGGAGATTCTTGGAGAGGGCCAGGCACCACTCTGGGCCTTGTCTGTTAGACGGATTCCTCCACCATCTCTCATACCTCTCCTCCTTCGTGTACAGGGAGGGGGCGGGGAGAGGGGCGCCTCCTTGCCGCAGTCCCAGGGCCCCAAGGTGAGAAGTAAGAGGTGGGGAAGGGCCTCACCGTGTCCTGGGCTGTAGGGCCGGGCCAGGCCAGGTACAGGGAGGTCCTTGTCCCAAAGACTCCAGAATCGTAACCCTCAAGCACTTCCTACTGTGAGGAGCTACAAAGCAAGCCGGGGTCTCCTCAGCAGGGTATTATGACACCCTCACATCCCAGCAGTGGAAGGACACTGGTGTGTCACTGAGGTGAGCCTGGGCACAGTGCTGTCTCCTCAGGGTCAGGGAGACACTTTCAGAAGGAGTAGGGGCACTAACTCACCACCCCCACCCCTGTTGAACCCCCAGCACACTGTCTTGCTCGGCTGCAAGCCCGCAGCTTTGGCCTCAGCTGTTAATCCTCTCAGGTGGGTAAATGGAACACGGGGGTGGGGGAGATCCGTGTATCCCATGCTGGCCCCAGCCCCATAAGCTCTAGAAAACAGATAAGAGCACAGGCCTTTGCCTTTGCAGAATAGGACGGACCAGTGGCAGGGAGGAACGCGCGTCTGCCTGTGGAATGAGAGACTGTGATTTCTTAACCTTGATGGAAAAGGGGAAAGCCACATCTTACCAAACTCTTCCGCTGCGTCGTAGGGAATTTAATTACATTTGGACATTTGAATGAGAAGCAGATGTGGCTCTGGCCCGCCGGCCAGCAGCTCTCAAAGGACAGCCACTCTCCTGTGGTCTGCAGGGCTCAGTGCTATCTCGTCACGCTGGAGGGTAGCTCGGGGAGACCCCTTCCTGGGAACTAGGGTGGGTCTTCCAGGCTTTCAGGGCTGGACTTCAGGACACAGGCAGGTCAAGGCCAGCTGCCAGCACCTAGTGCCAAGGACGAGTCTCCAAGCCCTGTCCCCTCTTCATAGCCGGGCAGAGCGGGCCTGTGTGCCGGTGCCTGAGACTCCTCCAGGCCCCCCATTGGCATCCACACAGAGTGGTGGCGTGGCAGCACCTGGCCGGGCATTCTCCATCCCCCAAGCCCACCTGCCATGCCCCTCGGCACTGAGTCCACCCTAAATGGCATCAGCCAAGGCTCTGCCCCCAGGTTGGCATGGAGTAGCTGGAGCTAGGAGAGACATTTCAGCCCCGCTCCTGGAGGGCCCTCCGCTGCTAAAGACAGCAGAGGCAGCAAAGCGTATTTTTTTACCCAGTTTCACGTGTGTGTCCAGTGCGGGTTCTGCTTCTTAAAGCCCCCCACTTGCTTTTCTCATTAGAGCCGTACACGCCCAGTGAGGTCACTAGAGCAGACCCTCCCCTCCTGTGCCACAGATGCTGACGCAGATGAGAAGTGAAGTGACTTGCCCAGGTCATTTGGCACATCTGTGACAGAACTGAGGCCAGAGTGAAGTCTCGGCCTCCTCGCACAGTCCTCCTCCTCCCTGGGCCATCCACAGGGAGTGGTAGGGCAGGGCTTCTCCCACATCTGGCCGATCCTGAGCATGGCTCCAGCCAGTCCTCAGATACATCCAAACCAGCGACAGAGGAGCTGGGTCAGCACAGCATTTTCTCTCCCCTGGTATAGCATGTGGTGACCGCATGTACTCTGCCAGGGGAGAAAGGGGACTCCTTTCTCAGTCCCTGCTAGCCCCAGCACCCCCGTCCTCCCAAGCGCTCACTGCTGGTAGGCAAAGAGGACCCCTGGTCTGTGGGCCTGGCAGCCAGCTCTGAAGCCTGAGGGAGGAACCTGGTGGGGAGGGGAGCCCCACACTGCAGGGTGAAGCCTGGGGAAGAGGGAAAGCGCAGGGGAGCCAGGCAGCCTGGGAGGTGGGTGTATGCTCAGTGTGGTGGGAAGCAGGGCTGCCTTTAACTGCTGCACTTTTCACCTCCTAAAAAGTGCCCTGGGGGCTGAGGCTGGCTCCATCCCAGAGTGTGGTCTCTGACAAGGCTGTCAGGGGCTTAGAGCCAATCTCAGCCAACTCCATCTCTGTCTCACGGAACAGGCCCCCGCCTCCTCAGCCACGCTCTGGAAGAGACAGCAGTTGTTTTCAGGCACAGGACTGGTGTAAGACAAGCAGCCTGGAGCCATGTCTGCCTGGGCCACCACCTCTCCAGGTGCCAGCGCCAGCACCAGGAGGCTGCCAGCCCTGCTCAACCCCACACAATTTGCTCAAGTCTTCCTTCCACTTAGTCTCTCTCTCTCTCCAAGCCCCATTTTGCATAGCTGGTCCTGTTTGCAGGACATAAGGGCCCTGGGTGCAGGCCCCTTGCTGACCAAGTTGATCGCTTGGGGCAGACCCCATATGGTTCATTTGCTGAACTTAGAGCAGTCACGTGACCCGCTGGTCTCCTCTTCACATGTCCCATCAAGGGAAAATGCAGAAAATGCCCGACCTCCTAATGAGAGGACCTCCCCTACTACGTACCTCACTGCCCATTCAGGAACCCCCAGGCAGAAGGTACTGAAGCTGTTGGTTGCAAACCTTCTCAAAGCCAGGCACTGGGCAAGCGCGGGCAGCTCGGCTGGCTGCTGTGTGCCGCGAAGCCATCCGCTCCCCTGGGCCACCCCGGAACCCAGCCCCAGCAAGGGTCTTAACCACAGTCCCTGCTGATGTGGGAGAGCTGAGAGGTGGATGCAGGAGGGAAAAATCGATGCATGTCAACAGGGTTGGAAATTTATTTTCCATTTTGGAAGAGGGTATTTGCAAAGAGGCGAGGAGGGAAATGAAAAGCTGTAAACACACATCTGCCATCTTCCTCCCTGGGCCATTTCTTGATTAAAAAGAAAGAATCCTTCCCAAGCTCCGGTGGAAGCCAAGCTGGTGAGGGCCTGGATGGCAGAGACACCTGCTGGGGAGGGAGGCTGGAGAGGGACCCTGTAGTCCTGTGGATCATCACAATGACTAATCCGATTGCAGCAATAATAGTAACTCACATTTGCTGACTGGAAGCGTTAAGCACTTTGTGATGCACTCTACATGCATTATTTAATTTCATTCTTAGAACCAGGCCATGACACAGACATCGTTAACCTCATGTTCGGGAACCTGAGGCACAAAGATTCGAGTAACTTTCCCAAAGTCTCCCAGGTAGCAGGTGGCCAGGGGGTGTGCTCTTAACCACTTCCCTAAACGCCTCCACCAACATGGGCAGACACTGCCCCTCTGCCTTCTCGGGTTCTCTTGAGGCTGGGGGCTGGACTGGCCAGGGGAAACATCCTCATCCTCCTGCTCACTGCTGGAAGCAGGCAGAGCTGTGGGTGCAGGGTCAGACTGGACCCTAAGGTCTCATCCTACTCCCACCAGTCAGCGTGGGTGGAGAAATGCAGCCAGGGCCCAGTCACAGTGCTCTGCCAATCCCTTCAGTGGGCAGCATCAATGCTCATGTACAGAGCCGTGGACGCTGCTCCTTTTGTGGTGACGGAAGTGCCAGAGCTGCCCAAAGGGTGAACCAGGGGCCCCAGGCAGCCTCTTCCTAAACACAAACAGAGCACTGTCCTCCCTGGCCCCTCTCAGGTCCCTGAGACTAGGGCTCAATGCCCCCACTTCCGAAGCCAGAGGAGCTTTTCGCAGGGCCTTTGATTGGCCAGACGTCCAGGTTGGAAGAGACCCAGAGAACACCAAGCCCAAAGCAGGATTTCCTTACTGTTTTTTTTTGTTTTTGTTTTTTGTTTTTTTTTTTTTTTTTGAGATGCCAGGCTGGAGTGTAGTGGCACAATCATAGCCCACTGCAGCCTGGAACACCTGGGCTCAAGGGATCTTCCTGCCTCAGCCTCCTGAGTAGCTGGGATTACAGGCACGTGCTACCACACCTGGCTAATCTTTTAATTTTTGGACACGGTTTTGCTGTATTGCCCAAGATGGTCTTGAACTCTTGGCTTCAAGTGATCCCCTTGCCTTGGCTTCCCAAAGTGTGGGATTACAGGTGTGAGCCACTGCACCTGGCCCGACTTCACCTCCGACCTACTGCTGGGGCCCCTGGTTTGGCCTCTCCAGCTTTCCCTGCGTCTCACACAGGCCCTGTGCCCTCCGCATTTCACCCCTCCCGGGGAGTCTGCTGCCCGTCAACTCACAGCCTGGCAAAGGGGCCACAACACTGCACTGTGGGTGGAGGTGCATGGGCCCATGCTGCACGGCCCAGCTCAGGAGTAGGACAAGGTGTGGGCAGCCATGCCCTTGCCTCCTCACAGACAAAGAGTGACCCCACCCCACCCCATCTCCCTGGGCACACGCTCCCAAGTGACCAGGGTTGCTTCTCTCTAAAAAGGCCAGTCCCCTCTTTCTGCCCCCTCTGACACCTCTGAGTTTGGATGGGCTCCATATGGAGTGGGGCAGCATGAGGATCCAGCTTGCTTTTTTTTCACCCTGAGAACAGTAGTGCCAAGGATCCGGCTGTCTCATCCTTCACTTGTTTCATGAGAGCGGAGGCACCTTTCCTTCAGTTGCTACTCATTCATCATCCCCCTACCCCTGGGGGCTGTCCATCCTGGCCCAAGGCATAGAGGGGCAGCTGCGGGTAACAGGCCCATTTCCAATATGAGCCAACAGGGAATGGCTCTCCAGCATGGGCATGGGGGCCGGTCTTAGTGATGCCGGAGCTGCCAGCACCCTGTGGCCCGCACCAGCACCCGTTCTTTCTTGGGGGATGGGGGTGGGAGGTGAAGAACCAGAGCTAGTGGTTGCTTCGTCTTCCTTGGTTTTGCTCTCTGCAATGTGGGTATATAGCTCCCACCACCCAGGGGACCACATCCCTGGAGAGTGCAAGGTCACAATGAGGTGACTGGGTCTAGCCACTTGCCTGGAAGCCACTCCTCCTCTCCTGCCCTACTTTGGGGCCTGGAGAACAAGCTCTTTTAAAGCTTCTCCCACTGACCAGAATCTCCACACCTCTAAGGGGGGAGGTGGCTGGGGACACTTCCCTCATTTCCTGCCACAGAGCCCCCAGCACTCTCTTTCGGGCCCTGGCAGGTTCCTGATGGACTTCCCCAACAGGTCCACCTCAACCGCAGGACAGCTGCTCAGACCTGGAGGTCTTGGGAGTGGGGGAGGAGGGCAGCAGCCAGGAGTTGGGCCACTGAGTCAGAAGGTCCAAGGGCATCCCTGAAAACTGCAGTCTGTTTCCCTGTCCTCCTCCAGCAACCCACCTGCATGGGGTCCCATCTGGCACTGCATGGGCCGTAGGTCCCCAGCCCTCCCACTTCCTAAAACTGTTCTTCATGTTGAACCTGTGACTCCTCTCCCCCTCCCCCACTCTGAACGGGGTCTTGGCCCCCTCTGTCACAGCAGATCCATCTCTGGGACCCCCAAGACAGATTGGTCCCCAGCCCCTACACATGCATGTCACTGTCCTCCTTGACTGCAAACTCCCCCTCCTCACGGTGTGCCCCTGCGCCTCCTGACACCTCTCCACCTGCTTGCAGAGATCAGTGTACTTCTCAATCGTTGTCCATATCTTTTCCAAAAAGATTCCTCAATGCTTTTCTTTTCAAAAGGGAAAAAAAAAGGAAAAAAAAAACAATGCCAACAGCCCAGCGTCCGTGAGCAACCCAACAGTAACAAAGCATGCGTTCGGGATGGAGGAAGGTAAGGCCACACGTTTCCATTTGCCGCTTGCTCGTAGGGCTGGGCGGCCGGGATGACTTGGAGGGGGGAATCTGAGCAGCCCTCCTCCCCTCCACTTCCCACACACACCCCTGCCTGCAGGGGGAGGAGCAGAAGGGGTCTGAGAGGAGGCGTGGAGAAAAGCGCCCACAAAGCTGCCCCGGGGCCAGCAGGCCCCCGATTCTTTCAGTTAGTCTGTGTTGAAGAATGGGCCCCCACCTCCCCTTACCACATCATTCATTCATTCATTCATTCATTCATTCATTCATTCATTCATGCTAGAAATGTTTAGGGCACCCATGATTTTCCAGGCCACTAGGGATACAGAGTTAAGGCACAGAACCCCCCCGAGGGGGTCTCCCCTAGATGAGACACATGGGACGATGAGGGGGCCTGGGCTAGGAGTCAGCACAGCGCAGGGTAGGGTCTGGCAGGCTCTGCTCGGGGGACAGGACGGGCTCACAGAGGAGTGGACACTCGTGCTAAGCTTTGGAAGATGAGTAGGTGTTCTGGGGCTTTGTAGAGCAAGTTACATGAACACAGGCCCAGAGGCCTAGAACCACCTGGATGGGTCCAAACACCACACAGCTTCATCACTTTTGTGTCTCAGACATAATAACGGGTATCACTAGTGAGGGGTTGGCGGCAGGTCATGGAGGGCCATTTCACAGTGCTGGGGAGTTCAGACCTTGCCCTGGGAACTGTTAGGAGTGGCTGAAGGCTTTTACGCAGAGGAAAAGCAAGATGAGGGCTGTGCTGTACATAGCCCACTCTGGCTTTGGCACAGGGTGGGTGACCTGGAGTCAGGAGACTGAGGCGCACAGGGCAGGCTTAGCCAGGGCAGAGGCAGAGGAGGGAGAAGTTCAGCAGAGCCTTGGTTACCTTACCCTGGGATGCGGGGGCGAGGGAGAACGCTGCCCCCATCCTTCTTACCCGGGTCTAACTGGCAAAGGGAAAATGCGAGCAAGGCGCTCAGGTTGTCCCTGGCCCCCAAGAACAGGACATTCATCTTGTAAGCCCCTGGGTGGCTTTCCCTGCACTGTGGTGTGATGGGCTGGGGTGCATCCACGAAGACTCATTGGTGGGACCACCGAGGCTGCTGGGGTATTTGCTGGGGGCCTATGCCAAGGGACGGTGGGGGTGCCATGCCTGGGCCCGGGCTCCCGTTTCCTGGCTTCCTTGGCAGTGTGGATGTGGAGGCATTTTGCATCAAGGCCGTTAAAGCTGCCCCTGAGCTGTAAAAAGGGGCCAGCCTTCCCCATCCTGGTGGCCCTGCCTGCTCCTTCCTCGGGGGCTTTCTTCCTTAGGCCTGGCGGCCCGATCCTAAGGAAGCCCCTGCTTTTCTTGCGCCTGCCGGTGCTCTTCTCCCGCCCGCCTGGCCCTGCTGTCAGCGCCCCCTAGTGCCGGGCCGGCCGCGCATGAGGGCGGTGGGACAGATCGCCCACAACTCCTCGGCTTGCTTTTGGGGAAATAAGGCAACAGAGGGGTCTCTTGGAGTCTGGAGCTTCCATGTAAAATCCCCAGGGTCTACTCTTGGCTTTACCACCCTCTCCATCTCATGGCACGATGGCCTGTCCCCCCAGATTAGGGTGATACTGAAGGAGGAGCAGGAGAAAAAGATCCTATCTGCCTTGTTTTCTATCCATATCCAGATAGCTCTTGACTTTCCCAGGCAGCCAATGTCCCCTGGAGGTCAGGGACCATAGTCAGGCCCTCGGTCCCTGTCCACAGTCCCATCCCCCTACTTTCCCCAATTTGCCAAGAAGCCCTGGTGTCCCAGTGAACTGTCCCACCGAGACCCCGGCGACAGACTCGGCTGATGGATCCCAAGGGCCCCTCCCCTCCCCAGGCCCAGGTGCCCGCCTCCTCCCCACTCCACTCTGTGGCTGCTGCAGGCCTGCAGGGAGTCGGGGTCAGTGGTTCGTTGCTGGCTGGCTGGTGTTGGCCAGCCCAGGAGTGAAGGCCATGACCCCTTCATTCCCTAACCAGAGCCGGCTGTACTGCGCGTGTGGTGGCAGGGGGCCTGGGAGCGGTTGCAGGATGAAGACCAAGGTCTCAAGCCAGACCAGACGAGTGCAACGTTTTTGCACATCTTGCTGTTTCAAGTGACTGCTTTGAGGTCCTGCACTCCTGGGTGGACAGGCCAGACTCCTTCAGTCACAGGCAGGCATCCCTTGGAGAAGGAAAGGTTGCAGGTCTACATATCTTGGCTTGGGGCAGGCTCCAGAGACTGCCCGGTGTGTGTGTGCCCATATGTCAGAGCCCCCGGGGGAGACTGAAAGGGAATCGGAACTGACCACCTTCAAAAAGCCAAGAAGTAATTGGTTCTTCCTTGCACTCAGCAAGCAGGGAATTCCATTCCCAACCCACCTACCCCAGGACCTGACTTGGGTCAAGAGATGGTAGGACAATTGAGCGGCCCACAGCTGAATTAGATGGATCAAGCTGCCATATCTGAGGTGGCAACATGGATGTGCAGGGCCAGGGAGGCAGAGGAGGAGGAGGGCGGGACTCCCTGCCTGCCCTTCAGGTTGATGCTGAGGGGCCTCCAGGAGACTTGGGGCCTAAGAGGAAAGGAGAAAGGAGGCACTTCAGGCAGACAGGGACCCTCTCTTCATTGGAGCAGGCCCCTCTCAAACCAGGCATCCCCTCCCAGGGAAACAGGACACTTGGCAGGAGGTGCCAAAGATGAGCCAAGACCTGGCCAGCAGATGGACTGTGTGGGTGAGCATGAGTGAATGAGTGAGTGGCAAAGCCAGGCAGAAGCTCTAGGCACAGGCAGGGCAGGAGAGAGGTGGGGACAGATCAGGCAGGGATGCTGCAAGCCCTCCCGTGTCCTAGCTTCTCCCCGCCTGCCTCCCCTGTAGAGCCGGGACAGAAGGCACTGTGGAGTTGGGGGCATGCTGGCTGAGCATGAGTGTGTGCAGGCGTGGGTACGGGCTCATGAAGAGCTGTGTAGTCCACACACATCGTCAGGGTGGCCGTGCTTCGGGCCTAAAGGGCTTCCCGCAGCAGGGAGACGGTGCTCTCACACCAGAGTCTGCCAGCCAGGGGGCTTTCCCTCCCCTGGCTGAGCCTTCCTGTGACCTGAGCTGCCCCCTGCCCATCCAGGGAGCAGGCGGGGATCCCCCTGCGGAAGGACACAAGTGAACCCAGAATGGTGCCTCAAGGCAGGCAGCCTGGCCCAGATGGTGCCCCCACTCCCCAGACCCAACTCTAACCAGGCCTGGCCCTCTCCTGTGTCTTGCAGAACTTCAGCGAGAGGGAAGCATCGAGACTCTGAGTAACAGCTCAGGCTCCACCAGCGGCAGCATACCAAGAAACTTTGATGGCTACCGATCTCCGCTGCCCACCAATGAGAGCCAGCCCCTCAGCCTCTTCCCGACTGGCTTCCCGTAGGTACCAGCAACCTGCTTCTGACTGGCCAGCCCCCTCCCCTGCTGGAGGAGGGGAGAAGCCCCGCTCTGGTCCTACCCTTCAGTCTCTGCTCTTCCTTCATCAACCACCTTCCCCAAGCTTAGTGACAGCAGCCGCCCATCCTACCTGGATGGAGAAGAGACCCTTCTCCAAGCACCTCAGCGCACTTGCCCTCTGCCACACCTGTCGGTGGAGGCTGTGGCCAGGAGAGACTGTAGAAGCTCGGTCCCTGTGTATGTTTGCATATGACATCCTGCATTGGATCCGCTTTTGTATTTTTTAACCATACCCACGGTGGGGCGGGTGGGGGGAGCCTGGAACAGTGACCAGATCTGGGGGCCTGAGTGGGGACAGAGTTGATCGTCCACCTGGCCATTTTGACCCTGAGTGGACAGTCACAGCCTCAGCTCATGTCTGGCTGTGACACACACTGCCCCCAGCTTCCCTTGGTCAGCCCCACTCCAGCACGGGGTGAACGGAGGCCCAGAGTACTAGGGAAGGAGGAAGGGAGGACATGCCTCTTCTTCCTCCTTTCTTTCCCCATCTGTTCATGGGAAGAGTTTGTCTTTCTTATCTTTAAGCCCCTTTACCCTGGTCCTGTACTGATCAGTGAAGGAAACCGTGGTTACTGAGGCCCTGTTGAAAAGTGCACGTCTTGTCCAATAAATCACGCTGCAGTTGGTGTCCATCCCTGAGTTGCTGGGGTAAGGGTCCTCTCCAAATGCTGAGCAGAGTCCTATGGCCTGAGTGCCCAGGATCCCAACACCCCCTTTCATGTGCAACTTGGGGGCAGAAGGAGTCAGTGGAGGATTGGAATGGGAAGAACTTTTGTCCTGGAATTTGGATGGGGCCTGATTTAAGAAGCCCATTCTCTAAGCATCTTGCCTGTTACCAGAGGCAATGAGTTCTTGGGGTGCCACAGGGTTGGACCCTCCTCCCTGGGGATCAGGGCTTGCCATGTGCTGGTGGGTTGCTGTCAAGGGGAGAGTCTGGCAAAGCCTCATCTGGGGGGCACCTTGTTGTAATTGCCTCTTTTTAACTCAGAAGATGGAAGGGTGGTCAGGTGAAGGTGGGTATCTCATGAAACCTGGCCGGAACCCTCAGATGACACGTTCCTGATTTTGTCCCCCCGCCCCACCACCACCACTTCCGGACCTAAAGTAAGTGGCAACAGAGACAGGAACAGGGAGAAAAAATGGTGCATTGAGCAGGAAGGAGACGAATGCTAGTCCTTTGCCCCCTTCCCTGGCCCACACTTCCCAGAGACCCCAGGGAGGCCTTGGAGAATGGAAGGAAACCCACAGAGCCAGGTGTGATTTGGGGTAAAGTTTAATGGAAAAGCCGTGGAAACGTTGAGTTCACAAACAGGACTTCCCGTGCAACTGTCCAGCCAGACCTGGGGCAGCTCCTGGGGACCCTGCCCCCTTCACACACACCCATCCCATCCATGGTGCCTGAGAGGCCTTCATCTTCAGTTCCCTCCACCAGATCAGTTGGGCATGTTGGGGGCAGAGATGGAGGGTTGTTGAATCACACTAGGCTCTGTAAGCTGAGAAGACGATCCTGCACAGGGTGGCATAAGCCAGTCCCTCCTGCCAGGGCACCTGCAGGGCGAGAAGTCACATGCCAGACTGAGGCATGCTTGCGAACACTAGCCTGGCCCCAGCAGCAGGGGGTGCTGGAGGAGCTGCAGCTTTTCCCCATCTTGCTGAATTATTGATGGGCCTGGCACTGCCCCTACCCCCAGCTACAGCCATGTTTCAATCAAAAAGGGACAAGGAGGAGAGTGCTACCAGGCTACCTGTGCATGCTGCCCATGGCCTGTCTTCCTGGGGATGGGTTCAGCTGCCCTAGGAAGCATGAGCCCCTCTGAAACCACCCCAGGACACGTGGATGTGGCAGAGACCTTGCTGCCAGGGGCTCTCTCAACCATTCAGGGAACTGGCTGGCAGCTTACAGAGTCAGGAGTCCTCCCTGGCCCGGCCCTTCCCCTCCAGCAGGGGCAAAACAGCTGTGGCCTCCCCCAGGCAGGGAAAGTGGTGGGTGTAGGGCTGGACTTGCCGGCTGAGCTTGCAGGACAATCTGGTTATTCATCTGCTTGAAGTCAGGGCAACTCTTTGAGTATGTGGGGGAAGGGTGAGGATAAGAGAGACCAGATAAGCTGGCCCCACAGCGGCTGCCACTGGAGCTCAGGTTATCAGAAAGGCCTTGGGCCTGGCCTCCGGCTAATTGGGGAGGTTATGGAGCCTGCCATAGCCTGTAATCAGCTGGAAGGGAGAGCTGGGCCCCAGGGTTGGGGACCTTACTGGCCACTGGCCCCAGAGCAGCCGCTTCCTATCCTCTACAGATAACATCCAGGGCAATCTGGGACTCACCCCCAGCCCCAGCAGACCTAATGGTGGCATCATCTGGGAGGGCATCAGAACATGAATCAAACTGTGGCTGATCAGGGGACCTTTAGGAATCCATGTGACCTACCGATTCTCTCGGCACTACCTGGTCAACGGGCAGCTTTACTACGGACTTCCTCTCAATTTGATGAAGGAAAAATACCTTCATGATCTGGAAAGAGGCCGGTGGGAGCCAGCGTGGCAACTGAAGGAGCAAGAGTACTGTCTGAGATGAGAAAAGGCACGGTGGGCCTGAGGCCAATTCAAGCACACAAGCTCAAACACCAGGGCCAGCCCCTCTGTCAAGGAGCAGAGGCCAGGCTAGGCAGCCACCAGTCTGGAAGTGTATATGGTTTCTCAGTGGTAATTTTTTATTTTCACAATTCAGGGACTCATGAAACTAGAAAGTACCTGAGAGTTCTGTTCGAGCCTCATTTTTTTTGCAGATGACAAGCAAGCCTGAGCCCCAGAGAAGGGCAGGGCCTTGCCCAAGGTCACAAAGTCACACGCCTAGTGAGCCTATCCCTGTCTGCACCTGGCTGCTTCACACCCTGGCCAGTTCCCTTAGAGGGACCCAAATCCGAACTGACCTCCCTGTCCTGTGCCCCTATCCCATCCAGAATGCTGACCCCACTGATCCCCATCCTGACTCCATCAGGCTTCCTGCCTGGGCTGAGAGACTGAATTTGCAGCTGCTCCCTTGCCCCTGTGTAGCTGGAAGGCAGCCCTCCCACTGCAGACCTAGAACTGGAGGCTCTAGAGGCAAAGGGACAGTGCATCCTGTATGTCTCGAATTCAGAGCAAGAGCCCAGGGGAGGGTGGCAGCCCTGGCATCTCAGGATCACCTTGCTGTAGGAGCAGGGGTAGGCAGCTCAGCAGCACCGGCTTCTTAGGAGTGGGTTTGGACTTGCTCTCTTTAAGGTCCCAGGGTCCCATCCCAGCTCTGCCACCAGCAGGTACGTGGCCTTGGGTACATGACTGCACCTCTGGGATTCAGGGTCCTCATGTGTAAAGGAGGGAGTGGAGGGGAGAGAGCAGCATGCCCTTCCGAAGGCGCGACAGAGCAGAAGCAGGCAGAGGGGAAGCTGCGGGTCCACAAGGCAAACCCATGGTTCGAGGGGAAGTTGACAGCCAGGCCAGGTGCCCCTTAGCAGGGATGGGGAGGGCGGAGGCGGCACAGCTGGAGCCCGGATTGTGGCACGCCGTCACCGTGCTGCTCCGGGGAATCCCGACCCGCTCCCTGCGAAAGCGTTTCCGAACGCGAACCCAGAGCCTGTGAACGCGCCGGCAAGCCCCCCACTCCCCCACCGCCGCCCGTCGCAGGTGGGCCCGTCCTAGGGGTCCTTCCTGCGCTCTACCCCGTCTCTCAAGTCACTCAGTCGATCGCCCCGTTCACGCTCCCGTGATCCCAGACATCCATAACCACGATCTCGCCTCCATGCACATCCAACGCACGACGGTGCACAGACGTGCACCTGACTTCTGCGGACCAGGTGTCTCAAGCGTACAGCGGCCACCCGCGGAACCGCGGCCCGGGGCCAGTGAGTCGTCTGCAGCTCCCCGGGTTAGGGGATTCCCCAGAACTCCGGGAAAGTCACCCGAAGTCCATCCGGGATGCGGCCTTGGTTCTCGGCCGCGTGATCTCGCCCTTAGGTGCAGAACGACGCCCTTCCAGGGCCCACAGCTGCCAGGCTGGGCCTTGCCCTCGCATCCCCCGGGAAGACCAGGGACGGGGCCACACAGGCCGTGGCTGCGGAGACGCTTCCCCGGGCCACCCCGCGACCAGGAGGGAGTCGAGCCGCCCGCTCTCCCCGCGTCCCCCGCCCCATCCCAGCCAGTTGGCCCCACCCTGCGCGGGATAATTGGGACGGGAGGGAGGCGACGGGAGGGCGGCGGCTCCAGAGAGACTGCGCGCCTGTCAGCGGCAATTTGTTTAAGTGGACGGGACGGGCCGGGCCGCTGCGGGCTGGGGTCACCGAGGCCGCGGCCCCCACCCCAACCAGACCTGGGACCGCGGGGGAGCCCGGTCCGGCCGCTAAACCGGGCTGGCTGGCGCCAGGGCTCCGGGAGGTGCGGTCCGGCGGGGAAGCCGTGATGGGAAGCGACTCTGTCCAGGGAGTGTCCTTCACCACCACACTCCTCACGTCCAGGCAGTGATCGACGGCCTGGCGGCACCCTCACAGCGGGCCCATAGCACGGGGCCACACACGTCCCCTGAGCTTAGCCTGGGCACATTCGTCTGCCACCGAGGGCTTAAGCCAGTCTGCAGCCCGCGCCCCGTCACTCGGACGCAAGTCCGTCGTCCGCTCTGCCACGCGGCCGCACAGCCCGAGCTTCCTGCTGCCCACTGCCCGCGGGGTCACGCAACCCCGGCCCTGCACACAGAGGAGGAAGCGGCGGGGACCCCCTGCCACCTGGAGGCTCAACCCGGGGAAGGTCCCAGCAGTGCCCCTTAACCCTGCGAGAGGTGACGGGGCCGGAGGACGGAAGGGCAGCCACGCCAGGCTCAGGACCGCGGCCCCACCCGGCCCAGGCCGTCCCCGCTCCCGCCCCATTTCACTGTTGCGGGAAGCGCGGGGCGCACAGACCGCGCGCCACCAGCCCAAGCCCGCCCGACGCCCTGGCCGGAGACCGCCTGCGAGAGGGAGGGGCGGCCGAGCGCGCGTCCCCCGCCTGTCTGCGGGACCTGGCCGATGCGAAGTGACAGGGGCCGGAGCTTTGTTGTGGAGCCTCGGCCGCCTGGCGCCAGCCGCCCCCGCCCGCGCCCTCCCCCTCCAGCCCCGGGCGGCCCGCGAGGCGCCCCCCGGGGCCTCTTAAAGGAACACGCACACTCGGCCCCCGGGGCTCCGCCAGGGGAGGGGGTTCCTGGGAAGGGGGAGGGGGCCGGCCTAGGTGGGGGAGGGGCCCAGCGGAGGCCTCACGGCGCCGCTCCAGGGCCTCCCAGGCCTCCCCAGCGCCAGCTTTCGGTGAGCCTCGGGCATTCCTAGCTGGAGAGTTTGGCTGGGGGTCGCTACAGACTCTTCAGAGCGGCTGCAGCAGGACCTCAGGGTGATCGCGGGACCGCGGGGCGGGGCGAGTGGTGGGATCCTGGCCCGGACAGAGCCCCGGAAAGCCAGAGGGAAGGTCGGTGCCACTGTAGGTGGGGTCGCCGTCCCCAGATGCAGCCGCTGCACTGTCGCCGCCAGGTTTCTCGGTCAAATAACCCAGGCCTGAGTGTTTCAAACTCTTCAGGCCTCGGACCCCTGGACCAGCTATGGATGGACTAATGAAATGGACTAATGTCTAAAACGCACACATTTAGATGTACACATACTCTTACAAGGACAAAAGTATGTGTCTACACACACACACACACACACACACACACACACGCGCGCGCGCGCGCGCGCGACTTTGCGAATGTATTCACGGATTCCTAGGCCGGTACCTGGGTTCCCGGCTAAGGAAAGCTGCCCTGGTTATTATCTGGTCACCTCACCGGCTGCGCAAACGTGTCCACAACGGGTCCCTCCCCGAGAGGCCACATCTCGCCTAAGGTGGAGCCAGCAGGTATTTGCCTGTGGAAAACTGCAGTGGATCCTGCCCCGTCTGCGTAGACTGCGCAGCTCGGAGTCAAAGATTCGTTCTGGCCAGAGAGGAGGTACTAAGAGAGGTGCGACCTAGCCAAGAACGAGGTCGTGGAGAAAACCCTGTGGGGGCGGCGCTCACATATGCGGTGATGAGGAGTTGTGAGGGCCCTGGGGTCGGCCCCGAAAAGTAGGGATAACGGTCGCAGAGGCCATACTGCTTCCGCCGGTCCCGAATCCGCACTGCCAGGAGAGATCCGGCCTTCAAACGCTGCTCCCAACGTTCAACAACGAAGTGCCCTGCGACCGGTGTGCGCAGTGGGCGGGCGCCTGCATGGGTCAATGTTGGATGTACGCGCCCACCACGCGGTTGTACGGGTGGGAATGTCACCCGTGGCTAGTGCATGCTCTGTCTTTTCCTTCAGAAAACGACCTTCAGGAATCAGCCTGAGTGTTCGCGCCCGAGCCCGATTGGAAGCAGGTGCGTGGTCGCTTCACTCTCCCCGTGCACACCTTGAGTTATAGCTCTCGCTGCGCACAGAGGGCACCACACGGGGCCCGACACACACACACACACACACACACACACACACACACACACACACACCATCACTTCATGGGGGGGAAACTGAGGCTGCCGGAAGACAGAAAACGAAGACTGATCACAGAAGAGGGGGCTTCAATCACAGGTGCTCGCAGACACCCCAACTCCCTCACGCGTTACTCAGCACTCCTTAACTTAGGAGACGTGCGCTTCCGAGAGATGAGAAGAAACTAAAAAAGTGGTTGGCAGGGCGAAGAGAGGAAGCCGGTATTTCGGAAGAAGGAGACTTTCGTCTCCGGTACCGGATAGGGCGAAAATTCGTTGGGTCGCGGGTGGAGAATCCGGGGTCCGCCCGCGCGGTGCCGCCCTGTGCTCAGCGAAAGGTGCGCTCACCTTCCTGGCCCCGAGGATCCGCTCCTCCCGGCCGCTGGAAAGCTCAGGGCGGGGCCCGGGCCTGCGGAGAACTCCAGGTTCCTTCCGAGTCTTCCGGTGAAGGCGGGCGCGGGTAGGGGGTCCCCGCGTTTCCCCAGCGCAAGGCCGCGTCCCGCTCCCGCCCGCGCCGGCCCCAGCAGGGCTCGGCCATGGCTCCACTCACCAGCTCCCGCCACCTGGGATCCGCTCCCGGACCTCGGCCGCCCGAGCCTCCCGACTCGCCCGCCCACCGGCCTCGCTTTCCAGTGCCTGCTGTCTCTTTCCGGGGCGCAGGGACCCCCAGGCGGCGCCACGACCCGGAGCTGGGTCGGAGGCCAGGCTGGGGCTCGGGCCAGAGCGGCCGGGCCTCTGGGCGCGGGAGAAGGAGGGCGCCCCCTCTCCGCTCGGGGTCGTGTCAATGCTTTGCACTTGGGGCCGGCGTGCGGCTGCGGGTCCTTCCCCAAGGCCCCGGGACCCGGGCTCCCCTCGCCTCAGGCCCTTTCGGCGGGTCAGGTCGGCCCTCCGCGCTCTCCAGTCCGGCGCAGGCAGCCGCAGGCGCGGGCGGGCGGTGGGGGCCGGGGCAGGAGGAGGGGTCTCGGGGCCCGGCGGCCCGTCATTGGTTAATATTTTATTCTGTTGACATGTTTTCTTACTGCTGAGGCTTCCGACACCTTCTCCCAGGCCCCCCCTCCCGGCCGGAGCTTGGCCTGAGCTGTCAAAACCCCGCCCCCGGAGACCCACAATTGGTCCAAAAAGCGTAAAATCAGCAATCAAGGGGGGCCTGGCTCGTTAGCGCAGGGGATCCGAGCTGGGCAGGACATGTGAGATAGTCACAGTTTTCCAGAGATCACGACAAGATCTAACCAGTCGCGCGTGGTCCCCGGCGCCGGAGCGGGCCAGCTCAGCCCGGCCCAGCCCGGCCCCGCGCAGAGCCCCCGCCGCCCCCGCGCACAGAGCCGGGTGCCCCTTGCGGTGCGCCGGACGGGAAGCCCCGAGGAGCAGCTGCTGCGCCCGCCACCCGGGTCGTCCGTCCACCGCGCGCGCCGCCGCCCGGGCCGGGGGTCCGAGCCGCGCGCCCCCGGCCCCGGCCCCGGCCCCCGGGCGCCTGGGCCGGATGTCCCGATGAGAGAGCCGGCGCTGGCGGCCAGCGCCATGGCTTACCACCCGTTCCACGCGCCACGGCCCGCCGACTTCCCCATGTCCGCCTTTCTGGCGGCGGCGCAGCCCTCCTTCTTCCCGGCACTCGCGCTGCCGCCCGGCGCGCTGGCCAAGCCGCTGCCCGACCCGGGCCTGGCGGGGGCGGCGGCCGCGGCGGCGGCGGCGGCAGCAGCGGCCGAGGCGGGGCTGCACGTCTCGGCACTGGGCCCGCACCCGCCCGCCGCGCATCTGCGCTCCCTCAAGAGCCTGGAGCCCGAGGACGAGGTGGAGGACGACCCCAAGGTGACGCTGGAGGCCAAGGAGCTGTGGGACCAGTTCCACAAGCTAGGCACGGAGATGGTCATCACCAAGTCCGGGAGGTAGGGCTGCCGGCCGGCTGGAAGGCGCGCGGGCGGGCGGGCGGGCTGGGGCACGGGACTGCACGGATCAGAGCAGAGCTGGGGACTCCCGGCTCCCGGCTCCCGGCTCCAGGTTCTGGCCCTGACGCCACGCTTCGCTCCCACGGACAACCAAGTTGACTTTTCTCGTTTGGCACCGGAGCGATTTTTTTTTAAAACAAAAACGCTAAAATCCTCCGAATGAAATAAAACGAAAACATACTGCTAAAGAATAGCCCCAACCGTTCTGAGTCCCAGCGCAGAGGAGGCCCCGCGGCTTGGCCCTGGCGGTCTCCTCCGCCCCGCGCTCTCGCTCTTCTGCGTCCGGGTCCGTCTCCGAGCTCGGGGGAAATTCAGCCTCTCTCAGACTCTGCTCCGACCCCGAAGCCCCTAGTGGGACCTGGGCCCAGCTAACCCCACGCTGGTTGCTCGGTTCCTGGCAGCGAGCCCCGGGTCAGCCGAGCCCTCCGCCTCACCGGGCTGGGAGCCCTTTCTCCACCGCGGGCATCCGAGCCCTGGACGCATCCGCCGCCCCAGGCCTTAAAGCCTGAAGAAAGCCACAGCCCCGGCCCCTCCACCCTTCGACTCAGCCACCGAGAATCCAGGCCTCGGGTTCACCCTCTTCCCCCGAACTGCACGGCCAGGATGTCTTATCAGGCTCTGTAGCCCAGTTCCCAATACAAACACCCTCCAGATTTATTTCTGGGAGCTTCCGTCCCAAGTGGGTATTTCCCCTGAACGAATTTCGGGGAGATTAAGGAGAAGCGAGAATATTTCTAGAGGGCCTAGACTTCTCTCCTGGGCATCAGCTTTCATCTCAGATCAGGGAGAAAGAGGGTCCCCAGATCTGAGCACAAGGCCTAAAGGAGGCTGTTTAGGAGAGGGTCTGACAGGCAGAAATGGGATCTCCTGGGAGCAACAACCACAGGTGGGGTCGTCCGGGCAGTGATGAGAGGGCAGAGCAGCCGACCACAGGGGAAACAGCCAGGCGGCAGCGGTGTGCGCAACGAGGAGGGATAAATAAAGGAGGAGTGGGGTCCTGGAACCTAGAACAGCCGGTTCCAATGGGATCTCCTCCCTTCCCTCCCTCCCAGGCGGATGTTCCCCCCCTTCAAGGTGCGAGTCAGCGGCCTGGACAAGAAGGCCAAGTATATCCTGCTGATGGACATTGTAGCCGCTGACGATTGCCGCTATAAGTTCCACAACTCGCGCTGGATGGTGGCGGGCAAGGCCGACCCTGAGATGCCCAAACGCATGTACATCCACCCAGACAGCCCAGCCACGGGGGAGCAGTGGATGGCTAAGCCTGTGGCCTTCCACAAGCTGAAGCTGACCAACAACATCTCTGACAAGCACGGCTTCGTGAGTGTTGGGGCAGGGTGGGGACGGTGCAGGAGCTTGTTGACCCAGCACTGCAGCTGAGCAGGAGAGCAGGGCGGCAGGATCTCCCAGGGGGAAGCGCTGGGCAAACCCCCAGAGTGCCCCTGCCCGGGTCACTGCCCTGTGGTCTACGTGGGCTGGGCCTGGGCCTGGGCCCCAGCGCTCTCCTTTGCAAGCCTGGGAAATGGTGGGGTCAGTGGCTGGCAGCTCACAATCTCAGTTCCTCAGGCCGTGGAGGGTCCCTTGTACCGTCAATAGGGAGGCAGGTGCTGCCAGGACTGGGTCTGCAGTGCTGGACCACGGAGGTCACCCTGCTCTTGGCCTGTAGGTGCCGAGCTTGGAAGACCTGCCCATGACCTCAACTTGTCCATCACCCTTCTGCCAAGACCCGCGTCCCTGGCCCTCCCCCAAGACTAGGGGATTTAAAAGTTAAACCACCCTCCCCACCCACCCCCCCAGCCTCCCTAAGACCTTTCCCTCCTCCCACAGGCAGATGCCCAACTAGGAGGAGAGGGTTTGGGGGTTCTCTCCATTTATGCCTGAGCAAGGCCCCAGCGAACGGGGGTGGTGTTTCATAGGGTAAAAGGAACTGCCCATTCTGAGGTAGGGCAGTTGGTGAGCCCCCGAAGGTTGGAATCTCCTCTTTGTGGGGTTAGGGGGTTTACCAGTGCCAGAAAGGAAGAGAGTGTTAAGAGTGGAATTGTAGGGCTCTGTTTTGTTTTATTTTGTTTGGGTTTCTTTTGTGGGGAGGGGTTGTTTTTTGGTTGGTTTTTTTGTTTTGTTTTTTGTTTTGTTTTGTTTTTGCTCTGTCTCATTTCTGTTTCCAACTGGGAAATTTTTTTTAATGGCAAGAGAAAAAGAAGCTGTGAAAAGAGAAAAGCGAGAGGAAAAGTAGAAGAAAAAGAAATAAGGGTGAGAAAAGAGCAGAGACAGGAGAAAATGGGGAAGAGGAAGAACCGATAGAGAGAGAGAGAGAGAGAGAGAGAGAGAGAGAGAGAGAGAAAGTGGAGAGGAAGAGGTCAGGTACCCAAAGAATAGAAAAGCTCGGGCCGGGGCTGGTGGCTGCCGGCTGACCCCCACCCTCCCCGCAGACCATCCTAAACTCCATGCACAAGTACCAGCCGCGCTTCCACATAGTGCGAGCCAACGACATCCTGAAGCTGCCTTACAGCACCTTCCGCACCTACGTGTTCCCGGAGACCGACTTCATCGCCGTCACTGCCTACCAGAATGACAAGGTGCGCGCGGCGGGCGGTGGGCTAAGCCCCTGCACTGACGCCCCTCAACACGTGCAGGCCCAACCGTCCGTTCATCGCCCCTCGAAGCCCCCTGCACGGGATCCGCGCTCTTGCGGCCCGCCCCCGAGCACCGAGCCTCGCATCCATACGCGCAGCACTCACGGAAGTCCTCAAGGCGCCCTCTCAATCCCACCGCGCGCACACACAGGCTCCCCTGGGGCGAGCGAACAGCTGGGCCGTCGTTCTGATGGAGATGTTTACTTAACAATTAGCTGAGACTCCGGGCCCGCGCTGACATTTTTACATTTTATTCGTTTATTTCTTGGCTCAGGAATGAGAATGTAAGTGAAGAGAGGGCGCCCGAGGCAATCTGCCCAGGCTCTACCGATGCTCAGAACCCGGGGCCCAGTTTTCACTCTCTCGGGGGGAGCCAGAGGGTGGGACAGGTGACACAGCCCCCCAAAGCACTCCTGGCTACTGCTCTGGGTCAGTCTAGGCCCCAGACCCCTTGGGAGGCGCTTAGAGAATTACCTTCCAATCAAAGGGCTTTTTCTGCTTGCGGCTTCTCCACCCTTGTTCTAGTGGGGCAGAGCATCACCCCTCTAGGCCTGTGCCCTTGTGCGCCACTGTCGAGTGAAAGAGAGGGTACGAGTGTCCGTGCCGGTCGTTGTGGCTTTGTGAACCAAGGTGTACGCTGGGCTGTGCGTGCCCCGTTTGGGGTGTGTTGGATACCTGTGGAGGCATGTGAATTCGTTTGGTTCCGTAGGCGTTTGTTATGTCTGTGCACACTTGCGTGTGTGCGAGCCCGTGAGTGTGATTTGGCTTTGTGTGTACCTGCAGCCTTGCGTGTGAACTGCAGTCTCTGTTCGCGCCTGCTCGGGTGCGGAGTCGTTTAACTTGCGCAAGCCCGCGGGCGGGTGTGCATGCTTGGGCTGGTTCCGACACTGTGGCACTGCTTTAGGCCTGTGTGGGGCTGTCTAGGCCTGTCTAGGGATAATTCCTCGAATGAAGCTTTTGGAGGACAGACCCCGTCGCTTTCCGCGAGGCCCTCCCACCGGCCTCAGCTCGGGGCGTCCCATCCCAGGCGGGTGGGTACCAAGTGGACGCTCCCCGGGTCTTCCCTCTGCGGCCAGCACCCGCTGACCTCGGGGTGCCACCGACCACGCTGGAAGAGCCACGGCCTGACTTAGCGCCGCCCCCTTGGTCCCCGCA
Organism: Homo sapiens; assembly: GCF_000001405.40. Lineage (NCBI taxonomy): Eukaryota > Metazoa > Chordata > Mammalia > Primates > Hominidae > Homo > Homo sapiens. The sequence goes on from NC_000017.11 coordinate 61,404,420, forward strand.
GATCACACAGCTGAAGATCGACAACAACCCGTTTGCCAAGGGCTTCCGGGACACCGGGAACGGCCGGCGGGAGAAAAGGTGAGAGGCCGAGGACAGCAGCCCTGTGGCGGGTGCCCGCGGGAGCAGCGAGCAGGAGGGATGGAGGGATGGGCTCCCCGCTGACCTGGTTCATCCGCTCATCCCCAGGAAGCAGCTGACGCTGCCGTCTCTACGCTTGTACGAGGAGCACTGCAAACCCGAGCGCGATGGCGCGGAGTCAGACGCCTCGTCGTGCGACCCTCCCCCCGCGCGGGAACCACCCACCTCCCCGGGCGCAGCGCCCAGTCCGCTGCGCCTGCACCGGGCCCGAGGTGAGGGTCGGACCGGAGGAGGGACAGGGAGGTGGCGGCGGGGGGTCCTCAGGTCGCTGGGCTGGTCTTTTGCTGAGCCACCCGCTAACCTGAAAGGCCAGGAAGGAAACGTCGGCGAGTGTCTGGGATGGGGTTTCCGTCCCGGGACTCCCCTACGAGGGCGGTCCCCGGTAGCCAGAAGATCCGGCCGGACTCCGAGCCTGGCCCCTTGGGCGCCGTGTAATTCTATAGCTGTAGGGTTTCCTCTCCAGGGCTGGGTTCCTTCCACTGTAAATCTGGGGTCTTGGATTAGGTGACCTGCAGCTGCCCTTTGCCCGACTCCAGCAGCTCCTCCGACTCGGCCTCCCCGAGAGCAGCCCTTCCCGAGTGTCCCTGATCCTGCTCGTCGGCCTCCGCCCAGGCCCCTGTAATCCGCGCGCCCTCTCCCCGCAGCTGAGGAGAAGTCGTGCGCCGCGGACAGCGACCCGGAGCCTGAGCGGTTGAGCGAGGAGCGTGCGGGGGCGCCGCTAGGCCGCAGCCCGGCTCCAGACAGCGCCAGCCCCACTCGCTTGACCGAACCCGAGCGCGCCCGGGAGCGGCGTAGTCCCGAGAGGGGCAAGGAGCCGGCCGAGAGCGGCGGGGACGGCCCGTTCGGCCTGAGGAGCCTGGAGAAGGAGCGCGCCGAAGCTCGGAGGAAGGACGAGGGGCGCAAGGAGGCGGCCGAGGGCAAGGAGCAGGGCCTGGCGCCGCTGGTGGTGCAGACAGACAGTGCGTCCCCCCTGGGCGCCGGACACCTGCCCGGCCTGGCCTTTTCCAGCCACTTGCACGGGCAGCAGTTCTTTGGGCCGCTGGGAGCCGGCCAGCCGCTCTTCCTGCACCCTGGACAGTTCACCATGGGCCCTGGCGCCTTCTCCGCCATGGGCATGGGTCACCTACTGGCCTCGGTGGCAGGCGGCGGCAACGGCGGAGGTGGCGGGCCTGGGACCGCCGCGGGGCTGGACGCAGGCGGGCTGGGTCCCGCGGCCAGCGCAGCAAGCACCGCCGCGCCCTTCCCGTTCCACCTCTCCCAGCACATGCTGGCATCTCAGGTAAGGCCTGTGACCCCGCGGCAGCGCCAGCGAGGGAGAAGGCCCAGGGAGCTGGCGGCGAGGCCAGCGGAGGGCCTGAGGGGTGCCAGGGTCGCTGGGATCCTCTGGCAGGCAAGAACTCCATCCAGGGGAGGCCCCGGGATGCCCTTTAGGACACCTGGGTTCTGAGAGACGAGGACTGTGTTGTAAGTCCAGGGGCTGGCCAGGGCGCCGCTTCTGACTCCCGTGTGACCTTTGGCAAGTCCCTGACCCTCTCTGGGCCTGCTTCCTTCCCTATAGCCCCAGCGAGGAGTGCGGTGCCCATCGAGACTCTTCTCACCCTCACAGACCAGGGCCACCCCTGGCTTGTGAAGTCTTCTCTCCTGGCCTCAGGACATTTTTCTTGAGAACAAAGACCCTTGGCTCCCTGTCCATTCTGAAAGGCTAAGGTGGCCAGACAGACAAAGGGAGAAGGAACATTTGCATTATTTTCTGGACAGTTGACCACCAGCCCTCCCAGAGGTCTCTGGCCCCTCCCAGGCCTTCTACGAAGTCCTCTGTCCTGGTGAAGGACAAGGCTGGTCTTTCCCCTACCTTGAGTTCCCAGCACCCCCAGCCACATGTCAGGGATGAGAACTCAGCTCTTCAGGCCCCATTGAAATTCCAAGCTCCCAGGGGAGTGTTGACGAAAATGTGGCTGGGGCACAGTAAGGAGATCCGATGGGGACAGTGGCCTCTTTGGTTGCTTGGGTGGAATATTCCCTGTGGAAAGATTTGGAATCTCTTCATTCATTTTCTTCCCTCTGAGGTTTCTGGCAAATTGAACCCCTGAGATCTTATCTCAAGGGAAGGAAAATAGCAGTTCAGGTCTGAGAAAGCTCCTTTGCTTCAGCAGCAAATATTTTAAAAGTTGGGTTGGTGGGTGGGGGGGTGGGGGGTTGGGAGGCAGGCGATTCTGAAATGAGTTTTACACACAGCTCAGTGTTAGGGTGTGTGGAGTGTTTGAGGTATCACCATCACTCATCTGGGGCTCTGGGCTGGAAGGGAAGCCTCTGGAGAAAGTTCAGGGCCCAGAGGTTTAATCTGCACCCCTGATTATTTGTGTATATGAATGCCTCCTCCCCAGACAAACTGGTAATAATCACCAGCATCACAGAGGTCATGAGGAAGTCAGGGCTTCTAGACACAGCCTGGCCAACAGGTGCATGACCCGGGTGAGAATACCAGCACCTGGGAGGCATCCGTTGGTAGGGCTGCTGGTGGTTACATTCCCAGGCCAGTGCAGCCCATCCCAGACATCAGGTAGAGCCAAATCCCAAGAGAACTGAAGCCTCCCTCCTTCCTCCCAACCTGGGATGCCAGGTCTGAAATGCCCAGTAGGACCTGACTGTCTCAGGAGGGGGTATTTTCTCAGGCCTGATGAAGCTGCCTCTTTTCTTCTTCCTGCTAGAGCCAGGCCTGAGGCTCCCTGGGAGCCCAGTGCAATCATCAGCCCCCTGCCCTCCTCCCCATACCCACTAGCTCTGGGGAGTAAGCCATTATCTCAAAGGTCAGGCCGTGCACCAGCCAGACCTCATGAACTCAGGAAGGTGCTTGTCCAGGAGTTCCTGGCTGCTGTGCCCTTCACAGGCAAAGACTGCATTCCTTCCTCAGCTGCCAGTGAGGTGCTGCCAGGCATTCCCTGTAGAACTTTCAGGCCAGTTTATGAACTGGTTGGCACCCGTGTCCTCCTCCTGGCCCAGGCAGGAGAACCATGAGCAGGCAGAAGGAGACTTTGCAAAGTGCCTTCCCCAGCATGTGTGCCCTCTGCCCTTCAGAGCCTGCAGATAGGAGGGGTGGCGAGGACACTGTTCTCAATGAGCAGAACCTCCAAGACACCCAAAGCTGCCTGTTTGCCACCTGGCCCTATGCCTGCCCCGTTTTCTCCCTCAAGGCCTTCACCCGTGCTAGGGCAGTCACCTGGAATGTCCTTTCCATTACCCCTGCTGTAATGCCCAGCACAGAACTTGATGGCAGGCCTTTGCATGGTAGCCTGAAGCGATCTCACCCTTCTAACTGGGTTTGGCCACAGGCACACTGGCTCATGCTTACCTGTGCTGCCTGTGGTTATAGTTATGCGAATTGTGGTTTTACATCCCTAAAACAGAAGGGCACGGTGTCCAGGGGATAGCACCCAGCCCAACTTCAGAAAGACTTCAGGCAAGATGTCTAACCCTCGTCTTGTTCTGTTTCTTCCAGGGAATTCCAATGCCCACTTTCGGAGGCCTCTTCCCCTACCCCTACACCTACATGGCAGCAGCAGCCGCAGCCGCCTCGGCTTTGCCCGCCACTAGTGCTGCAGCTGCCGCCGCCGCAGCCGCCGGCTCCCTCTCCCGGAGCCCCTTCCTGGGCAGTGCCCGGCCCCGACTGCGTTTCAGCCCCTATCAGATCCCGGTCACCATCCCGCCTAGCACTAGCCTCCTCACCACCGGGCTGGCCTCTGAGGGCTCCAAGGCCGCTGGTGGAAACAGCCGGGAGCCTAGCCCCCTGCCCGAGCTGGCTCTCCGCAAAGTAGGGGCCCCATCCCGCGGTGCCCTGTCGCCCAGTGGCTCGGCCAAGGAGGCGGCCAATGAACTGCAGAGCATCCAGAGACTGGTGAGTGGGCTGGAGAGCCAGCGAGCCCTCTCCCCAGGCCGGGAGTCGCCCAAGTGAGGGGCTGCCCAGCTGCTCCCCTGCCACGCAGGCCACCCGGGCTGCCTGCCCCTGCTGCTTGGGACGTGTACAGCACAGAATGAGTATTTATTTAAATAAAGGAGAAAAGTGGGCTGCAGCAGCCGGAATAGAGCCTCGTCTGGCAAGTCGGGGCCTGGGACACTTCCCTGGGCCTCAACAAGGATCAGGCTGCTGGAAACACAGTCACTTGGGAGCTGCTGGGCTAGGTCCAGATCCGCTCCAGCGTCAAGGTGGCATCCGAAGGTGTCTCTGGTCTTCCAGCGAGGTGGGAGAGGCCTCATCCAGGGCCCAGCGGTCCCTGCAGAAGCCAGAAGGTGCAGGGGCCAGGGGTGGGAGCATCGGAGGGAGTCCCAGAGCCCTGGACCTTGGGCCTAGACCGCGTGATAAAACTGGGTTGAGGGATGCTGGAACCAGTTACGACTGAAGTCAGTGTAGACCTGAGCTGGGAGGGAACCTGTTAGTCTCCCCACCTCTTCCCTGAAGAGACAGGCACCCCTCCCAGCCGTGGTCAACGGAGGGAGTGGCACTTCTGCCTTGAGTCCCCAGGGGAAAAAAAAAAAAGATATTTATGAAATAAATGGTAATTTGTGTAAATAAGCTTTAAGGTTCCCAGAATATGCAAATTGGTATTAATTTATTCAAAGGTGTACATTGCTGTGTACATATATTTAGAGATTAACTCATACATTTAAAGTTTTTTTCATTTTACGTGAGCATCTATATTGTACAGGGCTGGGGGGGCCCTTGGCTGCGGGAGAAGGCCCAGAGCCCTGGAGGAGCCACCACCCCGCCGGCCCCTCGACCCCTCGGCCCCTCGGCCCCTCCGCCCGGGTTTGGCTCGCCCGGCCCGCGGGCTCCACCTCAGGTTTTCACTTTTCGCTCCGGAGCGAGAACGAAACGACAAAAACGCAAGAAAACAATAAAACGCTAGAAAGCGAAGTGAACGGCGCTGTGCGCTCTGTGGGTCGCGCGGGGCTGGGGCGCTGCACGCGCGCAAGGAGGGACGAGAGGCGGGGACAAAAGGCTGCGCGCCCCTCGCCCGGCGGCAGCTGCACCCCGGGGACGGCAGGGCGGCACGGCGGCAGGGCGGCTGGGGCGCTGGCGGAGCCGCGAGGCCGGGCGGCGCCGGCGCGGGACGCGGGGTGCGTCCCAGGCCGGGGCTGGACTCCCCCTGCCGGCCGCTCCCGCAGCTCCGCGCAACGGGCCTGGGCACCCACCCGGGCCGGGAGGAGAGCAGCCGAGCGGCCTGGACTCCTGGCTTCTGACTCCCTTTCCGGGAAACCACACTGGAAACCCATCTCCTTTCAATGCTTCTGGGTGGGTGGGCTGGGAGGATGGGTGTTCCTTGTCCAACCTCTCCCTTCGGAGGAGGGGTTTGGCTGTGTCCCACCCCCGTACTCCCCGCCAAATATCGCTGAGCCTAGAATTCTTTCCCCTCTCTCTGCCTCCTGAACCTCAAAGACAAACATTTCCTCCGCGTCAGGGCTGTTGGCTAGAGTGGCAAAATCTGGACTAAAAGGTCTTACTTTAACTCATCTATCTAAATCCCTCTTGGGAGAGTGGAGAGTGGGGTCAGTGGGCTATTTCCATTCCTGCCTCAGTTTCCCCTGTATAATAATGGGCTTGGCTGGGGTCTCTCCGGGGTCCAGCTGTGTCAGTCTCCATTAGGCTGGTCCTTCCCCGAGACCCACTCCTGCAAGGACAGCTGCCTCCCACCCCGCGCCGGTGAGCTCCCCCTCCTTGCCCAGCTAGCAGGTGTCTCCAGCCCCCACTTCTAGCAGTGGGAGCTGGGCGGGCACTCCTTTAGCCCTGGGTCTGGTCGGTCACCGAGCACGCCACCTCCTTCCCAGTTCTCTCCTCTTTAAGCCTTGGGGACCCTGAACGCCCTGCCCCAACAGGCTGCCCACCTTGGGCACTGCACAGGGTGGGGCTTGGGGAGGGTGCTGGCTTCCAAAACACCAGGGACGTTGAGATGGAGGAACGGTGATGGTGAAGGTGGAATGGACAGTTGGGCCCCCAGACTCCCAGGACGCCTTTGTGGGCCGATACATTTGCAAGGAGCGAGAGAGAGAGAACCAGGCCCGCCTCTTCAGGATGGTGCTGCCCCCAGGCCACGCCGAATGCGGCTGGAGCAGGGAGGGGACTCAGCCAGTGCACGAGTGGGAGGTTGCAGTAGAACGTATCCCAACCCCAGAGGGTGGGTTCTGGCTTCCCTGCCTCAGACCTGCGGGCAGGTCCGGGAACCCGACAGGGACAGAGAAGCCCGTTTTCCAGCCTAAATAGAAGCTCGTGGGCAGCGCGTTTGCTGGAGGTCGCTTTGGGCTGAAACGCCTCTCATACTCCTAGAGGAGCGGCGCGTTTGCGTCCCGCGGCTTCTCACTTTCAGCAGGACATTAGGAGGGAGACGAGAGTCGGCTGCGCGCCCGCGGCGGCCTACGTACAGGGCTGCGGACACCAGGGGGCAGCACCGACTTAGGGTCGCGGGAGGGGTGCGGGTGCGGGCATGGGCGCGGGGGAGGCGGGTGCCTGCGAAGGCCGGGCGGGGCGGCCTAGTCGCGGCCGTTTTTAGGCCGCGTCGTTGCTGCAGCAACCCGGGTGGGGTGGGGTGGGACTCCAGGGCCTCGAGATCCCCCACACCACTTTCGCCGCCACCTCCCGCCGCACATGTCCCCTCCGAGTCGCCCACCCGGCGCTCCGCGGGGCCCCAGCTGGTAGCCTGAGTGCGACTGCGGGAACCCGCGGCCGGCGGCTGGGCCTTGTCCCAGACAAAGGCTAGGCCACTCCCATGTCCAATTAAGCCACCCTCCTCCCCGGCCTCCCAGCCCTCATTGTCCCCGGGGTCGCCAATTAGCCTAGGCGCCCGGCGTACCCGCCGCTCCGGTGCCGCAAGGCCTCCTTAACCCTTCAGGGCCTGGCCCGGGGTCCTTGGACGGCAGAGCCGCCGGCACACGCGTGGCAGGAGGGCCAGTGCTGGGACGATGGCGATACCTGCTGGCGGCCTAGCCTGTCGCCTCGGGCTCTCGCGTGTGGGGCGTGTGAGGTCTAAGAGGGAATTGTGCGTGTCGGTGTGGGGTGGCGCGTGCGATTCCCGGAGGAACTCGGAGATGGAGGGTGTGAGTGCAGGGGCTCCGAGAGACCCCTAGCGGCTAAGCCGCCCGGATCCCAAGGCCCAGGGGACCTCATTTCCTCTCGGGTTAATCGGAATCTTCCGAGCCCTCAAGCCCTTCCTCCTCCACTCCCCCGCCGCTGCTGTGGAGAACCGGAGCCACCGGTATGGCCTGGCCCTGCCCTCCCGAAGGCCGCAGCTCCCGGGCCCGCCTCCCCAGCTGACCGCGAACTCCTGCGTGGGGTGCTCCTGGGGCGGGAGGGGCGCGCTCAGCCTCGCTCTCCCCGGGACTCTCACGCTCAAGCGCCCCGGCTTGAGGCCGGGACCCCCTATTTCCCGGTTATGGGACGGCCCCTTGAGGGACAGCCTCTACGAGCCCTGGATTTATACCCCGAGCCTGCCTTCCTCCGCTCTGGGAAGGACCCAAAATCCAGTCCCGCTTCCTCCCCCTCCTTCGCTGTCCTTGGCCCCGAGGTGCGGAGCACCGGCGGTCAGGCGGGATCCCGCAGGAGGCCGAGCGCTCCCTGCTCGCAGGACAGGGCGGCAGCGGAGGGAGCCCCCGCCCTCTTGGGAGGAAGCCCGAGCTCCGGGTCTCCTGGGCACCCTCCCGGGAGCGCCTTCGGGGTGGAGGCTGGTTGCCGGGCGCTGAACGTGTCCGAGCACGCCCGGGGCGGTTTTGCACTTGGACTTCCTTTTGGGCTCTCCGGAGGCGCATATCTGTTCCTCCTATTGGATGGGGCCGGGGACCCCAAACCCACTCCGGAAGCACCGATTTCCAGCGCTGACGGCCGCGCCTGGTTTCCCAGCGAGTCCTCTTGGCAGCTCCCGCAGCTCCCCGCCGGGAGCACGAGTGGGAGCGAACCCAGAGCCCGCCCAGGCCTCGGGCCTCGGCAACTCCTCACAGGTCCACGAGATGGCGCTGCAGGCCAGGGCCCGGGCCGCGGCCTCACAGCCCGCCTCGGGCGAGAGCGGGAGATAGACTGCGGACCCCGGCAAGCGGGGCACGGAGGCACAGCCACCGACACAGGCAGAGCCGGGTCCGGAGCCCGGCACAGGCCGCCGAGGGACCGAGGGACTCCGGGGCTGCGGACACACTGAGCGGAGGGCTTGAGGCTCGGGGTGGGGCCTTCTCCCCTGCTGCCAGAACCGCCCGGCAGCGCCAGCTCGGCGACCTTCCAGGCTGCTGCAGACCCCAGCTTGTCCTCTTCTGCGCGCCCGCGGGGCTGGGCCCTCGCGTTCTCTCTGCGGGAAGTGAGCCGCCGGCCTCCGGCCTCCTGGGCCCCTCCGAAGGGGGCTGTGGCTGGCATCCGCAGCGCGCGGGGCGCACGGCCCTAGGAGCGCGGGGCCCACTCGACGGTGAGGACTTACGGGCGGGATAGGGGAAGGATCGGCGGGGATCCAGCGCTCCTCCAGCGGAGAGGGCCCCCTCGGCTCCGACCCGCCCTCCTCACCACCCTCATCCGGCTCTTCAGGGCGGGGTCTTCAGGGTCGAGGGCAGGATGTGCCCTGTGGAGCTGCTCACCTAAGTTCCTGCCTCCATAGGGGAGGCTTTGGGCTGCGTTATTCCAGCGGGAGGTGGTGGGGACTGGGGAGGGCCCAGGGGTCAGCCTGAGAATCTCGCCCTTGGATTAAAAGCCACCAATGCTCTGGGTCAAGTCTCAATGGGAGGCTGGGGATGTAAGACCCGTTGGCTGGGGAATGCCAGAGTTGGAGGGGGTGGGGCTTAGAAGCCTGTTTCCAGCTGACCTTTTATGTCCCCAGATGAGCTCTGGCACCCTCAGAGATTAACCCTACACACGTTTCCTAAGGGCACACGGCTAGAAAGCAGCCCAGTTAACACCAGTCGAGGGTCATTTCCACTGCAATACAGTCACCGGCTGGGTGATGGGACCCAGGCCAGATGTCGTCCCTGCACTAGGCTCTCAGCTCTTTTCTCTTTCAAAGTACAGTGTAGCAGAGAATAGGACCAAATCTTTGGTGATTTAATAATTATCTACATGCTCATCTATGGCTGAAGCAGCTGCTTGGTAGGAAAACTGGACAGGAGATAGATAGGTACAAGGTCGAACTCTGCCTCTAGAGCTGTGAGTGCTCTTTGAAAATGTGACTTTATTCTCTGGGCTGCAGAAGCCTCATCTGCAAAATAAGTAGTTTGGACTAAAATCCAGTTGATCTGCGAATGGCCAGTTGACCTGGGTCCAGTTTCCCCCCCGTCCCGCCCCCAGCCTCAACTGCTTCAGAGAAGAGCCATGTTCCCATTTAATGCTTGAGGAACCTGAGCCAGAGGGATAGGTGGAGTCACAGACCTTGAGGACCTTGGCCAAGATTCTTGGGGTGGGGGACTGGGTTGGTGGCCTGGATGAATTCCCAATTAGGAAATTACATTCTAAGTCCCGGCTGCCTCCATTCCCTGTGGGGTGCGATTGTCAGTCACAGCTTGGCCTTCTACCTCGAGCAAGCTGCTTTTGGAGAGATGCAGACTAGTGGGTTGCGGGCGGGGGGGCGGGGGTGACTTTGGTGCCCAGCACTACAATTTGTTGACTGTGTGTGACTTCTCTCCAAAGAGAGACCCCAAAGAGAGAAAGCGATACCAATGAAGGCCATTCAGGCACCCATGTTTAAGGGGGTCCCCCAGGCTAATTTCTTACTTGCGAGGAAGCCTTCATGGCAGTCAATGCGCTTTCACATGTGGCCTCTCCCCGACCCTCACTGGCCGGGTGGAGACTATGAGTCCTCGTTTCACAGACATGACATTGGGGTTCAGAGAAATGAAGTGAGGTGCCCAAGGCCATCCAGTAAATAAAGGACGGAGCTCTTTCACAATCCCTTGGGCCTGGCCCTTGGAAACTTTCGCTGATGAAGTGATGATGGGTGAGAGTCAGGCTTGCAGCAGGAAAAGGGCAAACGGGGCAGGGGAGGGAGTGCCCGGATGTCCTGGCCAGGAGGTGTGTCCGTGGGAGAAGCAGCCTGGCTCAGAGCCCAAGTCCAGCAGGCCCGGGGGAGGGTGGCCTCATGGCTCCAGTCAGCCCAGCTGGGCCTGCAAGGACCCCTGGTCGGGCAGGGGCTTCTCAGTGTAAAACCCTAACAGGGGCGTTGAGAGGATTACCCGAGAGGGGGCTGCATCCTGTGCTTAGCTCAGGGCATGGCTCATGTTTGCTCTCAATATTATTTATTTCTCTCCCAAAGAGAACAAGCAGGATGTCCTCTGGCTCCATGGTGCCTGCTCCTCAGCCCGACAGGAGCAGCTGTGGAACAGCCACTGTGTGCTTAATAAACATGCAGACATTTGATTGAATTCTCAGCACGGGGTGGCTGGTATGATTATCTCCATTTTACAGAGGACAAAATGGCCCAAGGTCATACAGCGTCAAAGAAGCAGGTCACAGGGCCACACCAGGCTCTGGCCGACCCCAGGCCTGTGTCCTTTCCTGGAGCCTGGCGTTCCTGCTCCACACGCCTGGGCTTCAAAGTCCCCCTGGCATTTGGCTCAGCCCTGTGGCAGGCTGTCCTGGGACTGGTTTACATTTAGCCCTGGACTGGCTGGTCAGTTCCTTCATCCAGCTCCCACTTTGGGTCTTATTTATTTCCTTCTTGGGGGGCTGTCCAACACTTCCATGCTTTGCCTGCCCATAACTGTCCCCGTTTGCCCATGACAGTTCTGGTTTGACTATTGGCATCCTGAGTTCTGGGAGACCCCTCAGGTCTGAGCAAGTTACCCAATAGGTCACCTTGCCATCACCACACACATACCCCTACACTGGGCCAGGAGACCCAGCAATGAGTGAAACAGACACCAGCACCCCCATTGAGGGAGCCAATGATCTGGTAGAAGATAGAGACATTCAAGGAATATATCCCTTCCCAAGAGAAGACACGGCAGTGCATGGGGTGGGGTGCGAAAAGGCTTAGCCCCAGCAAACTGGGGGCAGAGAGGAGCCGCAGAGCCTCAGAGAGGCTGGGGAGCTGGCAACTGGCCTGGTTTCCCAAGGAAACTACCCCACCAAGCATCTTCATATGGGCATGTCTTTGTGTGTTCGTGTGTGTCTGTGTGTGGTAGGTGCATGTGTATGTGCATAACACATGGCAGGAGTGCCGAAAGCCCTTGCTGGATGAGTGAATGAAGTGCACCTGGTCCCTCCAGGATAGCCCCCCCACCCCCAGGTCCTGGGCCAGAGGCCCCTCCTCCAAGTACACTTGAGTACCCTGTGGAGAGCTCCAGAGGGCTTCCGGTCTCCCCATCCAGGCCTCCTCTGTCTCCTGGGGAACTGAGGCCCAGGGAGTGTGTGTGTCTTGCCTGAGGACTTGCCTCTGCAGGAGAAAGTTACAGGCCATCCACAGACACTCCCAGCCCTCAAACCCTGCTCTCCAGCTGTGCCAGTGATTCTCTGCTCTCTAAGGGTCTGGAAACTTCTGGACTCTGGAGCAACAACCTTGTTCCCCAAGGCCAGGGCAGACCTCTCTATCTGAGTCCCTTGGGGAAGCTCCTAGCATGTTTTCCCCCACAATCTTTCTTGTGGCACAGACAGCCTTCCTGAAATGCAGCTGAGATGAAGTCACTGCCCTGGTTAAAGCCTCCCAAAGCCTTCCCTTGCTCTTGGGGTCAAGCCCAGCCTCCTTAGCCTGGCACTGGGGCCTGTGTGAGTCCTGCCTACTCGCCCCCCTCCCCAGGACTCCATCCCCACTGCCCACCTCTAGGCTAATCTTGCTGGCCTTATCTTGGCCTCTGCATATGCACATGCTTTTTCCTGGGCTTGGAGTGCTCTTCCTGCCTTCCTCCGAAAAACTCAGCCCACTAGCTCCTTCTCCAGGGAACTCCTCTGCCTTCTTCCTCCTGAGTTGGGTGCCCACGCACGCCTTGTTTCGTGTTGGTAGTCAACGAATGTATGGACTTGGGCAAGTTACTCCTCCATCACCGCTGCAAAGTGGGGATACCAGCACCTGCTCATGGTGTTTCACAGTGGGGCCGGCCAGGAGCCTGGACCAGTGAGTGATGGTTCCCGTCCCTTTGGGGGACCGTAAGGGCGGCTGAGGATGGGGCCTGGGGGCGCTCTGCGAGTGGGGACATTCCCCTCAGCCCAGCGCGGCGGCCAGGGTTGGGCCTGCCCCCTTCCCCTCCTGGAGGCCAGGCGCGGGCCGAGGAGACCCTGCCTGAATGTGCCCTAAACCTGGGGGGTTGAGACTAGAGGGGTGCTCGACAGGCCTGCGTGCTGGGTGTCTTCAGATGAAGGGCGACGAAATCCTGAGGGCAATGAGCCTCCGTGCGCACGCGCGCTGGTGACACCTCCTCCCTCTCCCAGGGAAGCGCGGCCAGGGGAGGGGCGTTTCTTGCCGCAGGACGGTTGCTGGTGACCCGGCCGGATTACTGTCATCTGTGGACTGCCTGCGCTGTGCGGGCAGTGGCTCCCTCCTACCACTAGGTGGGGATCTGGAGTCGTTCAAACCAGGAGTCCGGGGCTTGGGTTCAGGCCTGGAGCCCCTCGCCCTCCTGCCGCCAGCCAGGGTTTCCCAGCCTGCCTGACTGCCGCCTCCCGGGCACTGGGCCCGCGCTCTGTGCCTCCACTCTCATTTCTAGCTAGGTCCTGCTGCCAGAGAATAACATTGAGGCAAATGAATGAGAACACCGACTGTGCAGCCCGAGGGGCCTGGGTTCAAATCCCAGCTGCACCTTTGGTTCTGGGGATTTGGCTCGTTGGGCCTCCACTTTCCTCATCTCTAAAATAGACTCGTCTACTCATTCTGCAAAGGGCAGGAGGAAATGTGGCTGCCCTGATCGCCACCCAGAGTGGGGGGAATGGACAGTGTTCTGTCGTCTGATCCCTCACATAGGACAGCTAACCTGGACAGCACCTGTGTTCCAAGACTTCCTCATGCTCTTGTCTCACCGATAGAAACTTACCTGTTCCAGGGCTCCCTCCCTGGGGACCTTGCTGGGAGAGAGGGGCCCATCTGACTTAATGCACTGCCTTTCCAGGTGCTGTGCTTGCAGCTTCCATCTGAGCCAGAGTGGGGGACCCATCTGGCCTGGGTCCCAGGGGCACCATTGCAGAGGCGCAGTTGTCCCCACCCCACCCCCCCATGCCCATCACACAAGGGCCCTGCCTCTTCTTCCTCCGTCAGGCTCTGGGTCAAGGCTGAGGGATAATTTCCCTTCTCCCCCATTCACAGGCAGGAAAACTGAGGTTCAGAGAACCCAGGACAGGTTCTATCTGTGGGGAAAAGGGAAGGTTTGGCCCAGGGAAAGGGAACATGGAGGTTGGGGTTGTTCCTTCTAAGTCACCAGTCTTGGTCTTGGTCACGTTGGTTCAGGTGTCCCCTTCTCCCATGCCTCGTTGATCTTTCCCCTGACATAGGAGGGATTTGTATGACAGTCCCCATCTGTTCAGACACCGGAACCTGCCGCGCCCAGAGGGAGCTGCCCTCCCTGACTCTCACCCCTTTGGGAGCCAGAGGTCTCTTCCCCAGGGTGGAAAGACAGAGGTTAAGAAGGGGTTAACTCTTCTTGCCTTCACATCACGACAACAAGTATGTGTTGAGCAATGGCTGCAGTGTCATGTGCTGCGCATCCTCCCTCTTTCTCTCACGTGCTCTGGACTCCTTGCCATTTTTTCTTTCTTTTTAAAAATTGAGGCCGGGCACGGTGGCTCATGCCTGTAATCCCAGCACTTTGGGAGGCCGAGGCAGGAGGATCACCTGAGGTCAGGAATTCGAGACCAGCCTGACCAATATGATGAAACCCTGTCTCTACTAAAAATACAAAAATTAGCCGGGCATGGTGGCATGTGCATGTAATCCCAGCTACTCGGGGGGCTGAGGCAGGAGAATCACTTTAAGCCAGGAGTCGGAGGTTGCAGTGAGCCGAGATTGCACCATTGCACTCCAGCCTGGGCAACTAGAGTGAAACTCTGTCTCAAAAAAAAATTATTTGCATAAAATGTACTATCAAAGGGTACAATTCACTGGTTTTTTACTATATTTACAAGATTGCACAACAATCACCACTGTCACTCCCCAGCCCTTGACAACCACCAATCCACTCTCTGTCTCTGTGGATTTGCCCATTCTGGACATTTTATATCAATGGAATCATATACTCTGTGTTTTTTTTTGTGACTGGCTTCTTCCACTTAGCCTAATATTTTCAAGGCTTACCCATGTTGTAGCACATATTGATACTTTCATTCTTTGTACAGCTGAATCATATTCCATTACCTGGTGATACCATGTTTTATTTATTCACCATCGGTTGATGGGCATTTGGGTTGTTTCCACATTTGACTATTATGAATAATGCTGCTATGAACACTGATGTACAAGTCTTTGTGTGAACATATGTTTTCATTTCTCTTGGGTATGTCTAGGAGTGGAATTGCTGGATCAAATAATAACTCTAACATTTTTCCCCACCAGCATCCAAAGCAGTTAATGCTAACTTTTTGAGGAGCCACCAAACTGTTTATCAAAGTGCCTGTACTATGGTACCCTCCCACCTGCAATTCCTTGCCATTTCTTGAATGTACCAGACACACCCCTCCTTGGTCCCTGACTTCTTTCTTGGAGAGGCCATCGTTGGCCATCTGATGTAAAACAGGAGCCTACTTTCACCCCCTTCACTCCCTTTCTCCCTTCCTCCCTTCCTCTGTTTGGTTGTTGATACTGGACGCGCTGAGACTATTTTACTTACTTATTTTGTTTATTGCTTTCCCTCACTAGAATGGAGCTTTGTTCATTGTTCTATCATTAGTCCTAGAATATACCTGGCACATGTAGGTGTTCAATCAATGTTTATTGAGTAACATGAGTTAGTCAAGAAATGTAGGGTGCCATGCTGGGTACACAAGGCATAGCATGATAAGAACTCATGGAAATGGACCAAGTGCTACCGAGGCCACAGGGAGGTAAACCAAGTGTCACTGAGGCCTCCTGCCTGAACATTTCTTCACCTATTGAGTCGGCCATGGGGGTTCAGGACCACCCATGCTCTCACCCTCATCAGACCAACAGAGAAGAAGAACTGGGCCTCCTCCCTCAAACTAGGCAAGGGTTCGGGAAACAGGTTAGTTAGCCACACAGTCATCACGACAGTTCTGTCTACTGGCTGTAGACAGTGCAATCGCTGAGTGAAAGGATTTGAAGGGTGGCAATTGGAGAGGGTATTCAAGTGTGTCAGTGCCCTGCGTCAGCCCTGTCTGTCCCCATCCAGGTCTCAGTCTGCCTTGGAGACCCAGATGTGAGAGCTGCTCAGCAGGGAAAGATGTTGGCCTTTTCCCATGCCAGGAGTGAGGATCACAGTCCTGGCTGTCCAGCCAACCCAGTGGGTCTTTTATGGCTTCACCTCAGCTGGCCTCTGGACATATTAGTCAGGAATCCTTCAGTCGTACGGACAGAAATCCAACTCAAGCTGAAGAAAAAGGGCAGTTTATTGGCAAGCACAGGACCTGGGAAGCACAGGGGAAGGGGAGCTGGCCTTCAGAATGCTCGCTCTCTCTGTCTCTCTCTCTCTGCTTTCTCTCTCGTTTCTTTTCTCTGTGTGTTGGCATCACTCTCTCCTACCACAGATGGGCTTCTTCATGTGGCAGGGGGCTTGGCTGCAGGCAGCTGTGGGTTACAGAAATCCAGCTTAGTGGCTTAAAAGGAAAGGAAATGGCTCTGCTGTTCTACTTAGAACAATCACAGGGAAACACTCGGATTGGCCCCCTGGGATCATATGCCCACCTCCCTCCATACAAACAACCCATTCTCCTTTGCCACTATTGTCAGTTGTGGCTACACCAGAAAACCAGGCTTGCTGGTCTCTCTCTCTCTCAAAATGCGTGCTGACTGGCAAGTACTTTGCAATCTCTCTCTCTCTCTTTTTTTTTTCTTTGAGACAGGCTCTGTCTCACTCTGTCATTCAGACTGGAGTGCAGTGGCATGATCACAGCTCATCACAGCCTCAACCTCCTGGGCTCAGGTGATCCTCCGACCTCAGCCTCCCAAGTAGCTGGGACTACAGGCACATGCCACTATGCCCAGCTATTTTTTTTTTTTTTAATTTTGTAGAGACTGGACTTTCGCCATATTTCCTAGGCTAGCCTCGAACTCTTTGGCTTAAGCAGTCTTCCTGCCTGGGCCTCCCAAAGTGCTGGGATTACAGCCATGAGCCACCGCACCTGGCCTCATTTCTCTTAATCCACACAACTGCTCTGGAGAAATATATACTGGTCAGGGCTCTTTTAGCTCCTACTGACAAAAGCCCAACTCAAATGAGCTTAAGCCAAAAAGGGAATGTATTACTCTACATAACTGATAAAAGCAGGAGTAGACTTCAGGCATAGCTGGTTCCAGGGAGTCAAATAAGCCTGGGCTCTTATTGGCTCCAGCTCTTAGCCAGACTTCCCTCTCTATTGGCTCAGCTCTCAGGTACATCCTACCCAAGCAGCAAGAAAAAATGACTAGGGCAGCCTAGGCTCAGATGGTCTTTAGAGCCGTTATTCCCAGGGGAAAAGGGAGACTGCTTTCTGTGCATAGAGCAAACTATCTCGGGGGACTGGTTGGCTCCCATGAGGGTCCAATATCTACTCAGGGAACAGGACAAAGAAAACCATATTTGGCCAGGTCAGGTCATGTGCCCACTCCTGCAGCAAGAGGATGAGACAGAGCTGTGAGGAGTAATGCCATTGGAGTAGTGACAGGGCAGACTGATTGGATGTGGCCAGCTATAGGACTATCCCATTGCACAGATGAGGCTTGGAGAGATAAGGTAGCTTCCAGTACCGTAGAGCTAGAGACAGTCAGGATTCAAACGCACATCTGTCATCTCTTCCCAGAAAACCACCCTGCCTCCTTTTAAAGTGCTGAGTTAAAATATCCCTTGAAGAAGTAGATTCCTGTAGACAGCCATATCATTCCCAGTACCCCTTGCAGCAACTGCCATAGAGAGGATTGCTTGGGAGGTGGGGTCGGCCGCACTCTCAGACAAGATCCTTTACCAGCTCTCCGTGGTTGAAAGGGTCTCTGGTCATTGACTCCAAGTGTCATACTAAATCATCAATCCAAACAAGGTTTGATTTTTGGCAAGGGTGCCAAGATCATTCAGTGTGGGAAGGATAGTCTTTTCAACAAATGGTGTGGGAAAAACTGGATGTCCACATGCAAAAGAATGAAGTTGAACCCTTACCTTACATGATATACAAAATTAACCCCCAAATGCATCAAAGACCTAAACTTAAGAGCGAAAGCTATAAAACTCTTAGAAGAAATCACAGCGGGGAATCTTCATGACCTTGAATTTGGCAATGGTTTAAAAAATGTGACTCTAAAAGCATAGATGACAAAAGAAAAAACAGATAAATTGAACTTCACAAAATTAAATTACTTTTGTGCACCCAAACACACTATCAAGAAAGTAGAAATGCAACTCACAGAACGGAAAAAAGGATTTCTAAATAATATATCTGACAAGAATTTAATATCAAAATATATAATTTCTACAACTTAACAACAAAAAGAAAAATAACTCAATTACAAAATGGGCAAAGGACCTCGAATAGACACTTTTTCCAAAGAGGATATACAAGTGACCAGTAAGAACATGAAAAGATGCTCAACATCATTAGTCATTAAGGAACTGCAAATCAAAACCACGAGATATCACTCCACACTTACCAGGATGCCTAGAATTTAAAGAGAGAGTGAGCCAGGAATGGCAGCGCACAACTGTCATCCAATCTACTTGGGAGGCTGAGGAGGGAAAATCACTTAAGCCCAGGATTTATAATCTAGCCTGGGCAAAATAGTGAGACCACCATCTGTACTAGAAAGAAGAAAGAAAGAGAAAGAGAGAGAGAGAGAGGGAGGGAGGGAAGAAGGATGGAGGGAAGAGGGAAAGGGAGGGAAGAGAAGGGAAGGAGGAAAGAAAGAAAGTCCAAACAAATTGGCAAGGATGTGAAGGAAAAAAAAATTTTTTTTTGAGACAAGGTCTCACTCTGTCGCCCAGGCAGGAGGGCAGTGGCGCAATTATACCTTACTACAGCCATAATCTCCTGGACTCAAGTGACTCTCTGCTTCAGCCTCCCAGGTAGCTGGCTTTATAGGTGTGCACTACCACTCCTGGCTAATTTTTGATTTTTTGTAGACAAGGTCTCACTATGTTGCCCAGGCTGATCTCAAACTCCTGAACTCAAGTGATCCTCTTGCCTCAGCCTTGCAACATGCTGGGGTTACAGGTATGATCCACCACACCAGCCCTGCATGTGGAGCAGTTGGAACTCACGTACATTCTGTTGAAAATGTACAATGGTGAAGTTTCTGTGGAAAACAGTATGGTGGTTCTCCAAAAAGCCAAACATAGAGTTACCACGTGGTTCAGCAATTGCACTCTTAGGTGTACACCCAAAGGCATTGAAAACAGACACTCAGGCAGATACTTGTACACCAGTGTATATTGCAGCATTATCCACAGTAGCTGAAAGTTGAATACAATCTCAATGTCCATTAACAGATGAATGGATAAACAAAATGTGGTATATACATTCAATGGAATATCATTCAGCCATACAAATAAGTGAAGTTCTGATACATGCTATTTGCTCTATATTGTATATACATGCTATAAAATATAGAAAAAACTTGAAATCATGATGCTAAAGTGAAATAAGCTAGACACAAAGGGACAAATATTGTATGATTGTGCTTTGCTGAAATATCTACAATAGGAAAAGTCACAGAAACAGAAAGGAGAGTAGAGGTTACCAGGGGCTGGGAGGAGAGGGTAATGAGGAGTTATTGCTTAATGAGTACAGAGTTTCCATTTGGAATGATAAGAAGTTTCAGAAATAGATTGTGGTGATAGTTACATAACAATGTGAATGTACTTAATGCCACTAAACTGTACACCTAAAATGGTTTAAATGGGAAATTTTATGTTGTATATGTATATTTTGTCCCAACATTAAAAATATGGGGGCTGGGCATCGTGGCTCACACCTGTAATCCCAGCACTTTGGGAGGCTGAGGTGGACAGATGACTTGAGGTCAGGCGTTTGAGACCAGCCTGGCCAATATGGCAAAACCCCATCTCTACTATAGATACAAAACTAGCCAGGCGTAGTGGCGGGTGCCTGTAATCTCAGCTACCCGGGAGGCTGAGGCAGGAGAATCGCTTGAACCCAGGAGGCAGAGGTTGCAGTGAGCAGCTGCACTGTACTCCAGCCTGGGTGACAGAGTGAAATAAATAAAATATAAAAAATAAAAATAAATCATAAAATTAAAATTAAAATAGGGCATGAACGTAACAAATGTACCCCTCTGGTTGGGGATGTTGAAAATGGGGGAGGCTGTGCATGTGTGGGGTACAGAGGGAATATGGGAAACCTCTTATGAATGAACAAATTTGTATGAATAGACAAACACCTTTCTCTCGATTTGGCAGTCAAGCGAAAACTGCTCTAAAAAATTTAAAAAGGATATGCATCTTGCACATAGAGAGGTCTACTTGACAATTTGTTTTCCAACAAATATATATTGAGCAAGCATTCAATGCAGTCGTCTGGTTGGCACTGGGAGGTCCATGACACAGTTGTGCCCTCAGGGGGCCTGGGGCTGCAGTGGAGCTTGCCAAGTTCTCAAAGAGAGAGGGGAGCTGGATGAGAAGGACATGTTGAGAGCAAAGAACATGAATTTGCCTCCTCAGTGTTTCCAAACTGCCCAGGGCGTTGATTAAAAGCATTAACGTCATCCAAGTTCCATCCTGACCTACTGAGTCTGAACGTGCTTGGCTGGATCTCCATTCCCAGGTGGGAATCCAAGCCAGAGGACTTGAACTAGGAGGGAGTGAGAAGGGCCGCGCAGCTTCCTCCCTGCCCATGGCCAGTGAGGATTCACCAACTCCATTCTCTCCATTCCTAGAGCCTCATGCCCTGGCTGCCAGAAGTTGCCCTGTCTAAAGCTCTCCTTCAGGAGAAGCTCAGACTTTGTGTCCATCTTGGGAGAAACAGAAAACAGCTCTCCCGCCCTCTCCGTCTCACCATCTTTCAGAAGCGTAAAGGCTTATTAAAAGCTTCTGCAATTTGGGCAAAGTACTGATCCTTTGCGTAGATGGTATTTCTGCTCCTCTGGCCTGAAAACTCAACGCTAACCCAGTACCCCTGGCGAACACATCCACCATGTTGAGAATGGTGGGTGTGGGGGTGTGTGGGAGAGGTTCTGCCCTCTGCTCACTCAGGCCTCAGGAGCCGAGGTCACCATGCACCTGCTACTCTTTGGGCATCCATTTTGTTTTCATGGGCCAAGCTCTGGAACGGGGAAGGCATATGTGGACAGTGGGCAGAGACATTGAGAGACGGTCTGTGTCTCAGCCAGAGATCACCTGGCACCTCGGGTTCAGCCACTAGACCTCTTCTTAAGGCTGGCTGGCACTGACTTAGGCATCCCCAGCATGCCAGGCCTTTGGGCAGAGGGCAAGAGTTCAGGCCTCAGCTGTTCTTCCCAACCTAGAAGAGGGTAGCTGTCTTCTATTTGAGCATATGCTTTGGGATCGTATTTTAAAATCCTAAATCAGGACAGCAGACCTGATAAATAATTTGTGAATTGATCGATGTGTAAAGTCCTTTAAAAGCATCCAAGTCAAATCCGTTACATATTAAATACATTTCTTGAAAAGAGTGCAGCTAAAGTGACTCTGTCCTGGAAATGTGAGGCCAGGGGTTCTTAAACAGGGGCAATTTTGGACCCCATGGGACATCTGGCAATATGTTTGGAGACATATTTGGTTTTCACAACCTGTCACCAGCATCTAGTGGGTAGAGGCCAGTGATGCTGCTAACTATCCTACAATGCACAGGGCAGCCCCCATAATTTGGAATTCTCAGGCCCCAAATGTCAGTAGTGTCGAGTTTGGGAAACCTTGCTCTCCGCTCTCTGGGGCTGTGCCTGTGCACCCCAGGGTGTCCGCCCAGCCTTGGTTTTTTCCTCGTACTTCATGTCTACTTTGGTACTGTCTGTGACACTATTGTCAGAGGGGAGAGGCTTGGAACCCCTCAGCTCTCTGCTGCTTCCTTTTTTGTTGGCAGATGCAGGGAGATGACTACCTTTGAAGAGGTGACCCAGATACCAAGGCAAGCCTGGCAAGGGGCAGGGGGTGTCTTGAGTAAGCATCTCCCACTGGGGAGATGAAAGCAGGGACCGGATGCAGCAAGAGGGTGGGAAGGAGCACTGGATTTAGAGGGAGAGGCGCAGGCTCCAACTCTGTCTGACTCCGCCCCTAACCTGGCCATTTAGCCTCTGTGCCTCAGAGGCATTGTCCGTTGGGCACAGGTTCTAAACAGGGTTATTGTGAGGGTTAGGGAGAGGAAGGATGGGACAGGGTTGTGGAAAGCACTAAGGCTGGGCAGCAGCAACTTGTGGAGTCCCTGCTGTGTATGCTGACTTAGGAGGGCCCCAGCTGGGCTGGCAGGTTGGGAGAGGGTAGGGCTGGGCCAAGGGAAGAGTGTGGAACGCTGGGAGTGCGTGCTCTCTAGTTACAGTGATGTGCAGACAACTGGTGTGCCTGGAGCACAGAAAAGGACTGGCTGGCAAGATAGTGCCGGGCAGCATGTGGAGCCTCCCATTTGGGGGCGCTGCTTTCCTTTGTAGCTCTCAGACAGAGGGAGCAGGAGGCCTACATGAGCCTGGACGTGCACCCAGGCCTCTTGCCTGGAGGTTAGCGCAGGGAATGATGTGCTGGAGCAGGTGGGCTCCGTGTATTTGGCCAAAAGCAGGTTGAGGTTGGGCACCATGGCTCAAGCCTGTAATCCCAACACTTTGGGAGGCTGAGGTGGGAAGATCACTTGAGCCCAGGAGTTTGAGTCCAGCCTGGGCAATATAGCAAGACCCCATTTCTAAAAATTTTTTTTAATTAGCTGGGTGTGGTGGCATGCATCTGTAGTCCCAGCCTGGAATGGCTGAGATAGAAGGATCACTTGAGCCTAGGAGGTCGAGGTTGCAGTGAGCCAAGGCCATGCCACTGCACTCCAGCCTGGGCAACAGAGTGAGATGCCATTAAAAAAAAAAAAAGATAAATTAGATTTGAAAGTCCTAAAAGCATCCGTGTGTGTGTGTGCGTGTGTGTGTGTATAATTTTTAATTTAAAAAAAATTTTTTGTTTTTTTGCTTTTTGTTGTAATTTTTTTTGAGACGACGGAGTCTCGCTGTCACCCAGACTGGAGTGCAGTGGCACAATCTCGGCTCAATGCCACCTCCAGCTCCTGGGTTCAGCCTCCTGAGTAGCTGGGACTACAAGTGTGTAATTTTTTTAGACGAGATATTGGAGTACAGAGGTCACATTTGCTGCCCAGAATTTAGAAACAGACACTCACTGACTAGGAGTGTGACCCTTGGGCTGTTATTCAGCTTTTCTCTACTTCAGTTTTCTCATTTACAGAAGGTGAGTCATAGTGATGGGGCCAAAGGAATGCAGGAGCCCACTGAAAGAGCTCCTGTGATCCTTCTATCTCAGCCATTCCAGGCTGGGACTACAGATGCATGCCACCACACCCAGCTAATTAAAAAAAAAAATTTTAGAAATGCGGTCTTGCTATATTGCCCAGGCTGGACTCAAACTCCTGGGCTCAAGTGATCTTCCCACCTCAGCCTCCCAGTGGCCAAAGCTAGAACAATTTGAGCAACAAAATACATAACGTACTACTGAATTATAACCCAACATATAACACAAAGATCCAGGAGTTATACTGAGACAAATAAATGATTGAGTGAAATAAGTGAATCAATGGGAAAGAATAGACAAATCTGTAAAGAAGAACTCCAAATATTGATGTAGATACTCCATGCTTAAGAAGGTGGAGTGTAACTCCCCACTCCTGAAGCGTGGGCTGTGCCAGTGATTTCCTTCCAGCTACTACAGTATGGAAAGGGACAAAAGGAAACCTTTCGCAGTGGAAAGCTGGCAAACACTACCTCACTCTGGTGACCAAGGCTAGCATCATTAGTGAGAAGTCATAACATGTCTTCAATATGATTGATGAGAATGACACCCCACTTCTCTGGCCTTCCTCCCCCAAACCCATAACTTCAGCCTAATCATAAGAAAAATACCAAACAAACCCCAGTCAAGGAACATTCCACCAAATGCCTGACAGCACTTCCTAAAACTGTTCAGGACATCAAACACAAGGAATGTCTGAGAAACTGGCATAGCCATGATTAGCCTATGGTGACATGATAACAAAATGCAATGTGGTCTCCTGGATGGAATCCTAGAACAGAAAAAGGACATTCAGTAAAAAAAGCTAAGCAAGTCTGAAAGAAGTGTGGATGTTAGTTGTGACAAATTGGTATGGTTTGGCTGTGTCCCCACCCAAATCTCATCTTGAATTCCCACGTGTTGTGGGAGGGATCAGGTGGAGGTAATTGAATCATGGGGGCAGTTTTCTCCATACTGTTCTCGTGATAATGAGCAAATCTCACGAGATCTGATGGTTTTATAAGCTTCTGGCATTTCCCCTGCTTATACTCATTCTCTCTCCTGCTGCCCTGTGAAGAGGTGCCTTCCACCAAGATTGTAAGTCTCCTGAGGCCTTCCCAGCTATGCAGAACTGTGAGTCAATTAAACCTCTCTTCTTTATAAATTACCCAGTCTCAGATATTTCTTCATAGCAGTGTGAGAATGAACTAGTACACAAACATACTATATTAATGTAAGATGTTAACAATAGAAGAAACTGGGTGTGAGGCAGAATATGGGAAGTCTATGTGCTGTTTTTGCAACTTTTCTATAAATCTATTCTAAAAATGAGTTTCTTTTTAAAAGTAAGTAATAGTGTCACATTATGTTGCTGCATTCAATAAGTGATTTATATCAAGCATTTGGTGCACTGGTATATGGTGTTTAATGTTAGCTATTATTTATTACTATTGTTCTTATTTCTACTTTTCTTATTGAGTATATGAGTATACATTTTTCTTATTAAAATAGCAGTGTATACTCATTACAGAAAAATTTACAAATGAGCCAAAGAAGAACATCCACGACCCTACACTCTCAGAGAGAACCACTGGTCACACCTTGCTGTGGATCCCTCCCAAGGTGTCATTAATTTTTATAAAGCTTGGATCACTCCATACATACAGTTCAGTAAATGGCCATAATTTATTTAAGTAACACATAAATTATTTGATATTTAGGTTGTTCTAACTCTTTGCTCTTACAAATAGGCAAGAGCACAAGTAATGGACTAAGCATTAATTAGGAAGATAAAAGAAAACCCTGAAAAATTATAAAAACTGGACACTAATGCTGAAATAAGCACGGAGGATGCTCAGTAGTTAATCAAAATGACCTTATCTGAAAATCCAATGGCCGACTTTTCTTTTCTAGATCTGTTTTATTTCATAATTTAAAAAAATTTTTTAAAGTAAAGAGGGAAAGATTACCTGGCAAAATTTGTTTTTAGAGCTTAAAAACTTCATTTATTTATGATGATGAGAATTTTTTTAAAAAGCTAAATTTGCTCAATGGATTACTATAGGCATTTTATCCCTACCTGTGCATTCTTTTTAAAAAGTATTTATTTATTTGTCTATTTTGAGAGCATCATTTTATCCTTTTTATTGTATATTTTAAGGTGTACCATTTGATTCGATATACATTGTGAAATAATCACTGCCATAAAGACAACTGACATATCTGTCACCTCACATAGTTACCTTTTTCATGTGCATGGTGAGAAAACTTGGGATCTGCCTTCTTAGAAAATTTCAAGCATATAGTACAGTATTGTTACCTATAGTCATCAGGCTTTATATTAGATCTCCAGAACTCATTCATCTTGCATAACTGAAACTTTGCACCCTTTGACCAACATCGTGTAATCTTTCCCTTCCCCCAGCCCCTGGTAACTATCATTCTCTTCTTTGTTTCTAAGAGTTTGACTATTTTAGGTTCCACACACAAGTGAGATCTTACAGATTTGTCTTTCTGTGTCTGGCCTATTTCACTTAGCATAATGTCCTTCAGGTCTATCCATGTTGTTGCAAATGACAAGATTTTATTTTCTTTTTTAAGGTGGGATAACATTTCATTGTATATGTATGCACCACATTTTCTTTATTCATTTTTTTCATTTTTTTATTTTTTATTTTTTTTAAGACTGAGTTTCATTCTATCACCCAGGCTGGAGTGCAGTGGTACAATCTCAGCTCACTGCAACCTCTGCCTCCCGAGTTCAAGTGATTCTCCTGCCTCAGCCTCCTGAGTAGCTAGGATTATAGGCGTCCACCACCATGCCCAGCTAATTTTTTATTTTTAGTAGAGATGGGATTTCACCATGTTGGCTAGGCTGGTCTCGAACTCCTGACTTTAAGTGATCCACTGGCCTCGGCCTCCCAAAGTGCTGGGATTACAGGAGTGAACCACCGCGCATGGCCTTATTCATTCATTGTTGATGGACATTTAGGTTATTTTCATATCGTTGCTATTTTGAATAATGCTGCAATGAAAATAGGAGTGCAAGTAACTTTTCAAGACCTTGATTTCAATTCCTCTGGACAAGCACCTAGAAGTGGGATTGCTGGATTATATGGTACTTCTATTTTAATTTTTTGAGAAACTTTCATACTATTTTCCATAATGGCCATACCAACTTATATCCCCACCAACAGTGTACATAAGCGTTCCCTTTTCTCCACACCCTCACCAACACTTTTTTTTTTTTAATACAAGTTGAGTGTCCCTTATCTGAAGGGATTTTTTTTTTTTTTTTTTTTTTTTTGAGATAGAGTCTCACTCTGTTGCCCAGGCTGGAGTGCAGTGGTACGATCTTGGCTCACTGCAAACTCCACCTCCCAGGTTCAAGCAATTATCTGCCTCAGCCTCCCAAGTAGCTGGGATTACAGGCACCCACCACCATGCCTGGCTAATTTTTGTATTTTTAGTAGAGACGGGGTTTCACCATGTTGGCCAGGCTAGTCTTGAACTCCTGACTTCGTGATCCACCTGCCCTGGCCTCCCAAAGCGCTGGGATTACAGGTGTGAGCCACCATGCCCGGCCGCGCATTTTGGATTTTTTTTAAAAGCTTGGAATATTTGCATATATGTAATGAGGTATCTTGGGAATGGAACCCAAGTCTAAACACACAATTCATTTATGTTTTATATATACCTTATACATATAGCCTGAAGGTAATTTTATACAATGTTTTAAATAATTTTGTGCATGAAACAAAGTTTGTGTACACTGAAACATCAGAAAGCAAAAGTGTCACGATCTCTGCCACCAATGTGGATAATCTGTGGTTGTTTGGCATCATCATCATGCCTGAATCTGAATGTATATGCTACTAATTAAACAATCATTTTTTTACATTTATTCACAGATAAGTACTTAACAGTAAAAAATATGACTTACCATTTTTTTTTTTGAGACAGGGTCTTGCTACTGTGTCGCCCAGGTTGAAAGGCAGTAGTGGGAACATGGCTCCATGCAGCCTTGACCTCGTGGGCTCAAGCAATCCTCCCGCCTCAGCCTCCCAAGTAGCTGAGATTACAGGCACACAACACCATGCCCTGCTAATTTTTTTAATTTATTTCTTATTTTTGTAGAGACAGAGTCTCAGCATGTTGCCCAGGCCTGTCTCGAACTCCTGGCTCAAGCGATCCTCCTGCTTTGGCCTCCCAAAGTTCTGGGATTAGAGGCATGAGCCGCCACACCCAGCCAACAACAGATTTTGTCTTAGAAGTGTCTTTTTGATTTTATAAATGAACACGATTTCTTGTTCTGTTGTGAATGTATGCTGCTTTAGTCCTTCAATAAGCCCATCACACATTTTCACCATGCCATCTATAGACATTTTTTCTGCAAAAAATGTTAACAATGTCATCTTCATTGCCACTATTATCATGATCACTTTGGTTTGGAGCCATGTGTCTATTTCATCATCAGCCAATGAGTAAACAACTGGAGCCTTATTATCAATGTCAAAAAGCCCTTTGCTATCTACTTCTTCTAACTTACTGGCAGACTCTGAAGGTATATTTTTTGCATATGAAAGAAAGCCATATATCATTTTGTTCTCACTTGACACCAGTTCTTTCTCACTTGATACACAATTCTCCAAAGTCACCACCTTGTTCATCATCATCACTGAACATAGTCAAAGGTCAGAGGTCGCACCAGGCATGCACAACTATGTCTTTAGTCACTGTGTTCTAAGCGCTGGCAACAGTATATGTGGCGTCCTTCATGTCACCTCCTTTTGAAAACCTTCTGCACTCATGCCTCTGTTCACTGCTGCTAGCATTCTGTTCAATAAAGTGATTTTACATCTACTCTTCATTGACCTAAGGATACCCTAGTCACATTGAATTAATGTAGTCACATCTGGGGGAAAGTACATGGCATAAACATTATTTTTTGTGAGAATTTCAGCTGGAGAATGAGCAGAACAGTAATCAAGGAATAACAAAGTCTTACATCATCACGCATTCCAGCTTCCCTGCAGTGAGTACTAGCCACTGGTACAAAATGTTTGTGAAACCAATCATAAAAGGTGTCCCTGATGATCTGTGCCTTTTTGTTAGCATAATAGTAGACTGGTAAGAGATCTCCTCCTTGATAACAGTGAGGATGCAAGCTCTTGCCAATCACAGCAAGTTTATACTTATAGATGCTTGCTACATTAACACATCCCAGCAGGGTTACTCTATCCTTGGCATCTTTTTTTTTTTTTTTTTTTTTTTAAGACGGAGTCTCGCTCTGTTGCCCAGGCTGGAGTGCAATGGCGCAATTCTGGTTCACTGCCAACCTCTGCCACCCAGCTTCCAGCGATTCTCGTGCCTCAGCCTCCCCAGTAGCATGCGCCACCACGTCCTACTTTTTTTTTTTTTTTTTTGTATTTTTAGTAGAGATGCAGTTTCACCATGTCGGCCAGGCTGTTCTCAAACTCCTGACCTCAGGTGATCTGCCTGCCTTGGCCTCCCAAAGCGCTGGGATTACAGGCATGAGCCACTGTGCCCGGCCTATCACTGGCATCCTTAATTCCTGTCTCATCAAGTGTAGTCGGTGTCTTTCTGGGGAAATAATGCCAAAACAGTGATATTTCATCAGCATTATAGACTAGTTCTGGTGTCAGATTTTTGTTAGTGATGACTCGGGCAAACTTGTCAATGAATTTCTCTGCTACTTCATGATCAGCAGATGCTTTATCACCACAAATCTTTAAAAATTTAATGCTGTCTTTTCCTAAATTTCTGAAACCAGCCTGTTGAACATTCATAGTTCCCTTCAATTTTCAGTTCACTGTGATAGATCTTTGCTTGTTTCATGATCAGCAACCAGTATTTACTGCAACACTTTTGAACCCATTCTTTCAATACATGATCGAGATCTTCATTATTAACTTTATGCACTGTTTTTCTTTTTGTTATTGTTGGTTTTTTTTTGTTTTGAGACAGTGTCTATGTCATCCAGGCTGGAATGCAGTAGCTTAATCTCAGCTCACTGCAACCTCCACCTCTCCAGCCCAGGCGATCCTACCACTTCAGCCTCCTGAGTAGCTGGGACTACAGACACGCGTTACCACACCCAGCTAATTTTTTGGTTTTTTGTTTCTTTGTTTTTCAGACAGAGTCTCGCTCTGTCGCCCGGGCTGGAGTGCGGTGGTGCAATCTTGGCTCAATGCAACTTTCACCTCCCAGGTTCAAGTGATTTGCGTGCCTCAGCCTCCCGAGTAGCTAGGATTATAGGCACATGCCACCACACCCAGCTTATTTTTGTGTTTTTAGTAGAGATGGGGTTTCACCATGTTGGCCAGGCTGGTCTCGAACTCCTGAGCTCTAGTGATCCACCCGCCTTGGCCTCCCAAACTGCTGGGATTACAGGAATGAGCCACCATGCCTGACTGATTTTTAAATTTTTTTTTGTAGAGATGGGGTTTTGCCATGTGGTCCAGGCTGGTCTTGAACTCCTGAGCTCTTGTAATCTGCCTGCCCTAGCCTCCCAAAGTGCTGGGATTGTAGGCATGAGCCACTGCACCCAGCCTGTTTTTCTATTTTTGTTTTTTTTTTTATTAACTTCTGTTCATTGCTTTCAGCATAGAACTTCAACAGTTTATCCTTCTGTTTCTTCAGGTCATATGTGGTGGTCATTCCAACACCATACTCTTCTGTAAGACATTTCATACTTACACTGCTGTCCAGCTTCTCCAATAGCTTGATTTTCTGTGCTATAGATAAACATAACTGTGTCCTCTTTTTCTCTCCTGTGTTGCCCACAGGAGTATCTGTAGGCCTTTCTGACATTTTCAATAATATCTTTACACCACAGAGCAGAGAATAAGCCAAAAGAAATACCACAGTAAGTAATGCACATAGGTATTGGCCCCATGTGGGGCATTGTGGAGAACCTGAAATTGGTGCATCTGGCCTCCACACCATTTTAAAAATGGGTTTTTAAATGGGTTATGCCATTTTATAACCCTTGGTGGATGTGCTTACATGCGAAAATCTGGACATGTACAGAAAAGACATGTCACAGCTGAAGGGGGATGGGGGTGGCTTCCCCATTGGGGATGCTGAATGAACTGTGTGTTGTGTGCCTGCATTTTCATTATGGCCAATCATATGAGGTTAGATGTAGAATTTTCCACTTGTGGTGACATGTTAATGCTCAAAAACTTTCAGGTTTTGAAGCATTTCAGGTTTTGGATTTTTAGAGTAGGGATGCTCAACTTGTAATGACCATCCTGACAGGTGTGAGATGATATCTCATTGTGGCTTTGTCTTGCATTTCTCTGATGATTAGTGAGCACCTTTTTTATATACCTGTTGGCCATTTATATGTCTTCTTTGGAAAAATGTCTATTCAGGTCCTTGGTCCATTTCTAATCGGGTTATTTGTGTTTTTATTGTTGTTGTTTTTGTTTTGCTATTGAGTTGTGTGAGTTCCTTATATATTTTGAGTATTAACCTTTTATCAGATATGTGGTTTGCAAATATATTCTTCCATCCCATAGGTTGCCTTTTCAGTTTGTTGATTGTTTCCTTTACTATGCAGAAGCTTTTTAGGTTGATGGAGTCCCACTTGGTTTGTTTTTGCTTTTGTTGCCTGTGCTTTTGGTGTCATATCCAAAAGTTTTAGCTATGCCCCATGTCAAGGAGCTTTTCTCTTATATTTTCTTCTAAGAGTTTTACATTTTCAGATCTTATGTTTAAGTCTTTAATGCATTTTGAGTTAATTTTTGTATATGGTTTAAGAGTGGGATCCAGTTTTATTCTTTTGCAGGTGGATATCCAGTTTTCCCTGCAACATTTATTGAAGAGTCTATCCTTTTCCCCCATTGTGTATTCTTGGTGTCCTTGTGAAAGATTAGTTGACTATAAATGCATGGGTGTATTTTTGGGCTTCCTATTGTGTTTTATTTGTCATTGTCTGTTTGTGTGCCTGTACCATATTTCTTTGATTACCATAGTTTTGTAATATAGTCTGAAATCAAAGAGTGTGATTCCTCCAGCTTTGTTCTTCTTTCTCAAAATTGCTTTGGCAATTTGGGGTCTTTGGTGGTTCCATATGAACTTTAGGATTGTTTTTTCTATTTCTGTGAAAAATGCCATTGGAATTTTATAGGAACTTCATTGAATCAGCAGACTGTTTTGGAGTATGGACAATTTAACAATATTAATTCTTCTAATCCATGTATATGGTATATCTTTTCATTTATTTGTATCTTCTTCAATTTTTTTCATCAATGTTTTCTAGTTTTCAGGGTACAGATCTTTCACCTCCTTGGTTAATTTATTCCTAAGTATTTTATTTTTTTGATGCTATTGTAAATGAGACCATTTTATTAATTTCTTCTCTGGGTAGTTTGTTGTTGGTGCATAGAAATGCAACTGTATTTTATATGTTGATTTTTTATCCTGCAACTTTAATGAAGATGTGTATTAGTTCTAACAGTATTTAGGGTTTTCTATATATAAGATCATATAATCTGCAAACATACAATTTAACATCTTTCTTTTTGAATTTCTTTTATCTATTCTTCTTGCCTAATTGCTTTGGCAAACACTTCCAGTACTATTTTGAATAGAAGTGGTGAGAGTGGGCACACTTGTGTTGTTCCTGTTCTTTCTTTTTATTATTATTATTATACTTTAAGTTTTAGGGTACATGTGCACAACGTGCTGTTCCTGTCCTTAAAGGAACAGTTTTCAGATTTTCTTTGTTGAATATGATGTTAGATGTGGGCTGTCATATATGACTTTTATTATGTTGAGGTACATTCCTCTATAACTCATTTGTTGAGAGTTTTTAATCATGAAAGGATATTGAATTTTGTCAGATGTTTTTTCTGCATATATTAAAATGATCATATATTTTTTATCCTTTGTTTGTTAATGTGGTGTACTTCACTTATTGTTTTGTATATGTCAAACTGTCCTTGCATCCCAGGGATAAATTCCACTTGATCATAGTGTATAATCCTTTTAATGTGCTATTGAATTCAGCTTGCTAGTATTTCATTGAATGCTGTTTGTTTATTGATTTTCTGTCTGGATATCTATCCAAGATTGAATGTAGCATATTGGAGTCTTCTATTACTATTATATTGCTGTCTGTTTGTCCTTTCAGTTCTATTGTTATTTGCTTTGTATATTTAGGTGTTCCAAAGTTGGGTGTATGTATACTCACAATTGTAATACCTTCTTAGTGAACTGACCCTTTTATCATTCATTATATGATGACCTTCTTTGACTATTGTGACAGGTTTTGACTTAAAGTCCTTTGTGCCTAATATAAGTATAGCTACCTCTGCTCTCTTTTGGCTTCCATTTGAGTGCAATAGCCTTTTCCACCCCTTTACTTTCAGCCTGTGTGTGTCTTAAAGCTAAAGTGAGTCTCCTGTAGGCAGCATATAGCAGGATCTTGTTTTTTAGTCATTCAGCTATTCTGTCTTTTGATTGGTGAAATTAAGTCATTTATATGTAAGGTAATTATTGATAGGTAAGGACTTACTATTGCCATCTAGTTGTTTTCTGTTTTGCAATTCATTTGCTCTTTTCTCTATTGTTGTCTTCCTTTGTGATTTAATAATTTTTTATAGTATTTTGTTTTGATTCCTTTCTCTTTGTATTTTGTGTATCTCCTACAGAATTTTTTCTTTGTGATTACCATGGGATTACAGAAAACATTCTATTGTTATAATAGACTATTTTAACCTGATAAAAACTTAACTTTGATCACATACAAAAACTTTAACTTCTTCTCCCCTACATTTAATATTATTAATATTACTGTTTACATTTTTATAATGTGCATTCATTAGTAAATTATTGCAGCTATAGTCATTTTTAATACTTTTGTCTTTAAACTTTTACACTGGTGGTAAAAGCAATTTACATACTACCATTACAGAATTAGACTATTCTGAATCTGACTATACATTTACCTTTGCTAGCAAGTTTTATACTTTCATATGTTTCTTATGTTTAGTGTCCTTTCATTCCTCCTCCTTCTTCTTCTTTTCCTTCTTCCTTCCTCCCTCTCCCTCTCCTTCTTCCTTCTCTCTTCTTCTTCTTCTTTCCAGTGCTGGCTGATATCCTTTCATTTCAACCTGAAGAACTTTCTTTAGTACTTCTTGTAAGTAGTAATGAACTCCCTCAGCTGGAAAAGTATCTCTCCTTCCTTTCTTAAAAATAGATTTCCTATGTAGAATATTCTTGGTTAGCAGTTGTTTTTGTTGTTTCAGCACTTTGAATGTGCTAGAACATCAACTCATAATGCAAATGTTGTTTTGTTTCATGTTGTCCCATAAGTTACACAGGCCTTTTTCATCCTTTCTTCTTATTGTTGCTCTGATTGGATAATTTCAAATGATCTGTCTTTGAGTCCACTGCTTCTTTCTTCTGCTTGAGTCCCCTGTTGAAGCTCTCTATTGAATTTTTCAGTTCATTCATCATATTCTACAGCTCCAGAATTTCTGTTTAGTTCTTTTTTATGATTTCTATCTTTTGGTTGAATTTCTCATTTTGTTCTTGTATTGTTCTCCTGATTTTGTTTAGTTGTCTGTGTTCTCCTGTACCTCAGTGAGCTTAAGTCACTTATTTTGAATTATTTATCAGGCAATTCATAGGTCTCAATTTCTTTGGGATCAGCCACAGGAGCTTTATTTTGTTCCTTTGGTGGTGTCATGTTTTCTTAATTCTTCTTGTTCCTTGAAGTGTTGCATTTCTGTCTTTGAAAAAGCAGTCTCCTCTTCCAGTCTCTACTAACTGGCTTTGGAAGAGAAAGACATTCACCAGACAATCAAGAGTTTGACGTCTTTCAGGCCTTTTCTATGGATTCACCTGCCCCACTCTCTTGTTCCCCCTTGTGGGGGTAAGGCTTAGGATTGTGTGCCTACTCTCAATCCTGTAAAGTCAGGCCAGGTGTGGAGGGCCTCCTCTTAATTTTCTCCAGGAAAGTGCCTTGAAGTGTTCAAGATTGTGCACCTTCTCTCAACCCTGCAAAGTTGAGATAGCTGCTGATATCTATGTGCTGTCTGTGGGGATTTGCATGTGTCCTCTGTGGTGGCTTGCACTCACTATCTGTGGAGGCTCAGGTGCTCTGTCTCAGGAACGCATAAATGCCATCTGAGGACTTTTGCATGTGCCATTTCAGGGGCACATGCAGAGTGCTGAGGGTGTGAGTCATCCAATTGAAGGTGTTGAAGATGAGGCATCCTACAGGGTTTTCATGGTTTTCAGACTCCTGGTGGAGTCTCAAACCAATTAATAGGGTCTACAGCTGGTTTTTGAGACTTTGTGGTTGCTCCTACCTCCCCCAAGACTTTTAGCTGTGTGATCTTCTGTGATCTGGGTGGGGTGAGGCAGAAGTGAGCCTCTTGGGTAACAACCTGTGAGGCTGGGGAAGCTGGACACTCACTTCACTCTCACTATCCCCCATCGAAGAAACTGTGGACTTGGGCACTGAGCCATGCTGCCTTGGGAGTAGGGTGATGTGGGTTAAGTGAAACTGTTCTTCCTCTTTTTCTTTTTTTTAGGTGGAGTCTCGCTCTTGTTGCCCAGGCTGGAGTGCAGTGCTGCAGTCTCAGCTCACTGCAACCTCCGCCTCCTGGGTTCAGGTGATTCTCTTGCCTCAACCTCTGGAGTAGCTGGGACTACAGGCACCTGCCACCATGACCAGGTAATTTTTTTTTTTTTTTTTTTGGCAGAGTCTCACTCTGTCACCCAGGCTGGAGTGCAGTGGTGTGATCTCGGCTCACTGCAACCTCCGCCTCCCAGGTTCAAGCTATTCTCCTGCCTCAGCCTCTCAGGTAGCTGGGATTACAGGGGTGTGCCACCACGCCCGGCTAATTTTTTGTATTTTTAGTAGAGACGGGGTTTCACCATGTTGGCCAGGCTGGTCTCAAACTCCTGACCTCAGGTGATCCGCCTGCCTCAGCCTCCTAAAGTGCTGGGATTAGAGGCACGAGCCACTGTGTTCTTACCTTCATCAACGCATCTAGTCTTAGTTGTTTTTTCTTTTCTTTCTTTCTTTCTTTTTTTTTTTTTTTTTGGCTTAAACAGAGTTCTATAATTGCTTCACTGGACTCCTGGTTTCCTACTTGAGGTACTCTTCTTGTCCATGGATGGTTGTCAAAATTGATGTTTCTATGGAAGTATGAGGACTGGAGTCTCCTATTCCACCAGCTTGCTGTCATCACTCTGGCAAAAATGTCAAGTGGTTATCTCTTTTGTTTTCTTTGCAGTCTGCCATAATTACCAGATTCTTTCCAATGAGGACATTTTACTCTAAAGTAGTAGTAATACCATGGACAATGAATGAGTCTAATCTTTTTCAATCAAGTTCATTTCACTTTCAAGTAAATCTATTTACTCTGTAGTGTTGTAAATGCTTCCCAAATATTTAATAACTTGAAGTAAATGAGTATTATTTTGCTCATTTTACAGATGAGGAAACTGAGGACCAGAGAAGCTAAGTAGATCACCCAAGGTAATACCTGAGATGTATGGACCCAGTGGCCAAGCTCAACCACCATGTCATGCTGTCCTCAAACCCTCTGGGCCAAATTGCACATAGTTTACAGCCTGTCCCAGGCTGACAAGGAGGTGACAATTGCACTAAGCTTTATGATTCTGAAACCTGGAATCTGGAAGCCATGGAATTCCAAAAGTCTGAAGAGGCCCCCTCTTAATTGTGTGGCTTTGGGAAAGTCCCTTACCTCCCCTACGCCTTGGTTTCCTTATTTGTAAAATGTGGGTGATACCATCTGTATTCTTTCCTACTCCTCAGGGTTGTTATGAGCTCAGGTATATGTGAAAATGTTACATAAACTGTGAAGGATGTAGGTAGGCAGGAAATCAAGGGAGAGATATCAAAGAGATGCTGTGTGAACAAAGGTGCATTAAAAGGACTGTGAAGGCCATTGTGAGGGAGCTGTGTGAAAGGGAATTTGGTTCCTGAGGAGGAGCAGTGGGACTGGGGTAGAAACAGGTTTGGTGTTAAATCCTGGAGGACTTTAATGTCAGGTGATGCACTGGGATGTTACTGACAGTGAAATAAGGAGGGTGGGCTATGAAGAGTCATCCACTGCAAAAATACAGCATGATTGTCGGGTTGTCTTCAGCCACTCTGCTGGGCCTCTAGGCCCGACTCTTGAGTGAGTCTGAGAGAGGGAGCTCCCCAAGACAGGCCCTCTGGGCAGGTGAGGATTCCAGTGGTGTATAGTGACTTGCTGGCAAGTTTTAGTCAATGCCCATGAGAGGGAAGCTGGCACAGGAGGCCAGCATTATGGTTCTTTCCAGAAGCCCAGGAAAACCAGAGTGTGAGCCTCTCCCATTTGGTGGGTCCTTCCAATTTATGGTAGCCAGCTCATTTGATTCTCCAACAGCCTGGAATGGAGATGAACTCTTATCTTCCCTCCACTAATCTGCTCTTCCTAATGTCACCAGTGACTCTAACTTCCTCCTCCTCGAATCCTCCTTAATACAGTTGCCAGTAGTTTACATTGCTGACTTCTCCCTTGCTCCTAAAAAGTTCTTTTGCGACCAGGATTGCACTCTCTCAGCCAGTTTTTTAACTGATTCTTCTCAGGCCCCTTTGCTGATTTCCTTTCTTTTCCACACCCTCCAAGATTCCATTCTTGGTCTCCTTTTCTTTTTCAATGAATTCTCCCTCAGTGGCCTCATCAACTACCAGTATGAATGCCCACTGTGTACTCATGTGTCTCAAATTGTGATCTCCAGACCCTGTATTTCTTATCATGACTAAAATGAAACTCATCTCTGCCCATACTCACTGCCTATTCTCTCACTTAATGTCATCACAACCACAAAAGGTTCTGTGTCAAAGCTGTGACAATGTACCTGGTTGGTTTTAGCAGAGAGGGGATTTTTTGGAAGCATGGGGCAATTCACTGACATGAAGAAAATTCTTGAAGGTCAAGACTCATAAATAATGAAGGCCAGAGCAGCTCTGGGAAGCTGAACAGTGGATACAAGTGAATGGCTTCCCTGGGGAATGAAGACTGAAGAATGTAGTAGAAGAACATTACCTACCATGTAGTGTTTGTTGAATCTAAAATGAACTGTACAGTTAAGGAAGCCGAGGCCCAAAGAGGATGATTCAACTTCCATCCCTTCATTCTTTCTGCCATTAGGCTCGAGATTAGAATTACAGGAAGAAAGCATCTGAATGCACTAACTAGGGTCACATGGTCTTAGCTGGGGGTAAGCACAACCCTTTCAGTGATGGTCCTAACAAATTGTAAATCAATCCTGATATTGTCAATCTTGTTTTTAAAAGCCTCTAGAGAATGATTCTTCCTCCTAAAACTCAACGAGCATTCTGAACCTGAAAAGGGGGGGATGAAGTCTGGGTGTAAAAATATCACAACTGTCCATCATACTCTGGCCCAGAAACATCTTTAACTCCTGCCTCTTCCATACTTCACTTCTCCTAAATATCTTTCTAATAACTTCCCTGCCCTCATAACTCCTTGCTGCCAGTCTCTACCTGCAAATCTATTTGCCCCACTACCAGTCATCTTCTACAATACATTCTGGGCTGGGCGCAGTGGCTCACGCCTGTAATCCCAGCACTTCAGAAGGCCAAGGTAGGTAGATCATTTGAGGTTAGGAGTTTGAGACCAGCCTGGCCAACATGGTAAAACCCCGTCTCTATGAAAAATACAAAAATTATCTGGACGTGGTGGTGGACGCCTGTAATCCCAGCTACTCAGGAGGCTGAGGCAGGAGAATTACTTGAACCCAGGAGGTGGAGGTTGCAATGAGCCAAGATTGCGCCACTGCACTCCAGCCTGGGCAACAGAGGGAGACTGCATCTCAAAAATAACATAACATAACATAACATAACATAACATAACATAACATAACATAACATAACATAAATAAAATAAAATAAAATAAATAAAAAAATAAAATAAAATAAAATCTGATCAGTCCAAGCTTCTCCTTCCCTCCCCCTGCCCCCAAAAAGAACCCTTTATGGTCCCCCATTGCCATTAGCTGAAGTTTTTAATATGGTTTACAAGGTCCTTCCCAAGCCTTATCTTTCCACAAGGCTTCATTTACCACTCCAGCCCCACTACTCCTGAAACAGGCCTCTCTATGCCTATGTCTGTATTCTTCCTTTCTCCTGGATGCCTTTCCCACATTCTCTGTCTCGAAGGATCCCATTCATATTCGTCTTTCATAGATAGCATCAGATCTCACCTCTCATGGAGACTTCCTCAAACAAGCCAGGATGAGTTGGTTAATCCTTCTTTTGTACTCTTTTCACACTCAGTAAGGACTTAAGATTATAGCCCTGAGCACATTTTATTATGGCGTTTGTTTACAAGTCTGTCTTCTTCACTGGACTGGGAGCTCCTCTAAAGTAGGCCCTGAGTTTTCCTTGGCTTTATTGCCCTAGTGCTTAGCATTGTGCCTAGCATGTGGTGTTTGGTGAATTTCAAGTGAGCTGTACCGATGAGGAAACTGAAGCCCAAGGAGAACAAGCTGCACACTTAGAATGAGCAACCTCCCTAATGGCAATCAAGTTGGAGAGACAGTTGTGATCAATCACATTGGGCTTTGTAATCATCTAGGCAGTTGCTAAAGACTGGAAGTAAAGGGTGGTCACCAGCTATCTCCCTTTGCACTTTGAGAAAATAAGGCTCAACAGGCTCAAACTTAAATGGTCAAGAGGGATTTAAATTAAAGAAGAGAAAGACCTTCTTGTTCCTGGGTTTGGTAGACAAAAAAGTGAGCTGACTCAGAACGTTTGTGAACTTTTTGCCTCTGGAGACTTTTACAAACAAGATAGACCTTATTATCAGGGCTGAGTCGAAAGTCCTGTTAGAGGCGGACAAATGGCTGAGCTGACGTCTGAAGAAGCTGCCTCTTGAGGAAGCCCTTGAGGGGCAGAGGAACCAGTGAGAAGACTTCAGTTCCCAGGGAGGTCAAGGATGCTTGGGGGAGGGGGAGACAGAGGAGGGAGCCCTTCCTAATTAAGCCTCTACCCACGAGTGAATGTGAGGCTAATAAGGCAGCCCCATTCCAGGGCACCTCCACACCCAGCCAGCCGGTCTGCCTGTTTATTGCCCGTATGGAGATCATTAATGCCTCCTGACACTGGGGTCACTCCCGGGGTCAATCCCGGAGCCCCTTCTGGAAAACAAGGGGAAATGAACTTCCCAGCACATGTGGCTCAGCCTTGGCAGGGAGGGGGACTCTGGTCACCCCACACCTCAGCTCTGGGAGAGATCAGCACTCCAGGCAGTCAGACCCCCCGAAACAATCCCTTCTGCCCATGCTGGACTCAGGGGGGGTGGTCCTGGGGAAAGGCGAGGTGGAGGCCCTTGTCTGGGCCGGGACAACCCCCACTGAGGCTGTCCCAACCGACAGACAGACACTAATCCCCTGGCGACGGACTGGGCTGGTGTCTGGGAGCTGCAGCTGCAGCTCAACAGGGGCCAGGCTGCCGGCCACAGGTGGCGGGAAGGCGCAGGCCTGGTGGCCACGTGGGCGCGAGCTTGGGCCTCGGCCCCACCCTCACCCGCTTCCCCCTCGTTGATTGGGCCCCTTCCCCTTCCGGAATCCAAGATGGTGGGGGGGGGGCGGGCTTCCAGGGCAATCGGAGCTTCAATTGGTGGAATGCAGGCCCTTTGAGCTGAAGGACAGCCTCAGTAGCCACTCAGGGAGCTCATGCTGGTGATGGTGGTGGGCGCTCAGCCACCTTACCTCACACTTAAGCAGCCGAGGTGACCTCAGGAATCGGTCTCCCGCAGGCTGGCGAGAGCCACAGTGAGAACGAGGAAACTCCAGACGGCCTCCGGGCAGGCCCCTTACCAGCCTGGGGCGTCTTCCTCGATAATGGAACTGAGAATCAGTCCCTACCTGCCCGGCAAGAAGACGGGAAAAACCTCCAACTACCTTGGAGGAAATCAATAGGATTACGAGGTTAATGCCAGAGCAGGCTGAGTGACAGTTACCAAATAAATGATCTTGGGAGGACATGGCTGAGGTTAAACGAGGCCCAATAAATAAAGGAGCGTGTTCAAAGGAGAAACTTCAGAAAATGCAAGGACGCCGGAGGCGGGGGTGGTGGTCGGGCCTGGGGACTCCTTCCTGTCCTCTCGTCGGGGACCTGTTGAATCTCCCAGAGGAGCCACAGCCCCGGGCCTGCCTTTCACAACCTGCCCACTCGGGTCTGCACCCTGTTCCGTGCCAGTGTTGGCATAGCTCCAGGGCACAGCACTCCTTGGACAGCTGCATCCCCCCAGCTTTGGAGACTGAATGAGGGAATGGAAAGTCTTACCGTGGAGGCCTGACCAGTTAACAGAGCCCCAGCGTGCCTCTGACTCCTTAGAGAAAGGACCAACTGCAGCAAGAGGGGTTGAAGCTAGATGTGAGGAGGCACTTCCCAAACAGATTGATGGACAGAGCTTATGGGCCTTGGAGACAAGGAAGTTTCCCGTAGGCCTTCAGCTGAGTGTCTTTTCTTCATGAAATCTGCTATAGAACGGTTTTGATGACTGAGCAGTAAGCAAAGTCCCTTCTCCAATTTCTTCCAAATCTTCCCACTGATGCCCACATCAAGCCTCCTTCCATTCCCTTTTCTACTGTGCCTGCCCCTTTAGAATTGGGGATTGAAAAACCCAAGCACAGAGAGCAGCTCTGGGTGAGTGGGGCCGGAGGCAGATGGGGGACGTTTGAGGAAGAGGGCAGCAGGGAGAAGAAGGCCTTGGTGACATGGGATGGGGGCACTCAGGAAGCTCCAGGACACGCTTCTTGGGACGGCAATTGGAAAAGAGGCTTGAGCTTGGTACAGACTGCTAGAAGGGCCCTGTGATGTGGGGAAGGAGCGGAAGGCACCAAGGACGTGCCTTTTGTTGGAGTTTCATTCAGCTTTGTTGCCATGAGTCATTTGGCTTTGTGTTTATATAGTGCCTTCATAGTAATAAATCAGACTCAAGGAAGGAGAGAGAATGGTGTTCTGAGCCCCCGGTGCAACCCTGTGGTGTGTCCCTCCACACCCAGGGCTGGATTGCCTCTGGGGCAGTAGGTCTGTGGCCAAGTAGGTGGGGTGTGGGGTAGGAGAAGAGGGTTCTTTGCCCGGTGGCCTGTTATAAAGGATTTTATTCCAGATGAAAGCACAATTTTCCTTATCGTCACTTGTTTCTGATGTAGTCAAGAATTTCCCTTTTTAAAAATTTGTGTTTTATAGAGATAGGGTCTTTTTGTTGTTGTTTGTTGTTTGTTCGTTTGTTTTTTGAGACGGAGTCTCACTCTGTCACCCAGGCTGGAGTGCAGTGGCACAATCTCAGCTCACTGCAACCTCTGTCTCCTGGGTTTAAGCGATACTCCTGCCTCAGCTTCCAAGTAGCTGGGATTACAGGAGTGCACCACCACATCCGGCCAATTTTTATATTTTCAGTAGACACAGGGTTTCACCATGTTGGCGAGCCTGGTCTCCAAATCCTGACCTCAAGTGATCCAGCTGCCTCAGCCTCCCAAAGTGTTGGTATTACAGGTGTTAGCCACCGCGCCCAGTGGAGATAGGGTCTTGCTATTAAATATATTGCTCAGGCTGGTCTTGAACTCCTGGGCTCAAGCAATTCTCCCACCTCAGCCTCCCAAAGTGCTGGGATTACAGGCCTGAGCCATTGTGCTGGCCTAATTTGCCTTTTTTTGTCCAAGGCTGTGTTCTCAGCTAGAAAGGGCCATCAACATCATCTTTACACATGAAAAGCTTGCAGCAGAGTCTGTGTGTACAACCCTCGCTCTTCATTCCGTTAGCAATGTGTCCTGGTGAATGAGCACCCCACTCCTGGGGTCCTGCTGGCTTTCTTCCAGTAGCTAACGTGGTAGGAGCCCGCAGGAGACAGAGAATGATGTTCTTAGGAACATCAAGGATACTGGAAGTGCCCTCTCTTGGAAATCTGAAGAGAGAGATGATTAAGTTTTTGGTCCCTGGGTGAGTATTTTATTTTTTAGCAAATGAACAATAATAATAATGAATAGGTTATGATCTTGGGCTCTTGAGCCCTATAGGTCCAATAACCTCTTTACTTACTGTGAGACCTTGGTCAAGTCCTATTTATAATGATACCTGTATTTGAGTGTTACCATGCGCCAGGCACTATACATGTTACTCTTACAACAACAACGTGAAGGAGGCTGTGTTATCCCTGTTTAACAAAGAAAACCTGCTTAGGCTAAGAAACTGGAGAGCAGTTTACTTAAAAGCATAGGCACTGAAGATTCAAACTAGTTTGGCTTTAAATCTTGACTTCATTTCCTGGTTGTATGACATTGGGCAAATTATGTGACCTCAGTTTCTTCATCTGTAAAATTGGGTTTATGATAGTAACCACCTGATAAGGTAGTGAGGCTGAAATGAGATAATGTGCATAAAGTTCTTAGAATTCTGCCAGGCACATTGTAGGTGTTTGATAAATGTTAGCTATAATTGTGAGCCCTCAAAGTACTTTTATCTATGTGCTGTCACTTCATCCTTTCTGCTACCCTATGAGGTGGCTATTGTTATTAAATTCATTTATAGATGAGGAAGCAGAGCCTTAAAACTCTGCTCTAGCCTTAAAACTCTGACCTAGAACATGCTGTAGACCTGAATTCAGGCCTTTAAACTTCAAATTCCAAGCATTTTCTGATAGTCTCCCATTCTTAAATTCTAATTTATTTTAGCCCCTCATTCAGAAATATCCCCAAGGAGCCGAATTTAAAGCCAAATTTGGATTATCTATGCTTGGGAAGAATGCAAAGGAGAAAGGAAAAAAAGGGAAGTGTTGAACAATTAAATAATATCTCTGATTTAGGAATTTTTTTCACCTAGCACAACCCTAGGAGATATACCTTCCTCTGGTAGTGAAATAAGCATATATTTCAGAGAAGTCTTACTGAAGGAAATGGAAGGAAGTGAGGATTCAGGAGCATGTAGTGTAAGGATGGGGGAGGGGAAGCTGACCTTCTAGAGAAAATCCACCAAAGAAAAAGGTCTCTGGATCAGGAGGTCTAGATTGCTCAGGCTATGCAAAACCCAGACTTGATCATTCATTCCTTACCTCTGTAGTGTCTCAAATGAGAGTTAAAGGAGGGATC
The DNA here is from genome assembly GCF_000001405.40 of Homo sapiens. Lineage (NCBI taxonomy): Eukaryota > Metazoa > Chordata > Mammalia > Primates > Hominidae > Homo > Homo sapiens. The sequence goes on from NC_000017.11 coordinate 61,447,227, forward strand.
CACCTGTGCTGTTGGTGAATCACTGTCTCTGCCCTCAGTCCCAAAGGGGCTCAGACCAGTCTGCCTCACCCAGCTCAGAGATGAAGGCAGCCCAGTCCTCAGTTCCTTCTACCTGGAAGTTTCTGGTTCTGCCTGACAGGAGAAGGCCTGAGAGAGCAGGGTGAGAGGTCAGGTGAGCAGACCTGCATCTGTGGTGTGAGGGGAAGCACCTGCAGTAGCAGCAGCTGCCACCTCTACCCATCCCCTGCTTGGTCCTTCTCCAACCTCCCAGAGGGAGCTCAAGCTCCTGCCCCACAGCTTTCCTGAGCTTGCTAATCTGAATGGGATGTGGGCTGAGGAATCTGGAACCAAGACTTGGGGCTACTGGGTGACAATAAAGCTACAGGAGGACAATAAAGCTACAGGGGACAGATCAATTCCCTGCTGCCTCATCCATCCTTTCCCTTTTGGAGGTTAATAAGGATCCTAGGCCTTAGACCACAGCATACACAGAAAAACATAGCTGGGAAAGAAGTGAGGAGGGATTTTGTGTCCTGGTTTTGAATGGGAAGACACGAGCACATGCGCACTCAGGTAAGTATCTTTCATTATGGAGGAAGGCACTCAGCACTGAGCTGGTGAAGCAAGAGGATGGCTTGAGCCCAGGAGTCTTTGAGGCTGCAGTGAGCTATGACTGCATGCCAGCCTGGGCAACAGAGTGATACCCTGTTTCTTTAAAAAAAAAAAAAAAAAAGGAACACTGAGCTGGGAACTTTTACATATGCTTCAGGAGTATATTTAGCTGTAAGTAACAGAGATCCATCCAGACTAACAATGATGAAAAGAAATAAGGTTTATTTTTCTTATGTATAAGAAGCAGGCTGGCACTGGTTTACCTGCTCAATGATGCCATAAGGAACTCAGGCCCTTTCTGTTTTTCCTTGGATATCCTTAACATATTGACTTTCATCCTTCTTCCTTAAGGTCTCTAGAGGGTGAGAACTTCAAGGATCTCATCTGCAGGGGAAAGGAAGATCACATCTTCCCCTTTATCAAGAAAGCAAAATATTTCCCACAACCTTTCTCCCCTCCAGTCTTCCGTTTAGGTCTTATTGGCCAACACTGGATTACGTGGCCATCTCTAGCTACAAGAGAGACTAGGAGAGCAGAGAACAGGATTTTCATAGACCAGTGGTTCTCAGCCTTGCCTGGAACTCCTGGGCTCAAGCTATCCTCCTGCCTTGGCCCCCTGAGTAGCTAGGACTACAAGCGGCGCCACCATGTCCGGCTTTGGCTCTACTCACAGAGATTCTGACTCAGTTGGTCTGGGTTAGAGCTTGGCATTGGTATTTATTAAGTGCTCCAAAAACCTAATTTTTTTAAAAAATTGTAATTGCTTTTCACTACACTATGGTGCCAGCTCATCCTCCACCAAAAGGTCATCCTCAACCAAAGCCACCCCAGGCTCTAGGGAGCCACCCTACTGTGCTGACTGGCATCCCCAACTTATCCTGTAGCCCCTGCTGTCTCTGAGATTGATTATTTAGGTGATTAATTACTCAGCTTGCAGGTCATTCATTAATGAATTTGCTGTTAGTGATGGGTTAGTCAAGTAGTTGGGTAACTAACAGAATGGTCAGTTGGCCTTTCCTCCTGTTTGTGTGTCTAACACATAGTAAGCATTTGATATTTCTTTGGATGAATGAATCCATAAAATAGAGAAAAAAATGGAGTTAATACAGTATCAAATGAGATGGCAGCTGTGAAACCACTTTGTAAATGGTAAAACACTGTACGATATAACAATAAACATTTACATTAGAAACTACTTTTATTTTTTCTTTATTTTTAAATTTTATTTATTATTATTATTTTTGAGACAGACTCTCACTCTATCATCCAGGCTGGAGTGCAATGGCACTATTTCGGCTCACTGAAACCTCTGCCTCCCAGGTTCAAGTGATTCCCCTGCCTCAGCCTCCAGAGTAGCTGGGACTACAGGCATGCGCCACCATGTCTTGCTAATTTTTGTATTTTTAGTAGAGACAGTGTTTCACCATGTTGGCCAGGCTGGTCTTGAACTCCAGGCCTCAAATGATCCGCCTGCCTAGGCCTCCCAAAGTCCTGGGATTATAGGCATGAGCCACTGCGACCAGCCGAGAAACTACTTTTTAAAATTTAGGGCCAGGACAAAGTCTGTTCCTTCACCATTCACCAAAGAGTTACTGTTTCCACATTTCTGATATAGAGAACTACCATGTTGCTCTGCTGGCTCATAAGCCAGATTTTATTCTCAATTATAGCAACTTTGTCAGCACTTAGTGATAGCATATATGCTTACTCCTTTTTCCTTGATCCTAATGTGTTTTTCTACTTGTGTTTTTATTAGCTAATTCTGGTTATAAACCACCTCAAGCCTTTTGCGGAAAAGAGAAAAGTAGAATAAATTTTTAAAATACTTGGGAGCTAGCCTTTATCAACCATGCATTAATATAGGCAATCCTCACAATAAGCTAGTAGGTTGGCGTAATTATCCCCATTTTATATGAGCATTAATGAACTTGCCCAAGGTCACATAGCTGCAAAATGGTGAGCCAGGAATCAGAGCTAGGTTTCAAAACCAAGGTGAGCCTGCTACCAAACCTGAGCACTTTCCCCCAAGCCAACCCAAATCAGTGTGACCGATGTGTGGCACCGTCAGTTATTTGTTTAGCTAGTTGAGGAGGGTTTTCATATTTTGAACTCCTCAAAGTAGTTTTGGAGAAAAAAAAATTGGTCTTCTCCTCTTCTACACAGGCTCTTTTTCAGCAAATACTATGCAGCATCCATTATAAGCTTTTCTATTATTTTACATACGACTAAGAAGAAAAAACGCTGCTAATTAAGCTATGACACACCGCTAGCTATCAGATGCATCTCAGTTTCAGAGATACCAGAATGTGAAAAATGTGTGTCTTAGAGTCAGTTAAATGAGGTATTCCATTCTAATAATGGGGAATGTGCATACAGAACCGCTCTCATTTACTCACTTGCTGGCTGGTTTGCCCCTTCCTTTTTACTGCCAAAAGCTTACCTGTCCCTTCCATATCTCATTTCTCCATGTCATCATGAACCTGTTGATATTAATTTAGACTGTCTGCCATCAGTCTCCAGAAAGCCTTGCACTTATAGGAAGGTTCCAGTCTAGTTTGTTTGTTTTTGTTTGTTTGTTTTATTAAAGAACTATACGATACGATCTCAGTATGAACTTCCTCCAATGACTGTCAACAAATTCTTTCCAGAGTCTGGCCTAGCTCTAGTCTTCCCATAGTACCTGGTGATTCACTGCCCTCCCTGTTCACCATTCCACACAGTAGTTGGTTGCTTAGTCTGTATACTATTTATTTGCAAGGGATTTCCCTACAGGCTGTTGGAGAGGTCATGGGAGGGGGCTTGCGAGCAGAAGCTGAGGCATGTCATCCAGGTCTCCCTAACACAGGAAACACGACTCCCCAGGCATCTCCTGAAACGCCAGGGCCTTCCCTTTCTCCATTCCAGGAGTCCGCAGGTTTGGGGAAGGATTCTGCTCCTCCACTCCTCTTAGATATTATTTCCCCTCCCTGGTTTGAGACTCCATGAGAGGAATGGTGATAGGGTGGTGGGACCTGGTACTGCAATGGTGATAGGGACTTGAGCAGCGGCCCACTGTTGAGGTGGATTTCAGGCTCCTGACAGCAGCAGCGACTGGCTTTTCTGAGTTGGCGTTTTTGCTTCCACCTTTGAGTGCAGGGTGGTAAAGAAGGCATTGATGCTGGCTTTCCATTTCCTAGCATTAGAACAGGGACAGACCCATCCAGGAAAAGAATTTCCCTGTCCTCTCCCCTTCAAGCTGATTTTGAGGTCAGAATCTGGAAAGGGACAGAGGCTGGTTGAGGACACTGGTGGAGGGAGGGATGCAGCCCATGCTAAGCACTAAGGGACCACTCTGGGGATCCTTATTGATGAGGATTCTGCTGTCTTTGCAGATGGGTGGGCAGGCCTATTTCTGCCCCAGGATTCTGGGCATGTGACAGGCGGGGAGGCTGGGGCACGGGCTGGGGTCCGCATGGGTCCGTCTGCTAGTGGAAAGGCAGCGTCCTGTGGGAGGTACAGACAGAGAGAAACAGAGGTAAGTGGAGACAGAGAGCTCAGAGGCTGGGCAGGGAGGTCTAGGTGCTGAGCGGGACTCCGTTTCTGAGGCGGAAAGAACCGGGTGGCTGGGAGCAGGACGCTCCCCAGTCTCCACTTCCTAGACTAGGGCAGGCATTGGGCTTCCTCTTCAGCTCTCCAGGATCTCAAGGAGCTGCCGCGGAATCCTGGCCCTGGGCCGCAGTTTCCCCAGGAGGCTCTGCCAAGCCTGGCACCTTGCAGCCCGGCCTGGGCTCTGTCAAGGCCCGAGCCGGACTCGGCTCCACTCAGAGGCCGGCCCAGCACTTCCCTGCCGCCGCCGCCCCGCACCCGGCCACCGGGCTTCCTCCCAGTCCTCACCCCTGACCTCCGCGGCCGACTTCGAGGCGCGCCAGGCCGGGTCCAGCGCCCGCGGCCCCCTGGGCCGGGACAAGGAGGGCGGGTGAGCAGAAGGGCCGTGCCCAGGGCCTGGAAGTGCAAGGCCGCGTGGTGGGCATGGTAGGGAAGCGGAGCGTGGGCCTGTGAGGCGCGTGTGCGCCTGCGACCTCGGGACCGGGGCTCCCAAATGAACAGCGCGCACAGCTGGGAGCAGGGCTTGGGGAGCGGGGCTCTGCGGCCGGGGATCCGTAGAAGCCGCTGCCTGGAAGCGGGCGCCGGCAGGGGGTGGCCAGACCCGGTCGTGGAGCGTCCTAGTCTTCGGGCACGGCGGGGCCAGGCGAGCCCTCCTGGTTGTCGAGCCTCGGCTGAGAGCCGGGCTGCTCGCCCTTGCTTCCCGCCTCTCTAATCTAAACCATGCGGGGCTCCCAGCCCCTACCCGGCTCGCGGGGCCCGAGGGCCAAGAGGAGGGCACTGGGCCGCGCGGTGGAGGAGCCGGCGGCTCGCGTGGGGCTCGGGATCTTGGGGACCGCGACGCCGGGGAACCCTGGAGCCCCCCTCCCCGGGGGACAGCGGGCGCAGACTGATTGACAGCGGCGACGTCAGCGCGGAGGGGGGGCGGCCCCAGAGGGAGGGAGGGAGGAGGAGGGAATTGAGGCCCCAAAGTGCAGCCTTGGAGATCAAGGGCCCGCTCCAGAGCCGGGATGTGTCCAGCCCCGAGGGCACGGCAGGCAGCTGGACCCTGACCCAGCGGCGCGGAGTCGGAGCCCCGGCCGTCCCGCGCTCCTCGGACCCGAACCTGCAGGGGACCTCGGGCCGCTGGCGCCTCCGCATGCGGCACCGCAATTAGGGTGAGTGTGGGTTCCAGCCGAGTGGGGACGAGCTGGGCGTGCGGGGCTGGGGCCACAGGGGCTCAGGGTTAGGCTGCGGGGACGGACAGGAGGATGAGCTGGAAAGGGGTGAGTCACGCGACCCGGGGAAGAACTTCAGGGGCGGTCAAAGTTGCAGGAAGGCGGCGCGAAGTGCCTTGGGTCGGGCCGCCGCCTCGGCCCGACACCCAGTAGTTGGGGCACGAGCCCTCCTCTCTGAGTAACGCGATGAATTGGGTCTAGAGATCCAAGAGCATAGAAATATCGACAGCGCCAGCACCCTAAGAACAAGGCCGTGACAGGCGGAGCGGTGGCCTGGAAATTGGTGTTTGCAGAATATGCAAGGCCAAGGAAGAGGGCCCCGGTACTGGAGCGAAAATCCGTGTAGATATGTGAGTGATCAGAACACTAGACTCAGAGCCTTTGATGCAATAGACTAGTCAAAATTAAAGCAAGGAACATTATATATAAATAATGATCGATGATTAAAGATTATTGGAATGTGAACAATTACCAAAGAAAGGGCTAATCGGCATAACTGATATAACACGTGAACTTCCAAATAATACAATCATAGTCACTTTCAGAATCAAGTGAAAATAGTAATCACAATTTTTAAAAGGATTAAAGACAAAGTAATTCTAAATAGAGGAACAATGTAAGGACTGTTTATTAAAACCAATTGCACTAATATAACATATAGTAATAGTGTAACAAATTACCAAACTGTAGGAAACTAGCAAACGAACTGTAGGAGAAAGATGAACAATGAAAATACTATTAAGGGAAATACTATTAGTGGTAGTGATATAATAATATAATGTATTATTGATACTACAGTGAACTATTAAAAGAAATATTAACTAAAATCTTAGGAGCAATAGTAATATAAATAAAGACATATTAACAAGAATTGCTGGAGTAATATGACAATTTATGACCAATGTATTAATAGTCACAAGAACATTATAAATAATGGTTGAGTAATAAGAAGTATTGTACCAATGTGATGAAAAATAATCAGAGTATTAAGAGCTACAACAATATTACAAAGTATGACAAAATAACAAGAAGTAATGATGTGATGAGTAACTAGCGAGTTCAGATCTGTAACATTACAAATAATGACAAAGTAACAAGATACTGTCGGGGTGTGTTGAAGAATAATACCTGGAGTGTTATGAGCAAGCCTAACAAAACAAATTGTGGTTAGATAACAAGAAGTATTATAAGGATGTGAGGGAAATTAACATGAATTTTGAGAACAATTATATAACAAGTTATGGTAAACAAGAAGTTATTGAAACAGCGTGACAAAGTATAATCAAAATGAAGAGCAAGCAACGGAAACGTATTAGGGATACAAAGCAAGAATAAAAAATTACAATAGATTAACGTGACCTATTGTTCACTATGTCACCTCGATATTGGAAATAGTATTATGAATGTGCCAGGCGGCCCTGAAATGATGGAACAGTGACAGGAAAACAACAAATTTAGTAACAGTAAGCTAACGAATCAAAGCAGGGCTTTAACCATACAGTATTAAAGATACAAAGTAGTAATAATCCACGCGATAGGATATTCTCAAAGTTCCCGAACTGATCAAAATACTACTATGGTAATAAGGACAATTAAAATATTTTAAAAAGCACGAAATAGTAACAGTTCCCCTAGTGCAAGAAACATATCCCCAGTAACCTAAAAATGAAAAGAGAAATGCTGTCGTCTTTGGAAAACGAGGCAGCTGAAAGCAACAGACCCCATCGCAAAGGCAGCGGAGGTTGCGGGCCGCACCCGCGGAGGAGTGGATGTGAAGGACGAGAGCGGACCGCTATGCGGTGCTGAGTGCGGGACCCCGCGGTGCTGGCGGCGGCCGAGCGCGCCCAAGCTCGAGGTCCGAGAGGACCGCGAGGACGGCCGCCCCGGGCCAGCCGGGCGTGGAAAAAAGGAAATTGCTGGGAAGGGGGCAAGCTGTCCCGAGGTCTGGATGTGGCTTCGTGGCGGAGAGAAAAGGAAGAGGCAAACCCTGAGCCCGGGAGGGAGAGCACTGAGCAGGCCTCGTCCCCAGTCCGAGCTGCGGGACCGGCGTCAGTGGACGCGGGCGGTGAACCAGCTCCTCACAGGGCAGGGCTGAGCGCGTAGGACTGAGAGCGCAGGGCGCGAGCCGCAGGGCTCCGCTGCACGGCTCCGGGTGTGACAAGAGCCCAGCAGAGGACCCCATGGCCATGCGGGCCAAGCGCGAGACGGCCCCTCCTTGCGACCCCGCAGGCCGCCACATCTGGGACCAGCGGATCGCTTGGTCGCTGGAGCCGATCCCGCCGGGGCCCTAGATATAGTTGGACCCAGCGCGCTGGCCGGAGCGGGCAGCTACCCTACTGGCGCAGCGGCCCTGTGTGGGGACTCCTAGGTTTCCGAGGCTCGGCCCGCGTTCGCACGTGGCCCGAGGCGGGTGCTGGCGCTGGCCATGTCCAGCGAGTCTCACTCCCTGCAGGCTGTGGCCGAAGACTGGTCCGCCTGTCAACCTTATCTTTATGGGTTTTTCCCAACCCAGACTGGCCCCGGCCCCTTTTTATCTCCTGGGTTGCACTTGGCTTGTTTACTTTGCGAGGTCCTGGGAGTCGAAGTCTAAGCCCGGGATGAGGAGGCCTCTGAACAAGATGGGCGAGAGGCCTGAGCCCGGGGATGCTCCGGGAGGGCCCGGGGAGAGCGGGAAGAAGGTAGGAAGAGAAAGGCGGGGCATTCCGCCTCAAGAAGGGCCGTCAGACCTACAGAAAGCTCCGCTGGAGCGCCCAGGTCCAGCAGGATGGGGAAGAGCAGGGAGGTGGAAAGGGGAAGCGGAGCAAGCGGGGCACACCCTTAAGGGATGCGGGCAGGCTGGCCTCTCAGGCTGTGCTCTCATCCCGAGGCCCCAGGACCTGCTTCGGGCAGGGAGCAGGCACCTGAGTAGGCGAGGGAATCAGCCAAGACAGCCGAAGAAATGTAGCTGTGCCAGGCAGGGCTAAGCGGTTCCTGTGAATGGGCCCAGCCTGCTGGCCTGGTCCTTCACTGGGAAGGGTGTGGGTCTTTAGGCCCAAAGCAGAGCCCTGTGGCGCTAAAGTGTGCCTGAGTGAGCCTGTAGGTTCGAACTCGAGCACCAGGTAGGGGAGGCCTGGGCTGAGGGCAGAGCCTGGATCAGTCACCCAGGAGAGTGTGGCTGCTCAGGCTGGTGGGATGCTGTGTGAGGGGCTGTGTTTGGGTGTGAGGATGTCTGTGCCAGAACGGGAAGAGGATGTGTGTGGACGGGGAGTGTGTTGGAGTGAAAGCCTTTGGTTCAGGAAGTCTCTACCTCAGTGCTGTCTGAGGGGTTGGGTGAGGGCAGATGGGTGAGCTGGGCCTGAGGTCCTGAGGCCCTCTCTGCACACAGGTGTGGAGCTGCAGGAGCCTGGGCCCTGCCCTCCAGCCTGGCTCTCCTTTCCTGCATGGCCAGGAGGTGTCCTGGCTGTCCTGGGCCCACAGAGAGGCCTGGACCCCAGTTATTGGGGAACAGCCGAGAAGGCCCAGGCCTCAGGCTCCACCGGAGCTCAGTAGGAGTGAGGGACTCGGGGTGCAGCTGTGGCAATGCCGAGAGGGCGGTCCCTCCCCTAGACCTACTCATCACAGAACCCCACACCCAGGGGCAGGCAGACATTGAACTGCCGCAGACCCTCCCAGGTCCACAGCCTGAAGGGAGGAGGCGAGGGACCTGCCTTCCTTGCGGGTTCCCTCCTCCAGCTCAGGAGGGGGCGGGGTCCACGTGCTCCAGGGCTGCCTCCGCGCCCCGCACGAAGTCCCGGAATCGGCTGGAGAGGGCCAGGGGTCCTCTGGCGAGTGTGGACCTGGGCGAGTGACTCGTTGTGTGCTGTGCCCGCAGGAGATGCTGCAGGATAAGGGCCTGTCCGAGAGCGAGGAGGCCTTCCGGGCCCCGGGCCCAGCGCTCGGAGAGGCCAGCGCAGCCAACGCCCCCGAGCCCGCGCTGGCAGCGCCGGGCCTCAGCGGAGCCGCGCTAGGCAGCCCCCCGGGACCCGGGGCCGACGTCGTCGCCGCCGCCGCCGCGGAGCAGGTAGGGCTGCGCCAGCCGTCGGGTAGAAGTCGGGCGTCGGTCTGTCTGCGGGGCCGCCTGTGTCCGTCTTTCCGTCCGATTGTCGGCAGGACTCGCTTTCAGGAGGACCTGGCTGCATTCAGGACGGTCTGCCCGTTCGTTCTCCACTGGACATGGCTCGCTTTCTCTGCCTTTTGGGTCCTTCTCCACTTTGAGCCCTCGGGGCTACTCTGGGACAAGCAAGAGCTAGAGCTAGAGATAGAGGAGAGGGCGGTAAGAGAGAGGGAGACCCCCGTAGCATCTGAGCGAGCCTGGACCAAGTGTCCAGCTCCAACAACCCGTAGAGGGCCTGGGACCCAACGGCGAGGGGGCAGGAGGAGGCCACCCCGCCGGTGCGCACGGGAGCCGCTGCGGGGATCCGAGGCCTCTGGGACGTCGCCGAGGGCTTCACAGTGATAATCGGACGATCACAGCGCACGGGATGCCGCCTGGGGATCTGTGTGCACTATCTGCAGGCGCGCGCCTGGCCGAGGGTGCGTGCGCCTCTCCCTGTCTGTGTCTGCCCCGGGAGCCTGTGGCGATGGCCCGCCACAGAAATGTTCATGAGTGAGCAGGAGTGTCGTCTAACCTGCGCTGGCCACTATGTGTGTCCTCTGAGGGTTCCTCCGTAGGTGCAGCTTTAAAGGAGGAAGTTTTAGCCACCGATTAATTCTTTTATATTCACGAATAGTTCAAAATCGTTCTGTGAAACGAAATCTGGAGCCATGGGCTCCGGGCGGGCAGGGTTCCGCACAGCTCTTCGGGTCTGGTTCTTCTTTCCTCAGGCTCCGCGTGGAGCCCTGGGCCTGGCAGACACAAGTTTCTCTCCCTCCCATCCCCAGACCATCGAGAACATCAAGGTGGGGCTGCATGAGAAGGAGCTCTGGAAGAAGTTCCACGAGGCGGGCACCGAGATGATCATCACTAAGGCTGGCAGGTCAGCGCTGGGAGATTTACTTCCGGGGATGGCGGTGGGGAGCAAGGGGGGCCAGGGAGGTCCCTTAGAAGTCCTCTCGGCCCCGGCCTGGTGGCCTGTGGGAGGCCTCTCTGCCTCCTCGGGCGTCAGTGCCACCTCCCTTCGCAGCTTGGGACTGGGCCGCCAAAGCCCGCAGGGGGCCACCGCAGCCGCGCGGGCCTTGCGGGAAAGACCGAGGGGAGGGGCAGCGCTATGCAAATGAATCCAAACAGGGATCGCGACGCTCAAAAGTCCCAGCTCCAGCACTTTTGGCCCCCTGGGGGGCTGCTTTGCCCTCCTCTCTTTGAGGACCTGAGGAGGTTTCTCAGGAATGCATTGATTGGAGACCCAGAGATGCCTCTCAGCAGATGGGGAGAGGGAAATAGACTATGCTGTTCAGTTTTCATACATTTTCGTGAGTGACTCGAACCCCAAGTTTTTCATCCCAGGGGCGCCGCTCTTCTGTTTCCATCCCCATCTCTGGCCAACGGGAAAGCACTACGTTGGGCTCCGTGTGTGTTGTTGGGGGAGCGGCTCTCGGTGGCTGCCAGAAAAGGATGATTTATAAAGTGGAAACATCTTTAAAATGCGCTGGTGTCTGTGGGAGAGAACAGGGAGGAGAGGATGAGAGGAGGAAGACTCACGGCGGGGGTGGGGGTGAGTGAGAGATTCGCTGGGGCTGGTGGGGTGGGGGCAGGAGTGTGGAGGAGAACGGTTATCAGGTGAAGGTGGATTGCTGTAGACAGAGACGCTGGCAAGTTCAGGTTCAGGAACTCCCTCCCCACCCACTCTATCCCCTGCACATACACACACTTGATTTCTGTCCCTGAGGACAGATTAGGTGTGAAAATGTCCCTTTGCCTGGATGTGTCTCATAATTGGGATTTTGAAGGAATAAGATGATGAAGGCTCAAGTGCCAGGAATTTGGAGTCAGACCACGGTGGGTGAGGGCTGCAGTTCCAACTCAGCTACTTTCATCTGTGCAACCTCAGACAAGGTGCTTAATGGTCTCTGCTCCCTCCCCACTCCATCTGTAAAAGAACAGGTCTTGCCTCATACATTGTATGTAAAGCACCAAGTTCCTGTCACATGCAAGCACACAAGAAGTGCTAGCGAATAATATTAGCAATAATTAGAGAAGTGTCTGGCGTCCCACTCAGTATTTTCTTCTACTTTTTAGAGAACTCAGCTCTGCTGAACCACTTAGTGAATGATAGACTATTCAAAGGAAACAAAAAGCCGGCTGGTTTGCTGTGTGCAGCGTATGGGGTGCTGTGGTCCTTCCTCTCTGCTCCCTGGCAGGCCTTATAAAGTTTCCTTTCTTTTGTTGAGGGTGGAGGTCTGGGCACTTGGCCACCCTCAGGCCTTAGCCAGGGAGGTGGCATCACCACTCAGGGCCTCTATCAGGAGAGAAAGTAGGTTTAGTTTAGGGCTTGAGCTTGCTGTATTTTGGGGATGGAGATAGGGAAGGAAGACACATGAAGGGGCTGGCAGAGGGTGCGACATGGAGCAGGCATTGAGGACAGTGGAAGCCAGGTGTCACAGGCCCTGCCTCTTTCTGGCTGAGTGTACTTGGGCAAGTCACAGTCTCCTTGTAGCTCAGTGGTGTCAGGGAAATGGTGACCGTAGACCTATCTGCTGTCCCTTCCTTTTCTATCACTGTGAAACTCAAACCAGGGAATCACGTGGATGATGGTTGGTAAATGGATAATCCACTTGATCAAGTGCGAAGGGGAATGGGGCTATTTCTTGTGCCTGCTAGTGTGGAAAGAAGGTAAGAAAGAGAAAGGTTCAGAACTGCCATTTTTAGGCAGCAGAAATAACCTTGTCTCTTGAAAATAACTGGCCAGCATGTTCTCTGGGCATGTCTGGCCTTTGGCATTTTAAACAAAGGGCATTTTTGTTTGTTTGTTTTCCTCAGTAGTGTTTCCTGCATCTGCATGGGTCCTCCTCCTCCCTCTCCCAACACATACACTTATACACATACTTCCATAGGTGGCCAGCTTCAGGCAGATGTTTGTGCTTGATCCTAGTTGAGGCTTAGAGATGGACCTTAGGGAATTATGATAATATTTCTAAAATGGCTGTGATGATGTTGGCCAATTATGGATCCATCACAGCCTTTCACTTCTCTGGCAGAAAGTTATCCTTGCACTGGGTCTGGTTCTTAAGAAAATCACTAGTCTCATGCCCCCAACCCCTCACCCCTCACAGACCCCATTTCCTCCTTCATAGCTGCCCCCCTCCTTCAGCAACCACTGTATTGCTCTGATCTACGTTACTCAGGCTGTGGTTCTTCAACATCCTGTCCAGTGCCTCTCCCTGCTCCCCAAATTCTGTGTGCCTCTACTGGAACCCTTCTTGGTACACGTCCATTTGTCAGCCTGGGCCCTGCTGCTAAACCTGGAATCATAGCTTCCTAGATGGCTAGAGCTGGAGGAGAACCAAGAGAACGTAAACCAAACCCCAGAGAAGGGAAGTTAGGCAGTTACCAGGTCCACACAGGAAAACAGATGAGACACCCCACCCCCAGAACACAGCCCCTACTTTGATAAGTTCCCTTGATTGCTTTTTTACGGGGTCCTATTCAGTGTGGATTGTGGCTCTGCCCTAGAGACCCTGGCTGATTAGGGACACGATAACTGCCATCTGGCTGGGTAGGAGCAGGCCCTGGAAAAGGGGAGCCAGAATGTTCTCAAGCCAGGTTGAGTTCTCAGATCACAAGTTTCCTTCCTACCTTAGCCCTTTGGGTCCTTGAGAGTCTTGAAGGTTGACAGAGAGAAGAATCCCTTTCACTGGATAGTGACTTTGAACTGCCAAACAATTTGGCCTGGTGGATAAAATGCCAACCACAGTGGGAGCCACCAGTTTCTGAATACTCAGCGACCTCCATGTCAGGTGTGAAATGGGGGCCACAGCCCTCCGCAGCCCGTCTCAGTCTCTTGGGTCTCTGTGTCCAGAGGGTTCGTGCTGATAGCCGCAGACAGCAGATCCCTCTCTTGGCCTCCCCACATCCCTGCCAAGCTTGATACATGTGAGAAACTGCATTTTCTCCCAAACATAGATAAAAGTGAGCTCCACAAAAAAATTTAAATATAAACCTCCCCAAAATGAAAATTGCCTAACTGTCTCACTGCCCTACTCCTAGGTCAGGGTTTTGCCACCAGATAAATCTCCACTATCAGCCTTCATAGCCTGTTGAGTTCAATGTTGCTTGTGTTAGTGACAGTGAATTTGCGTTTGAAAAATGAACTACCGATGAGAACTCCTGTTGAACCTGTATTGTTTGTTATTCTGAGGCAAGGATTTGGCCCGGCTTAATCCGGGGCTTCAAAGCCAATTGCCCTCACTCTGTATACAGAGCGTCAGAGCCCAGTGGCGTGGATGATAAGAGAAGTAAGGGTTGAAGACACTGGGAAAGTGGGTTGGGGAGAGAGTGCTTTGATCTCTTTTTAAAGTATTTTCTGAAAGCAAAAGTCTATCAGAAGGAAGTGCCTTTAAAAAAAATCTAAGAGAAGCAACCGATCTTCCAAAACAACATCCATTCCACACACTCTCACCCCTGCCCCTCCCTCAGGGAAAAGATTTCTTAAATATGCTTTGGGTGAATTAGAAAACTGTGTGTGTATGCCTCTATGTATGTGTGTGAAACGTGGAAATCGATTTATTATCTTCAAAATCAGAACTCACTTGGCTACAGAAGGCTTGGTCTCAGTGTAGGTGGCACCAGCAGCCCCACTCCTAACCCCAGCCTTGGATGCTGGGCCCTGGCCTCTTCCCCGTACACCCAGGATTCCTCCTGAAAAGCCCCCACGGACATCAGGGTTGGAGAAACAAAGGGTTTTAAGGGGACCCCTGCCATTTCACTGCTGTAGGGTTCTTTTCAGACTCTGAGCTCCAAGGCGCCTGTGTATGTGTACACACATATATAATTTTTAACCTAAATGTATTGAAGTGGAACATTCCTACAGAAGAGTCCACAGGTCTTAAGGGTGCAGCTTTACAGACTTGCACAAAATAAACACACTCGTGTAACCTTCATCCAGATAAAGAAATAGATCATCACCACCACCGCCCCAGAATCCTTCTTGTGTGCCTGCCCAGTCAGAGCCATCCCCACCTTTGAAACCGCTCTCTAGACTTCTGACCCCTTCTGGCTGGTGTTCCCCTACATTAAGGGAGGGTCCGTGTAGCTGTTCCTGGAGTCCCCAGGGACCTCCGAGAAAGTCGGGGCTGCAGCGGGGTTGGGGCTTGGGGGACCCTCCAGGTGGAGAGAATCTAGGGGTATCCCCTAGTCTCTGTCCCTTTCCCCAGGAAAGGGGCTGAGAGTAAGCGCCTTGAATTTGGCCACCGCTTTGGCCGGGGAGCTCCCGCGGCTCTCGCAGCGCAGCTAGAACTTGCGTGTTCCCTCAGCAGTGAGTTCGCAGTTACGGGTTTGTTGCCAGAATTAAAAAAGCCCCAAACCCTTGCCCCGCGCCCCGCGCGCCTCCAACACCGAGAAACGTCCGAGGAAGCTTATCTTAGCAGTTCATTCTAAAGCCATTTCCGAGTATGAATAGATAAAGGCTCCAGCTCCGCACCCTTTCAGAGCCTGTTTCATGATCAGAGGAGAAGCCCCGGGCTTTCATCTCCTCCCGGGCCGGCGAGCAGGCGGCTTGTTTATTCCCCTGGCGGAGCCGTTTCCGCGTGTGCCGTGGGGAGGGCGGGGGAGCCCCCATCTGTCTGGGGGCGCGGGAGCCCGACGGCGCGAGGGGAACTGGGGGAGCATGGAGAGGGCGCTTGGGGCGCGGAGAGAAGGTGCGGGGCACGTGGAAAGCGTGCCGAGGGGCTGGGAAGAGGGAGGGACAGGAGGACGGGGTGGGAGCAGGGAGAGGGTAGGGGGCATAGGGAGAGGGTGCAGGGAGGGGAGAGGGGGAGCGCGCAAGGAGGGGGCTGGCTGGGGCGGACCCAGAGGTAGAGCGCAGAGTGCCCGGGACAGGCGGGCTTCACCGCCAGCGCTGGTGGCAGGGCCTGCGTGGACACAGGCGGCACACACAGTGTCTTCCTTCTTGGTCACCTCCCCCACCCCAACACACAAACAGGGAGGCGTTGCTTTCCACCGTAGGGTGTTGGTTTTCAGGTACATTCTATGTCATAAATCACAGAAACAATTTACATCTCACTCCATCATTTCAAACCTTTCATGAGAGAGGCAGAGCTCACAGGAAGTCACAGCTCCCAAACCCAGCCTGGCCTCTGTCGCCTGAGGCATGCCACGCTGGGGAACACCCCCAAGTCAGGCGTCTAGGCACCAACTTTAGTCCCTTCAAGAACCCAAGGGCAGATGCCCAAGGGGCCTTGAATTCTCCCCTCGACCTGGGCAGGAAGCCAATGGAGGGGACAGAGGGGGCCTCACTTTCACAGGCAGCCCTTTCCCAACGCTGGGTGGACCCTTCCTCCTTCTGGAGCCACCTAGGCAGGGAAACGGTAGTGCTTAGGGCCCCCCACCCCACCCCAGAGTGGGTTCTGCATGGCTCAGAAGCAGTCCCCCAACTAGACCCTGCCAAGACCTAGACATCTGTTGCATTGAAGGCAATGGAACTCCCTGAGGCAGTTCAGGCCACAGCAGAGGGCTTTTGAACTCCCCATTCAGACCAGACATCCTACGTCCCTGTCCCTCGGCTTCTGAGCGCTGCTGCCTTAGGTAGAGGGGAATTGGTGGGCAGGGGAGGCGAGGCTGGGAGGTACTCCCCTTCCCTGTGCCGACGCCCACATCTCCTTATCAGTCAGGAATCTGGCCTACGATCAGCTTCCAGCAGGGGCCAGGTCCCAAGACACCAGCTGGGGCTGCAGAGAACAGGCTCCTCAAAGGCCTTCCAGAAAGCACTTAGTTAGTGTCAGCCTGGCCCCCTGGGCTGTGGAAATGAAGCCCAGCAGGGAGAAGGAGAGGGGAAGGCCAGGGCCCCTTAGCCTCCTCTCAGCCTAGGCTATGACGCGTGCCAAAGTGGCAGTGAGCCCTTCGCTCCTGGCCCCCTATGTGGACACTGGCCCTGGAGGGAAGCCATGGCTGCCCTCTGCTGTTGCCACCTGGAATGATGACAGGAAACAAGCTGAGTGCAGGCCCCCGGTGCCAGGCCAGCCCAAGTATGGCCAGGGCTGCCCCATTTTGTGGCTGTTTCTGTGGCAGTTACAAAATGGTGGCCTGCAGGGGGCGGGATTCTTGGCCTTACCCCAGGGAAGGGGGAGGTGAGGCAGCTGCTGCCCTCCCTGCTTCAGCTGTTGGCCCACCAGGAGAGAGGCAGGGCCGGGAAAGGGTGGTGCAAGATCCAGCTGCGCCCCCAGGCCCCATAGGGGGGCTGGTAAGCAGGAGGCAGGGTTGGGTTCCTGAGCCCCTCACTTCCCCCATTCCTGGAGAGGGGGTGGGGTGGGTATTTGAAAATGCTTTCAATTGACATCTGAGACAAATTCTTCCACAAGGTTTATAAGTCCCTAGACTTGCAGCTAGAACTTCCCTCCTCCCTCCAGGCACGCACACATCCACACATGCGCACTTGCACACCGCTCACATGCGCCTGGGCACACACACCCCACATCCCCACGTCCCCGCCCTGCAGTGCTTGCACAGGCCTCTCCTCCAGCAAGAGAGGGGCACAGGCGGGGCTGGGTGGGGCGTGGGCTGGCAAGGAAGTGAACCCTCCACCTCGGTCGGGGTCCTCGCCTGGGCTTAGGGCCCGCCAGCTTATAGAGGCCTTGATCCTTTCTGGAAGCCCTGTTCTGTCCAGGTAAGCTGGTGCCCCTGGTGACAAAATAGGGGCCTCTGATCAGCTGTTTGTGGCATCTTGGACAGCTTCTCCAGGGTCCCGTACTGTCTTGGGTTAGTGAGAGGCAGAGAACCACCTGATGGTTGTCCCAGAGTGGACCAGCCGGGCAGTGGCACAGCTCAGTGGGGCTTAGTGTCTTCACTGTGTCTTCAGCTAGGTTTGGATCCTGTTTCTCTTGGGGAACACCTTTGTGGAAGATCAGCTGGGGTGGGGGATGGAGTCTGAGGAGGATCGTGGGAAGTTCCGTTCTTCCCTCTGGTGAAGTCAGGGACCTAGTGACTAGGGGAGGGAGCTGTGCCCAGAGCGTTTGTGTATGCGCTGTGCTGTTGTGTGTGCGTATGTGCTGAGGGGTGTGCGGAAGCCCCCTCTAGAATGTGCCTCGAACCTCAGGGCCCTTGACAGCCTCAGCATGGGCTGCAGGAAATGACAAACTTTCTGGGTTTTGGTGAATCCATTTTCACAGAAGTAGGTCATACCACTTCTCCATTTACTTTGCTGAGGGAGGAGTGCAGCAGGGGTCCGTGGTAATTCACGCAGCAATCTATGAGATAGGTGGTAATGTTATCCTCATTTTAGAGATAAGGAAACCAAGGCACAGAGAGGTTCAAGCAAGTTGCCTAAGGCTTATCAGTGGGGTCCAGGCTGTGACCATGGCAGGTGGTTTCAGAATCCATGCCCTCTCTTATCCATGAGGCTCCTGGACCGACTTTCCCCTGATACTCAGGGTGCACAGGTCCAGGTGAGGTGTTCACAGGGAGAAGTACCCCCGATAGACACACTGGAAGAACCCAAACCTAGCAGGGTTTTGGACAGCAGTCTCCTGTTTTCCTGCAAGCTGGTTTTAGGCCTAAGGATTTCCACAGAGGCATGACCCAGAGGAGGCAGCTCATTATTTATGGAAGCAGCTGACGGGGGTTTCCGTCCCCCTATAACTGCACCCCAGAACTTCACTTGTGTGTGGGCTGGCAAAGGACAGGAGGGAAATTAAGGCAGCAAGGTTGGCGTCAGAATCTGCTCCCACAATCCTGACTGGGGTCTCTGTGCTTCAGCTGCTCATGGGCACTAGCCCCAAGTCTTAGGGGATTATGGGGGAGGGGATAAGTGAATTTGGGAAATGGTGTAAACTCTCCTCCTAGACACAGACTGATAGCTGCAGGGGCTCAGAGACAGCAGCCAGTGCCACCTTTTCACTGTGCAGCTCGGGCAGAGGGGGAAGTGAGTTGTGCAGGTCACACAGCTGTGACCAATGCCAGGATCGCTGGCCAAAAGGGCAGCATCTGTTAGCGGCCTTCTGCCCCCTTGCTCACTCTGTTCCATCTCTCCTGGTGCTCTGTCCACACGCTCCGCCTCACCCCTCGGCTCCCCCAGGAGGATGTTCCCCAGCTACAAGGTAAAAGTCACAGGCATGAACCCCAAGACCAAGTATATCCTGCTGATTGACATTGTCCCTGCCGATGACCATCGCTACAAGTTCTGTGACAACAAATGGTAAGTGGACCCTGACCGCATCACCCACGTTCCCTCAACTGCCCACTTGCCACGCCCCCACCTAGTGTTTTGTCCGGGGGATTTCTTAGCTACCTGAGTGACTGCCCAGGTCTGCAGGCTGGAGTCCACTGCCTGGAACTGGCTGTGCGGAGGCTGAGGTGGTCAGCGAATGTCTGCATGCCTGCTTCAGGTGGGGCTGGGTTTGGGCTGAAAAGCAGCTGCGTGTTTGGGAGTTTGGTGGATCGCAAGGGTCTGTACTCTCCTTATGGCCGTGGGTAGTCAGGACTTGGTAACTATGCTGTCAGGTGACAGACAAATCATTAACACTGGCCAGATTTAGACTGTCAGTGCTTCACTGTGGGGAAGATGGGAGCAGTTCTCTTGGGGACTTTAAGGGCAAGCCATTACCTGCTGTGTGGGGGCACTCGCCTGTTTCTCCATGTTCTCCTTGGCTTCAGGCCCCTCCAGCCATCCAGACGAAGTGAGGCTCCACCAGGGGGTTGGTGGATGGGACCCTTTGGCAAGGGGCTGGGAGACATAGAGAGGTAAAGGGACAAAACCAAAAGGGGCCAGGTAAATAAACGCTGGGCTACCTTTCATGAAGCCAACTCCTTAGTCCCTGACTGCCTGGGAGCTCGGAACAGCGCTCCAGGAGCGAGCAGCCAGCCAGGACACTGGGCTCCGTGGCAAGTGAGCCACAGAGCTGGAGAGATTGGGCCGAGCAGGCAGGATTTGGTGGCCACGTCCTGGCAAGGGCCATGTTTCTGTTTCTTCTCCCTCTCTGGGCTAGAACTCAGAGCAGGCTCTGGCTGCGGGGAGAGCTACCAATTAATTTCTTACCATTGTTTTGGGGACAAGCCTTTTGAGAGTTGTCTAGGTCCTCTGAGAAGCTCCCTCTAAATAATATAATTTATAACATGTGACAATCATAATCATACCAGGTGTAGCGGCTCATATCTGTAATCCCAGCTACTCTGGAGGCAGAGGCAGGAGGATGACTTGAAGGTCAGGAGTTTGAGACCAGCCTGGGTAATATAGTAAGATCCTTGTCTCTGTAAAAAATGTAAAAAGTTAACTGGGCATGGAGGTGCATGCCTGTAGTCACAGCTACTTGGGAGGCTGAGGCAGAAGGATTGCTTGAGCCCAGGAATTGGAGGCTGCAGGGAGCTATGATCATACCACTAGCATGGGTGACAGAGTGAGAACCTGTCTCTTAAAAAGAAAAAAAAATTTTAAATCATAAGTGTAAATATACATAGAAGTGCCTAAATCTCCTCACAATATCTTTGTGATTAGCCCCAGTCCTTCAATTAAATGATCCCATTTCCCTGTAACCTCCCTTTTCTTTTCTACTGCAGTAAAATAAAGGAGATTCAGAACTGCTCTCTCCTCCTCAGCATTCTCTCCTCTGAACCTCACACTCCTACCCTTGAAGTACTAATTTGACAATGTGGTGGGACCAGCAGCTATTTTTTCCTCTGGTCAATGGGGGTTTGCTCCAAGAGGGGACGGGGAATCTGGCCTCACCAGCCCCTGGAGTAATCACCTGCTCTTATCTGCTCTGTTGGCAGGATGGTGGCAGGGAAGGCTGAGCCAGCCATGCCAGGAAGGCTGTATGTCCACCCGGATTCTCCTGCCACAGGAGCCCACTGGATGCGGCAGCTGGTCTCCTTCCAGAAGCTGAAGCTGACAAACAACCACCTGGACCCCTTTGGCCATGTAAGCATGGGGGCTGCCTGGCCCCAGGAGGCAAGTCTGGGGCAGTTTTAGGGGTGGGACAGGCCAGGATGGGGATAGGGAGAATCCACTCCGGGATCCAGCTCCAGGCTTTGGCGCTCACTGACCAGTTTAGGGAAGGAGCTCAAGCCTCTGAGGCCTGCAGAGAGCTGGACTTCCTTCCCGGCCACTTACTGGCTGGGTAACTCTGGACAATCGTCTCAGCCTTTTTGAGCCTCACTTTCCTTGTCTAGAAAATGGAGATGACCACATGTACCTTTCATGGCTGTGAGACTTAAATGAGAGGGTTTACCGGAAGCACTTTGCACGTAGGAGGGGCTAAATAAATGGCAGCTATGATGATAAAGGTGACGGGTCAGATCTCAGCTTCAGTTCCCCAAAATCTTGCCTTGCTGGAACATAACACAAGAGGGGTAAGCCTTTTCGAGCGAGAGTCACGGATATGTTCCAAAGCCCCTCTTTGGTGTGTACCGTCTGCCTGGCCTGACAGCCGCCTGCTTCTGGGAGAAAAGACCTTGCTCTGGCTCACATGTTAGCTCCTGCTGGATTTGGCCTGGTCCTTACAGAAGAGATTCTGAAGCCCCAGGGATGCTGCTGACGCCCCATCCAGGCAGCCCAAGCTCATTCTTTCCCCATCTGGCCCTGGAAAGTCCACAAAAAAGAGATTTTTATGTGGAAATTTTTAGCTCAAGTGTGTGGCAAACAGAAGTCTGGGGACCTGGTACTATCTGCCAGGGCACAGGCCCCTCCCCTCGAGACTGCCCGTGGTTTCTGGGGAAGTGCAGGGCAGGGGCAGTGGAGGCTTTGAGATGCAGGTGTGGCTGTTGGGGTTACGAGATGTGCAGGTATGTCCCGCTTTTACGTCCCAGCTCTGAAGCATAGTTCCTATGGAAAACTCCAGCCATGCTTCTTTTCTGATTGATGGGTATGTAACTGGCATTGAGCTTCTAGTTTTAATTTCTCAGAATCTATTCAGTTCGCTTCTGAGTCATTGGTGAGCTATAAACAAGCAGCTAGGAGAATGTTTAATTAATGCAGTCAACTCCTGACTTATCTTATCTGGTTTGTGAGTCCCTTTGCTGGGTTTCCCATACAGGGCAGGCAGATTCCCAATGGGGAGGATCAGCCAAGTTCCCACCTCCCCGAGCCCCAAGGCATTTCAGCTGAGAGGCAGAGGGGCTTCCTGGGTCTCCCTGGGCACCATCCTGGTCAAGACTTTGTTCCCAGTCAACTCCTACCCAACTTCCTATGCTTGGCCAGGCTGTGGCACCAGCCTCAAAGGGTAGGGAGGGTCTCTGTGTGGGGAGGCTAGGGAACCTGGCCCACGACGGCACACACACACAGACCCCATGGGGGGCGAATACAGAGCTTGTGGGGAGCTGCATCTTTGGGTGGCCATTTGTCCCTAGAGATCCAAACCTGGAGAGGATTTTGGATGAGCCAGCTTGTTGTCAGGGCTGCCAGCTGCAGGGATGTCTCAGAGGACACCTCTGCTTCCCTGACCTCTAGAAAGTGAGAGCAGAGGGAGTTAAGGGCTGGAAAGCTGCGCCTTCTTTAGGAAGTGGGAGAGAGCGCTCTGGCCTTCACAGCCCAGCAGTAGCTTTTCACAGCCTGGCTAACCTCTTCAGTAGCTCTCCCTGGGTCTGTGAGTGGTTTGTGATAAACTGCATAGAAGTCAGGGCCAGTGAGGCTGCTTGATGGGCTTGTGATGCTGGGGGTGCCCCTGGCTGCATCTGCCGTGCCTGCCTGGCGCTTCCCTTGCCTTGATGATAGGGATACTACCCACAGGAACTCAGCTTTTTCCCTGGATGAGTGGGACGCAGAGCATCTTCCTTCTCCCTTCATCCCCACACTTACCCAGTACTTGCAGTTTATTGGCTACAACAGCCCTGTGGGTGTGGCAGGGCCCAGGTACCGTCTCAGACCCAGGCCTTCTGCTTCCAGGTCCAGTGTCTCTGGGCTTCTCCACTGCCTTTCTGTACCCAGGGCTCTCGCTGCGGTATCTTCACCTATTTAGAGAACCCTTGAAGAGGGAGCAGCCTCTGGCCATTCAGACAAGGGCTGTGGAGAGACATATCAGGGCACAGCAACCCATTTGGACATTGATTTTCTTCTGCCTCTTGGCCCGTGCCCGTGGGAGTGGTGAGCTCCCATTGAAGGATGAAGGAGTCACCCTTCTTGGCTTCTCAGTGCAAGAGGCTGGGGAAAAGCCACGTTGTATTGGGAATTGCCCTTCCTTCTGCACAACCACTTCTACGTTTTCAGCTTGCCCTGAAAGCTTCCAGGCCTCAAGGGACTTTCTCCAGCCACATGGGCTTGGACTTTTCTTGGGGATCCTCACGGTATCCCAGGAGCTTGAGCAGCTGCCTCCTATTGGCAGCCCTCACCCCCAACTCCTGCCCAAAAGGGTGGGCTCTCTCCTCGCGAAAGGGCAAGTTGAGAGCTCATGAGAGTGGCTGTGGTATCATCTTGGGGTCCAACAGGTGGACTCAGTGTCCTTCTAGCCTGGAGATCCCTGGGCCCAAGCCATCCCATTTCCTCATCCCAGGAGATGAGCAGGGTGGCTCATGTGTCTGCTTGCTGGTGCCTTAAGGCTTCAAAGAGCAGGAAGCCCTGACTGTCGGGGAGGGGGTGTGGAACAACTATTTTGGGATAATCCGGGTTTTCCTATCATTCAAGATTCCTTTCTTCCATGAATGCTGCTCTTCTCTGAAGTCTGAGGACCTTAGATTGAAGTCTTGGGCCTGGTAGCCTGTCCTGTATGGCACATGGGGCCCTGGAACAGGAACCTCTCAGACCACATGGCCAGAACCTCCTAAAAGGACTGAGCTCCCACTAGAACAACACTCCTTGTGGGTTTTTGCTGTGGGATTAGGAAAGCCTTCACAGCAGAAATCCACAAGGAATTTTCCAGTCTGAACCTTGGAAGGCAGGTTCAGGAGGGCAGATTCAGACCTGGGCGTCAGCTCCAGTCCCGAGGTTGGGCCAGGCGGGAGCAGAAAGGACCAAGGGGCTGGGGCTGGATGAGCTGCCTCCAGGTGGCCTGAATTCAGCTTTGCTTCTGCTGTTCTGCTGGCCACAGAAGCTGCCTGCCCACTGTCCCTCCTGCCTGCCACTACCTCCCACGCCCAGCAGGGTCCTGTGCCCGGCGACTATGAGATGGGAAAGGAAACTGCTTCCCTCGGCTTTCTTCCTCTTCTCCTCTTCTGAATAAGCTTCTAGCAATACCTGGGCTTCAGGAAGTCAGGGAGGGCCTCACTGGGGCATAGGCGGGACCTGTATCCTGTAGCACGATGAGGAAATGGTGGCATGCAGGTATCCCAGATTGCTGAGGAGGGAGGGCCAGTTTATGATTTCTGACGCAGTGAGTCCAACTGTTGGAGGGGCTGCATTAGCCCCTGGGCTAGAGGTGTGGGCTGCAGTTCCTCAGTCACAAAGTAGCACGCATTAGTCCCCTTAATATGCGACTTCCTTCTAGCCACTGGGCTTCATAACTGGCATAGGCCTGACTGCCACACCCTTAGGCCTGGGACTATTTTCCCACCTTCTTCACCTAGGTAGCTACTCCTGAGCTGCGAGATCCAAGCTCAAATGCACCTTCTTCAGAGAGAAAGGTTGGGGTCCTCATTCCATGCTGTCAGAGCACTATGCACCTTTTCATGCTAGTACTTGCCAAGGTTATAATTTTATACCTATTTGCATCTTAACATTTTATTTATGAATAGGAAATACTTTCACAAGCTTTAAACATAAATCATTGAACAAATTAAAATGTCTACAATACGACATCTCTCTCTACTTGTTCCTGATCCACTGTTTCTTTCAACCCCCAGTACAGGCAACCATGGCTACCAATTTCTTTTCAGCATTTTTTTTTTTTTTTTGCACATAGGCAGAATGTGTAATCTGGAATCCCCTCTTTTACACACAAAAGGTAGCATACTATAGAAACATTTTTTGCATTTGCTCTGTAAACTTAATAATATCTCTTGGAGAATAGTCTATTCAGAGAGGGCTTCCTCATCCCTTTTGCAGCTGCACAGAATTATTATTATTTTAATTTCTTTGAGATAGAGTTTCGCTCTTGTTGCCCAGGCTGGAGTGCAATGGTGTGATCTTGGCTGACTGCAGCCTCCACCTCCCGGGTTCAATCAATTCTCCTGCCTCAGCCTCCTGAATAGCTGGGATTACAGGTGCCTGCCACTATGCCCAGCTAATTTTTTTTTTTTTTTTTTTTTTTTTTTTTTTAGTAGAGACAGGGTTTCACCATGTTGATCAGACTAGTCTCAAACTCTGACCTCAGGTGATCCACCTGCCTCGGCCTCCCAAAGTGCTGGGATTGCAGGCGTGTGCCACCGCGCCCGGCCTGCAGCTGCATAGAATTTTATCAAAATGATTGTTTCAGAAATCATGTAGCCAGTTCTTGTTGAAGGAATTAGATGTTTTTTTATTCTTTGCTCTTCTGATTAAGCTTGTACATATGCCATTTTATGCTGTGCCAAGTATATCTGTGAGATAAATGGCCTGTTCAAAGGGTACGTGGATTTGTAACTTTGAAAATATCACCAAATTCCCCTCCATGGGAGCTGTACTGATGTATATATTTCCACCACTGCTGTGGCCTTACCAATAAGGGCGGGAGAGCAAACTTGTGGATTTTTGTCAGTTTGACAGGTGAAATGTGGATATCAGTGTTAGCTTTAATTTGCATTTCCTTTATTATGAGTAAGGTTAAGCATCTTCTTTTAATAAATTTCCTCTCCTGCGAACTGCTGTTCTCATCCTTTGCTCATTTTTCTTGTAGGTTTTTGATATCAATTTCTAGGAACTCTTATAAATTAGGAGGATGTAGCTCTTATCTGTGATGAGTTACACATGTCCAGGTTATCATTTGTCATTTGGTTTTGCCTGTAGTGATATTCCCACACCGATGCTTTTGATTGAATTGACCAGTCTTTTCCTTATAGATTTTGGATTTTGAGTTATTGAAAGCCCTAACCCCCCTCCTTACTTATAAGGGACTTTTCTTTTAGTATTTTATGGATTTATTTTTACATTTAAACCATTGATCCTTTTGAAATTTATCCTGGCATTGATTTGAGGTGTGAATCCAATTTTTTTTTTTTTTCTACAGAGCTATCCAGTTGTCCCAGCATCACTAATTGAGTTGTCCCCTTTCCTCCCCTGGTTGAGGTGCCTTATTTCTGAACACTAAATCCCTATATGAATGTGTGCCTGTTCACACGCCAGTCTTTTAACTGTTGAGACTGGATAATAGGTTTTAGTGTTTGGCAGGACTGGGCCTCCTTGATCTTCTTCAGAGTTTTCTTGGCTAGTCTTGTCTATTTTTTCACATAAATTTTAGAATAAGCTTGTAGTGTTAAAAAAGGAGCTTATTTGTATTTTTATTGGATTTTCCTTAAATTATAAATTTACTTAGAGAAGACTGATAGGAAGGCTTTTCTATTTGCTGAGGGTTTTCTGGTTCTTCAAAACGTATTCAGGTTTCCTTGAAATGGCCCTGCACGTTTCTTGTTAGGTGTGTCACCTGATTTGTTACCATGATAAATGCAGCCTTTCTTTCACTACATTTTCTCACCACTTATTTCTGCTCATTTTCGGAGTTACTATGTGACTGCCCCACCAGATAGTAAACCATGAGGTTTCCAATCACTGTGACATCCTAGTGCCTAGCCACCGTGTCTGGCAAGCCAGCGGGTGCTGGTGGATGGTAAGTGCATGAGAAACTCCTGAAGGGGGTGGTAATCAGACAGCAAAGCCACTTCCCCTGCCAGGGGCAGATGTCCCCCCAAAGCTTATGCTGCTAATCTGCCAGTGGGGACCCAGAGCTATTTATCTCCCTCTTTCCTCCTTTCCTCCCACATTTGCTGATCCCTGACAATGTGGCAAGCCCTGAACTCCAGATCAGGTCCCACCCTCCCCAGCCAGGTTAAGGTATGAACTCAGGCTTGGAAACTAGTACCAATTCTGGCTGTGCCTGAAATCGGCTGTCTGATGCTGGGCAAATGCCTGCACCTCCCTGACCCTCAGTCCCTTGCCTGTTAAAATAAGGGCAATAATAATTAATGCCTACTTTATACGGATACTGTAAAGATTAATTTTATGGTGAATGTAAATGGCTTAGCACAGGGCCTGGCACATAAGCTATGCTCAGTAAGTGCCAGCTGTTACTGCTGTTGCTGTGGCAGAAGGCAGGAAGGTTTGGAGGCCCCACGGTACCACCCCAGTGTTGCTCGCATGGGAGTGATGCCTAAGGTTCCCTGGGCAAGGCCTCTTGAGTGGGCTGATGGGCTCCCTGACTTAGATCTAGTTTGAATTTTCCTTGGATGCACCTCTTATCATCCGGGGTCTCAGTTTTCTTTCTTTCCTTCTTTGGTGTTTAAGCTGAGATCCTGTCACTGTCCTAACCTCTTTGTAGGGCTGGGGAGGATCAGAAGGATGATGGAGAAGGTAGTCACAGAAAATAAAATTATGATGCAGGGTAAATCTGGTTTTAGTATCTGACAAAATGGACATTAGCCACACTTTTGAGGGGCTAGCATCCAGATAACATGTGTTCTGTGTTCTGTAGGGCCTGCTGACCCAAGTCCCTTACAGTGTTTAATTGGCACCTTCTCATTAACTCTGAGCTTGTTGAGAGCAGTGTGTGCTCTCTCACAGGCCATCTGGATCCTGCTCCAGACTGTGTCTCCAACCAGCTGTGTGTTCCTGGGCGAGTCACGTCTCCACTACCAGCATTCTGTTCCTCATCTGTAAAATTAGAGAGCTGGACACGAATGATCTCAATGGCCTGCCTCTCCATGCCCTAATGTTCTGTGATTCCAATGTAGATAGATCTGGGCTTTATTGGCCAAGCACGCTATGGCGATCTCTTGAGGAGAGGGATGTTTGGCGCAATTGCAGTTGTTAAAATAGAACAGGCTTCTGAATTGTGGCCAGAACATAATGAATCCCATTTCTGTGAAACGATGATGACGGAACCAGTCATGTAGTGGGGTTGTTGACGTGGCTGGCCCATTTGGCCCCATATCCTCTGCAGCAAATATAAATGTGAAACTCTGGCAAAGTAGTTTAATGTGGCGCCTGAGGAACTTCCGAGCAAAGCCAGGTGTGTGAGTCACTGAGTTGGTTTCACATTCTCCCGGCTGATGGGACTAAGGCTCAAGTTTATACTTGTCTTGGCTCAATGGGTGGGACTTTCTTCCAGATACCTGTCCAGGTTCTAGACTGTCGGAGTCAGAAGGGGTGTTTGGGACCACTTAGTCAAAGGCCCCACTTCATAGATGGGGACCCCAATGGTTGGAGAAGGAGAAGAGCTTGCTCAGGACTTGACGCTGGTGAACAGAGATCATGACGGCGTCTGCACCCTTCTTGACTTCTCTATGACCGGGGTTACCCTCACCTAGTGGCTCCCACCTGCCCCTGTAGGACTGGCAGCTTCCCTCTTTGCAGGTTTCCCTGTGAGCCTGGCTGGTTCCCTGCCTCGGAAGATGTGTTGGGCACTCTCTCCACCCTAGTCATCAGGGACTTTGTCTGACGGGCTAAGGAGTTTGGCCTTTATTCCAAGGGTCAAGAGGGAACAATCAAAGGTGGATTGTGTACATAAGGCATTTACTGAGCCCCATATACTGGCAGCAGTGGTAGGAGGGGATGTGGGGGAAAGAGGAGGAAATACAAAAGGCCCTGCTCTTAAGCAATGCACATCTTCCTGAATTTCCCAGAAGGTTCTGAGCAGGGGAGTGAACTGATGGGATGTGTTTCAGGAGGAAATGGAGAGAAAGTAGATGGAGGTAGGGGGAGGCTGTCCTAGCAGCCCAGCCAAAGATGGTGGGGCCTGAAGCAGGGGTGTGCAAAAGGAATGGAGGGGCTTTTGTTTTATAGATAGAGTCACAGGAATCGGTCACTGAGTGGACCTGGAGGTGGATGACAGTGAGGAGGAGGGGAGTTGATGATGATACCCAGGGCTTTGACGAGCCCACGACTGCTTGTGACTGCCCAGGTGTCACAGGAGCAGGGTGGCTGCTGCCATGTGTCCTAGTGTCCTGCACAGCCTTCATGAGGTGCTGGTGCCTATGGCTCTGTCCTGGGTTCTCTCAGCCCACGGTCTTTGTTCTCCCTTTGCGCTGCCACCTTTGGAGAGCTAGAGTGACTGGGGGAGGCCTTCATGCCAAGGAGCTGGCACATCGGGGAACTCATGGGAGATCATCTCTGCACATGTTTCATCACCACTTTTGACCTAGGAAATGCCTTAGAGATGATCTCGTCTTTAGTGAGCAAGCAAAGACCAGAGAGGAGGGGACTTGCCCACGTTCCCACGGAGGGTTTGTGGTCGTGGCCCAGATCTTCCCACTCTCAAACCCGACCTTGCACTCACTAGATCCTGTCTGGGGGCAAAGGAGCCTGGAGGTACAAAAGGATAAAAGGTATAGCCCTTTCTCCTGAGGAGTTTAGAGTTTAATTGAAGGGACAAGAAGAAATAGGAAGCCACTAGGATGCAGAATGACAACCAGGTAGATAACACATGAGAAGTAAGTTTCAGAACTGGGCGTTCAGAGCAGGCCCTTGTACCTGAGACTTCCTGGAAGATCTGGGTCTTCCTAGAAGAGATGTTAGGCCCAGAAGGTGAGAAAAGAATGGGAAAGGAAGATCGAGACAGCAGAGGGACCTGCATGTGCAAAGGTGCACAGGTAGGAACTGGGCATTCCTGGAGCTATCGGGCCACCTCCCAGGTATTCCATTGCTGGATCTTCCGGGAACGTGGGTCCTTTGTGGATGCCTGCAGCTCTGTGAATAGTGCACGGTGATGGAGTCACCTAAAGGGGCTGGGAGGTGTTTTCCAGGCCCAGTTCCTCTCGCCACAGGAGCATCCCCAGCGTCCTGGAAAGGGACAGACATCGAGGCCTCTCTGAGCGGGACCTGTGTCCTGTAGCCTCACTCTGCATTCCTCACCTGGCAGGCCCCCAGTCGGGCAGCAGGTCCCCAGCTGCAGGACCTGGTTTGGGGTTTGGGAGTTATGTACTTGCCTCGTGAAGGTCTGGAGGTTTGTCACTGAGGGCTGAGGCGGGAGTGGCCAGTGCAGAAGGCAGAAAGTGTGGTTCCTGCTGGATGGAGTCACCCAGCTCAACCGAGGAGCCCAGGGAAGGCCAGTACCCACAGCCCAGGTCCTGGCCCACCCATTCCTCAGCTGAGCTGGCTCTCTAGGCTATCCCTGTGCCCCAGGGCACGATAAGAGCAGAGTCTTCCCAGACTAAGACTTTGGCCAAGGTTTGCCATAAAAGAGCCTGACTCTGGCCTTTCTCTTGGCACTCTGGTCACTAACAGGTTAAACCTTTCATTCAGCGTCAGTACCAGGTCCCATCCCTGGGAACCTAGAAGGGTGGCAGCCCAACGACCAACCCAAGGAAAGGGCACTGCCAGCTACGGAGAGGGGAGCTCAGAGGGGAAGGGGACCCGAGGGCCCGCCTGGCCTGGCCAGGACAGAAACCGAAGGGTTAACAGAAGCCGCAGGGCTGATAAAATGCCCCAAATTCCTGGTCCTGCCTTCAATGGGGAGGGCGTCTGGCAAATGTCAACGATAAAAAATACATTTTAATGGCACATGATGCAGCTGCTACCGTGGGGCGCAGCCAAATGAAGCAGGTTTGGAGCAGCAACTACTGTGAGCGGCCCCCGGGGGCTCTGGCAGCCGCGCCTCCAGGGCGCTTTGCTAAGCTTTGTCCAGCCGCGGCAACCCGCCTCCCCCAGCCCACGGCATCCTCAAGGGCCCTTGGGATCGGGGGCCTCTTGCCTTCTATGGCACTATTTTGGAAACTGTGCCGTCTCCTACCTTGGCACCTTGAACGCTTGAAGAGCTTCTCTGAGGGCTGGGAGCGGCCTTAGGCAGGTCTGAAGGCAGGATACATTTGGGTCTCCCCAGCACACCGTCAGCAGGCCTCTGTGAACGTTGAGAAATGCATAAACAAGGCTAGGTGCGGAGGCTCACGCCTGTAATCCCAGCACTTTGGGAGGCCAAGGTGGGCGGATCACTGGAGGTCAGGAGTTCGAGACCAGCCTGACCAACATGGTGAAACCCTGTCTCTTCTAAAAATATAAAAATTAGCTGGGAATGATGGAGCACACCTGTAATTTCAGCTACTTGGGAGGCTGAGGTACGAGAATCGCTTGAACCCAGGAAGTAGAGGTTGCAGTGAGCCAAGATTGCGGCACTGCAGTCCAGCCTGGGCAACAAGAGTGAGATTCCATCTCAAAAAAAAAAAAAAAAAAGAAAAAGAAAAAGAAAGAAAGAAAGGAAAGAAAAGAAATGCATGAACAAATGAGCAATGTGACAAAAAAAGTTACAGTGGGACATTTTCCTCAGCTTTTTCCCTCTCTCTCATCCTGCAAAACCCAAGTATTTCTAGAAGAGGCAGGTCATGTGTAAGAAGGGTATTGAGAAGAGGTGAGGCTGGAGGGGGACCCCTGAGGGAGGGAGGTTACATGTTATGATCCCATTTACAAATGTGGAAACTGAGGCACAGAGAAGCCCAGTGACTTGTCTGAGATCAAACAGTGACTCGGTGGCACCCTGGACTTTTGCTGACAGCTCACAATTCCACCTGCTACACTGTGCTGAGTTCACAGTGGGCTTTGACAGTGTTAAGGGCTGACTCAAGTTCTCCATTACCACAGTGAATCAACTGGTCACATCAAGGAGGGCCTGGAGCTGGGCATTAGTGCTGGTGCAGAGAGGCTAAGTAGGGCTGGGGTGGGGAGAGTTTGGGGCCCAGGGGCCTGGTTCTTCACTTGGGAGCTCCAGTCCTGGTCGGTAGGCCCCGGATCCTGGGCTTTGAGGAGAATGAGAAAAACCAGGCCAGGGCCAGAAGAATGAGGTCAAGGGCCTGGGGCTTGCGGATGGGGACCTGGAGCTCAGCATGAGACCCTTCTCTTCCAGATCATCCTCAACTCTATGCACAAGTACCAGCCGCGGCTCCACATCGTTAAGGCTGATGAGAACAATGCTTTCGGCTCCAAAAACACTGCTTTCTGCACCCACGTGTTCCCAGAGACCTCCTTCATCTCTGTGACCTCCTACCAGAATCACAAGGTACAGCCACTGCCCCACTGCCCCACAGCCCCACTTAACACCACCCTGCGTTCTCTTCCACCAGGCAGAGAGGCAGAGTGTGAAGCCAGAGTCCCAGCAGGGCTTGGGCAGGCCCAGTGCAGGGACCTCAGAAGCCTAGAGTCCCTCGGAGCCGCGAGCAAATCGAATGATGAACAGAAAAGGACCCTAGATATGTCCATCTCCAGCACAGAGGAATTACGGTCTCTGTGTTTTGGGGAATGGAGAAAATTGGCAACTGTAAAAACCAGGAGCTTGGAGTCTGCCTTGTGGTTTGAGCATTGGGCCCTTTCATTCCACAATGTTCTTTCTCCTGGTTCATCTCCTGGTGCCTTCAGAGACAGGGGTAGGGAATGGGGATAGGAGCCCTGGGGTGCTGTCAGCTGGGGTGTGGAAGCAGAGCCTGAGCGGAGGCCCTTCCCAGGCTGTGATAGGAGGTGCCCCAGCCACCTCCCACACTCACTACTGCCCTCCCCAGCCCGGCCACCCCCACTGCATCCCAGTCACTGACAGCCGTGCTCTGCCGCCCGTCTGCTTTCCACAGTATGCACACAGGGACTGGCAAGGTGGGCAGGGGTCACTGGGGAAGGGCCGTGGCTGTGGTGGATTTTAGGCAGAAGAGTGACAGAGTCGGAACTGCATCTAGAACGGTCACTCAGAGCCTGATGTAGTTGCACAGACTCAGGCAGCAGGCCCGGGATGCTCACTGGGAAGATGTTACAGGTCCCCAGGAGAGACCCATGGGGACAGAAGCCCGGCAGTGCGGAGGGCTGGGGAGCAGGAGAAAGAATCAGAGGGTGGAGAGCAAGGAGTAGGGAGCCAGGGACAAACCAGGTGTGAATGGCAAGGCCCACTTCCCCAGACCTGCCCCAGTTCTGCCTGTGCCTGGGGTTGGGGAGGAGGGAAGGCCAGAGGCCAGTCCAGTCCCACCCTCCTCCCCAAGGAGGGTAGTGAGAAGCGGTGAGGCTGGAGAGCGACCCCTGAGGGAGGGAGGTTACATGTTATGATCCCATTTACAAATGTGGAAACTGAGACACATTTGTGTGCCTCACACTGGTGACCCTATGTGTTTTCTCCCCACAGATCACCCAGCTGAAAATTGAGAACAACCCTTTTGCCAAGGGATTCCGGGGCAGTGATGACAGTGACCTGCGTGTGGCCCGACTGCAGAGGTGGGGCTGCGTAGCCTGGGGGTGGGGCGGGCAGATGGGATTCAGGCACGTGGCCTCTGTGACCCTCGATGTATCTTCACTCTCTTCCTGTCTCTCCTCCTGTCCTCCCCACCCCTTCAGCAAAGAATACCCCGTGATTTCCAAAAGCATCATGAGGCAGAGGCTCATCTCCCCCCAGCTCTCAGCCACACCGGACGTGGGCCCCCTGCTCGGCACCCACCAGGCACTCCAGCACTACCAGCACGAGAACGGGGCACACTCACAGCTCGCGGAGCCGCAGGACCTGCCCCTCAGCACCTTTCCCACCCAGAGGGACTCAAGCCTCTTCTATCACTGCCTGAAAAGACGAGGTAGGGCTCTCCTGGTCTAGAAGCCCTAGAGGGTAAGAGGAGCGGTGAGGTTCTCCCCGAAACCACTCTGCAGCGCCCCCCCCCCCAACACACACACACTCATCTCGTGCTTGTGTGGCCTGGGAGAGTGGGCCTGAAGGGTTAGGGATCACAGCTGGGCGCAGGGCCATCTTTTCCAGTGCAGGGATGCTGGTTCTCATCTCTCATGCTGCCTTTGGAACCCTCACAGACAGCTTGTAGCCCCGGTGTCCCCAGACACCTTTCCAAGTGTTGCTTTGCAGTCACTGCTCTGAGAGCCTCGTGGGGTGAGCTGGGCTCTGCCTGGAAGTGCAGGAAGAGGCTGACACTTCCCAGTCCAGAGGTTTTGGGATTGGGGCTGTTGTTTGTCAAAGCAACCTCAATTCCAGAACAGGGAGGACTTGGTGTCTCACGTGCAGGGCCTTCCACCCAATCATTCCTTCCAGGATCTGCAGAGGCTGCTTGAGAGTTGAGATGAGCTATTGTGGATGTAGGTGGGGGCTGGGAAGACAAGCCACAGCACCCTCTGTGCCAGGCCTCTTCGTAAAGAGGAGGAGCCCGGAGCTGGGCACCATCACATCTGTGCTCTGTGCCAGGTCTTGATTCCTCCATGGATAGAATTGCAATGATTCGTGTTACTCCACCAGAAGACCTCATGGGGCTGCTGAAATTCCCTTCGGAATGAGCCTGGGGACTTTTGCTTGCCTTCCGGAATGTTCCCTCAGCCCTGGTCCTAGGGACTAGCCCAGCAGAGCTCCGAGATCCCCTGTACAAGTCTCATTAGAACTCAATGACCTAGAGCACGGGTTGGCAAACTGTGGCCTTCGGACCTAACCCAGCCTGCTACCTGTACAAAATAGTTTTTACATTTCAAAACAATTGAAAAAAATCAAAAGAATATTTCATGAGATGTGAGCATTATGTGAAATTAAAGTTTTAGTGTCCATAAAGTTTTATTGGAACACAGCCATACCCATTTACTTACAGGTTGTCTACGGCTGCTTTCATGGTACAACGGCAGAGTTTCGTAGTTGCAACAGATACCCTGCGGCCCACAAAGCCTAAGATATTTACTATCTGGTCCTTTGCAGAAAAAGTTTGCCCAGTCTTGACCTAGAGTGAGTAGGCCACCTGCCAGGATCAAGAGCTTAGCTCAGGGAGAAGAGAGGGATTTGGAGAGAAGACGGAGAATCGGGCTGAGTGAGGGGCAAAGGAGAGAGCTGGGCAAGGGAGAGGAGCAGGTCTCCCTGGGCAGGGCAGATGCCACCAGCAGGGGCAGAGGAGAGAGGTGAGCAGAGGCCTTCACACCCATTTAGCCCCTCTGCTTCCAGCCCCGTGGGTGCACACACAGAGCTCCCCGAATGAATCCCTGGAGAAAACAGGAGGAGGGAGGCCAAGATGAGCCATGGATGTGTGGGGTTTTTGTTGTTGTTGTTGTCCTTGTTTTGAGACGGAGTCTCTCTCTGTCTCCCAGGCTGGAGTGCAATGGTGCAATCTGGGCTCACTGCAACCTCTGCCTCCCGAATTCAAGTGATTCTCCTGCCTCAGCCTCCCCAGTAGCTGAGATTACAGGTGTATGCCACCATGCCCAGCTAATATTTGTATTTTTAGTAGAGATGGGGTTTCACCATGTTGATCAAGCTGGTCTCGAACTCCTGACCTCAAGTGATCCGCCCACGTTGGCCTCCCAAAGTGCTGGGATTACAGGTGTGAGCCACTGCACCCAGCCCGGATGAGTGTTCTTAAATTGGCTCAGTGGGCTGCTCCCCAAACCCTCAGGCCTGGGTCAGCCCTGGATCCCAGGGGAGGTCATGCCACTCCAGATACTTAGGCCCTCCTTGTGGAGGATGTCGAAAGGCACACATACATGATTTGTGGCATCTGATGTCATCTTTCCCCAGAGTATCTGCTTAGCCTGAAAAGTATGTCACCTTTTTCACTTATTATCAGTTCTATTTCTTAATTTGGTAGACACTGTGGTGTTGGAATCTGTGTAGTAAAAATCTGATGGTTCTTCTTTAAACACATGTGAGGTTAGTTCATCTTCTAAAAGCAACAGAAACATGCCTACAAGTGGCTTTGGCTCCCTGAGGTCTTCCTGGGAGCTGAGGATGGAGGCAGAAACCTCATGGCCTTAATTTTCTGGCTACTTCAGACAGATGTGGCCTCTGGGCATGGGCTGGCCTGGCAAGTGCCTCTACTTTCCTTGGCCAGGGAGGGCCTAGCCTGAGAATGCCACTGCACATCAGGGCCTCTCACTCTGCAAGAGTCAGGCTGGCGAAGGATCAAAGCCGAGTGCTGCCTGGCTAAGCCTGGCCCTCAGTGTCCGGTGATGTGGTGTCCCCCGTGGCCTCTGAGTAGGGTCCGTAATCTGACCACTTCTTGGTGCCTGCAACCCTATAAAAGCCGTGGCTGATTGAAATGGCTCTGGGAGTGCCATGGCAACATGGGGAGGGCGGGCGCAGAGGGACAAGGACAGGCTGTCCCAGCATCCAACAGGGTGCTCTGGGGCCTGGGCTGGTGGAAATGGTTCTTCCTGAATGTTACTTTGTCTTTCAGCAGACGGTACCCGCCACCTGGACTTACCTTGCAAGCGATCCTATCTGGAAGCCCCCTCTTCGGTGGGGGAGGATCACTATTTCCGTTCCCCCCCTCCCTACGACCAGCAAATGCTGAGCCCCTCCTACTGCAGTGAGGTGACCCCCAGAGAAGCATGTATGTACTCAGGTTCAGGGCCCGAGATTGCCGGGGTGTCTGGGGTGGACGACCTGCCCCCACCTCCGCTGAGCTGTAACATGTGGACTTCAGTGTCGCCGTACACCAGCTATAGCGTGCAGACGATGGAGACTGTGCCGTACCAGCCCTTCCCCACGCACTTCACCGCCACCACCATGATGCCGCGGCTGCCCACCCTCTCCGCTCAGAGCTCCCAGCCACCAGGAAATGCCCACTTTAGTGTCTACAATCAGCTCTCCCAGTCTCAGGTCCGAGAGCGGGGGCCCAGCGCCTCATTCCCAAGAGAGCGCGGCCTCCCCCAAGGGTGTGAGAGGAAGCCACCCTCGCCACATCTAAATGCTGCCAATGAGTTTCTCTACTCTCAAACCTTCTCCTTGTCCCGAGAATCTTCCTTACAGTACCATTCAGGAATGGGGACTGTGGAGAACTGGACTGACGGATGACTCTCACGTCTCCTCCATAGCCCCGGGACCGTGTTGCTCCAGTATTAACCTCTGTGGGTGGCCTGCACTCTACCAAGAAACACAGGAAGGTATTCCAGTGTGTGTGTGTGTGTGTGTGTGTGTGTGTGTGTGTGTGTATACACGAGCATGTATGTATTTGGAGAGCATCCATCTTCTGACATACAACTGAGGTCATGACAAGGAAAAAAAACACCACATTTATCTAAGAAGTGATTTTGGCTGCAGGACCTGGGTCTATTGTTATCTGACATCTCTTGACATGCCCGTGGGTGGGATGGGAGTGGAGGGTTCATATGAGTTATTGAGAGGGTTTTATAATGGTTGATTTACTCAGGGGCCAGGTGGGGAGTTCTCTCCCATGGGGAAAGATTCTCACTGCTGGGGTGGGAAGATTCTCGCTGCTGGGGTGTGAGGACTCTGTGCACACCTTAGAGTTCCTGGCCTTCTCTTTGCAAGGGGAGCTGAGAATCTGGTTTTGGTAGCAGGAGGCCCACTCCTTTGACTTCTGGAGAGTCTGTGAGACTGCCTGAGAGGTGGGCTCAGCTAAGCCACAATGTGTACTTTGATAGTACAGCTGGCTGCTCAGTGAGTGGCCTAGACATTGATGACTGGAGCTCTGAGGTCTGAGGGATGACGTTCGGAAAGGGTCATGGGCTAAATGTCACCTGAGGGGTATTTTTAAAGGGTTTTTTTTTCCCTTCAAGAGGAGGGAAAATGCAACCAGTAGCATCTCTGTCATCATTCAGATTTTGTAATAAAGTACAGAGCCCTTCCCCCTAGGTCCCCAACATACAGTCTCTCACTCTGGTGTGTGGAGAGTCAGCCTCCCAGGCACCATACCATCTGCATCCTATGATG
Source organism: Homo sapiens (assembly GCF_000001405.40). Lineage (NCBI taxonomy): Eukaryota > Metazoa > Chordata > Mammalia > Primates > Hominidae > Homo > Homo sapiens. The sequence goes on from NC_000017.11 coordinate 61,484,396, forward strand.
ATGGGCAATTATGAAACACGCCTCAGCTGGCATCATCCCCAGGAGGCCACACTGGAGCTGATGTCTGGCATCTCCAGGGCCTGTTCTGCTCTCAGAAAATCTACGCTTCTGGAGCGAGAAAGGCCAACAGAAATAAAGATAGTTGAAAAAAATTTGTTTCTTCCAGTAAATTCAGCCGGTGAGCTCAGAGGAGCAAAGAGAATTCTCCAGTGTGGCGCTCACAAAGTCCTCAGCCCTGCGTTTTAGCATTGAATACCACCAGGCCATCAGTGTGGCTGGGGTGAACTCTCCATCAAACTTGGGAAATCACTAAACTCTTTGCATGCTGAATAGCTATTTATATATTATATAAATAAATAAATATATATATTATATATCGCTCTCTCTCACAAATGCAGGCCACATGTCAAATTCAGCTTTGCTTTCTACAAATGAATGAACTTAATAAAAATAAACGTTGGAGGGGGTATTTGGAAAGACATCTATTTAAATTTTTATTACATGTTTGATATTAAAAACTAAGAATGGTTTAGATAAAACATATAAATAAATATATATATATATATATATATATATAAACACACACACACTACAGATAAGGCTTTTTTAGAAAACACATTAGCTAACAGGTGATATGGAACTTCAAGTGTTTTGTTATATAGCATGGATGTTTTATTTTGCATATCGGAACATAAAGCCATTTTACAACTGTGAAGTGTGTGGATGCTCTTTATTACTGACTTGTCATTTCTTGGCTCTGCAACGGCCTCTGCCTCTTTTTTGCTGGTATTCTTTTTCTCAAGTGTCAGGTAAGGCCCTCAGTACCTCTGAACATGTGTACCGTGGAGCCTCTGAGCTCACAGTGAAGTCACCTAGGACCACAGAGCAATTGCACCTTTGATCTCATGCTACTCCCTGGGTTATGAATCTGGACTCCAGGGTCCACAAAGACCCCAGAAGGGCGGGCAGGCAGTAAAGCAGGAATCTGTCTCCTTTCAGCAGTCAACACATAAGCTGGCCATTTGGGGGAAGTGGTCTCGTAAGTAGGGAATTCCTGGTGGGATTTATGCAGCTGCTTCAGAAAAGGAACTGAAGAGCAGGTTTGAGTCAGTGCGGGGGGCTTCCTGGAGCAGTCAGGGGCATGAGCTCATCACCACCATCACCCCAGAATGGGTGAGTCAAGGCCTGGCAAAGTCCCCATTCGCCTGCACCTTTGCCAGGTCCCTAAAGCTTGGCCACAAGATGGAGAGAGGAAAAGCAAGGTGAAATCCAGCCCAGGTTCACCCTAGATTGGAAGAGGCAGGCATAGGAAGGCGCTGCTGGGTCTCCCTCCTTACAGCCTTGCCACCTGCCCTGCCCCTCATTGCTCCTTCCCCAAAGCTGCTTACCCGCATCCACCATCTCCACTGCAGGCTGGTCTAGGAACCCAGGAAAAGAGAAGGCAAGGGAGGCATGCCCTTGAATCCTTGCCCTGTCAGGACTGAGATGAGACTTCCTGCTGGGTAAAGACTCAACCTTGTCTCCTGTTTCTCCAGAGTCCTTTTGTGGCTCTAGGCTGCTCTCTGGCTGGACTTCTTCCTGCAGAACAGGAAGCCAAGCTCCATCCTCCCTTAGCTGCTGGCGCACACCTTGGGATTCTTGGTCATGGAGAAAGATGTTAACTGAGCTTGGCTCAGGGGACAGGGAAGTGAGAGGGCTCTTCCTAACTCCCACCTGCTGCGCTCTTTTCTTTCTGGGTGAAGACAGCACATCTGGGACACTCCACACCTTCTAGAGCCCAGGCAGAGGGCTGGGGGCAACGCGGATGTTCCCAGGTTCTCTCCAAACACATGGTTGGCTGAGTCTGACATGAAGAAAGCCACTTCTTAAAGGGGTATTTTGCCTCGAGGCAGCCCACGGCTTCCTGCCAGCTTCCTGGGAAGCGTGAGGTCCCTGGGCTTCCCCACCTGGGCATGGCCAGAGCCGGGCCTGCAGTGGGATTTGTGGAACTTTCCTGCGCCTCTGAATCAACAGCTCAATAAAAAGGGGGCACATGGGATATCCTGAAACAAAGGGCACCATTCAGGAGCGCCAACAGGTCATACATCATCGGCCAGAAACCTGCCACATGAAAAGGGTCTGCTTCTGCTGTGCCCTGCCTGGGAAGGGGACAAAAGCCAATTAACGTTCAGCTGCATGTCCACGGGAAGGCAGCCTTGGGGGCTGTGCTCTCCAGCCCAGGGCCAGGCCCCTGGGGAGAAGCCAGGGCAGGCCTCTCAGCAGCAACTCAGCCACAGACAGTTGGCCCTCAACCGTAGAAGAGCCTGGAATAACAAAAGGGAGAAGGGAAAGAGAAGCTGGGTCAGACTGACAAATTGTTAAAAAACCAAACCAACTTCCAGCCTTGGCTGGGCCTCAGGGGGTCAAGAGGCCTCGGCTCGCCCCACTAATGGAGCCTGCTGGAGGAGTAGCAGCCCAGCCTCGCAGTGTCTTATCTTACAACATAAAATTAAAACCCACTTAAAAGGCCGGAGGGCATGTTAACATTCCCCCTGCTGTCTAATTGAAGTAGTTCCCAGCGCAAAGGATTTCACTTGAAAGATGTCTCTGTCCCAGCCCGGGTCTCCAGCTCAGCCAGCAGGGGAAAGGGGTTGGCGGGGTCGGGGGAGAGGGGGCAGAGGCTGTTTGCTTGCCACCCCCACCCAGGCGGCAGGTGGCGACAGCAAAGGTTAGAACAGTCTGGGTTGTTTTGTATTTTTTAAAAATTTACAAATTCATTAGCAGCTATGTCAGCAGAGGCCACACTCCTGACAAGAAGACCTGGTAATGATTCAAACGTGGTGAGTCCTGCAGTGAAACCTGGCTGTTCCTGCAGCCAAGAGATTTCCATGCCATCCCCCGGCAAGCCCTCTCTCCCCCCACGCAAATCTATGACAGGTCTCCAAGGCATACGGAACCAATCAGGGACATCCTGTCAAGGTGATGAACTTGCACTGGCCATCCCGAGTAATGGGAACCAGTCAGCCTGAAGCCGGCCTGGACTGAAAGCCAAGGTGACAGCTATTAAGCAATTGTGCGCCGAACAAAATGGCAAAGCGGCCGGGTAATCAATTCAATTTCGATGGGCAACCCGAGCAACCGCAGCGGCTGTCGCAGCTGATTAGGGAGGACCGGGCTGGAGCTTTCAATGCGAGCCCATCACAGATCAGAAACAGGCCCGGGATGAAAAGGGAAAGAACCGTCTCCTGAGAAGCAGGCGATGAAGGACTCTGTTTTATGTGACTGTGTTCTTCCTCCTCTCCTTGAAGAAAGAGGAGAAAAAAAAAGCAAGCAGTTTGGAGATTAGATAGTTTTCTTTTCAGCCATTTATCATTATGAAGGAAAGTAGACAGCGCAGGGGCGGAAGAATCTCCAGTGGGATTTCTGCGAAGTCTCACTCGGAAGGGCCAGGTTTACATGATGCAGCTCAAACAGCCCTGCTTATCACAGCAGCCTGACGGGGTCTGCAGAGCATCGAGGGTTCCTCTTCTGTAACAAGGGCGAACAGGCCCCAGTGCCCCCAGGAGTACAGAAATTCTCCTGCGGAAACCCCAAACCAGCAGACTGCATCATTTGTGAAAGTTAAAGCCTGAGTCAGAATAATGGGGAGAGGAGGAAAAACGGGAAAGGAAAAGACGAGGGGATTGTGCACGGTCCCTGCAGGGGAGGCCCCCGTGGTGGCCCCCCGTTTCTCCCTGGCCCAGGTTGGCGCAGCAGGGGTGCCTGCTGTGTCTGCTGGCCTGTCAGCACTGATCCCAGTCTGATGGCAGGCCCTGGCAGCCTGCTTGAACATTCTAGGCTTGTGTTTGGTTGTTCTGTGCCAGGGTTTTGGGGTGCAGAGCAAGGGGCACCCACAGGCACAGAAGCCGAGAGAGAGAGGCCAGCCATGGGGATGTGGAGGGGATGGAAGAGGCTTGAGAACAGATGGCAAGGGACGCAGAACCAGGAGGAAAAGGGCCATTTTGAAGTCAAGGGTGGGTCCAAACCTCTGGGGCAGGAGGGCTCAGGGCTGGGACTGGGCCGGTGGTGAGGGAGGAAGGCTGACCACCTCCTCTTTGGAAAACTAGAGCAATGGGTGCATATTCAGATAATTCTTAGAAGAATCACAAATGGAGAATTAACCTCACTAGTCATCTAAAATGCAAATTGAAGTGATAACATGCCACTTTCATCTACCAGATTAGTGAACATTTAAGAAAAGGGGTTGGGAGCCTCTCTCAGCCATTGCTAGTGGGAGTACAGATTGACATGGTTTTTCTGGAACGAGCAATTTGGTAGCATGGACAAAGACTCTAAAAGTGTTCATTCCCTAAAGAAAATAACCAGGAATGCGGACATAGTTTAATACTGTATGATATTCATTGTGATTTTACTTTTTAATAGCCCCAAACTGGCTGAAAGTAAATTGGTAAATTATGAGATACATTCTGGAATATGATGCTGTCATTGAAATCATGTTTACAAAGGGCCCTTAATGATATGAGACTTGATTTAAAACTAAGTGAAAAAAAAGGATCCTAATATAGAGTACAATTTCAAGAACATTTGAAGTGAAAACAAAAAGATTGGTGTGTAGCCAAACTATAGATCATTACATAGCAGTTAACAAGGGGATGAACTATATCTGTATATACATGAAATACTATGTGAAAAAAAGTTCCTGACATATGGTCTCCCATGTGTATGCAATACAAAACAAAAAAACACTCCGGAGGTCCCAACATCGATTAAGCAGAAATGTCCAGGAGATGGGGTGCATTTATGTGTATATGATGTATGCATGTATGATGTATGTGTATGACGTGTATTTGTGTGTGTGTGTTAGGGACACAGACATGATTTAGAAGAAACTGCTTATGATGATTCCCTCATATATCTCTGTTTCGTTTAACTTATTACAATGGGCACGTATTATTTCTGCAATTAAAAGATTTAATTAAATTAAAAAAAAACTTGTGATTGTAGAAGTACCCAAAGAAAAGAAAAAGAAGAAAGGCTAAAAGAAACTGTGCCCAGTGCTAACGGCAGTAACGTCAGGAAGTGCTGGATCTGCTGAATCGCTGCCCGGGTGGACAAAGGTTGACTTCTGGGCCTCCTCCCCGTGTTTGTTTTCCTCCCCTCCCTGGCTGTCCGCCTCAGACACCCTGCTCCTGCCCAGGCCTGCAATGCTGCTGTTGTTCAGGCTGGGGCTTTAGCATTTTCCACTCCTCCCTAGGTCCTCTCCCTGGGTGACGGCATCTGTTCCCACGGCTTCTCTCACCAACATATGCCAACGAACCTCAAGTCCGATCTCATTTCGGTCTCCTGATACCATCTTCTGGACATCTCTGCCAGAAAGAGATGTTAAGTCCTCCAATTCAGACTGGAACCCAGACTCTCCCTCCAGGCCTCCCTCACATCCTCCGTTTTGGTAATGGCACCACCAGCCAGCATCCAGTTGCTCAAGTCAGAAGCCTGGGCTTCAGCGCCAACTCCCTCCTCTCCCTACCTGCCCACCCCAAATGCTCACCAAACTGCAGATTCTACCTCCTAAAGATTTTCTACATCTCTACACGTTTCCTCTCTTCCAGCAGGCCTGGCAGTGTTTGCTATAACGGCAAATTCCTGGGTCTGGGCAGGCCAAGATGTCAGCTGTGTAAGGCTATGGAGCTTGGGGCTGCTGTGAACGGTCCTCCTGGGCCCTAAGCTGTCATTCACGGAGTGATGGTTTTCTGACATGTGGAGCCAGGAAACTGCCCAAGCAGCAGATGCGAGGCCACTCAATGAGAAGACTGCTGCCTTCATTGGCGACCTTGCTTTCAGCTCTGCGTGGCCTGAATCTTGTACTCTGGCTGCCACCTTGCGCGTGGTGAGGAAGCAGGGCACTGCTACAGGCCATCCCCCAGGGTCACAGGCTGCTGGAGAGGCCTGTTGCTTCCTAGGGGCAGGTGGGCCTGGGAGTACTGGATCAGGGTTTTCCAGCATCTGACCCCCAAGCCCTGACGCCTCTTTCTCCTTCAAAGGTTCCAAATGGTCTCTTCCTTCAAACCCTTCCATGGGAGGCCACTCAGTCTATGCCAAGATGGGACTGGCCTTCCCTCTCTCTCAAGAAGGGAAAAAAGCCTGAAACAAACCAAACTAAGGCCAAGAAGCCCCCAAATATGGCTCCTTGTGTAAAGCCTCTAGCACAGGGCCTGGCACAGGGCACGCTTTTGGGAAACAACAGTGCCCCTGCATCCTTCATCCCTTCACAGCCTGACCTCTCTCCCTCTCTCCAAGCCTAGCAGGTACCTGCACGGGCCATCAGACAGCAGAGGAGGAGCCACTCGTCAGCCTGCCTGAAGATAAGCTATTGAGCAAGACAAGTGTCTCAGCATGTGCTAATATAAACCTCCGGCATCGGGTGTAAGGAATTGTGAGACTCCTCCAGATATAACTGAGTGAATCATCTGTGGCATTTAGAGAGCACTGCTCTAATGGGAAGGTGGAAAGTGTACTCCTATTTTATGACTGAGCACATTGAGGCTCCTCTGAGACCCTTCCCAGATGTCATGCTTTCCTCTTTTAGAAACACCCTCAACAGGAGAAATGCTCATCCCAGCAAGAGCCACCAGAGACCCCCTGGTTCTGAGAATGTAAGGCAGCTTTGTGTGCCTCCTCCTTTTCCAGGCCAGGCAGGACAGTCCCAAGTAGGGCTCTTTGGAATTGGGAGCTGATCGAAAACGGGGAGGCCAATGGCCAGAGGGTCTTTGGAGGCTTGGTTGGTGAGTTCTGTAGAGGATCCTCCAGCATCAGGTTTGACAAAGTCTGAGCCAGGTTTTATTTATTTATTTATTTATTTATTTATTTATTTATTTATTTATGTTTAAACAAGTTCTCGCTCAGCCACCCACACTGGAGTGCAGTGGCACCATCTTGGCCCACTGCAACCTCCACCTCCCAGGTTCAGATGATTCTCATTCTTGTGCCTTAGCCTCCTGAGTAGCTGGGGTTACAGGCATGCTCCACCACCCCCAGCTAGTTTTTGTATTTTTAGTAGAGACGGGGTTTCACCATGTTGGCCAGGCTGGTCTTGAACTCCTGACCTCAGGTGATACGCCCGCCTCGGCCTCCCAAAGTGCTAGTATTATAGGTGTGAGCCACTGCGCCCGTGGGCCAGTTATCCTTTACGCCTCCTGGCTACCTGCAGCCTTAAGAGTTGATGACTTGGCCGGGCGCAAGATGACTTCTACCAAGGCGGGCGGATCACCTGAGGTGAGTAGTTCAAGACCAGTCTGGCCAACATGGTGAAACCCCATCTCTGCTAAAATACAAAAATTATCTGGGCATGGTGGCGGGTGTCTGTAATCCCAGCTACTTGGGAGGCTGAGGCAGGAGAATCACTTGAATCCAGTAGACGGTGGTTGCAGTGAGCCACAATTAGGCCACTGCACTCCAGCCTGGGTGGCTGAATGAGACTCCATCTCATAAAAAAATAAAAGAGTTGATGACTTAAGACCTACCTTGCTGCTGCTTCTTTTCTAGCCTTCTACCAAGAATAGGTGCTGAATTTTCCACTCTGATCTCCCCTTTTCCCCTCAGGGGTAAATGCTATCTCACTGAAGTAGATGTCTCAGCATCCGTGAGTTAGTGGCACCAACTCTGCCTCTTAAGCCAGAAATCCTGGGTTCGATACTTGGCTCTGTCACTTTCTGGTTTGTGCCTGTAAGTATAGCCATTCCTTCTGTGCCTGTCAATGCAATGGAGATAATATTGGAAATAACATCTGCTTCTTGTGATCATGGAGATTAAAATAACATATGTGAGAGGGCTTGGCACATTCTCTGTCCCTGATGTTCCGATACTAAACAGGAACTCAACAAATGCTGGTTCCCACCCTCCTTCCTTCCCCTCTTATGGAAGGGCATTGCTTTAGATTTCAGATTCAGAAAAGGAGGGTTGAATCTGAACTGAGTTTTAGGTTTCCCATCTATAAAATGAGAAAAGAAAAAGACATTTACACTGAGTTTGTTAGTAATCAGCCATCAGCCATTGGACTTGGCACTCTACTATATTAGGATTATTATATCTAATCCTCCCCACAACTTGGTAGGAGAGGCATTATCACCACTGCCTCACAGAGGAGGAAACTGAGGCTCAAGGAGGTGAAGAAACTTGCTCGAGGTTATGGGCTAAGGGTCAGAACTGGCTTCAAACCCAAGTCTCTCCAACCCAAAGCTTTCGCTTTTTTCTCTAAGATGCCACTACTGCTGCCATTATCACCACTACCACTGCGTGTTCTGTGCTGGTCTTGCCTTCTTCCCTTGTCCTCTGAGGCCACTGGACCCAATCGATGTGTATTTTTAGTGACTTTGAGTTTATTAACAAAAAGGAAACAAACATGTTGTAAAATAAGTTTATGACTTGAAGCATGCAAAATGGCAGAGGGTTACCCTTTTAGAGGATGATAATTTATAGTCACCTCCACCAACTCCAACCACCCATCCCCACTGGACCATGAACTTGGGTTGTCTTTTGCCCTCCACTTCACAGAGAAGGGGCTGATCAAAGGAGGGGCTGTCATTGCACTAGCTCTCGCCCTCCCCCTGTGGGTGAGTCAGCTCTGCCCAAGCTGGTAGAGTCAGGAAATAGTTCAGGTACCTCGAAAACAACTGTTTAAAGTGTCTGGGGGAAAATAAAGTGTTTTGGGGATGTCCCCAAGCCCCACTTGGCTTGGATAGCAAAGCTAGGGTGTCCTTTCCTTGCCTTTCCAACTCTTGGTCAAAATATGCTTCCTTGGGATGACTTAGAAGAGACTTGTTTGGGAATCACTTTTCTTTAACTTCCAGAATTCCTAACTAGGGTGCCTGAAGCAAGAGCTGGGTCTGGGAAATGACGCAGCTCCATGAGGAATGATGGAAACTATGCGAGCTGCTTTTAATAGCATCAAATATGGCACAGCACAGTCCTCCTTCTCCCTAGCCCCCACGTGCTGGTAGCCTGGCCCACATGCTCTGTGGCCCAGACTGAAAAGCCAGTGGTTGTCTCTTCAGGGCGGCTGTGGACCTGAATGTATGCGGGACACAACGTAGGAGGTTCAGGCATTAATCTCCAGTCTGTCCCATGAAAGACCCAAATGTAATTTTCTGGCCCAAGAAAATGAACCTTTGGCTTCTTTTTCTATCAGTGTAGAGGAGAGCACGGAGCTTGGGACTCAGCATGAGAAGATGTGGTCCTAGTCGCATCTGTCACATGCTGGCCGTGTCTCCCCTCTCTCTGAGCCTCCTTTTCTTCCGCACAGCTCCTCACAACGCTTGCAGCGCTAAAGGATGATGATTCCCAAATCATGTTTGCAATCACGAATTTCTCAGCCATGGCAGGGCTCTGTCTCAATCTATAGCAGACCTCTCTGGAGCAAAGTTAGGGACGGAGGAGGTAGAACTTCTTTCTCTATTTATCTTACATTTTAAACTTATTCTAATACTTTTCAAATATCGAATGTCTATATTTGTATAGTAGTACATATGTATAATTTGTAAATCAATTTGTAAATAAGATATTGGTAGCTTGTGCTTTAAGGTTTCTTTGTTTGTTTGAGATGGAGTCTTGCTCTGTTGCCCAGGCTGGAGTGCAGTGGCACCATCTCGGCTCACTGCAACCTCTGCCTCCCAGGTTCCAGCGAGTCTCATGCCTTAGCCTCCTGGGTAGCTGGGACTACAGATGCACACCACCACGCCCAGCGAATTTTTAAATTTTTAGTAGAGATGGGGTTTCACCATGTTGGCCAGGCTGGTCTGGAACTCCTGGCCTCACATGATCCACCTGCCTCGGCCTCCCAAAGTCCTGGGATTACAGGTGTGAGCTACTTCGTCCAGCCTTAAGGCTTTTTGCTGAAGGGAGGTGAGATTTAAAAATGTATGGAGACCACAGGGGGATGGGGAAGTCAACATGAGGCTCTGCTCACAGGCTGGGACCTCTGCCATTCCTGTCATGCCCTGGGCTCTCCACCGTCCTCCCAGAGGTGGATCACCAGAGCTCTGGGTGGAGAGGCCAGGCCCAGGAGTGGAAAGAGAAGAGGCCTGGAGCTTCACTCCTCATTAGATGCCTGCCTAATCTCTGTGAGCCTGTCTCTCCACGTTAATTAGGGGCAATAAAATACTCCTTATCTTTCAAGGTTATAGAAAAGATTAAATGAGACGATAGAGATGAAACGTGTGCTCAGTTCAAGTTGTTCCCCTTCCCCCCACATAATTTGCCTGTCTGCACGGGACTCATTTTAGATGTCTAAAAGAGTGAGATTTTTCTTTTCTGGGAAATTCTGTTTATTGACTTTATTGCGTCTCCTGTCTCACAGTTAAGCCTCCTTTACCAGACGCCAAAGTCCAGATCTACGTGCGGTTAGGTGCACAAGGCCAGCGGCAGGAGAGTGACGCTGGGGAATTCCTGCCTGGTCCTCCCAGCCCTCTGAGCGCCCCCCACTGCCAGGGGTTTGGGGCTCATCCAGGACACAGGACAGCATTCAAGGACACTTAGAAAAGAATGTGCCTCCAGCAGGTCAGCCAGCCATCCTCACTAGTGCCCCCAGGAAGGGATGGCTTGAGCTTTGCTGCCTCCTTCCAAGTCTGTTGCCACACTCGGTGACACTGGGATACATCTATTGTCAAAAGAAAGTCCCAGCTTTGTTGCTGTGTTTTTGGAGGCCTTGGGCAAGTCCCTCTATCTTTTTTGGCTTCAACATCCTCTGTTATAAAAAGGGATGAGTAATATCTGTGTTGCCAACCTCCTGGCCTTGGTCCACAGGCCAAATGAGATGCTTCTGAATGAAAATACGTAGTAAGAAGTGAAAAGGATTGCGATGAGTAAGCTTCTTGTTGGTCCAATCAGTGCCAGTCCATGCTCATTTCTTCTCGAAAAGACCCACTGATTTTTATAGGGTAAGGAGGGGGAATGATTGGCAAGGCACTGACCAATCCCATTAGCTCTGAGAGGGGGATGATTTAGCATCACCTGCCTTATCAATCTCCCTGCCCCGCCTGCATCCTCGGCTTTTGGGGAGGTCAATTTCCGGCACACACAGAAAAGCCTGTGGCTGTGGCCGGGAACAATTGGCCACAGTGCTCCTCTCGTGTTGATCCTTTCATTTCCTCCTGCCGGGGACAGCGGTTCTAAGTTTCGCGCTACTCTTTTGGACTAATCGTTTACAACAGGCCTGAGCACTCAGCCCCTCTCTCACTTTTGCTGTCCAGCTACTGCTCTGTATGGCAAGGTCGCTAATTGGGACGTGATCCTGGCCAAATGGCAAGAGAGATTCAAGGAACCGGTTCCCTGGACCTCAAATATCCTGCCCCCAACTTTACAGCTCAGGCGGCCACGGAGGAAGCGTGAGTCATACTTGAGAGGTGAGGCCGCGGCTTAGGAAAGGCTTCGGCAATGACATTTTTCACGCTTTTAATAAACCCCTGTATTATTAGAACTTGCCAAAGCTGAATTTAATGAAAGTCTTAGGCCCTAAGGCCTGAATTTTTCTTTTGTATCGCAAAATGAAACCAACTGGTTCAATTCAAATTAACCCCAGAAAATGTGAGGGCTTTATATTTCTTTCTTTCCCCCCGCCTTTCTTCTCTCTCTCTTTCTCTGCTCTCTCATTTTGAAATTTTGCTGTGATTACAATCTCTTGGAAGAAAAGGAAATGTACAGGAGGAAGAAGAAATCAAACATGAGAAATATATTCAGATAGTTACAACTTTCTCTATGGGACTCCTTAAGCAGAGTTACCCATCACTGATACAAGTTCATATGAGAATTTTTTAAAGGAAGAGAATGAAAAGGCAAAAAATAAAGAGGTCCTCTCAAATTGTACCAGAGACACAATAGGATTTAACATTCAATTTTATGAAAGCTCCTTCAATTAGACCTGCTAAGCATCAGTCTTGTGCAATACTGGTGCCCCCCAAACAAACAAACAACCATTTCAGAAATAATAAAATGACACGTTCTTTATTTTTCAGATTTCTGAGGCTTAGCCCTTGGAAACTACCCTGGGGGGGCGATATTAGGGGTGGTAAAGTAATGTGCCACTGGGCACCTGGCCTTCAACTATTCAGAAGCTACGGTGGCAGGAAATAGCTCAGCGGCAGCTTCCGTGTTTGCAGGAGCTAATGAAAAGACATCTTTTTTCCCCCTCACAGCTACGTTCATAAACAAATGTTCACTATCCAACCTTCACTCCCATTTGGCACATAGTTCCCAATAGAGCAGGCCTTCAAATGCCTCCTTGTCCTTTATGGAGCAGAAAGGTACAAGGGCTCAGCCTTCAAGGCCTTCCCCGCGGGCCTTCCTGAAGGCAGGTCAGTCAGCCTCAGGGGGCACACGACCCCCACTGGAGCTACTGGACTAGAAAGTTACCCAAGATGTGGGGAGGGAAACGACTGTAGATACCCTGCCTTCAGCATCTAGAGGCAGGCAGTCGAAGGGGGCTGGGAAAAAACCCAGGCCCAGAGCTGCCTTTGTCTTGGCTGATTCCTCCTTTTGGGAATCAGGCTCAGCTCCGATTCCTGCAGGGAAGTCCCTGCTTGGCATCAAGGCTGGCCTCAGGCATAAGATCCTAATTATTTGAATGGTATTTGTTTTCATAGCTCTTTTTTTTTTAAAAAATGTGTCCAGGTCGATGGCATTTTAATGCCTTATTAAACAGGGGTTTTACAGCAGTCTGTCTGTTCAGTCTCTGGGCCCATGCCTGCACTTTGTGTGCAGGGATTTTATCTTTCCTGCTGGCCGAAAATATTTTCCGAATTCCCTATAAAAGTTTTCGAGATTTCCTAAGACAAATAGAGCTCCACCAGCTCTAAAATGACCTTGATGCCGTCGGAATTATATTCAGACACAGGCTTTCTCCCCTGTTTACACAAAGAACTGAACCTCACTTGTACTCATGAACTGCCGTTATGAGGACACCAAATTTGCTCCACAAATGTGCTGGTGCATAAAAACACAACTGTACCTGGGATGGCTCACCAGAGTCCCATACTTTACTGGTTTCTTCCATCCTCTCAGATGGCCGCCTTGGCTTTGAAGGCAGCATCAATAAAGCCTGTCCTGGATGCAGTTTCCATAAGAGTGGGCAGCAGCTCCCAGCTGAGGGAGCAGCCAGGCCTGTAGTGGGAACATGGCTGTCGTGAAGACCACAGAACCCACCCCTTTTGTTTACTTGCAAGTGTTTAAACCTTTGTGAAAATGAAGTCTTTTCAGAAAGAAGCTGGATTTAGAAAATATTACCATAAGCCACAAGTCAGGCTACTTAGTGTTATGGAAAAAACCTAGAACAGACATGGGTTCAAATCTCCTTTCTGACATGCTGTAGGGTGTGATCTTGGGCAAAATAAAAATAAAAAATAGTACCAGGTTCTTTATTTTAAAAAATGGGGAAAATTATATATGTATATGTCTCAGGGTAGTTGTGAGAATCGATATGAAGTAACGTGGCTGGGCGCGGTGGCTCATGCCTGTAATCCCGGCACTTTGAAAGGCCGAGGCAGGTGGATCACCTGAGATCAGGAGTTCGAGACCAGCCTGGCCAACGTGGTGAAACCCCATCTCTACTAAAAATACAAAAATTAGCTGGGCTTGGTGGTGGGCACCTGTAATCCCAGCTACTTGGGAGGCTGAGGCAGGAGAATCACTTGAACCTGGGAGACGGAAGCTGCAGTGAGCCGAGATTGTGCCGCTGCACTCCAGCCTGGGCAACAGAGTGAGACTCCGTCTCAAAAAAAAAAGAAAAAGAAAAAGAAAAAGAAAAAGAAATGAAGTAACGTATATAAAGCACAGAGGGCAATGACTGGCAAGAGTAATTGTAAATAGTAGCTACTATCTCCATTTCCTGAGGGTCCTTAGGACTCAGATGAGCAGAAGCACAGCCACTGTGTGTCCTGAGGCTTTGATAAAGATTCTGGAGGTGGGAGGGGAAAGGAGGTCTCAGAGACTGAGTGTCAACTCTGGGCCAGATACAGTGGTAGGCGGTGAAACTAGAATTTAAATTCCAATCTGACTCCAAGATCTGCAAGGGCTGGTTCCACTATGCAGATTGGGGAAAGTGTTGAAATTAAACATGGGGAATTATGTCAGCTGCCTGCAACACAGCCTAAGCCTGAACCAGGCCAGATGGGGCTCATTTTGTGTAGGTAGCATTAAAAAAAAAACCCTCCAATAGTAACTGTGTAGCCACCAGGAAGCTCCCTCTGAATTTCTATTTTGCTAGGTCATTTTTCAGCATTACCCTTTTGGTGGTATTTCACTAAAAATGCCACATTTAGTATTTAAGACAGACAGACAAATACCCTGGGAAGGAGTTTGTAGGGATGTCCAGCCCATTCAGAACATTCCTGCTTATTCCATGTCTGCTGGTGTTAAGCACGTCACAACCAAAGATGGAGGGTTGTCTGATGGCCGCAGTACAAAAGGACAATTAACCAGGGGTCATGTTTATGCTTCTATGGTTAGAACCAGTCATTTATTTAACTAAGACTTTCCACTTTCATGGAATCAATGAATACTCTGAATTTCAAGGACAATTGTATGTTTCATTCCTTGAAACTCTATTTGATTCTTTTTCAAGTCAGCTTAGTCTTAAAAATTATTGCTTTTTCTGATGTTCACAATCTCTTCTTTTTTGTATTTAATTATCTTAAACAATTTTAAAATAATCTCTAGATGATAATTCTGTTATCTGAGGTTCTTGTGGGGAGGGGTGACTAATCTAACTGCCATTTATTGGGTCTACTGATATTTCACAACAGATATTTATCTTTTATTGTTTTATAATTTTATGAGAATTCATCCTAAGCTAGGCTTTATCTCCTGTCAGATTCCTTCAGAAAAGTTTTGCTTGCTTTTGAAGACTAACCTTTTATGTTGATTTTTAGTTCGGAGATTTTTAGACTATGCAGGAAGTATAAATTCAGACGCCAAAGCCAACAGAGGACAAAATTTCTTTGTCTTATGCTGAGCGAGAGGGTTTTTTTTATTTTGATTTTTTATTTTTATTTGAGACAGTCTCACACTGTTGCCCAGGCTCAAGTGCAGTGGCACCATCTCGGCTCACTGCAATCTCTGCCTCCTGGGTTCAAGCAATTCTCGTACCTCAGCCTCCCAAGTAGCTGGAACTAGAGGCTCACACCACCACACCCAGCTAAGTTTTGTATTTTTAGTAGAGACAGGGTTTCACCACATGTCACCCACGCTGGTCTTGAACTCCTGACCTCAAGTGACCCACCTGCCCTGGCCTCCCAAAGTGCTGGGATTATAGGCGTGAGCCACTGCTCCTGGCTGGCGTGGGAGTTTTGGGGGGTTTCAGCTATTCATAAGTCTCAGTATCGACTCCTTTAATTTCTTTTCCCCACATGTCAGTTAAGACTCAAGCTCCTGGCTGTTTTGAAGAATAAAACTGGAGGGGTCTTATACTACAAGAGGACTTATCATAAAGCCATAGCAGTTAAGGCTGGTGCAAAGGTAGATGAATGGGCCACTGAACAGAACAGAAAGTCCAGAAACAGATGCACACACATATGATACCTGAATTAGGAAAAGGGTGGCATTGCAGTGGAAAAGGATGGTGCTGGGCCAATTGGATATCCCTATGGAACAAAATGAAATTTGAGTCCTGACTCATACCATACACAAAAATAACTTTCAGATTGTTTGTGATCTATATATGAACTGAAAACAATAAAATATTTAAAAGAAAACATAAGATAATATCTCCATGACCTTAGGCTAAGCAGAGATTTCTTAAAGAGGACACAAAAAACACTGTCATAATTGAAAACTGACAGATTGGTCTATATTGAAATAAAAATGTATGTGTATCAAAAGATCCACTAAGATAACAAAAAAAAAAAACAAGCACAGAATAGAAGATATTGAAGACTCAAATCCAGAACGTATTTTTAAAAACTTCTGTAAATCAGTAAGAAAAATGCAGACAACCCAATAGAAAAATGGGCAAAAGACTTGTAAGGGCTGTTTGCAAAAGAGAATACTCAACTTGCCAAGAAACATATGAAAAGGTGCTCAACTTCAATAGCCATCAGGAAATTGCAAAGTATGACTGCAATACTGCTATACTCCCACCAGAATAGCTAATAAAAGAAGGTAATACTGAGTGTTAGTGGAACTTTCATCCACAGCTGGTGGGAATGTAAATCGGTACAACCACTTTGGAAAATTGTTTGTTAGTATCTACTAAACTGTCAGGATCCTATAACTATGTTTAGTAGGAACATAGCCTATGACCAAGCAACTTCCCTCTTAGTTATATCCAAAAGAAATGCACACACATTCTTTACAAAAGGCATGTATAGCATACTAACAGTGCATTATTCATTATAATACAAAAGTGGGAACAACCCAAATGTTCATCTGCAGTAGAAAGAATAAATAAATTGCGGAATTCATACAGCAGTGGGAATGAATCAGTTACAACTAAATGCAAAAGCATAGCTAAATCTTACAAACATCATGTTATGCGAAAGAAGCCAGGCTTAAATGAGTACACACCTCATGTTTTCATTATACAAACTCCAAACAGGTAGAACTCCTTCAATGTTGTTAGAAGTTAGAATAGAGATTTCCTTGGAGGGATGAGTAGTGACTGAATAGGTTACAAGGGGGAGCCTCTGGAGTGGCGGTAAAAGACTGTTTCTTGGTATGGGTACTGGTTACATGGTTGTGTTCACTTTGTGAAAATACATCCAGGTGTACAACTTTAACTTGAGAAAATTTTTGAATGCCTGTTACACTTAAAAAAACTTTACTCAAAATAAGTTTATTTTTAAAAGATAATCTTCTGGGTGATGTGGCTCACCCCTGTAAACCCAGCATTTTGAGAGGCCTAAGTGGGAGGATCACTTAAGCCCAGATGTTCGAGACCAGCCTGGGTAACATAGAGATACCCCATGTCTCCTAAAAATTTTTTGAAAATAGCCAGTCGGAGTGGCACACACCTATAGTCCTAGCTACTTGGGAGGCCGAGGTGGGAGAATCATTTGAGCCCAGGAGTTCAAGGTTGTAGTGAGCTATGGTTGCACCACTGCACTCCAACTTGAGTGACAGAGCAAGACCCTGTCTCTAAATAATAACAACAATAATAACCATAATCCTTAACCAATTATTAATAGAAAAACAAAATTTAAGCCCTTTTATTAATAACACAGGTTCTCTAACCCCAGGTAGTCCCAGCATCAGCTTAAACTCCTTTAGTTTGTACATTTTTGGACTTTGAGGGTTTCTTTTACTTTCCTGCAAGTTCAGTTGCATATTTAAGTGAATGCTGCTATATTTTTATCCATCTTCCAAGAGGTTTCTGAGCAGGAGTATTTTCAGGTTATCTAAGTCACAATATTGCCAAAATCAGAAGTCTTCTATGAAAAGGTGCTCAACTTCAGTAGTCATCAGGGAAATACAAATCATAGCCACAATGCATACCATTATGCCCCTGTTTTTTAAAATTTCCGTAAGCATTTTTACTTCCCAAATGGCTCTGTTGTAACTGAAACAGGGATCTAAGCTGAGTCAACCATGAGGCAAAAGACACTGGCGATTTAGAATAGTCTTCAGTTCACAGATGATTCTTTAAACGTCACCCAGGACTCACAGATGAGCCAAGTGCCTTCCTTGTTGTACCGGGTAACCTATCTGTCCGCGAAAAGGTGGGGAGAGAGTAATGACAGGAGAGAGGGAACTCTGATTTGAAAGAGTTTGCTTTCTCTTTCCTTTGGCCTTAGTGTGTTTGAGAATGCTGGTTCAGATTCATTTTTGAAAGGCCTGATGATAAAATGTGCTGAGATGGAGCAAAGAAATTTAATAGGCATACGGACACTAAATCTTGTGGAACTGTTAGTCTTCAGGTTGGCAGGGAGAGGGTTAGATTAATATTGATATAGAGATACTTTCTCATTAGGTCATAAAGTGATTATTTCTTTCTGTTGAGTCTCTATTTAAAGTTTTAGTCAAATTGAGAAAAATGTCCAAAACCAGGATGAATCAGGTAGTTTCAGTCCTCTGCCTCTGTGCTGAGTTCTCTAGTATATTTCATACGGGAAACAGAAGGCGGACATGGTCCTGTAGTCTAGGAGCATGTTCTTTCAACTGCGGACTCAGAAGTAGCAGTAATGGCAACAATGAGGGGTATAATTACCACCCACAACATTGGCCATATGAAAGAAATTCCCCTAACTTCCTTCCTCTGCATCTCCAAACTTAGTTCGTTCTTTATTTGTTTTTATTGTGCGTGGTATTTAATACTTTTCCACTCTATTTTCTAAGTGGTTATTTCTGAGATGTAGTAGGAAAACGGTTTTTATTTTGTAAAGGATTACTATGACTCTCTTGAGTCTGGAAGTTTTTATTTGTTTCCTTTAGATTTTCTAGTTAATCTTGTCATTTTCAAATTATAGTCACATGTCACTTAACAATGGAATACGTTCTGAGAAAGGTGTTGTTATGCAGACACCATAGAGTGTATTCACACAAACCTAGATGGAATAGCCTACTACACACTTAGACTATGTGAAACAGCCCGTTGCTCCTAGGCTACAAACCCGTAGAGCATGTTACTGTACTGTATAATATAAGCAATTGGAATATAATCGTAAATATTTGTGGATCTAAACATATTTAAACATAGAAATGGTGCAGTAAAAATATAGTATGAAAGATTTAAAAAAATGGTACACCTGTGTAGGGCACTTACCATGAATGGATCTTGCAGGACTGGAAATGGCTCTGGGTGAGTGAGTGGTGAGTGAATGTGAAGGCCTAGGACATTACTATACACTACTGTAGACTTTATAAATGCTGTACACTTAGGCAACACTACATTTATTTTTTAATAATAATTTTGTTTTTTGGGACAGGGTCTCGCTTTGTCACCCATGCTGGAGAGCAGTGGCAAGATGATTGCTCACTGCAGCCTTGACCTCCCAGGCCCAGTTGATCTTCCCATTTCAGCCTCCCGGGTAGCTGGGACTACAGGGGTGTGCCACCACACCCGGCTAATTTTTGTATTTTTTGTAGAGACAGGGTTTCGCCATGTTGCCCAGGCTGGTCTTGAATTCCTGGGCTCCAGTGATCTGCCTGCCTCGGCCTCCCAAAGTGCTGGGATTGCAGGCGTGGGCCACCATGCCCAGCTTTAATAATAAATTAACCTTAGTTAACTGAAGGTTTTTATTTTGTAAATGTTTTAATTTTTAATTTTTTCAACTTTTTAACTCTTTCGTAATAAATAATACTTAGCTTAAAACACAAACCCATTGTACAACCGTACAAAAATATTTTCTTTCATTCTATCTTTATAAGCTTTTCTCTATTTTTAAAATTATTTATTTATTTTACTTTTAAAACATTTTTGGTTAAAAATGAAGGCACAAACACACACCTTAGCCTAGGCCTACACAGGGTCAGGATCATCAATATCACTGTCTTCCACCTTCACGTCTTGTCCCACTGGAAGGTCCTCAGGGGCAATAACACACAGGGTGCTATCATCTTCTATGATAACAACACCTTCTGGAATAACTCTGAAGGGCCTGCCTGAGGCTATTCTATAATTAACTTTTTTTAATAAGTAGGAGTACACTGTAAAATAATGATAAAAAGTATAGTAAATGCATAAACCGATAACACAGTGGCTCATTATCAAATATTATGTACTGTGAATAATGGCATGTGCTGTACTTTTATATGACTGGCCCCACAGTGGGCTTGTTTACACCAGCATCACCACAAACATCCGAGTAATGTGTTGCACTCAGACATTAGGGTGGCTACCTAACATACAATTTTGCAGCACTATTACAATCTCATGGGACCACCTCGTAGCATATGTAGTAGGTCATTGACTGAAATGTCAACTGTATTGATATTTCAACCTCTCTGCTTCCTTCCTTCCTCTCTTCCTCTCTTCATTCCATTGTTCCTTTCTATCTTTTGTTGGATGAAACTTACTTTAACGCTAATGATAAATAAATGCAATGATAGATGACCTTCTTGTCTTGACTGTTTTATTGAAATTCTTCTAGTGTTTTATTGTTATATTTTCTTTTATTATATGTTTGATGATTGTATCTGTTTCCATTTGATCTTCAAGAACATTATTTATTTACTGATTTCTACATTTATCATCTTATTCCTAATTTTTTTTCCCTTGGCATTCTGAGTGATTTCTGTTTTAGGTTAACCTAGACACTAAGGATGTACAAATCAAGAGACAAACCACGTCTCTCTGTCTCTCCAGTACCAACCTCTGTATTCCTATTGCCTTCTGGGTATTGTTATTTGATGTCCTCTAGATAACTCAAGCTTGATGTGTTCAAAACTGAACTCTTTTCTTTTCCAAAACAAACAAACAAACAAACAAACAAACAGAAAACTCCTCCTCTGTGTGCTAAGCAGAGGTTGATGATTCATCTGGTCATCTAAGCGAGAAACCTCAGAGTCAATGTTGGCTTCATCTTTTTCCTCCCTCTCCTTTTCACGTATGATTGGAATGCAAGTGTTTTTGTTGAACAAGGTCCAAAGAGTGGAACAGCAAATTAGAAGCTTTCATGTGCAAGTTGCTATGAATGATGTGAAATAAGATATGGTCCCCACATTTGTAGTAGTAAGAAAGGAAACTGCTATTTCAAACAAAAACTGATAGCAGACAGTTCTACAGAAAAGTTACAAAACTGATTTTCAGGGTAGATAACATTATTGTTTAGGAAAACACCTGATGGAACTTTTTGGCTGAGAAAGGCACAGCTGAGATGTGGTAGACAGAGAGAGAGCTGAACTTCTCTGTGGAATAAAGTGAGAAGACTTGAGTTTCTGCAGAGAATCAGTGTGAAGGGGATGGGTGGCAATCAGAGATGACAGAGATGTAAGGATATATGAGAAGGAATTAGGGAGAAAAGAGGGCTTAAAAAGACAGCAGTGGCCGGGCGCGGTGGCTCACGCCTGTAATCCCAGCACTTTGGGAGGCCGAGGCGGGTGGATCACGAGGTCAGGAGATCGAGACCATCCTGGCTAACAAGGTGAAACCCCGTCTCTACTAAAAATACAAAAAATTAGCCGGGCGCGGTGGCGGGCGCCTGTAGTCCCAGCTACTCGGGAGGCTGAGGCAGGAGAATGGCGTGAACCCGGGAAGCGGAGCTTGCAGTGAGCCGAGATTGCGCCACTGCAGTCCGCAGTCCGGCCTGGGCGACAGAGCGAGACTCCGTCTCAAAAAAAAAAAAAAAAAAAAAAAAAAAAAAGACGGCAGTAAGCCAGAATCAAAGGATAGAAGAATTTCTCTTTCTTTCTTTCTTTCTTTCTTTCTTTCTTTCTTTCTTTCTTTCTTTCTTTCTTTCTTTCTTTCTTTCTTTCTTTCTTTCTTTCTTTCTTTCTCTCTTTCTCTCTCTCTCTCTCTCTCTTTCTTTTCTTTCTCTTTCTTCCTAGGAAAAATTCTCTGTCGTGGGGAGGGCCTGGGGACTTTCGGACCCTGCTGTCTCGTGTTCACTCCCAAGTTGTTTGCTCTACCACCTTGTTAGCCCTTCTATGACTCCCGTAAAAATATACTATCCCTAACAGCCTGTGTAGATGGTGTTGAAGGAAACGAAGGGTGAGGGCAATAAAAAGAAGTACAGCCTCCTCCACATCACCCCTCCCTGAGGCCAGCGTGGCTGGTAGCAGCACCGCGTGGAGGAAGGACAGTTTAGGACTGTGCCCTTGAAACAAAACCCCCTTTCCTCAAGGATACCAGAAAAAAAGTGACATTTGAAAGGGGGCAGGCAGACACTTGGATTGCACTTTCACTCTAGTGCACTTTGTAACTGTGTTACAAAGCAGTGTCAGCTAGGTGCCACAGAGTGGTACATGCAAAAGACAGTTGGAGTTCATTAGAGGAAAACAGAAACACTGAAAATCACCAGGTCTGGGGAGGCCTTTGATATTCATGAAAATGGAGTGAGATAGAAGTATCTGAATAATGCCAGGTGCAGTGGCTCACACTTGTAATCTCACCTACTCAGGAGGCTGAGGGAGGAAGATCATTTGAGCCCAGGAGTTCAAGGCTGCAGTGAGCTATGATCACACCACTGCATTCCAGCCTGAGTGACAGGGCGAGACCCCATCTCTAAAAAATAAAATAAAATCTGAATATAAATAACAAAAGCAACGTGCACACCAACAACACAAACACAGATCAATGGGCTACGAGTTACTAAACACTATAACAATGGCTTTGGCAAGTTTAAGAGCACATTTTAAAAAGTAACACAACACTCAATATTTGCTGATTAAATGCATGAATGAAGAATCTGCTTAAAGTAATTCAGAATGGGAAGGTGATAAATGAACCAGTGTAGCTGATCAAGTGGGAAAGATTGTAAAATAAAGGAATGAATGGCTTACAAGGAATATTTGAGATCTTGAATTAGTATGTGTACTGAAAAATAAATTTGGCTAATGAAGAAACAAGCCGCATAAACACTAGGGCATCTAATTACTTTACCAACATCATGTACGTGGTACTAGCCAGGTCAAGGTCAATTGATGAAAAGATCAACCGAGGGGGAAAAACCTTAGAAAGATTCTTAAATTCTGCACTAAAGAGCAGTAAAGACAGAATTGGAGGGTTTGAATCCAAACGCCACTGCAACTGCCTCCTGATTCATTCTGATCATAGGTGGCTACTCCGAGTATATTAAAGTAACAGAGAAAAACCTGTGCAGGAGGGGGTGTGTGTGTGTTTGTGTGTTGTGTTCACATGTGTGTTTGGGGTTTGGGTCTGTGTGCTGTAACAGGGATGGGGGAGGATAATATGAATGAAGGTCTAGGGGACATTTTTGAGTGAAACTTTGTGATTAACAAAATAAAAATTGGAGCGCCCAATTGTACTTTGTATAATCCTGGCCTAAAATTTTGTTCTTGTAAATAATAATATTGGCTTTTCATATGACAAATACATGGGACGTGGTGAGTTGAGTTAGAATGGTTAAACACATGGTGCTAATATTCCTGAGTATTTAAAGAAAAGAATCAGACCCCAGGCCAACAATTATTTCTCTGCTACAGTCTTCACATGGGCCAAATGTGTGGATGTGAGTTGGGGGAGACTGGCGGAGGACACGTTTGTGGCAGAGATCGCAGATGGGCTGAGCAGTTTGACTGCTGGCGAAGGGCTACACTTCCTAAGGCAAAGGGAACATTTGCTGAGAGCTGTGTGCCATGTAGGCAGTTGATCTGGACCGTCTTATAGATTCTCACAAGCAACTGAGGCGGGTGCAATTATCTTCATTTAACAGACAGCAGACTGAGGGTCTGAGAACTTACACAGTGGATAAGGATTGGAACTTGGTTTAGATACCAGCTTTGTTCAGCTCCACAGTGAACCCTAAGTAAGGGTAAGGATTTCTTTTAACAATTTCGTATTGACCCTCAAGAATAAATAATCTTTTTGCGACTCTGATAGCTGTTTGACACTAAGCAAAATTCCCCTAGAACAGGTGAAAGTTATCAACAAAGCCTGTGCTTTTTGGGGGCCTCTAGAGACAGACTCCTGCTTTGAAAAAAAATGTGTGTGAAATAAACTGAATCAACTCCAGATTCCTCCCAACCAGTACTACTCAACAGGCACCGGGGGAGGCACTCACTAAGGGTGAACTAAATCCCAGCTTATTTTTCCTCCTACGAGAAACAATTATATAAGAAAAGTATGAAGATAGTAATTACAAACTATATTAAAACTTTTGCTTATCAAAAGCCAGCATAAGTAAGTGAAAAGATAAGTTGGTAATATATTTGCAACACATTAGCTAACAAAGATATACCACATGTAAAGAATGTCTATACATTAATAAGAAAAAGACAAACAGTTCCATAGAAAACCAGTAAAAGATGGGCACTGTGGCATGCACCTGTAGTCCTGGCTACTCAAGATATTGAGGTGGGAGTCTCATTTGAACCCAGGAGCTTGAGGCTGCCGTGTGCTGTGATCGTGCCTGTCATAGCACTGCACTTCAGCCTGGGAAACAAAACAAGACACTGTCTCTTAAAAAAAAATAGTTGGGCAAAAGGCTGGAACATTGTATTAGTCTGTTTTCACACTGCTATAAAGACACTACCTGAAACTGGGTAATTTATAAACAAAAGAGGTTTAATGGACTCACAGCTCTGCATGGCTGAGAGGCCTCAGGAAACTTACAATCATGGCAGAAGGCAAAGAGGAAGCAAGGCATGTCTTACATAGTGGCAGGAGAGAGGGAGGGTGGGGAAACTGTCACTTTTAAAGCATCAGATCTCATGAGAACTCACTCACTATCACAAGAACAGCATGGGGGAAACCGCCCCATGATCCAATCACCTTCCACCAGGTCCCTCCCTCAACACATGGAGATTACAATTCTAGATGAGGTTTGGGTGGGGACACAGAGCCAAACCATATCAAACATGTACTTCACAAAAGAACAAATAGGACTGACTGATAAATGTATGAAAAAGATGCTCAATCTCATTGAAAATCAGGAAAATGCAAATTAAAATCACAAAGAGTTACCGTTTCACCTTTACTAGATTGTCAAAATATAAAAAGTCAAATAAAACCAAAAATTAAAAGAACATAGAGCAACTGAAACAAATACACACTGTTGGTGGTTGTGTACAACCATTTGGAAAACAATTTGGCATTATTTGGGAAGTTGAAGACGTACAAACTCTATAATCCAGCAGAAAGAAATCCTTGGAGAAATTCTTGCCATGTTACCTGGGGGCAGATACGGTAACGTTCAAAGCAGTATTGTTTGCAATAGCAAAACACTGGAATCAATCCAAGTATCTATCAAGAGACGGCTTGTTAAATACATTTCAGTATAGTCAAGCAATGGAATATTAAACATGAGTGAATGTTGCAAACATGTTGAATGAAAGAAGTTGCAGAAGGGTACATACAGTATGATACCTTTTTTTTTTTTTTTTTTTTTGAGACGGACAGAGTCTAGCAGTGTTGCCCGGGCTGGAGTGCAATGGCACGATCTTGGCTCACTGCAACCTCTGCCTCCCGGATTCAAGTGATTCTCTTGGTCAGCCTCTCGAGTTGCTGGGATTACACACACCTGCCACCACACCCAGCTAATTTTTGTATTTTTAGTAGAGACGAGGTTTCACCATGTTGGCCAGGCTGGTCTTGAACTCCTGACCTCAGGTGATCCGCCCTCCTTGGCCTCCCAAAGTGCTGGGATTACAAGGGTGAGCCACCACACCTGGCCTATGATACCATTTTTATGAAGCTCAAAACAAAAAACTGAACAGTGTAGTTTAGGTTTACATACTTACATAGACTTACGTAGGTGAGCCACATGTAACGAACATGCCAGTAAGGATAGTGCAGCCTGCAAGGTATAAGAGGAGAATTTGAAGTTGGGGAGGAATGCATAAGATTATTTGGTGGTGTGAGTGACTTTTTTCCTAGCCTGTGTTTTGGGTGCATAAGTTTTTATCTTACTATTCTTTTGCCTAATATACACTTTGTATAATTTTAAAACATGGAGAATGAAACAGTACTAAGAGCTTGGAAATGTACTGGCTTTAAGAGGAACTTCACTAACTTCTCCTCCTTATCAGTTAATATGCATTGAACACTTTTATGTTGCCTTATTGACTCCCTTTGGAATGGATTTGTGGTGAATAAAGGATTAGACAGCAGCAGGTAAAATTGTTAACTGTTGGTAGATCAGCAGTTTGCTGCTGACATTTAAAAAGGAAAAGTTAAACCTCAGGTTTGACTGACCCCTAAGTGTTCCATGGGCATTTCGGTGGTACCAGTATTAATGAAGATGTTTCTGAAAGTCCCTCTGTTAACAGAATCCTTGTTTCCAGAGATAGAAATCATGTTGGTGGCCTGGGGTTGGGCTCAGAGCCATGGATTCCTCTCCCTGTTTCCAAACCAGGCACTGTAGCCAGACATTCCCTTGCTCCCCTGAGATAAGTCTCGACTCCCCCAGTCTCTCGGCCTATTTGGGATCTAGGGACAACCTCTTGCTCAGGAATAGGGAGGTCCCATAGGGTGGTTGCCCTGCTGCTGCTCTGCCTTTCCTTCAGGGGGACATACGCCTGAGCTACTATTCTCGCTTCTCTTCCTGAAATTATCAAAGCCCCAACACTTGGGAAGATGAGGCTCTTTGAACTTCTTGCAGATCAAGCAGACTGGTACGAGTGCCAAGTTGCCTGAGTATTAATTACCCGAGCTAAGTCATGTGATTCAAGCTCTCACAACTCTCAGGGTCCCCTGCGATACTTGCAAAATTATGAAATATTAGCTTCTTGCCACGTCAGATTCCTCAAACATTGGGATTTATAACGTCATTCTTGGGAGCTTTCTCCTGGGGATTTATTCTTTAATGTAGCTCATATTTTGAATGTCTTTACCAGCCTCAGTGACCAGTGAGAGGTATTAGAGGATGTGGAATGAGTGGAAATCTGAAAATGAAGAGGTTAGAGAGCTTTCCACTAATCATCACTGTAGATACCTTCACTTCTCTGAGTTACCTATATGTTGCTACCAATAAAAGTCAGTCTATTACATGTGTTGACATATATGATCTTTCCTGTTTACAGAAAAACTGAACGGAGAGTATAATTATCTCCAATTTAATAACAAAAGAAATGGAGGTTTAAATACATATTGGTCAAGGTCACAGAACCTGTAAAAACCTGAATCAGCTGCTGACTCCAATCCTCTAGGAAGCTGCCTCCAGTTGGAAATTGAAATGTCTTTTCAAGCAAGAACAGCTTCAGGCCCCAGTGGTAACGGTAAAGGTCATGTGACATGTTGCTCTGAAGATGCAACAACATTAGATTCTACTTATTTTCACTGCTCTAGTTCAGTGTGTAGGGAATCTGTATTTCTGGAGGAACAATATTACTTTTTCATAACACATTTTCTGCACATTCACAGAGGCAGGGCTTTGCTGCATCATAGAATCACAATTTAGGAGCCCATTTTTACCAAACAAGGCTTTGGGGGTGTTTATAGGGGTCCCCAAAATGTCTGAAACTAGACATGTCTCCATTTTTGAGCACACAGCTTTAAAAAAGCTAAGAGACTGGATGCCAAACTTCAGCCCAGAGTGAATTTTTACGACTTGCACTGTAAACCTATGAAATTAGGGGTTTAAAATGGAAATGCTGACACAATCTTTGCACTTCATAGAACATCAAGTGCTGGTGGGGGTAGTGCTCTCTGCTCACTGCTGCTGGCCCCTGCTGGGCTAGGAAACTTCCTGTCCAGCTTTCTTTACTTTGGGGCCTCTGGTTCTCTTCTAGACTTCTCCAAGCCTCCCTCTGGCCTGGCTAGAAAACACAGCTCAGATATAAGCCCATCTGCAGATGTTCAGGGTCAGGCTCTGAACTGGCTGTGGAGTCCAGCCTGGGGAAGCTTTACTGGTTTCAAGCTCTCTGGTGCTGCCTTGGACTGCTGGCCAGGACCTCCTGGCCTCAAACCTTCCGAGTGCCCCTGAAAGGCACTGCTTGGGGCTATGTTCCTTCTAGGGCCAGCGACCAGCTTCCTGTGAACCCTTCTATGACTGCAGAATGGAACCATTCCTGAGGCATCCAGGGCTCCCGCTGGATTTACTAGTGGCTTTTGCTGAGTGCTGAGTTTATATCCTCCTGAAAGGAAAACCTCTATTAAAAACTTTTTCCTTCATGGCAGTAAAGTGACAGATGGTGATTGCTGTCTGAAAGTTACCCTAGATCAGCTTGGCTTCAAGCTTACAGACTTTGAGTCTGACTGCCTGGATTCAAATCTTCCAAATACCTACCTCACAGGATTGTTTTGAAGATTAAATGAGGTTGGTTGGGAGTGGTGGCTCACACCTGTAATCCCAGCACTTTGGGAGGCCAAAGCAGGCAGATCTCCTGAGATCAGGAATTTGAGACCAGCCCGGCCAACATGGTGAAACCCTGTCTCTACTAAAAACACAAAAATTAGCCAGGTGTAGTGGCAGACGCCTGTAATCCCAGCTACTCAGGAGGCTGAGGTGCAAGAATCGCTTGAACCCGGGAGGTGGAGGTCGCAGGGTGCCAGTGAGCTGAGATCATGCCACTGCACTCCAGCCTGGGTGACAGAGCAAGATTCTGTTTCAAAATAAATAAATAAATAAATAAATAAATAAATAAATAAATAAATAAATAAAAGTGATATATGCAAAGTGTGCGACACGCCCTAGGCAAGTATTGAGTGAAGGTAGTGGTCTTCTATCTTGAAGCAAGAGACAGGGTACGGAACTGAGAGGACTGGTTCTGAGAGGCCTGCACATGAATGAACCTAAGGGAGAGAAGAATGGAAATTGATGACTTCAAAATAAAATTGTATTTGCACAGTGCTTCCTAGTGTATAATCTCATAATTTAATCAGAGCACCCCTCTAAGGAAGATGATCTCAATTTTATAGACTGTGGCTCAGAGAGGTTAAGCGTCTTGGACAAGGTCATGCAGGGAGTAAATGAAAAGCCAGGGCTTGAACCACGTCCTGATTCTAAGTTTGGTGCTCTTTCCACGACTTCACAGATTTCTTCTGTTTCATAGATTTCATGATAAACTAGAAGGTGTGGGAGTAATAGTGAAGTCCTTGGCCGGGTGCAGTGACCCATGCCTGTAATCCCAGCACTTTGGGAGGTCAAGGCAGGCAGATCACTTGAGGCCAGGAGTTCAAGACCAGCCTGGCCAATATGGTGAACCCCTGTCTCTACTAAAAGTACAAAAATTAGCTGGGCATGGTGGCATACCTCTGTAATCCCAGCTACTTGGGAGGCTGAGGCACGAGAATTGCTTGAACCTGGGAGGCTGAGGTTGCAGTTAGTCGAGATCACGCAACTGCACTCCAGCCTGGGTGACAGAGCAAGACTCTGTATAAAAATAAAAAATTTCAAAAAAAAAGTGGAGTCCTCATTACCTTATGGGTTCTTAATTTTAAAAGACTGATTTTATACCTTCAAAAAAATGACTCATTATTTAAAGAAAGTGTATTCCATTTCTTTATCACTAAGGACTCCAGAACATGTAACTTGGAGTTAGTACAAGTGAGGCTCCAATGAGCATTTTTTTTTCTTTTTTTTTTTTGCGACAGAGTTTCACTCTTGTCGCCCTTGTCGCCCAGGCTGGAGTACAATAATGCAGCCTCAGCTCACTGCAACCTCCCCCTCCCAGGTTCAAGCAATTCTCATGCCTCAGCCTCCCGAGTAGCTAGGATTACAGGTGCCCACCACCAAGCTTGGCTAATTTTTGAATTTTTAGTAGAGACAGGGTTTCACCATGTTGGCCAGACTGGTCTTGAACTCCTGACCCCAGGTGATCCACCCGCCTCGGCCTCCCAAAGTGTTGGGATTACAGGCGTGAGCCACCACGCCCAGCTGAGCATATTAGTTTTAAAATGGAATTAAATTGAGTTTTCTAACTTAATTCCTCTTTCTTTTATACTTTCTCCAATTTTAGCTTCAGTAATTTTCTTTTTCTTGGAGATTCTCATAATACCTTTCCATCCATGGTCAGAATTTACTTGCAAAACAACAGAGTAAAACAGCATAAAAATAATGGAAGCTGCTTAAGTGTTTCATGGGGCCGGGCAAGGTGGCTCACACGTGTAATCCCAGCACTTTGGGAGGCCGAGGCAGGCGGATCATGAGGTCAGGAGATCCAGACCATCCTGGCTAACACGGTGAAACCCCGTCTCTACTAAAAATACAAAAAAATTAGCCGGGCTTGGTGGCGGGCGCCTGCAGTCCCAGCTACTCCAGAGGCTGAGGTAGGAGAATGGCGTGAACCCGGGAGGCGGAGGTTGCAGTGAGCCGAGATTGCGCCACTGCACTCCAGCCTGGGCGACAGACTCCGTCTCAAAAAAAAAAAAAGAAAGTCTTTCTAATTTGCTTAGATATCTAACCCCCACGTAAATGTGGGCATGAAATAATTAAGTAACAAAACTCTAGTTTGCTACAGTCACAAAGGAAGGTGTGATGTAACCCAAGAACTGTCATTTCTTCTGCACGTTGGAGAAGACTTTTTCAGGTTGTTCTGTTCTCTTCCTAAAAAAAAAAAAAGGAAACAGAGAAATGGAGAGAAGATAAAAAAAAAAGCAAGAGACTAACAGATATCAAAGCTGTGCGAGAGAGAGTGGCTGTGGCATGTATTTTGCAGGGCGGAGAGTGAAAGAAAGTGAACTTTCATTTGTAACAGCTTTAAATGGTTCTGTTCAGGAGCAGATGGGGAACAATTTTGCTAGTGCTATGGAAATACAGTTCGAAGGACTGCAATCACAGACCAAACTCTCAGCAACTGCAGACAGAGAAGCTGAGAATTTTCTGTAAATAGTTAAAAGCATCTGGACAAGGTAGACCAGTAGGAACATAAGACAGCATGGAGCTCAGAAAGTCAGCAGTCAATGTACACAACAAAAGAGTCGGACCAGGAGAGAGACAACCCACCAGTTATTTAGTGTAAAATGATTGGTGCTTAATATTGAAACTGTATGATTGTATAAAAGAACTGATGATTATAGTTGAGTTTAGAGATTTATGTTTAAATTAAATAATAAAATATAGCTTATTCTACAATGTACATTTTGTCCTATAATATACATTTTATTATATAATATACATTTAGTCAAACCTTTAAAAGGATCAATGAGATCCTTTTAAAAGTCTTCATGGGCCAGGCACGGTGGCTCACTCCTGTAATCCCAGCACTTTGGGAGGCCAAGGTGGGTGGATCACCTGAGGTCAGGAGTTCGAGACCAGCCTGGCCAATATAGTGAAACCACGTCTCTACTAAAAATAAAAAATTAGCTGGGCATGGTGGCGCACGCCTGTAGTCCCAGCTACTCGGGAAGCTGAGGCATGAGAATTGCTTGAACCCGGGAGGCGGAGGTTGCAGTGAGCCGAGATCGCGCCACTGCACTCCAGCCTGGGAGGTTGCAGTGAACTGAGGTCGTGCCACCGCACTCCAAAAAAAAAATAAATAAATAATAAAAAATAAATTTAAAAAAGTCTTTATGAAGTCTTGAGTTCGAACAGACAAAATCCTTTAACTATTCATGATACTCGAACCAAGTGGATTCCAGCTCCCAACTATAGGCTGGGATTTTGATGCCAAAAATTGGCAAGAAAGACAAAACAGCTGAGAATAGTGCCTGATGAAGGTGAACCACACTTGCAACTGCTTATATGTGGTCAGGTTTGTGTTAATGACTCTTTATGCTGTGGCATTCACAAAATTTCTCTCTCATCTTGGGATTTTTCCTCTTTCTTTTTTTTTTTTTAAAGACGGAGTCTCGCTCTGTCACCCAGGCTGGAGTGCAGTGGCGTGATCTCGGCTCACTGCAACTTCTGCCTCTCAGGTTCAAGCAATTCTCCTGCCTCAGCCTCCCAAGTAGCTGGGATTACAGGCACCCACCACCGTGCCTGGCTAATTTTTGCATTTTTAGTAGAGACGGGGTTTCGCCATATTGGCCAGGCTGGTTTCGAGCTCCTGACCTCAGGTGATCCACCCGCCTTGGCCTTCCAAAGTGCTGGGATTTCAGGCATGAACCACCATGCCCGGCCCCTCTTTCTTTTACTGGTAAGAAATTATAGCCGTACTCTGTCTCTCAGCTTCTCATGATCTCAGACTCCTATGGTCTCACCATTATTCCTTTCCTAATACATTCCATATTTTAGGCCATATATCTCCCCTGAGCCAGTCAGAGCTCAGTCTCTCCAGAAACACAGCTATAAACCAGGAAGAAAGGGAAAATGAAGGGTTAAGTAAAGAGAGAGAATGAAGCTTTATGTATCACCTGCTATGTGTCTAGAACTCTGTTATATACTTTATATATATTTCCTCACTTAATCTTTGTAACTGTATGATATCAGTCTTATTTACTCTATCAGATGATGAATCTGAGGTTCAGAGAGATTGAACAACTTGCCCAAGATGACACAGCTAACAAGTAGAGGAGTTAAGATGCAGATTTGGGTCTGTCTGATTCCAAAACTCATATTCTTTCCACTGCACCACACTGCTTTCCAAAACTTTATCTGAATAATCAAGACTTGTGTTGCAAAGTATGAACCCAAGGTATATGATGATTTATTTTACTCATATAGCTAGTCTAAAACCCTCACATAGAACTTGTGAGTCACAGTTGTCTGGTTCCTAAGCCTAGAGCTAATTAGAAAGAAGTAGCAAATTAAAAGATGAGGGAGGATTTTGTGAGCAAGTGCACTGACTACAGTGAGAAGAGGCAGATGGCAGCTTGATAGTAAGAAAAAAACCACATTCAAAAGCAGATATGGCTGGGCGTGGTGGCTCACATCTGTAATCCCAGCCCTCTGGGAGGCCAAGGTGAGCAGATTGCTTGAGTCCAGGAGTTGCAGACCAGCCTGGACAACATGGTAAAACCTTGTCTCTACAAAAAAAATACAAAAATTAGCTGGGCATGGTGGCATGCACCTGTAGTCTCAGCTACTAGGGAGGCTGAGGTGGGAGGATCGCTCGAACCCGGGGAAGTTGAGGCTGCAGTGAGCTGTGATCATGCCTTTGCACTCCAGCCAGCCTGGGTGACAGAGTGAGACCCTGTTTCCAAAAAAAATGAAAACAAAAACAAAAAAAAAGATATAAGAATAAAAGCATATAAAAATTAACAAAAGCTTCACATTAAGTGATATTCATACTAACAACTGCTATCATCTAAATAGTACCTACTAAGTGTCAGGCTCTGTGCTAGACACAATGATTTTTAAAACTCAGAGCATTTCCACTATTATTTGTTCACAATGGGCCTCTGCATTAATTTCACTTGTAAAAAGAATTTTCGGGTGAACAGTACTTTAAAAAACTACCTTTTATCACATAATTCTCAAATCATCATTATGAAGTTTGATTCTAGCGCTCCCATTTTACAGATGAGAAATGGGAGCTGAAAAACATTAAGAAATTTGCCCAAGGTCACATAGCTATTAACAGCAGGAGCCAATATTCCAACACAGGTCTGCTGACTTCGGAGTCTGTGTTCTTTCCACTGTCATGCTGCCTCCACATTTATAGGGATGGCGCTGAGTCATTAAAAAAGGTTAACTTATAGCCCTTTAAGAAGCCAGGGAAATTACATTGCTTAAACTGGTGGAAAAGTGTACTTAAATGGCAAGCACCCAGCTACCTGGGAAACTGAGCTCTTTGGAATGTCCAGATACATAATAACAGGGGAGCTACCTACACCTTTCCCAAGTTTACCTTTACATGAGTGTAATTTTGTAATTGTCATGTCTCTTTCTTGAAGATGTACTTACATAGTAAGCATAAGAATGATACAATTTTCAGTTGGAATGTGCATTGTCACACCTTCATGGCAATGACTTTGTTGAACCACCATTCATTAATAGAATCTGCACATACACATAATTTATAAAGTACTATTCATAAAAGCACATTTTGTGAATAACAATCTGTGGGCTGCAGAAGCAGTATCTTTCATGACATCTTTCTAATGATCTTGTCAGAGGGGAAAGTAGTTATAAATCATCCTTCAAATCCCTTAAAGGTTGAGAGGTAAGTAGTAACTAGTCATCTTCAGAACTCATTGGATTTACAAGTTTATCCTTGAATAGGTTCATGACTGAGAGTGGGCCTCATTAATCTTAATCATATCAATCTGAGTACCTAGTAAAGTTAGGTCAGCCATGGCTGCTATCAGAGACAGTCAGGACGTACTGCAGACAAGAATGCACTCAGTTCGTAGACACACATACCCAGGCCAGATAACAGCCAGGGATTTAGGAGAGATTCTCTGGAGACACAAGTAGTCTCCATAATGACAATAGCTAGAGAAAGGCTCCCAGAGCCAAACACACAGCTAATAAAACCACTGAGGTGCAGGGTCAGACCAGACTTAAGCTCAGATTCATCCAGAACATTAATGGCTCTATTAAAAAAAATTCAACAGAAACCTTGTATGCAACAAGTGGCCAATTTGGGGCTTCCATGAGTAGACTGTGATTGTCCTAGGAGACAGGGCTGGATAGCATCAAGCTCAGGAAGAACTCTGCTCTGAGCCCTCCATTTTAGATGTGGGGAGATCACCACAAAATGCAGAATAAAAGGGAGGGGGGTAAGGAGAAACCACATCGTGTAGACAGATTTTTGCATTTGTTGGAGATGAGAGAGAAGAGAATGGTACAATTTTCAATTGGAATGTGCATTGTCACACCTTCATGGCAATGACTTTATTGAACCACCAATTCATTAGTAGAATCTGCACATACACATAATTTATGAAGTACTATTCATAAAAGCACATTTTATGAATAATAATCTGTGGACTGCAGAAGCAGTACCTTTCATGACATCTAATGATCTTATCAGAGGGGAAAGTAGTTATAAATTATCCTTCAAATCCCTTAAAGGTTGAAAGGTAAGTAGTAAGTAGTCATCTTCTAAAAGACTAGTCTAAATACTAAAAGTATAGATTGACCTGACCAGAGAAGCGAAGACGGGTCATCTGTCACACAGTGTCGTGAACCTAACTAGTTGGGTCAGTATTTTCCAATATTTTTAATCTTGTGAAACATGCAAACTTGCCGGGAAGCTGCAGGGTAGATATTCTTCTCTCCTCTCTCCATCTCTCCAGCCAAAATAGCTCGTTCACTTACTCTGTTGAATTTCTCAGAGAGTCTGTAAGCTCCTTATGCGCAAGGATATCATATTTTATACATCCCTATTTTCCCTACAAAGTCTAGTACAAGAACACATAGTAGGCTTTTGGTAAACCTTTGTGGATTTTAACTGCCCTTTCTGCTTTCTGCCACTACACAGAGAAGATATTCACCCTCTTCTCTCATTGCTTTTATTAACTAAACTTCTTAACTCTTGGTCAAAAACTTTTAAAGTGTGAAGAAACACAGGACTTGAAACTGACAAAGGAAGCCCTTGTGATATATACAAAGGTCTCAACAAAGGGGATGAGAACCTACGTTAGGTGATTTGATTTCAGCCATCCTTGATTTAGTGAGCTTTCAGATTTGCACCTTACTTTACTTTTGTTTTGTTTTGTTTTTTTCTAGGTTTAAGCTTTGTCTTTTCCCTCTCTCTTTTTCTTTTTTAAACCTTTGGAGAACTTTTATTTTATGCTTCCTTATTTAGCTTTGTAACAACAGGAGTAATTGCTTTAATACTGCCTGTCACTAACGCATTTTTAACAGCTTTATTGAGATATAATTCACATACCACACAATTCATCCACCTAAAGTGTACAACTCAATGATTTTTAGTGTATTCACAGAGTTGTGCAACTATCATCACAATCAATTTCAGAGCATTTTTATCACCTCAAAAATAAACCCCATACCCTTTAGCTCTCTCTCCCACTCCCTTTTCCCCTCACGCTTCCTAGCCCTAGGCAATCACTAATCTACTTCCTGTCTCTATAAATTTGCCTATTTTGGACATTTCATATAAATGCAATCACACAATATGTGATTTGTGACGGGCTTTTTTCACTTAGCATAATGTTTTCCAGGTTTGTTCATGGCATACTATGTATCAGTGCTTCATCCTTTTTATACCCAAATACTATTCCATTGTATGCACAGACTACTTTTGTTTAAACATTCATCAGTTAATGGACATTTGCATTGTTTCTGCTTTTGGGGTATAATGAATAATATTGTTACAGACATTCAAGTGCAAACCAGATACAAATATTCAATAACAAGTATTGGGTTGTTTGAAGATGTGGAGAAATTAGAACCCTCACACACTGGTTTGGAATGTAAAATGGTGCAGCTGCTTTGGCAAAATGTCTAGAAGTTCCTCAGTCATCATAGTTAACAAATGGCCCAGCAATTCCACTCATGGGTCTTTTTTGATTCTAGCCATCCTAGTAGAAGTAAAGTGATATCTCATTGTGGTTTTGATTTGCATTTCCCTGATGACTATTGATGTTGAGTATCTTTTCGTGTGCTTATTGGCCATTTGTATATCTTCTTTGTAGAAACATCTATTCAGATCTTTTTCCTTTTTTTTTTTTTTTTTTTTGAGACGCAGTCTTGCTCTGTAGCCCAGGCTGGAGTCCAGTGGCACAATCTTGGCTCACTGCAACCTCCGCCTCCTGGGTCTCTGTTCAAGCAATTCTCCTGCCTCAGCCCCCCGAGTAGCTGGGATTACAGGAATGTGCCACCATGCCCAGCTAATTTTTGTATTTTTAGTAGAGACGGGGTTTCACCATGTTGGCCAGGCTGGTCTTGAACTCCTGACCTTGTGATCCACCCACCTCAGCCTCCCAAAGTGCAGGGATTACAGGCATGAGCCACTGCCCTCGGCCTCCTTTTCCCATTTTTAAATTGAGTTATCTTTTTATTATTGTGATACATGTCCCTAATCAGAAATATGATTGCAAGTATATTATCCCATTCTGTGGGAGAATAAAACAACACAATATTTTACATCAATATTTACATCATGAATATACGTCAGTAGAATAGAACTGAAAATCTAGAAATCCTATGAAGCCTAATGTATCTTTATGCCAGTACCACACTGTCCGGATTAATGTTGCCAGTACCACACTGTCCGGATTGATGTTGCCAGTACCACACTGTCTGGATTAATGTTGTCAGTACCACACTGTCTAGATTAATGTTGCCTTGTAATAAGTTTTGGAATTGGGAAGTGTGACTCCTTCAACTTTGTTCTTTTTCAAGAT
This sequence comes from Homo sapiens, assembly GCF_000001405.40. Lineage (NCBI taxonomy): Eukaryota > Metazoa > Chordata > Mammalia > Primates > Hominidae > Homo > Homo sapiens. The sequence goes on from NC_000017.11 coordinate 61,521,108, forward strand.
TGTTTTGGCTATTCCAGGGTCCATCAACTTTCTACATGAATTTTAGAATCAGTTTGTCAATTTCTACCAAGAAACTAGCTGAGATTCTGATAGGGATTGTGCTGCATCTTGCCATCTTAGCTATACGTCTTCTGGTCCACAAATATGAGATGTTTTTTCATTTATTTAGATCTTTACATTTTTCTTTCAAAACATTTTTGTAGTTTCCAGAGTATAGTTTTATACATCTTTTGTTAATTCATTCCTAAATATGAATTTTTTTTATGCTATTGTGAATGGAATTCTTTTTAAATTTTAGTCAAATTGTTCATTGCAAGAAATGTTCATAGAAATACAGTTTTAGGCTGGGCGTAGTGGCTCATGCCTGAAATCCCAGCTGCCCAGGCGGGCAGATTGTCTGAGCTCAGGAGTTCAAGATCAGCCTGGGCAACACGGTGAAACCCCATCTCTACTAAAATACAAAAAATTAGCTGGGCATGGCAGCATGTGCCTGTGGTGCCAGCTACTCCGGAGGCTGAGGCAGGAGAATTGCTTGAATCCAGGAGGTGGAGGCTGTAGCGAGCCAAGATTTCCCCATTGCATTCCAGCCTGGATGACAGAACGAGACTCTGTTTAAAAAAAAAAATGTATTTTTGTATGTTAATTGTGTATCCTGAAACCCTGCTAAACTCATTTATTAGTTCTAATAATTTGTGGATTTCTTAGAATGTTCTACATAGATCATATCATCAGCAAATATGGATAGATTTAGTTCTTCTTTCATCTTCTGTTTTTTGGAAGAGTTGGTCAAGAATGGGTATTAATTTTTCTTTATAGGTTTGGTAGAATTCACCAATGAAGACATTTTTCTGGGCTTTTCTTTGTGGGTAGTTTTTTTTTTTTTATTACTCATCCAATCTCTACTTGTTATCATTTTATTCAGATTGTCTATTTTTTCTTAAGTCAGTTTTGATAATTTTTGTGTTTCTAGGAATTTTTCCATTTTATTTAGGCTATCTAATGTAGTGGCATACACTTGTTCATAGTATTCCTTTATAATCCCCACTTTCATTTCCAATCCTAGTAATCTGAGTCTTCTCTCTTTCCTCTTTGGTCAGTCTAGCCAAACGTTTGCTAATTTTGTTAATCTTTTCAAAAACCAGGTTTTTTTGTTTTATTTAATTTTCTCTGTTGTTTTTCTGTTCTTTATTTCATGAATTTTGCTTTGATCTTTTTATTTCCTTCCTTCTGGTTGCTTAAGGCTTAATTTGCTCTTCTTTTTCCAATGTCTTAAAGTGGAAAGTTAGCTTATGAACTTGAGATTCCTCTTTTTTTAATATAAGCATTTATAGCTATAAATTTCCCTCTAAACATTATTCTAGCTGCATCCTATAAGTTTTGGTATGTCATGTCTGAATTTTCTTCGTCTCAAAGCATTTTCGTTTTTTTTTGTTTTGTTTTTTTTTTTTGAGATGGAGTCTCACTGGAATGCAATGGCACGATCTCGCCTCACTTCAACCTCTGCCTCCCAGGTTCAAGCGATTCTCCTGCCTCAGCCTCCCAAGTAGCTGGGATAACAGGCACCCACCACTACGCCTGGCTAATTTTTGTTTGTTTGTTTGTTTTGTATTTTTAGTAGAAAAGGGGTTTCACCATGTTGGCCAGGCTGGTCTCGAACTTGTGACCTCGTGATTCGCCCACCTCGGCCTCCAAAAGTGCTGGGATTACAGGCATGAGCCACTGCGCCTGGCTATCTCAAAGCATTTTCTAATTTCCCTTTTGATTTCTTCCTTGGCCCATTGGTTATTTAAGAATGTGTTAATATCCCCATACTTATGAGTTTTCCAAAGTTCTTTGTGTTATTGATTTCTAATTTCATTTCATTGTGGTAAGAGAACAAACTTGGTGCTATTTTTATCCTGTTATTTTTATCCTTTTATTTTTTTGAGGCTTATTTTATGGTCTAGCATATGGTTTATCCCGGTCTAGCATATGGTTTATGCTGGTCCACTTTTCTTAAGCTATAGCTGCAGATTCCTTAGATCATGAAGAGCCTGAATATGATAGAAAGAAGCACCATCAAACTGGGTTTTAACTCCAGCTTTTCTGTTTAGCAACAATATGGCCTTGGAATGTCCATTTTCCCTCTCTGGGATTCAGTGTCCCTATTTGTATAAAGAAGACCAGTTTAGACTAGAAGACTTCTAAGGCTAAAGGGCTGGTTTTAAATTCCAATTCTTAGCTGGGTGTGGTGGCTCACGCCTGTAATCCCAGGCACTTTGTGAGGCCAAGGCTGGCAGATCACTTAAGGTCAGGATTTCGAGACCAGCCTGGCCAACATGGTGAAACCCCGTCTCTATTAAAAATATAAAAGTTAGTGGGCGTGGTGGCGAGCCCTGTAATCCCAGCTACCAGCTACTTGGGATGCTGAGGCAGGATAATCACTTGAACCCGGGAGGCAGAGGTTGCAGTGAGCCGAGATCATGCCACTGCACTCCAGGTTGGGCAACAGAGCAAGACTCCATCTCAAAAAGAAAAAAAAAAAAATCCAATTCTCTCACTAGTCTGAATAAATCCTTTAATCTCTCTGGAGCGAAGTTTCCTTATCTCTAAAATTAGGATAATAATACCTACATTTCCTGAGTTGTTTTGAGAATAGAATAACATATGCATAATTACTGGCATATGGTAGCCCTTCAATAAATGAGCTTTGTTGTTGTTGTTTTAATGATGAAAATTTTCTATTTGTCCTATGGTCCACCATAACACAACAGGCTAAGTTCACCTCATACAAAAACTTATCTGTTTGGCATTTGCTCCCCAAAGCCACCAGCTGATGTGGCTTGTGCTGGCCCACTTTTATGGTCCACTTTCAGGATCCCATGTATATAATATACTAGAATGAGGCATTTCATCGTAGCATCAATCTGAGCCTCAATGAGGCTTCTTACATAAATGACATTTTCTGTTTTGTACTTGATGTCTACTTTCCTCTTCAGAGATCATGGTATTTCATAACTATTTGCTTTATAATTCTATACTAGGTAGAACTTCTCACCTACAGGGTGTGTAATCAAGTTTTCTAAGATGTGGAGAAGCAGCCAGAGAAACCTGGGTCTCAGGGAAGCCTTAGGACATGGTATGTCCTAAAAATCCAGCCTCATAAACCCTCTCATTTTAATTTCTTTGAGCTCCTTGTCTTCAGTCACTCCACCTGAACATAAAGCAAACAAGATCGATTTTGAAACCCAGCAGGGAAGAAGAAAGAAGAAATTCTATCAGACTGATGTAGGAGGTGGAACTCTACTCTGGAGGTGGGGCTTGGACACTGGACCAAATTGAGGACTAGCTAAAACATCCAGGGCAGAAGCACCTTCCCGTAAGACATGGCCACTAGTGTGCCATGTCAGTTTATCATTGCCATGGCAACACCCAGAAGTTACCACCCCTTTCCCTGGCAACCACCAAACAACCTGGAAGTTACCACCCTCATCCTAGAAATTTCTGCATAAGCTGCCCCTTAATTTGCATATAATTAAAAAGTGGGTATAAATATAGTACAGCCCTGCCTCTGAGCTGCTACTCTGGGCACATTGCCTATGAGGTAGCCCTGCTCTGCAAGGACCCGTACACTGCAGCTTCAATAAAAGTTGCTGTTTAACACCACCAGCTCGCCCTTGAATTCTTTACTGGGTGAAGCCAAGGACCCTCCCAGGCTAAACCTTGATTTGGGGGCTTGCCTGTCCTCCATCAAGACCATGCAATATCTGGAAATAGGAGGGGCTGAATCTGAGAATAGAACTCACGGCACCAAATTTATAGATCTTATAAATATGGGAGAGGAAAGGAAAGGTCATTTTTTGGGGGGAAAAAGGAAAGGAAGTTCATCTGATGCTTACTGAGGTTATCCAGCTACTGACGCCTGAAGAATCAACTCAGGTGTGAATAGTGATTGTAGGGTAAAGCCCCTCTTGGTAAGATACTCCTGGCATAGGATACTATGGTAGAGAATGAATGGGAAAATGGCAGGCATTACTTCAGGTATTTAAGCTATGTTTCTTTGAAGAAAGTTGGTTCTCAGTTGTGCCACAAAATAGGAACACAAAGAGTGGTGAAGAGTGAGTAGGTGGAAGCTGGAGAAGTTGTCTCCACACTCACACACTCTTTCTTTCCAAAGATTAAGTCTGTTAACAACTCCACTATCTCAATTAGGCCAGGTTTTGGCAATGCAGGAATGCAGTCAAGGATAATTTATTCCTAGTCAAGAATTTACTAGGAGTCTACCAGGTGCCCCATCCCACATCCCAGAACAGCAAATTCACTAGAGGAATTGGCAGCTTTTCCAAACCTCTACACTAGACCAGGACTCCAAACGTGTAGCAGCCACAATGCTTTCCTTGGAAGAGCCTCCGAGCTTTTATTAGCTTTTTGCTGTTTTTCTAGGTTAAACCCATTGGAAATTGGATTCTCTTTAAAAAGAAGTCTATTTTGGTTGAGAATACAGAGTATGTGGAATAATCAAGTCAGGTAATCTCTGGGGCTTTGGATTAAGAATTCTCTGCCCATGATGCATCATATTTAGCTTTTATTTTTGGTGAAAGCCTAGTCTAAGAAATTGTATGAAAAAATAAGTAAACAATCACAATCTTTGGAGAATAGAAATGATGTCTGACTTAGCTATTCGGTGAGCCTTGAAGATTCTGGCTTTGTCCTTGCATGTTTTAGGTTAACAGGTGTTTCCAGACAAACGAGTCATGTTTATTTAAGGCCAGTATTGGTGGCCAGTAAAAAGGCTGGACTTCTTGGCTCTCAGATGCAGTGTGATTTTGGATTTTTCTCTCTACTACATTAACCATACATTCTTTAAAGAGTACTTAGAGTCCTGGGAAGGATGTAAAATGTCAACACTGAACTAAGATTACAAAACTCCTGGAATCATAGCAAACATGTTGTTAAGGATCAAACTGAAGATGTGCAAATCAAAAACAATACTTTAAACATACTCTCAGCTTTTCAGTTCATTCTAAAAACTCAACGATTGCTCCAAATTCAGGGCAATGGCACTTCCCTCCCCTTCTAGGTTCTTCTCTGAAGAGCTCGGGGCACTTTCCAGACATGACTTCATTTACTCTCCCTGCAACTAACAGTGTGGGAGAGAAGAGCAGAGCTATTCTCTATATATTACTTATTGAGGAAAAGTGTCCTAGAAAAGAAACGATGTTAGAGTCACATCAGATGTTAGGTGAAGAGTTGTGTGCCTTTTTTGCCTTTGCTAAGACAAAATCCATGGAACGCGAAAGCTGGGAGAAAACTTAGATACCATCTAGTGCGGTGATTTCATATACAAGTAAAATTTCAAAACAATTTTAAGGATCAGCTACATATTTGGCCGAAAGAACACTAGAAAAACAACATTTGTCATCCCATGAAAGCAGGGATATTACAACGCCAAAGAGGTAGGAAGAACAACCTCAAAATACACAGTAGTCCTTCTCAGTAAAGGACCATTTGCAACTTTATATCAACACACACACAAACACAAACACACTATATTTCCCTAGTTTTTCTCTTTTTATCATCATAGACCAACTTCAGTAGAAGGGCAGACGTACAGGAATTTAGCCCACACCTTTATTTTACTTATGAGAAAATTAAGAGCTGGAAAAGGAAGTAGGACTGCCAGATAAAACACAGGACACCCTATTAAATTTGAATCCCATGCAATATTCTGGACATAGTTATGCTCCCTAATAATTTGTTGTTTATCTCAAATTCAAATTTAACGGGGCGCCCTGTATTTTTATTTGCCGAGTCTGGCAACTCTAAAAGGAAGTGACTTCTAGTTACTTGACTTGAAGTAACCGTGTTTAATAGTAAAATTAGAAGGAGAAATCAGTTCCGAGTCCAGTAAATTTTTTTTACTATACTGTGCTACCTTTTAATGCATCATAGTCCTGCTCTAATTCAATATAATTCATCACCCATGCTAATTCACAGCTTGGGTATCTACAATCACCTGCCCACCTCTAATTCTAATTTCATTGTTTGTAATTCTGATACTTTCCTCTTTAGATCCCAAAGATTCTCCCTCTATACTGGCAGTTATTCAAACTTTTTAGCCTCAGGACCCTTTATTCTTAAAAAATATTGATGATCCCAAAGAGTTCTTTATGTATGTGAATTATATCTATCAGTATTTAGTGTACTGGAAACTAAAATTGAGAAAAAATTTAAATATCTTTGTATTAATTCATGAAAAAATAATAAGCCCATTACATGTTAACAAAATAACAAATTTAATTTTTTAAACTATATTTTCCAAAACAAAAATATCAAGAAGAGTAGTAATGGGTATTATCTATTATTTTTGCAAAATCTCTTTATTGTCTGGCTTAACAGAAGACAGCAGATTCTGATATCTGCTTCTACATTTGATCTGTTGTGAAATGTTTTGGTTGAAGTATATGAAGAAAAAGTAGCCTCAGCCAGGTGCTGTGGTTCATGCCTGTAATCCCAGCACTTTGGGAGGCTGAGGTGGGCGGATCAGGAGTTCGAGACCAGCCTGGCCAACATGATGAAACCCCAGCTCTACTAAAAATACAAAAATTAGCCAGGTGTGATGGTGGGTGTCTGTAATCTCAGCTACTCAGGAGGCTGAGGCAGGAGCTACTCAGAATTGCTTGAGCCAGAGAGACAGAGGTTGCAGTGAGCTGAGATCATGCCATTGCACTCCAGCCTAGACAACAGAGCAAGACTCCATCTCAAAAAAAAAAAAAAAAAAGAAAAGAAAGAAAGAAAAAAAAGAAAAAGAAAAAGTAGCCTCGAACAGACATGTGGTTGAAAAAGGAACGAGTGTTTCAAGTAACGTTTGGAGATCATTGTGACTATTTTTAAATGTTACACCAAAAAATTGATATTTCTTTCAAAAATTGATACTTCTTTAAATAAATTGATAGTTTCTTAATGATTAGTTGCAGTGCAGAATGCAAAACCTTATTAATAAAATTTTGTATTCCTTTACATTAAAATCATTGGCCTCTCATATACTTTGAGTGGATTACTTCTCCATGAATGATTTTGTCACATAATTCATTGGTAACTTGGAAAACATTAGTTCACTAAGTCATGCAGATCCTCCAAATGTTGGCACATTTCCTTATACATTATCAACAAATCACATTTGTTAATATTTGTGATATTTGTTAATGTCATCATTCACGTGATCAAAAATGACTGAAAAGTTTTCTGAAATTCTGTTTTTGTTTGAAAGTTGGAATTTTATTGTTGGCAACAAATACTATATGCTTTGTTGAAGTGGCAGGCTTGTTTTCTCATCATCGAGAAAATGTCTACCAAATCTGAGTAACCAAAACTTGTCTGTCAGTTGTTTTTCAAGTAAAAATAAGGTGCCATGAAAAAAAGCAGTGAACTCAATTTGCCACTCAAATGATTACAAGATAGTTTTCCTTGAAATGGTCATTGTCCTTTGGTATGCAGCACAAGTGCCTATGTGTGCTTCTCATTTTGCCACACTGGCCCTTAAAAAGTCCTTTACCAAGAGATGAGATTTAGAAAAATAAATGTTACTTCATCAAGGATATTTTCAAATGAAACTGGCTTTTTTTTTTTTTTTTTCCAAGACGTAGTATCGCTCTGTGGCCCAGGCTGGAGTGCAGTGGCACAATCTCTGCTCACTGCAACCTCCGCCTCCCAGGTTCAAGCAATTCCCCCAAGTAGCTGGGATTACAGGTGCCCACTATACCCGGCTAATTTTTGTATGTTTAGGAGAGATGGGGATTTCACCATGTTGGCCAGGCTGGTCTTGAACTAGTGACCTTGTGATCCGCCTGCCTCGGCCTACCAAAGTGCTGGGATTACAAGCACTTTGTAATCCCACCACGCCTGGCCTGAAACTGGCTATTTCTATTTGTTGTTTTGTTTCTGGTTTTAATGTGAGTGCATTGCGATGAAGAATGCAGTGACTACTAACCAGTACAGTTTGGTGATAGCAGTTTTACCAACATTACTTTTCAACCATCAGTGCAAATGTCAACATACTGCAAAAGACAAATTATGCCTTAAGATTATTAAGAAAATAGTTTTGCCCTTTGGACCCCCTGAAAGGACCTTGGGAACCCTCAGTGGTCTGTGGACCCCACTTTAAGATCCACTGCTCTATACCACCTTTGCTCTAACACGCTCAGAACCAGCTGAAATGCTTAACAAGAAACTCAAGGCTAAAACTCATTAAGAGGGACAACTCTTTCATTCCAACTCATCACCACAGTATAAACCTGCAAGGAAGCCTTTTTCTTTATCAATTATGAAAAGATATCTGTGGCCTATGACAGAATAACCTAGATTCTGTGAACTGCTCTCAAATGCATGTTGTTCCTTGGGTCTGGGATGTTCCTTGGCCATCTCCTACTCCTAATTCTACGCATGCTTCTGGGAAGTGTTCTCAAATCCCCTAAGACTAAATTCCCATTGCATTGTACTTATCATCATGGGCAGGGGTTAGGAGAGCAGGGAGAGGAGAATAACATTAAGTGCCTACTGTATTTCAGGCATTATACTGGATACTTAACATTTAATGCTTACAAAAACTGTGCAAATTAATTTTATAGTTTAGAGAGGGTAAAAATGTAGGTACTAAGAAGACCTGTTTGAATCTAAAGCTCTTTGTACTCAATCATGGGTTCGTTTTCTATTGCTTAGGGAAATTTGATTTAGTTACAATTTCTCTTATCTTCAAATTTATAAAGGGGTTTAGGTCAATGATCTCTGATTCTTAGCTCTTTATTGAGCTACTGACCAGTTATTCAGCAATCTATATCGAGATTGATAACCATCATTTTTTACACTTCTCTGCAAATCAGAGAGGGCTGAAGAGAAGCTATGACAGAGATGGGCTGGGGAGGAGCAGAGAGTGGGGTGAGGAGGCTGTGATGGTATGAACTCTGAAAAGATATATTCAGCCCATTCATGGAAATCATCAGATGGCTAGAAATTGATATTCAAAGTCATACTATTAGAAAAGAAGAGTAAGCATACAGGGCATAATTTTGAAAAACAAAATAAAACAAAGTGGGGAACTTTGTCCTGCCAAAAATCTAATTGTTTTGTTTTTTGAGACAGGGTCTTACTCTGTCACCTAGATTGTAGTGCAGTGGCACAATCTCGGCTCACTGCAACCTCTGCCTCCTGGGCTCAGGTGAGCCTCCCACCTCAGCCTCCCAAGTAGCTTCGACTACAGGCACGTGCCACCACACACACGTGCTGATTAATTTTTTTATTTTTTTTATTTTTTTTTTGAGACGGAGTCTCACTCTGTCTCCCAGGCTGGAGTGCAGTGGTGTGATCTCGGCTCACTGCAAGCTCTGCCTCCCAGGTTCACGCCATTCTCCTGCCTCAGCCTCCTGAGTAGCTGGGACTACAGGTGCCCGCCACCACACCCGACTAATTTTTTGTATTTTTAGTAGAGACAGGGTTTCACTGTGTTAGCCAGGATGGTCTCGATCTCCTGACCTCGTGATCTGCCCGCTTCGGCCTCCCAAAGTGCTGAGATTACAAGCGTGAGCCACCACGCCCGGCCTTTTTTTTTTTTTTTTGCAGAGACAGGAGTTTCACTATATTTCCCAGGCTGGTCTCGAACTCCTGGGCTCAAGTGATCCTCCTGCCTTGGCCTCCCCAAGTGCTGGGATTACAGGTGTGAGCCACTGCACCTGGCAAAAAAAATCTAACATTTTGACGCTTGATACTGTAAAGTTATAATGCTTAAGACACAAAAATCATAAACTAAAAAGGAAAAGATTGGTGAATTTGACTATTTTGGAAGTTAAAACTTAAGTTTATCAAATGACCTACCATAGAAAAAATGAAAGACAAGACACAGGCTAGAAAAAGATATTTGAAATCTAGAGAACCCACAAAGGATAAGTGCCCAGGATACACAAAGAATTTCTACAAATCTTTATGAAAAAGACAAATAATCCCTCAAAAAGGGATGAAAGATAGAAAATTATATTTCACAGAAGCTGAAATATGCATGGGTGGTAAATAAATAGATATTAAACCTCACTAAATAGGCAGAGAAATGAGATATTTCACATCCATCAGATTAACAAAAATTAAAAAGTCTTTTAATGCTAAGTGTTGGGAAGATAATGAAACAGACCCTGCTGGTGGGAATGTCATTTGACTCAATGATTTTGGAAAATAAATTGATAATAAATAGAAGAAGCGATTATGCATTCATGCCACGACTCACCAGTTCCAGTTTGCGGATATGTTCTAGAGAAGTTCTCGTTCATGTGCACAAAAAAGATATGCACAAGAATGTTCACACTAGCAACGTTAATAATCGTAAAAAATAATAGGTAGGCTAAATGTCCGTTCACAGGAAATTCAAAAGTAGATGGTGGTATAACCATGCAATACAAGAACATAGAGGAGTGAAAATTAGTGAGAGCTCCAGGTATCTATGTGGATTGCTGTAAGACACAAAATGTTGACAGAAAAAAAGCAATTTTCATAGGCATACACACAGATTACGTTTCTATAAGGTGTTTAAAAATGGATATTAATACTATATATTGTTTAAAGATACAATACATATATAGTAAAATATACAAAAGTGCCTGGAAATGATAAAATGCTAGATTCCCTCATCTAGCGGATTGGAAGGAGGCTACAGCTAGGGAAGGCGACACACAGAGAGCTTCAATTTTATTGCTAATGTTTAATTTCTTAAGTTAGGCTGTGGGTAGAGAGGTGTTTGCCACACTATTTTTTACACATTTTTTATGACATAATGTTTTTTAAACCCAAGGGCAAATGTCTGAAAAATATTTTTTTAGGCGTCTCAAGGATATATATCTTCTCTGGGCAGCCAAACCTTTTTCTTCTATTGTTTTTTAATCAGAATATTGATTTTTTTCATCAGTTGGATTACTTTAAGGCATAGTTTCAGACAAAATAACACAAAAACTCATTCTCACCAGTTAAGTTTCACAGTATCTGCCTTCTGGATTAAAATAATGCAGTGCAGAATTTAGCTTATGTCACGTGGGGTCAAGGGAAGAAAAAAGAAATAACCATATCTGGAAAATAGCATGGAGAAACAGGCCCTGTATGCCCACAGTTTATTTGTTCAGTCTTGTAGCAAGGAGTAAGGGAAACATGAAAATACCTTGGTCATAAATTGTCATGTAAAAGACAAAGAGAAACTCTGGAATATTATGAAACTATAAATTACTTCTGCTGAAAGCGTAGAATTTGCAGTATCCCCTTAACCGAGGTTTCACCTCCCCACTTTTGACAGAATAACTCCTGTTCTTTGGAGAAAAACACATGAAATAAATGTAAAACCCGAGAGGGAAATCATCTAATATGTACACCACCTGCCTAATAAAATAAGAATAAATTTGGTTTTTTGGCTAAGTAGATTTGCTTATGTTTTAACTTAGTTAGAGGCACACGCCATCAAAATTACATATTTATTTTCATTTCAAAAGCACAACACAAAGGGACAAAAAACAATTTTATAATGTTTAAGTGGTTTTGCTTTCAAAAACAGACATCCTATGATAGAATTTCTATTTACAAAATAAGACCCAATCAGTTCTTAGGTTAGCATACAATCAAGTCTATTTATTAATTGTGCTAATGAGATCCTGAAACACCACAGTTTGGCCTCCAGCTCGGCCCTGGGATCTCAGACCTGTGGTGCTGAGTTACAGGAGTACACAGATCCGTTTACCCCAGAGATTGCCAGCACTTTAGTCACCAAGCTAATGGCAGCAGGTACCAAACAATGACCTCTCAAAAATAAACATATCTGCTCTTTTAAAACTCTTTCTCCCAAATCCTAGAAGGCAGCAGGCCTCATGAAGAGCTACCTGCAAAATCCTTCCTTTGAAGAAATACACAAATGAGTCAATCCCCCGTTGAGGGATTTGCTAAAAACAAAGGTCCAGGAAGCCACATAAAAATGATTTGTGAGGCTCCTTGACGCCTGACATTTTTTTTTAAAACGCTTTCTATGCTCCATTTCAAAAAACAATGCATCTGCAGGCAACTTGACTGCTATTTAAGGCGAAATGCTGGTCTCAGATGTATATTTGAGGCATCTATTCAATCTGGAGTTTACTATAGCCAAGGCCTAAACCATAAAAATGGAGTTGGTAATGAAAACACGGAGAACTTTAACTAGAGTCAGTGCCAGATTGCCATTCTGTCTCTTCCAGCACCTTCTACTTACGAGAAGTTACTGCCAAATGGAGCACTGGCAAGTTGCAGAGTGAGTCCCCCTTCCTATGGGCTGATGTGACTCTCACCCTAATGGGACGTGGTAGTGCCTGGGAGCTGCTGGTTGGTGCAGTTGTGCTGGGAAGATATGAAGCTAGAATTTCAGAGGCCCACTCTGCGGGTATCGCTTTGGCTCTATTCCATGTGTTATATTGAATGGTAGAAGCAGACATGTATTTTTCAATAGTCTGTATTCCATACAGAAGAAAGAATGGCCAGTGTTAGTCCAGTACTATATTTTGATTATGGGGAAGAAAAATTACAAGAAACTTAATTCAACAAGCATTCACTATGAATAATAATAACTATGATCTTTGAGGGCTTACAACTTAGCCTTCTGCCAAGGACTTTTCAGACATTGAATTGTGTAATCCTCTTAATATTCCTAAAGATATGACTACTATCCTTGTTTTATAAATGAGGAAACTGAGGCCCTGAGAGATTTAGTAATCTGATTCAGGTCACACTTTTCCTAAGTGGCAGATCTGGGACTTGAGTCCACATCTAGTCAAACAATAAAGCCCTTTTCAATACACTGTAACGCTTTTTTGGAGTTATCTTGTATGTGAACTACTAAAGATGCTGTGAAATCAAAACATTTGGGTATGTTAAAACGCATTATGTCTCCCTGAATGATGTACTATATAGTGGTAGGTACCAGAACTCCATTTTGTAGTGGGAATGCTAAAATATGAAAAGGTTATTTAGTGTAATATAGCACTTTAAGGAAGATCCGTTGTCTTGACCTGACCCTTTAGACTATACTGCCGTAAGAAAGTTATAAAACATTCAGTATCTGACTCCTCTTCTTCTACTACCATGTTTGATCTGACAGTAAAAGTTTACAAAACCCCCTTCGTCCCAGACAATGTTAAATAATGGAAGGGGAAAATTCCTATTTTTCCCCCAAAGTTATTCACAGATAAGTTGGCTAAAAATTCAAAAAATGTATGAGCTCTTTTTGGAATTAATTCATTGAAAAGAACCATTACAGTATCTATATCCCTTCCCATCTGGAATTTATTTTTTAAGACGCTCGTTGCTTCTCACAGGTTCAATGTTACCCATTTCACACCATTTAACTATTGAAAGCACTTGAAATTCCGGACCATAGGAGCAGAACCAGGGTCTTTCCTCGTGATGCAACTAATGTGTCAGACTTGTAAAATAGCTCTTAGTGGCGGGCCTCCATTTAGAGAAAGACGGAAACTAGCTTTAAATACTTAGAGCTTTAATATCTAGTCCATTACACTAAAGCAGGGTCTTGTAAAGAGTCAATTATGGGATACTTCTGATTTGATCCACATGCAAGGGAAATCCGCTTCTTTGCCTTTAAATCCCCGTTGTAAGTGTCTTGTTTAAATAATTAGTGACACTTTTTCTTTGATCAAATTGATTCATATTGTTATTCTTCTATGTTAATTTAAAACTTAATCCACATAAAACTCTAAAGCAGATTTTAATCTTGAATAAAGAAAGCTTTCTCCCAAAGAATGGAGTTTTCCAGAAAACATTTTAATTTTTAAAACATCATTAGTTGATTGAAAATAAATTTATTTTTCTGTAAGGAAATATGAGAGTCTATCACAAGCCAAAATCGTACTGTTATTTTTGGTATGTAGCGTGATGCTTTTCAGACACACACACAAAATATAAACTATATGCTTAATAGCATGACTAAGCAACTAAGCAACTGAGACCTCTAAAGACAATCAAATGTAATCTCAGTTTATGGTTTGGGGGCTAAAAAGTTTACATATATTTGAAACATTTGTCAAAGGGTTAATATCCCTCATTTAAACTTTATTTAGAATCTAAGAATTGATAAATAGAAATAAAAGCAAAATGCCAGGTTTTACTTATCAAATTCAAACTTTAAAAAATCATAATATCTAATATTGGTCAGGGCACTGGGAAACTGGCACTCTCATGCACTGCCAGTGGGTATTAGATACTAGTTCTCCGAAGGGCTTTTGGAAAGATATATCAAAAGCCTAGAAAATGCACATTACCTCTGATCCAGCAATAACAATTCCAGCAATTTAGGAGTCTAGTCTCAGGAAACAATCATAGTAAGAATTTAGTTATGGAGATATTTCAACACTGATTCTAACAGTGAAATATTGGGAAAAAACTAAAAGTACCTCAACAAGGGATTGGTTATATACACTGTACTTACACTCACAATTATATCCCTCGAACCTATTGAACAAATGAAATATCTATATCCCTTTTAAAAGGATGGTGTACACAAATATTCTGTTATGTATATTTGAAATACATGGTCAATGAGTTAATATCCCTAATTCAAACTTTACTCATAATCAAATGTGCTAGGGAAAATGGTCATAATATATAATACTTTTTTTTTTTTTTTTTTTTGAGACAGAGTCTTGCTCTGTCGCCCAGGCTGGAGTGCAGTGGCACAATCTCGGCTCACTGCAAGCTCAGCCTCCTGGGTTCACGCCATTCTCCTGCCTCAGCCTCCCGAGTAGCTGGGACTACAGGCACCCGCCACCATGCCCGGCTAATTTTTTGTATTTTTAGTAGAGACAGGGTTTCACTGTGTTAGCCGGGATGGTCTGGGTCTCCTGACCTCGTGATCTGCCCACCTCGGCCTCCCAAAGTACTGGGATTACAGGCATGAGCCACTGCGCCTGGCCTATTTTTATTTTTTTAAATTTTATTTATTTATTTATTTATTTATTTTTGAGATGGAGTCTTGCTTTGCCACCCAGGTAGTGGTGCGATCATGGCTCACTGCAACCTCTTCCTCCCAGGTTCAAGCGATTCTCCTGCCTCAGCCTCCCGAGTAGCTGGGATTACAGGTGCCCGCCACCATGCCCAGCTAATTTTTGCATTTTAAGTAGAGATGGGGTTTCACCATGTTGGCCAGGCTGGTCTTGAACTCATGACCTCAAGTGATCCACCCACCTCTGCCTCCCAAAGTGCTGGGATATTACACGCATGAGCCACCGCTCCTGGCCACTATTTTTATTTTTAAAATGCAAAGATGTGGAGAAAAATTGGTAGGCTATACAGATACTCCTCGATTTATGAACATCATAGCTTAGCCTTATCCTACCTTAAACATGCTCAGAACATTGACATTAGCCTATTGTTGGGCAAAATCATCTAATACAAAGCCTATGTTCTAATAAAGTGCTGAATATCTCATGCAATTTACTGAATACAGTACTGAAAGTGAAAGCTAGAGTGGGTGTGTTGGTTGTTCACTTTCCCTGCCGCTGCCCAGCATCACGAGAGAGTATCATACTACATATCCCTATCCTGGGGAGAGGTCCAAATTCAAAATTCGAACTATGGTTTCTACTGAATGGGTATTACTTTTGCACCATCGTAAAGGTGAAATATCAAAAGTCCAGCTGTTATAAGTCAGGGACCATCTGTACATCAAAATGCTAATAGTGGCTATTTCTGGGTTACAGGCTAATGTTTATTTTCATATTTTCATCTCTGAATTTTCTAAATTTTCTAAAATAAACATGTATTGCTTTCATAATAAGGGTATAATTTCAAACACTTGTGCAATTTTGAATTATTTATACAAGAAATATATTCCCCAAGTTTTAAAAAATATCTAAGTAGGGAGCATAAATATTGAAAGTACTTCCTTCCTATCTCTATTCCCAATTCCACACCCTTTCCAAGATGTGACTACTATTAATAGTTTGGTTTATCCTTTCTGATAATTTTTCTATATATCTTGTATATATACGTACACGTAAATATATTTCAATTTTGATTTTAAAATGTTGTTCATAAATAGGATTATATTCTGTGAATCCATAGAATCTTAGTCTACATAGTCAGCTCCATGAATATTTACATTATTTATCTTTTTTTTTGCTATTATAAACAATGCTGGAGTAAACATCTTCATATGTATGTCAGTGTATACAGGTGTAAGTATTTATCTAGGATAAAACCCAAGAAACTTAAGTAACAGGTTGATGAGAGTGGGCATTTCAAATTGCCTTTCAAAAAGTCTTTTAACATCCCCTGCCTGCATGGCACATTTATTATAATTGATGAGCCCACACTGACACATCATTACGCCTAGAGTCCATAGTTTACATTAGTGTTCACTCCTGGTATTGTGCGTTCTATGCATCTGGACAAACATAAGGACATGTATCCACCATTATAGTACCATACAGAGTAGTTTCCCTGCCCTCAAATTCCCCTGTTCTCTACCTATTTGTTCCCCCGTCCCCCTCAACTCCTGGCAACCACTTATCGATTTACTCTCTCCGTAGTTTTGCCTTTTCTGGAATGTCGTATGATTAAAATCAATACAAGCATACTTCTTTTAGTTACACTTCACCGATATTGCGTTTTTTAGAAATTGAAGGTTTGTGGCAACCCTGCATCATAAAAGTCTGTCGGCACCATTTTTCCAACAGCGTGTGCTCGCTTTGTGTCTCTGGGTCACATTTTGGTAATTCTCACAATATTTCTAACTTCCGCATTATTATTATATGATAATAATAGTTATGGTGATCTGTGATCAGTGTTCTTTGATGTTACTATTGTAATTGTTTTGGGGCACCAAAACCATGTCCATTTAATACAGCAAATTTAATCAATAAATGTTGTATGTGTTCTGATTGCTCCACTGACCAGCCATTCCCCTGTCTCTCTCCTTCTCCTCAGGCAAAGGAAAATTTTTGAAGATAATTAAAAGTGCTACTCCTGAAAATGCATGAATAATAAGAAAGTGGGAGGCTGAGGCGGGTGGATCGCCTGAGGTCAAGAGTTCGAGACCAGCCTGGCTTTTTTGGCCAACGTGGTGAAACCCCATGTCTACTAAAAATACAAAAATTAGCTGGGCATGGTGGTGGGGGCCTGTAATCCCAGCTACTCAAGAGGCTGAGGCAGGAGAATTGCTTGAACCAGGGAGGCGGAGGTTGCAGTGAGCCGAGATCACGCCACTGCACTCCACCCTGGGTGACAGAGTGAGACTCCGTCTCAAAAAAAAAAAAAAAAAAAAAAAATTAAAAGAAAAAAGCAAAGCACCCTTATTGCCGATATGGAGAAAGTTTTAACGGTCTGGACAGAAGATCAAACCAGCCACAACATTCCCTTAAGCCAAAGCCTAATCCAGAGCAAAGCCCTAATTCTCTTTTATGAAGGCTGAGGGAGGTGAAGAAGCTGCACAAGAAAAGTTTGAAGCTGTAAGAGGTTGGTTCATGAAGTTTGAAGAGAGAAGTCTCTGTAACATAAAAGTGCAAGTGAAGCAGCAAGGGCTGATGTAGAAGCTACAGCAAGTTATCTGGCAGTCTAGCTGAGATCATTGATGAAAGTGGCTACAGTAAACAACAGATTTTCAATGTAGACAAAACAGCCTTCTATCAGAAGAAGATGCCACCTAAGACTTTCATGGCTAGAGAGGAGAAGTCAATGCCTGCACTACAGCTTCACAGGCTGACTCTCTTGTTATGAGCTAATGTTGCTGGTGATTTTTTTTTCTTTTTTTTTTTCAGACGGAGTCTCGCTCTGTCGCCCTGGCTGGAGTGCAATGGCACAATTGGCTCACTGCAACCTCTGCCTCCGGGTTCAAGCCATTCTCCTGCTTCAGCCTCCTGAGTAGCTGGGATTACAGGTGCCCGCCACTATGCCTGGCTAATTTTTGTATTTTTAGTAGAGACAGGGTTTCATGATGTTAGTCAGGCTGGTCTCGAACTCCTGACCTCAGATGATCCACCCACCTCGGCCTCCCAAAGTGCTGGGATTACAGGCGTGAGCCACCGCGCCCTGCCCGCTGGTGATTTTAAATTGAGGCCAATGCTCATTTACCATTCTGGAAATCCTAGGGCCCTTAAGAACTGTGCTTAATCGACTCTGCCTGTGTACTACAGATGGAATAATAAAGCGCACATCTATTTACAACATTGTTTAGTGAATTTTTTTTTTTTTTTGAGACAGAATTTCGTTCTTGTTGCCCAGGCTGCAGTACAGTGGCACCATCTCGGCTCACTGCAACCTCCGCCTCCCGGGTTCAAGCAATTCTCCTGCCTCAGCCTCCCGAGCTGGGATTACAGGCATGTGCCACCACGCCTGGCTAATTTTGCATTTTTAGTAGGGATAGGGTTTCGCCATGTTGGCCAAGCTGGCCTCAAACTCCTGACCTCAGGTGATCCACCCGCCTTGGCCTCCCAAAGTGCTGGGATTACAGGCATGCGCCACTGTGCCTGGCAGAATTTTTTTTTTAAATAATTTCAACTTTTATTGTAGATTTGGGGGTACATACATGTGCAGGTTTGTTACATGGGTATATTGCATAACACAGGTTTGGGGTATGAATGATCCCATCACCCAGGTAGTGAGCATAGTACCCAATAGGTAGTTTTTCAGCCCTTTCGTCTCAACTCTCTCCCCCACCAGTAGTGTCCAGCGTCTATTGTTCCCATCTTTATATCCATGTGGACCCAGTGTTTAGCCCCCACTTATAAATGAGAACATGTGGTGGTATTTGGTTTTCTGTTCCTGCATTAATTCACTTAGGATAATAGCCTCCAACTCCATCCATGTTGATGTAAAGGACCTGATTTCATTCTTTTTTATGGCTGCATAGTATTCCATGATGTATATGTACCACATTTTCTTTATCCAGTCCACTGTTAATGGGCACCTAGACTGATTCCACATCTTTGCTATTGTGAATAGGCTGTGATGAAAATACAAGTGCATGTGTCTTTTTGGTAGAATGATTTATTTTCCTTTGGATATTTTCCTTTGCCCAGTAATGGGATTGCTGGGTTGAATCATAGTTCTGTTTTAAGTTCTTTGAGAAATCTCCAAGCTGCTTGCCACAGTGGTTGCACTAACTTACATTCCCACCAACAGTGTATAAATGTTCCCTTTTCTTTGTAGCCTTGCCAGCATTTGTTATTTTTGACTTTTTAATAATAGTCATTCTGACTGCTGTGAGATGGTATCTTATTGTGTTTTTGATTTGCATTTCCCTGATGATTAGTGATGTTGAGCCTTTTCTCATACGCTTGTTGGCTGCATGTATGTCTTCTTTTGAGAAGTGTCTGTCCTTTGCTCACTTGTTAATGGAGCTATTTGGTTTTTTGCTGGTTGAATTGTTTTAAGTTCCTTACATATTCTGGATATTAGACCTTTGTTGAAAGCATAGTTTGCAAATATTTTCTTCCATTCTGTAGGTTGTCTTCTTGCTCTGTTGATAGTTTATTTTGCTATGCAGGAGCTCTCTAGTTTAATTAGGTCCCACTTGTCAATTTTTGTTGTCATTGCTTTTGAGGACTTAGTCGTGAATTCTTTGGCAAGGCTGATGTCTAAAATGGTATTTCCTAGGTTTTCTTCTAGGATAGAGTTTGAGGTCTTACACTTATATCTTTAATCCATCTTGAGTTAATTTTTGTATATGGTAAAAGGTAGGGGTCTAGATTTATTCTTCTGCACATAGCTAGCCAGTTACCCCAGCACCATTTATTGACTAGGGAGTCCTTTCCCCATTGCTTATTTTTGACAGCTTTATCAAAGATATGATGGTTGTAGGTGTGTGACTATACACTGGGTTCTGTATTCTGATTCATTCATCTATGTGTCTATTTTTGCACCAGTACCATGCTGTTTTGGTTACTATAGTTTTACACTATAGTTTGAAGACAGGTAATGTGATGCTTTTAGCTTTGTTCTTTTTGCTTAGGATAGCAAAAAGTGTTGGTTATTCAGTTTCTTTTTTAGTTCCACGTGAAGTTTAGAATAGTTTTTTTCTAATTCTCTGAAAAATGACATAAGTAGTTTAATAGGAATAGAGTTGAATCTGTGGATTGCTTTGGGCAGTATGGCCATTTTAACAATATTGATTCTTCTAATCCATGAGCATAAAATGTTTTTCTGTTTGTTTGTGTCATCTTTGATTTCTTTCAGCAGTGTTTTGTAGTTCTTCTTGTAGAAATCTTTCATCTCCTTGGTTTTATGTATTCCTGGGTGTGTGTGTGTGTGTGTGTGTGTGCGCATGTGTGTGTGTGTCTATTGTAAATGGGATTGCATTCTTGATTTGGCTCTAAGCTTGACTATTGTTGGTGTATAGAAATGCTGCTCATTTTTATACATGGCTTATTGAATGTTTTAAGCCCACAGTTGAGACCTACTGCTCATTAAAAAAATTCCTTTCAAAATATTACTGCTCATTGACAATTAACCTAGTCATCAAGAACTCTGATAGAGATGTACAAGGAGATTGTTGTTATTTTTATGCCTCCTAAAACAACATCCATTCTATACTTCATGGATCAAGGAATAATTTCAACTTTCAAGTCATTTTTTAAGAAGTAAATTTTGTAAGTCTAGGGCTGCTATAGATAGTGATTTCTGTGATGGATCTGAGCACAGTACATTGAAAACTTTCGGGAAAGGACCCACCCTTCTAGATGCAATCACATTTGTGGTTCATGGGAGGAAATAAAAATATCAATATTAACAGGAGTTTGGAAGAAGTTGATTTCAACCCTCACTGGATGACTTGCTGAAGTCTTGGATAATTATTAGCATTTTTAGCATTAAAGTTTTTTGGGTTTTTTTTTTCTGAGACAGAGTCTTGCTCTGTCACCCAGGCTGGAGTGCAGTGGCTTGATCTCAGCTCACTGCAACCTCTGCCTCCTGGGCTCAAGCAATTCTCACGTCTCAGCCTCCCGAGTGGCTGGGACCACGGATAATTTTTGTAGAGACAGGGTTTCGCCATGTTGGACAGGCTGGTCTCAAACTCCTGGCCTCAAATGATCTGCCCACCTCCGTCTCCTAAACTGCTGGGATTATAAGCGCAAGCCACTGCACCTGGCCAGCAAAAAAATATTTTTAATTAAGGTGTGTACATTGTTTTTTAGACATAGTGCTATTGCACACGTAAGAGACTACAGTACAGTGCAAATGTAACTTTTATATGCATTAAGAAACCAAAACATTTGTGTGACCCACTTTATTGTGATATTTGTTTTATTGCGGTAGTCTGGAACTAAACCCACAATCTCTCTGGGGTATGTCTATAGTATGCAGCCTTTACAGACTAGGTTTTCTCCCTTAGTAATATGCATCTAAGTTTCTTCCATGTCTGTTCATGGCTTAATAGCTTACTTATTTTTAGCACTGAATAATATTTTATTGTATGGATGTACCAGTTTGTTTATTCACCTACTGAAGGACATTTTGATTTTCCAAGTTTGGGCACTTTGAATAAAATTGCCATAAATATCTGTGTGTAGGTTTTTGTGTGAACATAAATTTTCAACTAATTTAGGTAAATACCAAGGAGCAATTGCTGGATTGCATGGTAAGCATTTGCTTAATTTTGTAAGAAACTGCCAAAGTGTCTCCCAAAGTGGCTATACCATTTTGCATTTCCACTAGCAATGAATGAGAATTCCTATTGCTTCATCCTTGTCAGTACTTGGTGCTGTCTGTGTTCTGGGCTTTGTCCATTCTAATAATTGCAGTGGTATCTCATTGCTGTTTTAATTTGCATTTCCCCAATTACATATTATGTGGAGCGTCTCTTCATATGCTCATTTTCCATCTGCATATCTACTTTGGGGAGGTGTCTGTTAAGGTCTTTGGTTCTTTTTTAAAAATTTAGCCAGGTGCAGTGGCTCATGCTTGTAATCCCAGCAATTTGGGAGGACAAGGCAGGCAGATCACCTGAGGTCAGGAGTTCAAGACCAGCCTGGCCAACATGGTGAAATCTCGTATCTACTAAAGATACAAAAATTAGCTGGGCATGATGGTGGGTGCCTGTAATCTCAGCTACTTGGGAGGTTGAGGCAGGAGAATCGCTTGAACCCGGAAGGCAGAGGTTGTAGTGAGCCAAGATCACACCATTGTACTCCATCCTGGGCGACAAGAGTGAGACTCTGTCTCAAAGAAAAAAAAAACTAGTTGCTTTTCTTATTTTTGAGCTTTAAGAGTTCTTCAGTTCTTCGTATAGGTTAGAAAACAGTACTTTATCAGATACGTCTTGTGCAACTATTTTCTCACAGTCTGTGGCTTGCCTTTTTTTTTTTTTTTTTTTTTTACAGTGTCCTTCACAGAATAATCTAACTTTAATGAAGTCCAGCTTATCAGTTCTTTCTCTCATGGACCATGCTTTTGGTGTATTTATTTATTTATGAGACGGAGTCTTGCTCTGTCCCCCAGGCTGGAGTGCAGGGGCGAGATCTCGGCTCACTGCAAGCTCCACCTCCGGGGTTCTCGCCATTATCCTGGCTCAGCCTCTGGAGTAGATGGGACTACAGGCGCCCGCCACCACGCCCAGCTAATTTTTTGTATTTTTAGTAGAGACGGGGTTTCACCGTGTTAGCCAGGATGGTCTGGATCTCCTGACCTCGTGATCCACCCGTCTCGGCCTCCCAGAGTGCTGGGATTACAGGCGTGAGCCACTGCGCCCGGCTTATTTATTTATTTATCGAGACAGGGTCTCACTCTGACGCCAAAGCTGGAGTTCAGTGGCATGATCTCAGCTCACTGCAACCTGCGCCTCCCAGGTTCAAGCGATCCTCCTGCCTCAGCCTTCTGAGTAGCTGGGACTACAGGCATGTGCCACCACACTTGGCTAATTGCTTTTGTATTTTTTGTAGACACGGGGTTTTACTATGTTCCTCAGGCTGGTCTCAAACTCTCAAACTCCTGGGCTCAAGCAATCAATCCTCCTACCTCAGACTCATGCAGTGGTGTCATATTTAAAATCTTTGCCAAATCAAAGGTCATCGAATTTTCCCCTATATTATCTTCTAGGAGTTTTATAGTTTTGTGTTTTACATTTAGGTCTGTGATAAAGTTTGAGTTAATTTTTGTGAAGAGTGAAAGGCCTATATCTAAATGTATTTTTCTGCATGTCCAGTTGTACCAGGACCATTTGTTGAAAAGACTGTCTTTTCTCCACTGTATTGTCTTTGTTCCTTTGTCAAAGATCAGTTGAGTATATTTATGTGGGTCTATTTCTAGGCTCTCTATTCTGTTCCATTGATCTGTTTGTCTTTTCTTTCACCAAATACTATCACTACCATGTCTTGATTACTATAGCTTTGTAGTAAGTCTTGAAATTGCACGGTGGAAGTCCTCTAACTTTGCTCTTCTTCAATATTGTGTTTGCTATTCTGGGTCTTTTGCCTGTCCATATAAACTTTAGAATCAGTTTGTAGAAATCCACAAAATAACTTGCTGGGATTTTGATTGGAATTGCATTGAATCTATAGGTCATGAGGGAAGAACTGACTTCTTGACAATATTGATCTTCCTATCCATAAACATGGAATCTCTCTCCATTTATTTAGTTATTTGATTTCTTTCATTGGAGTTTTGGAAATCATGTAAATATTTTGTTAAATTTATACTTAAGCAATTCATTTTTGGGGGGTGCTAAATAAAATAAACAAGTATAATTTTAATTTCAAATTCTACTTTTTTATTGCTGGTATATAGAGAAGTGATCAACTTTTGTATGTTAACTTTATATCCTGCAAACTTGCTATAATTGCTTATTAGTGTTGGGAGCTTTTCTTTCAGACTTTCTACATAGATGATCACATCATCTGCAAACAAAGACAATTTTATTTCTTCCTTCATGGTTTTTATACCTCTCTTATTTCCTTTTATTGTCTTATTGTATTAAATAAGACTTCTAGTCTGATGCTAAAAAGCAGCAGTGAGAGGGGACATCCTTGCCTTGTTCCCAGTCTTAGTGAGAAAGCTTTGAATTTCTCACCATTAAGTATGATATTAGCTGTAGGTTTTTGCAGAGGTTCTTTATTAAATTGAAGAAGCTCCCCTCTGTTTCTAATTTACTGAGAGTTTTTATCATTAATGGACATTACATTTTGTCAAACGCTGTTTTGTGCATTTATTGATATGATAAAGTGATTTTTCTTCTTTAGCCTTCTTTTGATGTGATGAATTACATTAATTGATTTTTAAATGATGAATCAGCTTTGCATACCTGAGATAAATCTCACTTGGTAATGGTGTAGAGTTTTTTATACATTCTTGGATTCAATTTGCTAATATTTTGCTCAAGATTTTTATATCTGTGTTCATGAACAATATTGGTCTGCAGTTTTCTTTCTTTCTAATGTCTTTGTCTGGCATTGACATTAGGATAATGCTTTTATCTTCTGAAAGTAAATATGGTAGAATTCACCTATGAACCCACTTGGGCTTGGTGCTTTCTATTTTGTAAGGTCATTCATTACTAATTCAATTTATTTAATAGGTATAGGCCAGAGCATTTCTTCTTAGGTGACTTTTGGCAGATTGTGTCTTTCAAGGAATTGGTCCATTCCATCTAGGTTATCAAAGTTGTGGGCAGAAAATAGTTTATAGTATTCCTATATTATCTTTGTAATGTCCATAGGGTCTGTAGTGATGTTTCCTCTTTCATTTCTGATATTAGTAATTTGTGTCCTTTCTCTTTTTTCTTGATTAGCTTGGCCAGGGGCTTATCAAAGAACCAGCTTTCGGTTTCATTGATTTTTCTCTATTGAATTCCTATTTTCAATTTCATTGATTTCTGTTCCAGATTTTATTATTTCTTTTCTTCTACTTACTTCAGATTTAATTTGCTCTTCTTCTTTTAACTTCCTAAAGTGGAAACTTAGATGACTGATTTTAGATCTTTGTTTTCTAATGTACACATTCAATGTTATAGATTTTCCCCTAAGCACTGGTTTTGCCACATCCCACAAATTTTGATAAGTTGTGTTTTTATTTTTATTTAATTCAAAAATATTTTAAATTTTCTCTTGAGATTTCTTCTTTGACATATATGTTATTTAGAAGTGTATAGTTTAATCTCCAAGTATTTTGGTATTTTCCAGCTATCTTTCTGTTATTGATTTCTTGTTTAATTCTGTTGAGGTCTTAAAGCAGACATTGCATGATTTCTATTCTTTTAAACAATGCTTTAATTATTGTATCTTTATAGCAGGTTTTGGATATGGTAAGGTAATTGCTCCCTCATTGTTCTTTATCAAGTAGTTCTGTTATGGTCTTATTCAGTTTCTTTTTAGTAAATAATTGAGAATCAGCTTGTCAAGTTCCATGGAAATACTTATCAGGATTTTGTTTGAGATTGCATTAAACTTATGAATAATTTGAGGAGAACTGTCATCTTTACAATATTGAGTCTTCCAATCCAATAACATGGTATTTAACTCCATTGATTCTTCTTTTATAGCTTTCACTGAGGTTCAGTAGTTTATTTTATGTAGTTCATACACATTTCTTGTTAAGTTTTTTCCTAGGAATTTATTTATTTCCTGTAATTGCTGGGATAAAAGACATCTATCGATGTTTCTACACTGATCTTTAGTTAGTTACTTTGCACATTCTCTTATTAGTTCTTAGAGCTGTTGATTTTTCTAATTAGCACATGGTTTGCAAACAATGACACTTTTGTCTGTTTCCAATATTTATTATTCTCATTTACTTTTCTTATCACATTGCATCGGCTTTCAGTATAACGTTAAACAGTAGTTATAAAGGACATCCTATCTGGTTCCAGATTTTAAAGGAAATGCTTATATATTTGATTAGATTTCTTAATAGATAAATTTTGTCAAGTTCAGGAAGTTTACTTTTATCTCTAATTTACTAAAAATGGTTGTCTGTTTATTTAATAAGGAATGAATGGGTGCTGAGTTTTATTAAATTTTTTTAAAAGTCGGGGCCATTGAGATTATCTTTTTCTCTGTTAATTAAATAATTTATAGACTACTAAATCACCTTTGCATTTCTGACATATATCCTGGTTTGACATAATGTATTTATTTAAAATATCACTGGACTTGATTTGTGAATATATTATTTAAATTTTTGCTTTTTCATAAATGACATTGGTCTATATCTAAGTGTAGGCTGCCCTTGTCTAGATTTGGTTTCTGCCTATGAGGCTGAGATAGGAAGTTTTAGCTCACTGTGTTCTAGAGCATTTTATCTATTAAAAGAAACAATTATTCCTTGAGATTTTGTAGATTTTGTAGAGGAAGACTTCTCACTTAACATATTTTTAAATATGTTAAGTTGTTTATCTTATGGAATAGATTTTGTTAAGTTACATTTTTCTAGAAAGTCTTCCATTTTATTTAGATTTTAAAATTTATTGGTATGTAGATAAACTTTAAATATATTTATTTGTGCTTTCTTTGTTCTTGATCAGATTTGCAAGAACTTTGTATATTTTACTGATTGTTTTAACTTCAATTTTTTGTATTATTCATTGGTTCTACTAGTTTGAGTTTTGCATTAATTTCTGCCTTCATCTTGATTAATTCATTACTCCTTTGGGGGGCTTATTTTATTGTTTTTTCCCCTAATTCTTTGAGTCAAAGTCTTAATTAACTCATTTGAATCTTTCTATATTCTATTAATACTCTAAAAGTATCCTCTAAATATCACTTTGTTTGCATCCAGTAGATTTTGGTATATTGTGCTTTTCTTGATTTTTATTTCCACATAGTTTGTAATTTGATGGAATAACATTAAAGATGTTTAATTTTTTTCTCGTAGAGAGATTTTTGGGGAAAATATCCTTTATTAATTACTAATCACTAATTTTATTGAATTGTGATTGGAAATTCATGTCACATAAGATTTCTGTTTTTCTGGTATTTATTAATATTTCCCTTACAATTTAATACATGGCTGAATTTTGAGAATCTTCCATGGATGTTTGAAGATAAATGTATTATGCTTTTCCTGGGTATAATGTTCTATGTGTATTGTTTAGATTTGTTTGTTTGATTGTTAGTTTAAATCCTTATGTCTTTACTTTGTGTGTGTACATGATCATCTGATTTCTCAGAGAGAGTTGTTAGACTCTTACACTTTAATTATGGATTTGTGAATTTCTTCTTGTATTTCTGTCAATTGTTACTGAATAATGTATATTTTAAAGCTATGTTCTTGTTCATAAAAGTTCAAAATTCTTATTTCTTCTTGATGGATTATATTTTTACCAAAATGAAAAATCCTTGTCCCTTTTGTCGTTTTTCATCTTTTACACTAAAACTAGTATTTTGTCTGAAATTAATATTACTATATCTGCTTCCTTATTTTAACATTTATCTGGGATAGATTTTTCCATTTCTTCACTTCAAACTTTTCTTCATCATTTTATCTTATATATGAATCTTGTAAATAACATATGACAAGATTTTTTTAAAACCTAATTGGATTTTCTGTCCTTTAATTGGAAAATTTAACAGGTTTACATTTATTAAGAATACCGGTATATTTTGACTTAATCTTGCTACCTCACTTTATGTTTTCTATTTACTATTGTTTCTTTTTTTATTGTCTTCTGTTGGATTTATTTATTTCTTCTTTTTCCCTTTATTTATTGTTTTGGAAACTATATATTCCATTTTCCTAATGGATTCTTTTACATTTTACATTAAGCTTTCTAATTTTTCTCTTTTTAAAATCATTTGTGTATATATCTAGGCACCTCTTGGCCCCAACACGAATCTTAGCAAACATTCATCTTCTTTCTTGTACTTTTGTCTTTCTTCTTCTACTTCACACATTGAAGTCATCTGGTACTTTAGTTCCAGGTTGTTGTTAACTATTTTTCATTATGCTTGAATATCATCAGACTTATTCTAGGTTTTACTTCTTTGCTTACCGTTTGTTTCTGATATCTCTTATAGTCCTCTGAATTCCTTTTTTGGCAGGGGTTGGGATGGCTTATGTCTTTTAGTAATTCTCTAAAGAGAAAATTTGTGGGTGGTAAACTTCTAAGTCTTACTGTGTCTGCAAATGTCTTAATTTTTGTCTCACTATGTAAATATTAATTAACTAGGAATAATATTTTAGTTTTAAGATAATATTCCCTCATTATATTGAGCTATTATTTCATCTCAATATAATTTTGGTATCTAGTCCTAGTAATTAGACATGAAATGCCAATGTAAAATCTACGCTTTTGTAGATGGTTTTTCCTGTCTTTATTCTTGGTATTTTGAGGTAAGCCCACGATGCAGGCCCTTTCCATCTGCCTTCAGACCTGGGAAATTTTCTTCTATTATTTCTTTGATTATTTCCTCCCTTCCATCGGCTATGGTCTCTTTCAGGAGTTCTTCAAAATATGTAATCTGATAGACTTTTTCTTGTTTTTTGACATTTTATGACTTTTTTGGGAGAAACAGGCATATAATCAGTTCAAAATCTTAATCTAGTCTTTCTATGCATTATTAAGGAAATTTTAAGATAAATGTCAAATTATACTTTTGAATGTGATTGAATTTGGGCTCTGGTTATTTTTCCAAATAATATATTTTTAAAATCCTTGAATGGATTCCCTTTAGATAACTCTATGGAATTTTTCACTCCTTCAACCAATATTTATTTAGTGCCTAATTTTTGCTTGGCATTGTTCTAGGTTCTAAGGATTCAAAGTTTTTTAAAAAGATACAATTTTAAGGTCTGACACAGAGTTTCCCAACCTTGGTACTACCCATGTTTGACTGGATAATTCTTTGTTGTGGGAGGTTGTCCTGGCCATGAGAAGATGTTCAGCAGCATCTCTGGCCTCTACCCAATAGATGCCAGTAGCACCACCACCACCCCATTGCTGTGACAATAAAAAATGGATCCAGTCATTGCCAAATGTCCTCTGATGGGCAAAATTGCACTGCCCCCAGCACACTCTCTGTCACCACTGAGAATCATTGGTTTAGCAGGAGAAATAGCTAGTATACTACCGGGTCTATGGCAGTGGAAGAATATATAGAATGTTGGCACAAAGAAGGTAATGCCTGAGGTTCAGGAAATGTTTTACAATGCAAAAGATAACTTGGCCTGGATCTTAAAGGAAGAATTAGGTACTGGTCAGGTAAACAAGGAATAAGGGAAGAAAGAATAGTAATATTCAGGAGAAAAACAGCATGCGAAGACAGAAAGGTTGAAACAATTTGATGCATCTGAGAAACTCTTAGTAGTTCAGTTCAGTGTGTGGTTGGAATACAGATCTGAGGGCTATGGTAAAAAGGGAAGAAAACAATAGAGCTGGAGAGGTAGTTAGGGACAAGGTTATAAAGGAACAGGCAGGCTATGCTAGGAAATTTGTGCTTTGTTCAGCAGTGATGGAAAACCACTGGAAGTGTTAAGCAGGGAAATGGCATTTTAGGAAGACAGTTTTATAAATATGCAATGAATGGTTTAAAAAGATATGAAACTAGAAATAGGAAGACTGGATAGAAGAAAATTATAACAACCAAGTTAAGGACCCAAACTAGGGCAATGGGGGCCCGAGAGATGGAAAATGGGACATGCAATATATAGGAGGTAGAAATGATAAAATTTCCTGATTGTTATATGGAGAATAAAGAATTGGGAGGATTAAGGACAATGTCAAATTTTGGTGAAAAGAAAGGGTAAATGGAGCTGTTAGCAAATTGTGTTTACAGGTAGAAAATTCAAATAAATATCCCTGGGACAAAAACAAAAAACAAAGAAAACAAAAAAACCCTAAGTATCTTATAGCTCTATAGTTCTAAACACAATAGACAAGACATAAATTGATAGTTTTTAGAAAAACAGAACCAACACCCCCCATCTTTCCCAAAAAATCACTGTTTACTTTCATCACAACAAATTTCAACATCTTCTCTAAACATTTTCTCATGGTCTTTTTATCCCAAAGCTTTAAGAGAATGCTTTATATATATTTTTTCAAATTATTTCACTGTTAACTGATTTTTGACACATTATTTCAGCTGTTACAAAAGACTGTGAAATTTTAAGCCAAGATCGGACCATGAGGACTAAATTTTTTTGTTTATTAATGACATAAAAAATAGACAATTGTATCCATAAAATGACTTAAGTTCCATAAGCAACCATAAACGCCAAATAATTCAAGGTTTGGAGAATTTTTTTTTTCAGCATCTTTGCTGAAGAACTATGGTACTGAGGACCTCTACTGTTGAGAATATGAATGGCTTCACTGCTAGGATTAAATTTTCAGGGAATAAAAACATCAACCAGGCATAGGCAATCTACAGTCTGCCCAAAGTACAGAAATTATTTTCAGAGGCACACGGATAGTTGTGTCACTGGAACCTACGCAGAAATGCGTATGAGGTAGAATTTAGGTCTCCTCTCACCTTCTGGACTTCTCTACCTCCGTGTGCCCAGGGTCTAGTGCTGTCTTCTGGCTTGAGTCTGTGTTGGGCCTGATTACTACAGGTTTTTTTTTTTGTTGTTGTTCTTACTCTGTTCTTTTTTCTTTTCTTTTCTTCTCCTTCCTTCCTCTTTCTTTCCCTCTCTCGTTTTTCTTTCTCTCTTCCTCCCTTCATTCTTCTTTCTTTCTTTTTCCCTCCCTCCCTCTCTCCCTGTCTTTCTTTCTTTTTTTTTCTTTTTTTTGAGACAGAGTCTCTCTCTGTCACCATGCTGGAGTGCAGTGGTGCGATCTCGGCTCACTGCAACCTCCGCCTCCCAGGTTGAAGCGATTCTCCTGCTTCAGCCTCCCGAGTAGCTGGGACTACAGACGTGTATCACCATGCCCTAGCTAATTTTTTTATTTTTAGTAGAGACGGGGTTTCACCATGTTGGCCAAGATGGTCTCGATCTCTTGACCTCGTGATCCACCCGCCTCGGCCTCCCAAAGTGCTGGGATTACAGACATGAGCCACCATGTCTGGTCTTTTTTTTTTTTTTTTTTTTTTTTTTTACGGAGTCTCTCTCTCTCGCCAGGCTGGAGTGCAGTGGCCCAATCTTGACTCACTGCAGCCTCCACCTCCTGGGTTCAAGCGATTCTCCTGCCTCAACCTCCTGAGTAGATGGGACTACAGGCACCCGCCACCAAGCCCAGCTAATTTTTGTATTTTTAGTACAGACGGGGTTTCACCATGTTGGCAGGGATGGTCTTGATCTCCTGACCTCGTGATCCACCCACCTCAGCCTCCCAAAGTGCTGGGATTATAGACGTAATCTCAAATGCCACAAGATATAGGATTGGAAGAGATTTCTTTTGTGTTTATATTTAATATCTGGCTGGCCATGGCTGGGTATGTAGTGCACTTGATCTTTTTATTTTTTTTTATTTTTTTGAGACAGAGTCTCGCCCTGTCTCCCAGGCTGGAGTGCAGTGGCGCGATCTCGGCTCACTGCAAGCTCCGCCTCTCGGGTTCACGCCATTCTCCTGCCTCAGTCTCCCGAGTAGCTGGGACTACAGCCGGCCGCCACCATGCCTGGCTATTTTGTATTTTTTTAGTAGAGAGGGGGTTTCACTGTGTTAGCCAGGACGGTCTTGATCTCCTGACCTCGTGATCCGCCCACCTCGGCCTCCCAAAATGCTGAGATTACAGGCGTGAGCCACCACGCCAGGCCAGTGCACTTGATCTTTAAGTGAGATTTAATTCCAGTACTTCCATGACACTCATTATTAGTGTTTGAATTGACCCAAGCACCTCTCTGGTATACCTTGGCCAGTAACTGTCCCACATGCTAGGATTTGAATTTAGGTCCTGCTATTTATTAGTTTATTACCAAGGAACTTGTTCAAGTTACTTGACCTCTCACTCAATTTTCTCCTCTGTTCAAATGGGAGAAATAACATTTTTTAAAAAATGTTTGATCAAGTTAGATTTGTGAAAACATGTAAGACAGAGACGGATACAAAATGAATGTTCAATATTCCTAATGTCCCTTCTCTCCCTTTCCCTTCCCTTTATAAAAAATCAATTCAGAGTGAGAAATATCTGTGTTGAAAAATACGCTTAAGGGGGATCCTTTATCAACAACATATTTCCAAGCCAAATGTGAGTCAAACCAAATTCATGTCTTCATCAGATTGTGTTTTTACCACAAGAAAGTTTCTCAAATTAGGATTTATGTTGACAAAAGAAATTGGGTGTTAGAGGGCTTGGTCGTACACAAAGCACCAAAGCTGTAATCAGCTTTGTATAAAGGATTCTATAGAATTACAAAGAGTTTAGTCAACTCCCACAGTCATATGTGAATTGTGAGGTTTGGTCCGGGGACAGGTGAAGGAAAGGATCCTATGAAAGCTGGCAACAAGAGAAAGCGAAGCCCCAAATATAAAGAAGGCCTACATCATCTCTACACTATCCAATCACATTCACAACATGGCAGCATTGTGCATTTGGGCCTCCATACAAAGAAAATTCATCAGCTCCTGTGCCTCGCCTTCCAGGACTCAGAGTGAGGCCATCCTGTCACACGCTGTTTTGTTAAAAAGATATACCAAACCGGCCAGGAGCAGTGGCTCACGCCTATAATCCCAGCACTTTGGGAGGCTGAGGCAAGTGGATCACTTGAGGTCAGGATTTCAAGACCAGCCTGGCCAACATAGTGAAACCCCATCTCTACTAAAAATATAAAAATTAGCCAGGCCCGGTGGTGGGCACCTGTAATCCAAGCTACTCTGGAGGCTGAGGCAGGAGAATTGCTTGAACCCCGGGAGGTGGAGGTTGCAGTGAGCCGAGACTGCACTACTGCACTCCAGCCTGGGCGACAGAGAGAGACTCTGTCTCAGAAAAAAAAAAAAAAAAAAAAAAAAAGGCAAACCATATGCAGAGACCCATATGCTATGATACAAATGCAAGCCGGTACACATAAATGTATTTTCCCACCGTCCAGAGATTTTGTTGTTGCAAAAAACAAAATCTTGGAGTGAAATGTAAAAGCTAATGGCTCCTATTCACTGTGAAAAATGGAGAGGAAATGATAATCGAGTTGAAGAAATAGCAGGTTAGCAATTGGGAGATCAGAGACCCAAAATACCTCCCACTGTGTATCTGTGGGACCGAGGTCAAGTCCTCTCCTCTAAATAGCGTTTCAGTTTCCCCACCAGAATGCTCTAAAGAACAATCCTGGCTTGTGCTTCAAGGGGAGGAGATAACAAGCATAAAATACTTTGCAATCTTCCTTAAGACAGTGTTACCTAAATCCCAGTCATTACTACACTAATACACTAAGATGATAGTACCTGCAGGAAGGCAGGCATCACCTTGAACACAGAGAGCTGTTAATCACCTCAAATCCCTCAAGTGTGTCAAGTAAAGGGCAAGGGAAAGATGCAAACTGTAGTACTGGTGTCAGGATGGTTTTGTGTGTGTGTGTGTTTGTGTGTGTGTGTGTTTGAGACGGAGTCTCGCTCTATCCCCTGTGTGTGTGTGTGTGTGTGTGTGTGTTTGAGATGGGGTCTCACTCTATCCCCCAGGCTGGAGTGCAGTGGCGCAATCTCGGCTTAGTGCAACCTCTGCGTCCTGGGTTCAAGCAATCCTCCCACCTCAGCCTCCCAGGTAGCTGGGATTAGAGACGCATGCCACCACGCCCGGCTAATGTTTGTATTTTTTGTAGAGACGGAGTTTCATCATGTTGGCAAGACTGGTCTCGAACTCCCCCAAACCTCAAGCGATCCACCTGCCTTGGTCTCCCCAAGTGCTGGGATTACAGGTGTGATCCACTGCACCCAAAATCAGCTCAGAGTGATTTCGTATAAGCCTTGAGCCTTCACCGTGAACATTTTGCTTCCAAGAATAAATGATTCTGAATTCCAAGTAACCTCATTACTGCGAGATGAGATGGTCTTGACCAGTTTACCACTCTTGAGGCTTTAAATCTTGGCATCACTGCTGTGATTCCCACCTAAACCGAAGTGCATGTGCAGGACTGTGGTGTCACCGTAACCAGAAAGAAAGACGCTTACTTTAACCAAGGAACCTACTTCCAACCTGGGATTATAAAATGCCTACCTAAATCCAAACTGCAACTTTTATCTTAGACCTCTCCTCCAACTAATGCGGTCAGTGCAGATCAAATGTTTAGATTGATAAATGCGGCTTACTGGTGTGAGAGACTCACTCATTGACAGAGCCCAGAATCCAAAGGTGATTAGTTGACTAAAGAGGGAAGACGAGCACCAGACAGCCTTGTTTGTCATTTTGCACACTTAATCGCATAAATCTCATAACACCAACTGCAGCTGCATGGCAGGAAATTAAATACTGACAAAAATAAAACCAAAGCTCCCAAATCAGTTCAGACACCTGTTTCGCAAGAATCAGTGCGATAAGATCATCTGTGGGTGGCAATTTTTTTTTCTGTAACGTCACTTGATAACTATTTTTCTCCCTGTTCTTTTTTTTTTTAACTTAAAAACACAGATAGAAAAACATGTAGACATCCTTAATAGTTGAATATTGACACACATACTTTAGGATTCATTTTCATAAAAGTGGCTGCTTTTTGTATAATGTAGATGAATGTTATATTCCAGATTAAAAGCAGACCCAATTCTAATTGAAAACAAATAGAGTATCCTCTAACTGTGGTTACTAATTTATACACAATATATTTACTATTTCAGAAAGAAACTGGCTTAGGAATTTCCTTTAACTGTACCCAAAAATGCTAAAAATGACATATATTTCCTTACACACACTTGTCCAATTTGATTCGAATCAAGGCTTCCCTCTCAAACCATATATTGGTTTTTAAAATTTTTTTAATTTCTATATCACTTGGACTGGACCTACATTGTTTAAATGAATAGTTTGTAAGGCAGAGTCTAACCTTTTAAAAATCCTAGTATGTGAGAATATCATTTCGAGATTGTTTTATCTAAATGAAAAGTATTAACTTAAAAACTATAAAATTTGCTTTGCTTAAAAGAAAAAAAAGGTAGCCACAGTCTTGTACCATCATTTGATAACTATTTTTCTCCTCTGTTCTATTTAGTTAAAACCACAGGTAGAAAAACATGTGCAAATCAGTTAAACATTTGAGAAAATGTTAGTGAAAAAGGAAAGGAGAAAAGACCCTCTTCTGGGAAAAACCTACTATTTATGGGTAGTGCTAATTTTAAAATGTTTTTTAATTTTAAAATAATTTTTAAATAGAAAACTTTTCATCAGATTTGACTTTAAGCAAAGGAAAAGAGTTGAGTTTCACTTTCACAGTGCAACTATACAGAAAATTCCAGAGATGTTCAAATGCATCAGGCACCTACAAGAGCAACCTCCAAGCGGGTGAAACTCAGGAAAGCTCTGTGGAGGAGGGTTTTCGTGGTTTTTGGAGCACCACAACTGTTTTCAAAACATACCAACGTATGGAGAATAAAGCATTCCAAGCACAAAATGAGCACCCAACAAGAGCTGCAAAAGAATCTTTTACCTAATTAAAAGCTTAAATTTACAGAACTTCAGAGCATTGCCGTTTCAGCTTGACTTTGCCAAAATAATCAAGCAGGATGAAGCAAAACAAATACAGGAACAACAAGCCTACCACTCTGGTTTTGATTTGCTGCCCATTACAGTGGAGCGGTTTGGCCTGCTCGGGCTAGATGCTTTCAAACATCTTCCAAATGCCCTATAATGACACCTAATTTTACATTTAACTCTTGGAGGAAAATGTTGTTTTCCTTGTGATAGTATTTGTTCTATTTGAACATTATCAAACTGTTTGTTCTAATCCGTTAGGAAAAACCATAATAAGGCTCATCTAGAGGCTGTTCCTAGTTAGGAAGGTGACTGAAAAGATTTAGATCTTGAGTCTGTCTTTAAATCTTCTAAATGAAAGATGATTTACAATTGAGCTACGAAAATGTGAACACTCTCAAGTCTGGAAAGTTTCAGTCTGAATCTAGATATTTTGTAAATCAACGCAAAGACTCTGTCTCACAGGACCAAATTTTACAAATATCAGGCTCTATGCTCAAATCTCGTTAATAAATTATAAAGGGTTCACATACTATGTTTTAAGTTCAGCTAGTTTCAGCTGAGGCACTATCAGTATTTCCTTATAATGTACCGAGAAATGAATAATAGGGCTTGCATTTAGAGATAGAATAGCATAAAGTGCCAGAAAATTGTCACATAATGATCACTTTTCATTCAGAAAAAAATATATTTCTAATAGTTTGATAAATTGGAATAGGGAGATAAGGTTTCCCAGGCTGCTCAGGTTTAGTTACAAATTAAGGTCAATTTTTATAAACAGAAGTTTTGAATTATTTAAAATTTTGACCAGTTTAGGAGTGTCTGATTTGGGGACCTCATCACTGCACTCCAGCCTGGGTGACAGAGTGAGACTCTGTCTCAAAAAAACAAAACAGGCCGGGCACGGTGGCTCATGCCTGTAATCCCAGCTCTGTAGGAGGCTGTGGCAGGCAGATCACCTTCTTGAAGTCAGGAGTTCGAGACCAGTCTGGCCAACATGGTGAAACCCCATCTCTACTAAAAATACAAAAGTTAGCTGGGCGATGTGGCATGCACCTGTAATCCCAGCTACTCAGGAGGCTGAGGCAGGAGAATTGCTTGAAGCCGGGAGGCAAAGGTTGCAGTGAGCCAAGATTATGCCGCTGCACTCCAACCTGGGTGACAGATCGAGACTCCATCTCAAAATAACAACAACAACAAAACCACTTTCACAGCCACCATTTCATCAAATCTTCTCAATATGTATGAAGTGGATATTATTATTATATCAAGTTAAATGCTTTGGCTTCCCTTTTCCGTACTCAGCCAATGCCCTTGCCCTTGTCCAGAGATCTAATTTCCAGGCAAGAAGCAGTACAATGTGGTGGAAAGACCTTGGTTAGAATCCTAGATTTGGATCCAGAATCCAAATCACTTTAGGCAAGTTTCTTTTCACTGGAGATCATTTTCCTCATCTGTAAGACAAAGGAATTAGACCATGTATCTTTAAGAATTCATTCCAGTTTGAAATTCTCTGAATCCTCCAGAAAGGAGGAATACTGGATGACAAAGCCCACATGATCATATTACCCAGGACTCTCATTAGACCTCTGGGTAAATGTTATTAAACTATCCAACTAACTCTGAATATTCAAAACAAGAACTAAAGGTTAAGAAACTGGAAGATCTGAAAAAATAAAGGTTAGTGAGCTACATAGATGAAATCTTCCAGAAAGAAAAAATTATGTGGTAAAAGTTGTGTGCACGGTGTAGGTATGCATAAGTTTTACTACGGATAGTGAAGGCAAAGGAGAAAAAAAGAATACAAATCAGGAAGAAGACAATGACAAGAACAGATTTGCAAAACGGTGTCAGAACTGACCCTTCTGAAAAGTGAATAAATACAATTCCTCAAAAATGAGGGTGACGGTTACTCAAACTTCTTGTCCTAGAGGCACTAGGGTAGTGGCTAGAATATCAAAATAGGACTCAGAAGGCAGATTCTATTACAACTTAAACTCTGATATTTATTAAGAATATGGCCGGGCGCGGTGGCTCACGCTTGTAATCCCAGCACTTTGGGAGGCCGAGGCGGGCAGATCACGAGGTCAGGAGATCGAGACCATCCTGGCTAACACGGTGAAACCCCGTCTCTACTAAAAATACAAAAAATTAGCTGGGTGCGGTGGCGGGCGCCTGTAGTCCCAGCTACTCGGGAGGCTGAGGCAGGAGAATGGCGTGAACCTGGGAGGCGGAGCTTGCAGTGAGCCGAGATTGCGCCACTGCACTCCCACCTGGGCCACAGAGCGAGACTCCGTCTCAAAAAAAAAAAAAAAAAAAAAAAGGAATATGTCGCAGCTTAAGTCACTTTGCCCGTCCAGATCTCATTATAGTCATCTGTTAAGGTGAGACTATCTCCGTTTATTTTATCTGTAAAAGGAAGGCATAGGACTCAATGATCTTTAAGGTCCCTTAGAGATCTTATATTTTATGACTCAACATGGTGAAATGAAAGCATTTTTCAGTAAAGTTAGCTGAGAATCTAAGAAGTGCCTTAAAAGTTGACATAATAATAATATCCACTTCATACATATTGAAAAGATTTGATGAAATGATGGCTGTGAAAGTGGTTTTGTTTTTTTGAGACAGGGTCTCACTCCATCACCCAAGCTGGAGTGCACTGGAGAGATCACAGCTCATGGCAGCCTCGGCCTCCCAGGCTCAAGCGATCCTCCCACCTCAGCCTCCCAAGTAGCTGGGACTACAGGCACGTGCCACCATACCTGGCTCCTTTTTTTACTTTTTTAGTAAAGACAGGGTTTTGCCATGTTGCCCAGGCTGGTCTTGAACTCCTGAACTCAAGAGGTCAGCCCACCTCAGCCTCCCAAAGTACTGGGATTATATGCATGAGCCACCACGTCTGGCTGAAAGTGTTTTGTAAGCTATAAAATGCTATGCCATTGATGGTAGTAGTAGATATTATTTATCAACATTTTAAGAAAATGAAGAGTTAATGTTGATGAAAGTTTCATCACACCATAGGAGATGGTCAACACATACTTTTTTAATAAGTAAATGGATTCGAAGGAACATGTCCAATTCCACAATGAGAAACTGATAAACAAATTTGCAGATATGAAGGGGGGAAGCTCATATCCACATTGTTGGGGAACATGGGAAAATAGAAAGCCCAGTTCAATAACAGAGCAAGAGAATGTGTGGAAAAATGCTTCTTCCCCTCAGAGAAAAATTTCTATTTTTGATTCTTTGGTTTCAAAAAAAAAAACAAAAAACATTTAAGTGCCAACCACGTGTAAGACTTTATGTTAATTTCTTTTTCTTTCCTTTTCTTTTTTTTTTTTTTTTTTTTTTTTTTTGAGACAGGGTCTGTCTCTGTCACCCAGGCTGGAGTGCAGAGGCACAATCTCGGCTCACTGAAACCTCCACCTCCCGGGTTCAAGCGATCCTCCCACCTCAGCCACCAGAGTAGCTGAGAATACTACAGGCATGTGCCACCACGTCCAGCTAATTTTTGTATATTTTTGGAGAGACAGGGTTTCGCCATGTTGACCACGCCGCTGGTCTTGAACTCCTGGCTTCAAGTGATTCGCCTTCCTGGGGCCTCCCAAAATGCTGGGATTACAGGTGTGAGCCACTGTACTCAGCATTTATGCTGATTTCTTGAGCATGGGGATTAGGTGTTCCAGGAAAAAGAAGATGATTCTTGTCCTCAAGAAGCTTACAATTAATTTGAGAGAATCATAAAAACATGCTAACCATGACATAATGTGACAAGTATGGTTAGTAGACACAGTACTAGGTCCTGTAGAACCGTGAAATAGGGGGAAGAATTTTGCTTGGGAAGAATGGAGGATGGAGAATGGAGAAGATTTCCGGTAGGAGATCTTTTGTAAGCTGCACCTTAAAAAATGAATAAGATTTCATTAAGCTCAAAAGGCAAGAAAAGCCTCCAGGAAGAAGACTGAAAGAAAGGGTTCGAGAATAGAAATACAAGTGATTACCAAAATCCCATAGATAAAAATTGAGTAGGAAGGTGACCGAGCAATGGTTAACATCTTGATTGTTGGAGAAATCAAACAATGTGGCCGGGTGCGCTGGCTCACGCCTGTAATCCCAGCACTTTGGGAGGCCGAGGCGGGTGGATCACCAGATCAGGAGATCGAGACCATCCTGGCTAACACGGTGAAACCCCATCTCCACTAAAAATAGAAAATATTAGCCGGGCGTGGTGGCGGGAGCCTGTAGTCCCAGCTACTCAGGAGGCTGAGGCAGGAGAATGGTGCGAACCTGGGAGGCGGAGCTTGCAGTGAGCCGAGATCGCGCCACTGCACTCCAGCCTGGGTGACAGTGCGAGACTCCATCTCAAAAACAAAACAAAACAAAAACAACAATCACAATGTATTTTTTAAGAGTGATCTTCTTGGACAGATTGTTTGTACAATAACTAATTCCAAAAGTGTCAGCATGCAGACATGTGTTTTGTGGGGTATTTTACAAAGGAAATTAAAAAGATACAAAACTGATCCTTTCAGAGCTTAAATTTAGACTAATGTAGTATTAGGGACATCATAGAGCTTTTTTAAAAAAAAAAAACAGATTTTCATTCTTAGTTTGTAGTCAAAATGGGCTTAAAGGCAACATTACCTATAACTGCCCCAAAATTATATGGCTAAATACTTAGATTTAGGGCTTGGACTTTTTAACTCAAATAACTTTTAAGAACACATATTGACTTATCTTTTCATCTTTTTCCAGGGCATTCTTTTAGCTCCCTTCCAGACAGGGGGAATGTATTTTACCCACGTTCCTGTCCCATCTGACCACTTGCTAATCAGTCTGGTTGGAATACCTCTCCAAACCTATCCTCGTCACTAGTTAATCACCCTAACTAGTCACTTTTGAGTGCTGCAATGTAGGGCATACCATCCTTGCCACATTCCCAGATCCTACTGGCTTAGGTCCAGATTTGGGGACTGGAAATTCAATCAGAACCATGCTTTCCTATGGAATTTGACCTTATATTATTTTTAACACATACAGTCCAACAGAAGCAAACAGCCATGAAAAGGAACTTCACATATTAAGCACACAGCAAGCTGTTAGGTAAACATGCCAGATTATGCCAAGTACATAGCTGCTAAGGACACAATTATCCTGCAGTTCCCTCATTTAGCATTTTTGCTGTTAGAAGATATAAGCCCATCCATCTGAGTAATGCTAAAACAGGTGGTCTGTTCTAAGGACCTTTGGAGAAGACGGTTCTGGAAGGGTGGGAAAGAACCCTTGGGTCTTTTTTTCAGTCCCTTTACATTTCCCGTGTTCCACAAAGGTCAAACTACTTTTATAAAAGGAAATTAAATGTTACAAACCAGCACTAAAATGAAATCACTCTATTTTCTCACCTAACCTCCCCACAGTCAGGACGTTTGGAACTCATATCTCCCTATTTCCGCTAAGCTGTGGTTCCCAATTTAAGACTTTAAAAAATATCTCTGGCTGTAATTCGCATGCTGTAATTCTTCAGAAGAGGATGTAATTCTGGAATTTCTTATTTAAAAAGTAATGAATTAATAAGAAACTGGATGCTTCAACTTCTAAATCACAATCAATTTTTTCATTGGTTTCTTATACTGATTACAGCATTCATATATGTACACATGTACCTTCAGTATATGTGTGTGCTTCTATTGTTAAACCCATGCGTATTAAGGAGGCTACCAGGTTATTTATAGGTGCCAATCCTGAACGTCCTCACTTGCATGACAGGTATATTTTGCTTTGTAACACTTTCCTTTGGTTCCAACTGGAATAAACCCACTTTGTGTTTGCTTGTTTGTTTGTTTGTTTGTTTGTTTTTGCGGTGGGAGGAGTTGTTTCTCTCTCCCTCTCTCTCTTTGAGACAGGTCTTGCAGTGTTGCCCAGGCTGAAGTACAGGGGTGCAATGATAAGTTACTGCAGCCTCGTTCTCCCAGCCTCAAGTGAGCCTTTCTACCTCAGCCTCCTGAGTAGCTGGGACCACAGGCACATGCCACCATGCCCAGCTGATGATTTACTTTTTGTAAAAATGGGGTCTCCCTATGTTGTCCAGGCTGTTCTTGAACTTCTGGGGTCAAATGATCCTCCTGCCTCGGCTTCCCAAAGTGCTGAGATTACAGTTGTGAGCTACCATCCCCAGCCAATAAACCCGCTTTGATTAAGGCAAATATAGTTTCAGACACAAGCGATGTAAGTGGGAAGGTTTTCGTGACAAAATTCACCTCTAGTGAGGACACACAGACAATATTTGTTTGTTTGTTTGTTTGTTTGTTTTGAGACGGAGTCTTGCTCTGTCACCCAGGCTGGAGTGCTGTGGCACAATCTCGGCTCACTGCAACTTCCACCTCCCAGGTTCAAGGGATTCTCCTGCCTCAGCCTCCTGAGTAGCTGGGATTACAGGTGCCCACCACCACGCCTGGCTAATTTTTGTGTTTTTAGTAGAGACAGGGTTTCATCACGTTGGCCAGGCTGGTCTCGAACTCTTGACGTCACGATCCGCCCGCCTCGGCCTCCCAAAGTGCTGGGATTACAGGCATGAGCCACTGTGCCTGGCCACAATATGTATGGTAATATTTGAGAGGCAGCATAGCATCATGGTTAGGTTTGTAGAAAAATTGTGCAGAGTCCCGAATACCACTTGCCTCAGGTGCACAAAGTTTCTCCTATTATTAACATTTTGCACCCAGTGTGATACATTGTTACAACTGATGAATCAATATTGACCAATTATTATCAAAATTCATAGTTTGCATTAGGGCTCACTCTTTCTGTTGTACAATTCTCTGGGTTTTGACAAATGCGTAGTGTCATGCATTTACCATTACAGTATCACACACAATAGATTAACTGCCCTAAACATCCTCTGTGTTCCATCTGTGAACCCCTTCCTCCTTCCAGCGAAACCAATGATCTTTTTACCATCTTACAGTTTTGCCTTCCCAGATGTGATATAGTTAGAATCATACAGCTGGCTGAATCATACATTCAGCTGGCTTTTTTCACTTAGCAATACGCATTTAAGATACCTCCAAGTCTTTTGGTGGCTTGATAGCTCTTTTTTTTTCTTTTTTAACAGAGTTTGTTTTTTACAGTAGTTTTAGTTTCACCGTAAGATTGAGTGGAAGATACGTATATCTCCTGGTTCTTTTTCAGTAATTGCTGAATAATATTCCTCTGTATGGATGTACCAGTTTATCCATTCACCCTTTGAAAGTCTTGCTTACTTTCAATTTTTGGCACTTATGAATAATGCTGCTATAAACATTCAGAGCATTGTTGCGTGCACATGCAAAATACTTAGAAGAATACTTGTGCTATAGCAGTACTATGAGCCATTACCTTATTTTAAAGATGAAAAAAGGCCGAGCATGGTGGCTCATGCCTGTAATCCCAGCACTTTGGGAGGCCAAGGCGGGTGGATCACCTGAGGTCAGGAGTTCAAAACCAGCCTGGCCAACATGGTAAAACCCCATCTCTACTAAAATACAAAAATTAGCTGGGCATGGTGGTGGGTGCCTGTAATCCTAGCTACTCAGGAGGCTGAGGCAGGAGGAGAATTGCTTGAACCCGGGAGGCAGAGGTTGCAGTGAGCCAAGATTGCATCACTGCACTCTAGCCCGGGTGACAGAGTGAGACTCCATCTAAAAAGAAAGAAAGAAAAAAAAGATTTAAAAAACAGTTTCAAAGATTTGCCCAATGGCACTCTGCTAAAAAGTAGTAAAGTTGTAAACAGGAAAATATACCTACTGAACTATATATGTTTACTTAAAAAGACCTACCAATACATGCATTCTGTTCAGCTCCACTGATGATACAAAAATGAAGATATGTCCTCTATATATACATGCATAATCTCAATATAATATGCTGAATAGAGAGTTTTTTTGGAGACAGAGTCTCACTCTTGTTGCCCAGGCTGGAGTGCAATGGCACGATCTCGGCTCACTGCAACCTCCGCCCTCCCAGATTCAAGTGATTCTCCTGCCTCAGCCTCCTGAGTAGCTGGGATTACAGGTGCCCGCCACCACGCCCGGCTGATTTTTTGTATTTTTAGTAGAGACGGGGTTTCATCATGTTGGCCAGGCTGGTCTCCAACTCCTGACCTCAAGTGATCCACCCGCCTTGGCCTCCCAAAGGGCTGGGATTACAGGTGTGAGCCACCACGCCTGGTGGGACTTTTAACTTCAACCTAGAACCTCTAGAGAAAATGATGCCTGAATTGGTCCTAAAGAATGAGGAAGAATTATCCAGG
Source organism: Homo sapiens (assembly GCF_000001405.40). Taxonomy (NCBI): domain Eukaryota; kingdom Metazoa; phylum Chordata; class Mammalia; order Primates; family Hominidae; genus Homo; species Homo sapiens. The sequence continues at coordinate 61,564,908 of NC_000017.11, forward strand.
CAAAGATGGGAAGGGCCATGCTGGCAGAGGGAACACAATGAGGAAAAAAGACATCAAAGGTATGAAACAGCATGTTGTGTGTATGTAACAGTCTTTTTTAAAAAAATCCAATATTGCTAGAGCATCAAATTCTATAGCAGAAGGAGAGATGCAGAAGATAAGATTGAGCAAGACATGGGGGGTGGGAGGGGAAGACCTCTTACATGCATATTAAAGAGCTTGGACTTTATTCAGTTGGTAATGAAAAGCCACCAAGACTTTTGAGCAGGAAGTGTTAGGCAGATTGTTTCCGGGGCAGTGTGGATAACAGAGGTAAGAGAAGGCAAGGTTAGAGACGGGCAGGATGCCCAGCTGGGAAGCAAACTAGAATGGACGTTTGAATTAGCATTAGTAGTAGGGATGGTGAGGTTTGCCCTTAGGCTATGTCTATAGGGCACTGACAAAACCTGGTGAAAAGTGAAACTGTTAAAAACAGTTTGCATGGTATTCCATGGTGCATATGTGCAGCATGTCCTTCGCAGGGACATACGTGAAGCTGGAAGCCATCATTCTCAGCAAACTAACACAGAAACAGAAAACCAAACACCACATGTTCTCACTCATAAGTGAGAGTTGAACAATAAGAGTACATGGACACAGGGAGGGGAACAACACACACCAAGTCCTGTCAGGCAGTGGGGGGAAAGGGGAGGGAGAGCATCAAGACAAATACCTAAGGCATGCAAGGCTTAAAACCTAGATGACGGGTCAACAGGTGCAGCAAACCACCATGGCACATGTATATGTATGTAACAAACCTGCACTTTTTGCACATGTGTCCCAGAACTTAAAGTAAAATAAAAAAAATATATATATATACAGTTTGCAATGATAATACACAGTAATATATCACCAATTTAATAGTTTTTTTAAAAAAATAACTTTTTCAATTGTAGACAATTTACCTGGCTATAATTTTGACATCAAAAACATGTATAATCCTAATACTATATTAATAGATGCAAATATTAAATCAACTGTAAGCTCCTTGAAGGCAGTACCTTTTCTTATATTTATGTAACACAGTACATGGCCCAGTCTTGAGTATGTAATAGGCATACTATAAAAACTTGTTGAGTAGTGAAGCTTAATTATTATGTTAATATCTTATAAGAAGACATTTATGCAGCCAAAAAACACATGAAAAAATGCTCATCATCACTGGCCATCAGAGAAATGCAAATCAAAACCACAATGAGATACCATCTCACACCAGTTAGAATGGCAATCATTAAAAAGTCAGGAAACAGCAGGTGCTGGAGAGGATGTGGAGAAATAGGAACACTCTTACACTGTTGGTGGGACTGTAAACTAGTTCAACCATTGTGGAAGTCGGTGTGGCGATTCCTCAGGGATCTAGAACTAGAAATACCATTTGACCCAGCCATCCCATTACTGGGTATATACCCAAAGGATTATAAATCATGCTGCTGTAAAGACACATGCACACATATGTTTATTGCGGCACTATTCACAATAGCAAAGACTTGGAACCAACCCAAATGTCCAACAATGATAGACTGGATTAAGAAAATGTAGCATATATACACCATGGAATACTATGCAGCCATAAAAAAGGATGAGTTCATGTCCTTTGTAGGTACGTGGATGAAGCTGGAAACCATCATTCTCAGCAGACTATTGCAAGGACAAAAAACCAAACACCACATGTTCTCACTCATAGGTGGGAATTGAACAATGAGAACACATGGACACAGGAAGGGGAACATCACACACCGGGGACTGTTGTGGGGTGGGAGGAGGCGGGAGGGATAGCATTAGGAGATATGCCTAATGTTAAATGACGAGTTAATGGGTGCAGCACACCAACATGGCACATGTATACATATGTAACAAACCTGCACGTTGTGCACATGTACCCTAAAACTTAAAGTATAATAATAATAAAATTAAAAAAAATTTAAACAGTTATATGTTAAATAAATTACAAATAAAAGTGAAATTGGGAACATTTACAAAAAAAAGAAAAAGTATAATTTTGACTATAATAAAGCTTAATCTTAGTGTATGATATAGCTAACAGATGTTAGTAAATTTATCTAAACAGGAGAAATTCTAAAAGCAAAACAATTATTCTCACAGTGGCAAATAATTACTTTCCAAATTACTTTTATGGAATTTTTTTAAAAAACAAAAACTAATAAAGATGTCAAGAAATTTCCAGAAACTGAAGCTATACCTTTAAGAAAAGTTGCTGCAACATATCTGGGAAAGAAAACCTTTTCAGAGACATGATCAAAGGATTACCGTGTTCAGTATAAAAAGCAACAGGCACACCTGCTGAAATACTAGTTTTCTATTAATGTTTACAAGGTATTAGACTCTTTAGTATTTTTCTTACAGCTCTTCTATAGGATGAGAAGTCGACAAAAAGTTATCTCTTTGTGCCTTTTGAAAATTCTACATCTGTCTAGAGGCTGAAACTTCTTTTGCGTCTTTCTTTTGTTCTGTTGTACACACTGGTGAATTTTTATTTAAGTGACTCACTATTGATGTGACTTGTGAAAAGTTCAGCATAGTTGGCAATTAAATGAAGGCATTTTAGAAAACATTACAACTTTTGTGTTAATGGGTGTAACCCAAAAGATGGGTCTAGTGAATATTCTCTTTTATGTATTATGACTCCACCACATTAAAACCAGAGGATAAATAAACACTAAAAACACTTTTAAGTACAAGGTATTATCAAGCAAAAATCATTGATCTTGTACCTAACATGCTAACAATGATCAAACAATATCACTTATGAGTAAGAGTACAGAATGAGCAATACTGCATTCTACATAAATTGTAAATCGCTTGAGCTCATTCAAAAAATATTTTCAATTTGCCTTGAACTTCTTTTCACTGGAAACAATTACCACTAGGAACTATTTTGTCTATGCAAACTAAAAATGAAAATGAAGTGAAAACAAGCTGAAAAGTTCCTTAACAAACATCTGTTTTTCTATAGATCTGATAGGTTGGATATTTTGAAACATTTTAAAGCTAAAGGGAATTTCAAACACCCTAGATTAACATTGAAATTGACTTCTCTACCTGGTTTTTAAAAGTGTTGATCTCTGAGACAAGAAGCCACATGCTAATTAAACCAGGTTTCATTTCAATTAGAAGTTCAAAGAAGAAACACATTTTGGAAGGTATTACAAAGTTACGGTTACTAATCTACCTGAGAACTATCTTTAAGAGGTAACTTTGTTTTCTTTTAAGTGTTTCATGTGCATTTTTGTTACTCAAAAGCAAACCTATACCTGAGATGTCTTTAAAAAAAAAAAAAAAAGACAGGGTCTGGCTCTGTTGTCCAGGCTGGAGTGCAGGGCGCCATCACCGCTCACTGCAGCCTTAAACTCCTGGGCTCAAGCCATCCTCCCGCCCCAGCCTCCCAAGTAGCTGGGACTACAAGCACATGCCACCATACCCCGTTAATTTTTTTTTTTTTTTTGGTAGAGATGGGGGTCTCACTATGTTGCCCAGGCTGGTCTCAAACTCCTAGGCTCAACCAATCTTCCTGTTTGGGACTCCCAAAGAGCTAGGAAGACAGGGCTGAGCCACTGTGCCAGGCCTTTAGATGTCTTGATCTGTTGGTGGGAAGCGTTCCTCACCAACCTCCACCTATCTCCGTTTTTTTTACTTCCAGACTCAATACCCACGACAAAAAAATGCCAAAAAGAGATATTACAAATGTGCAAGTCATTACTACAACCACTGAAAATAGAATGTTTCTACAGGTTCAGCTTTAGCTCATGTATCTCCTCTGTGTTTACCTAACCAACCACACCTATGTGGACATAGTGATTCACAGGGAAAAATAATAACCTGTATTTAAGCATAAAGATCAACAACAGAAATACCACCCAGGGAAATACTGTTATGAGTGAGGTCATGAGGTGCATTTAGCCTGAAAGATGCATAAACGAATTGCTAACCTAATGGCTCAGGTGCCAGAGAATACTAATTGGAGCCAGACCTCAAGTCAATCTTTGAGGCCTTGTAATTGACAACGTCGAGCACTAAAAGTAGGAACGTAGGAAAGGAGAGGATCAGGGACATGCGTCACGCTCGAGGCCAGAACAAATGTCCAGTCTGCATCAAAAGAGAGGTTGCCTTTGTGAAGTCCACAGGTTATGAAAAGTAGCTATACTTGGGGGGTGAATGGGGGTACCTGAAGCATATATAAAACTGTCAAACACCTACGCTTCCCCTTGATAAAATTAGTTTCTTAAGCAAATATTGTTGAAGGCTAAGGACTGGTCTGAGAATACAACTGTTGTAAGTTCTGACCTAATGATACTAAATATCTACAGATTTAGTGTGTACATACTAAATATGTTTATGATCCTGCCAATACTTTTTAATGCTTTGTGTCTTATAGCTTAAATTCTATAATCCCGGTTGTAACAGAAAAACATGCAGAAGGCATTATGACTATGTCACATATGACCTTGATTATTAGAATTTTCAACTGCTCAAATAATTAAACAGGGCTGTACTGGAGATGGCAGGACAATCAAGGGAGGGAGATCAAGTTATGAGACATTTGTGAAAGTCTTTTGATGGCTTACAATTACATAACAATTTTACAATATATTTAAAATATTGAAGAAAGAAAGCAAAATACAGTGAGATAGGTATGATGTCTTTTATAGAATTTGTTTGTTTGTTTGTTTGAGACAGGGTCTTGCTCTGTCACCCAGTCTGGAATGCAGTGGTGCAATCACGGCCCACTGCATCCTCGACTTCCTGGGCTCCAGTGATCCTCCTACCTCAGCCTCCTGAGTAGCCAGGATCACAGGAACGAGCCACCACACCCGGCTAATTTTTGTATTTTTTGTGAAGACGGAATTTCACTATGTTGCCCAGGCTGGTCTCAAACTCCTAACCTCAGGTGATCAGCCTGCCTTGGTCTCCCAAAGTGCTGGAATTACAGGCATGAGCCACTGCACTCAGCCAAAAATTTTAAAATTATGTAAAGCAATATTACATATTGTTTATAAATTCAAATATGTTATAAATATATAAAAATAAACGGGACAGATTCATACACACCAAATTTGCTGAAGCCAGTATACCAAAATGTTAACATCTGTAAAATCCACTCATTGGTTGATTGACATTTGAATTGTTTCCATCTTTTGGCTGTTATGAATAATGCTGCTATGAAGTTTTGTGTACAATTTTTTGTTTGATTACATATTTTCAATTCTCTTGGGTAGGTACTTAGGAGCGGAATTGCTGGATCACATGGAAATTCTAGAACTTTCTGAGGAACTGCCAAACTGCTTTCCCCAGCAGCTGCACCATTTTATATTCCCAGAAGCAATACACAAGGGTTCCAACTTCTCCACACCCTCACTAGCCCTTGTATTTTCTGTTTTTTAAAAATTATACCCATCCCAGTGGGTGTGAAGTGGTACCTCCTTGTGGTTTTGCTTTGCATTTCCATAGTAACAAGTGATGCTGAGTATTTTTCATGTGCTTATTGGCTACTGCCTATTCAAGTCCTTTGCCTATTTTTTAATTGGGTTTGTTGTTGTTGTTGCTGCAAGGTAAGATTTTTTAAAATATATATTCTGAATACTAGATCCTTATCAGATAAATGATTTGCGAATATTTCCTTTCATTCTTTAGGTTGCCTTTTCACTTTTTTTCTTTTTTTTCTTTCTTTTTTTCTCTCTCTCTTTTTTTCTTTTTTTTTTTTTTTTGTTGTTGTTGCTTTGTGTGTGAGAGACAAGGTCTTGCTCTGTTGCTCAGGCTGGAATGCAGTGGTGTGATCATGGCTCACTGCAGCCTCAACCTACCTGGCTCAAGTGATCCTCCCGCCTCAGCCTCCCAAGTAGCTAGAACTGCAGGCACGTGTTACCATGACACCCAGCTAATTTATTTCTTGTTTTTTGTAGAAATGGGGGCTCCCTATGTTGCCCAGGCTATGGCCTCCCAAAGTGTTGGGATTACAAGCATATGCCACCGTGCCCAGCCTTTTCACTTTCTTAATACTGTCCTTTGATGTACAAAGTTTTTTAACTTCGATAAAGTCCAATTTATCTATTTTTTGTTTGTTTGTTGCTTGTGCTTTTGGTATCATATCTAAGAATCCATTGCTAAATCCAAGGTAATAAAGATTGACACCTAAGTTTTCTTCTAAGAGTTTTATAGTTTTAGATCCTACAATTAGGTCTTTGATCGATTTTGAGTTTGTTTCAATATATGGTGTGAGGTAGGGACCCAACTTCTCCGGCATATGGATATCCAGTTGTCGCAGCACCATTTATTGCAAAGATTATTCTTTCCCCATTGGAATGGTCTTGGCACCTTTTTCAAAAGTCCATTGACTATAGACACATGGGCTTATTTCTGTACTGTCAATTTTATTACATTGAGCTATAATCCTCATGCCACCATGAATAAGGATGTACACACTCTGTACAACAAATTGTAAATGCTTTCATAGTGATACTGGGTCATTACTGTTAGTATCAATTGTATTGTGCAGTAACAATGCCACCTCAAGGTCTACCAAAATAAATGGGTTATTTAACTTCAAAGCAAATAATCCCAAACTGGTATTTTTGATTATTTATGTTTTATGTGGCTATCCTTCTCTTGCTAAGAGTTGTATGTTGCCCTACAATCAGCATGCCTGTCATACTTGCAATCTCATTTTTCCCTTCCTAATTCATTATCTTTAATACCTCTGTGAATTCAGATAAGTGGGTTTTATTCATTCAATAAGCACTTTGAGTGTCTACTATTTTGGCTTATGAGGAATTGCAAGTGACTTTCATACGGGATGGTGAGTATGACAGCACTCTCAATTCAACAGGTGTACACATACACAGCTCATTGTAAAACAAAATGATAAATATGCTAATAAAGGTGGGAATCATGTCATGGGAGTATAAAGAAGAGAACATTCATTTAATGCAAAGAGATAGGAGAAGGTTTCATAGAGGATGTGACATTTAAACTAGGCCTTGAAAGATTAATTGAATTTTGTCAGATCCTGTCAGATTAAGAAGGATAGGAAGTACATTTTAGGGAAACAGAACATACCATATTCAGGCAACAGTAAGTAGTCCAGTGTCACTACAGTCATGGTAAAAGGTAGTGGGATGAACAGGCGCTGTGGCTCAGCCTATAATCCCAGTACTTTGGGAGGCCTAGGCGGGTGGATTGCTTGAGCTCAGGAGTTCCAGATCAGCCTGGCCAACATGGTGAAACCCTGTCTCTACTAAAATTACAAAAATTAGCCGGGCCTGGTGGCACACACCTGTAATCCCAGCTACTCGGGAAGCTGAGGCAGGAGAATCGCTTGAACCTGGGAGGCAGAGGTTGCAATGAGCCAAGATCACACCACTGCACTCCAGCCTGGGTGACAGAGCAAGACTTGGTCTCAAAAAATAAAAAAAATAAAAATAAAAAGGAGAGAAACAGACAGATGAGCGCAGGGTTAAGAGAACAGCCATGAACACAGTACTATGCTAAGAAGTTTGAGCTTTATTATGAAGGCAACTGGAAGGCAGTAAAGATTTTTGTTTGGAAAATGATGTGATTAGTTCTATTTTAGGAAAAAACTGAACTGGTAGTGGTGAGACTGAGGACAGAGGGAGTTGAAAGGTTAATTCTTTTTTTCTTTTTTTGAGACAGGGTCTCTCTCTGTCACCCAGGCTGGAGTGCAGTGGTGTGATCACAGATCACTGCAGCCTCAACTTCCCAGGCTCCAGCAATCCTCCCACTGCAATCCTCCCACCTCAGCCTCCCAAGTAGCTGGGATCACAGGCACGCACCACCACGCCTGGCTCATTTTTGTGTTTTTTGTAGAGACGGCGTTTCTACAATGTTGGCCAGGCTGGTCTCGAACTCCTGGGTTCAAGCGATCTGCCTGCCTGGGCCTTCCAAAGTGCTGGGATTATAGACATGAGCCACGCATCCAGCTGGGAGGTTGATTTTTAATCAATATGTGAGATGATGAGGACTTGGCAATGGGAATAGTTTTGTGATTTATAAAAGTAAACCACCGGAGTTAGAGTTTGAGGCACTTTCTGATGGGTAAAGTGCATAAGAAAGTCACAGTACACAGATTTTGAGATGCTCCTCTTGGGGGTCCTATAAGGAAAGAAACCATTAAAAGAGCGCGGGCTTTAGAGTCACCAGGGTCTCAACCCTGACCCTGCCGTTTCTTAGTTGCTTAACTATGAGCAAGTTCCTTAGCATTGTAAAGACATATCATAGAACAGGTACATTGCAACTTCTGCCTCCTAACTTCTTGCAATTCTCCTCCCTCATCCTCCCAAGTAGCTGGCATTACAGGTGTGCGCCACCATCCCCCAGCTAATTTTTGTATTTTTAGTAGAGATGGGTTTTCACCATGTTGGCCAGGCTGATCTCGAACTCCGGACCTCAAGTGATCCACCTGTTTCAGCCTTGCAAAGTGCTGGGATTTCAGGTGTAAGCTACTGCACCCGGCCAAGGTACATTAATATTAACATCACAGGGTTAATGGGAATCAGTGACTGAGATGATATGAATAGTATTCAATAAATGTTAGTTTTTGTATTTTTTCCCCTCCCAGATTCTTCACTATACTTTTGGTGGTTGAGGGTGCCGTATAATTGACCTTGAGATTTAGCATTATTATAACAGTTTTTAGGTTAATTAAGGGGTTGATGAGAATGGTGACTCTGATGCTTCCCTTTGAACTTGACACAATTCTTTTCTAAATTGTGCACTTTAGTGTGGCAGCTGGTTGACACTTAAGGTGCATGCCATGCTGTTTTTGGTTTCTGCTGCCCCTCTGTTTGGAATGCCCTTCCTCCATCCCTTCCAATAGGCCAGGTTAGCTCACCAGGCTCAACTGAAGCCTCATCTCCTTCAGGATGCTTCTTTTCTCCTCTACCCCAGGTAAGGTCTGCCTTCTCTGGGTCCCCGTGTTGTTGTATAATACAATGCACTAAATGCAGTGACAGAGTGCCCCATATTTCAATGACCTGTGTGTGTGCTGGGTTCCCCTTGTGGATGACAAAGGATCAAGAACTGTGTATTATAGATGATCTTGGTGTTTCCTCCATTCCTATCCTGGGCCTGGTACATACAAAACACTCGATAAGTATCTGTTGAATAAAGAAACAAACAAATTTTAAAAATCACCCACCACCCATTTCAAGTGCTTACAAGTCACATCCACTTTCGGTCTTGAAGCTCTCCTGCCCTACTTACTAGCCTGTCTTTCTCCTCAGAGAAGAAGCTGGCATGGCTCTGAAGGAACTGATCTTATGAAAACTCTTGCGTTTCAGCCTGGCTCTACCATCATGAGCTGTGAGATCTTGGGCAAGTCACTGATTCTCTTTGCCCTTGCTTCCTCAGATGCAAAGTGAGAATAATTATGGATGTGTAGCAAGAGTTAAATGAAATAGGACATAAAAGAGTCTTACATAGTATCTGTCACATAATGAGCTTTCATCATTTATTGATACGTATCATTTTCATTATAAATTTAAGTTAGAATATAGCTGGAAATGAAAACATTCTCCTGAAAAATTTGGATCCGTCATGCAATTAACTCAGATTATTTCAATCATCCAGGGAACTCTGTTAAATTGCTTTTATTTCTACTGTTATCCCTAGAACCAGAATGAACTTCTTAATAAAAATAAAACAAAGTAAAACACCCCAGCCTCAAAGTCCTTGCCAGTCATAAATAACTTGAAAGTTATTTAAATGAAGATATATTGCCTCTATAATGGGGTGCTGTCTATAAATCAGGAAGAAAAACAAACAAATAAAAAGCCTATTAATGTGAAATGCTGACAAATCTGTGTTTTCAAGGGCCCTACAATTGAGCTTTAATAAAATACACATTCATCGTGTCTGTCTCCCAAGCCCCACAAATAAGTCTGATCACAGCGACTTTAGAAATGGATGCCTGCAGAGTCGAGGCAAGTTTTCACTCCCAAAAATGAAAACTTCTGGCTGTTTTTTAAAGTGAGTGAACTGTAGTCCTCCGGGCACCAAAGAGCTTTTATGGCTCTTTCTCACACATCAGCCCTGGGAGGCTTTGGAAAGGATGCATTAGTGTGATGCTGCCATCTGCAGCCAGGACTTTCCATATGTTTTGATAATCTGAACAAATACTGATCCTAGGCCCGGCCAGCCAGCACACGTTTTAAATGGTCTTTCAAGTTGCTTTCCTGAGTAGGGACGTACTCGTTAGTGCCAAAAGAATTTTTGGCAGACATTTCTCCCGGTTACCAAAGGAACCCATTTTAGTTTCAGTTCAAGAGAAATTTCATACAGAAGATGCTTCCACTTGATATGAGTTTTCCTGAAGTTCCATGGCACACATTTCTAGATGGTATTACTACAGGAACTTTTTCAAAAGAATGATGTTCATGTACTTGGATGATGCTACGAACTCACTTCAGAGGGCAGTTGGGTGAAGCTGTGGCACAGTCATTCATAGGCAGGTAATTCAGCCCCCGGGGTGCTGGCTTCAAATGTCACTCACAGGATTGCCCTCTGACCACTTTGCCTTGGGTTTTGCCCTTTCCCTCTGTTCTGACAGAGGCAGAAGAAAATAAGATAACAGCAGAGGGCATCAGTCTTTTTTCTAGAAAATTTTTTTTTTCTGGTTGAACAATTAGCATCCAACCAATACATAAACTGCATTTATAAAACACGCAACCCTTCCAGAAATAACCAACCAATTTCACAAAAATGAAACACATGTCTACCATTTCCATCTTTAACTTGTTTCCAAGTTTGTTTTCTTTCAGCGAAGCATTTGATCTCTTCTGTCCCACACTTTTTAAAAAATTTTTCTTGTCTCATTATGAGTCATCTTATGTTCCGCAAGCTAAGTTTGCTCCTCCTATATCTCAATTCTCATCAAAGAACAAAATAATAAAAATCAATGTTCATAATCTCCTTAAAATATCATCATCTGAATTATCTTATTTATACCTTCATAGCATCTCAGTGTATTTTACATTGAGTTTGACTAGTTTCCCAAATGTGAATAAAAATACCACAGGAAATGTATAGGTTATATTAAAAATATTAGTGTGTTGATATCCTTCCCAGCAACAGAACATACACAATTACTTGATGTTATACAACTACTTTCGGTCATCGTAAGCCATATAACTAAACCACTCTTTTCTCTCATTTGGCAGATGAGAAAAATAAGTTATGTAAGGGTTAAGTGACTTATTCAAAGTCATCTCAAGTAATCTGTGCAGACACTTAGAGATTCTTATTGTTCAGATCTGTACTGAGGTCCTTGCAAGAACATTAGTCTCCTCTTTTTACCTCTCTAGTGAGAGGTTTACTTCAAATTTTTATCTGTAAAATGGGTATCAATTTCTCAAATGGAATAGTAGGAGAATAATTTGTGACAACCCATTTAGCTCCTAAGAGATGGACTAGAGAAGAAAAATGAGATGTCAAATTGGAAAGCTTATTTAGTGTTATGGAGAAAATCTAAATTAAAAATGGTAGCTTTATGTTTTTATAGCTTTGGTAGTACATATTACTAGAAAGTCATTCAGTACAGAAGCAAGTTTTTCAGCTTGTTTATAAAATAGTTAAGAAAAAATTGGTAGCAATTTTATTGCAAAGCAAAAGGTTAAGCAGAAAAATCTAGTTAGCTCATAATCAATCCTTTGAAATACTCGGGATAAAATAGAAATATCTTAATAATTATTACTTATTGCTTTGAATCATACCTATGCTTTCTCAAGATATAAGCAGGTTTTTTTCCTTGCCTTGAAGAGAAAAGACAATTATTATCCTTCTGTCATCTTCAGGTATTTTTCTCTGGGCATGATATTTTTAATTATCCATTAGAATTATGTCTATAGAGGGAAGCATAAATTTCAAATAACTCTAAATACTTAAAATACATTCAGAAACATATAAACTTTTGCAAGCATCTTACTCATCTTTCATTGTATTATAAAACCACCAAACACACATTTTACTATTATTTTTGTTATATAAACAAAATATTTCCAAGTAGGATTTGGTAGATGGTAGATTTCAAATTAAACAAAAACTGTGCCCATAACATATATCCAATTGTTTATTAACTCTGAATGGTTTAAATTTTTACAATCAAACAAGGTATTGAATAGAAAATAAAGGGCCTATACATAATACCAGATCCAAAAACAGAAACAAGCACTAGTTACACTGTCCAGATATTTTCATTTTATGTATTTAACACATATCTCTAGTAATGGTGGTAGAACCCTGAATATGCTAAACACCACTGAACTGTATACCTTAAAAAGAGTGAATTTTATGGTATATGAATTATATCTCAATAAAACTTATTTTATTTTATTTATTTATTTATTTTTTGAGACAGAGTCTTGCTCTGTCACCCAGGCTGGAGTGCAGTGGCGTGATCTCGGCTCACTGTGAGCTCCGCCTCCCGGGTTCAAGTCTCCTGCCTCAGCCTCCCAAGTAGCTGGGACTACAGGTGCCCGCCACCACGCCCGGCTAATTTTTTGTATTTTTAGTAGAGACAGGGTTTCACCGTGTTAGCCAGGATGGTCTTGATCTCCTGACCTTGTGATCCACCCGCCTCGGCCTCCCAAAGTGCTGGGATTACAGGTGTGAGCCATTGCACCTGGCCGCAAAACTTAAAGAACACGTCTAGCTAAATATTCTGTAGGAAATAATACATAATTTTTTTCCTTGCTAGCACAGTATTTTAGAGTAGATACAAAAATGAAATAAACAAAGTGTTCGTTGCAGCCCAGATAAAGTGATGCTATTTGCTCAGAGTAGGATATCTTTTGTGCTGTATTTACAAGCCTCAAATTCTGATTTCAAAGATTTGTGTGAAATTCCCACTGAAACCAGTGACCATTACACTACATAGCTTAGGGTATAATTTGGCACATTCTGCAGTATATTTGTATTTTTAAAGGATTCTTTGTTACAACTTTCATCTGCTTTTGTTTAACTGACAAAAAGATCAGGAAAAGGTCATGATATTTCTTTAAAGAAAAGTCTGGATAAAACATGAAAGTTACCCCAGTACAGCAATACAGATTTGCACTCACTGAAAGTTTTTGGAAATAAATATTGTATGCACTCTCCATTTGGATTTTGAAAGGAGGAGTAGTTAGAAGATTCATTCTTTTCTGAAAAAATGGTTCTGATCGTATCAAAGAATCTTAGAGTCAGAAGCACTTTAGTGATAATCTGGTTAAATCCAATGCCATCCTTGATGAAGTAACAGAGACCCGAAGAGGTTAAGTAATTTACCCAAGGTCACACAGCAAGTTAGTGAAAGAGCCAGATCGAGAATGCGTCTCCTAATTCCCTGACCAAAGCTTTTCATCCTCTCATTCCCTAAACAACTATCGTCTGGGGAAAATTAAAATTTGTTAGGTGTCCCCCATCAAAAAAAATTGTATTCATCATAATCCCACATACAGCAGGTACTTAAGAAGTATTTTTAAATTATGAATTATCTTCCATCTATTTTTACTGGGTTTTTTTACACAACAGTTTTGCGAGATATTTTGTAATTAATCTCATAATGAAGAAAATTGGACAGAGAGGTGTTAAGGAGAGTTATGGAAGAGATCAAACAGCAGCCACATCTCCTTCCAAATTCCATTGTGCCTCATGAAATCTCAAGAGAGTTTCAGAAATCAGCCATGTGATTGAGCCATGAAATGAACAGGATCGTGCTCTGTTAGAGAGTGTAAGCTGAAACAATCGTCCTGGAAAACGCACAATTTCTATCAAGAGCCTTTAAAATGTTCTTATAAAATAATCTAATAATTCTATCTCTGGTAGCCAATTATATAAATGTAAACCAAGATGCAGAGACACAAGTTTGCAGAGAAGTGTTCATTGCAGTAGTACTCATGATAAAGTGATAAACATCAACAAGGGAATAGCTAACAATACCATAGTATATTCATTTGATAATTACCACTGTAGGCTAATAAAAGGAAATTAAGAAGAATTTAACACCAAACATTTTTTATGTGACAATGTGAAGTTTAAAAAGCAGAATATAGGATTGTATATATGGTATGTTTTTTAAAAACGTAAAAACCCATGCACAGAAAAATATGTTGGTTGTCTTTGGGGCATAAAAATATGGGTGGTTTTTCTTATATTATGCATGTTTTTAATGAAAAAATATGTATTGCTTTTATAGTAGAAAAATCTCTAATAAATATTATTAAAAATAATAAATACTGTTAAAACAAACATAATATGAGCTAATTGATCAAAAACAAATCCAGAAAATATAATTAGAATCTACCATTGGAATAAAGTATGTAAGGGCTTTGGCTTCCGATGCCCTAACATTACATCACGTTATCCAATGCCATAATTTCTGATGTTGTTGCCAAGTGCTTTTTTTTTTTTTACAGAATCACACATAATTAGTAGCTAACTATATATATCGTTCTTTGAGAGTCTAAAGAATATCATTCACTCTAGAGCTTGTAAATATTTCATTCAATTGATTTGCTTGATCAGACCACACCAATTAAAAGCAAACTGCATATGTCTCCCAAACTCAGTTCAGGGGAAGGGGCTCCTCTAGTTGCCTCCTGTGAGGTTTCCTAATTTAAGTCAGTCCCTGTTTTACTACACATGGTGAAGTCGTGTTATCTCTTTGGACTATACCATCATCTAAACTCACACAAAAGCACGAGGGGCTGTAATCCCTCATTCCACAAAACCCCAAGTTAACCAAAGTTGTCACACATAGATCTGGAAAGATGGCAAACTCTTTAAAGATAATAGCAACTGTCTAAAAGGATAACAAAACATTGTTTTGAGCAAAACGAAACAAAACAAAAACAAAAAGCCAGGTCCTAGTGAACTATTAAGAGGAAATTTTCATTTAAAGATGAGACTTTGTGAAGGGAGATTTCAAAATTCCTGAGTCCCACCTCTAGAGAAATTTCCCCCTGTTGCTTATACTTTGAAATAAAAAGGCCACTAGAAGAACCCTGTCTTCTTCTGTCAGCGTGATTCACGTTCCAGCATTTGCAATGAAGATGAGCCTTTCCTGACTAGATCTCAGGAAGACAACCATGAAGGCAAACTGACAACCTGTGCTTCTGCTGTCAGAGATCTGCACATCAATCAATAAGACTCCATATGGCATCTGTTTTCAGTGATCATGTCACTTACCATCAACATCACATTAAATCCTTGCGGTAAAAATGGGTTCTTTCCCCCATATTCACAAGCGAGTGATCTCTGATTTCATCCCCAGGCCTCTCGCTTGGGGAAGAGAGCACAGTGCAACAGTGTCTCCTGCCGCCTGTTAGCGTGGTGACACGCGTGCATGGGAGGGGCTCTCCCTCCTGAAAAGGAATGAAGACTTAATCCTCCACCAGACTTGACTTCATTCCAGTGTGTACTTTCTCTACATTCAAATAAAATGGGCTTTGAATTTCACATTGCTCATTTCTAAGTGTAAGAATATCATTATCTCTGGTTTTAGAGCTCTTCTATTATTTAGCAACTTCTCATATCCTTTTGATGTTTCACATGTTCACTCCCATACTGGCCCACTCATCACTCCTGCCCTCCCCTCAAAAAAAGCAATACAAGATAGCTAGTTAAACCTGGAGTACACTTATATCAACAGAAGAGTCCAAATTTAAATGCCAGAGAGAAAATGACTGGTGTCAGGATATAACCTCATGGTTTTACAGGTTTTGGCATAGTGTTCAGGGGGAAGTCATGCTGGAGGGGTGCCACTGAACCCCTCCAGTACAAGTTGGTCTTTTAGTATTATTTCAGATCCTCGATGGAAGAAAAATGCATGTCTGGGAGCAATCACACTCAAGCATACATCTTCCTGTCATGCAATTTTGTGAATCCAAAGTGATAAAAAGAAGTTGTGACTTTTGACATTACTGAATAAATCCCGAGGTACTGTTTGAATCAATCAGGTTACTTCTTCCTCTGAAATAAATTCAGTATGTTTACACTCTTACCATATGTCAAAAGAATGCATTTGGAAATCTCATGAATTAGCTCACTTATTTAAAAAAAAAAAAAAAAAGCAGGGTAGGGAGAACTCATGTAGAAAACTGCATCATGTTTGCCCACCCCCTCCACATTTCTGGTCATTCTCTAAGATTTGCCCCTGGGGAATGCCTGGCTTTTATTGTCTCTTGTTTGGGGAATATTTGACAAGCAAGATTGCACCCATCTTAGATGCTAACGAAATGGCCTTTGAGTGCAGGGATAGTTAATGTTACGTATGTGTTCAGAGTTACCTAAGGAAGAGCAACTCCCTCCCCTAGTCTCAAACCAGCTACAGTGCTGAGGTCGTATGGATGCAAGATGAAATCATAGTCTGTTAACGCCTCCCATTACTTAAGAAGCAAAATAGCCCATTGCTCTAAGATTGATCTGGCTTTCTACCTCTCTACTCTGATCTGTAGCAATTATTGTTTATTTTGGCCTGTAATCACATCCAATCTTGAATTCTTCCCTAATTGTTCCAGAAGTACCTCTCTTGCCTCTGGAACAGGACTAACTTATTTAAGGATATCTTAAACTTGCCACAGTCCCTCCAGCCCAGTGTACCCTCATTAAAATGACTTGAAATTTCTCTCTTTGTCTTAGAAATCTCAGTGACAACACACACATTTTAAAAAGTGTTGTAAGAATCAATTCATTAATATTTGTGCAGCACTTCAGAAATTTAAAGCCCCAAGCATTGTAGTTGGATAGCAACTTAGTAAGATAATTAGCCAACCACTTCTAACTTGAAACTGTGTAAGTATGGACATGTTTTACCTCTGAGTATTTTATTCTTTCTTCCTTTTATTGGCTTAAGCATAATACTACACATTCTGATGACTCAATTTGAGTGAAAGAAAAAGAGGCGTTTTTAGTTTGAATAAGAATTACCTTACCATTTAGCAGCATTATTTTCTTTCGGTATACAGAATGTTTTTCATTTTCATCCACAATTTTTAATGCCCTGAGCAGAAAGACTATTAAAGGTAAACACCTGAACTTATCCTCTAGTTTAGGAAGGCATTTGATCACGAGTTTTGTTTTGCATTTGAACCAGGACACTCTTTAACCTGACAACCCCTCCTAGAGTGGAAAGAGACTACTATTGATTTTTCTTATACACAGTTAAACTTTCCATTATGTGTCCTATTAATAATTATATTTGCTTTTGTGGTGTGTACTGGCTCCTGACCTCTGAGCTCAGACCATTATAATCTTCTCTAAATACATAACCTTTGAGATCCATTCCCCAAAGACCTGCTGGGAGAGATTTCCTGCCATTTTTCTAACATTCCAGGACCCAAGCATACAGTGAAAATATAAATTTGTTTTAAAGCAAAAATTAGAATAAAATAATAATTAGAAGCCAGCTAAAATTCATAAAATGTTTAAATGCATTTACTAATCATTTTTTTTCTGGCAAGATGTGGTGTTAAAGCCATAAATAACTCTTAGCCTAAACTGTTTTGAAGACAAGAAAGCAACAAATAAGTGAAATAATAACTTCAAATCAATAATAGAAAACAATAGAAAAAATCATTTGAAATAAAGGATTATTTTTTAAATAAAAAGTTATTAAATTTCATTTACTTTGCTGAGTACTATCATTAATATTACTCTTAGGGGAGAGTTCATTTCATTTTTGCATCCTCAATGCTTAACAAAATGCCTACAACAATGAAGGCACTCAATAAATATTTAACAAATGAGTGAGAGAATAAATGAATGAATGGCTAAATGGCCAACATTTGCTTACCACTGATGTTCAGTTTACAGATGTATTTGAAACAAATATCTGGAAGGCAAACAAATAATCAGAAACCAAACATCTTTAACCTGGATTCCTTGAAACTAACCTTAGAATTCATTTGAGAATAAGGATTTGAGAGCAGGCTCAGTTGAAGAAGTTATTGTGCAAGAGAGAAAAAGGCAGAATCTCAGGTATTTGGATGTCTCTAAGTAGATCCTTAGAGAGGTTAAAGTTGGTGGACTTTATTGCCAATAATACTTAACTTTTTGTTCTGAATAATTTCTAATATTATTTCACAAACTTCATTCAGGTCTATATTTATGCAAATAATATTTACAGGTAAAGGATCATATTATTTTTCTGAAGTGTATTTAATTTTTAAAATAATAGCCACAGGGGAAGCTGATCTTGCTGAGAGAGAACACATTTGGACTTCTTATTGGGATCAGGGTCAAGAATATGCCCAGAAGTGTGTTCATTGAGGGCAATACAGAAAATATTGGCATATGTTATCCATTTGGGAACAACTATACGTATCTGCATTGACATCGAGCAATTTGTTAGACCCAGAGGCAAGATTCTAAATGATGTACTACAAACAAGGCAAAAATAAGAAAACGGTTTAAAAAGCACATCATTAGATTCAGAATACATATACTACACCCAGCTAGTTCAAACAGAAAACACACCACCTTGTGGAATGAAAGATAAATGCTTTACTATGTTCTGCCACTTATGAATGATGTCATCACTGTGATTACATGAAGAAGAAACTTCTTAGCTCCAGATGGTCACCATTCCCTGTCTCTGGTAGCCCTGGTATTCATAAGTAAGTATAATTTTTGTTGAATTCAATTGTATAAAAACACACTGCCTTTTTTCACTGATATGAGTGGATGAGCACACTGTTTTATTACTCTCTCAGCCTTCATTAATGGTTTTTCTATAGAATTTATTGTTTTAGTATAGTAATCACTAGCTTTGCCTAGATAATAAGAATAGGCTTTTAAACTTTTTTTAGAGAGAGACAGGCTCTTGCTCTGTTGCCCAGGCTGGAGTGCAGTGACATGTTCACAGCTCATTGCAACCTTGAACTCCTGGGCTCAAGCGATCCTCCTGCCTAAGCCTCCCAAACAGCTGGGAGTACAGGCACGTGCTACCAGTCCCCATCTCCAACAATGGGGAATACATTTCAACATGAGATTTGGAAGGGACAAACATCCAAACCATATCACCCAGATAATTTTTTTATTTTTATTTTTTGTAACAATGGGGTCTCGCTGTGTTGCCCAGGCTGCTCTTGAACTCCTGGCCTCAAGTGATCCTCATGCCTCGGCCTCCCAAAGTGCTGGGATTATAGGCTTGAGCCACTGTGCATGGCCCAGAATAGACTTTTAGAAACCTCTTTTCTATTAGTTTCCAAGAGGGGTCAGAGATTTTTTTTTTTATGTTTATTAAACTTTATGGCATTCAAACAAAGACACTGTTTTTACTTCCTACATGTGTGATGTTAGGTACCAACTAATTAATGTGGAAAGAAAAGAGTCGTAATTCCTGTCTGTTAATGTTCATATACTAAATACATAACTCAAGCCTAACTATTCCCAAGATACTATAGAGTTTAGAAACCATGTGGTTCAACACCTTCATTTTTAAAATTAGGAAATTGAGGCCTAGAAAGGTTAAGCAAATCATCTAAAATTACACTATCAGTAAATGGTTAAGCCCAGATCCCAGGCCTTCTACATAGCCTAGTGCATTTTCTACCGTATGACACAATATTGCTTAGAAGTTGAGTGAATTTTACATGAACTTGCCAAACAGTAAAATTCATTATGTTTAGCAACTATGCTACTTACTCAAAAGCTACCAATCCCTCATTATTTTTATATTTCACATCTTAAAAATGATGCTGAAGTTTCACTCTGATGAAAATAAAGCTATTTTATCCACTTCCTAAATGTGATATTTAAAAAACATGCATTTTACTTTGAGATTTGCTTTGTTGTATACATATTTTTAAAACTAAGATAATGGAAACACTTCTGATTTTTCCATTAGCTATAAAAGCAATGTATTTGCTTCAAGATGAGAAAACAATGTATGTATTTAATCTGTTGCACATAAGAATTCTGCCAGACACTTGACTGGTCCACATTACATGAGTTTGATGACAGCTATCTTGCAATTTCTAATTGAGGGAGCTTTAAGTAATGTGCTAAAGCCATGTTCAGCGTGTGTAGCAATGAAGAAGCCCAGATACTAGAGAGAAATTGTTCACTGGAGCTGTTAATAGAACCCAAATTCCAGTTTGTAAGGCTGCCAGCTGCAACCCACTTGTGATAAACCATATGAAAAGGAACAGATGAACAGATGAATCTGATACAAATGATTTATATGAGAACGCAGAAATCTGCTATTGAAAGTTCACACTAGCTGATTTAAAACAAAAACAACAAATACATCTGTCTATCCTTTTTGCACTATTACATTAAAATAAGAACAGGCAACCTAAGCAAAAACTTGTCAGTATCCTAAAAATATGTAACGTTGAGCACATTTATTAATAACTTCCTTCTTTTGAAAGTTTTTTAAATGGAATTAGAATACCATTTGTATCGTTTCCTTTATTTAAAAATGGGTGCAAAATTCAGAAAAAGCATTTATTGTAATAATTCATAGATGGCAAACAAAATGTTCTATATTCCTAGATGAGTCTTATAAGAAAATATTAGGCCAGGTGTGGCGGCTCACGCCTTTAATCCCAGCACTTTGGGAGGCCGAGGCAGGCAGATCACCTGAGGTCTGGAGTTCAAGACCAGCCTGACCAATATGGAGAAACCCCATCTCTACTAATAATACAAAATTAGCTGGGCATTGTGGTGCATGCCTGTAATCCCAGCTACTTGGGAGGCTGAGGCAGGAGAATTGCTTGAACCCAGGAGGAAGAAGTTGCGGTGAGCCAAGATCACGCCATTGCACTCCAGCTTGGGCAACAAGAGTGAAACTCCATTTCAAAAAAAAAAAAAGAAAGAAAAAAGAAAATATTAATTCAAGCACACTAGGTTTCTCTTTTTTTTAAAGTACATATTTGTCAGCGAGGAAAAGAAATGATCATATCAAGTTACTAAAGTTGACTTGGACTAATCTATGTTTTCATTTAACTCATACTTTTTTTTTTTAAGCTGTGGACAATTTAAAGCAAGAATTTTCAATCTATGGATTTTGACCCATTTATTGGGTTCTGACTAGAATTTTAAAAATTGAAATAGATATAACGGCAAAGGTACATTTGACACAGTGAAGATAGCAACTTTGGGTCTTAAGATCAAATGTATTTCTTAATGTGAATCATGGTTAAAAGTTCAAAAAACGATGATTTAGAGTAAAACAAGTATAAAAATCATTGCTAGTTTTCTTCAACATTTTGTGCATGTTTCTCTTCTTGGGTTTCTTTCTTGATAATCCTTAGCCCTTTTATAACTAATTATCACATCCTGGAATTTATTTTCCACACTTAAAGCTTTACAGATGTAAGGAAGAAATGTGTAGACTAACAGACAACGAAGAAATATGTGGCCAAATCTCCCTAGAAATCAATTTATTTTTAGTAAATCGCTAGGAGTCAAGACATCTAAATATCTTTTCTATAATTGTCATAAGACCTTGTACAAGTCCTGTTCTGATTATTTCCCTGGTGTATTTGGTGAGAATAATTATTCCTGCTACTAAATCACTTTGCAGAAACCTTGGAAAATTAGTATTAGTAGACTAATCATATTGTAAGCTGCTCTGACCAAAATATCGGATAAATACATGGATAAAAAGAGGCCTGCTAACATACCAATTTGAGGCTCCTAATAATTCTCCTCTTTGCATGTTTTCTTTATTTTTATTTTTACTTTTTTTTTTTTTTTGAAACAAGGTCTTGCTCTGTCACTCAGGCTGGAGCGCAGTGGTACAATCAAAGCTCACTGCAGCCTTGACCTCCCAGCCTCAAGCAATCCTCCCATCTCAGCCTCCCAAGTAGCTGGTACTACAGGTGCATGCCACCACCCCCGTCCAATTTTTATATTTTTTGTAGAGATGGGGTTTTGCCATGTTGCCCAGGCTTGTCTCAAACTCCTGGGCTCAACTGATCCTCCCACCTAGGCCTCTCAAAGAGCTGGGATTAGAGGTATGAGCCACCACACCTGGACGTTTTCTTTCTAATTATTTCTTATATCCTTTGAAATATTTATCTTAGGTAAGTTTTTTTTCATGTGTTTACCCTCCTCATTACAATATAAGAGGATCTTCGAGAATAGAGGATGGCTTATAAAATTCTATATTATTTTTCGGGCCCAGAAAAGATCTCTATGAGCAGAGGTGACTCAAGAGATGCTTATAATACTAATTAAATAAATCATGATGAATGGCAAGGGATAGACAAAGAATTAAAATTAATGATGAGCTAGAAACAGACTCTACTGACCTTAAAATAAACTCTATGAAGTCCAACGCACAAGGAGATGAGGTTAAAGCATGCTAACTTGTAAACAGGTAGAAAAATGGATTCACAGATTTTCATGGCACAAGACTTTACTCATTTATTTAGCTGGATGCTTCCCTATCACTGGGCACTAAAGACTCTTGTGTCATAGTCTTTTTGCTACTATTAAGCCAGAAAACAGAGATAATGTGCCAGCCTACCTACACAAGACGAATCATATTTCTCTCCAAGAACCTCAACAAGGGCACCTAGTTAAAGGTGGTAACTGAATTTGGTTCCATCTACATAATGGCATAATCAAGACAGAGAAATGATAAAAATATTATGACAGCTGATGCATTCCCTAGAGACTGACAGAGTCCAGTAGCAAGGTCCAGATCCACACTGGAGTCTGTACTTGAACAAGATACAGATATCAGATTTAGTAACTAGAAATATTCCATCGACCCTCATCCCCACCCCACCCTTCCCCATAACAGACTCAATTATCAAGTGGCAAGAAAAATTCTCCATAGGGAAGCTTGGTGCCTTCCTTCAAGAACGTGCCTGCCATTCTACAAGAAGTAAAAATCATGGAAAATTAGTTTCCACGGGGAAGATCATCTGAGAAGGATGGGCAGTAACAACTTAGGGGGCAATGAAGTTAGAAGGTTGGCATAGCTCTTCAAGGAATGTCAAGACCATGGCCAGAAAATGCTCAACATTATAGTAAAAAGTTGAGGGAAATGTACCCAACAGAAAACTTTGATGCTCATTTTGAAGAAGGTAAAGCTGCCAGAAGACTGAGACACTGCTGAAAAAATGGGCACAAAAAGAATTACAGTGGTAGAGTTGGGATCTAAAAATGTACCATTTTTGCATATGAGAGTAGCCTTGTTCCACTTCATTACTTAATTTGAGTGAAGTGGAAAGAACATGGGCTTTGGAATCATGTAGACCATGAGTTCTCAGTCTAGCTCTTTTAATTGAGAGATCTATGATAATGAGTATCATCAACCTTTCTTAGCTTTGTGTTCTAAAATGAAAAGTAACACCTGCATATTAAGTGCTTAGCTTAGCATAATTTCTAGCACATTGTGGGGGATCTAAGTGAGATCTATTATTGCTGCTTTTAATAGATTTATTTCTGCAGTTCTGTTCTTGCCCACGATTTCCCTTGTGACCATTAATACATATTTCGAGGCTTCTGACAAGAGCGTGAAGGCACCATCTGTGCCATGAACCTTGGACTCACTCATTAACTTCAGTGAACAGAGCCAACCCAATCTCACAGTGGTGGGTACCCTGGAGAACTATCTTAGTTGGCAAAGGATTATCTACATTTCATAACATTTTGTTGGAGGTAGTTGAAGTAGGTGGGCTAAAGTAACTTTGTTTTGTGGTGACCTGTGGTCAAATTATGATGATCAATAATTTGCATATTGTTGTAAGTATTCACAACAATGAAGATGATAAGTAACAATTACTTCTAATTTATGGTCTCTACTATATTATGCTTTTGCTGAAGCTTGAAGAAAGCTCATATGTACATAGACGGTGTGTCTAAAAGAAACACGATTTTTAAAAAATGTCTGACTGTATACATCAAATGAGCAATACCTCCTACAAAGGAGCTCCCTTGGGAAGCTATACAAACATTGTTAACAATCCTGCATTAGATCAAAACACTTTTGGAACTTCTTTATTGGAATTGCCTTATGACCTAGTTTATGAGCCATATAGAAAACTCAGTCTCATTAATTTATAGTCACACATAATTAATTTTTCACCTCTGGTGGAGTTACCCAGCTTGATCACCCATTTTGGCTCTGAATGATTTTGCTGCTTCCAAAATAAAATCCAATCTCAAAGTGTGAGTATTTGCCACTATCTAGAGTGTTTAGGAGAACATATCACATGTTATGAAGGCAATTCCAAAAAGAACTCCAGAATTTCAGATTCTGGAATAACATATCTCATGGCAGTGAGTTTGCTGAGGGCAACTCTCCTCTGCACAGCAAGTTGTATTTAATAGTATATTTGATTTTAAAACTATTCATCCAACAAACAATTATTGAGGGCTAGCTATTGTCAATTTGTTCTTTCATTCATTTGCTTAACAATTATTTACTGAGTCCCTATTACTCTATAGGAACTGGGCTAGGAACCCAGCAGTGAATAGGAAAGACATGGCCACTATTCTTGCAGAGACTTCATCCAATTAAGAAGACAAATACTAAACAGCAAAGAGAGGCGTAATGAGAACATATTTCAGAGAGACCTAAGCTAGTCTAGGGATTAGGGTAAACTTTCCTGAGGAAATGATTTTGAAGCCGAGATTTGAAAGATGACTAGGAATGTTCCAGGTAGAGGGAACAGCATGTGTAAACGCTTGAGGGCAAGGGAGTGTGATGTTGCAGGAACTGAAAGACGTTCAGTATGACCAGAGCATTTAGGGGAATAGCAGAAAACTGTCAGAGGCCAGACCATACAAGGCCTAATAAGCCACATGAAGAGTTCAGACTATTTCAGTTGCTCATACACTAAAGAAGGGATATGCAACTCTGGTTGCAGAATGGATCGGACAGAAGAGAGACTGGAGGTAGAGAGACGGTTTAGTAGGTTATTAGGAAAATCTGGGAGAGGATGATGGCAGTAGAGACACAGAGAGGTGCATGAATCTGAGAAATGCTCAGGAGGCAGTAGCAATAGGACTTGAAGATTTACTGGGTGCCAGAGATTTTAAAGGATAGGGAAGAGCTAAGGATGAGTATCGAGTAGCTGGTTTGGGAATGAAGGGTATGATGGTGACTTTCACTGAGCTGGGGACACTGGAGAAGGAGCTCTAGTCATCCGGTAGAGGAGAGATGATGAGTATACTTCTGGCTATCCTGTGATTGAGGTGCCGGGAGAGTATCCAAGGAAAGACGGTAAGTAGGTGGCTGGATATCCAAATCTGTGTCTTAGGACAAAGATGGGACTGAAACTATTTGAGGATCATCAGCAAGAGAAATGAATCTGATCACCTATGTTGAGTGTGCAGAGTGAAAAGAACACAAGGCCTTGGAAAGACCCCTGAGATGCACTAATATTTAAGAACTGGGTAGAAGAAAAGATGACCACAAAGGAAACTGAAGAATAAGCCAGGGAAGAAGGTAGATCCGGAGAGTACGGCACTTGGAGACCAAAAAAAGAGAGCATTTCTTTTCTTTTCTTTTTCCAGCAAGAAGTCATAACTTTATTTATGATAGAAACAGTACAAATTTCAAACCAAGCTGCAGTTACTCCTTTGAGACACCAAAAAAAGTTGCTTTCAGATGGTTACACTGTTAATTCCATAATCGCATTTACAATATCATTACTGTTGTTCTTCAGAGCTCGGACTGCCTTTGCTCTCGACACATTTGCTTGTGACATGACCAATTTCACGTCTTTAACTTCTACACCTGTTTCATCGACCTCTTCCTCTTCACTCTCCTCTTGTACAGTTGGAGTCTGTGTGTTTTCTTGAATGTTTCCGACAGCTTCACCTTGAACTCTGAATTTCTCCGCAGCTGCTAGTTGTGCTTGCTGAGATAAATCTTGGATCTTGGCTTCCCCAAAAACTATGTAGGCATCCGAAGCAGGGCTCTTGTAGACGTCCAGTTTTGTGATGACAAAGAGGATATTCTTAGATTTCCAGATAGTGACTCTAGTAACTCCTGTAACCTGTAGAAGACCCAGTTTGGACATAGCCTTCCGTGCCCTCTTTTCACTCCGACTCTGTTTTGCTTTACCGACTGGTTCTTCATCAATTTCAGCTGCTGCCACCAGCCAGGCTTTTTGTGTGGTGGTCTGGGTGGAATCCTGTTCTTCAATCCCTGGTACTGATTCACCACTATCAGATGCTGTTCCAGACCCTGTCTCAGCCTGGGACTGCGGCAACTCCTGCTCTGTAGCAGGGACGGTTTCTGTGGCTTCGCCCGGCATTTTGTGCAGGGAACGCGGAAGCAAGATGGCGGCAGAAAGAGCGCGAGCGAGAGCGTGACCCACGCTTGTTGCAGCGGGAAGCAAAAAGAGAGCATTTAAAAAGACATTTGTCAGCAGTGCTACACTGCCATGAGGTCAAGTTGGAATGGAAAAGGATCTATTGGATTTAGAGACTGTAAGTTACGCGGTCTGAGTGGTGCGGTGTGAGTGGCACTTGGGAATTGGTTAATGGTCAGTTCCTTGAAAAAATGACTAAATTGGGGAATCATTTTTTAAAATTTACATTATTTAACATGCTGTTTTAACTGAAAACATATCACTGTACTTTTATTTGCCAATCTTTTGATAGGAGCCGTAAACCTTTCTTTGAGTATTATCTGTTTATTGGAATTCAGCCTCGGTTTTCTCACATAAATCATATCTATAAAGGTATTGTCTATCATTCCCTGTTTTAGTTTATTTAAAATAGACCAAGAACTCAAAGGTGCTCATGAAGCAATCTGAACGCAGAATCCTAGATATGTATGGTTTCCCTCGATCTTTTCTTGCTCCCCCAATGAATGGAAAATTGTAAATGTTTCCAAACCATTCAATTTAATTTGCACAGAAACAACTATTTTATTTTTTCTATTTATATTTCATATAACAGTTATATAATGAGTTTACGTAATAATCAGTTAAATTACATAATTATAGTAATAAGAATACCCAGCATAAATAGGTTAAATAAACACAACTGATTCTTGGTAAGCCTATAACTGTATAGAGAAAACAAAAAATCCATAGAAAAGAAAACCAAAAAACAAAAATCCGCGTATGTACTAGGCAGTAGCACGTTAGCTATAGAGTGTGCCGTTGGCTTCCACCAATATGTTTCACGAAGGCAACAGAGAGTATCAGTCAATTTGCATTATGTTGGCTAAATATACGTTAAGAGAGTTTTTGCTTTAGTTACAGGGGATGACTCAGAAGGCAGTTAGATTGCAGTGGGCTGAGAAGTAGGAATTGAAGAAATGGAAAGATTGGATTAGATCAGAGTACTCTTATAAGAAGTTTAACTGTGCGGGAGGAGACAGTGCAGTAGCTGAAGACATAATTATAGTTGGCGGATAGGTAAACACATATTCTTCCTAAGAAGAGACCTGAGCATGTTTAAATTCTAAAAGGAGTAGTTAAATACAAATGAAAGAGGGAAGTTGATCAGTCAAGGTTCTGAGGAGCCAGGAATGAAATCCATGGCACAAGTAGAACGACTAATCTTGAATAGCAGGAAAGGCATCCTTTTCATTGTAATAGGAGGAAAGAAGAAAAATATGGATTTGGGTGCAAGCAGATTTTTAGGTTTGGTAGCACGATGTCAAAGGAGTTCCCATCTGGTAACATTTATTTTTTTTTTTTTCTAAGAGGCTAGAGGAGCTGTCTGCTGAGAGTGAGGGGAAGGCAAGAGAGTTAAAGGTTTATGTATGATGGAAAAGATTTGGAATAGGTGCTGCATAGAAGGAAGAAAATGATCACTAAAGAAGCACAATAGGGTAGTAATTCAGTATTGAGGTCCTAGCTGAGATAGGCAAATACTGTGCTATATGCTGGGTTGAGCAGGTTAAATGGGAGGAACATGCAAAGATAGGTAAGACACAGTTTCTGTTCATCAAATGAGAAAGAGAGACATATAAACAAACCACTTAAAAAGAACAGAAGATATAAATTGTGGCATATTGTGAAAATTAGTAAACTAGGTTGCACACAACCACATTAATAAATCTTAGAAAACTTAATATTGGCCGGGCGTGGTGGCTCACGCCTGTAATCCCAGCACTTTGGGAGGCCAAGGCAAGAGGATCACAAGGTCAGGAATTTGAGACCAGCCTGACCAACGTGGTGAAACCCCACCTCTACTAAAAAAATACAAAAATTAGCCGAGTGTGGTGGCATGCCTGTAATCCCAGCTACTCAAGAGGCTAAGGCAGGATAATTGCTTGAACCCGGGAGGTAGAGGTTGAAGTGAGCCGAGATCACGCCACTGCACCCCAGCCTGGGCGACAGAGCAAGACTCTGTCTCGAAAAAAAAAAAGAGAGAAAGAAAAAGTGAGAATGATTATCATAAAAGTCAGATCATGATTACCTCTAGGAGAAAAGAGAGGAGTGTGATCAGAAAGGGACATAAAGAGGACTTTTGGGGTGCTAGTGATGTTCTAGTTTTTGACCTGGATAATGGTGTATTTAGTTGCAGCTCAATCAGGGAAGAAGAACCTCTTTGGGTCATAGGATAAGGGATTTATTATAGGAATTAGACCTTACACGACTGTGGGAGGAGCTGGGGAAGTAACGTCTCAAGAGGAAGTTGGAGGACCAGTGGAGTCACCAACTGATCCAGCTGAGAAACCAAGCGCATCCAGCTGCCAAAATGAGACTGCACAGATTCCTTTGGCTGCCGAAGGAGTCTGTGGGAAGCTGTTGCTTCTTTGGGTCTGCAGCCAAACATCTGGTCATGAGCCTGGGACCGCTGTTGGGGAGGAGAGTTGCGTGTGGCACAGGGAAGAGCAAGGACACCTGGACCCTGTGAGACCTCTGCGTCTCTCTGTATCCACACCCACCACAGCAACTTGCAGAGAGAAGGGCTGCTGCTTCACCTCTGTCTCCCAGATCTCACACAGGCTGCTTTTTTGGCCATGCACAGAAGGGGACTCTGGGAAACACAGTTCCCAGGTTAATCAATTTGAAATAAAATGATCCAGCGCAGGTGGTTAAATGAGTTTGACTTTGTAATTATCCATGAAAATGTGCATTTACAGTTCTGACATTATTATAATTTATAAAAAGACTTTCAGTTAATCAATCAGTAAAAGAACAGGCATGGCATTTCAGGGGCCATGTATGATATGTTCCCATAGTGTTACTAGAGTATGTTTTTAAAAAGTGCTATGAAGCTAAAGAGACAGCTCTGCCTGGGGGCATCAGGAAAGTTTTCATAGAAAAGGAGACATTTCAACATAGTAATAAAAATAGCTACCATTTATTGACCACTTACTATGTATCAGACATTATAATATGCTCGTACTTCATATAATTTTTACAACAATCCTATTAGCTAGACATTATACTTCCAATTTTTCAGATAAAGAAACTGAGGTCCAGATAAATAAATTAACTTGCCCAATCTAACAAGAAACAGATCAGAAATTTGAAATACCTCTAGTTTACTCCAACCACGCGGAGCACTACTTCCATTTGAGTCTCTTTTTTTTTTTTTTTGAGACAGAATCTCACTCTGTCACCCAGGCTGGAGTGCGGTGGTGCCATTATGACTCACTGCAGCCTTGACTTCTCAGGCTTAAGCAATCCTCTCACCTCAGCCTCTCAAGCAGCTAGGACTACCAGCCCTTGCCACCATGCCCAATTAATGTTTTGTATTTTGTTTTTGTAGAGATGGGGTCCCACTGTGTTACCCAGGCTGGTCTTGAACTCCTGGGCTCAAGCGATCCTCCCGCTTTGGCCTCCTAAAGTGCTGGGGTTACAAGCATGAGCCACTGGGCCTGGCCAGGCTTTTTAAAATACCATCTTTTCTTACCCAGTCTTCCATTTGAGTCTTCACAGGTAATAATATACCTGGCAGGCAGAAGGAACAGCATGAGCAAAGAATTGGCAACATGAATGAGTGTGGTTTGCTTGCGGAAGATTAAGAAGGTTGATGAATGTGTGTGTAGGAGATGGTGAAAAAGGTGAAAGATAAGCTATAAAATTTATTGAAGATTTTTTATGCCATGATAAAGTGTTTCCAACTTACCCTCTAGTCAAAAAGAAGTCACTGGAAATTAATAAGTAAAGAAACAGCACTAACAGATTGTTTTCCTGGCAGTGATTATTTAATAGCCATCTATACCTTTGTGTCTGCGAGTACTTTTTACCTGGACTTTTCTTTATTCTTTTTTTTTTTTCTTTTTGAGACAGCGTCTCACTCTGTTACCCAGGCTGCAGTACAGTGGACTGATCTTGGCCCACGGCAGCCTCAATCTCCTAGGCTCAAGCAATCCTCCTGCCCCAGCCTCCTGAGAAGCTGGGACTACAGGCACAAGCCACCATGCATGGCTAATTTTTTTTTTTTTTTTTTTTTTAGTAGCTAGGAGGTCTCACTTTGCTGTCCAGACTGGTCTCAAACTCCCGAGCTCAAGTGATCCTCTTGACTTGGCTTCCCAAAGTGCTGGGATTACAGGCGTGAGCTACTATGCCCAGCCTGACTCTTCTTTATTCTTTACATAGAACTTTCTATCACATGATTTGTTTTGATTCTCACAATTAGCCTATGAAGAATGCAGAATAGGTATTATTATCTCCATTATATGAACTTCAAAACTGAGGCTCAGTAAGGTTAAATAATTTGTCCAATGTCACTTGGCTAAGTGACAAACTTTGGAAGAGAACCCACATTTCCCTGACTCCCTGTTTTCTCTTCTTCCTACCCCCTGTTGCCTAACTTGACCTGGGCAAATGTCAAAGTAAAGAAAACAAAACGAATCAAAATCCCTGTGCGTTTTCCAGTGAGCTGTAGCCAAGCCGAGTGAATTTTCTGTCTCTTGAATTCTAGGTGCTGAGAACTGATTGGCATCATCATCTTTTGAGAAATTAAACTTTAGTCATAAAATTTCTATTTGAACTAAAATTATATGACTCAGATATCTTTTGATTTAAACCTAATGACAGCAAATTGCTTCATAGTGGGAATACAGTAATTCTGGATAGGCATGAGGTTTGTATTTTAAAATGAAACGCAGTTTTTGAATTGCAATGAACAAGAGAATGTAATTAGTCCCAATTGCCAAATCAGAAATTCTGCCAGGAATTTCAAGAAAGGAAAAAAAGAATGGAATCATGTTCAACATCAATGCCAGGGAAAGAATGCTTCCAGAGGCTCGAGGACTCTCCATGGGAAATCAGTTCCCTCCAGTTCCTTAAATCTCCACAGCCGTACCTTTCATCAACACTGAGCATTTCCTCGATTTTAAAATTCCTGGTTTGGTATTCTGTTTTCCTTTATTAAAACTCCTGTCATTGCTCTAAAATCCCCACCTCCGTTTATAAAGTCTGAATGTATGAAGGTCGTGAGGATTTTGTTTTCCAATGGTATCCGATTTTTCCTTTAACGTAACCAGTGAGGAGGAATAGAATAAGGGCTGGACTGGGGCGGCTGGCATCCGAAGTGCTTGCTTGTGAGCTTTTCTTTATCGCTTGTTTGTTTCCTGGATGTCTGTCTAAGGAGATGCCAGAGTCTGTGTCCTGATAACTTACTGGGTCTGTAAAGTGACTGCTGATGAGAAGCTTCCCCACCACCCCACCATGATTACACTGAAATTCAGAATTCTACCAGAAGACAATTTTCTCAGTTCATCACCCTTCCAAGGACATTACATAGGTCTCACTTTCTCAGAGTGAGCAACAGCAAAGCAACATAGAAAGAAGGCACATCAGGCTTCCATCCCTTCCAATTTATATTACTTTGTTTCTCAACTGGCTTTTAAGCTATTGCAAGTATGTATTAATATCGTCTCTCTTTGCAAAACTGCTTAGGTCTGAAGACTTGAAAACAAAAACATAGGAATATATATATTTCTTCCAAAGCAAAAGATACATATGTTTTCTTCTCAAGCAATAAAATATTGGGGATAGGTGTCAAAGCATCACATGATTCTAGTGTCTTATTAAAATTGGTATTTTTCTAGATCCCAGGAGTTCTATGAATAGACAGTAGCATTTCTCTTCATTCTCAATGCCAGCTATGTCTACCTGGAAGAAGAGATATACACTTAAAGCTGGTGGCAAAGGCTACTGAATTGGTTTATAGGAGAATTCCACTTTGATTATTTTGTTTAGACTTTTTTTGAAAATATTTTATAATCTGTTAAGATTCAACAACATCAGGGAAAAAAAGATCTCAAAAGCGCTATGCTTTACTCAATTTCAGATAATTATGTTAAAAATTGTTTAGAACTACAATCAGAGGAAGGTTCTAACTAATTTTTAACAAAATAAAGTCCAACAAGTAGAATTCCATAGAACTGGCTCATTGGCATTTAGCATATGTTAAGAGACAGAATTGTTTTATTTGAAATTGTCATATTTCACCATCCTCAACATTAGGTGAATTTTTTTTAAAGTTTCAGTGATCCCAAATGAATTTCTGATTTTCAGTAGAAAATTGCTAAACCTTCATGTTGTCTAGAAAATGTCTCTAATTTGAAATTAAAGATTTTACTAAAAATAAAGAAATAATAAAAAAAAATAGGTTTTTTTTTTTATTTTTTTACCTAAGCTTTCTCTCTTTCATTATTCTTACTTGGCTTGAAAGATGCTGCTTTATGCCCAGCCAAAAATATGAAAGATTCAAATACAAAGCATTTAAGTACTGAGCATATTGCAGTATGTGATGCTGGCCTCACCATCCTATTGGCTCCTATCCACAAGAATTCAAAATGGAAAATGTACCTAATGACGGTTTATGCATAACTTCTGGGAAATCTCTTTAGATTTAATTTTTTAGAATTTAACCCTATTCGTCATTTCATATAAGTGGTCCCAAAGAGATCTCCATAAGTGGCCAGCTTTAATTTGTATGCCTCAGGGGTTCACAGGACTGTAAATGGAAATGAAGGGCTGGCCCTGGTCTCAAAATGACAGCTTGCTTGCTTACAGGCAGGATATGGTAGTTCAAAATTAGCCACAATTATCAGAGTCATGCGTTCTACCTCCTGCTTATTTAGCAACCTGAGTCCCTCAGTCTAAACCTGAAAGGTTATTCTAACTGCATCTGATCAAATATATTAGCTGAATTAGATTTAATCCATTGCCCAACACCAGCTCCTTCCATAGCATTAGACAAATGGTCTAAGTGTCTTTTCTTCCCTACCTGGATAATTAGAGATTATTCTCTTGGGTTCTGTGATGAAATACTAAACTCCTGCTTTTGTTGCCTCTACCCAAGGGCTTAGGGCTTTTTCCTGTGCTCGTGGCTGGGGAAAGTAGCCCTTTCTTTCTCTTGTACTTCCCTTGTGTCTACAGCAACACACCCTTAAATACTTATCTTGTTTGAATGGGAAAAAAATCCTGTACTACTTGTTGAGATTTATACGTAAAAAATAATATAAGGCCACAGTTACAGGTAGGTAAAGTGGCTCCATAATCTAGCTTTTTGTAGTACAGAGAATAAACACAGAGATACCCTGAAACAAGATCTTGTTTCAGGGTATCTCTATTCGGCCACCTGGCTTACTTCTCCAATCAGTCTAATCTAGATAGTTTTCTGATCAGTTTTGAGAAGGAGATAATATTAGTCTAACCCCTTTTACAGATGAGAAAGAATTTATGAGTTAGGCTTTTGTGTCTGACTTATGCTCTTCCCTCTATAGTTATATATTAAAATCCTATTAAAATAATTTAAAGTGAGTTAATATATGTAAAGCATTCAGAGCAGTACCTGTACCTGGTACATGATACTATATAAACATTTGCTCTTATTTTGAGTTTGTTTGTTTGTTTTAAGAAACTGGGTCTCCCTGTGTTGCCCAGGCTGGTCTTGAACTCCTGGCTTCAAGCAATCCTCCTGCCTTGGCCTCCCATTCTAACTCCTTTGTGAAGTCTTCCCTGTTCTCATCTGGCCACTCCTCTCTCTGTATAATCAGGTGCTTTTTGGACTTGTTTTCCATCAACTTACACTGTATTTAATTGCTTCTATTGCTGTCTCCCTCACTAGACAGTAAGCTATTTGAAGGCAAGAACCATGACTGTTCTTTGTATTGTCTTCCTCTTCAGTGCCAATCATATTACTTTCAGGCATTACATCCTTTAAAAAGTGTTCATTGGTTTAGTTGCACTGATGATCTTCAAAACCGGTGGGAAGTTATTCACCAGTGTAGGCTTTGCTCTTAGACCTGCCTACAAATACTAAGAGACGTTAAATTAGTTTCTCTATGGTGTAAATTGGGGTTGTGATAAAATTAAGCAAGTGGCACGGTCAAATGGCAGGGACCAGAAAAAGGGTAATTGCAAAACAGTAATCAAAAATTGCACAAACAATGGGATTAATTTAGATTGGAACTCACTAAAGCAGCAGGCAGACTGAGCCTCAAAATTAGGGACAAGGATCTATACTAGGTAAGGGAATAGGGCAAGCTGAAGCATGGTTCAGACCCCATCCACAGATAGCTGCAATCTTAAGAAGGTATCTGAAATGGCTTCTAAGTGTTGCATTGACAGGTGACTGTGGGATCGGAGATCAAAAGATCACAGTCTCTTAACTAGGACGGATAAGTCTTTCCACATTCGTTTTGTCCCCAACATGTTTGTTAAAAGATCTCAGCTTATTAGAGTAGTTCCCATTTATCCAGGCTCATCTTCACAAATGTACCTTCCAGAGCTGTGTCCAGATAATAGTGCTATGTCTTCAAAGAGGATCACAGATTTAATCATCACTTAATTAGAGAACCAATTCCAATTTTCTAAATACTACAGGATTTTCCACGTTGAATTTGTTCTCTGGAACTCCTAATGGCTGGGCTTTTGACCAGAGTACGAATAGCATTCACCCTTAATGCTCACGAAGTGGAACATTAGATGCCCAGCTCTCTAGATGTTGTTTGGTTGCAGATGGCAGGTCCTTAAGTCTAAAAGTTATCCCTCTCAATGGTGTACCCCTATGCAATAGCACATGCTTCTGACCTCAAATTCCACAGTACTGCTTACTTGGATCAGAGAAGGAAGAAAAGGAAGGGAGAGAGGGAGGACATTGTGTAGGAAGGAAAGTTTAATAATGAGTTTGGTGGGGCAGACAACAGAAAATGCTGTCTAGACTTAGAGGTCGCTGAGAGGCTGAATTTAATAGTTTTGATAATAGGAGAACTAAAGAAGATGTCTTTCAGTCTTTAAGAGAGTTAAAGAGGGCTCTAAGTGCAGAAGGTTAGAAGTACTTGGCTGCCAACCCGTTAGTATGCACTTGGGACTATACTTTATCTTGTCCCAAAATTGATTTTTCATTTGTTGAAGGGTGTGCCCCCCAACAATTGAATTGTTTTCAGCTAGAAAGTCTGCAAAGAGCTCAGGTCCTTGAGTAAAGATGTTTTTTATGTTTCTATCATTTGGACTCTTAACTGTTAAAGAGGGTTAACCAGATATTTGTGTTTGTAAAGTCCAAGAACTCTATTGTCTGAGAAAGGGAGTCATCCTAGACTTCCCCCTCTGTGGTGGGCATCTGATGTTTCTTTGGCTATCTGAAATTCAATCTTCCTCCCTAACATCACCCTAACATTTGGGGGGTGAGGATTTTCTTTACTAAATTTTGAATATTATAAATCGAGATACCTTGTCCTTGCTCTATGAAAGCTGATGGGGCTCTCAGATGCAATTATATCCTCCTTCCATAAGATCTGTAACTCTTATTGTCTTGATTATCAAAAGCCAACCATATGGCTTAAACTCAGCTAGCTGGGAGTGCCTTTTCTGGGACTTCTCTTTAGTTCTCCTATTATCAAAGCAATTGACTTCAGCTTCCCAGTGACCTCTTAAGTCTAGACGGCATTTTCCTGTTTTCTGCCCCACCAAACTCAATATTAAACTTCTTTCCTTCCTACACAAGGTCCTTCCTCCCTCCCACTCGAGTCACAAGTGCAGTGAGACAGGAAAAATCAGTAGGACCTCTTTCATTCCAGTGGCAGTAGCCCAGTGAAAATGTCAATTAGCTCCTACTGACTTGGCCCCTGTCATTTCTAAGCCTAGTTCTCCACCCTTTTGATCAATTTTTTTAGTTGTCCAATATCCTTATTTTTAAAATTCCCTTTTTGTTTAAGCCAGATTTGATTTTTATTATTAGCAACCAAAGAACTCTAATTCAATATCCCTTTTCCCACACATTTTCCTCTTCACTCAGTCCTGTTTATTTTAATTCCAGAACAGATCTTGACTCTATTTTATACAGCTACTTTGACATCACCTCTAAGCCAAGCTTTTTTTTTTTTTTTTTTTTTTCTGAGACAAGTCTGTCACCCAGGCTGGAGTGCAGTGGCGTGATCATAGCTCACTGCAGCCTCCAACTCCTGGGCTTAAGCGATCTTCCCACCTCAACCTCACGAGTAGCTGGGACCATAGGCATGCGTCACCAAACCCGACTAGTTTTTTGTTTCTTGTTTTGTTTTGTTTTGTTTTAGATATGGGATCTCACTATGTTGTCCAAGCTGGTCTTAAACTCCTGGGCTCAAGCAGTCCTCCTGCCTCAGCTTCTCAAAGTGCTGGATTACAACAGGCGTGAGCCACTGCACCTGGCCAAGCTTTTTTTTGATAGGCAATCTTTTCTTACCCAGACCACTGCAAGAGCATTCATGCTTCCACTATTGTCATCCTCAAATCTAATCCATTTTCCATATTGCAAGCACATCGATCTTTTAAAATTCAAATCTAATCATGATATTCTTCAGTCTAAAACTCTTGCTTCCCACTGCTCTTAGAAGAAAATAAAAAATCCTTAAGAAGGCCTGTAACATGTTTCGCAATCTGGCCCTGGTGACCCCTCCAGCCTTGTTTTACTATATTCTCCCCGCCGGCTCACTGAGCTCCAGCAACTCTGGCCTCCTTTTCATTTCTCTCTTTTTTTTTTTTTTTTTTTGAGATGGAGTCTCACTCTGTCGCCCAGGCTGGAGTGCAGTGGCGCGATCTCGGCTCCCCGCAACCTCCACCTCCTGGGTTCAAGTGATTCTCCTGCCTCAGCCTCCTGAGTAGCTGGGATTACAGGTGCATGTCACCACGCCTGGCTAATTTTTGTATTTTTAGTAGAGACGGAGTTTCACCATGTTGGTCAGGTTGGTCTCGAACTCCTGACCTTGTGATCCATCTGCCTCGGCCTCCCAAAGTGCTGGCATTACAGGCCTCAGCCACCGTGCCCGGCCCTTTTCATTTCTTGAACACACTAAGCTTTTTCCTATCTCAGGGGCCTCAAAAATACAGCTCCTTCCACCCAGGCTACTTCTACCCTGCCAATTATCTGCCTGCCTGTCTACTCTTCCCGTCTCACCTAAAGTGTCACTAAGGGATGCCCTTTTGGCCTGGCACAGTGGCTAATGCCTGTAATCTCAGCACTTTGGAAGGCTGAGGTGGGCAAATCACTTGAGGTCAAGAGTTCGAGACCAGCCTGGCCAACATGGCAAAACCCCATCTCTACTAAAAATACAAAAATTAGCTGGGTGTGGTGGTGGGCACTGTAGTCCCAGTTACCTGGGGGGCTGAGGCAGAAGAATCACTTGAACCCAGGAGGTAGAAGTTGCAGTGAGCCAAGATCGAGCCACTGCATTCCAGCCTGGGCGACAGAGCGAGACTCCATCTCAAAAGAAAAAAAAAAAAAGAGAGGCCTTTTCTTATCTCCTAATCTAAACACTACTCTTTTCCTTCAGAATAGTTATAATTTTTACATACCTATTTTTAAAATTATTCAGATAATGTCTATCCGTGTACATGACAAGGTACAGTCAATGTCCCAATGCTTGTTAGCTTCAAGAGAATGGGAATCACGTCTGCTTTGCTCACCACTCCATACTGAGTGGATTGCTAGCACCCAGTAGTGTGCCTGACTTATAAAAGTCCTTTAAGAAGCATCTCAATTCAGATGGCTGAATGAATGGATGGGAGTCATCACATCATAATTTCTTCTCCTACCCTCACCATTACTTCCTATACTAAATCAATTACTCAATCAGCAAATCTTTCATTCAGTCTCTAAAGTACGCCTCTCTTATCATTGCTACAGTTTAGTTCAGACTCTTATCATTTCTCCCCTGGGCCTTTGCAATAACTTCCTAACTAGTCCTCTTGTCCCCAGTCTTGTCCTTCTCTCACCTTTCACACTGCAGCTGGAGTGATCTCCCGAAATCACAAATCTGATCGTATCGCCTCTTTACTTACAGTGCTTTGGTAGCTTCTCATCATCTGCAGAATGAAGGCCAAATTCCTCATACAAAGCCCTAAGTGACTTGGTTCTCTATATATCTCTAGCTTCTTTCCCCTACTACTCTCTACTTTTAACTTGTGCTCTCTTTCTTTTCCTTTGCAGTTCGCTTGGCCTACGACACTGGTGACACTGTTCTTCACCTCACCAACTCTAACATCCCACAGTGCCCCGTGTCCTAGCACAGTTTATTATGTTGTGTTGAACTTTATCTGTTTATGTGTCTGCCTCCATCATTACAATGAAAGTTCCTTGAGGACATGAACTATGTGTTATTCATATTTCTATTATCCTTGTAGGGCCTTTTTCAACCTGCAAGTTGCAATCTAGTCGTTGGTCATTAAATCAAATTAGTGGGTTATGGCTAGTATTAGTTTTTAAAAATTATGTGGAAGAGAAGAGAAAGTGTCAGACTATACCACATATAGTAAGGGTAATCTGTGTGTGTGTGTGTGTGCGCGCGCACGCGCACGTGTGTGTGTGTGTGTGTGTGTGTGTGTGAAAAACTGTTTTTCTTTTTTTTTTTTTAGGATGGAGTCTTGCTCTGTTGCCCAGGCTGAAGTGCAGTGGTGCGATCTCAGCTCACTGCAACCTCTGCCTCCCAGGTTCAAGCTATTCTCCTGCTTCATCCTTCCGAGTAGTTGGGATTACAGACATGCGCCACCATGTTCGGCTAATTTTGTATTTTTAGTAGAGACAGGGTTTCACCATGTTGGTCAGGCTGATCTCAAACTTCTGACCTCAAGTGATCCACCCATCTCAGCCTCCCAAAGTGCTGGGATTACAGGTGTGAGCCACCGTGTCTGGCCTGAAACTTTTTTGTATGCACATACATATATAAAATATGTATAAATAAGCATGTGAACTAGTTCCCTATGTACAATGTATTTCTTGCCATAAGATTATAGTAAAAATTTATTTTCTGAAGAACATTATTCTAATATCTAGAATATAGAAGGAGCTAAATAACTACCCATCTTAAATCTTTTTGGAATGAAGTAGAGGGGAAAACAAATGTGTCTGAATAAACCTAACCTCAGTGAGCTCATGATTTCTCCTGCTTATCTGACTTCTTACTCTTCAATGCCCAAATTATTTCCATTCATCAAGAAGACATTAAAAATCTTAAAAATTTATACCTTTAATAACAGAGCTTCAAAATACATGAAGCAAAACCTGATAAAACTGAAAAGAGAAATAAACAAACCCACAATTATATAAGATATTTCAAAACCCCTCTCTCAATAACCGATGTGACACGTTGACAGAAAAGCAGAAAAGGCACTCAAGACTGAAATAATGTCAACCAACTTGGACAGTCCAACTAATAACAGCAGGATAAATACTCTTCTCAAGTGCTCATGAAACATTTACCAAGAGAGACCATATTCTGGCCCATAAAACAAGTCTCAATAAATTTTAAATGATTTAAGTCATACAAGGTAAGTTTTCTGACCACAGTGTAATTTAATTAGAAGTCAGTAATAGAAAAAGGTATTTAAAAATGCCTAGGTACTTGGAAATTAAGCAACATTGTTCTAAATAACCAATGAATCAAAGAAGAAATCACAAAGGAAATTAGAAATTATTTTGACTAGAGAGAAATTTTTAGGACTAATAGCCTATATTAGGAAAGAAGAAAGGTCTCAAATTATTGACTTCAGCTCATACCTTAAGAAACTGGAAGAGTAAGAGCAGATTAAATGCAAAGGAAGAAGAAGACAGGAAACAATAAGAGAATAGAAATCAATAAAATGAAAGAGAGTAATGAAGAAAATCCATAAAACTAAAAGCTTGTACTTTATGAAAATCAATATGATTAACCTGTAGCCACTCTAATCAAGAAAATAAAAGACACAAATTGCCAAAATCAGGAATAAAAGAGAATATATTACTAAAGATCCTACAGACATTGGAAGAATAATAAGGGAATATTATGAGCAATTTTATGCCCATAAATTTGACAGCTTAAATTAAGTGAAAAAATCCCTTGAAAGACTCAAACTATAAAAGCTCATTCAAGAAGAAACAGATAATCTGAATAGCCCTATATCTATCTACAAAACCGAAGCTGTTAAAAATAATTTCATAAGAAAACTCCACTGCAAATACTACTTAACATTTAAGGAAGAAATAATTCAATTATATACATACTCCTTCAGGACCTAGAATGGTCAATGCAATTTTTATAAAGAAGAACACCATCCTGGCTAACAAGGTGAAACCCCGTCTCTACTAAAAATACAAAAAATTAGCCGGGCGCGGTGGCGGGCGCCTGTAGTCCCAGCTACTCGGGAGGCTGAGGCAGGAGAATGGCGTGAACCCGGGAAGCGGAGCTTGCAGTGAGCCGAGATTGCGCCACTGCAGTCCGCAGTCCGGCCTGGGCGACAGAGCGAGACTCCGTCTCAAAAAAAAAAAAAAAAAAAAAAAAAAAAGAAGAACAAAGTTGGAGGATTAACACTATCTGATTTCAAGACTTAAAAAGCTATAATAGTCAAGATAGTGTGGTAACTATAGAAAAGAAAGTGGAACAGAATATGGAGTCAGAAATAGACCCACACATATATGGACAACCTTTTTTTTTTCTTGAGACAGGGTCTCACTCTGCAGCCTTGACCCTCCTGAGCTCAGGTAATTGTCCCACCTCAGCCTACCAAGTAGCTGGGACTACAGGCACATACCACCATACCTGGCTAACTTTTTGTATTTTTTGTAGAGACAGACTTTCACCATGTTGCTCAGGCTGGTCTCAAACTCCTAGGCTCAAGCAATGCTCCCACCTCATCCTCCCAAAGTGCTGGGATTAAAGGCATGAGCCACCATGCCTAGCCTGGACATCTTATTCTTGACAAAGGCACAAAACCAAACCAGTGGAGAAAAGATACTAATTTCAATAAATGTTGCTGGAATAATTGGATTCAAAAAAAAATAAAATTGGACTCATACTTCATATCACATGCAAAAATTACCCCAAAGTGCATCATAGACTTTAAATTATAAGACTTCTAGAAGAAAATACAGGAGAAAAATATCTGTAACCTAGAGTGAAGCAAAAATGTCTTAGATATGATACCAAAAGTATGATCCATATTGACAAATTTGATTCATCAAACTTAAAATTTTCTGTTCTTCAAAAGCCATTGTTAATAGAATGAAAGGTCACAGACCGGAAGAAAATATGTGCAAGGCATATATCTGATAAAGTACTTGAATCCAGAATATATAAAGCACTCTTAAAACTCAGCAACAAACCAACAAACCAGTTTTTTAAATGAGCACAAGATTTCAACAGACCCTTCACCAAATAAGATCTATGGATGATCTATAAACACATGAAAAGATGCTCAATATCATAGTCATTAGAGAAATGCAAATTAAAATCACAATAAAATGTTACTACATACCCACTAGAATGGCTAAAATCAAAAAGACTGTACATACCAAGCGTCAACAAAAATGTGGAGGAACTTAAACTTTTATATCTTTGCTGACAGGAATGTAAAATGGTACAATCACTTTGGAAAACAGTTTGACAGTTTCTAAAAGGGTCAAACATACACCTACCATATGATTCAGCCATTTCACTCCAGGTATTTACCAAAGGGAAATGAAAAGATCCATCCATACAAAGATTTGTACGTGATCGTTCATAGCAGCTTTATTTGTTGTAACAAATAACTGGAAATTACCCAAGTGTCCGTGAACATGTGGATAAATAAACAAATTTTGCATATCCATACAATGGAATAGTACTGAGCAATAAAAGAAAGTAAACTATTGTTATGTGCAACAACATGGATGAAATTTCAAAATAATTATGCTGAGTGAAAGAAGCCAGACAAAAAAGAATACATACTGTATGACTGTATGACTCCATTCATACAAAATCCTAGAATATGCAAACTAATCTATGGTGACAGAAAGCTGACCCGTGGTTGTTTGGGGACCTAGGGGTAAGGGGTTGCAGAAAAAGAGGTGGGAGGGGGACCTACGAAGAGGCATGAGACAACTTTTTGAGATGATGAATGGCCTCATGGGTTACAAATATGTCAAAACTTGTCAGATTATATAGTTTAAATATGTACAATTTAATGCATTTAGTTATATATCAGGCCGGGTGCGGTGGCTCATGCCTGTAATCCCAGCACTTTGGGAGGCCAAGGTGGGCAGATCACTTGAGGCCAGGAGTTCAAGACCAGCCTGGCCAAATGGTGAAACCCCATCTCTACTAAAAATACAAAAATTAGCCAGGCATGGTGGTGCGTACCTATAGTCCCAGCTACTCAGGAGGCTGAGGCAGTAGAATCGCTTGAACCCAGGAGATGGAGGTTGCAGTGAGCTGAGATCACACCACTACACTCCGGCCTGGGCGACAGAGCAAGACTCCATCTCAAAAAAAATTTTTTTTAAATTATTTATCAATTACAATGAATTTAAAAATAAATGGAACAAAACTATTGAAGCACTAGAAGAAAATAAAAGATGGCTGGGCGCAGTGGCTCAGGCCTATAATCCCAGCACTTTGGGAGGCCGAGGCTTGTGGATCACAAGGTCAGGAGATCTAGACCATCCTGGCTAACATGGTGAAACCCCATCTCTACTAAAAATATAAAAACAAATTAGCTGAGTGTGGTGGCAGGCACCTGTAGTCTCAGCTACTCGGGAGGCTGAGGCAGGAGAATGGCATGAACCCGGGAGGCAGAGCTTGCAGTGAGCCGAGATCGCGCCACTGCACTCCAGCCTGGGTGACAGTGCAAGACTCCTTGTCCAAAAAAAAAAAAAAAAAAAGAATATAAAAGATATTATTTCATATTTTTGGGTGAAGACAACCTTTCTTTGCACTCACTAAAGCTGGAAACTCAGTAAAAAGGCTAATATAATTCACCACATAATTGACCACAAATTTACCACATAACATAAACTAAGTTAAAAGATAAACTTCAAGGCCAGAACTTTGAGAGGCCAAGGCGGGCAGATCACTTGAGGTCAGGAGATCGAGACCAGCCTGGCCAACATGATGAGACCCCGTCTCTACTAAAAATACAAAAGTTAGCCAGGGGTGGTGGTGTGCGCATCTGTAATCCCAGCTACTCTGGAGGCTGAGGCAGGAGAATCACTTGAACCCAGGAGGCGGAGGTTGCAGTGAGCTGAGATCGCACCACTGAACTCCAGCCTGGGAGACAGAGTGAGACTCTGTCTCAAAAAAAAAAAAAAAAAAGAATAAACTTCAACATATGATACACAAAAGACTAATACCTTCACTATATAAAGGGCTCTTACAAATTAATTTTTAAAAGATGAATACTTAAATAGAAAAATAGGGAAAAGGCATACATTTCCTGGTAATTCACAAATGAAGAAAATTACAATTGTCAATAAATGTATAAGATGTGTTACTCCATTAGTAATAGAAGTTTTTTTGTTTTGTTTTGTTTAGGTTTTGAGACGGAGTCTTGCTGTATCACCCCCCCAGGCTGGAGTGCAGTGGCACGATCTCAACTCACTGCAACCTCTACCCTCTGGGTTCAAGCGATTCTCCTGCCTCAGCCTCCTAAGTAGCTGGGACTACAGGTGCTCGCCACCACGC
Organism: Homo sapiens; assembly: GCF_000001405.40. NCBI lineage: Eukaryota > Metazoa > Chordata > Mammalia > Primates > Hominidae > Homo > Homo sapiens. Next base: position 61,608,742 of record NC_000017.11, read on the forward strand.
CCGGTTAATTTTTGTTATTTTTAGTAGAGATGGGGTCTCACCATGTTGGCCAGGCTGGTCTCAAATTCCTAACCTCAGGTGATCCACCCACCTCGGCCTCCCAAAGTGCTGGGATTACAGGCGTGAGCCACCACGCCCAGCATAAGATTTTTAAATTATAACAATAAAATAGAATTTGTATTTTATCTAACTGGCAAATTTTGGAAACATTATCCACAGAGCAACTGAAAATGTGGAGTACTCTTGCACACTGTTGGTAGCAGTGGAAATTTGCATACTGATTGGTATTACTCTCACAGCAATTTGGCAAGATACATAAAATTATAAAATATCTCAACACTTAAATCCAATAATTTGAATTTTTAGGAATTTACTCCAAAAAAATCACCATTTTGTTTATAATCACTCCAAATTGGAAACAACTGAAATGTTCATCCACAGAGAGTCTCACTAAAGAAATTGTGGTTTCCCTCTATGTTGTTTCACTATGACCAAAATACCATGGTCATCATTAAAAATTACGAACAGCTATATTATTGACCTGGAAAGATATCTATTAAATGAAAAAAAAGGTGGTTTGCAAAGTACTATGCATAAATATAACTAAATTTAAAAAGTAGTTTGTAAAAAATATCCTGGAAGGATATACAGCAGAGTGTTATTAATAACAATGGTTTTCTCCGGGTATGGTGGCTCACGCCTATAATCCCAGCACTTTGGGAGGCCAAGGAGGGTGGATCACCTGAGCTTAGGAGTTCGAGACCGGCCTGGCCAACATGGCGAAACCCCATCTCTACTAAAAATTAGCTGTGCGTGGTCTGGCCACCTGTAATCCCAGCTACTCAGGAGGCTGAGGCAGGAGAATCGCTTGAACCCAGGAGGAGGAGGTTGCAGTAAGCCCAGATCTCACTCCACTGCACTCCAGCCTGGGCGACAGAAAGAGACTACGTCTCAAAAAAAAAAAAAAAAAAGTCCGTATAGTAAAAGATCCGCATTTTAGAAAAAAAAAAAATCTGATCTAAAATTATTCAATAAGAATTTTATGGCCAGGCATGATGGCTCAAAACTGTAATCCCAACACTTTGGGAGGCCAAGGCGGGTCGATCACCTGAGGTCAGGAGTTCGAGAATAGCCTGACCAACATGGTGAAACCCTGTCTCTACTAAAAATACAAAAATTAGCCAGGCGTGGTGGCGGGTGCATATAATCCCAGCTACTTGGGAGGCTGAGGCAGGAGAATTGCTTGAACTCGGGAGAAGGAGGATGCAGTGAGCCGAGATCGCACCACTGCACTCCAGCCTGGGCAACAAGAGTGAAACTTCATCTCAAAAAAAAAAGAATTTTGTAATAAAATTCTTAATAAAACTCGTTTCTACCTGGGTTTTTAAATGTTCTAATTTGTTCATTAAAGCTTTTAGAAAGTGCTGCTCCTATTGAAAAGTCAGGAATAATTTTCCTGAATGGTGATTTTTTTCCCGCTTTCTAGGCAGTGGTTCCTAACCAAAGAGTTTTGAGCATGAAAAGTACAAGAGCTTGTATAACCAGCTCTGAGTAAAATACATCTATCATCACTTCGTGAGATGACTTCCCACTAAACAAACACCTGGGCTAAGAAAATTAATGGATAAACCAATATTGCAAGCCTGGGCTACATTCATATGTATTGGATTAGTTTATATTCACATCATTATTTCTTGTTGAAAAGTATTCCACTTAAATAGTTTAAAAATTTGCTTCCACGAGATATTGTCATATTTAAACATACACTGAACATACTCTGGATAATGTTACATAAAAGTTGTGAAACTCTGTAATCATTTTTGAAAGGATACTGTATAATAATTAATTATGCTGTATATTTACGCATGAAAACAAAGCACTGTAAGGGACACTAGTTGTTAGAGTGATATGTCTCAAAGCGAATCATCTTCAAATTGTAAAAATTCACACTGGGGAATGTTGGCAAGATCAAGACATTATTAAAGATAATAATAAGTTATATATCAAATGTGAACTGCATCATTTCTCTGCACCAAATTTTACCACACAGCTGCCTATGACAATTTAAACAAAACACCCAAACACATTATAAATCATGCATCCCCCCAACACCCTCTTAAGCAAAAACATCTACCAAGTATACAATCAAATTAAAACCGTAGGAGAGATTTATTAGCTTGTAGATGTTCCTAATTATTCGAAAAACTTGTCTGACGTTCAATAGCAACATCATTCAAGAGCACAGTTCAATCTTAGGAAAGGGAATCCAGTCATGAAACTGATCGTAGAGAATGTTTATTAAGTCTGTGTTCCAGGGCAAAGCAAACTTTTGGGAAATAGGCTGGGTTTTATTCTATAATGCACACAATAGGTCTCCGTCTTTGCCGCTATCTAGAAGGCTTGCTACACACAGGAGATACAGTCATACAGCACGTATACCAGGAAAGGGGCAACAAGGAGGGAAAGGGGGTAAGATTTATTACCTTCAATTATTTTTGTTCCAAACTTTCCTCAGGGCACAGGCACATAATATATCGTACTTTCCATTACTTAGTACAAATGTAAAACATATCTAAAAAACACATTTCATCTTCATAACATATTAAAATAACAAGTGGGATGTCGTGACGTTAAATTGACAGATGGACTGTCATTTAGCAGTGTTGTACAACATGAGTTAACAGCAAATTAATATCATCATATCCAATTTTTCTTAACAGCTAGAAGCTATCAGATTGGAAAAAAATTAGTAAACAAATCTTTGATTTGTTTTGGGGGCGAAATAGCTAAAATATGCAAATGCGATTCACATATAATTTTAAAATAGCTACCTTTTACAAACTTAAAGACAAATGGTAAATAGTCCAAAAACTCTGATCTCAGAATCCGCCCCCCCCCCAACTTTATTGTTCACTAAGGTATTGATTTTTTCTGACAAGTTCGCATGTACATTATGAATTGACTCATAAAAATTTTCAGCATATTGTACTGGGTTTATTATAGCCATCCTTACTATATATTAAGGCCAGTATCTTTTCATCAACACCAGCTGTTAAGCAAACTCAAGTGACACAGTAGATTCATGATTAGTTCACAGAAAAGAAAGCAAAAATAGAGTGACATAAATTTAATTTCATTACACTTTGGCATTTAAAGCCATATTTTATACCCCACTGACCACAAAGGACTTCTCTATTGTAAAAAAATCTTGCTCTATACAATGCTAATAACAACACCATTTACCAAATGCAGGTTCATTTTAGTTTAAATTCTTTATCAAATTTTGATATATCCGAAATAATTTTAATAGTACTGAAATAATATGAGAAAATTATGTCTTGCAAATTTATCCTCACTGATAAGTTAAGGGATTCTGCAGGTCATTTCTGTTAATATTTTTTTCTTTACCTAGTGCATAAAGGGTAGGAACAAAAGAAGAAAGAAAACTTCCAGCCTGATATCAGGGTTTGAGTCAAAACATCAGCTTAACTTTATCTGGCTCTTGGAGCAGTAGCTGGAAGGGTCGCAAAAACGTGGCTTTAAATCTTTAGTAGCTACATTCTAGAAAAACATAAAGCAGTGATGTTATAACATTAAATTGACCTGCTTCTTATATACTTTTTAGCAAATAAGTTATAATTTCCTAGTGGAAACAAGAAAGACCTGATTTCAGGAATGATTGTATGAAACTTTAGGAAGGAATTTACATGCTTTTTGTTTAAAACCTGTGAATTCTACTTCCTTTGAAGAGCTAACTCATTCCACACCAATACCATATAACTTATTTCTCCAGGTTTTTTATGTATGTTAATTTGGTCATCCCAAGTGGATTTTATATTCCTTGAAACCAGGGGCCATGGCTTAAGCTTCCTCTTTATTCCCTTATTAGCATAGTGCTAAGCAAATAGTATGTACTCAATAAATACCTGATTGTGAAATTCTAGCAATGTTTATCTGTTTTTAAAAATCTAGCCATATTGGGCCGGGCGTGGTGGCTCATGCCCATAATCCCAGCACTTTGGGAGGCTGAGGCAGGTGGATCACCTGAGGTTTGGAGTTCAAGACCAGCCTGACCAACATGGTGAAATTCCATCTGTACTAAAAATACAAAAATTAGTCAGGCATGGTGGCAGGAGACTGTGGTCCCAGCTATTCAGAAGGCTAAGGCAGGAGAATCACTTGAACCCGGGAGGCAGAGGTTGCAGTGAGTCAAGATCGTGCCATTGCACTCCAGCGTGGGGGACAAGAGCAAATATTCCGTCTCAAAAAGAGAAAAAAAATCTAGCAAAATCTAGCTGTATTTGTGTTACCCTCATAGTCCAATTTTACTAGCTGTCTGTCTGCCTTTTCTGTTTATGACTTATTCTGAGTCTCATTTTTTCTTCATTTTATCTGTTACTCACCCTACCACCCTGAACTTCTCTTTTTCTTTCTCTTCCCACTCCCAGGAGATACTATCTGTCCAAGTACATATATATATATACACACATGCGCACACACACACACACACATATATATATCCAAGTACATATATATGAGTACATATATATACACATACAATCGTAAATATGCAACATACTTTAGAAATTATGTAATATTATAATTTTATATGTTGATAATTTAGAGTTTTATATATAAACAATAAGTATACTTTGTTCCTATCTTATTGGTTTAAAAGAAAGCTAGAAAACAGGCTGGGTTCAGTGGCTCACGCCTGTAATCCCAGCGCTTTGGGAGGCCAAGGAGGGTGGATCATTTGAGGTAAGAAGTTCAGAGACCAGCCTGGCCAACATGGTGAAACCCTGTCTCTACTAAAAATACAAAAATTAGTGGGGTGGCGGTGGCGCGCACCTATAATCCCAGCTACTCAGGAGGCTGAGGTGGGAGGATTGCTTGAACCCAGGAGGTCGAGGGTGCAGTAAGCCAAGATTGCGCCACTGCACCCCAGCCTGGGCAACAGAGTGAGACCCTGTCTCAAAAAAAAGAAAAGAAAAGAAAAAGAAAGCCAGATTTTTTAGGTTATCTTAAATTGATTTTTCTCCCTAAAATAACTGATCGTTTCTTCTAGTGGTTTGTCTACATTATCCCAAAATACAGCAATAATTTCAATCAAGTATCACATTCTCTACTTAAAATATTTAATTCTACTAATTTCTTGAAAATGTATTTTGCAGTATTTGCCAGTTCCATTGGAAGAAAGTGGTTGTTACTGACAAAAGAGGATTTTAAAAAATCATTCTTGATTTTTTATAGTGGTGTTAGCAATCCTATCTCCACTCAATGCTCAGCCATTCCTAGGTTATGAAGCTTTGAGATTTCTGATTATTTTGGGAGAAGTACATCTAGTATAGTAATTGATACTACATATAGAATTTAGTAGGAAAACTAAATTCAATTCTTACCCTCGTAATAAAAACAGAATGGTGGTTCAGTTTCCGTATCTGTAAGATCTGAATTGTGTCATTCATTCATTATTCATAAAGAAATGTATTGTGCCAGTTAGAGTAATATTAACAAAAGGTAAAAAAAAATCTAGTAATATGATATATGTAATGCAATTATTATACTATTTGAATATCAAAATATTTCAGAAAATTTTATACTGTAATTTGAACTATACTGTGGATAGGTACTTTGAGCAAAGGCTTATGGAAGGTCAATATTCAGATTTGAGATTTTGGCATTAACAATGTGTGGCTGAAGAAATAAATTAATCTCTGTGTTAGTAAATTGCAGTAACATAGGTATTTTAAATACAAGTTGGCTAATGGTAACAGTTTTCTATGGTAAAAACTTCCTATTTCAAGTACCCTGAATGGTGCTTATTGCCTTTGTGAAGTATAAGGTTTTAAAAAAATCTAAAACTGGAATCAGAATATTATTATTATTATTATTATTATTATTATTATTGTTATTTATTACTTTTGACACAGGGTCTCGCTGTGTCACCCAGGCTGAAGTGCAGTGGCATGATCACAGCTCACTGCAGCCTCAACCTCCTGGGCTCCAGAGATCCTCCCACCTCAGCCTCTTGAGTAGCTCAGACCACAGGCACGCACCATCACACCAGGCTAATTTTTTTATTTTTTCTAGAGACAGAGTTTCACCATGTTGCCCAGGCTGGTCTCAAACTCCTGGGGTCAAGCCGTCCTCCTGCCTCAGCCTCCCAAAGTACTGGTAATACAAGTGTGAACCACCATGCCTGGCCCAGAACATTATTTTTTATTTTATTTTTTATTTTTTTTAACTGCTTCTTGCAGAGCAGGACTATCCCATAGGCAGTGTGCCCAGAATAGCCCAGAACATTCCATGATCCTGTATCAAATAAGTAACTAGTCATTACGAATCTTTAAACTTACCTTAAATGTAGGTGCAGAAAGAAAAAAAAAAGTAACTCCCCCATGAGATTTATCCAGAGTGACTGTCATTAATCTACTGATTACCACTGTATGTGAAATTCCATCAGAATTGTCTTTCTAACTATCTGTTTTTTTTTTTTTCCAATGACAAGTATTTGTCATTGTAACCATTGTAACAGGCAACTGTGATATAATAAAAAATGTATATCTGACCTTTGTCCTGGATTCCTGGCACAGACAAAAACCCATGGAATTTCCTGAGTGATAGGAGTGTCTTTATTATGCTAATGAAATGACTGGGCAAAGCCCCTAGATAGTTTCAAGAGGAGGGCCGGTCATCAGAAAGAGTAACAACATGATTAAAAGATTGGAGCATTAGGCCGGGTGCGGTGGCTCACGCCTGTAATCCCAGCACTTTGGGAGGCCGAGGCGGGCGGATCATGAAGTCAGGAGATCGAGACCATCCTGGTTAACACGGTGAAACCCCGTCTCTACTAAAAATACAAAAAATTAGCCAGGCGTGGTGGCAGGCGCCTGTAGTCCCAGCTACTCGGGAGACTGAGGCGGGAGAATGGCGTGAACCCGGGAGGCGGAGCTTGCAGTGAGCCGAGATCGCACCACTGCACTCCAGCCTGAGCGACAGAGCGAGACTCGTCTCAAAAAAAAAAAAAGATTGACACATTGACCAGCCCAACTGTCAGAGAGGGGAGGAGGCTGGAGAGTTCAATCAGGTGGCTGATTTAATCAATCTTGCCAACGTAAGGACACCACGGCTCAGGGAAGCTTCCTGGCTGGTGAACATATCCATATACTAGTGGCACATCCTGACTCCACAGAGATAGAGGCTCCTGTGCCTGGGATCCTTCCAGACCTTGTTTTGGTTATCTCTTCATCTAACTGTTCATTTAGATCCTTTATAGTAAAACAATTATTTCAAGTATAGTGCTCTCCTGAGTTCTGCGAGTCATTCTGGCAAACCACAAAACACAAGGGAGCTGTGGGAAGCCTCAATGTGTAGCTGGCTGGGCAGAAGTGTGGGCGATTTGGTAACACCCAAAACTTATGACTGGAACCTGAAGTGGAGGCAATGAAGGACTTTGTCCTAAGCCTGTGGTGTCTGATGGTGACTCTGGGTAGTTGGTGTTAGAATTGAATTGAACTGGAGGACACCTGGTTGACATCAGGTAACTGGGTGTTGAAAGACAGCAACAAACACTTTTATTTCAAGAATTGTAAACTTTTGGATTTATTTCTACTCTGCTTCCTGCAATGTGTAACTAAACAATTTAAATAGTTTTTAAAGAAAAGATGTCAGTGATGTCACAACCATTACACCAATTGCTTTTTCTAAAGTTACTTTCATTTTAACAAAACAAATTTTTAAAAACCCAAATTATTACCTACTAATAATACATACGCAGAATGCACAGGGCATGAAAATAAAAGCCATCGTGTATGTATTCAAAGGTCTTTATTACAATAATTTTTATAGAGGTCAAAAGTGAAACCAAACAGACTATGACTTAATGGGAAAGCAAGAGCTAAAATGCCAAGAACTCAAAACACTAGAAATTTTAGAATATGAACTTTCTGTTTCATGAATGTCTTTATAAAATTGTCTTTGTCAACTATACAATACGAATTCTGCTATTTAAAATAGAATTTACATTAAACTCTAGATAAAAAGCATTCTGCTAATTTTTGTTTTTGCAATAAAAGATGCAGTGCCAGCATGAAAAAGGTTGGATTACAAATTCAGAGAGCCCTTGAGCACAAGACTGTACTGAGAGTTAAAAATCATCATAAACATTGGTGAATTCCACATGTCTCAAAGAATTATCAATTTTAAAGATGGATGAGAAACGGATGAAACATACAGTAAAGTTGCCACAAGGACTAAGTAAAAGTCCTCACCACTATTTTTACTAACACTTAATAGTCAACAGTTCTAAAACATTTGCTAAATGCACTTACTAGAAACTGAGGGATGTGAAAGTTACTTATAAAAAAGAAATGCTGAAGATTCAGGAAAAAAAAAGGTCAGTTCCTTTCTGATACAATGCATTTCACAATTTAAATAATTCATCTGGTGGTAAAATCTGAAAAACATATTTTCCAGCACACCTTATCCACTTATCATAGTATAGGAAAATAAGTGGATTTCAATTTGGTGATTTAACCTATAGCTTTAAATCTTTAATAAACAAACTTGAAATTCCAAACTTTAATAATGAAAAGGCCATAACTGAAATGATGTCAACCCTGGATATGAATCTCTTACCAACATGATGAAAGCCCCACTTGGAGAGCCGCACTTCTGGTCAGCAGCTGCATTTTTGTTTTAATAAAAGGAGAAAGGGTGCCAGCACACCAGTGCGATCCAAGACATGGTTACTACATAAGCAGTAGGATTAATTGCTTTTCCAGAAAGCCAGAGTAAGCTCTCCTTCCACTGTCCCATCAGGATCAGCTTCCATAAAATGAGTGTAATAAGATAATGTATTACATACGCCAGTAACTCCTACCAGCAGTATTCAGCTGCACAAAGCCATACATATCAATCAATAAAAACTTCATTGCTACATATATTTCACACACCACATTTTAGCTCTGTCTTTAACGTGCAGATAAGATAGGCTATAAAGAAGCAAAAGTGCATTTTCTTACCCCTCAAAGAATCTGTCCACCATTCCTCTACTATCTTCTTGCTAGCAAGATAAAGAGAAATAAATATGTATTAGAGATTTTGGAAAAACAGCTCTAACAATATGAAGGATCTGGTTTACAAAAGCTACAAACATTTTAATTAGCACCCAGATGATTAATATATGATTTTATGATTGATGAAATTTGGAGAGATCATTTTATTACCCCATGTATAGGCAAGAGAAGGTACATTTAGGTTGTGTTGTACCATGATGATTTCATAGGCTCACACCATCCTTTTGAGGTGAACATGGAGGAAAAAGTTATTTCTAAACACAGAAGGGAGCATGACAAAGGTTACCCTCCAATCAGAAAAAGAAATATTTTCTTCTAGTTCTACAGTACGGAGCTTACTAAATCATTTAGGTTTCTAGACCACAACCTAAATGTATCTTCTCATGGCTATATATGGCATAATCAAATGATCCCTCCAAAACCTATCAATCATTTTGGAAACTATTAGAGAGCCTAAAAACCATATATTCAGATTTATTTAATAAGTACAGCAGTTCTGAGATTCATTTTGAAATTCTGGCCCACTTATGAATATGACACAATGTACTACTATTTTAGAAACTGAAGGTTTCTCTTGGAGATTTTTTTTAAGATAGGTCTTTCTATTTAGGGGAGTAGATAGATTATTGTTGTCCAGTGAAATATAAACCAAACCTAAGACAACCTCTTTACTCAAACAAATGCTGTTTGTTGAAATGATATAAAGAATCATTTAGGTCTCTGCTTCAAATCTGGGGAAAAACAAAAACAAAAGGAAAATTATGATGTTAAGCTAAAAATGTTTAACCTGCATACCTTCTTAATCTCTCTCTCTCCTTCTCTCTCTCTGTGTGTGTGTGTGTGTGTGTGTGTGTGTGTGTGTGTGTGTGTGTGTGTGTGTGTGTCTGTAGCATTGAAAATAGGTAAAAGGAAGAAATTACTGCCTTTACTCAGAAATATTCCATAGTAGCTTTAGGAAAAATAGTATGTACAATATTATCATTTTGAAAGCAAGCTATCAGCTGCTTAAAATATTTTAACAATATCAACCTAGCATTTTCTAAATTCTTAATAAAATTCTTTTTTGTTGTAGCCTTTACCTACCCTGAGAAAAAACATACAATACTATTCATCCTCTATTATAATGTCCCTGATGATTTCCAAATGTTTCTTTGCTATGCAGCAGAAGTATATGATTTCTGATCCAGATGCTTTAAAAAGCAATTCTAACAAAGAAACTTAATCTGAACTGAACTTGGCACGGATTCCAAAAACCTATAGGATGATGTTTTGGAAGCTGCTCAAACAAAAGTTGAAACAGAAATATGCATCCACAACCATATATCTCTGGCTGTTATTAATAAATGAAGGATACAGACTTTTTCCATAAGTGTGGGTGAATAGAAGTTAATGCTTATAAAATACAGTTTAAGTATCAAAACAGTATTTGAGATTGATGCTTTTTCTTTTAAAGCAAAAGCATTTGTTTAATTCACAAGAAGGTAAAAATCAAATAAAGAAATGTTATACTTGTTCTTTGAAAGATATTCAGAAACTCCAGTGCCCAACCGCAAGAAAGGAGTTATTTTCTTTATAATATGTAGCACATTTATGGCATAAAAGTCTACAAAATATTAATATAGAGAGATAAGGGTATTTGGAGTCAGTTTCTTCCAGTGAACAAGAATAAGTCAGGTACACAGGTTTGCAGACTCATTTTGGAGTCCCAGAAGGAGAGGAGAGGAAGAATGGGCCAAAACAATATTTGAAGAGACAATGCCTGAGAATTTTAGAAACTCAGAAAATATATCAAGCCACATATTCAGGAACTGCTACATACCCCAGGAACAATAAACATAAAAAATCGTACACTAGTAAAATCATAGTAAAGTGTTAAAAATCAAAGGCAAAGAGAAAAATCCTAAAAGTAGTCAGAGGAAAGGACACATGACATTTCAATGTAAACAATGGAAGTCAGAAGACAATAGATTGTTATTTTCAAAGTGCTTAAAGATAGTAACTCCAACCTAGAATTCTATCCTCAGTGAAAATATCTTTCAAAAATGAATGTGAAAGAATATTTTCAGACAATTAAACACTGGAAGAATTGATTACCAGCAGTCCAACACTAAAATAAATACTACTATATAAAAAATATAATTTATTTTTGTACATTGACTGTGTATCATGAACCCTTATTAAACCCACCGATTAGTTCTAGTAGCTTTTTGGCAGATTCCTTAGGATTTTTTTACATAGGTGATCATGTTGTCTATGAATAAAAACAGATTTACTTATTGCTTTCCAATCTGTATGACTTTTTTTCCCCTTCCTTTGTTGCACTGGCTATGGCTTCCAGTACAATGTCATATAGAAGTGATGATGGCAGACATCTTACTTTGTTTCTGATATAAGGGGAAAGCATTTAATCTTTCACCATAATTAAGCATGCTAGTGGCTGTAGGTTTTTCATAAATCCCTTTTTCAGCTTGTTTATTGAAAGTAAATGGATGGTGAATTTTCCAAGAGCTTTTTTTTTTTTTTTTTTGAGACAGAGTCTTGCTCTGTTGCCCAGGATGGAGTACAGTGGCATGATCTCGGCTCACTGCAAGCTCCCCCACCCGGGTTCATGCCATTCTGCTGCTTCAGCCTCCCAAGTAGCTGGGACTACAGGCACCTGCCACCACACCTGGCTAATTTTTTGTATTTTTAGTAGAGATGGGGTTTCACCATGTTAGCCAGGATGGTCTCAATCTCCTGACCTCATGATCCACCTGCCTTGGCCTCCCAAAGTGCTGGGATTACAGCCATGAGCCACCGTGCCTGGCCCGAGTGCTTTTTCTGCATCTATTGAGATAGATGCATGATTTTTCTTTTTTAGACTATTAATAGGATGATTACATTGATTACCTTTTAAATAATCATGGATTATTTTTTAAAACTCACAGATTCATAGAAAGTTGCAAAGATAGAACACAGAGGTCCTGTATATCCCACTTTCCTCTATTACAGTTTCATCTGTAATATGAAATGTGGAAAACCACAGAACTCTGATAAAAGAAATCAAAGATCTAAATAAATGTAGAGATAGTCCATGTTCATGGATTGAGAGTTACACTGTTAAGATGTCAGATCTTCCCAGCATAATCTATAGATTAAGATGGAATCCCAGTCAATATCTCAGCAGCTATTTTGTGGTTACCAACAAACTGATTCCCAGTTACATCTTATATAATTATAGTAAAATACCAAAACCAGAATACTAACATTGACATGAAGTGTATGTACAGTTCTATGCCATTTTATAACATATGTAGATTCATGTAACCACCACTGCAATAAAGATACAGAATGATTCCAAGTCCATCACTAAAAAGATCTTCCTCATGCTACATCTTTATACCCATTTCCCTCCCTGCCACCATTTCTAACCTCTGGAGACCACTGATTGTTTTTTATCTTTATAATTTGTCATTTGAAGAGTGTTATATAATGGCATCACATAGTATGTGTTCTCCAGAGAGACAGAAGTGATAGGATATAAAGAGAGAGATATAAAAAGAAATTTATTAAGGGTATTGGCTTGCTTGACTATGGAGGCAGAGAAATCCCACAATATGCTGTTTGCAAGCTGAAGAAGCAGGAAAGCTGTTAGCACAGCTCAGTCCAAGTCTAAAAGCCTCAGAACAAACTAAGCCAATAGTGTAACTCTCAGTCCGAGGCCAAAGGCCCAAGAGCCTGGCGGGAGGGACTGGTGTGAGTCCCAGAGTCCAACAGCCAGACAACCTGGAGTTCTGATGTCCAAGTGCAGGAGAAAAAGGGAATCTTGGCTCCAAAAGAGAGAGAGAGGAAATTTGCTGAAATCCTCCACCTTTTTGTTCCATCTAGGTCCCCAGCTGATTGAATTATGCCCACCCACAGTAAGAGCAGATCTTTCTCACTCAGTCCACCAGCTCACATGCCAATCTCTTTTGGAAACACCTCACAGACACACTTGGATCAGCCCAATCATTCTAATTAAAAGTGAAACCACCTAGTCTCCCCTTCAGCAGAAGAGAGATGGGCTCAGTGCCTACCGAAGCACTGAGAATACATAATGCTTTACCAGCTATCTGGGTATCCCTTAATTCAGTTAAGTTGACACTCAAAATTAATCATCAAAGTATGTGACCTTTTGACATTGGCTTTTTTTTCACTCAGCATATGCCGTTGAGATCCATCCAAACTGGGTATGTATCAATAGTTCACTCCTTTTTATTGTTGAGTAGTATTCCGTGGTATGTAGGTAGCACACATTGTTTAACCATTTACCTATTGTAGAACATTGTGGTTGCTTCTGGTTTCTGGCTATTACACACAAAGCTGTTATGAACAATCGTGTATACGTTTTTGTGTGGACATAGGTTATCATTTTTCTGAGATAAGTCCCAGGAGTGCAATTGTTGGGCTGCATGGTAAGTACATGTTTGGTTTATTAAGAAATTGCCAAAATATTTGCCAAAGTAGCTGTAACATTTTACATCCTCTCCATCAATTTATAATAGATCCAGTTTCTTTGCATTCTTGTTAGCATTTGATATTGTCATTATTTTTTACTGTAGTCATTTTGATAGGTGTGTAGTGATATGTCATTGTGGTTTAATTTGTATTTCCCTAATTCCTCATGATGTTGAACATCTTTTCATGTGCTTATTTGCCATCTGTATATCTTCTTTGGGGACATGTCTCTTCATGTCTTTTTCACATTTTTTAATTGGATTGTTCAATCTTTTTAACTGTTGAGTTTTGAGAATTGTTTATTTATTCTAGATACCAGTCCTCTATAAGACACTTGGTTTGCAAATATCCCCCAATCCCGTACACTGTAGCTAATTCTTCCATCCTCTTCATATGAGCTTTCAAAGAACAAAAGTCTTATTTTAATTGAAATCAAGTTTAGAGAAACAATTTATTGATTTTTTTACTATGGATTTTGCTTTTGGTGTCAAATAACTCTTTGTCTAGCTCTGGATCCCAAATTTTCTCCTATGTTTTTTCGTTAAAGTTTTATAGCTTTTTATTTTACATTTAAGTTCATGATTCACTCTGAGTTAATTTTTACAATTTTTGTATGAGATTTAGGTCAAGGTTTATATTTTTACCTAAGGATGTTCAATTGCTCCAGCATCATTTGTTGAAGAGATTATCTTTCCTCCATTGAATTGCTATAACACCTTCCTCAAAAATCAGTTAAATATATTGCTGTGGAAATATTTTTGAATTCTCCATTGTGTTTTATTGATCTGTGTCTATCCCTCCAGCAATATGTCTCTGTCTTGCTGAGATGAGAGATATTGTCTTGTCTTATTATTGTTATATAATAAGTCTTAATGTATGGTAAAGTGATTCCTCCCATTTTATTCTCTTGTCAAGCTACTAGTCTGTTGCCTTTTTGAAGAATTTTATCTATATTTATCACAACTCTTGCTGGATTCACAGTAAATTTATATATCAATTTAAGGAGAACTGACATCTTTACTGTGGTTAGTCTTCCTATCTTGTGAACATGTATCTCACCATTTATTTAGATCTTCTTTGATTTATTTCATTAGTATTTTGTAGTTTTTGACATACAAGTCCTATACATGTTTTATTAGATTTGCATCTAGGTATTTCATTGTTAAAGTGATTTTAAGTGGTGTTGTATTTTCCACACAAACTGTAGAATCAGTTTGTTGGTTACCACAAAATAGCTGCTGAGATATTGACTGGGGTTTCATCTTAATCTATAGATTATGCTGGGAAGATCTGACATCTTAACAGTATGACTCTTTCAATCCATGAACATGGACTAACTCTCCATTTATTTAGATTTTTAATTTCTTTTATCAGAGTTCTGTTGTTTTCCACATTTAGATTTTATACATACATTGTTAGACTTATACTTATGTAATTCATTATATTGGTACTATTATAAATGTTTTTTAAGATTTTGAATTCCAATTGTACATTGCTGGCAATAGAAGCAATCAACTATTGTACATTAACTTTGAATCCTTCAACTTTGCTATATTTACTTATCAGTTCTAGCAGATGTTTTTCAATTCTTGGGATTTTCTACATAGCTATACATTCATGTCATTAGCTAATAAAGACAGTTTTGTTTCTTCCTTTCTAATAAAAGGTATGCAGGTTGATTTTATTTCCTTTTCTTATCTTATTGTAAAGCTAGAATGTCCAGCATGAACTTGAATAAAATGGCAAGAGATGATATCTTTACCTTTCTTCCAGTCTTCAGAGAAAAGCTATCTAGTTTCTCATCACTAGGTATGATATTAGCTGTAGGGTTTTTTTCTAGATGTTCTTTATCAAGTTGAGGAGTTTACAGAGAATTTTTATCATGGAATGTGTATAAAATTTTATGCATCTTTTTTATGCACCAATTGATATGACTGTATGATTTTTCTTCTTTAGATTGTTGATATTGTGGATTACATTGATTTTCAAATGTTGAACCAGGCTTGCATAGTTATGGTGTTAACACTTTTTACATATTGTTAGATTTGACTTACTGATATTTTGGTGAGTATTTTTGCATCTATATTTATAAGAGATATTAATGTGTCATTTTCTCTTTTTTTTTAACGGACTTTGTGTGGTTTTGGTAGTGGGTATATTAACTCTGTAAAATGAATTGAGAATGTTCATTTCTCTTCTATTTTCTGGAAAAGATTGTGTAGAATTGATGTTAATTCTTGAAATGTTTGGCAAAACTCTCCAGTGAAACCATCTGGGCCTGAAGATTTCTTTTTCTGATGTCTTAGAATTATAAATTCCATTTCCTTAATATTTACAATGCTATTCAAATTATTTATTCCATATTAGATGAGTTGCAGTAATTTGTGCCTTTCAGAGAATTGGTCCCTTCAATTTGTCAAATTTATATGTAGAGTTGTTTTTAGTATTCTCTTATTTTCACCTGCAGGCTCTGTAGCAATATCTCTGTTTCATTATTGACATTGGTAACCTGTGTCTTCTCTTTTTCTGTCAGTCTTGCCAGAGTTTTGTCAATTTTATTGATCTTTCTTAAAAAAACTTTTCCTTCATTGATTTTTTCTTTTTTCTTTTTGTTTTTTTTCTTTTTCTTTTCTTTGTTTTTTTTTTTGAGACAGAGTCTCACTCTGTTGTCCAGTCTGGGGTGCAGTGCAATCACAGCTCACTGTAGCCTCGACCTCTCAGGCTCATGCAATCCTCCCATCTCAACCTCCCAGGTAGCAGGAATTTCAGGCACATGCCACTACACCCAGCTAATTTTTAATTTTTTTGTAGAGAGGCAGGCTTACTATGTTGCCCAGGCTGGTGTTGAACTCCTTGGCTCAAGCAAGCCTCCCACCTTAGCTTCCTGAAGTGCTGGGATCACAGGCATGAGCCATGGTAATATCCACCCAGCTATTTTTTTTTAATTTCATTGATTTCTTGTGTTTATTATATATTTTCTTATGCTTGCTTTGGGTTTATTTTGTTCCTCCTTTTCTAGTTTCCTAAGGTGAGAAGTTTGATTACTGATTTGAGACTTCTTTTCTGATGTAAACATTAAGTGCTATAAATTTCCCTTTCAGAGCTGCTTTAGTTGAGTCCCATAAATTATGGTATATTGTATTTTCATTTTCATCATGTTCATTCACTGCAATATATATTATATATATATATATATATACATATATATATTTCCATTGAGCCTTCCTCATTGACCTGCAGATTATAGTATTTAGAGTCAGTTGCTTAGTTTCCAGTGCTTAAAGATTACCCTGTTATTTCCTTTCTCTTTCTGCTATTTGTTTCCATTGGTTTCTAGTTTGATTCCATTTTGGTCAATCATCATGTGGTTTCAATTCTTTTAAATTTATTGACTTTTAAAAATAGTCCAGGGTATAGTCTATCTTGGTATATGATCTGTGGCTGCTTGAAAAGAATGTATAGGGCAGGCACGGTGGCTAACACCTGTAATCCCAGCACTTTGGGAGGCCAAGGCATGTGGATCATCCGAGGTCAGGTGTTCGAAACGAGCCTGGCCAACATGGTGAAACCCCATCTCTACTAAAAATACAAAAAAATTAGCTGGGCATGTGGCGGGTGCCTGTAATCCCAGCCAGTTGGGAGGCTGAGGCAGAAGAATCACTTGAACCCAGGAAGCCGAGGCTGCAGTGAGCCAAGATCACGCCACTGCACTCCAGCCTGGGCAACAAGAGTGAAACTCCATCTCAAAAAAAAAAATTAAAAAAAGAAAAAAAAGAAAAAAGAAAAGAATGTATACTCTGTTGTTTGGTGTTGAGCAAATGCTTTTCCTGCTGGTTCATGGTTTTTTGAGCTCTTCTATATCGTTGCTGATTTTCTATCTAGGTATTCTATCAACTGCTGAGTATAATGTTAAAATCACCAATAACTGTGTGACTATTTTTCCTTTTAGTTCTATCAGTTTTGTCTTCACATATTTTGCCCTTCGGTAGCTTTGTGCATACACATTTAGAATTGCTCTGTCTTCTTGGTGGGTTGACCCTTTTATTATTGTGTAATTTCCCTCTTTTTTCCTGGTAATTTCATTTACCCTAAAGTCTACTTTGTCTGATAGCGCATTACTATATTTTTTCTGCTGTCCTTCTTTCCTGAATAATATTGTCCTGGATATAGAATTCTGAATCAACAGTTCTTTTCTTTCAGTACTTGAAAAATATTGTTCCACTTTCTTATAGCCTCCGTAACCTCTGATAAGAAATCTGTTCTCACTTGAATTGCTTTTCTTATAGAGTAAGTGTAATTTCTTACACATTTCATTCTTTTTTTCTTTAGTTTTCAGAAGTTTGACTATGATGTCTTCATGGATCTTTGGTTTATCCTGTTTGACGGTCGCTGTTTCTTGAATATGAATGTATATGTCTTTTGCTAAATTTGGAAATTCTTCAGCCATTATTTTGTAGAATACATTTTCAGTAAGGTGTTTCATTTGGGAATTATAAAAGTATCTTTTAAAATAATTTCTAATAGAATTCCATTATAGTCAAAGCACAAACTTATTTGAAATCTTTTAAATTTATTGAGAGTTGTTAATGGCCCAGAATATGGTTAGTGTGGTGAATATTCCATGTGAAATTGAAAAAGAAAAAAAAGTATATCCTGCTGTTGCTTGGTGAGTGTTTTTTTAAAATATCTTTATTAAGATATAAGTCATAAGCAATAAAAATCACACAGAGTTTAATGTTTATATTCACAGAGTTGTGTAACCATCACCACAAATTAATTTTAGAATATTTTAATTCCCCTCTAAACAACATCCCATACCCATTATCATCCAATTCCCTTGGCTATCCCAGTCCTAAGCAACCACTATTTTAACTTCTTTCTGTTTCTACAGTTTAAAAATTGAGATATAATTCACATATTATGTAAAAACAAAATTTACCCATTGAAAGTGTACAATTTGGTGGTTTTCAGTATATTCACAAGGTGGTGCAACTGTCACCACTATCTAATTTCAGAATATTTTCATCACCTCAAAAAGAAACCCCATAGCCACTTGCAGCCACTTCCCATTTCCTTCTAATCCTCCCAGCCCTAGGCAATCACTACTTTTTGTTTTTATGGATTTGCCTATTTTGGACATTTCATATAAATGGAATACAATATGTGGTCTTTTGGGACTGGCTTTTTCTCTTAGCATAATGTTTTTAAGGAACATCTGTGTTGTAGCATGTATCAATACTTTATTTCCTTTTATTGCTGAGTAATAGTCCATTACACAGATATACATTTTATTTATATATTCTTTAGTTGATGGAGATTTAAGTTGTTTCCATTTTTTGCTATTATGCATAATGTTGCTATGAACATTTATGTACAAATTTCTGTGTGGACATATGTTTTTATCTCTTCTGAGTATTGACCTAGGAATAGAATTGCTGAGTCGTATAGGAATTCTATGTTTAACTTTTTTGAGAACTGCCAAACTGTGTTCCACAGCAGCTGCACCGTTTACATTCCCACCAACAATGTAGGAGGTTTCCAATCACTCTGCATCCTCAACAACACTTGTCTTTTTAGTTACAGCCATCCCAGTGGGTGTGAAGTGGTCTCATTGTGGTTTTGCATTTCCCTAATAAATAGTAATGTTAGCATCTTCCTATGTGCTTATTGGCTACTTTTACATTTCCTCTGGAGAACTGTCCATTTGGAACATTTAACCCATTTAAAATTGGGTTATTTGCTTTTTTTATTATTACATTGTAAGAATTCTTTATACATTCAGAATATGAATTTCTTAATAGATATATATTAGCAAATATTTGATTGTATTCTGTGGGTTGCCTTTTAAAATTTCTTGATGATATTGTATGCAGCACAAAAGTTTGGGGTTTTTTTCGTTTTTTGTTTTTGAGATGGAGTCTCGCTCTGTCACCCAGGCTGGAGTGTAGTGGTGTGATCTTGGCTCACTGCAGCCTCTGCTTCCCAAGCTCAAGTGATTCTTCTGCCTCAACCCCCCAAGTAGCTGGAATTATAGGCATGTGCCACCACGCCTGGCTAAGTTTTGTATTTTTAGTAGAGACAAGGTTTCATCATGTTGGACAGGCTGGTCTCAAACTCCTCAAGTGATCTGCCTGCCTTGGCCTCCCAAAGTGCTGGGATTACAGGTGTAAGCCACTGCGCCCAGCCATTTGTAGCACAAAAGTGGGCTGTTTTTTTTTTGTTGTGTGTGTTTTTTGTTTGTTTTTTTTGTTTTTTTTTTTGAGACAGAGTCTCACTCTGCCACCCAGGCTGGAGTGCAGTGGCATGATCTCAGCTCACTGCAGCCTCTACCTCCCAGGTTCAAGCAATTCTTTTTTTTTTTTTGGGACGGACTCTTGCTCTGTCACCCAGGCTGGAGTGCAGTGGCACGATTTCAGCTCACTGCAGCCACCACCTCCCGGGTTCAAGCAATTCTCTGCCTCAGCCTCCTGAGTAGCTGGGATTACAGGCGCCAACCATCACACCTGGCTAATTTTTGTATTTTTAGTAGAGACGGGGTTTCACCGTCTTGTCCAGGCTGGTCTTGAACTCCTGACCTTGTAATCTACCCACCTCAGCCTCCCAAAGTGCTAGGATTACAGACATGAGCCACTGTGCCTGGCTGGTTCAAGCAATTCTCCTGCCTCAGCTTCCCGAGTAGCTGAGATTATAGGCGCCCACCATCACACCCAGTTAATTTTTGTATTTTTAGTAGAGATGGGGTTTCACCATGTTGACCAGGCTGGTCTCGAACTCTTGACCTCAGGTGATCCACCCGCCTCGTGCTGGAATTACAGGCGTGAGCCATTGTGCCCAGCCAGCACAAAAGTTTTTCATTGTGATGTAGACCAACTTATTTTTCTCATGTTGCTTATGCTTTTGGTGTTGTATTTACAAAGTTGTTGCCTAATCCAAAGCTATGAAAATTAACTCCATAACTTTATTCTAAGAGTTTTATAATTTAATCTTTTATATTTAGGTGTACAAGCCATTTTGAATTATGTTTTCCATACGGTATGAGGTAGGAGTCCAACCAAAATTTAGAAACTCAGTTGTCATGGCACCACTTGTTGAAAATACTATTATTTTCCAATTAATTATTGTGCGCCTTTGTCCAAAGCTTAGAGTTCTTTAAATAAATTAAATTAGGTCAAGTTGGCTGATAGTATTAGTCAAGTCTTCTAAAATCTTGCTTGTTTTTTTGTCCAGTTGTTCTATAAATTAATGAAAATGAGGTATTGAAATTTTCAAATATAATTGTGAACTTGTCCATTTCTGCTTGAAGTTCTTTCAGTTTCTACTTTATGTATTTTGAAAACCTTATTACTAGGAGTAGAAACATTTAGGATTATTACATCTTCTTGATGAATTGATCCCTTTATTGTTATGAAAATACCATATTTATCAATGGTAATATCCTTGGCACTTATATCTACTTCATTTAGAATTAATATAACATTTCAGGTTTGTTTGGTTATTATTAGCAAGTATTATATTGTGATTTATAATGAGAAAATATGTATTTTCATATTTGTCCCTAGTTCCTGACACAGAGTTCCTAGAACTCTTGTAATTGCCCAGATGACAGGAGCATCTTTTGTTCTAATGAGGCAACTCTTGGTGGGCTGCTGGATGGGGGCGGATGCCTGAAAGACCAAGCCATGATTAGAAGCTTGAAACTTTCAGCCCCCATTTCCTAGGATAGGAGAAAGGCTGGAGATTGAGTTAATAATCAGTCATGTCTACATGATGAAGCCACCATAAAAATCCCTGAACTACAGGTTCAAGGGGCTTCCCAGTTGTGAACACATCCATGTGCCAGGAGGGGTGGTGCACCCCAACTCCATGGGGACAGAAGCTCCTGCACTAGGAACCCTTCTAGAATTTCCCCTATATATCTCTTCATCTGGCTGTTCATCTGTATCCTTTATCATATCTCTTATTAATAAAATAAACTGGTAAGTGTGTTTTTCTGAGGTCTGTGAGCCATTTTAGCAAATTAATCAAATCTGAGGAGAGGGTTTTGGGAACTGCAGCTTATAGTCAGTCAGAAGTATAGATGACAACCTACTACTTGCAATTGCTGTTTGCAGTGAGGAGCAGTCTTGTGGAACTGAACCATTAGCCGGTTGGCCTGACTCTAACTGCAGGTAGATGGTGTCAGAAGTAAATTGAATTGTGGGACACCCAGTTAATGTCTGCCGGAGAATTGTTTGCTGTGGGGAGAAATCCCCACATATTTTGATCACAGAAATTTTCTGTATTGTGATGAGGGTAAGAGTGAAAAAAAATTTGGTTTTTCCTATCTCAAGCAAAACATGGTATATTTTTCTACCTCCTACTTATTTTTTTACAACTTTTAATAGCTACATAATAGTTGTATGTATTTTGGTAATACATGTGGTATTGTGATTCATGCATATAATTGTAAAGATCAAACCAGAGCAATTGGGATATCTATCACCGCAAACATTCACTCCTTCTTTATGTTGGGAACATTCCAGTTCCTCTCCTCCAGCTATTTGGAACTATAAAACAAATTATTGTGAACTATAGTCAACCTGCTGTGCTACAAAACACTAGATCTTATTCCTTCTAGCTGTTTGTTGTACACACTAAACAACCTCTCTTTACATCCCACCTCCTCCAACATCTTCCAGTCTCTGGTAACCACCAATCATCTCTCCACCTCCATGAGATCCGCCATTTTAGCTCCCACATATGAGTGAGAGCGTGGACTATTTGTGTTTCTGTACCTGGTTTATCTCACTTAACATGATGACCTCCAATTCCATCTGTGTTGCTACAGATGACAGGATTTCATTTTTATGGCTAAATAATATTCCATTGTGTATTTGCATCACATTTTCTCTATCCACTCATCCACTGATAAGACACTTAAGTTGATTATATATCTTGACTATTGTGAATAATGTTGAAATAAAAATGGGAGTGCAGATAGCTCTTCAACATACTAATTTTCTTTCTTTTGCATGTATACCCAGCAGTGGGATTGCTGGATCATACAGTATTTCTATTTTTAGTTTTTGAGGAACCTCCATACTGTCTTCCATGGCTATATTAATTTACATTCCCACCAACATTGTACAGGTGTTCAGCTTTCTCTTTATGCTCACCAGCATTTGTTATTTTTTATCTTTTTGATAAAAGCCTTTTTAATTGGAGTGAGACAATATCTCATTGTGGCTTTGATTCACATTTTCCTGATGATCAGTGCTGTTGAGCATTTTTTCCTATACCTATAGGCAATTTGTATGCCTTCTTTTGAAAAATGTCTACCCAGATCTTTTCCCCATTTTTTAATTGGATTATTTGGGAGTTTTAGGGTTTTTTCCAATTTTGTTTTGTTTTGTTCTTGCTGTTGAGTTACTTATATATAGTCTCTAGTCAACTGGATAGTTTGCAAATATTTTCTCCATTCTGCAGGTCATCTCTTCACTTTGGTGATTGTTTCCTTTGCTGCGCAGTTTTTTTAGCTTGATATAGTGCCATTTGTCTATTTTTGCTTTTGCTTCATGTGTTTTTGCAGTCTTACACTAAAAAATCTTTGCCAGACCCATGTCCTGAAGCATTTCCTCCATGTTTTTCTTCTACTAGTTTCATTGTTTCAGGTCTTATGTTTAAGTCTTTAGTGCATTTTGATTTGATTTTGTATATGCTGAGAGATAGCGTCTAGTTTAATTTTTCTGCAAATGATTATCCAGTTTTCCCAGCACCATTTATTGAAGAGATACCTTTTCCCAATGTCTGCTCTTAATGCCTCAATTGAAAATGAAATGGCCATAAATGCACAATTTTATTTCTGGGTTCTCTACTCTATTCCATTGACTCATGTGTTTATTTTACACTTGTACCAAGCTATTTTGGTTACTATGGCTTTGTAGTATATTTTAAAGTTTGTTAGTATGATGCCTCCAGCTTTATTCTTTTTGCTGAAGATTGCTTTGGCTACTTGAAGCCTTTTGTGGTTTCATACAAATTTTAGGAGTTTTTTTCTTTCTGTGAAGAATGTTGTTGGTATTTTGATAGAGATTACATTGAATCTGTAGATTAGTTTGGGGAGTATTGACATTTTACCAATATTAATTCTTCCAACTCATAAGCATGGGATATCTTTCCATTTTTTGTATCCTGTTCAATTTCTTTCCACAGTGTTTTTTGTTTGTTTTTAAGATGGGATCCTGTTCTGTCACCCAAGCTGGAATGTAGTGGCATGATCATAGGTCACTGCAGCCTCAAACACCTGGGCTCAAGTGATCCTTCTGCTTCAGCCTCTCAAGTTGCTGGGACTACAGACATGAGCCACCATGCTTAGTTAACTTATTTTTGTTATTATTAATATTATTATTATATTATTTGTAGAGACAGTGTCTGACCGTGTTGACCAGGCTGGTCTTGAACTCTTGGCTTTAAGCAATCCTTGGCCTCCCAAAGTGCTGGGATTATAGACATGAGACCATCCATGGCCTCATCAATGTTTTATAGTTTTCCTTGTGGAGATCTTTCACTTCTTTAGTTAAATTTATTCTTATTTTTTTTTGTAGTTATTGTAAATGGGATTGCTTTGTTGACTTCTTTTTCATATTGTTCTTTGTTGGTGTACATAAATGCTACTAATTTTTGTATGTTGATTTCCTATCCAGTAACTTTATTGAATTCATTTACCAAATCTAAACTTTTTTTTGATGGAGTCTTTAGGGTTTTCCAAATGTACTAGTATGTAATCTGCAAACAAGAAATTTGACTTCTTCCTTTCCAACCGAATGTTCTTTACTTCTTTCTCTTGCCTAATTTCTCTGGCTAGGACTTCCAGCACTATGTTGAATAAAAGTGGTGAAAGTGGACATTCTTGTCTTGTTCCATATCTTAGAGGACTTTCCATTTTTCTTCATTTAGTACAATGTTAGCTGTGGCTTTGTCATATGTGGCCTTTATTGTTTTGAAGTATGTTCCTTCTAAACCCAGTTTGTTGAGAGTTTTTTTTTTTAATCATAAAGGGATGTTGAATTTTGTTGAATGTTTTTTCAACATCTATTACAATGATCATATGGTCTTTGTCCTTTATCCTCTTAATGTGATGTACTGCATTTATTGATTGACATATGTTGAATCATCCTTGCAATCCTGGGATGAACCTCACTTGATCATGGTGGATGATCTTTTTAAAGTGTTGTTGTATTCTGTTATTTTGTTGAGGATTTTTGCATCTATTTTTATCAGGGATATTGGCCTGCAGATTTCTTTTTTAGTGTTGCTCTTATCTGTCTAGTTTTGGTATCAGTGTAACACTGGCTTCATAGAATGAGTTTGGAAGTACTCCTTCCTCTTTAATGTTTTGGAGTAGTTTGAGTAGAATTAGTATTCGTTCTTCTTTAAATGTTAGGTAGAATTCAGCAGTGAAGCTATCTGGGCCCAGGCTTTTCTTTGATTTTCTATTTCTTCATAGTTCAATCTTGGTTGCTTGTATGTGTCCAGTAATTTATCCATTTCTTCTAGGTTTTTCAATTTGTTGGCATATAGTCATTCATAATTGTCTCTAATGATCCTTTGTATTTCTGTGGCATCAATTTTTATGGCTTCTTTCTTGTTTCTGATTACTCGGATTTTCTCTTTTTTTTTTCTATTTAGCAAAAGCTTTGTCTATTTTATCTTTTCAAAAAAACCAGCTTTTTGTTTTGTTGATTTTTCTAATATTTTTTAGTCTCAATTTTATTTCTACTCTGATTTTTAATATTTATTTCCTTCTACTAATTTTGTGTTTGGTTTGTTCTTGCTTTTCTTGTTTCTTGAGGTGCATCATTAGGCTGTTTATTTGAAAGCTTTCCACTCTTTTGATGCAGGTGCTTGTTGCTGTAAACTTTCCTGTTAGTATTGCATTTGCTGTATCCTGTAGATTTTGATATGTTGCATTTCCATTTGCATTTGTTTCAAGAAATTTTGAAATTTCCTTCTTAATTTGTTCATTGACTCACTGGTCATTCAGAAGCATGTTATTTAATTTCCATATGTTTGTATATTTTCCACAGTTCCTCTTGTTACTAAGTTCTAGTTTTATTCCACTGGGGTCAGAAAAAATACTTGATATGATTTTGATTCTTTTGAATTTGTTAAGACTTGTTTTGTAGCCTCATAGATGGCCTATTCTAGAGAATATTCCATGTGCTGATGAGAAGAATGTGTATTCTGTAACAGTTAGATGAAATGTTCTGTAAATGTCAGTTAGGTCCATTTAGTCTAGAATGTAGTGTAACTCCAGTGTTTCTTTACTGATTTTCTGTATGGATGATTTGTTCATTCCTGAGAGTGAGGTGTTGAAGTCCCCTACTATTATTGTATTATAGTCTTATCTCTCCCTTTAGATCTATTAATGCTTGTTTTATATATTTGGGGGCTCCTGTGTTGGGTACATATATATTTACTGAATCTTCTTGCTGAATTGATCCTTTTATCACTATATATACCCTGTTTATTTTACTGTCTTTGACTTGAAATCTATTTTAACTAATATAAGTATAGCTACTTCTGCTTAGCTACTTCTGCTCTTTTATGGTTTCCATAGAATATCTTTTTTTCAACTCTTTCAACTCTAACAATATTACAGTATCCCAAATTTGTCTATATACTGACTTTTACCAGTGAATTTTATACTTTCAAATGTTTTCTTTTTGCATATTAGGATCACTTTCTGTTATATTGAAAACTCCTCTTAGCACTTCTTGTAAGATAGGTCTAGTGGTGATAAATTCTCTCAGCTTTTGCTTATCTAGGAAAGACTTTCTTCTTTATGTTTGAAGGAAAACTTTGCTGGGTACGGTGCTCTCAGTTGACAGTTTTTTTTTCTTCAGGACGTTGAATATGTCATCCACTCCCTCCTGACTTGTATGGTTTCCGCTGAGAAATCTGTTGCTAGATGAATCAGAGCTCCTTTACGTGTTATTTGCTTCTTTTCTCTTGCTGCTCTTAGGATCTTCTCTTTGTCCTTGATGTTTGAGAGTTTGAATGTTATATGCCTTGGGGCAGTCTTATTTGGATTGAATCTGTTTGGTGATCACTGAACTTCTTGTACCTGGATATTTGTGTCCTTCTCTAGGTTTGGAAAGTTTTCTGTTATTATTATTACTTTGAATATGCTTTCTACACCTTGCTCCTTCTCAACTCCCTCTCGAACACCAACTCCTAGACTTGCTCTTTTGAGGTTATTTTGTATATCCTGTAGGTATTCATCATTCTTTTTCACTCTTTTTTCTTTTTTCTCCTCTGACTGTGTATTTTCAAATAGTCCATCTTTAAGCTTCCTGATTCTTTTTTTTGGCTCAATTCATTCTGCTGTTGAGAGCCTCTATTGTATTTTTTCAGCTCAGCAAATGTATTTATCAGTTCCAGGATTTCCATTTGATTGTTTTTATTAGTTCTATCTCCGCTATATTTTTCTGATAAATTTGTGAATTGCTTTTTCATGTTACCCTGGAGTTTTCTGAGTTTCCTTGAAACTGCTATTTTTAATGCTTGATCTGAGAGCTCACACTTTGCCATTATGGTAGGGTTGATCACTGCCTCCTTGCTTTGTTGACTTGGGGAGGTCATAGTTTCGTTTGCTGTTGTTTCTTGTGGATGTACATCTATGGCTTCATAGGATTAGTTCCTATGCTTCAAGGATTAGTTACTTGTACCTATCTTCACTTCATCTCTTGTTTTGGCCTTTCTAGGTTATGTTTCCTAAGAGGTCTTTTACAATTGTTTGTTGAATCCCTTTACTCCTAGATTGCTGCCTCATTTTCAGCACTAGATGGCGCCTTAAGCCCAGGGTTGTCTTGACTCTCACAAACGTTCATTATTCTAATTTCATTCTTCCACATGTCAGTATACAACTTTTCTAGCATCAGTTATTGAAGGGACTGTCTTTTCCTCATTTTGTATTACTGGCATCTTTACCAAAAGTCTGTTAACCATAAATGCATTGATTTTTTTTTTTTTTTTTGCTCTCTATTCTGTTCCATTAGTAGATGTGTTTTTAATGCCATTTCATAATGTTTGAATTATTACAGCTTTGTAATATAGTTTGAAATCAGGGGGTGTGATGTCTTCAGTTTGTTCTCCTTTCTCAAAATTGCTTTGGCCATTATGGGTCTTCTGTGGTTGCAAAGTTTAGTATTGTTTTTTTCTGGTCCTGTGAAAAAAGTCATTGAATTTTTAATAGGGATTGCATTGAATCTGTAGATTCTTTGGCTAGTATGAACGTTTTAACAATATTAATTCTTCCAATCCATGAACATAAGATTTCTTTTCATTTATTTGTGACTTCTTCAATTTCTTTCATCAATGTTTAATAGTTTTCAGTGTACAGATATTTCATTTCCTTGATTACATTTATTACTTATTTAATTAACCATTTACATAATTTAAAAATTTGTCTGCTCCTTTCACTGGACTATGATCTCTAGTGTCTGGCTTTGTTCTCCCTTGTATTTCCAGGACCCAGTACAGTCCTTGCTATAGAGTGTATACTTAATAACTATTTGTTGAATTAATTAATTTAAAAATTAGCAAGTTTCACAAGTGGAAATGAAAACCCAACATACCAAAACCTATGGGATACAACCAAAGTTGTAATAAGAGCAAAGTTTATAGCAGTAAGCTCCTATATCAAAAAAGTATAAAAACTTCAAATAAACAACCTAACAATGCATCTTAAAGAACCAGAAAAGCAAGAGCAAACAAGCCAAAATTAGTAGAAGAAATAAAATAATAAAAATCAGAGTATAAATAAATAAAATCTAAATAAAAAAATACAAAAGATCAATGAAACAAAAATTTGTTTTCTCTAAAAAGATAAGCAAAATAGAAAGACCTTTAGCCTAAGAAAAAAAGAGAGAAGATCCAAATAAATAAATCGAGAGATGAAAAAGGAAACATTACAACTGATACTGGAGAAATTCAAAGGATCATTAGAGACTACTATAAGCAACTATATGCCAATAAATTGGAAAACTCAGAAGAAATGGATAAATTCCTAGACACATACAACCTAAGATTCAACCATAAAGAAATCCAAAACCTGAACTGACCCATAACAAGTAAGAGATCAGGCCAGGCACAGTGGGTCACACCTGTATTCCCAGCACTTTGAGAGGCCATGGCGGGTGGATCACTTGATGTCAGGAGTTTGAGACCAGCCTGGCCAACATGGTGAAACCCCACCTCTACTAAAAATACAAAAATCAGCCTGGTGTGGTAGCACATGCCTGTAGTCCCAGCTACTTGGGAGGCTGAGGCACAAGAATTGCTTGAACCCAGGAGGTGGAGTTTGCAGTGAGCTGAGATCACGCCACTGCACTCCAGCCTGGGTGACAGAGTGAGACTGTGTCTCAAAAACAAACACACAAACAAAACAAACAAACAAAAAAAAAAAACAGAAAAACAAGTAATGAGATCAAAGCTGTATTAAAAAGTCTCCCAGCAAAGAAAAGCTGACCCAATGGCTTCACTGCTGAATTTTACCAAACATTTATAGAAGAACGAATCCTACTCAAACTATTCCAAAAATAGAGGAACTTATTCTATGAGGCCAGTATTACTCTGATACCAAAACCAGACAAAGACTAATAAAAAAAAGAGAACTATAGGCCAATATCCCTGATGAACATTGATGCAAAAATCCTCAACACAATACCCGCGAACCAAATTCAAAAACAGACTAAAAAGATCATTAGCCATGATCAAGTGGGATTCATTCAAAAGATGCACAGATAGTTCAACAGATGCAAATCAATCAGTGTGATACATCATATTAACAGAATGAAGGACAAAAATCATATGGTCATTTCAATTGATGCTGAAAAAGCACTTGACAAAATTCAACATCCCTTCATAATAGAAACCCTCAAAAAACTGGGTATAGAAGGAAGATACTTCAACACAATAAAAGCCATATATGGCAGACCTACAACTAGTATCATACTGAATGGGGAGAAACTGAAAGCCTTTCCTCTAAGATCTCAAACAAGACAAGGATACCCACGTTTACCACTGTTGTTCAGCATAGTACTGGAAATCCTAGCCAGAGAAATCAGACAAGAGAAAGAAAAAAAGGGCATCCAAATTGGAAAGAAAGAAAGAAAATAATCCCTCTTTGCAGATGATATGATCTTATATTTGGAAAAGCCTAAAGACTCCACAAAAAAGCTATTAGAACTAATAAATGTAGTATAGTTGCAGGATACAAAATCAACATAAAAATCTGTGGCATTTGTATATGCCAACCATAAACAATCTAAAAAAGAAATCAGGAAAGTAATACCATTTATAATAGCTACAAATGAAATAAAATACCTAGGAATAAACTTAACCAAAGATGTGAAAAATCTCTACAATGAAAACTATAAAACATTGATGAAAGAAATTGAGGAGGGCACATAAAAAATGGAAAGATACTCCAGGTTCATGGATTGGAAGAATCAATATTGTTAAAATGTCTGTATTACCCAAAGCAATCTACAGATACAGTGCAATCTTTATCAAAATACCAATGACATTCTTCACAGAAATAGAAAAAACAATCCTAAAATGTATTTGGAACCACAAAATATCCAGGATAGCCCAAGGTATCCTGAGCAAAATGAACAAACTGGAGGAATCACATTACC
This sequence comes from Homo sapiens, assembly GCF_000001405.40. Taxonomy (NCBI): domain Eukaryota; kingdom Metazoa; phylum Chordata; class Mammalia; order Primates; family Hominidae; genus Homo; species Homo sapiens. The sequence goes on from NC_000017.11 coordinate 61,638,980, forward strand.
GGACTTCAAATTATACTACAGAACCATAGTAATTGAAACAGCGTGGTACTGACATAAAAATGGACACATAAACCAATGGAGCAGAACAGAGGACCCAGAAATAAATACATGCAACTACAGTGAACTCATATTTGACAAAAGTGCTAAGAACATATACTGGGGAAAGGTTAGTTTCTTCTATATGTGATGCTGAGAAATCTGGATATCCCTACGCAGAAGAATGAAACTAGACTTCTATCGCTTGCCATATAGAAAAATCAAATCAAAATGGATCAAAGGCTTTAATCTATGACCTCAAACTATGAAACTACTACAAGAAAACATTGGGGAAACTCTGTAGAACATTGGACTGGGCAAAGATTTCTTGAGTAATATCCCACAAGCACAGGTAACCAAAGCAAAAATGGACTAATGGGATCACACCAAGTTAAAAACTTTTTGCACAGCAAAGGAAACAGTCAACAAAGTGAAGAGACAACCCACAGAATGGAGAAAATATTTGCAGACTACCCATCTGACATGGGATTAGTAACCAGAATATATAAGGAGCTCAAACAACTCAATAGGAAAAAAATCTAATAATTGAATTTAAAAAATAGGCAAAATACCTGAATAGACATTTCTCAAAAGAAGACATACAAACGGCAAACAGGTATATGAAAAGGGGCTCAACATCATTGATCATCAGAGAAATACAAATCAAAACTACAATGAGGTATCATCTTACCCCAGTTAAAATGACATATCCAAAAGACAGGCAATAACAAATCCTGGCAAGGATGTGGAGAAAAGGGAACACTCATACGCTGTTGGTGGGAATGTAAATTAGTACAACCACGATAAAGAACAGTTTGGAGGTTCCTCAACAAACTAAAAATAGAACTGCCATATGATCCATCAGCCCTACTGCTAAATATATACCCAAAAGAAAGGTAATCAATATGCCAAAGAGACATCTGCAGCCCCATGTTTATTGCAGCACTATTCACTAGAGCCGAGATTTGGAAGCAACCTAAGTGTCCAACAGCAGACTAATGGATCAAGAAAATGTGGTACATACACACAATGGAGTACTCTTCAGCCATAAAAAAGAATGAGATCTTGTCATTTGCAACAACATGGATGGAACTGGAGGTCTTTATGTTAGGTGAAAATAAGTCAAACACAGAAAGACAAACCTCTCATGTTCTCATTTATTTATGAGAGCTAAAAAAAATAAACAATTGAAGTCATAGAGATAGAGAGTAGACAGATGATTATCAGAGGCTGAGAAGGGTAGAGGGGCTTGGAGGGGAGGCCAGAAGGGAGTTGGGATGGTCTAATGGTACAAAATATAATTAGATAGAATGAATAAAGTGTAGTATTTGATTGTTACAACAGGGTGACTGCAGTCAACAATAATTTATTGTACATTTAAAATAACTAAGAGTGTAATTGGATTGTTTGTAACACAAAGTAAGGATAAATGCTTAAGGTGACAGATACCCCATTTACCCCGATGTGATTATTATGCAGTGTATGTCTGTAGCAGAATATCTCATGTGCCCTATAAATACATACATCTAATGGCTGGGTGCAGTGGCTCACACCTGTAATCCCAGCACTTTGAGAAGCTGAGACGGGTGGATCACCTGAGGTCAGGAGTTCGTGACCAGCCTGGCCAACATGGTGAAACCCCATCTCTACTAAAAATACAAAAATTAGCCAGGAGTAGTGGTGCACACCTGTAATCCCAACTACTCAGGAGGCTGAGGCAGGAGAATCACTTGAACCCAGGAGGCAGAGGTTGCAGTGAGCCGAGATCATGTTATTCCACTCCAGCCTGGGAGACAAGAGTGAGACCCCATCTCAAAAAAAAAAAAAAAATCTATCTATCTATCTATCTATCTATCTATCTATCTATCTATCTATCTATACATACACACACACACGTATATATACATCTACTATGTACCCACAGAAAAACATGTTTTAAAGATACAGCTTAAAAAAAAAGAATAAAAGCTCTAAACCCTCAGATATGGTTTGGATCTGTGTTCCTATCCAAATCTCACGTTCATTTGTGATCCGCAATGTTGGAGGTGGGGCCTCATGAGAGATGATTGAATCATAGGGGTGGATTTCTCATGAGTGGTTTAGTACTGTCCCCTTGGTACTGTCCTTAAGTTAGTAAGTGAGTTCTCACGAGATGTTGTTGTTTAAAAGTGTGTGGCATCTCCCCCCTCTCTCTCTTGCTCTTGCTCCGGCCATGTGATGTGCGCCAGCTCCCACTTCGCCTTTTACCATGATTGTCAGTTTCCTGAGGCCTTTCTAGAAGCCAAGCAGATGCCAGCATCGTGCTTCCTGTACAGCCTGCAGAACTGTGAGCCAATTAGACCTCTTTTCTTTATAAATTACCCAGCCTCAGGTATTTCTTTATAGCAATGCAAGAACAAATTAATACACCCTCCTTTAAAGGAGATAAATGATGATGCGCTCATACACAACTACTTAGAAAATGCTCAGCCCACCTTAAAGGAGGAACTTAAAAGTCATTAAAGTATTTTAAAGTTTAAAAAGTCAGCAAGTTTCATATAACTTTATAATTTTCTTATTATTATATATATTGAGTTTTATTTAGTTTATAACTATTTAGTTTAGTTTATAAACATTGAGTTTTATTTAGTAAATCAAATTATTGTTAACGCTGTTCATTTATCTGATATACTCTATAATTAACATTCTTGGGACAAATCTATCTGCAACTTAAAAAATTCTAAAAGCTTATTTAATGCCCCTGATACTTGAAAAACTGATCACAGAGAAATCAAACAACTAAATTATATCATTTATAAAAGCTGTACAATATTGAAAATAATCTTTTCTCTTTTTTTGATTGATGTTTTGAATTCACTCCTCTAAAGTCAAATAACATGCCAATAACAAAGACGTGATTTATGTTTGGTAACTCCTGAAAGAAAGGTCAGTGGCAGCACAATCAGCATAAAATACAATCCTACTTTAATGACTCTGTTAGAATATGCAGCATCCATCTTTAATTCCTATTTTTACCAGCTGTTCTTGCTATCTTCTGATTTCCTGCTTAAGACTATACAACCTTAAAGTTTCAATTCAGGAAGGCAGAGACACATTAATTTACAAAATGACAGTATGCAAAAAAAAAAACTTTTAGGGCGCTCTTACAATATGCATGCAACCTTCAAATCTCACATGACAAATTTTCAAAACTAAATGCGTTTTTTCCTTAAAAACTGCATCATACCATAACTAAAGTAGGTATAGCCAGGCACAGTGGTGCATGTCTGTAGTCCTAGCTAACTTGGGAGGCTGAGGCAAGAGGACCACATGAGCCCAGGAGTTTGAGGCTGCAGTGAGCTATGATCATGCCACTGCACTCCAGCCTGGGCAACAGAGCAAGACCTCACCTCCAAAAATTTTTTTAAAAATTAAAAACGTATTACTACATGGCAAAATTTATCATCTTTATTTTCATACAGTTTACAGAAAATTTATTTATAAATAAATTTATGATGGCTGAAGCCCACCAGTAGCACAAAATACAACTATGTACACATTAGCTAATAAAAAATGTATGCACACTCCTGTAAATTTCTTAAGTTAGAATATAACAACCAAAGAAAAATTGCACATACATTTGTTTATAAAATTTATTTAATACTCATCTACTTACCTACAAATCTCAAACAAATTGGTAACGTATCATCAGAATTGACTTAATATTAAAAAGCCTTGCTAGAATTTAGAATGTTGACTAAAATATACCATTGATGTTTAGAATGTACAATGTATATCATTAATAATTGTAAGCATTTGCTATATCGATTTCTAATCCTTTAAGTTTCTATTGATGTTACCTATATAGTGAGCGACATCCTTCTCTAAATCTGGAAAAGCTTTGAGCTTCTTAAAAGGCAAAAAAATATATAGACCATTTCAAAGACTGTACATGTAGTAACTGAAATTCATCAGTAAGGCATAATGAAAAACAAACAAACAAGCAGGTCCACAGGCTTTGTAAGCAATTAGACTTGGATTTAAATTCTAGCTCTCCTACTCAATAACTATTTGACAGTGGGCAAATTACTTGGCATTTCTGTGTCTCAGTTTCTTTATATGTAATAATTTTGGTAATGATTATTCACAATTGTTGTCAGGAATAAATTAAATAATATACAGAATAAGCACATATCCTTTCCAACTGAAATTCAGTGTTACTTACACCATGCTTTCTCCCACATGATTGCTCTTAAATGTGCATCAAACTTTACAGTTCACATAACACTTTGATATGTGTGTGTGTGTGTGTATATATATATATATATATATTTATTTATTTATTTATTACTTTGAGCCACAGGAAGAGCAGAGAGAACAACTCCAATTACAGATAATAAAATTAAGGTTTAGAGAGTATCAGCAGTTTGCCTAAATTCATCGTGTTGTAGCAAAATCATTGTCTTTACTGTTATCAAGAAAATTTATTTTCTATTAGGGAGGTAACAGAAAAATATTTTGCTTAGAAAAACACTTTGATGTGACCCTGGGGTATAAAAAATGAGATTCTGAGAACATGGACAGCTGGAGATAGGAAGTAAGAGCTAGGTAATCTCCACATTCGAAACAAGCGGGATTTCAGGCATTAGCATAGGGTCGAATTAAAAATAGAACAGAGTGAGGAAGGAAAAGGATGGTTAGCAATCTTTGGGGTCACCGAAGCACCTTTAAAGAATGGGAGGAGTATTTGGTTAGCTGCAGTGGCCCATGCCTATAATCCCAGCACTTTGGGAGGCTGAGGCGGGAGGATCCCTTGAGCCCAGGAGTTTGAGACCAGCCTGTGCAACATGGCGAAACCTCGTCTCTACAAAAAAATGAAAAATAAGCCGGGTGTGGTAGCACATACCTGTGGTCCCAGCTACTCAGCATGCTAAGGTGGGAGAATCGCTTGAGCCTCGGAGGTCGAGGCTGTAGTGAGCTGAGATCACGCCACTGCACTCCAGCCTGGGTAACAGAGCGAGTCCCTGTCTCAAAGAAAAAAAAAAAAGCATAGGAGTAGGTAATATACACTGTGATGTGTAATTCTTTCCATTTAAATCTCCCTCTTTCCAAATGTGCAGTCAACCTTGTAGTTTATGTATTTACAGACATAAATTCAAGTAAGTTTCTTTTTATTCATTCTTTTTCTTCTCCTTTTTCCTTCCTTTTCCTTTTTCCTCTCTCTTTCTCCTTCTCTTTTTTAAAAAAGGAATATTTATTCAATTCCATATCTGGGTTAGCACAGTGTGAGACAGGGACAGCATATGGAGAAAGAAGAAATAATTTGTACCTGAATAAAATCAACAGAAGCATAAGCTTGAACTTCATGGTAAAGAAGAAAACATACCAATCCCGCCCTCCAGATTCACAGAAATCTTGGGTAAAGGAATTAGTCTTTCACATGCTGTTCTTATTTAGATTTTAAGGGAATTACAGAGGTAAAGCTAAGACTAGTACTCAGGTTTTAAAATTCCTAATCCAGTATTCTTTCTAATGCCCAAACGGAGTATTAACTCAGCGTTACAAGGACATACAGGCCAGGAGTTAAGATCCACTGAGTTCTAAGAAGATTTCGATGATGTTGTAAAAAATAATCACTACACCAATGATGAAAATAACATGATGGGCTGATATCCTGTCTGCACCAAAAAAAGGTGAGATCCTGTCCCCACCAAAAAAAGAAAAAAAAAAATCAGACTCTCTTAACACCTACCAGTTGTCTGCTAAATGTTATATAAGGAGTCTTTGCCTTTTGACAAAATTACACTATTGTTAGGACCGATTCAAATTATATGAATACACTGTATACATAGTACATAGACATTCCCACCTACACCTGATACATATTTATAATTAGAAAAATTATTTTAAAAAGCAGAAAAAAGTAGTAGGACCAGGAATGAGAGGAATGACTAGAAGTGTGACTTAGAGATGTTGAAGAAAAAGAGATTGTTCACTTTGACATTTATTAAGCATCTTTCTTTCCCTTTCTTTTCCTTCCTTCCTTCCTTTCTTTTCTTTCTTTTCCTTCTTTCTCTTTCCTTCTTTCTTTCCATCCCTCCCTCTCTCCCTTCCTTCCTTCCTTCCTTCTTTCCTTCCTTCCTTCTTTCCAGGTTAGAGTTGCTATTTGTGAAGAACATATCTCAAGGGGAATAGAAGACCTACACCAGTCAGATATCAAAAGCTATTTATGATTGAGTGGTTCAATGTATACAATAGACAGGAAGCATTATCAGAAAAGTGACAGATTCATGTGGCCACAAGGTTAAGGGAAGGTTTCACAATGGAGATGAGTCCTAAATAGGAAAGGCAAGATAGTCAAAGTGATGGAAAGAAGTGTTTTAGGGTCAAGGAACAACTTCTGCAAAAAATCTAGCATCGAAACAAAACTGGCCAACTGATCATCTTTATTAAAGCAGTGTTTTATTTAAGCTATATTGACTAATATTTGCTATCTTTTATAACTCAATGGTATTTCATTGCATTTACATTGTGCCATTTGTCAACTCATAAGAATTATTTTGGCACTACAGTCACTAAGTCCACTTAGACTATCACTCACCTACACCATAAGCCAGTCTGTTTTATAGTGCTGTATAAAAGTTTGGTTCAGATACTATAAAAATATTTCCATTAAAGGGCAAATATTTTCACTCTTAAATAGATACTATAGAAATAGTTTTTACAATCTATTATAAGCATTTATAAAATGCTTAACAATAACTCATCCCTAATATAATGTGTAATGTATGAATTTGAGAGGCTCCAGTTCCTGATAAAATATAAAATCATAAATATCCTTCCCTAAAACTCACTGGTCAGGAAATATGAAAGGTAACCATCTAAATATATCTACTCAAAACTTTTAAACCAGATTATAAAGCTAAGTCCACCTGAACCCATAATGGGTGAGGATTTCATTCTAAGGCCGCAATAACTTCATTTATGGCCAAGTCTCAACTCCAAGAGCAGACAGATTACCAAAGACATTCTGGAGATCAGTATGAAGCGCATCCTGCTTAAACCAATTATGCTGAAATTGTCAGATTGCAGCTGACAGCCAATTTCATGCATTTCATTTCCATCAAGTTCACCTAATAATAATAACAGCAGAATATGAAAGATGTCATTACATATCATTCTTTTGGAATATTTAAACGTAGATGGATATTTTACAGATGACATTCTGTGAGTCACATACAGAAAAGCTCAACAAATGTGAGTTTAAGAAAAAATATGTTGTAGTAAAAATGTGGATGTAATATACATATTGCTTAAAAATTATACTTTCGTGATTATTTTCTGTTTCTATCTCATTGATTCATTTTTTTAAAAACTAACATGCAAGTTTAAATAGTATATTTAATCTTTATTTCCTCTGCACCATTTTATTAACAAAAGTGGAAGATAAAATAATCAAGGTAGAAGAGCAATTCTTAATTTATAATTTTCTCACCTTTGTACTAGTTTTAAGTCACAGCTTCTGAATGGTGCTCTACAATAGACACCCAAAAAACAGCTTAATAAATATGATTGGCAATCATTTCATGCATCCTTCAGGCATAAAAGCCTGTTAGGAACTAAGAGAAATTCATGAGCTGTTTCTAACACTGTTCTTTACAGTGCATTTGCATAATAATAAGGCCCAATCTGTTGGAAAACAAGTAAAGGGCAAATTAATAAGGTCATCATTTTGGTCTAATGATGCTTAATGCAGTTTTAGCAATCTGCTCAAGACAAAAGGTAGCCACTCAGACATAGCCAATTATGCATTTGTGTGGCAGATGAAATCTTTAATGATGAATCTGATTAACATTCAATAATAAACATACAGGCTGAGAAAATGACCAAGCTACCTCCTGCAAACATCATCAACTAAGGCTTTGTTCAGATTGAGGTCAGACTGGTATTCCAGAAAGGCGCATTAAGATAAAAGTTTATCAAATGTGTTAACATGAATCCCCCTAAAAAACCCACAAAATCCCTATTATACAAAGGCTACCTTTGCAACAGCTGACTTGTCTGATCAGTTATGAAAAAATAGACTAAACTTTTTCATGGGTTGCATGTGTTTAAATTTTTAGAATGGTTTTAAATTAATTTGCTCTGATCTCCAAACACTGGGAATATGATAAAATTGGGCCACAGGAGACTTAGGAGTTCAGTTCCGTTGCTTCAATTTTTCTTCCAATGATCCAATGTGAGCAACTCGAAAGGAATCTGTTTTACTCATGTTCCTAAAATGCCTTGGATCCAATGGAATTCAAGAATTGTTACTTATATAAATAAGCATTACTTAATAAAGTATGGAAGCAGTTAGACAAGGATATCACATATCATATCATATTTTATTTTATTTTATTTTATTTGAGACAGAGTCTTGCTCTGTTGCCCAGGCTGGAGTGCAGAGGCACGATCTCAGCTCACTGCAAACTCTGCCTCCCAGATTCAAGCGATTCTCCTGCCTCAGCCTCCTTAGTAGCTGGGATTACAGACACCCGGCACCATGCCTGGCTAATTTTTGTATTTTTAAGTAGAGATGGTGTTTCACCATGTTGGCCAGGCTGGTCTTGAACTCGTGACCTCAAGTGATCGCCCTGGTCGGCTTCCCAAAGTGCCGGGATTACAGGCATGAGCCACCACGCCGAGCCCACATATTGTATATTTAAGACATTTTATTGAAGTATAGCAAACATAAAGAGAAGTACACAAATAGTAAGTTAAAATCGCAATAGATTTTCACTAAATGAACATACCAGTTAACCTGTAGCCAGATTGAAAAAAACTGAACATCAAGAAATAGCATCCTGGAAGTGCAGTCACTAGATCCCTCCCTACCAGCTCACTAACTTGACTATAAAGACCAAACGTTAATTTTGCTAGTTTTTTTGTTTTTTGTTTGTTTGTTTTTTTACGGAGTCTTGCTCTGTCGCCCAGGCTGGAGTGCAGTGGCGTGATCTTGGCTCACTGCAACCTCCGTCTCCTGGGTTCAAACAATTCTCCTGCCTCAGCCTCCCGTGTAGCTGGGATTATAGGCTCGTGCCACCACGCCTGGCTAATTTTTTGTATTTTTAGTAGAGACGGGGTTTCACCATGTTGGTCAGACTGGTCTCGAACTCCTGACCTCGTGATCCACCTGCCTCGGCCTCCCAAAGTGCTGGGATTACAGGCTTGAGCCACCGTGTCCAGCCTTTTGCTAGTTTTTGAACTTGTGCCTCACTTTTTTCTTTCAACATGTTTGTGAGATTCTTCAATATTTTTGAGTGTAGTTGGAGTTCATTTTCATTCATGGCTGTGGAGGATGTATCATTTACTTGACAAACATTTATTATCTCTGTCTATATAAATATTCATATTATAGAAATAGTTTTTACAACCTATAATAAGTATTTATAAAATGCTTGACAATAGCTCATCAATAGTATAACATTAAATGTATGAATTTGAGAGGATCCAGTACCTTGGAAAAATATAAAATCATAAATATCCTTCCCTAAAACTCACTGGTCAGGAAATATGAAAGGTAACCATCTAAGTCTATCTACTCAAAACTCAATCACTGCTAGTGGTAGATTTGGGATTATTTATCCTTTCTATGACTGTTTCTATTTTATAGCTACTATGAATTGTGCTGCTACAAACAATTTGTATGTCTTCTGGTGAACATATGTATGCATTTCTGTTGGGTATATACCCAGGAATATTGCTCTGGCATAGGACATATGTATGTTCAATTTTAGTAGCTACTATGAAACAGTATTCCAAAATGGTTATACCAACCCATATTTCCATTAACAGTGTAATGAGAATTCTGGCTGTTCTACATCTTTAACATTTTCTGTTTTCACTTTAGCCATTCTGGTGGGTGTATAGTGGTGTTGTACTATGGTTTTAATTTGCACTTTACTGATGACTACTGAGGTTGAACGTCTGTTCACACATTTATTGGCCATTTGAACACCCTTCTGTGTGAAGTTCCATTCATGCCTTTGGTCCACATTTTGTATTCCATGCCAAACTGTAATGTCTTCTGAATGTGGTTATATTAACCAGCAAGTAAATAAAATCTGAGCTTTTATTCCATTTTTAGAAATCTGACATAAACTGAAATACAGATGGTCCCTGACTTAACGGTAGTTTGACTTACAAATTTTCAACTTTATGAGGGTGTGAAAGTGATATGCATTCAGTAGAAACTGTACTTTGAGTGCCCATATACCATTGTGTTTTTCACTTTCAGTACTGTATCTAATAAATTACATTAGATAGTCAACACTTTATTCTAAAATAGGCTTTGTGTTAGATGATTTTGCCCAACTGTAGGCTAATGTAAGTGTTCTGAGCTTAAGGTAAGCTAGGCTAAGCTATGGTGTTTTGTAGGTTAGGTGTATTAAATGAATTTTCTATTTATGATATTTTCAACTTATGATGGTTTATCAGAATGTAACTCCATCATAAGTTGAGAAGCATCTGTACATCTAAATGTTTAAGTTTCTGAGCTTATGGTGAAACTAAGAAATAAAAAACAGCAAAAAACATTATTATTATGCAAGCTAGTGAAGAAACTCATGATAATAATTATGTTAAAGGACGGTATCAAGAATTTATCCTGATTTTCTTATTTAAACTGTACCTCTGAGGAACCGAATAGTAGATAAGGGAAAAATCTCTTCTAGGAGTACTCTGTATAACTACATAAGGGATGACAGAATTAAGATATCACTATTTTGCAACTCTGATGAATTAATGGCCATAGGCGTTGAGACTCAATGGCTGTTAACATCATGAAAAAAGAGATACTCTTTAATGCTTCTTGATGGAAGAACACAACCTATGAAGTAGTCTTGCCAAAGTCAAACCTGAATCTAGATGACCCTCTAGATGCAACTATCAATTTATGGAAAATACAGGTCAGAGGAGTATGTTAAACTATACCATAGGACAACAAACAGCCCAATCCAGATTGTGGAAAACTCTATAGTACAAATACCTTGATTGGCTTTTATCAAATAAATAAATGCAAAAAAAAAGAATAAAACAGATGATGGAGGGGGACCCTATAGATTAAAAGAGACTTAAAGGATACATCAAGGCCAGTCATGGTGGCTCACACCTGTAATCCCAGCACTTTAGGAGGCCAAGGCAGGCAGATCACCTGAGGTCAGGAGTTCAAGACCAGCCTGGCCAACATGGTGAAACCTTGTCTCTATTAAAAATACAAAAAAAATTAGCTGGGTGTTGTGGCAGGCATCTGTAATCCCAGCTACTCAGGAGGCTGAGGCAGGAGAATTGCTTGAACCTGGGAGGCAGAGGTTGCAGTGGGCCAAGATTGCACCATTGTACTCCAGTCTGGGCGACAAAAGTGAGAATCTGACTAAAAAAAAAAAAAAAAAAAAAGACACATCAACAAATCTCAATGTAGGCACCTTATTAGAATCCTAATTCAAAACTTTTTAAAACCTTAAAGATTTTATACTATTTATGAAAAGACAATTTCTGATAATGGTGAAGTAGCTTCTATTAGATCACTGCTCCTACCAGTAACAATTGTAAATTTTGAATTTTTTAAATAAAACCATTTTTGAAGTGCTAGAGAGTGATCAAAAACAGAAACTTCAGGAGACACAATCCTTGAAAGATGTGAAACACATTTGGAGAGCTCTTTCTTTAATTAGTTTTCCCTTCAGTGAATGCCCCAGTTCATGTGTCAGGGAATAAAGCTCAAGCAGAAAGTTTCAGTCTTACGAGAATGAGGAAACACAGGTTGAATCTGAGACTGCTAGAATGACTAGAAATTAAGGGAAGAAATCTTGGGCATGATTGTGCCACAAAGAAGGGAACCCCAAAATGTAAGTATAAATATCCTTCCAATCCTTGGTTGACTCTTGAACAACTGTACATGTGTAAGGCATGTCTCCAACTGCCCAGTGGAAAGCTGTAGCTGTAAGGTAGAAAGAGGTGAGAAGACTTCAGCAGCTGCTTATTGCTGGGAAAATAGAGTTTGGAGTTCAAATTCTACTAAGTTAGAAGAACACTAGGGCTTTCCTATTAAACCCCAGGAAGGCTACTTTACACGTAAGGACTATATCACAGGACTAAGAGCAAAATCAGAATAGACCCATTCTAACAAAGTTGAAAATCTAGCCTTCACAAGATAAGAGCTATTTTCCAGCAGTGTAACTGCCTTCCAGAATAAAATTCAAAATTCTTCAGAGGAATATAACAGAATCTAGAATATGTTATTCACAATTTTCAGTATATAATAAAAACCAGATGTATAAAAAAACATAAAAATGAGACTTAAAGAGAAAAAACAGTCAATTGAAAGAGATCCTGAGACAACCCAATGTTGGAATTGGGCAAGAACATTAAATAAACTATTATAAACATGTTAAAGATTTTATAGGAAAAGATAAATATAATGGGTAAAGAGATGGGAGAATTTTAACAGATATTTGAAAACTGCAACAAAACCAGAACTCTTAGAGCTGAATAATACAATACTTGAAATAAAATGTTTACTGGATGAGCTTGACAGCAGATTAAAAATAGCAATCAATAAATTTGAAGATACAATAATGGAAACTATATGAACTAAAGTACAAAGAAAAAAATCATTGAGGAAAAATGAGTAGAACCTCAGTGACCTGTGAGACAATATCAAGTGGTCAAACATATATGTAACTGGGGTGTCAACTGGAGAGAGAGAAAATAGGGCAAAGTTTGAAGAAATATTGGCTAAAATGGTTTCCATTTTATTTAAAAGATCTACCCTCAGACTTAAGAAGCTCAGCCAAAACCAAGAAAAATAACTACAAAGAAAATCATACCTAGGAACATCATAGTTAAACTGATAAAAACTAGAGGTAAACAGAAAAAGTCTTAGCAGTAAGAGCAAAAAGTTATATACAGGGGAATGATGAGAATGATGGCAGACCTTTGTTTAATAACAACAGATGCCAGAAGACAACATCTTCAAAGTTCTTGGGGGGAAAATCTTGCCAGCTTAGTATTTTATATCCAGTGAAAATTTCATTCAAAAGTGAAAGTGAGATCTGGTGTCCAAAGAGACAGCAGATCTGCTGTCTCCAAAGATCTTTGAAGTCATCTTTCCCATCCTGACAACAAGGAACGCTGACAAAACTGAAAATCAACAACTTTTCTTAGATCCTCCAGAGAATTGAGATCATAAGGCCAACTGTTGCCCCCAAAATTGGAGAGAGATATGGGCAGATATAGAGAATCACAACTTACGACAGCAGAAATCTCTGTGGGAACCAAATTGGGGTGAGAAAACTTAAACTGTTATTGATAAATTGCCAGAGGCACAGCATAGATGAGTTTGAGAGTCAAAGACTTCACAGGGACCCAGTTGTAGGAGGATCCCCACACTTTTGTGAGTTTTACCTCCAAGAGCCCTACTAGGTTATCATTGTTAAAAATCACAAAAATATCCCTTTGTGCTTCCAGGTGATGGAGGGGGAAAGTAGCCAATTTAAAATATATCCAGAACATTCTGTTCTTAACAAGGCCTGCCCTCAAGAGAAATTACTTTATCAGAGCCCAACCAACTGGGATTTTATTAGAGCCCAACCAATTTGTAGGAAGAGAAATACCCAAATTCGGCTCCCTCTAGCCTTTCACATGGGGGGAGGAAATGTCCAAACATAGCCCCACCTTAATCCTTCCTGGTTCACCTAACAAGGAAAACAAAACAAAATAAAACTGAGAAGAATTTGAGAAGCCAGATACATAGGCTCACTAAAAACTGAGACCAAATCATAAGACCATAGAATGGTTTCCCTCCCACCAAACCTTACCACATCAATAGGGCTCCTACATAATAACAGTGGAATATAACTTAAAGAACTGCACATCTCAGAAATTATTTAATAAAAATAGCAGAGGAGGCAAAACCAAGGATACCAAAGGAAATTGTAGCCCCCAACACCTGCAGGTACAGCAAATAGTAAACACAAACTAACTTCTAAACAGATAAACACAAAACCTAACAATAAAGCTATTTATTCAGTTCCTTTTACCAAGTACATCATGTCCAACTTTTAACAAAAAATTATAAGGCATATTAAAAGACAAAATAAAATTTGAAAACAGAGCGAGCATCAGAAGAGGATTCAAATATGGCAGAGATATTAGAATTATCAGACTGGGAACTTAAAACAACTATAATTAATATGCTAGAGAATCTAGTAGAAAAAGTGTACAATGTGCAAGAATAGGTGAACAATGTAAACAGAGTTGGAAACCCTAAGAAAGAATCGAAAGAAAATGCTAGAAATCAAGAACACTGTATCAGAAATGAAAAATGCCTTTGGTAAACTCATTAATATACTGGACAAACAGCTGAAGAAAGAATCAGTGGACTTGAAGAAATGTCGATAGAAATCTCCAAAACTGAAATGCAAAGAAAAAATTACAAAAAGAGACAAAATATAATATCCAAGAACTGTGGGGCAATTACAAAAGGTATAACATATATGTAATGGGGAATACCAAGAGAAGAGAGAAAGAACCAGAAGAAATATTTGAAGCAATAATGACTGATAATTTCCCAAAATTAATGATAGACAACAAACCACAGATCCAGAAAAGTCAGAGAACACCAAGCAGAATATATACCAAAAGATCTATACCTAGGGCTCAGCATGGTGGCTCATGCCTGTAATCCTAGCACTTTGGGAGGCTGAGGCAGGCAGATTGCCTAAATTCAGGAATTAGAGACCAGCTTGGGCAACATGGTGAAACCCCATCTCTACTAAAATACAATAAATTAGCTAGGCATGGTGGTGCATGCCTGCAATCCCAGCTACTCAGGAGGCTGAGGCACAAGAATTGCTTGAACCCAGGGGGCGGAGGTTGCAGTAAGCCAGAATCATGCCACTGCACTCCAGCCTAGGAAGATCTACACCTAGGCATACCTACCATATTCAAATTTCAGAAAATCAAAGACAAAGAGAAAATCTTGAAAGCCAGAGGGAAAAATCATGTTACCTATAGAGAAGCATGGATAAGAATTACACTGCACTTCTCAGAAAACATGCAAGCAAAAAGACAGTGAAGTGAAATATTTAAAGTATTGAAAGAAAAAAAACCACCAACCCAGAATTCTGTATCCAGCTAAGTTATGCTTCTTGTGAAGGAGAAATAAAGATTTTCTCAGACAAACAAAAATTGAGAAAATTTGCCACTAGTAGACCTACTTTCCAAGAAATATTGGCCAGGCGAGGTGGCTCATGCCTATAATCCCAGCACTTTGGGAGGCCGAGGCGGGTGGATCACGTGAGGTCAGGAGTTTGAGACCAGCCTGGCCAACATGGTGAAACCCTGTCTCTACTAAAATACAAAAATTAGCTGGGCATGGTGGTGTGTGCCTGTAATCCCAGCTACTTGGGAGGCTGAGGCAGGAGAATCGCTTGAATCCATGAGGCGGAGGTTGCAGTGAGCCGAGATCGTGCCACTGCACTCCAGCCTGGGTGACAGTTAGACTTCGTCTCAAAAATTTAAAAAAAAAAAATATTAGAAGAAATTCTTCAGAAAATGATTCAGATCAGTGTTGTGGGCTAAACTGTTTTTTGTTTGTTTGTTTGTTTGCTTTTCAAAATTCTTTGTAGGGCCTTTAAAGTGGTAATGAAGTTAAAATTGGGTCATTAGTGTGGACCCTAATGGATTGTGACAAGCAGTCTTATAATAAGAAGAAATCAAGATATAGACAGAGAGAGATCCCAAGCACATGCACACTTAAATCAAGGGATGACCATGTAAGGACACAGGGAGAAAGCTACCATCTACAAGCCAAGGAGAGAGAAATCAAACCTGCTAACACTCTGATCATGGACTTTTAGCTCCCAGAAGTGTAAGAAAATAAATTCTGGTTGTTTAAGCCATTCAGTTGGTGGTATTTTGTTTTAACAGCCCTAGCAAACTGCAGAAACTCAGATCTACATAAAGAAAGGAAAAGCATTAGAGAAGGAATAAATGAAGTTAAAACAAAATCTTTTATCTTTATTTTTCTTAATTGATCCAACATATGCTTGTTCAAAATAATAATAGCAGCAATATATTTAGTGATTATAGCTTGTGGATAAGTGAAATGAATGACAACAATGTTACAAGTGGTGGGAGGGACAAATTGGGAATACTCTGTTGCTATATACTTGCACTACCCATGAAGTGGTATAGTTTTTTGAAAGAGGATGTAAACTAATCGTAAATATAAGGGAAGGAGGTACAAATAGGTGGAGCATAGAGGATTTTTAGGACAGTAAAACTATTCTGTATGATTCTATAATGATGGATATATGCAACTATATATTTGTCCAAACTCATAGAACATACAACATCTAGAGTGAACCCTAATGGAAACTATAGATTTTGGCTGATAATGATGTCAATGTTGATTTGTTGATTGTAACAGTGTACCACCCTGGTGTGGGATGTTGATAGTGAAGGAGACTGCATGTGTATGGGAGGGGGTATGTGAGAACTCTCTGTACTTTCCTCTCAATTTTGCTGTGAACATAAAACTGCTCTAAAAAAAATAAAGCTTATATTTTAAAAACCATTGCCTAATCCCAAGTCAAGAAGATTTACCTCTGTTTTCTTCTAAGAGTTTTAACTCCTAAATTCAATCTCGAATCCATTTTGAGTTCACTTTTATATAAGGCAGGAGTCTAACTTCCTCATTTTGCATGTGAATATCTTGTTGTCCCAGTACCATTTGTTGAACTATTTCCCCCAATGAATTGTCATTCATTCTTGTCAAAAATTAAATGACCATAAATGTATGGGTTTATTTCTTGACTCTTGACTCTATTCCATTGTCTGTATATCTAACCTTATGGCAGTACAATACTGTCTTGATTACTGTAGTTGTGTAGTAAGTTTAGAAATGGAAAGTGCGATAGTTGTGTTGAATCTGTAAATCAATTTGAGGAGTGCTGCCATCTTAATAATATTAAATCTAGGCTGGGCATGGTGGCTCACGCCTGTAATCCCAGCACTTTGGGAGGCCGAGGCAGGTGGATCACCTGAGGTCGGGAGTTCATGACCAGCCTGACCAACATGGAGAAACCCCATCTCTACTAAAAATACAAAATTTGCTGGGCGTGGTGGCACATGCCTGTAATCACAGCTATTTGGGAAGCTGAGACAGGAGAATCACTTGAACCAGGAGGCAGAGGTTGCGGTGAGCCGAGATTGCGTCATTGCACTCCAGCCTGGGCAACAAGAGCAAAACTCTGTCTCAAAAAAAAAATAATAATAATAATAATAATATTAAATCTTTTGATCCATAAACATGAGATGTTTTTGTTAAATTCATTTCTAGGTATTTTATACTTTTTGATGCTATTGCAAATTAAACTGTTTTCTCAATTTCATTTTTGAATTGTTCATTCATACTCTACAGAAATACAACTGAATTTTGTATATTGATCTTGTATATTCCATATTGATGAATTTATTTATTGGTTTTAATTTTTTTAGTGGATTCTTTAGGATTTTCTACATAGAAGATCATGTCACCTGCAAGTTTTCCTTCTTTTATTTATTTATTTACTTATTTATTTGTTTATTTATTATTATTTTTAGAGATGCTCTCTTGCCCAGGCTGGAGTGGAGTGGCATGATCATCACTCACTGCAGGCTTGAACTCCTGGACTCAAGTAATCTTCTGTCTCAGCCTCCCAACTAGCTGGGACTATGGGCCACACCAGCATGCTTGGCTACTTAAAAAAAAATTTATTTGGTTTTGCCCACTTCTAAAAAAAATTTTTTTAGAGATGGGGATCTCACTATGTTGCCCAGGCTGGTCTCTAACTCCTGGCCTCAAGCAATCCTCTCTCCTCAGCCTCCCAAAGTGCTAAGATTACAGGTACTAACCACCACCAAGCTTGGCTCGCTTCTTCTTTTCTAATCTCAATGATTTATTAATTTGTCTTGCTTAATTGCCTGGGTTAGAATCCCCAGTAATGTTGAATAAAAGTTTCAAGAGCAGACATCCTTATCTTGCTCCTAAGGGGGAAAGCATTCAGTTTTCTCCATTAAGTATGATGTAAACTGTGTGGTTTTCATAGATGCATTTTATCAGCTTGAGGAAGTTTCCTTTTAGTTCTAGTTTATTGTTTTTTCATACAAATATACTAGATTTTGTCAAATGTTTATTCTGCATCTATGGAAATAATCATGTAGTTTTAATCTTTATTCTATTGATGTGGTGTATTACATTAATTGATTACTGAATTAAATGATTTCAGGTTTGCATTCCTGGAATAAATCTCACTTGGTCATAGGATATAATCCTTTTTATGTTGCTGGATTCAATTTCCTAGTATTTGTTGAAGATTTTTGTGTCTAAATTTATAAAGGATATTGGTCTATAGTTTTCCTGTGTTATCTTTGCCTGATTTGGGGATCAGAGTAATACTGTCCTCTTAGAATGAGTCAGGAAATGTTTCCTTCTTTTATGTGTTTTGGCAGAGTTTGAGAAGGATAGATATTAACTCTTCTTTAACTATATGTAGAATTCACCAGTGAAACCATCTGGTCCTGGGCTTTTCTTTGAGGGAAGGTTCTAAATTCTTAATTCAGTCTCTTCACTTGTTATAGGCCTATTCTGATTATCTGTTTCTTCTTGAGTCTGTTTCAGTAGTTTGTGTCTTTCAAGGACTTTGTCCACCTCATCTAAGTTATCTATTTTTTTGTCATATAGTTGTTCACAGTAATAATCATTTTTATGTCTTTAAGGATGGTAATAATTTGACTCTGTTTGTTTTAATCAAGATAGCTAAATGTCAACTTTTGTTGAAGTTTTGAAAGAACTCTTTTGGTTACCAATTGCATAGCTTACCTTTTCCATCCTGTTACTTTCAATCTATTTGTGTTTTTGAATCTAAACCGTGTTTCTTGTAGAAGGCATATGTGATTGTTTTGTAAAAATCTATTCTGCTAATATCTGTTTCTTGATTGGCATATTTAGTCCATTCACATTTTATGTGGTTACTGATAAAGTAGGATTTATGTGTCTCATTTTGCTATTTATATTCTATGACTTAAGTATCTTTTGTTCTTCTATTTATCAATTATGATCTTTCTTCATCCTAGGTATTTTCTCGTGTACCATGCAAATTCCTTTGTTGTTTCTTTTACCATACTTTTAAATTTTTTAGTGATTGCTCTGGAGATTACAATTAGCATCTGTTTTTGTTTCCCCCAATGTAATATCTTGCAAAACTGTAGTATGATATCACAACCAGGCTGTTAACAGCGATACAGTCAAAAAGCTGAACATTTCCATCACCCCATAGATCTCTCATGTTGCCCTTTTATAGCCACACCCTCTTACCTTCTACCTGTACGCCCTCCTTAATCCCTGGAAATCACTATGTTCTATTAAATAAAAAATCTGGGCCAGCTCATAGACATTTTCTTTGGCTGCTTTTTACCCTGTGTATTTTGCACACTTTGCTGTTTATTTGCATATCTAGTAATTTTTTTGGTTGAAAACTGGGTA
Organism: Homo sapiens; assembly: GCF_000001405.40. Lineage (NCBI taxonomy): Eukaryota > Metazoa > Chordata > Mammalia > Primates > Hominidae > Homo > Homo sapiens. The sequence goes on from NC_000017.11 coordinate 61,658,565, forward strand.
TTTTAGAGAATACATTGTAACAACTCCAGTATTTGGTTCATCTCTCCTCAAGGATTTCTTGAACTAATTGTATAGATTCTCTATTCCCTGCCACTGAGTTCTCCTGAATGTGTGTGTGTGTGTGTGTGTGTGTGTGTGTGTGTGTGTTTTATTGTTTTTGTTTTTAAGCATGGGTTTCTAGCAGTCCCCTCTGGGTCACTATAATTTAGTGATCAGCTAAAGACCATCAGATTTCCTAAAATGCTTTTCTATTATTTTTCAAGGATATCCTTTGAAGGCCCACCTTCAAACTTTAAGCAGTTCATAAGACAGCCTTACCTTTTACTTTTTACTTCTGTAGGACCTCACAGTCAGCTGGAGTGATTGGCTGGGGCCTTCTCCCTTCCCTATCTTCTGTGAGCATGTATAGCAACTTATTCATGCATGTAGCCTTTTAGATTCCCCAGGAATATATGAGAGCTTTTCAAAGTTCCCTATGCTTTTCTACTTCTCCACAGTTTCCTGTTAAGTTCCTAGCCAGACTCTTGTTTGTCCCATCTGCAAGCACAGCCTTAGGCGGCTGTGATGTTGCCAGAAGACCAGTAGTGCTTCCATAGGGTCCTGGAGGCCCACTGCCCCTGCTCCGTCCCACCCCTCAACTCTCAGTTAAATCAAATAGCTACAACACCCTGGGAATAGAGATTTTCCAGGTAGCTGCAGGTTGGAACAAAGTATCGACTGTGCTGTGGGATGTTGATTACTCAGGTACAAGTGATATATCTGGATTAAAAATATCTCTAGAACATATCTCATTTTCATCAATAAGACTGCCAACAATAGTTATAAAAACCACCTTCGGTAAATCCAGAAACATCAGAAACAATCCATTCGGCACACAGCACATTTGCACATACAATCATTTCAGACTTCAGATTCTCAAATATCTTCATAGTTTAAGAGAATCATTTCATTAAATAAGTTTAAAAATAATATCTGATTTTTGGTGTGCTAATATTATATAAGAATGAACAAAAGAATGAAAGTGAGCTATTTTTGAGGAATGTGGGTGACGGTTATATTCAATCAACACAAATAATAAGTGATGAGGTAATTTCCTAACTTACTAATATGAGTGTAATATGAATGGATATGATAAGGCATAACCATAAAAGAGAAAACCGTATATGAAAAATAATTCAAATCATCTGGTCTCCACTACCAAAATAAAATTATGCTTACTCTCTTGTCTAAATTTCTTATCAGTCAAGACAATGGAACAAAAACCTTGTTACAAAATATTTATTGCATTTCCAACTGGGAAAAGTAAATTTTAAAGAATAAAATATACATCCCTGCCAGAACTTTTCAGTGTTCCCATACTGCCAATTTTACCTTCCTTGGAAGAAAGATAAGCTCCATTTTTTTCCCATAGAGAAGTATTAATTGTAAGATGTAATTCACCAGCCCACAGAGAAATAATACTTAACTGTGTTCTTCCTGTGAGCACTCCATTAACTGTATGCTTATAAATGGCATTTCCTCTGAATGTATATTGAAACTCACCTTATAAAATCCATAGCAGTGCAGCCTTTCTTGTTGCTAAGGGACTATGATACCACAGTATTTCATGATGCTAAAATAGGAATATTATAGTTTAAATTTCATATGCCTCGCTATCATCAGACAATTTAAACAATGAAATGGGAAAATGTTCAACATCTAATTACATTAATTAATGTTGGAATAATGCACGATCCTGCACTTTCCTATAAAGGACTAAGTTTAAAGTAGTATCTACATTAATAATATTTCCTTATCATCATTATGATTATTGTTGTTAGCTAATACTTAGGGAGCTACTACATCATGCCAGGCACTATTCTAAGTGGTTTATATGAATTAACTCATTTAACCCACTAACCCCTAACCCCATGAGTTAGGTATTATTTCCCCATTTTGCACAAAAATAAACTAAAGCACAGAGAAGTTAAGTATCTTTCTCAAAATCGTAGAATTTATAAAAAGGCGGAAGTTGAATCTGATATCCAAGTGGTCTCATTGCACTGTTTACATTCTTAACGGCTGCACTCTATTACACTGAGAAAACATTTTTTAAAATCTTAACTACATTTAGTCACCTGAGATTTGTTTTTTAAAGTGATGTTATTCACCGCACTTGAAGAACATACCTCGTCTTACCCATAGAATGAATATTTGCTGAAAGTACTACCATCCTCTGATGGAATTGTTTACATTACTACTATAACTTTGAATCTGCTTGGTTTAGGGATGTGCAATAGGAGTTTACATTGGTTGGAAATCCGATCCTTATTTTACAAGACTAATCTTTGGGTCATGTTTTTGTCTCCAATGTGTATTCAATCCTGATTAGGCTTAAAGGAGCAGATTAAAAACACACAAAGAGATAAGACTGGCTTACTTTAACAACGCAAGTTTTAACATATAACATGGAAGCATAACGTGTCCAAATTTTTATGCTGGCATACTAAATGCCTTTTCAGTTTTGGCTTTGATACTTATGGTTTAATGTCAAGCATACAAAAATACTACATTTGGGAATAGTTCATCTTTAATAGCATATCATACTTTTTTTAATCAATAAGAGAAATGGGCCTTATGGATCGTATTTATCTATAGCATAGCAATACTTCATATATCTTCATTATTACATGAGGATAGTTATGCATGCACAGCCTTATCTTAAATTTCAGAACAAACATAAACTTACCCCTGATTCAGCAATATTAAAGAGACTGGTTGGTCTATTCTACACTGTAAGTAGCTGAAAGAACATTATTTCATATTCCAGATGGCATTTAAAGATAAACTTATCTCCATGCTTACAAAAATGTTTAAAAGCCTTTCATAAACCCTAAACTACCAGATTTAACATCTCAATTTCACTTGTAAAGATCTAATAGAAAGTAGATTGGATGTTAAGACTGGATCGTGTTTTTAAAAAACATTAGCTTAACATATTCAAAGGGAAAATGTAAGAATCTTTAGTCTAACATAGTATAGAAGAGTACAGAAAATAAGTAAAAAAAAGAAAAAAACAAAGAGTAACAGCTTACATTTGCGAATGCTTATGATGTAAGTTCATTATTTAATTTTATCCTCATAGACCTCTGTGAGGTATTACTGTCCTCACTGCCTGGATGAGGAAACTTAGGGAGCATAAGTTAAAGTTAGAAAGCAGTAGGCTGGGGTTTAAAATGTTCAAATCCAAAACTCAGGCTCAGATCGCTTTGGTTTAATGCCTCCTTAAGAATCAAAACATTTTCAAAAGAAAACATAATTCCTTGTTTTCAAATAAAACTATGTAGAACTGGGAACACTATTAACAAATCTCCACATTCTAAAATTCTGTGGGTTATTTGAAGAAAATCCGCCCATGTTAATTAAATGTGAAATGATGCCTTTCAAAATTTTAACACCAGTTCGTCTTAAAACAGAACTTCGATTATCCTATAAAATATGAGAATGCAATCTTTCCCATGATAGAGGCTATAATAGAAAAAACACAGATCCTGAAGATTCCTATTCTAAGAGAAGGCTATTTTAAAGACACTTAAAAAATGCAAATATTTCCTCAGCATGTAGAAAGAACAAAGTAATTTTTCCCAGGCTTCCACATCTGTGGGAGTAGCATTGTTCCTTTGACAGTACATTCACAATGCTAATAGGTGTCACTGCTGTACATCTAGTTTCAAGACAAAAAGTTTCCGTATATTCTTCAGTTGAACAATCGACCAAACAATCCAAATTTTAAAATTCCAAGGACAACCTCCTTTATGCTGGACTGCCGTTTCAATAAAGTGAGCAAAACTACGAGTTTTCCTGGAGGCACTGAGAACCCCAGGTGTTGAATGATTTGTAGTGATTCGTAAGTGAGCATTTGCTACTTTTTGTAGAAATTAATGGTGCTGTACAACAGAGGTACTTATGGCAGAGGGAAGACAATAGAGCAAGAGGGAACCTCTCTTATGCACCCCCACTTGCCCAGTCTTATTTGGGCTGGAATTACATTTGTGCATGGAAATCACTGTCCATTGAATAGACAGAGGAGTGGAAACTCAGAATGGAGGAGACATTGGATGAGGTAGCTCAGAAAAATAATAACAACACGACCTTCCACTTCAAACTCGTGGGTATACATTGAAAACAGGAAGAATTTGTGTAATAATATGACTATCAATCTATGTAACGTTGTAGTTCTCAGAAAAACTTCTTAGAGTCTTCCACACTGCAATAAGCCAAAAAATTCTTCACAACCACATATTCATTTTTTGATAAATGAGTACATTACCACAAGAAAGAATGTCCAATTCCAGAAAAAAATATTGAAATTGGTCAAAGCTACAAAGTACTAAAGGGAACATTATTAGAACCATATGATCTGACCATATGTTTCTGCAAACATTTGTAACCAAAGCATGAATGGTCCACCTTTGAGTGGGTAGCGGCAGGGAAAATCCCAAGTTATAGTTTTAAGTGTCTTTTATACTTAAGTGTTGAAATGAACAGATATTATCATAGAACTTGTTACCCACAGGTTTTAAACAGTCAAAAAAGAGAGTTTAAATGAATCCACTGATTTCAAAGATGGGGAAATAACAGATGTGGGTGATTTGAAGTCAGTATTCTGGAATATAAGTAATATGCTTCTCCTTGGCCATATCACTTTTAGGAATGAGTGGAGTTTGTTATAGGATTATTTTTGGATGAGTGCAGGGCTTGGGATAAATCATAATGTATAGCTTAGTCCCTTCTATTCAACATTAGAAACAGGTATTAGCATGACAAAAATGAACATGATGAACAGACTTGAAAGTGGTTCAGAAACTCTAAAAGGGCATGAGGCAACCGGAGACATTTATACAAAGGAAAAAGGACTTGGGGTTATGGGCCATTTGTTTGTATGTAAGCACCCATCTCACTGTTTTTTAGGAACAGCTGGTGGAACCCAGTTTCTTTTATCCTGTAAGTTGCCTGCATGCGTTGCTGCTCATCCTATACAAAGCTGAGCCTGCCAAAGCATCAATCTGGACTTGTACGCCATGGAAATGTTTTTTGGAGAGTCATTATCGGAAACAGATGAAGCAATGCCTCCTGTATCTAATGTGATGTCTGTTATTTGTACATTTCTTTGTTTTGTACAAGTTAAGTTTGAGGTTTTTTTCCTTTGCAGTTCTTTAGAGGAACATATTTTTTAAAGTGATTTATAAGTTACTTTTCATTTCCAAACTCATTTAAAAATAAAAAGGTACCTTATTTACATTTGAAGACTTTAGAAAGTGACAAGGAGGCAATGTAGCCATTCAATACATTTACCTTCATTCTTCACTGAAGTCTGATACACCATTAATGTGGTTTTTAAATGGTTAAGGGCAACATTAAATGGCATTGCCAGTGATAACATAAAATAACATTTCTTCTTAGGATCTGTACTCTGACTCACTTAAGCAATGGCAAAAAGATTTTGTGCAATTTAACATTCAGGAAGATTTTTTGGATTTTTATCAGCCCTGTAGTCTTGGAAAAAGCTTTTATAAATATTTCTAAGAGTAAAATAAGGAGGAACATACTTTAAAAAGGCATATCGCCCATGCCTATGTCCTGAATAGTATTGCCTAGGTTTCTTGTAGGGTTTTTATGGTTTTAGGTTTTACATTTAAGTCTTTAATTCATCTTGAGTTAATTTTTGTAAAAGGTATAAGGAAGGGATCCAGTTTCAGTTTTCTGCATATGGCCAGCCAGTTTTCCCAACACCATTTGTTAAATAAGGAATCCTTTCCCTATTGCTTGTTTTTGTCAGGTTTGTCAAAGATCAGATGGTTGTAGATGTGTGGTGTAATTTCTGAGGCCTCTGTTCTGTTCCATTGGTCTATATATCTGTTTTGGTACCAGTACCATGCTGTTTTGGTTACTGTAGCCTTGTAGTATAGTTTGAAGTCAGGTAGCGTGATGCCTCCAGCTTTGTTCTTTTGGCTTAGAATTGTCTTGGCTATACGAGCTCTTTTTTGGTTCCATATGAAATTTAAAGTAGTTTTTTCTAATTCTGTGAAGAAACTCAATGGTAGCTTGATGGGGATAGCATTGAATCTATAAATTACTTTGGGCAGTTTGGCCATTTTGACGATATTGATTCTCCCGATCCATGAGCATGGAATGTTTTTCCATTTGTTTGTGTCCTCTCTTATTTCCTTGAGCAGTGGTTTGTAGTTCTCCTTGAAGAGGTCCTTCACATCCCTTGTAAGTGGTATTCCTAGGTATTTTATTCTGTTTGTAGCAATTGTGAATGGGAGTTCACTCATGATTTGGCTCTCTGTTTGTCTGTTATTGGTGTATAGGAATGCTTGTGATTTTTGCATATTGATTTTGTATCCTGAGACTTTGCTGAAGTTGCTTATGAGCTTAAGGAGATTTTGGGCTGAGACAATGGGATTTTCTAAATATACAATCATGTCATCTGCAAACAGAAAAAATTTGACTTCCTGTTTTCCTAATCGAATACCCTTTATTTCTTTCTCTTACCTGATTGCCCTGGCCATAACTTCCAATACTATGTTGAATAGGAGTGGTGAGAGAGGGCATCCTTATCTTGTGCCGGTTTTCAAAGGGAGTGCTTCCAGCTTTTGCCCTTTCAGTATGATACCGGCTGTGGGTTTGTCGTAAACGGCTCTTATTATTTTGAGATACGTTCCATCAATACCTAGTTTGTTGAGAGTTTTTAGCAGGAAGCGGTGTAGAATTGTATTGAAGGCCTTTTCTGCATCTATTGAGATAATCATGTGGTTTTTGTCACTGGTTCTGTCTGTGTGATGGATTACATTTATTGATTTGCGTATGTTGAACCAGCCTTGCTTCCCAGGGATGAAGCCGACTTGATTGTGGTGGATATGCTTTTTAATGTGCTGCTGGATTCAGTTTGCCAGTATTTTATAGAGGATTTTTGCGTCGATGTTCATCAGGGATATTGGCCTGAAATTTTCTTTTTTTGGTTTTGGTATCAGGATGATGCTGGCCTCATAAAATGAGTTAGGGAGGAGTCCCTCTTTTTCTATTGTTTGGAATAGTTTCAGAAGGAGTGGTACCAGCTCCTCTTCATGACTGAAACACCAAAAGCAATGGCAACAAAAGCCAAAATTGACAAATGGGATCTAATTAAACTAAAGTGCTTCTGTACAGCAAAAGAAACTATCGCCAGAGTGAACAGGCGACCTACAGAATGGGAGAAAATTTTTGCAGTCTGTCCATCGGACAAAGGGCTAATATCCAGAATCTACAAGAAACTTAAACAAATTTACAAGAAAAAAAAACCCCATCAAAAAGTGGGTGAAGGATATGAACAGACACTTCTCAAAAGAAGACATTTATGTGGCCAACAAACATATGAAAAAAAGCTCATCATCACTGGTCGTTAGACAAATGCAAATCAGGCTGGGAGCGGTGGCTCATGCCTGTAATCCCAGCGCTTTGGGAGGCTGAGGCAGGCAGATCATGAGGTCAGGAGATCGAGACCATCCTGGCTAACACAGTGAAACCCCATATCTACTAAAAATACAAAAAATTAGCTGGGCATGGTGGTGGGCACCTGTAGTCCCAGCTACTTGGAAGGCTGAGGCAGGAGAATGGCATGAACCCGGGATGGGAAGCTTGCAGTGAACCAAGATCACACCAGTGCACTCCAGCCTGGATGACAGAGCGAGACTTCATCAAAAAAAAAAAAAAAAAAAGAAATGCAAATAAAAACCACAATGAGATACCATCTCACACCAGTTAGAATGGCGATCATTAAAAAGTCAGGAAACAACAGATGCTGGAGAGGATGTGGAGAAATAGGAATGCTTTTACACTGTTGGTGGGAGTATAAATTAGTTCAACCATTGTGGAAGACAGTGTGGCGATTCCTCAAGGATCTAGAACCAGAAATACCATTTGACCCAGTGATCCCATTACTGGGTATATACCCAAAGGATTATAAATCATTCTACTATAAAGACACATGCACATGTATGTTTACTGCAGCACTATTCACAATAGCAAAGACTTGGAACCAATCCAAATGTCCATCAATGATAGAATGGATAAAGAAAATGTGTCACATATACACCATGGAATACTCTGCAGCCATAAAAAAGGATGAGTTCATGTCCTTTGCAGGGACATGGATGAAGCTGGAAACCATCATTCTCAGCAAACTAACACAGGAACAGAAAACCAAACACCGCATGTTCTCGCTCATAAGTGGGAGTTGAACAATGAGAATACGTGAACACAGGGAGGGGAATATCACACACTGGGGCCTGTTGGGGTGAGGGACTAGGGGAGAAATACCTAATGTAGATCATATGTTGATGAGTGCAGCAAACCACCATGGCATGTGCATACCTATGTAACAAAGCTGTACGCTGTGCACATGTATCCCAGTACTTAAAGTATAATTTTTAAAAAAGTGAAAAAAAAGGCATATCACACCAACAATTATATTAATTTCCTTTAAAAATGCTGCCAATTGCATAAATTTGTTAATGTGTGTTTGTGGATGTATGTTAGCCAATCAGAAGGCAACTCTATGAAGAATTATTGCACATAGTGGTAACAATAAAACAAGTAAAGATATTATCATTAAATTCTATTACCACCACCAAGTACTGCTTCTCATTGTGATTGCATGTAACCATAGAATTTATAAAGAATGTGACTGAGTGGCTTTTTTTTTGAGAGAGTCTTGCTCTGTTGCCCAGGGTGGAGTGCAGTGGCACAATCTTGGCTCACTGCAACCTCTGCTTCCTGGTTCCAAGCAATTCTCATGCCTCAGCCTCCCGAGTAGCTGAGATTACAGGTGTGTGCCACCACACCCAGCTAATTTTTGAATTTTTAGTAGAGATGGGGTTTCATCATGTTGGCTAGGCTGGTCTCGAACTCCTGACTTCAAGTGATCCACCCACCTCAGCCTCCCAAAGTGCAGGGATTACAGGTGTGAGCCACCGCCCCCAGCCTGAGTGGCTTTTTATTTAGTACTTTAATTTGTTTAACATTTTAGTTATCTACAATTGTACTTTTCCCTAAGAATACCTTGAGAAAGTTGAGTTAATAAGAACTAAGCCACGTTGAAAACAATGTGGTGTTCTGCAATCAATATGTTGGTCTCAGTTCTAAATCTCTCTGGGCCTTAGTTACTTTATGTTTAAGGAAAGTAGATGACTTGTAAAGTATTCTAAAATATTAAAACAGTAATAAAAATATAACAAATTGAAGCAGTGCCAAAACAAAAGCAGCCAGTTTCAAGATAGCATGGTTGGCCGGGCGCGGTGGCTCATGCCTGTAATCCCAGCACTTTGGGAGGCCGAGGCGGGCAAATCACCTGAGGTCAGGAGTTTGAGACCAGCCTTGCCAACAATAGTGAAACCCCATCTCTACTAAAAATACAAAAATTAGCCGGGTGTGGTAGTGTGCACCTGTAGTCCCAGCTACTTAGGAGGCTGCAACAGAAGAATCGCTTGAACCTGGGAGGTGGAGGTTGCAGTGAGCCAAGATTGAAGATTGCACCACTGCACTCCAGCCTAGGCAACAGGGCAAGACTCGACCCCCAGGATGTAACTTCAACACAGAATTTTCAACACCATATTAAAGTTGTCTATTTTTGCTTGTTTTCTGTACCAGAATTGTAAGTCTGTACAAGGTAAGACTGTGTTTGTCACTCTTGCATCTGGCACATGCCTTAAAATAGTAAGTGCCCAATTTATAGCACTATTCAGTTCCACAAATAAACTAAATCATACTTTTTTTTTTTTTTTTGAGATGAAGGTAGGTGAGGTACACTTAATCCAAGCTTACTATGTCAGGAAGACATGGCAAGCTTCCAGAGAAATAGTGTCTCAATTGAATTTCTCAGGATGTTGTAGTAGTTTGCTAGGTAAAGAGGAAGGGAACTCTGCATAGGTGGAAGAGCATTCACCAAGGTGATGGATATGAAACAGCATGGTCCGTTTTTATATTTTAGAGACAGGGTCCTGCTCTGCCATCCAGGCTGGAGAGCAGTGGCATGATCATCGCTCACAGCAACCTCAAACCCCTGTCCTCAAGGGATTCTCCCACCTCAGCCTCTCGAGTAACCAAGGCTACAGGTTTGCACCACCACACCCAACTTTGTGTGTGTGTGTGTGTGTGTGTGTGTGTGTATGTACAGATAAGGGTCTCACTATATTGTCCAGCTGGTCTGGAACTACTGGCTACAAGTGATCCTCCTGCCTCAGGCTCTCAAAGCACTGGGATTACAGATGTGAGCCACTGTGCTTGGCCAACATGGTCTGTTTTTAAAATAATTCTTAGGAATAAAGTTCACAAAGGGTGGCTAGGAGATGAGGCTGGAGATGTTGGGTAGGACCAGATTACAAAAAGCCTGGTATATCTTCCTATGGAGTTTTGACTTCATTTTGAAGACTGCAGGAGGCCAATAGGCTGGGAGACAATGGAGGGAATAGGTATAGAAGGAGTAATAAAATGAATGCTGGAAGGACGCAGGATGGTGGTCAGAGAGAGGTATATTAGTGCTCATGGTTACGTGAGTGAGGAAGTTTTAAGGTATACTCAATGTGGGTGGATGAAATGGAGGTAAAATCACAGGAGTTGAAGTTAGGAAACTGAGAATTGGTAATTAGGTAGTTGGTAAGGTGTTAAGAATCTGGAATTGGAAGTTATGACACCAGGGTACTAGTCCTGACTCTAATGTCACTAATTATCTATGTTACTTAAAACAAACCTGTTAAGTTCTTCTTATTTTTAGAAGATTCCTTCTTCCCATAAAAAAATTACTAAGCACCTACTCTGTGTCCAGAAGTATATCATGCTCTAGGACTGTGTCTGCCCTCAAAGAGCTCATACTCCTTAATGTGAGTTAATGTATCTTCATTTAGTATTATTAAAATGTTATAAGATGATTCTGAAAAGTAAGATAATGAGGCTTGCTTTCAGATTCCAAGACTATGCCTTTCATAAAGAGATTCTGGAGAACAAAGGTAGATGAAAATCAATATGCAAGTACAAACATATATCAACAACACACTGTGGCATTATGGACTAGTGTGAAGAGTAGTATGACCTTGATTGTAGTCTCATTATGTCTCATTTTCCTCCTTTGTAAAATAAGGATAATACCACCTGTGCTGTTGACTTTGGCAGGCTGTGTTGAGAATCAAGTGAGCTAATGGTTGTGAAAGCTCTATGATATATTTCATGCTATGCACTAAAGCACCACAGAAGATGTATTTGCTATGCTCTTGTTCTGTTCCCATTAGGTTAGTTAACACAGTAATTCAGAGCAGAGAGGCTCTGCTCTGAATTCCCAACTGGAGATGGGAACATCAGGGAAAACAGCATATCCTGGTACTCCCTCAAGAATATATTTCAAGGCTGGGCATGGTGACTCACACCTGTACTCCCAACACTTTGGGAAGCCGAGGCAGGGGGATTACTTTTTTTTTTTTTTTTTTTTTTTTTGAGGTGGGATTTCACTCTTGTCACCCAGGCTGTAGTGCAATGACATGATCTTGGCTCACTGCAACCTCCGCCTCCTGGGTTCAAGTAATTCTGCTGCCTCAGCCTCCTGAGTAGCTGGGATTACAGGCGCCTGCCACCATGCCCGGCTAATTTTTGCATTTTTAGTAGAGACAGGGTTTCACCATGTTGGCCAGGCTGGTCTCGAACTCCTGACCTCCCAAAGTGCTGGGATTACAGGCGTGAGCCACCGTGCCTGGCCCCCTAGGTGGATTAGTTGAACTCAGGAGTTCAAGACCAGCCAGGGCAACATGGTGAAACCTTGTCTCTACACAAAATACAAAAATTAGCCAGGCGCATGGTGGCATGAGCCTGTAGTCCCAGCTTCTTGGGTGGCTGAGGCATGAGAATTGCTTGAACTCAGGAGGCGGAGGTTGCAGTGAGCCAAGATTGCACCATTGCACTCCAGCCTGCGTGACAGATATATAGATAGATAGATAGATAGATAGATAGATAGATAGATAGATAGATATAGATATAGATATAAATTGCAAGCATTTTTTTCATTAAAAAATTAAAGAAAGTCTGTGAGGACGTTTCCTGTGTTAAGTGACTTCCGCTGCTAACTTACAGATCCTCTACCACAACTATTATTTGTACCTACCAGAATATGTATACCCAACAAAGCTCTGTTGGGTGCCTTTCTTTTATTACAGCTCCCATCATACTGTACCATATTGCACAAGCGTTTACTTGTATGCAAATTAGGCTATGAATTCCTGATGAATACGATCCCTTTCTTATTCAACTTTGGTATCCCTAGAACATAGCACAGTTCTTGATGCAAAGCAGACTCTCAAAGTATGTCAGATGAATGAATGGATTAATGAATACCAGCTAATATGGAAAGCTGTTCTTATCCTTAGGAGTCACAGTGTGCAGGAGAGACAGACTTGTACACAATTAATTGCAATATCATACAGTACATATTACCTTGGGACATAGGCAGGAAACATTAATTTTGTCCGGGGTGATAATGGGACTAAAAGGCTTTTACAAATAGGCTGACATTTAGGCTAACTAGCTGATGTGAAGTCAAATTCATATTTTAGAATACAATTGTGTTACAATAATTATCTTCATGAGAATCTCAAACAAAATTGCAAGAGTCCAACATTCTTTTTGTAGGTAAATTTGGCAAAGGAACACCCTGTAGAATAAAAGGAAGAGAAAAGACAATCTCTGGCCCACAATTGAAGGAGTAAAGGTTTAGTAAACAGGAATGGAGAAAGGATGGAGGATTTAATGTGGTTCAGGTAATAAGAATAAAAAGTTTGGAATAGAGAAAGGTTGCTAGAGTCTAGAAATTGGTCAAATGAAATAGGCATATGTGAGGGCTGAGAAGTAAACACATTAATAAAATGCTGAATTCAATTCATTTGGTCAGCAAATATAGTGTTGGGAGTACAAAAACAAATGCAGACAAAATAAAAAAAAAATCCCTGCCCTTATAGATCTTACATAGAATTTTTCTAATTGGAATCCATGGATTTCAATGTTCCCTTGATATTTTCTTGTTTGCAATACGTACAACTTTTAAGGTATAAAATATGATATGTAAAAATAGAAAGTAGTCATAATATTTAAGTCTTACTAATAAAGGAATAATTAATTTTTTTTTTTTTTTGAGACAGAGTCTTGCTCCGCCATCCAGGCTGGAGTGCAGTGGCACAGTCTTGGCTCACTGCAACCTCTGCCTCCCGGGTTCAAGCGATTTTCCTGACTCAGCCTCCCAAGTAGCTGGGATTACAGGCACCCGCCACCACACCCACTAATTTTTTTGTCTTTTTTTAGTAGAGGCGGGGTTTCACCATGTTGGCCAGGCTGTCTTGAACTCCTGGTCTCAAGTGATTCACACACCTCGGCCTCCCAAAGTGCTGAGATTATAGGCATGAGCCACCACACCTGACCTAGATTTTTAAAAATAAAAAGCTTAAAGTGTTTTTCAGCACATGGACCAAATTCTAACAGGTTTATTAGCCCTTTGAAGGTGCAATTTCTGGATACCAAGATATCAATTATACTGTTGTTTCAGGTTCCTAACAATTAATAATTGAACAGTGCTTCAGAATTTATAAAGCACTTTTACATATTGAATGTTACCCCATTTAATCCTCAGTAACAACGTTTTTATTTATTTATTTTTGCACACTTTTTTTTGGGTAGAAAACAAAGCTGAGGCTAAATGAGGTAAAGTAAAATGACCAAGTTTTGCAGGGCAAAACTCAAACTCATTCCCTTGACCAGCTAGTCCAAAAGAGCTTCCATATACTCTTCTGCACTTGATTCTCATGTTTGATCTACTTCTTATTATCCCCATTTTAAGATGAAAAAACAGAAGTTCAGAGAGATTAAATAACTTGCCCAAAGTAAGTTGGCAGGTGGAGCTGGAACATATTTCCATGTCTAATGGTAACAAAATTCATGTATATTGCCAATCAACTTTAAAGACAAATATAGAAATATTAATATATCAACTTACTTTATTGTAATTTTTATTTTTAAAATGTTTTAAAGAGATGGGATCTCGCTACATTGCCCAGATAGTGCACTGCACCCTCGATCTCCTGAACTCAGGCAATCCTCATGCCTCAGCCTCCTAAGTAGCTGGGACTACAGGTGTGTGCCACTGTGCCCAGCTTTACTTTATTGTAATGTATATTAGGTGAGCTTATAATCTAAATAATTCCTTAGTTTAAGGTTATGCCTATCTCCAACAATGATACTAAAAAATGGTACAAAATAAGCTTTTATAGTTCCTACTTGCTCCTGCTTTAGGTAATAATTCAACTCCATAAGCAATACCATAAAGTGCTGACTAGCAAGGCAGGTCCGTGGGTGCTTTCACAACAGATAAAAAAGATTAACATTTTGAAAGGATAGTTAACTTTAAATATGAATACCATAACATCAGTTAGACAAACAGGGAAGAAGATGGCCGAATAGGAACAGCTCTGGTCTGCAGCTCCCAGCGTGATCAATGGAAAAGACAGGCGATTTCTGCATTTCCAACTGAGGTACCTGGTTCATCTCATTTGGACTGGTTGGACAGTGGGTACAGCTCACAGAGGGCGAGCCGAAGCAGGGTGGGGCATTGCCTCACCCAGGAAGCACAAGGGGTTGGGAGATTTCACTTTCCTAGCCAAGGGAAGCCGTGACAGACTGTACCTGGAAAAAACAGGACACTCCCACCCAAATACTGTGCTTTTCCCACAGTCTTAGCAACCGGCAGACCAGGAGATTATCTCCTGTGCCTGGCTTGGCAGGTCCCATGCCCACGGAGCCTTGCTCACTGCTAGAGCAGCAGTCTGAGATCAACCTGCAAGGCTGCAGCCTGGCTAGGGGAGGGGCATCCGCCATTGCTGAGGCTTGAGTAGGTAAACAAAGTGGCCAGGAAGCTCAAACTGGGTGGAGCCCACTGCAGCCCAGCAAGGCCTGCTGCCTCTGTAGACCCTACCTCTGTGGGCAGGGCATAGCTGAACAAAAGGCAGCAGAAACTTCTGCAGACTTAAACATCCCTGTCTGACAGCTCTGAAGAGAGCAGTGGATCTCCCAGCACGGCGTTTGAGCTCTGAGAACGGACAGACTGCTTCCTCAAGTGGGTCCCTGACCCCCGTTTAGCCTAACTGGGAGACACCTCCCAGTAGGGGCCGACAGACACCTCATACAGGCAGATGCCCCTCTGGGACGAAGCTTCCAGAGGAAGGATCAGGCAGCAATATTTGCTGTTCTGCAGCCTCCGCTGGTGATACCCAGGCAAACAGGGTCTGGAGGGGACCTCCAGCAAACTCCAACAGACCTGCAGCTGAGGGACCTGACTGTTAGAAGGAAAACTAACAAAACATAAAGGAATAGCATCAACATCAACAAAAAGGACATCCACACCAAAAGCCCATCTGTAGGTCACCAACATCAAAGACCAAAGATAGATAAAACCACAAAGAAGGGGAGAAACCAGAGCAGAAAAGCTGAATATTCTAAAAACCAGAGTGCTGCTTCTCCTCCAAAAGATCGCAGCTCCTCACCAGCAATGGAACAAAGCTGGACGGAGAATGACTTTGACGAGTTGACAGAAATAGGCTTCAGAAGGTCGGTAATAACAAACTTCTCTGAGCTAAAGAAGCATGTTCTAACCCATCACAAGAAAGCTAAAAACCTTGAAAAAGGGTTAGACGAATGGCTAACTAGAATAAACAGTGTAGAGAAGACCTTAAATGACCTGATGGAGCTGAAAACCATGGCATGAGAACTTCGTGACGCATGCACAAGCTTCAACAGCTGATTTGATCAAGTGGAAGAAAGGGTATCAGTGATTGAAGATCAAATTAATGAAATAAAGCAAGAAGACAAGATTAAAGAGAGTAAAAAGAAACGAACAAAGCCTCCAAGAAATATGGGACTATGTGAAAAGACCAAATCTACGTTTGATTGGTGTACCTGAAAGTGACGGGGAGAATGGAACCAAGTTGGAAAACACTCTTCAGGATATTACCCAGGAGAACTTCCCCAACATAGCAAGGCAGGCCAACATTCAAATTCAGGAAATACAGAGAACACCACAAAGATACTCCTTGAGAACAGCAACCCCAAAACACATAATTTTCAGATTCACCAAGGTTGAAATGAAGGAAAAGATGTTAAGGGCAGCCAGAGAGAAAGGTCAGGTTACCCACAAAGGGAAACCCATCAGACTAACAGCAGATCTCTCGGCAGAAACCCTACAAGTCAGAAGAGAGTGGAAGCCAATATGCAACATTCTTAAAGAAAAGAATTTTCAACCCAGAATTTCATATCCAGTCAAACTAAGCTTTATAAGTGAAGGAGAAATAAAATCCTTTACGAACAACCAAATGCTGAGAGATTCTGTCACCACCAGGTTTGCCTTACAATAGCTCCTGAAGGAAGCACTAAACATGGTACAACCAGTACCAGCTACTGCAAAAACATGCCAAATTGTAAAGACCATCAATGCTATGAAGAAACTGCAACAATTAGTGGGCAAAATAACCAGCTAACATCATAATGACAGGATCAAATTCACACATAATAATATTAACCTTAAATGTAAATGGGCTAAATGCCCCAATTAAAAGATACAGACTGGCAAATTGGATAAAAAGTCAAGACCCATCAGTGTGCTATATTCAGGAGACCCATCTCACGTGCACACATAGGCTCAAAATAAAGGGATGGAGGAAGATCTGTCAAGCAAATGGAAAGCCAAAAAAAGCAGGGGTTGCAATCCTAGGCTCTGATAAAACAGAATTTAAACCAACAAAGATCAAAAGAGACAAGGTCATTACATAATGGTAAAGGGAACAATTCAACAAGAAGAGCTAACTATCCTAAATATATATGCATCCAATACAGGAGCACCCAGATTCACAAAGCAAGTCCTTAGAGACTTACAAAGAGACTTAGATTCCCACACAATAATAATGGGAGACTTTAACACCCCACTGTCAATATTAGACAGATCAACAAGACAGAAGGTTAACAAGGATATCCAGGACTTGAACTCAGCTCTGCACCAAGTGGACCTAATAGAAATCTACAGAACTCTCCACCCCAAATCAACAGAATATACATTCTTCTCAGCACCACATCGCACTTATTCCAAAACTGACCACATAATTGGAAGTAAAGCACTCCTCAGCAA
This sequence comes from Homo sapiens, assembly GCF_000001405.40. Classification (NCBI taxonomy): domain Eukaryota; kingdom Metazoa; phylum Chordata; class Mammalia; order Primates; family Hominidae; genus Homo; species Homo sapiens. Next base: position 61,675,786 of record NC_000017.11, read on the forward strand.
ATATAAAAGAACAGAAATCACAACAAACTGTCTCTCAGACCACAGTACAATCCAATTAGAACTCAGGATTAAGAAACTCACTCAAAACCACACAACTATATGGAAACTGAACAACCTGCTCCTGAATGACTACTGGGTAAATAACAAAACGAAAGCAGGAATAAAGATGTTCTTTGAAACCAATGAGAACAAAGACACCACGTACCAGAATCTCTCAGTGTGTAGAGGGAAATTTATAGCACTAAATGCCCATAAGAGAAAGCAGGAAAGATCTAAAATTGACACCCTAACATCACAATTAAAAGAACTAGAGAAGCAAGAGCAAACAAATTCAAAAGCTAGCAGAAGGCAAGAAATAACTAAGATCAGAGCAGAATTAAAGGAGATAGAGACACAAAAAACCCTTCAAAATAAGTCAGTGAATCCAGAGCTGGTTTTTGAAAAGATCAACAAAATTGATAGACCACTAGCGAGACTAATAAAGAAGAAAAGAAAGAAGAATCAAATAGATGCAGTAAAAAATGATAAAGGGGATTTCACCACCGATCCCACAGAAATACAAACTACCATCAGAGACTACTATAAACACCTCTATGCAAATAAACTAGAAAATCTAGAAGAAATGGATAAATTCCTCGACACATACACCCTCCCAAGACTAAACCAGGAAGGTGAATCTCTGAATAGACCAATAACAGGTTCTGAAATTGAGGCAATAATTAATAGCCTGCCAACCAAAAAAAGTCCAAGACCAGAGAGATTCACAGCCAAATTCAACCAGAGGTACAAAGAGGAGCTGGTACCATTTCTTCTCTAACTATTCCAATCAATAGAAAAAGAGGGAATCCTCCCTAATTCATTTTATGAGGCCAGCATCATCCTGACACCAAAGCCTGGCAGAGACACAACCAAAAAAGAGACCAATATTAAGTAGGAATTTTCCCTATTTAATAAATGGTGCTGGGAAAACTGGCTAGCCATATGTAGAAAGCTGAAACTGGATCCCTTCCTTATACCTTACACCAAAATTAATTCAAGATGGATTGAAGACTTAAATATTAGACCTACAACCATAAAAACACTAGAAGAAAACCTAGGCAATACCATTTAGGACATAGGCATGGGCAAAGACTTCATGACCACAACACCAAAAGCAATGGCAACAAAAGCCAAAATTGATAAATGGGATCTAATTAAACTAAAGAGCTTCTGCACAGCAAAAGAAACTACCATCAGAGTGAACAGGCAACCTACAGAATGGGAGAAAATTTTTGCAATCTACCCATCTGATAAAGGGCTAATATCCAGAATCTACAAAGAACTTAAACAAATTTACAAGAAAAAAACCCATCAAAAAGTGGGCAAAGGATATGAACAGACACTTCTCAGAAGAAGACATTTATACAGCCAACAGACACATGAAAAAATGCTCATCATCACTGGTCATCAGAGAAATGCAAATCAAAACCACAATGAGATACCATCTCATGCCAGTTAGAATGGTGATCGTTAAAAAGTCAGGAAACAATAGATGCTGGAGAGGATGTGGAGAAATAGGAACGCTTTCACACTGTTGGTGGGAGTGTAAATTAGTTCAACCATTGTAGATGACAGTGTGGCAATTCCTCAAGTATCTAGAACTAAAAATACCATTTGACCCAGTAATCCCATTACTGGGTATATACCTAAAAGATTATAAATCATGCTACTATAAAGACACACGCACATATATGTTTATTGCGGCACTATTCGCAATAGCAAAGACTTGGAACCAACCCAAATGTCCATCAACGATAGACTGGTTTAAGAAAATGTGGCACATATACACCATGGAATACTATGCAGCTATAAAAAGGGATGAGTTCATGTCCTTTGCAGGGACATGGATGAAACTGGAAACCATCATTCTAAGCAAACTGTCACAAGGACAGAACACCAAACACCCCGTGTTCTCACTCATAGGTGGGAATTGAACAATGAGAACACTTGGACACAGGGTGGGGAACATCACACACTGGGGCCTGTCTGGGGGTGGGGGTCTGGGGGAGGGATAGCTTAGGAGTAATACCTAATGTAAATGATGAGTTGATGGGTGCAGCAAACCAGCATGGCACATGTATACCTATGTAACAAACCTGCACGTTGTGCACATATACCCTAGAACTTAAAGTATAATAAAAATAAATTAATTAAAAAAATAAAAATACAGGAAAAAAAAGAAAAACAGGGAAAATATACGAAGACAATACTGCATCTAAAATAATAACAAACAGTACTAAATACTTTTAAAACTTTTCAACTATATGTGAATCATATATAAAAGATAATGGCACCTAGTTTACAGAAATGGTATGCCTCTTGTACAATTTTGTGTTTTATAATAGCAAGGAGCCAAATCAAACTTTAATATTGAATTCTATAAATATTAATGTAAAATATTTTCATGTGAAATGATGAAATTTTGGGGAAAGCGTTAAGATAATCAAAATAATATAAATTCCCGAATAAAGGAAGACTGAGCCAAGAAAATACAAAGTTATTATAAAATGTACTAAAATATCTATCTAATTATGCCTTGTTACACATTCCTTTTAATCAGTATTTACCATTGGGTTTTCAAAGGTTAATTTCTGGGAACAGTAAATTTCATATAGCTTTTGTTTTCTTTCCAATACATTGACGCTTGTTTATTACAGAGTGGAATTTGGTGTAAGATGGGTTGTTTTGGACCTGGTCCAAGAGGGTTTAGTTACTGAAAGCACCTCATTATAAGGTAGTCTTACCAATAAGGTGATCTGCTGGCTCAGATCCCATGTATATTATAACAAGGCTCCATTGTGGAGTACAGGAAGCCAGGCAGCTAATGGTTCTATCAAATGAAACTTAAGAAACAAAATTCTTTTTTTTTTTTTTTGAGACATGAAAATTGTTTAAGGCTAGAGGATCATAAGCCTTGGTCACTTTTCCAAATTTCTATTTCCTGATGTTCTTTATTGTATTTTTCATAGCTCTGCAGTTATTTTACGTTAAGGTTTTAGCTTTCTTACATTCATTGCTTGATCTGGTCTTAAAATTTTTTTTGATTATCATCAATACTATCTATTTACAAAAGATTAACTGCATTTACCTATGGAAATAGATAATAAACCACCAAGAATTCATAAAGGTTAAATTCTTGTGTAACTCATTGAGAAATCAGCGTTTAAAAGAGCATATGCGAGAATAATTGTGTGGTAATCAAATACAAAAGAATGCCATCACTTAGAGATGACCATGATAACCAGCCTTTCAAGTGATTTGACAACAGGTGCTTTGATTTCATGAAATTTTGTAAGCAGCCCTAAAGAATTAAATATTTTAAATGCGTTTTAATATAGGAAAGTAATACAAAAAAGTCCAGTTGCAGAAAAATAACGGGGAAAAGCTTTTTGTTAAAATTAATGTTTTGAATAGAAAGATCTTAACAACAAAGCCTTATAGAAACTTAGAAACAGTGCCAAATTTAAACCCATGTAATAACTAAGTGCATAGAAACATAGTAATAGTTTTATAACACAATTCTAGACAGTTTTAAATAATTTAATCAAGTCATGAAACATCTACTCTTTACATTGTACCTTTATTCCAAGAATAAAGCCCTGTCTCTAACTGGTAGTTTTCCTGGTTTGCAGCCTGTGTGCTCTATATACTTTCAGTCCTTGAATAAATTCAGTATTAGATAATTATTTCATATGCATTGAATGTGTCACATAAATTATTTGATAAACAATCTCTACCTTATACATCTCAAAAGCTTAAAAAATAAGCCAGCCAAATAATTTTTCTTTCCTCAAATCTTTATTGTCAGTCTATCACCTATATATCTATAGTTAGGGAAGCTTTCATATAGAGCAAGGGTGCACTCCAGATATATGATTCATCTACTAATTAATAATGAATAACTTGCAATGTGCCAGGTGCTCTTTTAAAAGCATTTAGATGTTTTAACTTATTTAAATCTGTAAACATTTCTTTTAAAAGTATGTTATCAGTAATGAAAATGGCCTACATCCTACTCTATAAAGGCCAGTAGTTTACTTCTTGGAATATCATCTTGGTCAGTCATGATCTGAGGAGAATATACACCTGTTTCAACAGTGATTATCATTGTATAAAATTTTTGAAACACCTTTTGGAATTACTAAAGGGTTGTGACACATCTCTATGTACATTCTCAGTAATGAAAATTTTTAACTTCAGGGAGAATTAAATTTTGGAAAGAATAAAAAATATCTAGGCCAGGCATGGTGGCTCACGCCTGTAATCCCAACACTTTGGGAGGCCGAGGTGGGCAGATCACTTGAGGTCAGGAGTTTGAGACCAGCCTGGCCAACATGGTGAAACCCTGTCGATACTTAAAAAAAAAAAAAAAAAAAAATTAGCTGGGTGCAGTGGTGTACACCTGTAATCCCAGCTACGCAGGAGGCTGAGACATGAGAATCGCTTTAACCTGCGAGGCAGAGGTTGCAGTGAGCCAAGATCGTGCCTTTGCACTCCAGCCTGAGCGACAGAGCAAGACTGTCTAAAACAAACAAACAAAAACATATCTAGCTAGGGAAAGGGGAAAGTATTGGAGATGAAGTTGGGTAATAACACTAAGATATGAATAATATGCTTAATTTTCTCATGTAGTTTACCAATTCTAAAGGTAATTTCTTTTTTTTTTTTTTTTTGAGACGGAGTCCCGCTCTGTCGCCCAGGCTGGAGTGCAGTGGCGCAATCTCGGCTCACTGCAAGCTCCACCTCCCGGGTTCACGCCATTCTCCTGCCTCAGCCTCCTGAGTAGCTGGGACTACAGGCGCCCGCCACCACGCCTGGCTAATTTTTTGTATTTTTAGTAGAGACGGGGTTTCACCGTGTTAACCAGGATGGTCTCGATCTCCTGACCTCGTGATCCGCCCGCCTCGGCCTCCCAAAGTGCTGGGATTACAGGCGTGAGCCACCGCGCCTGGCCCTAAAGGTAATTTTAAAAGTCCTCAAAATGTTTTAATTGTAGCATTGCGAAAATAAATATCTAGCTTTCCAAGTTATTATGCACATATACCATCTGTGTCAGTCTGTTCTCATGCTGCTAATAAAGTCATACCCAAGACTGGGTAATTTATAAAGGAAAGAGGTTTAATTGACTCACAGTTCTGCATGACTGAGGAGGCCTCAAGAAACTTACAATCATGGCGGAAGGCAACTTTTCACAGGGCAGCAGGAGAGAAGAATGAGAGTGAAGCAGGGAAAAGCTCCTTATAAAATCATCAGGTCTCATAAGAACTCAGTATCACGAGAACCGCATGAGGGTAACCGCCCCCACGATTCAATTACCTCCCACTGGGTCCTTCCCACAACACGTCGGGATTATGGGAACTACAATTCAAGATGAGATCTGGCTGGGGACATAGCCAAACCACGTCACCATCGTTCCCTAAATGTAAATGAGTAAGAGCCACTTTACTTTTTAAATGAAATAATATGCTTTATTTTAACCGTTCTGGAACAAAAGCAAATGAAAATCGACTCAGAATATCAACAGACATTCCTTTATAGATTCTCAAAGCACAAAGAAATTTGTATGATTTTATAGTACTAACCGCTGCATTTTACAGATGAAACTAATTCCCTGAAGGGTGTGGTGATTGCCAATATGACTTAGCAAATCAGTGGCAGAGCCAGGTGTAGAGCCCAAGTCTCTTGTCTTCTACCAGGTATTTATTCGTTTCACTACCCTACTATCCCTATCTGTGGTTTAAGAATAATACCAGAGGAGATAAATTGTTTCACCCTTTCAAAACAATGTAAAAATTACCTTCTAATCGAGTATTTGGTATTTACTGCTCAATGATCAACTAGAAAAAATATATAATACTAGATGGGATCTAATATATTCTAAATTCTTTAACTGGTAACTTGTCAATTTAAATGTCTTTGAACTACGCTTAGAGTTGTAACATCAAATGCTATAGAAACAGGCTGTAAAAATCTAAATGTCTCAAAATGGAAGCAAAGACATACCTATATAATGATTCATTTATCCAAATGAAATGTAAAGTAAATCCTTACTGGAAATTTTGACTTGAAAATAATAGACCATACAGAATTCTTGGATAGCTCATAAAATTTCAATTCAAATTACTCACAAAAAGTCCCAATGCCCAGTGAATAACAGATGTTTCTTAAAAAGAGATCAATGAATGTATTTTTGGAATGATGTCAGAGATGAGCCTCTTTTATAATCATTTTTGATTAGACATATAGCTTCATTCACAAAAACACAAACAAGGTCAAAATTCACAGAAAGGATTACTGTGCCCTAAGGAAACATATTTTAGCTGCAGCTATAAATGTGGGTTTGCTTATCAAATTTATATATGAAGTTTTCTATCTTAATCATTGTATAACTAAAGCTTATGCTAGAACAATACCAGAGGGGATAAATTGTTTCACCCTTTCTAAACAATGTAGAAATTACCTTCTAGTCTAGTGTTTGGTACTTATTACTCACTGATCCACTAGGAAAAATATATAATACTAAGCAGGATCTAGTATTTTTTTCCACAATGATGGTGAAGCTAAATAATTAGAATAGAAAATTTGGAATACTTCATTTGGCATTTTATATCTTTACGTCAATTTGTTTATGACATGTTTGGTTTTAGGTTTATTATACAAAGAATGTAAAACAATTTCAATTAAAAATGCATACTACTTTCTTAATTTCTCTTAATTACTTATAAGTAGGCAGTTTAATAACGAAATAAACCTTTCAAGACAAATGGTGATCTCTGAAAAAGTCTTGGACTGATTTGAGGTAAAATCTATAGCGAAATATGACTGAGGTGTCACTAGATTAGACTGCTGTTAATTTTTATGTATCAGTGTGAAAACAAATGGATGAAGAGAACCACCTAATATGAATATTTACGTGAAACTAGAAGTGCCCTAGGATCTTTGAATAATTTTAAATTGCATTTAGCTAAGGAAGACTTATTTGAGGACAGTACTTTGTATGAATTACTTTATCAAAACTCAAGAATGGGCCAGGCACTGTGGCTCACACCTGTAATCCCAGCAACTTAGGGAGGCAGAGAAGGGCAGATCACGAGGCCAGGAGTTCGAGACCAGCCTGGCCAACATGGTGAAACCCCATCTCTACTAAAAATACAAAAACTAGCTGGGCATGGTGGTGCACACCTGTAGTCCCAGCTACTCAGAAGGCTGAGGCAGGAGAATCACTTGAACCTGGAGGTGAAGGTTGCAGTGAGCCCAGAGCACACCACTGCATTCCAGCCTGGGCAACAGACCAAGACTCTGTCTCAAAAAAAAAAACCCAAAAACTCAAGAATAATAACATTTACATTTCTGAACATAAAATAGTTTTTTAAAAAGTATGCCACTTATTCAATTTACAAATTATTACTTACAACAGAGTTTAACATAAGCATGATGACATATTTTTACTTAGCTTGAGAGTTAAGTATTATTACTTAAAACCAGGAAACATGCCTTTATTTTTGGAAGGAGATGGTTTAAAGTTCTTTATTTCTATTTCATGAGTTTTTCCCAGTTCCAGTTCATTTATCCAAGTTGTTTTTACATTACCATCAATGTCATCAATTTTACTTTCTTCAATATGCAGAATTCCATTCAACTTTGTATCTATGCAATCCTCAGCTTTCACTTCTCTGGCTGAATCTACTTCTTTTATAGTTCTAATTTCAAAAAGGTCTTTAGCTAAAATGCAATCTGAATTGTTAGCCAATCTATTTCCTCTATCAGTTTCAGCTAGGTCATTTTTTTCTTCATCTGTATCTTCAGGATCATAAAGTTCAGGTGTAAAATAGATAGATTCATCTTCTGCTTCTGTTTCAAAATCTCTATTTGAAGTGGACTGTTTATCTTCTTCACTTACTAGAGACAATTCAATGTCTGGATCCAGGGCTTCTTCAGAACAGAGCGGATGTTCAGAATGATTTTTTCTAGTAAGGGTGGCATCAATCTTTAATGATGAAATAATGGTTTCTGATTGAGGGCATGATCCAAACGATGTGTTTACTGTCAGATTTGAGGATTCACATTTATCAGTGAAGGGCAAAACAGTTTTACTTTCCATCTTCTCTGTTTTGAAACGGGGAGGACTAGAGGCACTATTCTCTGATGACCCGAGCTCAGGTGTTGCCTTCGGTATTTTACCAGTAAAATACTGTCCCAAAGAATTAAAGCTTGACCAGCTAACTCTCTTTGTTTGTTTGTTGAAAGTTGGGCTTGTGGATCTGGAAATCACAATTTTTTCTGCTTTCCCTGCTTCTTCCAGGAATACTGGATCATCTAAGAATACAAGAATTTAAGAGATTTAACTTTCTGCTCCTAGCTAACATAATTGCTAGGTTAAAATAATTATTTATTAGAAATACCTAAATAACTGTATAGGATACATAACTTAGAGCCCCCAACGAATACTAGTGGATTTTCATCTTGGAACAGAATATTAACTCTGAAAGAAATCTTAGGTCTCTAATGTTTCCTAGCCCAAGTTATAATGCTGTCTGGTAAACTATCAAATTCCACAGCAGGGAGCTCAAGAATGAATGAGGAAAGAAGGGGTAAAAGGGAAGAGGAAGGGAGCTGAGGAAAGGAGGGAACAGGCTGTAAACATTTGCCTTGAAAATCCACTAACCAGTGACTGAGAAAAACTTACCTAGACTAATTCTTTTATTTAATAAATAAGGAAAGTGACATAAGGCTAAGTTATTTGCTCAAAGTTATAAAACTGGTTAGTAAGAAGACCAAGACTAGAAACTAGGTTTCCTGATTACCAAGTTAATCGGCTTGAATTCACTATTTATAGTGAATTTTGTATTACTATTTTGTAGTATTTATATACAAAATTGTATTACTATTTTGTAGTACTTATATACTACAAAATACATGTTTAAAAATTGATGTTTTTCTTTTTTTTAGTCCGAGTTTTGCTTTTGTTGCCCAGGCTGGAGTGCAATGGCGCAATCCTGGCTCACTGCAACCTCCACCTCCCAGTTCAAGCAATTCTCCTGCCTCAGCCTCCTGAGTAGCTGGGATTACAGACAGCTGCCTCCACACCCAGCTAATTTTTGTATTTTTTTAGTAGAGACGGTGTTTCACCACACTGGTCAGGCTGGTCTCGGACTCCTGACCTCGGATGATCCACCCGCCTTGGATATATGAATTAAAACAACTGAAATTATATCCAATGGAATAGACCAGAGTTTGGCAAACCTTTTCTGTCATAGGCCAGATAGTAATATTTAGGCTTTGTGGAGCATAATGTATCTGTTGCGACTACTCAATTATGCTGTTCTAGTGCAATACACACAAATACTCAACTCTGCTGTTGTTTCTAAAATGTAAATAAATGGGCATGACTACATTTCATTAAACTTTATTTACAAAAACAGGCAGCAGGCCAAATTTGGCCCATGGGCCACAGTTTGCCAATCTGATACAGATGATTATTTCAAAATATTTTAAAATATTATTTTTCATCACTTAAAATAAATGTCTCTCACCTCCTAAAAATAAGTTCATAAGAACTATCTATATAGGAAAAGTAGTTCATATAGAAGTATCTACATAAAAATTAGGCCAAATTTTTATATAGCCTTTAGAATAACATCTACCACTTACATGGTACTTTACAATGCTGTGATATTTATAATTTTGACCTTTACAACCCAACCTGAAGGGATAGCTAGGCAGGCATTTTTTTTTTCCTATTACGACTCAAAAAGGACAAATGACTTGCTCATGATCACAAAGCTAGTAAGTGGCAAAGCCAGTTAGTGGAAAACCAGAAAATATGCTCTGGTCTCCTGACAAAAGTTTGTTCCCATTACAGTACACCATACTGTTTCACTATTTTATGATAACACCTTATATTACAAACCACCATATTTAAGGAATTAATCTATACCCAAATAAATATCATTTCACTAAATATAATGAAAGACTTCTCTATCAAAGGTAAATGGGAAGAACTTTTCATACTTTTCTCCTTTCTGGAGATAATGCTACTTGGTAGAGGTGAATTTTTGGTAATAATTTTAGGACACTGTAGTTCCTGGACACATATCTTTGCTTCATCTTCCACAAAATTTTCTGGTGATAGATGACTTGCTGCTTCCAGTAAATAAGGTGAGGTACTGTACTTTAAAGAGGTCACTTCAAGTGTAGACTCATTGTCCTGTATATTGGTTCTGTCCTTTATGGATACATTAAGAACTTTTTGATGCTTTTTGGAAAATTCAGCCAAGGATTCCAGTGCACTTTCAAAGGTTGAATGGTGCTGAATCTGCTGCCGTACCCATTTAGAAAGTCCTAAAGAAAAAGGTAAACCCAGGGAAAATTTGGTTACTTAGTTATTAAAATATTACATGCTAAGGTAATACACTTGCTTTTTCTAGTGAAGTAACCTAATTTGTATTTTGAATATACAGAATGGTTCTCCATATGTTTTTTCTGCAATTCAGCAATTTTACTACATATGTATCAGTAACATATGAGTAACATTCTCTTTATATACAGTAATTGTCAAATGGAGAGAGCAAAGAGGCAGTAGAAGTAGGGCAGAGATGGGAAAACATATTCTCTGGTTAAGAATAACTGGTGAACATGGCAAATTTAATTTCATCATAATTCCCCACAAAAATTGCCTTTTTTTTTTGTAGGGAAACTAGAAGTTGTAAACAATACAACTTTCCATTCTAATATTCTAAATTTTACTCCTTTTGCAAAAATAATTTCAAGATTCTAGTCTCAAGTTTTTTTGTTCCCTTCCTCCACCAATTCCAAATATATCTTAAATTAAAATTATTCTGGAGGTGAAATAAATAACACTGTCTTATGGGTAAATCACATCCCTTCTGAATTTTTATGATATAATTATTTTTAATATATAATCAAGTTATAAAGGATATGATTTGACCTGTGACATAAAAACTGCACAAAAATGAAACCTAAGAGTTTAAGGTGTTTTCTAGTATGGTGTGCTTCCAAATGAAATGCAAAATCAGGTATTTGGACTTTTACAAAATAAATATTCCCTGCTAACACTACTAAAACTAGCATCATCTTTTGGAGGAATTAGTTTTAAAAGTCACTATAGGGTAAAAATTTAAGTTCTAGATTTTAAAACTAAAAAAATTTTAAATAAGCCATTTCCCTTGAAGTTTTTTATTTTGTTCATTTGGGGAATATGATTAGACCATAAAAATATGTGAAATTCTCTAAAATTGAAAATTTTTAGGCTGAGTGTGGTGGCTCACATGTATAATCCCAGCATTTGGGGAGGCTGAGGTGGGAAGATTGCTTGAGGCCAGGAGTTCAAGGTTTCAGTGAACTATGATCACGTCACTGCACTCCAGCCTGGGCAACAGAGTAAGACCTGTCTCTAAAAAAGAAATAAGTAAATAAAAATAAGAATTTTAGTACTATATTTACCTCTTCATTTCAACCTTTTTATAATCAAAGAAAGCCTTTTCAATGTAAAATATCATTGTCTGCTTTTGAAAACTTGAAAGAATCTGAGCTCCACCTGCTGACTAGACACCAGCACTTAGCATTTTTGCCTTTAGTTACTGTTTGACCTATGCTACTGCACACTTTACGTGGAAAGGGAAGATAAAACAAATAAAGCAATATTTTCTGCTTTATGTTTTAATATCAAACCAAATACAGTCATTAAGCTCTGAAATTGAAAAGGTAGAGTCTACACCCACACATGGCTAATCTAAAACAAAATTTAACATCTCTTTATTATAATAAAATGTATTTTTTTTTTAGCTAAAAGGTAATAATAAAGATACACATGTATCCCATAGCTCTTTAGTAATCACTCCTGGTATTGACTCTGAAAACTGTTTACTGTTGGATGAAACCATCGAGTGAGAAAAAAATGATACTACTGCCTGCATCAAAGCGGTAGGAAAATTTGTGGCACCCTCTTGTCATGATCCCCACTTCAGAATATACCTGGCTGCTTCTTCCTGGGGAGAAAAGAGAAAACTGGACCTTATGTCTTTTTCTGGGAGGCTGCCCCAGGGACTGGCTTCTATCTTACCTGTACTGAAGAGCTGACATGAGCTGGCATACCCTACATGCCCAGGGGCCACTAAGAACAAAAGCGCTGTGCAGCAAGTTTCTGCTCCACAGGAACCACAGTGCAACAGAGGCCCATATAGTTTGATGGCCACTCCCTCAGGGGGACAGAAAAGCCTGGAGTGTGCATCCAACATCTTGGCTTTTCAAGGAGCTGTCTAGGGACTCGTTTCTGTCTTGCTTGTCATAGAGTACTGACTGGACCTAGCATACTCTGTATGCCTGGAATCTACTAAGAACAAAAGAGAGTCAGGCGTGATGGCTCATGCCTGTAATCCCAGCACTTAGGGAGGCCGAGGCAGGCAGATGACTTGAGCCCAGAGCCCAGGAGTTTGAGACCAGCGTGGACAACATGGTGAAACCCCATCTCTACAAAAAATACAAGAATTAACTGGGTATAGTGGTGTACACCTGTGGTCCCAGTTACTTGGGAGACTGAGGTGGGAGAATCCCTTGAACCCAGGAAGCCGAGGCTGCAATGAGCTGAGATTGTACCACTGCACTCCAACATGGGCGACAGAGTGAGACCTTGACCAAAACAAAAAAAAACCAAGCAAATATTTCTAATAAGGAATTTACAGAGAAGTCCAAAGAAGACAGATCCACGGAAAAGGTTTGAGAGGCTCCCAGAATGCCTACCAGGGCTGATGAGTGAAGGTCTTTCCCTGTACAAAACCAGTTAGTAAACACTGTGAGAGGTGGCTGTTTTTTCAAATGTGTGGATACCATACAAGGTTACAAGAAACATAAAGAAACAGGAAAAAATAACCCTGTCAAAGGAACAAAATAAGTCTCCAGAAACCAACCCTTAAAAAAAAAAAAAAGCTATATGAATTACCTGGCAAGGAATTTAAAATAACTGTCAACATGATGCTCACAAGTTCAAGAAAATAATATAGAAAAAAAGGAGAATTTCAACAATGATAAAGAATACAAAAAAGAACTAAAGAGATTTTGGAGCTAAAAAATGCAATAACTGGACTGAAAAATTCACTACAGGGGTTCATCAGCAGACTTGATCAAGCAGAAGGAAGAATCAGGAAATTTATTTTATTTTACTTTATTTTATATATTTTATATTCTGTTATGTTATGTTATGTTATGTTATGTTATTTTTTTGAGACAGTCTCGCTCTGTCGCCCAGGCTGGAGTGCAGTGGCGCCATCTCGGCTCACTGAAACCTCCGCCTCCCTGATTCAAGCGATTCTCCTGCCTCGGCCTCTCAAGTAGCTGGGACTACAGGCATGTACCACCACACCCGGCTAATTGTCGTATTTTTAGTAGAGGTGGGGTTTCACCACGTTGGCCAGGCTGGTCTTGAACTCCTGACCTCAAGTGATCCACCTTCCTCAGCCTCCCAAAGTGCTAAGAATCAGGAAATTTGAAGGCAAGTCGTTTGAAATCATCCAGTCAGGGAAGCAAAAAGTAAAAAACAAAATGGAAAAAAAAAAGTGAAGGCTTATGGCTTCATTTATGACTTGACTTATGGGGCACCGTCAAGCTGACCAATATACACATTCTGGGAGTCCTAGAAAGAGAAAGAGAGAAAGGAGCAGAAAGCTTATTTATAGAAATAATGACCGAAAACTTAATAAACCTGGGGGGAGGAAAATGACATCCAAATACATGAAGCCCAGTGAACCTGAACAGGATGAACCCAAAAGTCTGTACCAAAACACTTTATAATCAAAGTGTCAAAAGTCAAAGAAAACAATAGAAATTTGAAAACAGCAAGATAAAAGCAACTTGTCATATACAAATGAAGTCCCATAAGACAGTCACTAGGCCGGGCATGAAGGCTCATGCCTATAATCCCAACACTTTGGGAGGCAGAGGTAGGAGAATTGCTTGAGCCGAGGAGTTTGAGATTAGCCTGGGCAACATAGTGAGACCCCATCTCTACAAAAAAAATTAAAAATTAGCCAGGTCTGGTGGTGCATGCCTGTAGTCCCAGCTGAGGCTGAGGTGGGAGGATCACTTGAGCCTGGGAGGCTGAGGCTGCAGTGAGTCATGATCATGCCACTGGACTCCTGCCTGGGTGGCAGAGTAACATCCTGTCTCCAAAAAGAGAAAGATTTCTCAGGCGACATCTTGCATGCTGTAAGGAAGTGGGATGACATGTTTGAAGTGCTGAAAGAAAAAAACCTGCCAGTGAAGGATATTATATCTGGTAAAGCCATCTATCAAAATGAATAGGAGGTAAAAACTTTTCCAGATAAGCAAAAGCTGAGGGACTTCACCACTAAACGTGCCTTACAAGATATGCTAAAGGAAGCCTGCTAAACAGCAACACAAAAGCATAAAGTTTGCTCGTGAAGTTAAAAGTGTACACAAATACAGAATACTTTAATATAACAACAGTGATACATAAATAATGTTTAATTCTATACAGAAGTTAAAAGACAAAGTATGAAAATAACTATAATAGTATGTTAGTGGATACACTATATAAAAGGGTATAATTTGTGACTTTAATAATAAAATGTGATGGGAAAAGTAAAAGTGTAGAGTTTATACAACTGAAATGAATTTGTTAGCTGAAAATATTGTTATAACTATGTTTCATGTAAGACCCATGTAACCACAAAGGAAATATCTATAGAAGGTATACAAAAGAAAAATGAGAAAGGAATCAAAGCATTTTTCTTCAAAAAATTAAAAAATGAAAAGCTTTTAAGACCAGCAACAAAGCAAGGATGTTCATTCTCACTACTTCTATTTAGCTTAGTACTAAGAATCCTAGCCAGACTATTAGGCAAGAAAATGAAATAAAAGGAATCCAAATTGAAAAAGAATAAAGTGAAATGATCTCTCTTTGCAGATGACATGATCTTTTATGTGGAAAACCCTAAAGATTGAAAAAAAACCTGTTAGGACTAATAAATCCAGTAAAGTTGCAGAATACAAAAATCAATGTACAACAATCACTTGCAATTCTATACACTAAAAACAACCAAAAGAGGAATGTAAGAAAACAATCCCATTTATAATAGTATGAATGAAGCTGGAAACCATCATTCTCAGCACACTACCGCAAGGACAGAAAACCAAACATGGCATGTTCTCACTCATAGGTGAGAACTGAACAATGAGAACACTTGGACACAGGAAGGGGGACATCACACACCGGGGCCTGTTGTGGGGTGGGGGGAGAGGGGGGAGGGATAGCATTAGGAGATATACCTAATGTAAACGACAAGTTAATGGGTGCAGCACACTAACATGGGACATGTATACATATGTAACAAACCTGCACGTTGTGCACATGTACCCTAGAACTTAAAGTATAATAATAAAAATAAAAATTAAAATAAAAAAACTCAAACCAGGGAAAAAAAATAGCATCAAAAATAATAAAATACCTAGGAATAAACAACTAAGGAGGCAAAAAACCTGTACACTGGAAATTATAAAACATTGCTGAAAAACAGTAAAGATAACACAAATAAATGGAAAGATATCCCATGTTCACAGATTGGAACACCTAATATTGTCAGAATGTCCATACTACTGAAAGCAATCTTTTTTTGAGACAGAATCTTGCTCTGTTGCCCAGGCTAGAGTGCAGTGGCGCGGTCTTGGCTCACTGCAACCTCCGCCTCCCAGGTTCAAGCCATTCTCCTGCCTCAGCCTCCAGAATAGTTGAGATTACAGGCACCCGCCACCGCACCCGGCTAATTTTTGTATTTTTAATAGAGATGGGGTTTCACCATGTTGGCCAGGCTGGTCTCAAACTCCTGACCTCGTGATCCACCTGCCTTGGCCTCCCAAAACACTGGGATTACAGGCGTGAGCCACCATGCCCGGCTGCAATCTAAATTCATATGGAACCACAAAGGACCACAAATAGGCAAAAGAACCTTGAGAAAAATGATAAAAGCTGCAGGCATCATACCTCCCGATTATAAAATACATTACACAGCTGTAGTAGTCAAAAAAGTATGGTACTGGCATAAAGAGAACCATATAAGCCAATGGAACATAATAGAGAGCTCAGAAGCAGATCCACACATATATGGTCAGCGGATCTTCAACAGGGTGTCATTGGGGATTGATATGCTTTGGTTATTTGTTTCCTCCAAAGCTCATGTTGAAATGTGTTCCCCCATGTCATAGGTGGGGCCTAGTGGGAGGTATGTGGGTCATGGGGACAGAACCCTCATGAAAGCCTTGGTGCTATGATTGTAGACTTTCTGAGGTCCTCATTAGAAGCAGATGCTGATGCCATGATTCTTGTGCAGCCTGCAGAACCATAAGCCAAATAAATCTCTTATCTTTATAAATTATCCAGTCTTGGTATTGGCAATGATTGTTTGGATATGACACCAAAAACACAGGCAATAAAAGCAAAATTAGACAAGGAAGACCATGTTAAACTAAAAAACTTCTGTGCAGCAAAGTAAATAATCAGCAGAGTCAAAAGGCAGCCTATAGAATGGGAGAAAATAATTTGCAACGCATATATCTGATAAAGAGTTAATCCCCAAAATATATAAGAAACTCCTATATCTCAATAGAAAAAACAAACAAAAAAACACACCAAAAACCAAACCAAAAAAACAGATATGCAAAGAAATCCAAATAACCCAATTAAAAAATGAGCAAATGAAAAGATGTTTCTCCAAAGAAGACATATGATTTGGCCAACAGGTATAGAAAAGATGCTTAACATCCCTATTCATCAGAGAAATGCAAATCAAATCCACACTGTGCTATCACATTATACCTGCTAGGAGAGCCATTATGAAATTTTAAAAAGAAAAAGAAGAAAAAAGGAAATAAGCATTAGGGAGGATATGGAGAAACTGGAACCCTTGTGTGCTATTGGTGGGAATGTTAAATGGTGCAGTTGCTATGAAGAACAGTATCAAATCAAAAAATTAAACTTAGAACTATGATGATTCGCCAAATCCTACGCTTGGTATTTGTTCAAAAAAATTGAAATCAGCATCTTGAAGAGATATCTGCATTCCCATGTCCATTGCAGCATTGTTCCCAATATCCATGAGGGGGAAACAACCTAAATGTCTACTGACAGATGAATGGATAAAGAAAATATGGTATAATGTATACATAAAATAAAATATTAAGCAGTCATTGAAAAGAAGGAAATCCTGCAACATAGATGAACCTTGAGGACATTATGCTAACTGAAATAAGCCAGTTACAGAAGGACAAATACTGCATAATTCAATTTATATGAGGTATCCAAAACAGTCAAACTAATAGAAGCAGAAAGTATAGCGGTGGTTGTCAGTGGACAGGGGGGAGAGGGACATGGGGCATTGCTGTTCAGTTGGTGTTAAGTTTCAGTTATGTAAGATTTAAAAGTTCTAGATATCTGCTGTGAAATACTGTGCTTATAGTTAACAATATTGTACTGTGCACTTAATAAGATAGTAGAGCTCATGTTATGTGTTTTTCACCACAATAAAAATATGAAGATTGTTACTAGTTTTTACTCTAAGCCCAGCTGAGATCTTACCAGATATATAGCGACTTGGGTTATTCCTAAAGCGATCATCCACTAGAATAAGAGCTCCCCAATCATTTCTGTGTCTAATACATCTAGAAAAAATAGGGAAAAAGTCAAATAATTATAACATCGGAAATAAATCCAGTTTTCCAGTGGGACAGACAGAAAATTGGAAAAAAATCAATTTTATAGATTCCTTTAAACAATTTGTTATTATCAGAAAAGTTACAGAAGCTATCCAACACAATGTAACAAACTAGATGTATTAAAAATTCCCTACTTTTTCCAAATACAGATAACTTGCATCCAAAATGTTGTATTTTATTTTGCACTCAAGAAAATTATAGAAAATATATTCTAAGATCTTTCTTAGCCACATAGACTGTTTTCTTTTTTTTACCTTAAGTATTATAAATAATTGTAAAGGTCCTTTTTACTAGTTTGATGAGAGTTTTAAATCATGAATAAACATTTAATTTTGTCAAAAATATTCTAAAATTCAATTGACATAACATGTAGTTTTTCTTCTTTTGACTGTTAATATGGTAGATTACACTGGTTCATTTTCAAACACTGAATCATCCTTGCATTCCTAGTCATGGTGTATTATTCTTTTTATAGATTGTTGGATTCAATTTGCTAGTTTAAAAAAACACATTAAAAATAAAAACATACTTTTTAATAATTATTAAACAATTTTAAAGTGCACAATGCAATGGTTTGTGGTATATTTACAAGGCTGTATAACCTATACCACTTATCTATCCCAGAACATTTTCACCACCCCAAAAAGAAACCCTGTGCCCACTAATTGTTACTCCAAATTATCCCAATTATTCCCCATTACCTCTGGCAACCACTAATCTTTCTGTCCTTAGAGAGTTGCCAATTCTGGACATTTCATTTAACGGGAATCAGACAATATGTAGCATTTTGTATCTGGCATATTTCACTGAACATGATGTTTTCAAGATTCACTCATATTGTATCATTTCTCAGTACTTCATTTATAAGTTAATGTTTCCACTTTTTGGCTAGTATGAATAATGCTGCTATTAAACATTTGGGTACAAGTTTTTATATGAATACATGTTTTTTATTCTCTTGGGCATACACCTAGAAGTGGAATTGGGGAGTCATATAGTAATTCTATGTTTAACTTTTTCAAACACTGCCATACTGTTTTCCAAAGCAGCTGCACATTTTACATTCCCACCACCTACGTACAAGGGTTCCAAAATCTCCACATCCTCACCATCATTTGTTATTGTATACCCTTCTAAAAATATATCTACCCTAGAAAGTGTGAAATAATATTTCATTATGGCTTTGATTTGCATTTCCCTAACAACCAATGATGTTGAACATCATTTTTTACGTGCTTACTGGCCATTTGTGTATCCTTTTTTGGAGAAGTCTGTTCAAATTATTGGTCCATTTTTAATGGCCCATTTTGTCTTTTTATTATTAAGTTGTAAGAGTTCTTTATATATTCTGGATACTAGATCCTGCTACACATGATTTACAAATATTTTCTCCATATGTGAGTTGTCTTTTCCATTTCTTGATACTGTCCTTTGAAGAATAAAAATTTGAACTGTAACAAAGTCCAATTTATCTGCTTTTTCTTTGGTTGCTTGTGCTTCTGATAGCAGATCTAAGAAACTATTGCCTAATACAAGGTCAAGAAAATTTATACCTCTGTTTTTGCCTTTTTCTGTCTTTGATCCACTTTGAGTTAACTTTTGTATATGGTGTGAGGTAGGAGTCTAATTTCATTATTTGCACAGATATCCAGTTGTCCCAACACCATCTGTTGAAAAGACTATTCTTTCTTTGAGTTGTCTTGGCACTCTTGTCAAAAACCAGTTCACTGTAGATGTATGAATTTGTTTATGGACCCTCAATTCTACCCATTGATCTATACATCTGTCTTTATGCCAGTACAACATAGTCTTGATTATTGTAGCTTTGTAGTAAGTTTGAAATAGAAAACTGTTTGTTCTCCTAGTATGTTCTTCTTTTTCAAGATTGTTTTGACTATTCTGGGTTCCTTGCTTTTCCATAATAATTTTAGAATCAGCTTCTCAATTCCTGCCAGAAAGTCAGCTGGGATTTTGATTAGTATTGTATTTAACCTCTATATCAATATAGGGGAGTGTTGATATCCTAATGATAAGTCTTCTAATCCATGAACGTGGGATTCTTTCCATTTATTTAGAATTTTCTTTCAATAATGTCTTGCAGTTTTCAGTATACAGATCTTTCATCTCCTTAGTTAAGTATATTTCTAAGTATTTTCTTCTTTCTGATGTTATTTTAAATGGTATTTTTTAAGTTCATTTTTAGATTTTTGGCTGCTAGTGAATAAAAATGTCATTGATTTTTTAATATTGGTCTTGTAACCTGAAACCTTGCTGAACCTATCAGTTCTGTTATTTTAAAAATGGATTTCTTAGAATTTTCTTAGAATGTAATATATCATTTGCAAATAAAAATAGTTCTGCTTCCTCCTTTCCAATCTGTATACCTTTCTTTCTTCTTCTTGTCTCACTGCCCTGGTTAGAACCTCCAATACAATATTGAATAGAAGTGGTAAGAGTGAAAATCACTGTCGTGATCTTGAACTTAGGAAAAACATTTCAGTCTTTTAAGATTAAGTATGATGTTAGCTGTGAGCTTTTAATAGATGACCTCATTAAAGCTAAGTAAGTAACCTTATATTCCCACTTTGTTGAGTATTTTCATCATGAAAATGTGTTGAATACTGTTTTATGCTTTTTTTTTTTTTTTGCATCTTGAGAAGATCGTGTGGTTTTAGTCTTCTTTTAATATGGTGTATTACATTAATTGATTTTATAAAGCATGTTGAACCAGTCTTGGATTGCTGGGATCAATCTTACTTGGTCATGGTGTATAATCCTTTTAGTATGTTGCTGATTCTGTCAATGGCTTTTATTTCTATAGTCATATGAAATATTGCTGTACAATCTTCTTTTCTCGTAATGTATTTTACTTGTTTTAGTATCAGGTAATACTGGCCACATAGAATGAGTTGGTAAATATTTCTCTCCCATTTTTTGCTAGAGTTAATGAAAGATTAATGCAAATTCTTCTGTAAATTTTTGGTAGAATTCACCAGTGAAGCCATTTGATCATGAGGCTGAGGCAGAAGAATCACTTGAACCTGGGAGGTAGAGGTTGCAGTGAGCTGAGATCACGCCACTGCATTCCAGCCTGAGTGACAGAGTGAGACTTTGTCTCACAAAAAAAAAAAAAAAAAGGCCAGGCGTGGTGGCTCATGCCTGTAATCCCAGCACTTTGGGAGGCCAAGGTGGGCAGATCACGAGATCAGGAGATCGATACCATCCTGGCTAACACGGTGAAACCCTGTCTCTACTAAATATACAAAAAATTAGCCGGGTGTGGTGGCGGGCACCTGTAGTCCCCAGCTACTCGGGAGGCTGAGGCAGGAGAATGGCGTGAACCTGGGAGGTGGAGCTTGCAGTAAGCTGAGATTGCGCCGCTGTACTCCAGCCTGGGCAACAGATAGAGACTCTGTCTCAAAAAAAAAAAAAAAAAAGGGGGGGGGAAGTGTTTTGATGACAAATTCTATCTTTACTTGTTATACATCTATTCAGATATTCTATTTCAGCTGGTCGCAGTGGCTCACACCTGTAATCCCAGCAGTTTGGGAGGTGGATCACGAGGTCAGGAGTTCAAGATCAGCCTGGCCAACATAGTGAAACCCCGTCTCTTCTAAAAATGCAGCCGGGCATGGTGGCAGGCACCTGTAATCCTAGCTACTCAGGAGGCTGAGACAGGAGAATTGCTTGAACCTGGGAGGCAGAGGTTGCAGTGAGCCGAGATCATGCCATTGCACTCCAGCCCAGGCAACAGTGTGAGACTCTGTCTCAAAAAAAAAAAAAAAAAAAAAAAAAAAAAAAAAAAGATATTCTATTTCTTCTTGATATATTCTCAGTATTTTGTGTCTATCTATGAATTTGTCCATTTAATCTAAGTTATTTGTCATCACACAATTTTTGAAGGTATTCTCTTATAATCCTTTGTATTTCTGTAAGGTAGTAACATCCCCTCTTTCATTTCTAATTTTAGTGAATTAGAACTTCTCTGTATTTTCTTTGGTCAGTCTTGGTACAGGTCTGTCAATTTTGTTGATCTTTTCAACAAATCAACTTTTGTTACCTTGGTTATTCTCTACTGTTCTTTGAATTCTCTATTTCATTTATTTCCTTTTTCATTTCTAGTATTTCCTTTAATTGCCTCGCTTTGGGTTTAGTTTGCTCTTTTTTTTTTCCTAATTCCTTAAGGAGGAAGGTTAGATTATTGATTCCAGATGTTTATTCTTTTAAAATACAGATGTTTACAGTATTTTTTTTTTTTAGACAGAGTCTCGCTCTGTCAGCCAGGATGGAGTGCAGTGGCATGATCTCAGCTCACTGAAACCTCCGCCCCCTGGGCTCAAGCAGTTCTCCTGCCTCAGCCTCCCAAGTAGCTGGGATTACAGGCATGTACTACCACACCTGGCTAATTTTTGTATTTTTAGTAGAGACGGGGTTTCACCATGTTGGCCAGGCTGGTCTCGAACTCCTGACCTCAGGTAATCTGCCCGTGTTGGCCTCCCAAAGTGCTAGGATTACACACGTGAGCCACCGTGCCTGGCCTAGATGTTTACAGCTTTTTTAAGTTTCCCTGGGAGTAGTACTTTCACTGTGTCCCCAAAATTTTGGGACATTGTTTCCATTTTCATTTATCACAATGTATTTTTCAATTTTTCTTCTGATTTCTTCTTTGACCCACTGGTTGTTTAAAAGTATATCATTGAATTTCCATGTATTTGTGAGTTTTCCATTTTTCCTCCCATTATTGATTTCTGGTTTATTTCATTGTAGTCAGAAATAATACTTGTAATGATTTCAACCTCTTAACATTTATGGAACCTTATATTTTATGGATGAACGGATGGCCTATCCTGAAGAACATGCCATGTTCACTTGAGCAGAATGCGTATTTTCCTGTTGTTGGGTGAAGTGTGCTACAGATGTCTGTTAGGTTTGTTTGTAGTTGTTGGTTTGTAGTTTTGTTCAAGGCTTTTATTTTCTGTTGATTTTCCTTCTAGTTGTTCTACCCATTATTGAGCAGGGTATGGAAGTCTCCAAGTATTACTAAATTATTGATTTCTGATGCTTTTTGCTAGATGTGTTTTGGGGCCTTTTTGTTAACTTTGTATGTTTATAATTGCATATTTAGACTTGTTATTTTTTTTTATTTTTTATTTTTATTTTTTTTTGAGACAGGGTCTTACTCCAGTTGCCCAGGCTGGAGTGAAGTAGTGAGGTCATGGCTTACTGCAGCCTCAACTTCCTGGGCTCAGGTGATTCTCCCACATCAGTCTCCTGAATAGCTGGGATTATAGGCACATGCCACTACACCTGGCTAATTTTTTTGTACTTTTAGTAGAGACAGGGTTTCATCATGTTACCTAGGCTAGTCTTGAACTCCTAAGCTCAAGCGATCTGCCCACCTCAGCCTCCCAAAGTGCTGGGATTGCAGGCAGAATGGCACTTTTATCATTATAAAATGTTAATTGTTTCTATTAACTTTTTTTTGTCTTAAGGGTCTATTTTATCTGATATTAGTATAACCAAACCAGCTCTCTTTTGTTTACTATTTGCATGGTATGTCTTTTCCCATCATTTTATTTTCAACCTATTTGTGTTTTTTAAACTAGTGTTTCTCTTGCAGACAGCATATATCACATTGTTTTCAATCCATTCAGCCAAACTTTGCCTTTAGATTGGAGTATTTAATCCATTTACATTTAATGTAATTACTGATAAGGTAGGATTTACTCAGCTATTTTGTAAAATACTCACTTTGCTATTTGCTTTCTATATGCCTTACGTATTTTGTTCTTCTGTCTTTCCATTACTTTCCATTTTCTCCAATAGACACTTTCCAGTATATAATTTTAATTCTCTTGTCATTTACATTACTATATTTTCTTATTTTTATTAGTGGTTGAAGAGTATAATAAACATATCAACCAGTAATAAACTAGTCAGGAAAATTGCCAACTTAATTTCAATAGTACAAAAAAATGGTCCTTCTGTTCCCTCATCTGTCACCTTTGGGTTGTTATTGTCATATAAATTATATCTTTAAACATTGTATGCTGGTGCAGAAGAATTAACATTGTAGGTTGGATTGTTTACCCCTAGAAAGGTCTGTTTAAAGGTGTTCCTGGGCTGATGAATGAAAACTTAGATTCAGGAGGGTACCTGTGATTGACTGATAAGAGTGTCTCACTGTGCCTGAACTGTTTGAGTAAACAATATATTAATGCTGAATACTCATTCTCCTTTTGAGAGTCTAGTCTTCTGGAAACTGCTAGGCAGAGGCTGCCTATATGACCAGCCCCAGTAAAATCCCTGGGTGCTAATGAGTTCCTCTGATTGGAAATATTTGACACATGTTGCCACAACTCATTGCTCGGGGAAGTGTGTCCTGTGTAACTGCACTGGGAGAGGACACTTGGAAGCTTAAGACTGGCTCCCTAGACTTTGTCCCATGCACATGTTTTGTTCTCTTTGCTGACTGTGCTTGGTGTCGTTTCACTGTAATAAATCCTAGCCATGTATACAGTTATATCCTGAGGCTATCTAACTGTTCCAAGTGAATTGCTGAACCTGAAGGTGGTCTTGGCAACCCACAAGACAATCACCACAGATTTACAATTATTGTTTTATGCAGTTGCTCTTTTAAAAAATCAAGAGTAAAAGAATTATAAGCAAGAAGTACCTTTATATTAACTTTTACATTTACGTATGTCGTTAACTTTGTGGGTATTCTTTATTTCATCGTGTGCATCTGACTTACTTCCTAATATCCTTTCATTTCAGCCTGAAAGACTCCTTTTAGTATTTCTCGTAGGACAAGTTTGCTACAGAGTAATTCTCTTGGTTTTTGTTTATTTGGGAATGTCTTAATTTTTACCTTATTTCTGAAGGACAGTTTTGTTAGATATAGTATTCTTGGTTGACAGTCATTTTCTTTCAGCACTTTGAACATGTCAATTAACTGCTTCCTGGTCTGGAGGATGTTTTGTATATGATGAGTTATTTCTCTCTTGCCGCTTTCTAGATTCTGTCTTCTGGCTGTTTGATTTCAACCATCTAGATAGGAATCTCCCTGAGTTCATCCTACTTGGAGTTCGCTTATCTTCTTGGATGTATAAATTAACGTTTTTCATCAAATTCGGAACGTTTTCAGCCATAATTTCTTTAAATATTCTTTCTATTCTTTTTTCTCTCCTCTCCTTCTGGGACTCCAAATATGCATATGTTGGTACGCTTGATGAGGTTTTACAGGTCTCTGAGATTATGCTAGTTGTTCTTCATTCTTTTTCTTTCTGTTCTTCAGAGTAAATAATCTCAATTGATGTTTAAGTAAATCAATTCTTTCTTCTGCCTTCTTAAATCTGCTGTTGGGCCCCTGTAATGAATATTTCATTTTAGCTATTATACTTTCCAACTCCAGAATTTCCATTAGGTTTTTGTTAAGCAAATTTTATCTCTTTATTGATATTCCCTATTTAGTGAGGTGAGACATCATTCTCACAGTTTTTGACACAGTTTGCTTAGTTATTGAATGTATTTGAACTAGCTTTCTCTCCTAAGGCATAGCTTTGTCTACTAAGACAAATGTCTGGGTTTCCTCAGGGAGAGTTTCTATTATTTTTTTCTCTTAGTTATACTTTCTTTGTTATGTGTCATGATTTTTGTTGAAAACAGTACATTTTAAATAATATAATGTGGCAAATATAGAAATCGGATTATTCTCCCTCTTCAAGGTTTTTTGTTCTTGTAATTTTTCTAAAATAATCTTGTAAAGTCTGTATTGTCATGTGTGGTCATTGAAGACTGCTCGATTAACTTAGTAGTCAGCTAATAATTAGACAGAGATTTCCTTAAATGTCTAGAACCATCATGTCTCCCATTCTTTGCCAAGAGTCTCTGCATATATTGGGGCATAATTTCAATCCTCAGCACTGTAGGTAATAACTCTGATCTTGTTTTCACTTCCTGCTTCAGCAGAGCACCAAGGTGATAGCTTAGGGCCTTTTCAGGTCTTTTCTTAGCATGTCCACATCACTGGTCACATGCACTCTCCTACACATATGCATGGCCCACTAAAATCCCAGGAATATGTCAGAACTTTAAAAGCTCTCTATGGACATTGCATTCCTCAGCTTTTCTCTTTACATTTTTTGGCTAGCCTCTCACTTGCCCCAAATGTCATTCATTGTCTCAGGCAACTGTGAAGTTAAACAGCTGGCTGGGTGAGCTCTGAGTCAGGTCAAATAAAGATAGCCTTGTGAGTGGGGTCTTCCAGGAAACTCCCAGGTAGGTCACATAATTCTCTGGAAATGTACTCCAGACCTGTTTTGCTCCCTCCAATGACTGTCAGGTTGTTGGCTTTCCTCACGATTTCAGGCTATTGGTTTTTAAGGCTATTGTGAACTTGGAGAGAGGTGAGAACAGAGCAAGTTAAAATACCACAAAGCTTACTGTTCTTACTGCAATTCAGCTATTTTTAAGGAGTAAATTCTTCCTAGAATGCTGTAACTTTTGGTTAATACCCAGAGTTTTGATAAAGTTGCTTCTAACTTATTTTTGCCTATTTTCTCATTGCTTTTAGAAATTTCAGAGGTCTTTGTTCTGCCATTTTTGAGGACCTTACCCAATTTGCTGGCACTCTGTTGAGGACATCTTCATCTATGTTTCAGAGGGATATTGATCTATAGTTGTTGTTGTTGTTGTTGTTGTTTTAACTTTTATTTTAGTTTCAGGAATACATGTGCAGGTTTGTTATAGAGGCAGATTGCATGTCATGGTGATTTGTTGTGACAAATTAGGACCGATTATTTTGTCACCCAGGTAAAAAGCAGCATAGTATCCAACAGGTAGTTTTCCTTGAATGGTAGCTCAACTCTTAGTTCAAACAGCTTAATTTTAAGCTCTCCACCCTCAAGTAGGCCCTGGTGTCTGTTGTTCCCTTCTCTGTCCACATATACTCAATGTTTAGCTCCCGTGTATAAGTGAGAACATGTGGTATTTGGTTTTCTGTTCCTCCGTTAGTTCATTTAGAATAATGGCTTCCAGCTCCATCCATGTTGCTGCAAAGGACATGATCTTACTCTTTTTTATGGTTACATAGTATTCCATTGTGTATATGTACCACATTTTCTTAATCCAGTCTACTATCAATAGGCATTTAGGTTGATTCCACGTCTTTGCTACTGTGAATAGTGCTGTGATAAACATACAGATACATATGTCTTTATGGGAGAATGACTCACATTCCTTTGGGTATACACCCAATAATGGAATTGTTGGGTTGAACAGTACTTCTGCTTTAACTTCTTTCAGAAATCAACAAACTGCTTTCCACAGTGGCTGAACTAATTTACATTCCCACCAGCAGTACATATGTGGTCCTTTTTCTCTGTAACCTTGCGAGCATCTGTTCTTTTTTTTTTTTTTTTTTTGACTTTTTAACGATAGCCATTCTGACTAGTGCGAGATGTTATCTCATTGTGTATGTATGTGTTTTTTTGTTTTTGTTTGTTTGTTTGTTTTGAGACAGAGTCTCACTCTATTGCCCAGGCTGAAGTGCAGTGGCACAATCCCAACTCACTGCAAACTCCACCTCCCGGGTTCAAACGATTCTCCTGCTTAGCCTCCCAAGTAGCTGGAATTACAGGTGTGCGCCACAACACCCACCTAATTTTTGTATTTTTAGTAGAGATGGGGTTTTGCCATGTTGGGCAGAGTGGTCTTCAACTCCTGACCTCAAGTGACCTGCCCGCCTTGACCTCCCAGTGCTGAGATTATAGGCGTGAGCCACCACGCCCAGCCACATTGTGGTTTTGATTTGCATTTCTCTAATGATAGTGTGTTGAACATTTTTTCATATGCTTCTTGGCCACATGCATGTCTCCTTTTGAGAAATGTCTGTTCATGTCCTTTGGCCACTTTTTAATGGGGTTGTTTTTTGCTTGTCAATTTAAGTTCCTTATGGATTCTGGATATTAGACGTTTGTAAGATGCATAGTTTGCAAACATTTTCTCGCATTCTGTGGTTTGTCTTTACTCTGCTGATAGTTTCTTTTGCTGTGCAGAAGCTCTTAAGTTTAATTAAGTCCCATTCGTCGATTTTGTTTTTGTTGCAATTGCTTTTGGTGTCTTCATGATGAAATCTTTGCTAGAGCCTATGTCCAGAATGATATTTCCTAGGTTTTCTTCAAGGGTTTTTAGTTTAAGGTTTTACATTTAAGTCTTTAATTCACCCTGAGGTGGTTGTTGTATATAGTGTAAGGAAGGGGGTCCAGTTTCAATCTTCTGCTTACGGCTAGCCAGTTAGGTCCCACTTGTCAATTTTTGTTTTGTTGCAATTGCTTTTGAGGACTTAGTCACAAATTCTTTGCCAAATCTGATGTTTAGAACAGTATTTCCTAGGTTTTCTTCTAGGATTTTTATAGTTTGAGGTCTTACACTTAAATCTTTAATCCATCTTGAGTTAATTTTAATCCATCTTGAGTTGATTTTTGTATATGGTAAAAGGTAGGGGGTGCAGTTTCATTCTTTTGCATACAGCAAGCCAGTTACTCCAGCACCATTTATTGAACAAGGAGTCCTTTCCCCATTGTTTATTTTTGCTAATTTTGTCAAAGATCAGATGGTTGTAGGTGTGCAGTTTTATTTTTAGGCTCTTATAGTTTTCTTTTTTCCCCCTTTTCCTTTTGTTTTTGTAGTCTTCATCTGGTTTGGTTGCTGGTTAATTCTGGTCTCATAAAATAAATTGGGAAGGATTGCATCTTCTGTTTTTTAGAAGAGATTATGTAAAATTTGTGTTATTTCTTCTTTAAATGTTTGGTAATATTTGCTAGTGAACACAGCTGGGTGAATTTTTTAGAAGGCTTTTAACTATTAATTCTATTTCTTTGCTAGATAGCTATGCGTGTTATCTGTTTCATCTTGGCCTCATAAAATAAATTGAGAAGGATTACATCTTCTATTTTTTAGAAGAGATCTTGTAAAATTTATGTTATTTCTTCTTTAAATGTTTGGTAATATTTGTTAATGAACACATCTGGGTGGAGAATTTTTTAGAAGGCTTTTAACTATGAATTCTATTTATTTGCTAGATAGCTATTCATGTTATCTATTTCATCTTGGGTGAATTTTGGTATTTTGTGGGTTTTGTGGAATTAATCTACTTCATCTAAGTTATCAAATGTATATGTATAGAGTTTTTCGTAGTATTCTCATATTATTCTTTTAATGCCTGTGGAGTCTGTAGTTATACTATTAATACCTCTTTTATTCCTGATATTAGTAACTGTGGCTTCTCTTTTTTTTCTTTGTTAATTTTGCTAGAGGTTTATCAATTTTATTGATCTTTTCAAAGAGTCTATTTTTTTCTGTTTTTCAACTTTTATTTTATTTTAGATTCCAGGAGTACATGTGCAGGTTTGTTACAAAGGTATATTGCATGATGTTGAGTTTGGAGTACAATTGAACCTGTTACCCAGAAAGCAAGCATAGAACACAATAGGTAGTTTTTCAACCCTTGCTTCCCTCCTTCTCTGCCTCCACTTACATTCATTCCCTAGTGTCTATGTTCCCATCTTTAAGTCCATGTGTACCCATTGTTTATCTCCCATTTATAAGTGGGAACATATGGTATTTGGTTTTCTGTTTCTGTGTTAGTTTGCTTAGGATAATGGCCTCCAGTTGCATCCATGTTGCGGCAAGGACATGATTTCATTCTTTTTTAATGGCTGTGCAGTATTCCACGGTGTATATGTACCACATTTTCTTTATCTAGTCCACCGTTGATAGGTATTTGAGTTGCTTCTATGCCTTTGCTTTTGTGAATTGTGCTGTGATGAACACACAGCTGCATGTGTCTTTTTGGCAGAATGATTTATTTTCCTTTGGGCATATAACCAGTAATGGGATTGCTGAGTTGAATGGTAGCTCAACTCTTAGTTCAAGCAGCTTAATTTTCATTTCACTGATTTCATTATTTTTGTTACAATTCATCAATTTATACTTGTTTTTATTACTCCTTTTTTTCCTGTTTGCCTCACATTTATTTAGCTCTTCTTTTTCTAGCTTCATAAGGTAGAAACTAAGATCAATGATTTGAGGATGTTTTTTCCTAAAATAAGCATTTAATGACATAAATATCCATCTGAGCACTGCTTTAGCTGCAGTCCTTACATTTTGATATGCTGTATTTTCATTTTTGATCAGTTCAAAATATTTTCTAATTTTACTTGAAACTTGCTGTTTTGCCTGTGGATTATTTAGAAATATGCTGCTTAATTTCCAAGTATTTGGACATTTTTCTGTTATTGATTTCTAGTTTAAACTAGATTACTAGTTTAATTCCATTACAGTCAGAGAACATACTGGACTTGAGTTGGCTAATAATGTTGCTCAAGTCATCTATATCTTTATTAGTTTGTCTACTAGTTCTGTTATTGAGAGGAATTTTGAAGTTTCCAAGTATAATTGTGTATTTTTCTATTTTTCTCTTCAGATCTGTCAGTTTTTGCTTCATGTATTTTGAAACCCTGTTTTGGGGTGCATACACATTTATGATTCTTATGTCTTCTTGGTGAATTCACCCTTTTATCATTATGTAATGTTCTCTTTTATCCCTAATTTTGTTTGCTTGGAATTCTACTTTATCTGGTATTATACAGTTACTTGAGCTAGATCATTGGTATTTTGAATTCTGGTCTCCTTTCTTAATCTACCTGCTAGTGTTGACTTTTCAGAGTTCTCAAACAGCTACTCCACATATTCTGTCTAGGTTTTTTAGACTACTAAATATGCTTACTTCATCTTTTCTAGGACTGAAACGCCCAAACTATTTTTTAAAGTTAATTTTAGCTTTGTAAATTTTAACTTTTATCAAAGAAACACGAACACATAGTTTTATGTTTTCAATGAAAAACATAACTGTCCTTTCCCTACCCACCTCCTGTTTACAATTCCCATTCCTCAGAAACAATTACTTTCAATATTTTAGGTAGATCTTCTGGTTATTTATCTCCATATTTCTAAGGAACATTGATCCTACTACTACTTCTTGGTTTTTGAACTTTAGAACTTACGTACTGATTCTCTCCTGTGGAAGATGTTTATTTCTCTTATACCACTGATACTTCACCATCCCTTCCTGGGAATATTAACAACTGAGTCACATAGTGCACTATAATTAGATTTCCTTTATTGTACAAGACTTTTTGCCTTCCCTGGAGTTAATAACTGCCTCTTCTTTTTGTGGATTAATTTTTAATGTTTTCTGTCATTAATTAATCCCCAAACCATGCCATAGCTGTAAAAATTCTTCCAAGTATGGTCAAACCTTCTATCCTCTGAACTCAATTTAGACTACTTGCTGCACTGTTATCATTCCAGAGTTTTCCTTCCTGGTTGTTTTAGGAATTATCTTTGCCTCTATTCTGGATTGGAACCCTAGTTCCCTGCATCCTTGATATTCCTTTTTAAATTTTTTTTTTTTATTTTGATGGAGCACATCTTCCAGTAACATCCTGAGAAAGTGTCCATTTGAAGCAAATGTTTTAGGTCCTTGTATGTTGAAGGCTTTATTTTGTCTTATAGTTTATTGATAGTTTGGCTCATGTAGAACTTAAGTTACAAATCAAAAATTTCCCTAAAATATTTGAAGACAATTTCTTCTATTTTTTTGGTTTCAGTGTTGCTTTTCAGAAGTCTGTTATGATTCTGATTCTCTATCTTTTGTAAGATAGAGACCTGTCTTTTTGTCTTTGGAAGATTTTAAGACTTTTTCTTTATCCCCGGTACTTGGAAAGGGCACAGTGAAGTGCTTTGTAGCTTTTCCTCCTTTACCTGTGCCTGAGTGAGCCCCTTCAACCAAGAAATCGTGTTACTCAATTCTGAGAAATTTTCTTGAGTTATTTCTTTGAGATGTTTCTTTCCTTTATTTTTTCTGTTCTCATGATCTGAGCCTTCTATGTATCAGAAGTTGGTTATTGCATACTGATCCTCTAATTTTCTAGTTCTTCTTTCCTGCTTTCTCTTTTTGATCTGGAAAATTTCCATTTTATCTTCCAAGCCCTATTATGCATTTAAAAATTGTTGGTATCATGTTAATTTCTAAGCACTTTTTCTTATTCTTTTGTTCTTGTTTCATGGAGGCAATATGGTACATCTCTATGGATATTAAGATTTTTTTTTGAAGATTTCTCCTATCTGGGGGTTGGCAAACTATAGCCTATAGTGCCTACAAAAATAGCCCATGTCTTGTTTTTGTACAGCCTCCAATGTGTAGGAATGGTCTTCACATTTTTTTTTTTTTTTGAGAAGGAGTCTCATTCTGTCGCCCAGGCTGAAGTGCAGTGGTGCAATCTCGGCTCACTGCAACCTCCGCCTCCCAGGTTCAAGTGATTCTCCTGCCTCAGCCTCCTGAGTAGCTGGGATTACAGGCGTGCGCCACCATACCTGGCTAATTTTTGTATTTTTAGTAGAGATGGGGTTTCACCATGTTGGCCAGGCTGGTCTCAAACTGCTGACCTCAAGTGATCATTTTTAAGAGGATTAAGGAAAAAACAAAAAATATGTGACAGAGACTGTATGTAGCCTGCAAAGCCTAAAATATACACAATAGTCCCCCACAGCCACAATCTTGCCTATGGTCAAAGTTACTCACGGTCAAATGTAGTCCAAAAATATTAAATGGAAAATTCCAGAAATAATTCATACATTTAAAAATGCATGCCCTTCTGAGTTGCATGATAAAAATCTCATGCTGTCCCACTCAGGATGTTAATCATCCCTTTGTCCACCATGTCCATGCTGTATACTCTTTTTGCCCATTAGTCACTTAGTAGCCATCTTGGTTATCAGATAGAAAAAACATAGTATACGTAGAGTTTGGTACTATCCATGGTTTCAGGCATTTAGTGGAGGTTGTGGAATCTATCTTCTGTGGATAAGGAGAGACTACTGTACTGTCTGGCCCTTTATAGAAAACACTGGCCAATCCTTGTTCTAGTCTGTTGTGTTGTTTCTATTTTCTCAGAGTTCTTCTGCTGTGTTTTTGTTTGCTTTGTTGGACTTGTTTTGTTGTTGTTGTTTTGGTCTGTTTTTCATGTTACAGACTTTCTTTGACAATCTGGTGAAGACTCTGCACTTACTTAAGAGTAAGGCACTAAAACACTGATTGGCAGCTCTGAATGTATGGGTAGAGCTTATAGGCTGGGAAGTTTGCTATAGGGTAATTTGGCAGGAACTGGGCCAATTTGTAGATATTTTCTCATGGGGTGGTCAGTTTCCCTAAAAAGGAATTCTACACGCTTGGTAGATGTAAGACTGATTGTCAGCCTACTCAGAGCTGAAAAGAAAAGGGGGGTGGAGTTCTCACATTCAGTATGTAAAATCCCCGTATATAATATTAACCTCCATCTTTAATACGTCCTCAGCTGTGCCTGGTGTTGAAGAATACAGAGTCTCTGTTGTTCAACCTTTCCAGAAGTAAACCTGGGTGAGGGAGGAGGCTAATTGTTTCTTATACTAATTTGCAACCAAGCCACCTGTTTTTAAACCTTACTTTCATTGACATTTTAGATTGCTCCAAATCCTAGGCTTTTTCATGCATAAATCTGAAAGTGCTTGTTGACTATCATCAATGTAGATTTAAATTTCAGCTTTCTCTTGCCTGCTAAGTCATTCAGTCATTCGGCTGTTTTCCAGTGTTCAAAATGTGTTGATATCGCTTGTCTGTCACTGTCTCCTCTCTCTCTTTGTAATATTGTAGGTTTGACATTTTCATTTCTTTATTATCATAGGATTTTGAGGGGGTGAAGAGTAACATAAATGTTCAATTTTTCTACAAAGACAAAAAAAATCTAAATTTTATAGGGCATTATTTTTTGATATTATTTTAAAGTAACCTATAGGCTCCAAGGCAACAGACCATAACACTGGGAAGGATAGGAAGAAGATTAATATTGTCAATACTACAGAAGAGTATTGAAAGTCAATGGAAAGTCAGTGTGCCACTGTATTTTGGTTCCAGTTTGATTTATGTTTAAAGCATTCTATGGTATGGTAGAAAGGTATTTCTGTTAATGAAACAATTCAAAGAAAAAAGATTTCACCTTTTCTTTTTACCATTGTTTTCAAACTGCCTTGCTTAAATGAATTATGCCGGCTTGAGACAAAGATTATACTTTCAGTAAAGCAACAAAGACTAGTTAGAAAACTCATAGTGCAGTTGTAACCTGGTTGCAAAACCATCTTGTATGTTTCCAAAGGCTGTTCTTGTATTTCATAGACTTATATTACTTCAAATACTCTAACAGTCCCATGTGTGCTTAAAAAAATTAACATTAAAAGGAATCCATTGGTTTCTGCTTACTTTAGATCTTCTGTATCCCTTACAAGAAGAGTGCCTCAGAGTATAAGCACCTTTTCTGTCAATCAATATACATTATGAGTTTTATTAAATAACATAAAACATTTGCTTGGTCTTTATTTTTTTAATTTAAAAAATTTTACTTATTGATTGGTTTTAAAGGGTAAGTTCCTTTGTAACAAATTATTAATTATTGACATTATTCCCTGAAAATCAGTAAAATGATAGCTGGGCTCTCCATTTAAAAAAATTAATAAAATTCTAAAAGTACAGTATTATATATCAATACTATAAATACATGATTTTTATGATATTCCAGGAAAGCATGTTTTGAAGCTCTAAAAGCTCTCTGGGCAATGTTGTATGGCAGGAAAAAGCACTGAACCTCACATTTTTCACTAATTCAACAAGCATTTGAGACTTAGTTGGTTGCTGAGAATGTAACAACGTAACACATGTTCAAGGAAGAAAACAGATAGGCTATTACAATACAATGAGATATGTGCTATAATACAGATAGCAACCAAAATGCTATAGGTTTACTAAGGTATAAATAACTCTAGTTGGAGAAGTTTTAAAGGTCCTCATAAAGGACATGACTTTCAATGAGGTTTTGATTGCTAAATTTGCCAAACGAATTGTATGATAACTTATAAGCCAAGGCAAAGCATAATGAAAGAATATAGCATGTTTGATAGTTTAATACTGACATACTTATGTTTAATAGTGAAAAATTCGGTGGCTAGAGGTAGAGGATAAGGATGAAAAAGCAGGTATTACAGTTTTAGAAATGGATGGGAACAAGATGTAAAGGGCCATTTAGTAGCCATGTGGCCTTAGAAAAATAATTTAATTTCTCACAACCAGTTTAAAAACAATTCAGGCTGAGGCAGGTGGATCATCTGAGGTCAGGAGTTTGAGACCAGCCTGTCCATCATGGTGAAACCCCGTCTCTACTAAAAATATAAAAATTAGCTGGGCATGGTAGTGCGTGCCTGTAATCTCAGCTACTCAAGAGGTTGAGGCAGGAGAATCGCTTGAACTTGGGTGGAGGAAGATGCAGTGAGCCAAGACTGCACCACTGCACTGGGCGACAGAGCGAGACTCCATCTCAAAAAAAAAAAAAAAACAAACCCAAAAAAACCCAAACAAACAAACAAAAACAAAGCAAATCAAATAAAACATCAAGTAGCAACATGCATTGCTACTGGAAGTGATTGGTAGAAGAATCAAATGAGATAATATATGTGGAGAAGGTTTGTAAACGAGAAAACCACATACAAATATGACTTCTGTTTCACATGGTTTCTTGAAATTCAAGGCATTGCTTATACTAAAAGGAAGAAAAAAATCAACTGAGCTAAGAATACTTATTTTCCGCAAATTGAGTATAATGACTAAAAGTCAACAATTTCAAAAATATATTCAAGCGCCCCTAGAAACTATTAGCTGAATATTAAAATTCAAAAAAAAAATGTCAATCAGCAGGGAGACACAAAGTAAGCAGATGTGATGCTTCAATAACCTTCAGTGCAACTTGATTCCAAGTAAAATGGGATTTCTAGGGAAAAAAGGGGAGCAGGATCTCTGTAGCTTAACCATAGACCTGAATCACTCAGTTTGAAGAAAAACACATGCAGAATACCATTCTAAAATGATGGGGAGTGGCTGGGTGTGGTGGCTCACGCCTGTAATCTTAACACTTTGGGAGCCTGAAGCAGGAGGATCACTTGAGGCCAGGAGTTCAAGACCAGCCTGGCCAACATAGCGAAACCCGTCTCTACTAAAAATACAAAAATTAGCCAGGCGTGGTGGCATGTGCCTGTAATCCCAGCTACTCAGGAGGTTGAGGTAGGAGAATCGCTTGAACCTGGGAGGTAGAGGTTGCAGTGAACTGAGATCGCACCACTGCTCTCCAGCCTGGGAAACAGAGCAAGACTCTCTCAAAAAAAAAATAATAATAATAATAAAAACAAAAATAAAAAATAAAATGATGGGGAGTACAGTGGGTGACATGTTCTAGGGCTTAAATCTAGTTGTTGTAGTCTTATGTCTAAGCTATACACAAATACACATAGCTTATGTATTTGTATATATATACATATAGCTATGTCTAAGCGATACACAAATCTGAACCCACATGCCATCTGGTTTACAAATGGGCTAATGTAAATACACAAGACACCAGAAAAATAAAAATTTTTTATTTGACTGGTTAAGATTATGATTAGTTGTGGGACTTCTGGTTGAAGTGCAAATATGTCAACTGATCATGTTTTCATGATTTTACTCTTAACCAATTTCTTTTTTTTAGATGGAGTCTCCCTCTGTTGCCCAGGCTGGAGTGCAGTGGCGCAATCTTAGCTCAACGCAACCTCCACCTACCAGGTTCAAGCAATTCTCCTGCCTCAGCCTCCCCAGTAGCTGGGACTACAGACACACACCACCATGCCCAGCTAATTTTTGTATTTTTAGTAGAGACGGGGTTTCACCACGTTGACCAGGCTGATCTCAAACTCCTGACCTCAGGTGATCCACCCGCCTCCACCTACCAAAGGGCTGGGATTACAGGCATGAGCCACCTCACCTGGCCCAACCTGTTTCTATGAATTATCCAAATGCCTTACAGCTTCACTAGGAAATAAATAATTACATGGTGAAGTTAATTAAAATTTCATAGAGAATATAAAATATTAATTTGTGGGCCGAATGTGGTGGCTCACGCCTGTAATTCCAGCACTTTGGGAGGCCAAGGCAGGCGGATCACAAGGTCAAGAAATCGAGACCATCCTGGCCAACATGGTGAAACCCCATCTCTACTAAGAATACAAAAATTAGCCAGGCGTGGTGGTGCGAGCCTGTAGTGCCAGCTACTTGGGAGGCTGAGGCAGGAGAATTGCTTGAACGCAGGAGGCAGAGGTTGCAGTGAGCTGAGATTGTGCCACTGCACTCCAGCCTGG
Organism: Homo sapiens; assembly: GCF_000001405.40. Lineage (NCBI taxonomy): Eukaryota > Metazoa > Chordata > Mammalia > Primates > Hominidae > Homo > Homo sapiens. Next base: position 61,712,881 of record NC_000017.11, read on the forward strand.
CTACAGAGCGAGACTTCATCTCAAAAAAAAAAAAAAAAATTTAATTTGCACAAAACCTAATTATAGCATTTACAAATTAGATGTTGATGCCCTACAATATGAAATTAAGGGATAGTAATGCACCACATAATGATGTTTCAGTCAGTGTGAAGTGCATATATGATAGTGGTCCCATAAGATTATAATGGAGCTGAAAAATTCCTATCACCTAGTGATGTCACCATTGTAACATTATAGCACAATGCATTACAAGTGCTTGTGGCGATGCTGGTGTAAACAAACCTACTGTGCTGCTAGTCTTATAAAAGTATAGCACATACAATTATGTATGGTATATAATACTTGATAATGATAATAACTGTGTTACTGGTTTGTGTATTTACTATACTGTACTTCTTATCACTACAGTGTACTCCTTTCACTTACATTAAAAAAAAAGTTAACTATAAAACAGCTTCAGGCAGATCCCTCAGGAAGAATTCCAGAAGAAGGCATTGTTATCACAGGAGATGACAGCTCCATGCATGTTATTTATTGGTCCTGAAGACCTTCCAGTGATTCAAGACATGGAGGTAGAAGACAGGGATATTAATGCTCCTGATCCTGTGTAGGCCTAGGATACTACATGAGTGTTTATGTCTTCATTTTTTTTTTTTTTTGAGATGGAGTCTCGCTCTGTCGCCCAGGCTGGAGTGCAGTGGGGTGATCTCGGCTCACTGCAGCCTCCACCTCCCGGGTTCAAGTAATTCTCCTGCCCCAGCCTCCCAAGTAGCTGGGATTATAGGCACCTGCCACCACATCCAGCTAATTTTTGTAGTTTTAGTAGAGATGGGGTTTCACCACGTTGGCCAGGTTGCTATCGAACTCCTGACCTTAAGTGATCTGCCCACCTTGGCCTCCCAAAGTGCTGGATTACAGGCTTCAGCTATTGCGCTCCCCATGTCTTCATTTTTAACAGAAAAGTTTAAAAAGTAAAAAAATAAAAAATAAAAATTTCAAAAATAGAAAAAGCTTATAGAATAAGGATATAAAAATTATTTTTGTACAGCTGTATAATTTGTGTTTTAAGCTAAGTGTTGTAAAAGAGTCAAAAAGGTAAAAAAAAAGATAAAAAGATAAAAAGTTTATAAAGTAAAAAAGTTACAGCAAGCTGGGCACAGTGGCGTGTGCCTGGAGTTCCAGCTACTTGGGAGGCTAAGGTGAGAGGACTGCTTGAACCCAGGTGTTCGAGACCAGCCTGGGCAACATAGCCATACCTCATCTCTCAAAAAGAAAAAGTCAGAATAAGCTCAGGGTAATTTATTATTGAAAAAATAAAAATAAATAAATTTAGTATAGCCTAAGTGTACAGTGTTTATAAAGCCTACAGTTAGTGTACAGTAATGTCCTAGGCCTTCACATTCACTCACTACTTGATCGACTCACTCAGAGCAACTTATAGTCCTGTAAGCTCTATTCGTGGTAAGTGCCATATACATTTGTACCATTTTTAATATACTGTATTTCTATACCATATCTTTACTGTACTTTTTCTACACTTATATACTCAATTACTTATCCTTGTGTTACAATTGTCTATAGTACAGTAACATGCTGTATAGGTTTGTGATCTAGGAACAATAGGCTATATCATATAGCCTATATGTGTAGTAGACTATACTATCTAGATTTGTGTAAGTACATTTTATAATGTTCCCACAACAATACAATTGCCTAACAACTCACTTCTCAGAATATATCCGTTATTAAGTGATGCATGACTGTATAAAATAATGATTTAAAAATGAGTCTCACAAAGCACAAATCTTAATGGGCAAGAATATTTAGAAGTCGGAGTATCATGATTAAATGTTTAGTTGGTGTTAATTCTTTAGGATCACGATTATAGTTTGTTTTAACCCTTCTTCAATGATTTGCTAATTTTTTTTTTTTTTTTTTTGAGACATGGTCTGGCTCTGTTGCCCAGGCTGGAATGCAGTGGCATGATTTTGGCTCACTGCAACCCCCACCTCCCAGGCTCAAGCGATCCTCCTACCTCAGCCTCCCGAGTAGCTCACATCTGTAATCCCAGCACTTTGGGAAGCTGACGTGAGTGGATCACTTGAGGCCAGGAGTTCCAGACCAGCCTGGCCAACATAGTGAAACCCCATCTCTACTAAAAATACAAAAATTAGCTGGGCATGGTGGCGCACGCCTGTAATCCCAGCTACTCAGGAGGCTGAGGCAGGAGAATTGCTTGAACCTGGGCGGTGGAGGATGCAGTGAGCCGATATCACGCCACTGCACTCCAGCCTGGGCAACACAGTGAGGCTGTCTAAAACAATAATAATAATAATAATAATTAATTATTTTATTTTTTCTTTAATTATTAAATATCCTTCAGTTTCAATGTTATCCTTCAACATTATCACTATACATAAAAGGCACAAGAAAATATAGATTGTAATCACATTGTTATCTAAAGCTTACAAATAACATTAAAATGAAAATGATTTTTTTTTCTGTCAGATGTCTTCTTTACATAGAAGCAGAATGAAAAATTGTGCAACTACAGAAGCTCACTGGGCAGTAAAATAGATTTTGTTTCTATTTGATGATATTTTAACAGATACACAGATTCCGTACTGAAAGTACACTTTCAAATAGAATATCTCCTCACACTGGCTGGTATATCAATTTTCTTCCCTGACATTTTGGGGGAGGTGAGGAGAGAGGTCTGTTTATCTATAAAATTGTTATCTGAGCTTTGATGTTCACAAGACAAAACTTTTTTGATTTGATAAGCTTTCTTTAATATTTACTGAGCATCTTTGTGTGCTATTCATTGTTAGATCAATCACAAAATTTCTTTAAACTTTAGCAAATTGTGAGTTTTGTTTTGGGAATAACTTATTCTTCTTACTCTTTTCAAATTCTACTTGTGACAGCTATCATTGAATACATACCAGTTCCTATGGTTCCAGTTAAATAAAATTTTACCAAGTTTATTATAAAGAGTAAAGTAGCAAGACTAGATTTATATATATAGCCCTGTCACAGATAATATTATATTAAATTTCACTCCACTTACCTACCAAGGGCCTGGTTTAAGGCCCTGTATGCTTGAATTTCATACCACTGACGGCCAGGTAGAAGACCTCTCAATTTTGAATGGTGGTCATTGTATTGTCGTTTTAGTTCAACCTAATAATTTTAAAATATATTTAAAAAATTAGTAGATAATTAAAGCTCATTTTAAACATCATATTAACTTCTAACAGTTTGAATATACATATTTTTAGGGTAGAGATTTTATTTTGTTTTTCAGTACTGATTTTTTTCGTTTCATTTAAAATAGTTTTATTTAGCTTCACATTCCTTAAATTACCTAATGCATATAACTAATCAGCTGTGTGATCTCAAGCAGTTTTATTGAACTTACATTCATTAAATCCACACAATTTTCAGTGTACAAGTAGGTGAGTTTTGACATATATAGTAATGTAACCACCATCATAATATAGAACATTTTCATCACCCCCAAAAGTTCCCTCTTATCCCTTTATAGTAAATTTCTTTCTTCCACTGCTGGCCCTGGCAACCACTGATCTGCTTTCTGTTTTGCCCTTTATAGAATTTCATATAAATATTATCATATACTATGTAATGACTTGTGACATTTTTCATTTAATATACTTTTAGAATTCATTCATGTTGAAAGGTTTATGAGTAGTTCATTCTTTTACGTTTATCCAGTCTGGTAATCTCTGCTTTTTAATTGCAATGTTTAGACCATTTACATTTAATGTAGTTATTGTTATGATTGGGTTTAAGACTACCACCTTGCTTCCCCCCTACCCCCCCAATCTGTACCATTTTGTTTTTATCTTTTGGATCAATCAAGTTCCCCCCTCCCCCCATATTATTTCCACTACTGGAAATAATATGCTTCCATATTATTTCCACTACTGGATTATTAGCTATGTCTTTGTGTGTGTGTGACTCCTCTAGGGTTTATGATATACATCCTTATTAGTCTACCTTAAAATAATATTTTACCACTTCACATATGATGTAAAAACAATACCACAATATACTTCCATTTCCTTTTATTGTCCTTTATGCTATTGCTGCCATACATTTTAGTTTTATACATGCTATAAACCCATAAAACATTTTGATTATGCTTTAAACAGTACATTATCTTTTAATTTTAAATAAGTTTATAATTTTGAAATAAGTTTAGATTTACAGAAAAGTTCCAAAGATAGTACAGAGATTCCTTATACCCTTTACCCAATTTCCCCTAATGTTAACATCTTATATTACTATAGCTCATGTCAAATTAAGAAATTAACATTAGTACATTAGTATTAAATAATCTATGTATTTTATTCAGATTTCTGTTTTGTCCCAAAAGATTATCTTTTAAAATATACCGTATTTACCCACAGATTTACCATTTCTGGCACTCTTCATTTTCTCACGTAGATTTAAATTTCCATCTGGTATCATTTTCCTTCTACCTGAAGAACTTTCTTTAATATTAGTAGTGCACGTTTGCTAGCAATGAGTTCTTTCAACTTTTCTTTTTCTGAAAAGACTTCACTATCTTCATTTTTAAGAGATTGTCCCACTTGATCAAGAATTCTAAATTGACAGGTTTTTTCTTTTGTTAAAGACGGCTTTTCATTGTTTTCTGATTTGCATAGTTCTGAAGAAAAAATATGCTATTGTCCTATCTCTGTAATGTTCCCCTTTCTTTTAGCGACTTTGGATTGGATTACAGTGTGCTGTTGTGTGTATTTTGCTTGCGTTTTTATTAAGCTTCTTGGACCTGTGGGCTTATAGTTTCTATCAAACTTGAAAAATTTTCAGCCATTATTTCTCTAAATATATATATTATTCTGCCTCGAAACTCTTCTTCTTAGACTCCAATTACAACTATATTAGACTACTTTATATTACTCCACATGTCACTGACCCTCTTTTTTTTCACTCTACACTTCATTTTGGATAATTTTTATTTATAAGATTTCAAGTTCACCAAATTTTCCTTCTGCAGTGTCTAATCCATCCAGTGTATTTTTTGTTTCATATAGAGAGATTTCACATAGGTATTTAAAAAATAGCTTCTGTTTCTCTTTTCAGTATGCTTATGTTTTCTGCTATCTTCTTTGAACTTACAGAGCATAAAACATAAGATATTTTAAAAATCCTTGTCTGCTAGCCAGTTCTAACATCTCTGTCATTTCTGGTTTTGTTTCTATTGATTGATTTTCCTCTGTATTATGGGTTAAATTCTCTTCTTTGCATGCCTGCTAATTTTTGATTGGATACTAGACATTGTGGGCATTAAGTCAGTGGTTACTGGATTTTGCTGTGAATGCAATTAGGGTACTTGGAACCAGTTCATTCTTTGGCAGCTTTGTTAGGGAAAGTCAAGAGCAGCCTTTAGTCTAGGGCTAATTTATCCCCCATACAAAGGTGAAACTCTACTGATGATTGTTTCAAGTACCCCATGTGTTATGAAGTTTTTCTCTTCTGGCTGCTGGGAACTCAAACTATTCCCAGACTTTGTAAGCACTAGGAAGTTTTCTGCCTACTCATTTCCCTGGCCTTATGTAGCTTCCTCTCATGTATATGCCAATCAGTACTTGACCAAAAACTTAAGGGGACGCCTATGCAGATACCTGGAGCTTTCTCTCTATGTAGCTCCATCCTCTCTAGTACTCTACCTTGCAAATTCTAGCTGCCACGGACTTTCCCTAAACTTTATCTCTTTAACTCAGTGTGACCACTGAGCTCTGTTTGAGTTTATTCTCCCTGAACTGTGGCCTAGTAATTGTCTCCAGGTAATAATCTGGTGCAATTGTAGTATTCCAGGACAAGTATATCAAATGGTACAGTTGTCCCTTGGTATCCATGGGTGACTGGTTTCAGAACTTCCCTCAGATACCAAAATCCATGGATGCTCAAGTACTTGATACAAAATGACTTAGTATTTGCATAACCTATGCATATCCTCCTTTATACTTTAAATAATCTCTGGATTACTTTAATAGCTAATATGATGTAAAGCTATGCAAATAGTTGTTACATTGTAGTGTTTAGGGAATAATGACAAGAAAAAAATCTGTACATGTTCAGTACAGAAGCAATTTTTTTTCAAATATTTTTGATTCACACTTAGGTGAATCCACAGATGCAGAACCCATAAATACAGAGGGCCAGTTGTGTATTTTTGTAGTAGAAGCCTAAATAAAGATATGTGGAGTTACTTTCTTGAAGGAAATCATTATATTGAAGAGACATTGCCCCCCCCCCATGTTTATTGCAGCACTATTCTCAATAACCAAGATATGGAATCAACCTAGGTATCCAACAACAGATAAGTGGATAAAGAAAATGTGGTATATATACACAATGGAATACTAAACAGTCATAAAAATGAATGAAATCCTGTTATTCACGGCAACATGGATGGAACTGAGGACACTACCTTAAGTGAAATAAATAAAAAACATAAAGTTAAACACCACATGTTCTTGCTCATATGTGGAAGCTTAAAAATGTTAATCTCGGCCAGGCACGGTGGCTCAGGCCTGTAATCCCAGCACTTTGGGAAGCTGAGGCGGGTGGATCACAAGGTCAGGAGATCAAGACCATCCTGGCTAACACGGTGAAATCCCGTCTTTACTAAAAATACAAAAAAATTAGCCAGGTGTGGTGGCAGGCGCCTGTAGTCCCAGCTACTCGGGAGGCTGAGGCAGAAGAATGGCATGAACCCAGGAGGCGGAGGTTGCAGTGAGCCAAGATCGCACCACTGCACTCCAGCCTGGGTGACAGAGTGAGACTCTGTCTCGGAAAAAAAAAAAAAGGTTAATCTCATAAAAATAAAAAGTAGAACAGAGGATACTAGCAGATGGGAAGGGGAGAAGGAAGGGAGGGATGGGGAGATATTTGTTTTTTGTCTTGTTTTTTTGAGAGACAGGGCCTCAGTCTGTCCCCCAGACTGGACGGCAGTGGTGCGATCATGGCTTACTTCAGCCTTGACCTCCTGGGCTCAAGTGATTCTCCCACCTCAGCCTCCCAAGTAGGTTGGACTACAGGTGTGTGCTGCCATGCCTGGCCAATTTTTTTCTTTTTTAATTTTTATAGAGATGGATTCTTGCTATGTTGCCTATGATGGTCTCCAACTCATAAGCTCAAGAAAACCTCCCACCTTGACCTCCCAAAGTGCTAGGAATACAGGCATGAGCCACTGCGTCTGGCTGAGATTTGTTAAAGGATATAAAGTTACAGCTAGATAGAAGGAATAAGTTCTAATCTTTTATACCACAGTAGGATGACTATAGTTAACAATATTACATCATTTCAAATAACTAGAAGGAGGAGATTACATGTTCCATACACAAAGAAATGATAAATGTTTGAGATGACAGATACGCTAATTACCCTGATCTAATCAATAAACATCATATGTATCAAAACATCACTATGTACCCTATGAATATGTACAATAATTATCTGTCAACTAAAAAATAAAATAAAGAGTAAACTTCTTGGAAACATTTTAGGCTTTCAAGATATATTAACAAAACTTATACAGCAGTTCCCTCTTATCTGCAGTGGTTTAAGTTAACTGCGGTCAACTGTGGTCCAAAAATATTAAATAAAAAATTCCAGAAATAATTTATGTTTTAAATTGCCCACTGTTCTGAGTAGCATGATGACATCTCATGCTATATCCTGCTCCATCCCACTCAGATGTGAATCATCCCTTTGTCCAGTATATCCATGCTGTACATACTACCCACCAGCAGTTAGTAGTTACTTAGTAGCTGTCTAGGTCTAATCGAGTGTCATGGTATTGCAGTGCTTAGGTTCAAGTGACCTCTATTTTACTTAATAATACTTTACTAAATTGTAAACCTACTCAAGAAAAAACAAAGTATTTTCCGTGTACTCTATAACACTGTTAACTTTTTCTTTTTTTTTTGAGACAGAGTCTCGCTCCATTGCCCAGGCTGGAGTGCAGTGACATGATCTTGGCTCACTGCAACCTCCGCCTCCCAGGTTCAAGCAGTTCTCCTCTCAGCCTCCCAAGTAGCTGGGACTACAGGCGGCCGCCACCATGCCTAGCTAATTTTTGTATTTTTAGTAGAGTTGGGATTTCACATTGTTGGTCAGGCTGGTCTCAAACGCCTGACCTCAGGTGATCCACCTGCATTGGCCTCCCAAAATGCTGGGATTACAGGCGTGAGCCACTGTGCCCAGCCACTATTAACCTTTTTAAATAAAAGAACATGCTTTAGGAAAGAAAACAGAACAGTACACTTCTGAAAAGCAGCTTTCAAATTGGGAGGTCAAAAAATTTTATCTTACTGTAAAAATAAAATCTAAGCTTTTTTTTTTTTTTTTTTTTTAACACGGAGTCTTGCTCTGTCACCAGGCCGGAGTGCAGTGGCGCGATCTTGGCTCACTGCAACCTCTGCCTCCCAAGTTCAAGAGATTCTCCTGCCTCAGCCTCCCGAGTAGCTGAGACTACAGGCGTGTGCCACCACGCCCAGCTAATTTTTTGTATTTTTAGTAGAGACAAGGTTTCACCATGTTGACCAGGATGGTCTCGATCTCTTGACCTCGTGATCCACCCGCCTCGGCCTCCCAAAGTGCTGGGATTACGGGCGTGAGCCACTGTGCCTGGCCAAAATCTAAAAACCCAAAACCCCACCCTTTTTATTTTACATTCCCTCAAAAGAATCTGTCAAATTTCTAAAATGAAACTTTACAACTAGAATATAAAGGACATATAAAGGACATAGACTTTGCCTTTTTTTTTTTTTTTTTTTTTTTTGGACAGAGTACCGCTCAGTCACCCAGGCTGAAGTGCAGTGGTGCGATCTCAGCTCACTGCAACCTCCACCTCCTGGGTTGAAGTGATTCTCCTGCTTCAGCCTCCCACGTAGCTGGGATTACAGGTGCACGCCACCATGCCCAGCTAATTTTTTGTGTATATATATATTTTTTGTTTGTTTGTTTGTTTTTTAGTAAAAACAGGGTTTCACCATGTTGGCTAGGCTGGTCTCGAACTCCTGATCTCAGGTGATCTGCCCACCTCAACCTCCCAAAGTGCTGGGATTACAGGTGTGAGCCACCACGCCTAGCCAACTTTGCTTTTTTTTTTTTTCTTTTTTTTTGAGACGGAGTCTTGCTCAATCACCCAGGCTGGAGTACGGTGGCATGATCTCGGCTCACTGCAACTTCTGCCTCTTGGGTTCAAGTGATTCTCCTGCCTCAGCCTCCTGAGTAGCTGGGACTACAGGTGCATGCCACCATGCCCAGCTATTCTTTTGTATTTTTAGTAGAGAGGGGGGTTTCACTGTGTTAGCCAGGTGATCTTGATCTCCAGACCTGGTGATCCCTCTGCCTCGGCTTCCCAAAGGGCTGAGATTACAGGCATGGAGCCACTGCCCCCAGCCCAACTTTGCTTTTTAGGGCAACATAAGTAGTAAATGATAACATAACACCATAGTAAATATTAGATGATATGTTAATACCCTCCCTGGAAATTCAGCAATAAAGCACATGATAATTAAGACTATAAGAAAAAGTACTTTTAAAATTCTGTCCAGCTGGGAAAAATATATGTATTTCCTACCTATCTCTCAAAAATGTAACTAAAGCAGCTTCTCTTCTTTAACAATATTTTCCTCAAAGAAAGTTGACATCTACTTTGTCAGACATAATAGCTTATGTGTTTTCAAAATTTCCTACACCATGGACAGACTGATACATTATAGTGGTCACTGTTCCGAAGACAACAGTTGCTCTAGGACGTATTAGTTATAAATGGAATATTTAGAGTGAATGTAGCAACTATTAGATTAAATAAAATTATGACTCCTTGGTCTTCTATTTTTCATTAACATAATTAAAATTTTCTGTATGGCTACATTGTTTTAATTTATTGCAAATTTTCAAACACCTTTTACACTCCAAATGGCCTTTAAAATACTGCCAATATTTTACCCAGGGGAATTTATTTTAGATAAAAAGTTTAAAAACCTACAAAAGAACAAAAAACTCCCAAACAAAAAACAAAACCCTGAAATGAACTGTATATAAAGGTTAACTTTGAAATAGTTCTTATTACATAAACAGATTTTTAAAATTAATCAATAATAAAAATTACTTTGTGAGATCACAGTTAATTGGAAAAAGCAAAACTAAGGGTTAAGAAAAGGTGGAAAGTGAGTACACCTCATTTTAATGACATCAGAATCTATTTCATTGTACACTTAGGGATTATCAAGCATGAAAATCAATGACCAATTTAAAATGACATACAGCATATGTGAAAAAGCCAGTTTCTCCTGCCAGCAAATAGCCTAAATGTTAAGTAAACCAAAGGCTGGAAGGGATTAGTTGAAATGTCAAAAGACAACCTTTTACTTTTACCTGCTCATCCTTATAAACACATTCTTATCTCTCAGGCATGCTTTCCAAACAAATAGTTTCAATGTGCACCACCAGCAAAAGGCCCAAGGCAAGCTCTGCCATCTTGTAACTGTCAAAGAGATTAGTCTTTGATCTATTTGGGAGGTCATGCCCACATTCACATTACCTTATAATCTAACAACATTATACCTGTTGACCAATGCTTCCTTAATGCCTAATGAGACAGACATTTTACATTATGGAAGTTAACTGTGAATGTTTTTTCTAAGTTTTGACAGAAAGTAAGCACCATAAACTGAGCTCAAGTGTGGTTTGGGAAGATGATCTTTTAGATCAGTTAACATTACTTTTCAAATACATTTTACAAGCCTTTCCCAAAATAGAAAGCTATACTTAATTGTACTTTTTGGAAACAGTTAAACTACTTGCTTCCCATCCCCAATAAATTAGTGTATGTGTAATTTTGGAGGGGTGTGAAGAGCAGGAAAAAGACAAACTATTTTATTAACAGTTGCAAACTGAAGGCCCATAGTTGTGTTTTGTGTGGCCCTTACTGTGGCTTAAAATAATTAAAATTTATTTGCTACCATCTAAAACTTTGGCTATCTCACCACTGTCCTCAACTAACCCACTCATTTAAATAACCTGTTTAATTCATGTAGCTGCTTGAGTTTGCAACCCATTGGTTCAGATGCTGCATAGATTCACAAAAATTTATCATTTCATAATTGAAGGTCAAGTTTGTACCAAATGTAAAGCTCCCTTACTATGATAGTTTTTAGACAAATAAATATATATCTGCATCAAAATCTAACCTAACTGACATAAGTAGAAATAAGATCCTCAATATCAAAGGCATTGATAATTAAGACTGAGGCGGTTTAGAATTGGGTAAAAATACCCAATAGACAGATGGCATTCAAGCAGAAGTTATATGATTTTGGATTCTGATTTTTACCATTATATCATAATGTACTTGAGATTGAACAGAAAGTTTCTTAAGTTCTCCATGCCTTGGTTTTATTGGAAACAGTATAAGTAGCAGAGCACTTATAGCAGCAATAGACAATATGAAATAATCAAAAGGATTATACTGCATATGTCAACGAGAAATTAAGGTCACAATTATTAACATTAGACTTTTTCAACTTTCAGTCAAACTCTTTGCACAAAAGTAGCCTTTTTAAAGTTTATCAGTAGCTTCTGAAAAAATAAATGGTGTGATAAATATGAGCTAGAACTATAAATGCATCTCTTCATTTTACTGCTGCTTCACATGAAAGATGGTGGATTTTATCCCAACTCATACCAATACATATTATGATTTCAGTAATAAATGCCTTCCTGAAAGCAATCAATAGAAGAATATAATTTTTTTCTTGTATGTAAGCTTGAAGACAAAAGTTCAAGCCTCCAAATGAGACTAAGGACAAATAATCAGCTAAACTACATAATTATAAAAATATTAAGAAAACTCTGCTTCAGAAAAATAAACACATTTGTCTAGCAAACACTTGAGTAGAACAGTTTTATCTTTAGCCAAGGTGCAGGGCCTAAAGCCTAAACATTTACAGCAAACCAAATCTGGAAGACAGAGACTGTGCATTAGAGACATTTGCTGCTCCGTATCATCATAGTGTAAACACTTCTATCAGGGTATCACAATATAAATTCCAATGGTTAGAATTATAAACTCAGCATAAGATCTTGTATGTGATATAATTTAGCTAGATTAAAAAGAATATAGCTGGTTTTATTTCATCTGGCATATTTTCAAGATTTCTGACACAGTTAACCAAATAGTGTGTGTGTGTGTGTGTGTGTGTATATACACTTTTTTTAAATGGGGAAAATGAGTTAGTTTCTGCCAAGAGTTAAGAAGCCAGGCTCCCTTTTAAATAAGAATAATAATGATAAAAGCACATTAGAAATGGTTTTTAGTTGTTACTTACTTTCCCTGTTACGTTACAACTTGACCACAATAATCTATCAAGACATAGTAACAGCAATATATTTCACATATGCTTTAAGACTGTTTTGGATAAGGTGCTTTTTTTGGTAGAGAAATCTATATTAAACTTAGTATCGCTAATTGTCAGTGTTGACTAAAATAACCTGGATATTTCAAATTTAAGAAATAGAACAAAATATATCCCTCTGAAATCAGGTATCTCCTCTTCTCAACATATTCAGCCTCAACTGGTTATAAAAATATAACCAGTTTTTCCTATTAAAAAGTTAATACTCTAAGACATGCAAGAAATCTTAGCATGCTTATTCTGTAAAGGGCTAAGTTAAAGTTTTCATTTTTATTTTTTAGAGACAAGGTCTTGCTCTGTCACCCAGAATGGAGTGCAGTGGCATGGTCATAGGTCACTGCAACCTCCAACTCCTGGGTTCAAGCAATCATTCTGCTTCAGCCTCCTCAGTAGCTAGGACTTACAGATACGTGCCCCAACACCAGGCTAATTAAAAAAAAAAATTATTTTAGAGACGCAGTCTCACTACATTGCCCAGGCTGGTCTTGAACTCCTGGCCTCAAACAATCCTCCTGTCTTGGCCTCCCAAAGCTGTGGGATTAAGGTGTTATCCACCATGCCTGGCCTAAAAAATTCTTTTTAAGAGTAATGACCTTTGTGTCAATTTAGGTAGGTTATCCATGTTAAAATATTACTCAAACAAACCTGCAAATGTTTAAATTATCATCTCTAGAACATGCCACCATTCGTGTTATAGTTTATTTTGAGGAAGAAGGTATAATGGAAAAAAAGAAAAAGCACACGGCTTGGAATCAAGGCCTTGAGACTTAGGTTGTTTGACCTTGGACAAGTCACAGTAGCCCTTTATAATTTCCTTTCTCAATTTCTTCGTCTGTAAGAAGGGGCTTAGAATTAGAAGTCTCTTAGCTTTATTGAAGTTGGAGACTGTGTGCCAACCTTACCTTAGAGAATTGGTTGAAGAAATAAATGACAATATGCATGAAACAGTAAAGCATCAGATACTAGAGGTAAGTGGACGAGAAAGTCATTACTTACCCCATATTTCTGAAACCCAGTGTAGGTTTCAGTGGACTTTAAATGCTGTCGTAATATATTGCTGCATGGTATGTGAAATAAGCCATAAGGCTGTGGAGGCCATATAGTCATTACCTTAGTCAGTTCACCCCAAATCATTTTACCACCTGGACCGATTCCTTCTGAAAGAGCTCTGACTACATTATTCAATGTTTGGCACATAACTTTAGGTGACTTAAAAAGTAAGTTTCTTGGGTTCTTGGAGTGGCTACTTTTTCATCAAGTGTCAATGAAAATATATACATTGGCAGAATACATACAGAACAGTGTTCAAACAGTTTTGAAACAAATATTTTAAAAAATAACTTCTACAATTGATCTTAAATTTTCTAAGAAATTTTAGCTAACATTAGCACTCTTTAATATCCTCCATAATACTTTTTGGTCACTTTTCAACTTATGAAGTGTTTTTGAAAGCATAACTATATAAAATATGCTAGTGGTGTAATCTATGAGAATGAGTGCATGATTGGTACCATATTAGTCTAAATATTATTTTATTCAAATATCTTACAATCTAGAGTTTTTCTTGTTAAAGTCACATATGAGAGCCCGATAACTGTGAATAAACTTTTGCTAGCAATAACAACTAACAAAATAAAATATTATCTTATGTAAGAAAGCAGTAAATAGAATCAGAGGTTCTTAAAGGAATGAGTCAATATTAAGAGGATTTAATAAGGGGACTCAGTAATGGTGCATTCAGCAGGTGACAGAGACCTACTTCTACCTTATATAACACTGGAAAAAGGCAAGATTGCTCATGGAAGAGGCTTTTGGATGCCAGAAGATGTAATATGACGCATAATGGCACTCAGGGAATTATATAAAGGTTCCTGGCAATAGTAGCATAAAAAGTAAAAGTTAATCCCAGTGAGAGGAGGCTCAGACTCAGCTTTCATATGATTAAACCCTAACATCTAAAAACAAACCTAAGCAAGAGCGAGCATGTACATAAGAAAAAAGATTAAATGAGTACTGGAAAATGCTGAAAATACACTTAAAACTTTATTACCACCACAGTCCAAAAGATGAAGTATAACACTTTTGCTATCTAGATTTTTATTATTACATCCAAATTATATTTCAGGGCCAGGTGTGGTGGCTCACGTTTATAATCCCAGCACTTTGGGAGGATGAGGCAGGAGGATCACTTGAGGCCAGGAGTTTAGGACCAGCCAGGGCAACATAGCAAGACCCTGTCTCTACAAAATAAAAATTAGCTGGGCATGGTGGTAGGAGTCTGTAGTCCCAGCTACTTAGGAGGCTAAGGCAGGAGGATCATTTGAGCCCAGGAGTTTGAGGCTGCAGTGAGCCATGATCTCACCACTGCATTTCATTGTGGGCAACAGAGACTCTGTCTGTCTGTCTGTCTGTCTCTCTCTCTCTCTCTCTCTATATATATATATATAATCTTTCAAACATGAGCAAAGGTTTGATTTTTTTTTTTTTTGAGACACAGTCTTGCTGTGTTGTCCAGGCTAGAGTACAGTGGCATGATCTTGGCCACTGCAACCTCTGCTCCCTCAGTTCAAGCAATTCTTGTGCCTCAGCCTCCACAGTAGCTGGGATTACAGGTGTGTGCTATGACGCCCGGCTAATTTTTGTATTTTTAGTAGACACGGGGTTTCGCCATGTTGGTCAGGCTGGTCTCAAACTCCTGACCTCAAGTGATCCACCCGCCTCAGCCTCTGAAAGTGCTGGGATTACAGGCGTGAGCCACCGCGCCTGGCCACAAAGGTTTGATTTTTAAAATATATGATCACTTTCTACCTTTGAAATATTATTGCCAAGAATATTTGATTCAGAGCTTTTCAAATGTGAATGTGAGTTTTGGAATAAGACATATGGAATCATAGCACTTTGATAACTCATGCTTTATCTTAGAAAGTAATGCAGACTTCTGATTTCAATAAGTCAAAAAAAAAAAAAAAACCCCAGACATTTCTTTTTCCCTCACCTGTCAGAGAAACTGCCTTTAAATTAAAAGACAAATAGGAAACAGAAACACAGTCTCCAACTTCAGTAAAGCTAAGAGACATCTGATTCCAAGCCCCAATATATGAACATAAAAGGTAGATGGACAAATGTTAAATGACTAAGCAGAAAAGAGAAAGTTCAAACCAACGTATCCACAGAGCTACTGCTGGGACATAAGCCAGTTTGACCTGCAGGAGTTCAGAAAGTCTCAGGAAATGGAGGTATAAGGAAACTGTTGGGAGGATGTGTACCGCAAAGATGAAACAGTAAGCAAGAAACAAGAGGAAGATCTGAGACCCAGGAAACTGGCAATCCATCACAGAAGACAGACAAATCAAATTCCTAGGATGATAGCAGTTATTGGATGATAGCAGGATATTGGCAGTTATCTGGGCTTGATGAGCAATTTAGCCCTGACCGAAGTAGAAGATCAGGAGGCTCCAGAAATGATATCTCCAGGAGAAAAAAGGAACTGGCCTGTTATCTGACAGGTCTGATAGAAAAACTGTATTGAGAGGCATGGCACACAACTATTGGAAGGTGACACATTTATTTAGATAAAGATCTTTTAAAAAGAGAAAAAGGAAGTGGAAGAGAGGAGGGTTCTATCAACCCTAAAGTTCAAAACAGAAAGGAGGACGGGCGGCTGTAACCCCAGCACTTTGGGAGGCTGAGGCGGGCGGATCTTCTGAGGTCGGGAGTTCGAGACCAGCCTGACCAACATAGAGACACCCCATCTCTACTAAAAATACAAATTAGCTGGGCGTGGTGGCGCATGCCTGTAATCCCAGCTACTCGGGAGGCTGAGGCAGGAGGATCGCTTGAGCCTGGGAGGTGGAGGTTGTGGTGAGCCAAGATCACGCCATTGCACTCCAGCCTGGGAAACAAAAGCAAACTCCGTCTCAAAAACAAAACAAAACAAAACAAACAAACAAACAAAAAAGAAAGGAAATCATTTGATTACAGTGAACAGTATTTTCATAGTCATGATAATGTACATAATAACTATAGATTTAATTAAAAATTGTAATGTAACTATCTTGGGAGGCTATAAGAAGGAAAAAGCAGAGTAAGTGAGGTAAAATCCTGTCTCAAATAGGAATTTAATAGTTCATGTCTAAAACTGATTAAATAAAGATAAAATATGGAGGTAAATACCAGATAAAATAGCTAAAGAAGTGAAAGTCACTGCCTGTCAGAAGCAGGGGCTAGAAGTGGGGTGCAGGCCAAAAGACTGTTATAAGAAAAAGCTATCTACTGTATTTAGTGTATATTAGACTCTTGGTAAGTGCTTTATTGGACGTTTTTCAACTTGATAAATCATAATTTAAAAACAAATGCAGATTATTAATTTTAATTTATTGTATACATTTGTATGCCTCACTATGTAAAACAGTGGTGCTCAACCGAGAGCAATTTTGCCAACCAGAAGATAATGGCAATGTCTAGAGATATTTTGGGTTATCACAACTGGTGGCAGGGTGACCGTGGGGGGTGTCTAGATCCCACTACCGGCATCTAGTGGGTAAATGCTAGAGATGCTGTTAAACATCCTGGAATGCACAGGACACTCCTCGGAACAAAGAATTACCCAGTCCAAAATGTCAATAGTGCCAAGTTTGAGAAACACAGCTTGAAAGTAATTTCAAGTCACAAATCTGGTATACTTGATGCAGTAGGAAAATACACTGAGTTATTTGTATAGCTTACTATAGTCACTGACGCACTGGGGTGATGTGTCCTACAGTTACAAAGTATAAACTGAACTCATTCCCAAGCTTTCAAGCCTTTAATCCTAGGGAAAAACAGGAAAGAGTGATGTTGTAAACATGGAACAGCAATATCTACTACAGTTTATGTTATTTGAGACCTTAAAGCTTTACAGTTAGAAAAAAAAGTGACATAGTCACCTGAAGCCCCTCTACATGTCTACAATCTGTAGGCATTGAGAGAATTTGACTGAATAAACTGATTAAAATTCACAACTAAAATTCTCCTCAAAAGAAAAAAATTAGTTATTTTCAGAGAAGCTAAAAAACAATCCCACCACTGCCCTTAAGGTAGAGCTGCTGATTATGCTCCATGCCAACATAAGTAGGTAAGTGTCAATCAACCTTACAAGTCCTCAGGGTGATAATTTCACTTTTAAATCCTCCAACCTAGTTTGAGAGCAAAATTAATATATAAAGGTCAAAGTTCCTTTTCTCACCAAAAATAAGATGAACACAAGAAAATAACTTCAGAATTGTTCAAAAATCAAAACCAAAAGTTTTTATTTATTAATTATCCAGAGAAACTTCCAGCAATATTTTCAGGCATGGCTTTATGTATTTATTTATTTATTTTTTGCTAAGGAAATACAATGACATGAGTATTAGGAGAAAAAGGTTATCAACCGAACTTGCTTAAAATTTTGGGATTTTAAATATTTCCATCCTTGATCCCAAAATATCTTTTAAAAATATGGAGAATTTAAAAATTAACCTCAGCAATTCATCCATTTGTTTTGTGTTTTTTTGTTTGTTCATTTGTTTTTCAGAAGGGATGGAAACAGAGGGGTTTCATTAACTCATTTTTTGCTGGCCAAGGTAAATATACAATTTATTAACCTAGACAGCTTACTTAGATTTAAACTAGGTTTTAATTTTGGAATTTCAAGATATACTTAGAAACTGCTTTCAAAATACTTTTGGCCAAACTATCTTAAAAAAAAAAAAAAGCTGGGGAAAAAAATACTCTGAGGAGGAAAAAAAAGGTTTAAGTAATTGAGGATATACTCACTCTAGACTTTTAGAGGTGACAAGGTTTTTTCTTCTATATCTGTGATGGAACCTAAGTATTTCCAAAAATTCCAAGAGCAAGTTGCTGAACTTGTAAATGTTAAAGAGTTAAGTATTACAGCACTTTAAGTTTATATTCACATCCATTTCCCCTGGGTAACCATGTATTATTATCAGAGCTATATCCAGGTGGGTCTCTGTATCAGATGCAACACTATAACCAGAAGTCCACTCCACTCTGACCTCAGGCTGTATTCCTGGATCTGGTTTCCCATAACTTAGAATGTCCCAAATCCTGAAAATGGCATACAGAGTCCTAAGTGATTTGGCTCCTAAATACCTCTCCCAGCTTCTATTCACATGCCATTCTCTCAGACTCACAACTTCAGCTTCTTTCAGTTCTTGGAAACTGCTATCCTCTTTCAACCTTAGAACCTTAACACATGCTGTTCTCTCTGTTGAGAATACTCTTATCCATTCTGTACACATTCATAACTCCTAGTTTTCTTTCCAGTGTCAGGTTAAATATCACTTCCTCAGGAAGCCTTTCTTGATCCCCAAAGACCTGCTATAACATTCCCAGGGTTCCTGTGACTTTTTCTTATAGCCTTTATCACAACTGTGATTGTTTCTTCATTACATTAATGTCAATATTCCTTGCTAGACTATAAGCAACATGAGACAAGGGGCTATAAACTGTGTTGTGTATCACTCTGTCCCCTGAGTCTATTATAATACTTGGTGCTCTAGCCAGATATTAAAAAAAAAAAAGGTTGCTTTATTATTCTGAATAGTTGCTTTTTTTCTTTTCTTTCTTTCTTTCTTTCTTTTTTTTTTTTTTTTTTTTTTGAGACAGAGTCTCTGTCACCCAGGCTGGAGTGCAGTGGAGCAATCTCGGCTCACTGCAACCTCCCCCTCCCAAGTTCAAGCAACTCTAGTGTCTAGTGTCTCAGCCTCCCAAATAGCTGGGATTGTGCCATCACACCCAGCTAATTTGTGTATTTTTAGTAGAGAGAGAGAGTTTCATTATGTTGGCCAGGTTGTTCTCCAACTCCTGACCTCAAGTGATCCACCCACCTCGGCCTCCAAGTGATGGAATTACAGGTGTGAGCCACTGCACCCGGCCTATTCTGAATAGTTTTATAATCTGAATAGTTTTGTTGTAATCTAACCTCTGATGAGGCCATTCCACTTTATGAAATGTTTGTATATTTGAATCTCACTGTAGAGAAGATTCAAATCTCATCTCTCTGGCTCCTCCATCCCTTTTAGGCAAGTTAGTCAAAGTAAATTGGTATCTGCAAGGGAGGCGAAAGGTGTTGGTCAACTTCAGCTTTCCTAAGCATCTGAGCACCTGGTTTCTATTCCACCAAAGCATCTTGTTATATGTTCCTGTTCTTCCATAAATTATTGACATTACTAGTGTAGAGACAGCATCTTGTTCATTTTTACACCTACTGCATTTTGTACAAATTAAGCTCTTAAAAAAAGTTTGTTAAATGAATGAATAAGTGCATGACAAAACATTCAATATCATTAACATTTTTTTTTTTTTGAGACAGTGTCTTGCTCTGTCGCCCAGACTGGAGTGCAGTGGCGCAATTTCAGCTCACTGCAACCTTTGCCCCTTAGGTACAAGTGATTCTCCTGCCTCAGACTCCCAAGTAGCTGGAATTACAGACGTGTGCCACCACACCGGGGCTAATTTTTTGTGTTTTTAGTAGAGACTGGGTTTCACCATGTTGGCCAGGCTGGTCTCGAACTCCTGACCTCAAATGATCTGCCCACCTTGGGCTCCCAAAGTGCTGGGATAACAGGCATAAGCCACTGCACACGGCCGTCATTAACATAGTTTTGATAGAAGAGTAATTCAAAAGGGATTTATAAATCTATTCAAAAGGAACAGATGAATCTACCTAAAAGGTTTCTGAAGTCAAGTTCCTCTTGATATACTACAGTCCTTTGCATTCCTGCCCTCATTCATTTTCTCGTGAATATTCATATTGCCGTCAAAGCAAAAGGAATAACAATGGAACAATATCATTCTCCTTAAAAAGAAATCTGTTAGATTTAAGAATTCTAATACAGCCAGGTGCAATTGGCGCGAGTCTGTAATCCCAGCTGCTCGGGAGCTGAGGCAGGAGGATCATCACTTGAGCCCAGGACCAGCCTGGGCAATATAGTGAGACTCTGTCTCAAAAAAAATTTTTTTTTAATTCCAATACTACCATCATCTGATAATATTTTGACAGTTGAAAGCACTGGTTTAACATGGTTTAATGTGCTTTATTACTTTATTAATGCTGTTATCCTTTAGGGAAAGCACCCTTTTTCTGTGGTTTATAAAATGCCAACAATGCATGGAAGCCTATCAATTTTTTTGTGTGTGTTTGTTATAAAGTCGATAAGTAACTAATATAACTAAAATAGATGTCTGAATTTTTCAATCATAAATGTAATTTTAAAAAATTGATTAAAATAATATATACCCAAATAGTTTGGTACATTGAGAGCTAAGATAAGTTTCCTAAACAAAAAAAGGAACTCATAATGGTTATTGTATGCTAATAGTAAGATAGACAATTCAGATCACTATGCGAATTTTAAATAGTTTCCAAATAAAATCTAGTTTGGTAACTCAACATACTATATTACCAAAAAAACCCACAAATATAAAATTTATTAGCATGATAAATTATTTTAATCATTGTAAGGGCACTTCTGACAATGAAAAGTACCATCAAATTTTATTAAACCAATTATAAAAATCTAAACACACCACTTCAACATTTTAAAAATATAAACATTTTTAGCCATATGCCATGGTTTTATACATTTTTCTTCAGAGAAGTAAAGGAACAATACCTACGAAGGAGAACTTTTCTATATACTATTATACTATACTATGCTAGGCAATACAAATAAAATGCAATTTTAAAACCTAAATATATTTGTACCTTATCATATCTCACAAACTATGTCCATGTCACCAATTGGAGAGGTGGATGCCTCAATTATAAAGCTGAATACTCCTGTGGTTGTTAGATCACAGTAATTGGCCAGAGGATTTGCTTTAGATATCCATTAAAAAGGCAGCCTTGTTATACTGTGATTTAATTACATGAAAAAGAAAACAACTTTTATTTTAGTTATACTTTTCCATCGACATCTAGTCATATAAAAGCCTTGGTTCATTCTCATGCCCCTCAAATGCTTTGGTTTAGTGCACAGAAAGTTTTCTTTTTAACTATTATACGATTAAGTATATCCTTATGAATGATCAGAAGCATCTGGGAAAGGTGGAAGTGAAAAAAATCCTCACTGGGAAAGTTAGCTTAATGCTTACCTTCAGAGTAGCCCATTATCAACATTTCATAGTGGGTTTCTTTATTTTCAGGTCCCTCAGGTATGTGCAATAAATTATGACTTGAACTAAACAAGTCACACTTGGCTCCAAAATGAAATTTTCCTACCTCTACTTTCTAGTCCCTAAGGTGGGAAGAGGAAATCCTGGTCACAGCCAAAGGAGTCATATTTTTGGCTCTAACATACATTTTCCTTCTTCTCAAAAAGCCAAACCCTGCTATTGAGACTGCAAAGTCTTATGTTAGTATTTTAAACTGTATTTTAACTTTTACTTCCATAATCTTTCTCAAATTTAAGAAAAAATTTTAGTATCATAAAATTAATGTCACTGCCTTCTTTTTCCCACTCAAATCACTTTTCTGACTCAATGATCTTAACCTTTTTAAATATGAAGTCAAATGAAATAGACAAAATAATGCAGAAATAGGTTGTTTCGTTTCTATAAGGTAGAACATTTAAATTTTTATTTACTAAATAACTTCTACTTATTAGACTATTAATGTAAAAGAAAACTATAAAGTTCTAATTTAAGGTCCTATAATTTGAAGCATAGTTTTAGTTTTGGAAGAGCCATCTATGTAGGTCATTTAGATCATCATCTCTTTTCATAGGGAATAGGAGTATGGCAGACACACCCTAAGGTGATATACAGAGAGTCACAACTTTGTAATGCTCTCCCCTTAAGTGAGGGCAGAACCAGTGATTTGCTTCTAGCCAACAGAATATGGAAAGGGTTCTGGGATAGTCACTCTTAATTAGGTTATATTATATAGCAAAAATGATGGGAAGTTATTCCCATGATTTTTTAATTTTATTTTTTTCCTCACAATTTTATTAAGTTGTGTAAGACTCTGTATTGGCTGACTGGGGCTAGAGAGCTTCCTATTGGCCTCTGGAAGTATACTGTCATGATACGAGGGGGCTTGTGAAAAGGCCACATGGCAAGAAACTGTGAATAGCTTCTTGAAGCCAAGAGTACACCTTAGGGCTAGGCACGGTGGCTCACACTTGTAATCCCAGCACTTTGGGAGGCTGACGCGGGTGGATTACTTGAGCTCAGGAGTTCGAGACCAGCCTGGGCAACATAGCAAGATCCTGCCTCTACAAAAAAAAAAAAACCACGTTTAAAAATTAGCTGGGTGTGGTGGCGTGTGGCTGTAGTGCCAGCTACCCAGGAGGCTGAGGTGGGAGGATCACCTGAGCCCGAGAGGCCAAGGCTGCAGTGACCCATGACCGCACCACTGCACTCTAGCCTGGGCAATGGAGTGAGACCCTGTTTTCAAAAAAATTTAAAAAAGACTGCCTCTTGGATGGATTAGGAAGAACCTCAGTCCTACAACCACAAACGGACCCCAAGTGCCAGATAACAACACAACCTGGCCAACACTCTGATTGCAGCAGTTTTGTGGAACCCTGACCCAGCTAAGCCATGCCCACACTTGTGACCAATGGAAACTGAGATAATAAATGTGTGTTAAGCCACTATGTGATAATTTGTTACACAGCAATAAAAAACTAATACAGGCTGGGCATGATGGCTCACACCTATAATCCCAGCACTTTGGGAGGCTGAGGTCTGAGCATCCCTTAAGGCCAGGAGTTCAAGGCCAGCTTGTACAACATAGCAAGACCTCGCCTCTCCAAAAAAAAAAAAAAGTTTAGCCAGGTGTGGTGGCACATGCCTACAGTCCTAGCTACCCAGGAGACTGAGGCAGGAGGATCAATTGAGCCCATGAGCTCAAGGCTGCAGTGAGCTATGATTGTGCCACTGCACTCCAACCTGGGCGACAGAACAAGACCTTGTCTATAAAATAAAATAAAAATATTTAAATAAATAAATAATAAAAGAGGGATAGCTAATATAGTCAATATAAGATACTCCCTCCACTTATTATGTTCTACTATGTATTAAATAAAGTGTAAGATGCTGTTGAGGATTGAGCATTCCCTTCTACATATCCTCTAATGATTTACTACTATAACTACCCTGTATTGCCTCCTTATGAGTCATATCACTGTTTACTACCATCCTGTTCATTATTATCTAATGATTACTATCATTTCCATCCTTAAAGTCTCCAGGAATGGAGAGTGGTTGCTGTTGTTTTTAAAAACAAATAACAAAGTCAAATACAATTTTAACAACTTCTACTAAAACCCCATTCAATCATTAACTAAAACATTTATTAAACACTGTGTTTTTAGGTAATATCTTAGTTGTAGAGACACAAAGATGCTGAAGAAATTATCCCTATCCTCAAGGTACACCATGAAACAGATTATAAAACATCTTTATAAACACTAAATATGTGCTTTAGGAAATAATAAAGGACACTGGTAAAGGTAACTGCAGGTGAATACTACAATATGCTTTTGAATTGCAATTCCTCTGTTTTCCCTATATTATTTAAAAGGCAAATGCATAAAAACAATAATTAAAAACTAACAGCCACACAAAGTATAAAGATGGAATCTGTGACAATAACAATATAAAAAGGGAGGAACAGAGATTCAGATGATAGTTATAATCCCCAAGGTAAATACTAAAAACCAAAAAATACATATAAAAGGAAAGAAGGGAATCAAAATAGTATACTACAAATCAACTAAATACAAAAAAGGAAATGATGAAGGATTGAGGAACAAAAAGCACATGACACAAGAAAACAAATAGCTACATAGCAAAAGTAAGTCCTTTCCTATCAGTAATTACTTTAAATGTAAATGGTTTAAACTCTCCAATTGAAAGGCAGAGATTGGCCAAATGGATTTTTAAAAACCTGATCCAACTATACGCTGTAAATAAAAGATTCACTTAGATATAAGGAAATTGGACCTCACCATATATCACATAGAAAAATTTACTCAAGAGGAATCAAATATCTAAATTAAAGAGTTACAACTATAAAACTC
This sequence comes from Homo sapiens, assembly GCF_000001405.40. NCBI lineage: Eukaryota > Metazoa > Chordata > Mammalia > Primates > Hominidae > Homo > Homo sapiens. The sequence goes on from NC_000017.11 coordinate 61,737,434, forward strand.
TTCAAGGAAAACATTAGGGGCAAATATGCATGATGTTGGATTTGCCAGTATTTTCCTAAATATGACACCAAAGCACAGGCAACAAACAAACAAAAAAAACAGATAAACTGGACTGCATTAGAATTTTAAACTTAACTTTTATATTCCATAGAGGCATACAAATATTTTCAAATACTTGTTTAACCATTTATAAAAATGTTAAGAAATCACCCATAATGATGCTCTGACATATTTCAAGTATTTTAGGTATTGACTGCTATATTCTGGGCATTTCCAAATAATAAAAAGCCTTCTTAATCATTATAAAAACTGCATGCGTATACTCTTAAAGCTTGTAACACACCAGTCTTATAAATGGATAACTAACAAATACCTTTTAATTATGAAAAAATGCGATAGTTGAGGACTTCTTTTTGAAGTCATGATTCTAAGTCCTTTGCCATGTGCGGTAGAAATTATCCCTTTTCTCCCCTTCCTTGACTTTGAGATTGTGCATGGACGTGTTTTGGGCAACAGGAGGTTAGCAGATGTGATGTAAATAGGTATTTGACTTAACTGCTTACAGTTAAGCCTGCCCTCTTGTACTACTGCCATTGCAATAATAACATGCCTTGGCTAGTCTGTTGGTCCACAAAGAATGAAATACAGGTGGAACAGAGCTGACTCAGTTGACTTCAACACAGATCAGCCAACTAGGGCAGAGTAGCTGAGCCCAGCTAAAATCGAGAGAGCCAACCAACCAAGCCCAAGCCTAGATCATCTGTCACCCAATCACTCCAGAGATGTATGACCTGTAATAAATGATTGCTGTTTTAAGTCACTAAGTTTTGGAGTTGTTACAGAAGAAGAACTGATCCAGACATATGGCAATAAGAAATACACTTCCCAGTACATCTAGTAGTGCTGGTAAATAATTTCACTTTTTCTATCCCTTGTCCCTGCAGCTTGAACTATTCTTGTGTCCACTCTACTTGTACCTTTTGGGAACCACTAGGGATAACCCTTTAGAACCACCTTCCTCCCCTCTACCCAGAACCCATTGATGCTTCTGTTATTTTGCTGTTTTATGCACATAAGCAGAACTATGACAAATAGGATCATGACTGAGGAATGTCAGAGTAGGCCATCAGGTGTCTTTTTTGCATGACAGACTGAGATATTGTCTAGGAAGAATTTATCCTGAGGAAAAAAAGCATTAAGAACCCCAGATTGGTATAATAACAATGTTCAAAATCATAGCTGTTGAGGCAAAGGTGGAGAAAAGAGAAATGGAATTTTCTCACAAATGTATATTTTTAATTTTAAGAATTTTTGGAAAATAATGAAGAATAACATAATAAATACCTGCATTCTCATATTTTCTTGCAGCTTATTTTCCTTTACTAAAAATTATGGAAAAAGTTAAAATTCTTTTGATAACTACTCTGAATATCATTCCCTTCTCTTCTCCTCATATGTAATCAGAATTATAATCTTGATGATCCTTTCAGGCCTTGTTACTTTGTACGTATAATATTTAGTACAACCTAGTATTAGCCATAAAGTTTTTCTTCTTTTCCAGGTCTCAAGAACTCATATGTAGGGTCCAAGGAAGAGAGAGGACATAGGCAAAAATGGAAATAATTAGTTTTAGGGAACAAAATTGTATTTTATTAAGATATTGGAAGAAGATGTGGTCTAAAGAAGGGAAAAGGATTCTTTCCACTTTAACAAAGCAGCCTTAGTGCAATAATGTAGAGCTAGAGTAAAATGATAAGACATTAAAAGGAGACAATACCAGTACCAACAGCAGTGCCATCAGTAGCACTCTACTTCAGTGGAATGCAGCACCAATGCTGTTGATGGTGACAGTAGATTTCTTGGGTAGATGTCAACTGTTTCATCAGTAGCTGTAGTCAAGGCAGCATCAGCCATTTTAGAATAGGAGACCCAGCTTTGGGCATAGCCATTAGTGCCCTCAGCAGTAGCACTGGTTAACTGGAGAAAGGTAGTAGAAACCACCAAAGTTACTGGAGGCTGAAAAAGTATTAGACTCTGAATCATCAAGTGAGATACCCCCTGAGGACTTTCAGAAATTTTGAAGAGGTCCAGAGGTTACGGAAGAGTAAGGGCTACCAAAAGAAATACTGCTTATTACTGTTAATGTTACCTAAAGACTGCTACGGACTAGAAAAATAAAAGAAAAATTATCTAATTCACAGTACCTAGTAAAGTATTAACAATTAAAAAGATAACTATTCTAATGAAAGAACTCCTGCTTTGGTATGAGACCCTAACTGACTGTATCCTAGGGGGAGGGATATAGGTCATAATCAATAAGTCAGCTCAGTGGTCAGAAAATCTCAAATTTTCTCAGATTGCCAGCACTTTCAAATGCCTGTAGGAAGTAAAAGAAAATCCTCCTTGATGAACAATAAGTTCAACTTAGGCTCAAATTATTACTATAGTTTTTCAAATATATTGTTTAGGAAACAGTCAGTGATAATGAGATACAACTGTTTCTGGCCAAGATTGAGTAACTGGTTTAAGAATATTTCTTCCATTGTAAGTAATCGCATAACCGGGCAAAATGGAGCAATTGTTTTCAGGTAGTAGACACCAAACAGCACAAGACAGTAATTCTGGAGCTAAGTGGAATTCATTAGGTGAACTCCATTATCCCAGTTCTCTGCTTGGGTATAATTTCCTGACCACAGCACAGAGCATTAAAGTACAAGCAGAGCGCAGTGGTCCTGTTGAGCTGAGGTGGAAGAGATCAGAATATGGAGTGACTAAATCACAAGATCTGCAAGGCAGGACACTGGAAAGAAGCGAGCCAGATGGACAAAAGACCCCAGGATTCCCCGGAGGAACCCATGAGTCTGTGGTTAAAAGACTGATAAAACACAAATTGCTGGGCTTCACTTCCACAGTTTCTGATTTGGCAGGTCTGGATGAGCCTGAAAGTCTTTATTTCTATTAAGTTCCCAGGTGATACGAATGCACCTGGCCCAGGACCAGACTTTGAAAATAACTCCTGTTGACCAAAGACAGTATAAGTTGAAAATAAAATAAAATCTGTATCTACTAAATTTTTCTCACTCATTCAGATTCACCAAAGATTTAAAAATGTCTAAGGATACAGGAAAACATATACAGGCATCCCTGAGAGACATTGCAAGTTTGGTTCCAGACCACCCCAATAAGGAGAATATCATAACAAAGTAAGTCACATGAATTTTTTGGTTTCCCAACACATATAAAAGCTATGTTTACACTATACTGCAGTCTATTAAGTGGGCAACAGCATTATGTCTCAAAAGCCAATGTATATACCTTAACTTGAAAATATTTTATTGCTAAAAAAGGTGAATGATCATCTGAGCCTTCAGTGAGTCACTCTCTTTGCTGGTAGAGGGTCTTGCCTCAATGATGACTGCTGACTGATCAGGGTGGTGGTTGCTAACGTTGGAGTGGCTGTGGCAATTTCTTAAAATAAGACGACCATGAAGTTTGCTCTATCATGTGACTCTTCCTTTCACAATAGATTTCTCTGTGGCATAAGATGCTCTTTGATAGCATTTTACCCAACATAAAACTTCTTTCAAAATTGGGGTCAAGCCTCTCAAACTCTGCCGCTGCTTCATGCACTAAGTTTATTTAATATTCTAACTCCTTTGTTGTCATTTCAACAATGTTCACAGCATCTTTACTAAGAATAGTTCCTATCTCAAGAAACCACTTTCTTTGCTCATCCATAAAATGCAACTCCTCATCTGTTCAAGTGTCCTCATGAGATTGCAGCAATTTAGTCACGTCTTAAGCTCCACTTCTAATTTAGTTCTCTTATTATTTCCACCACAGCTACAGTTACTTCCTCCACTGAACTCTTAACTCCCTCAGAGTCATCCAATGAGGGATGGAATCAATGACTTCCAAACTCCTGTAAGTGTTGATATTCTGACCTCCTCCCATGAATCATGAATGTTCTTAATGGCATCTAGAACGGTGAATCCTTTCCAGAAGGTTTTTAATCGACTGTGTCCAGATGCATCAGAGGACTCGCTATCTATAGCAGTTATAGCCTCGTGAAATGTACTTCTTAAGTAATGAGACTTGGAAGTAGAAATTACTCCTTTATTCATTGGCTGCAGAATGGATGTTTTGTTAGCAAGCATGAAAACAACATTAATCTCCTTGTACATCTCCATAGAGTTCTTGAGTGACCACATGTGTGGTTAATGAGCAGTAATATTTTGAAAGGAACTGATTTTTCTGAGGAGTAGATCTCAATAATGGACTTAAAATATTCAGTAAACCATGCTGTAAACAGATGTGCTGTCGTGCAGGCTTTGTTGTTCCATCTATACAGCACAGGCAGAGTAGATTTAGTATAATTCTTAAAGGCTCTAGGATTTTTAAAATGTTAAATGAGCATTGGCTTCAACTTAAAGTCACCAGCTGCACTGGCCCATCACAAGAGAGTCAGCCTGTTCTCTGAAGCTTTGAGGTCAGGCATTGACTTCTCCTCTCTAGCTATGAATGTCCTAGGTGGCATCTTCTTTCAATAGAAGGCTGATTCTTCTACACTGAAAATCTGTTGTTTTGCGTAGCCACCTTCATCAATTATCTTGGCCAGATCTTCTGGATAACTTGCTGTAGCTTCTCCATCAGCACCTGCTGCATTAACTTGCACTTTTAAGTTATGGAGATAGCTTCTTTCCTTAAACCTCATGAAACAACCTCTGCTAGCTTCAAACTTTTCTGCAGCCTCCTCACCTCTCTCAGCTTTCACAGAATTGAAGAGAGTTAGGGCCTTGCTCTGAATTAAGTTTTGGCTTAAGAGAATGTTACGGACAGTTTGATCTTCTTTCCAGACACTAAACCTTTCTCTATATCAGTAATAAGACTGTTTGCTTATTATTTGTACATTCACTGGAGTAACACTTTTAATTCCTTTGAAGAACTTTTCCTTTGCATTCACAATATGGCTAATTGGTTGGTGCAAGAGGCCTAGCTTTTGTCTTGTCTCAGCTTTCAATATGCCTTGCTCACTAAGCTTAATCATGTCTCGCCTTTGATTTAAAGTAGGAAGCATGCAACACTTCCTTTCACTTGAACACTCTGGGGCCATTGTAGGGTTATTAACTGGCCTAATTTCAGTATTGTTGTGTCTCAGGGAATGGAGAGTCCCAAGGAGAGAGAAATGGGGGAAGGGTAGTCAGTGGAGCAGTTAGAATACATACATCACTTATGAATTACGTTTGCTCTCTTATGTGGGTACAGTATGAGATGCCCCAAAACAATTACAATAGTAACATCAAAGATCACTTATCACAGATTACCCTAACAGTATAATAATAATGAAAAGGTTTGAAATATCGTGAGAATTAACCCAAATGTGAAACAGAAACAAGTGACCACATGCTGTTGGAAAAATGGTGCTGAAAGACTTGCACAATGCAGGGTTACCATAAACCTTCAATTTGTAAAAAAGCACTATAAAAGCAAAGCGCAATAAAATGAGGGATCCCTGCAATTAACTTTATACAAAACCAATGACTCCTGTAATAATAAAACTTAAGGTTTTGATGGCCTACCTGTAGATCTTTCACATTTGGAAAAGGAATTCCTATTGTTATGACAGCACGGGCATTGTCATCTGAGAAATCCAGACCCTCACTCACTTTACCACGACAAACTGCTACCAGGAGAGCTCCATCTTAAACAACAGAAAAAAGCATATCCAAAATTCTCAGAAATTGCTTATTCTTGTCATTTTGAAAATACCTGATTTATAATTATAGTAATTACAGTAGCAAATTTAAAATAATCAAAATAAAACACTATTATGAGATAAAGTTTTAAAAGTTCAATGTCTTTAAGTAAATAAGGGGAACAAAATTACATTTATATGCAAAAGGGTAGCAAACCAATTTACAAACTCTGCATCTTCCAGATAACTTATACAGTAAAAACATGTCAGAATAGCAACTTGCATATGAACTGTGTGATTATAAACAGGTTTATTTAATAAAAATTGAAGTTGCATTATTACCTTTACCACCTGAAAGTAAAATTCTCAGAATAATTGAAATAATTGTAATTGATAATACATATCATATGGAATCAATATATTTAAAAGTATTGAAAACAGACACAGAGAACACCATAATATATACACCATAAAAAGATACTGATATGTTATATTACCTCTTTCTTGCATTGTTCATAAACTACTACTATCCCTTCACATCAAACTTTTTTATTTTATTTTATTATTTTTTGTGTGTGAGACAGGGTCTCACTCTGTCAGCCAGGCTGGAGTGCAGTGGCACAATCACAGCTCACTGCAGCCTTGACCTCCTGGGCTCAGGTAATCCTCCCACCTCGGCCTCCTAAGTAGTTGGAACTATAGGCACATGCACCACACCCTGCTAATGTTTGTACTTTTTGTAGAGACAGGATTTCACCATGTTGCCCAGGCTGGTCTCGAACTCCTGGGCTCAAGTGATCCACCCGCCTCAGCCTCCCAAAGCGCTAGGATTACAGGCAAGAGCCACCACGCCCGGCCTCACATCAAACTCTTCATGGATATGCTCTAACTTGGAATTGAGTTTTCAGTTATGTTTTGAAAATTCAAGTTTACCTTATGTAATAGAATACAAGCACCAAGTGTACTAAATGCATCAGAATATAGGTCTCATTTGGCTAGTAAGGAATATATTTATATATATCCTAACTGCCTTTTTGCACAAACTATTTCAGGTAGTGCACTGAAGACTGTGAGATGATGGCATCGTTTTTCTTAAAGTTGAATCAGCATACTCAAGTGAAAATATTCATAGGAGAACAAGTACAATTAAAAGAATTTCTTTACCCAATTTATTTTCTTTTCACTCAGGATTATAATTTTTCTCTTAAGTGTAATTCATCTAAAAATATAAAATTATAATTGTACCTTCTTACTTTGTAATAAAAAATATTTTTTCACCGACCATGAAATAATTTCCAGTTACCTTTCTCTCCTTTGTATTTGATTGCGTCATAGTACACCTGCAGTAATTCATCAAAATTTGTTTTTTCTCCTCCCTGTGGTTCTACAATGACTGTCTTCACCAACTCCAGATTATGCCATAAACCAGTAGAGAGCCAACGTTCTTTTAATTTTTCTAATAACTAAAGAGGGGAAAGAAAAAAATGATTTTTTGTGTGTCTAGCTAAACAAACTTAACTTCATTTGTTTAAGCCAATGTGACTACGGCAAGTATATTAATCTCTCTGTGTCTTTTCTCATTTATAAAATGAGGAAAACAATATATCTCATAGAGCTGTTATGGGGTTAAATTTATTAACAGATTTAGAGAGATCTGAATGGTGCTGGCACAGTTAGCTGCTGCTGCTGCTACTACTACTATTATCTTGGCAATTTCTACCACTACTACTGCTACTACTACTATTACTACTACTACTTCTACTATTATCTTGGCAATTTCTACCACCACCACCACTACTACTACTACTACTACTATCTTGGCAATTTCAAAAGCAAAAGCAAAAAACAAAAAACCTCTGTCAAAGTTAACAAACTTTAAGTTCTCTCTTTAAACCTAAGGTGAAGTTTCTTAATATTCTTAAATAGTCTTCAAATGAAGATGATTTAAGATCATTTTACTAAGTGTATAGGCAGATAAGCTCATTATTTGAATATTTGATCATCATTAATAACCTGCATTGAAAAAAGATAGAAATAAAGACTCAGCCAAGAAGTAGAAAATATATGGGCACAAATGGAACATTTACAGCCATGGGCTAGATTACAAAAGGACATTCAACAAATTTTAAGCAATCCTTATCATATTGATCACATATTTCAACAGTTATGCCATGGTAGATTAAAAGTCAATAATATAAAGTCATGGTAGATTAAAAGTCAAGCCCAAAACAAAAACTCATCTTGATTGATTGATTGATTTTAGAGACAGGGTCTCTGTCACCCAGGCTGGAGTACAGTGGCAAGATCATAGCTCAGTGCAGCCTCGAACTACTAGGCTCAGGCAATCCCTCCACCTTAGCCTCCTGAGTAGCTGGGACTACAGGTGCATGCCACTACACCCAGCTAATTTTTATATTTTGTGTAGAGATGAGATCCTGCTTTGTTGCCCAGGCTAGTCTCAAACTTCTGGTCTCAAGGGATCCTCCAGACTCAGCCTTCCACAGTGCTGAAATTACAGGTGTGAACCAACACACGTGGCTGTAAAACTCATATTCTTAAAAACCATATGAGTTAAATAGAAAAAACACAGTATAACTCATGAAATCTTTAGTTATGAATAAGAAAAGCACTCACAATTCGAAACATGTGGCATACAGCAATGGCAATACATGGAAATACATTTATAGCTTTAAATATATTTATTTTTAAAATGTCAAAATAAAAGAATCAAGTATTCTTTCCAAGAAGCTAGAAAATGAAATATAGCAAATGCAAAGAAAGAAGTTAATAATAAAGCTGAATAAATGAAAAAGACAAAAGCTAATATTAGAGATTATTATTTAAATTGAACTGTTTTATCCACTTGTTATATACTATGAGTTCTACACAATTTGGACAAGTTATTATAAGAAACCACCCAAAATTCTCTGGAAAACAGCAACTGATCAATTTTTATAAGATAGTTTATTTCCTCAATTTTACCTTTAACTATTTTTAGAAATAAACTTCTTAATAAGACTATAAAACAAAACATTAGTAAAATAGTTAACTGCTGTACAATATGCTTTAATTAAATAGGAAGAACTACTTTAATTCCATAAACACAGCTAAGAAGTTATTATATTACTTTTTATTCTCCAGAAAGACATCAAGGGAGGAATAGAGGAACAAAAAAGCTGTAGTTAGACAGAAAACAATTATTGAAATGATAATAATGTCTTTCCCTATCGGTCATTACTTTAAATGTAAATGGATTAAATTTTCTAATCAAAAGATATAAAGTAGCTGGATAGATAAAAACGCTGTCTGCAAGTGACTCACTTTAAATTTAAGGATACCCATAGGCTGAAAGTGAAGGGATAGAAAAAGATATTACTTATAAATGGTAACCAAAAGACAGCAGAGGTGGCAATTCTAAGATACTAAATAGATTCTAAGTCAAAAATTGTCACAAGAGACAAAAAAAAAGGACATTATATAATGATAAATGGGTCAATTCACTGGGAATATTTAACAACTATAAATATACACACAACCAACATCAGAGCACCCAAATATAGCAAGCAAATAGTGATTGTACTGAAGAGAGAAATAAACAGCAATATAAGAGGAGTAGGAAAGTCATATATCTAACCTTCAGTAATGAATAAAACATCCAAACAGAAGATCAACAAGGAAACGGAACTTGAACAATACTAGAGACCAGATGGACCTGACATATATAGAACATTTTACCCAACAGCAGCAAAATACATATTCTTCACAACTGTACATGGAACATTCTCTAGGACAGATCATGTGTTAGGTAACAAAGCAAGTCTTAACAAATGTAAGATAAAAATTAATACCAGGTATCTTTTGCAACCACAACAGAATCAAACTAAAATTCAGTATCAGAAAGAAAACCAGCAAATTTACAAAAATATGAAAATTAACACACTTTTGAACAACCAATGAATGGGTCAAAAAAGAAATCAAAAGGAAAGTTATGAAATTATCTTGAGACCAGTGGAAAAAAAACCACAACATACCACAAGTAAGAAATACACCAAAAGCAGTACTAAGAGGAAAGTTTATAGCGGTAATGCCAACATTAAAAAAGAAAGATCTCAAGTAACCCAATTCTACACTTCAGGGAACTAGAAAAAGAACAAAGTAAATACAAAGTTTGCAGAAGGAAAGAAATATTAAGATTAGAGCAGAAATAAAATAGGGAACAGAAAAACAATTTAAAAAGTTGGTTTTTGAAAAGATCAACAGAATTGACAAGTCTTTACCTAGATTGGTTAAGGAAAAAAAAAAGAGAAAATCAGAAATGAAAGAAGACACACTGATGCCACCGATACAATAAAAGACTACTCTGAAAAATTATATGCCAATAAATTGGATAAAATAGATGAAATGGACAAATTCCTAGTAATATACAACCTACTAAGACTGAATAATGAAGAAACAGAAAATCTGAACAGACTAGTAAGGAGACTGAATCAGTAACAAAAAGTCTCCCATCAAAGAAAAGCTAAGGACCTAAATGGCCTCAATACCGATTCTACAAAACATTTTTATTTATTTAATTTTATTAATTTTTTATTTTCATTTCTTTGCTAATTAATTAATTTATTTTTGAGATACACTCTTGCTCTGTCACCCAGGCTGGAGTGTAGTAATGTGATCATAGTTCACTGTAACCTCAAACTCCTGGGCTCAAGCAATCTTCCTACTTCAGCCTCCCAAGTAGCTAGGACTAGAGGCATGAGCCACCATGCCCTGGTAATTTTTTTTTTTTTTTTGTAGGTATGGAGTCTCACTATATTGCCCAGGTTGGTCTTGAACTCCTGGCCTCAAGTGCTCCTCCTGCCTTGGCCTCCCAAAGTGCTGGGATTACAGGTGTGAGCCACTATGCACAGTCCTCTATGAAACATTTAAAGCAGGGGTCCCCAACCCCCAGGCCACAGAATACTGGTAGAATCCAGGCTGCACAGCAGGAGGTGAGTGGCAGGTGAGTGAGCATTACTGCCTGAGCTCAGTCTCCTGTCAGATCAGCAGCAGCATTATATTCTCATAGGGGTACAAACACTATTGTGAACTGTGCTTGCAAGGGATCTAGGTTATATGCTCCTTATGAGAATCTAATGCCTGATGATCTGAGGTGGAACAGTTTCATCCCGAAACCATCACCCCCACCCCCAACCCAGGTCTGTGGAAAAGCTGTCTTCCACAAAACCAGTCCCTGGTGCTAAGAAGGTTGGGGACCATTGATTTTAAAGACTAATACAAATGTAGATTCAATGTAACTCCTATCAAAATCCCAATGACATTTTTTACAGAAACAGAAAAAAATACAAAAATTAATATGCAACCACAAAGGACTTGGAATAATCAAAACAATCTTGAGAAAGAACAACAAAGCTAGAGGCATCGTGCTTCATGACACTTACATCTTACAAACCCACCATAATCAAAATAGTAATTGCATTGCCATAAAGACAGACATATAGACCATTGGAAGAGAATAGAGAGCCTGGAAATAAATCCACACATGTATGATCAACTGATCTTCAGCAAGGGTGCCAAAAATACATAATGGGGAAAGGACAGTCTCTTCAACAAATAGTTCAGGGCAAACAATATCCACATGCAAAAGAATAAAACTGGACCTTTATCTTACACAATACACAAAAGTTCACTCAAAATGGATTAGACTTAAATGTAAGATTTCAAACTGTTGGCTGGGCGCAGTGGCTCATGCCTGTAATCCCAGCACTTTGGGAGGCCAAGGCGGGCAGATCACGAGGTCAGGAGATTGAGACCATCCTGGCTAACACGGTGAAACCCCATCTCTACTAAAAATACAAAAAATTAGCCGGGCATGGTGGCGCACGCCTGTAGTCCCAGCTACTCGGGAGGCTGAGGCAAGAGAATCGCTTGAACCTGGGAGGCGGAGGTTGCAGTGAGCCAAGATCACGCCACTACACTCCAGCCTGGCGACAGAGCGAGACTCTGTCTAAAAAAAAAAAAGACTTGAAACTGCAAAACTCTTAGAAAAAAACACAGGAGAAAATTTTTGTAACATTGGATTTAACAATGATTTTATGCATATGACATAAAAGCACAGGCAATAAAAGTAAAACCTACGATTGGGACCACAACAAACTAAAAGGTTTCTGCAAAGTAAAGGGAAAAAAAAGAGTGGAAAGGCAACCTAAAGGATGAGAAAAAATATCTGCAAACCATATATCTGATAAGGGGTTAATATCCAAAATATATTAAGAAACCCAATATTAAAAAAAAATTGAAAAACAGGCAAAGGACATGAATAGACAGTTCTCCAAAGAAGACATACAAATGGTTAACAGGTATATGGAAAGATGCTCAACATCAGTAATTATCAGGGAAATGCAAATCAAAACCACGATGAGATATTGGTTCACAGCTGTTCGGAAGGCCATTATTTAAAAAAGTAAATAAAATAACTATTAGTGAAGATGTTGTGATATTGGAATCCTTGTGTATTGCTGGTGGGAATATAAAACAGTATAGCCACTGTGGAAAACAGAAAAGGAAATAAAAATCAAAATAAAACAGTATATATAGAAATGTTTTATGGGTTTCAATATACAAGTCTTTTACCTCCTTAAGTTTATTCCTAAGTGTTCTATTTGTTTTGATACTACTGCAAATGGAAATGTTTTCCTAATTTGCTTTTCAGACAGTTTGTTGTCAGTGTATAGAAATACAACTCATTTTTGTATGTTAATTTTGCATATTGCAACTTTACTCAATTTATTAGTCCTAACAGGTTTTTTAAAAATAAGATCTTTAGGAAAGATCACGTCTGTAAATAAGGACAATTTTACTTTTTCCTTTCCCATTTGGAAGACTTTTATTCCTTTTTCTTGCCTAACTGCTCTGGCTAGGAATTCTAGTACTACGTTATACAGAAATGGCAAGAGTGGGCATCCTTGCCCTGTTTCTGATCTTAGAGGAAAACCTTTCAGTTTGCACCACTGAGTATGCTACGAGCTTCTTACATATGACCTTTATTATATTAAATTTCCTTCTATTCCTACCTTGTTGAGAATTTGTATCATGAAAGTGTGCTGCATTTTGTCAAATGCTTTTTTGCATTATTGAAACAATGCATGAAGATTCTTTTCAGCAGATGGTGTTGAGAAAACTGGATCACCACATGTAAAAAGAATGAAGTAACACCTTGCCTACATAATAAAAATTAACTCAACATTGGTCAAAGACATTACTGTAAGAGCTAAAAAATATAAAACTCTAAAAGAAAAAAATAGAAGGCTTTATGACCTTGGATTTGGCAATGATTTGTTGGCTGTGGCATCAAAAGCATAAGTAACTAAAGAAAAATACAGATAAACTCGGATTTCATAAAAAATTATAAAACTTTTTTGGATACTGTCAAGAAAGTTAAAATGATAGTACACAGAATGCAAAGCATATGGCTGATAAAAGATTAATATCCAGAAGATATAAAGAACTACAACTCAACAACGAAAAAACCAAACAGATTCAAATATAGGCAAAGGACTTTAATAGACATTTCTTGAATGATTAAAAAAAAAAAAAAGGCCCAAAGGACATGAAAAGATGCTCAACATCCTTAGTCATTAGGAAACTGCAAGTCAAAACCACAATGAAGTCCCACTTCACTTAGTATAACTGCTGTCCAAATAAGTAAGTGTTGCAAGGACACGCAGAAACTGTAACTGTCACACATTGCTAGTGGCAATGTAAAATGGTACAACTGCTGAGGAAAACAGTCTGGCAGTTCCTCAAAAGTTCATAGGCATAGAATTACCATATGATCCAGCAATTCCACTCCTAAGTATATAACCCCAAATATCTGAAAGTACTAGGATCCAAACAAACAGCTGTATGCTGATGTTTATAGAAGCATTATTCCCAATAACCAAATAGTGGAAACAACTCAAGTGTCAATCAACAGATGAATAAACAAAATGTATGACCTACGTGCAATGGAAAATTATTCAACTATAAAGGAATGAAATTCTGACAAATGCTTGAATATGGATAAACCCATAGTAAGTGAAAAAAGCCACTGTATTTTTGTACACAAAGTACAAATATTATATGATTTCACTTATATGAGGTACCTAGAATAGACAAATTCTTAGAGATGGGAAGTAGAACAGAGGTTACCAGGGCCTGAGGGAAGGGGCTAAACAGGAGTCATTGTTCCATCAGTACAGTTTCTGACTGGGATGATTGAAAAGTTTTGGAAAGGGATACTGGTGATGGTTGTACAACATCATGAATGTACTTGATGGCACTAAGTTGTACACTTAAAAATGCTTAAAAGGTAAATTTTATGTCATGTGTATTTTACCACAATTTTAAAAATTGAAAAGAACACACAAATGAATACTATTTAGTAACATAAATAAATGAACTAGTTTCTCACATATTAACCAGGATGAATCATAAACTTCTAGATGTTGAGTAAAAAATGCAAATACAGATAGATAACAAATATGATTTCATTTATATAAAGTTCAAAAACAATATGTTCTTTGAGAAAAATATATATAACTTTAAAAAACTCATGAAACTAATACCTTTAGCTTTAGGGGGATACAATTGGGAAGGAACAAATGGAGGATTTTTTTTTTTGAGACAGAGTCTCGCTCTGTCACCCAGGCTGGAGTACAGTGGTGCGATCTCGGCTCACTGAAATCTCCGCCTCCTGAGTTCAAGCAATTCTCCTGTCCCAGCCTCCTGAGTAGCTGGGACTACAGGCGGACACCACCACACCTGACTAATTTTTGTATTTTTAGTAGAGACGGGGTTTCACCATATTGGTCAGGCTGGTCTCGAACTCCTGACCTCAGGTGATCCACCCCTCAGCCTCCCAAAGTGCCGGGATCACAGGCATGACCCACTGCGCCTGGCCAGATGGAAGCTTCTAATGTAGAAATAATGTTCTATTTCTTAAGCTGGGTGATGGATACTCAGATCTCCATTTTATTATTATTTAAAATGTACATATTAGTTTTGTAGACTTATATACACACATATTTCACAAATATAAAATATAAAAATTAAACAACATTAGTCTGATTATTAATATGATGAGTTAGAGGAGGGGTTATAACAGGTACATTTAGGCTACTAATATAGTAATCCAGAGATGGTGGTAGCTTGAATTAGAAAGAGTTAAGAAAAAAAATGCAAACCTTGAGAATAAGATAAAAAAGAAACAGTACAAACTTTCCATTTCAAATGGAGGCAAAGGCCCACTAGAAGATTATCTAGGGAAATACACTTTGTTGAACTCACTGTTCACTATTAATTAAGGTTCCAGACTTAGCAAAATTATATTTCAACTTAGATATTTTTGTCTAATACAAATACAAATCATTTCTGTTCAGGAGAAAAGATAACCCTAAAAGTTACTATTTATTGCCCTGTAGTACATCAACCAGTTTTCTTATAGTCTATTCCTTTATTAAATTGCCTACAAGTACGTGAATCCTTAAATGCTCTCTGAATAGGCCAATCATCATACTTTTTCTTCATTAATCAGTGAGTTTAATAAAATCTGTGATAGGTGTTAACTTTATATGTGAGCTATGACTTTATCTTTTTGAAAATTAACTGTAGAGAAAGAAAAGTGAACAGATTATAAAAA
Organism: Homo sapiens; assembly: GCF_000001405.40. NCBI lineage: Eukaryota > Metazoa > Chordata > Mammalia > Primates > Hominidae > Homo > Homo sapiens. The sequence continues at coordinate 61,752,805 of NC_000017.11, forward strand.
TACTTAAAATTAAAATGAGTAAGATATGGTGTTGGATGGGACATGACAGGGAAGGGAGAAAAAGGTTCACAGGTGCTCTGTAGGTATATGATTAGCCCAAATATGATTACAGTACCTGCTATGTTTTGAACATTTGTCCTCTCCAAAATGTTGAAATTTAATCTCTAATGTGGCAGCATTGAGAGGTGGGGGATTTTAAGAGGTGACAGGGTAACAAGAGTGCTGCCCTCATGAATGGATTTGTCCAGTCATGTATTAATGGCTTATCATGGGAGTGGGACTAGTGGCTTTATACAAAAAGGAATAGAGACTCGAGCTTGTATACTCAGCCTCCTTGCCCTGTGATACTCTGAGCCACCCTGGGACTCAGCAGAGAGTTCCCACCAGCAAGAAGGCCCGCACCAGATGCAGCCTCTCAGTCTTGAACTTCTCAGCCTCTGTAACTGCAAGAAATAAATTCCTTTTAAAAAATAAATCACCCAGTTTCAGGTAGTCTGTTACAAGCAACAGAAAATGAACTAAGACAGTACCATTCATTCATACAGGCAACACTGGCAAAGGACCAAGACTGGAAGGAAAGATTAAAAGTTTGTTGCCTTTAAGATATCCAAATGGAAATGTTGATATGGCAGTTGGGTATATGGGCATAGTACTTAAGGAAGAAGTCAGAATTTAATTATATATTAGGAAAGCATGACAAAAGATAAAACTAAAAAAGAATGTATAGAGATGAGATTGCCTAGTGGGAGAGTACAGATTTAAAAGGGGGGACCAGCAAGAAAATCTTATTTCCTCTCCATTTTTTTTTTTTTTTAGAGATGGGATCTCACTCTGTTGCTCAGGCTGAAGTGCAGTGGTGTGATCACAGCTCATTGTAGCCTCACATTCCTGGGCTCAAGCGATCCTCCCACCTCAACCTCTCAAGTAGCTGGGACTACAGGTATGCACTGCCATGTCTGGCTTGAAAAGAACAACAACAACAACAACAACAAAAAACCAGAGAGGGTCTTGCTGTGTTGCCAAGGCTGGTCTCAAACTCCTGGACTCAAGCACTCCTCCACCTTGGCTTCCCAAAGGGATTATATGCATGAGCCACCACACCCAGCCCCTCATCTCTACTACTGCTCATCCAATTCATCAGCAAATCCTGCCAGCACTACTTTTAAATTTATCTAGACTCTAAACATTTCTCACTATCTTTACTGCTACCACAGTGGTCCAAGCCACCACCATCTATCATCTAGATTACAGCAGACTCCTTAACAGTCACCCTTGCTTCAGCCTATGCTCTCTACAGTCCATTTTCCATACAGCAGCCAACATAATCCTTTTAAAACTAAGTTTAAACCCTCCAATGGCTTCCTACTGCATTTAGAACAAAATCTAAATTCTTACTGTGGTGTGATTTTACCCAGCTATTTCTTTGGCCGTATCTCCTTCAATTCCCCATACTTCAGTCCTACTCTGCTACAATGGCTTCCTTTTGCTCAAACTAGGTACTCTCCTGTCTCAAGATTCCCACTATCTGAACATTCTTCCCCCTAAATCAGAATGGTTTGCTTCCTCTCTTCCTTTACACTTTTACTCACTGTCACCTTCTCAGATAGGCCTTCCCAAACCATCCAATTAAATTCTAAATGAGCACCCTCCAGCCCCCACCCAAAAAAATTCCAACCCCAGGATCCTCTTTTCCCCCTTTCCTTGCTTTAGTTTTCTACATAGCACTTATCACCATCTGTATTAGTCCCCTCAGGCTACCACACAAAAATATCAGACTGAATGGCTTAAACAAAAGAAATTTATTTCTTACAGTTATTAGTTTAAGCCACAGATTGAGTGGCTTAAACAAGAGAAATTTATTTCTTACTTCTTGGCTATGAAGTCCAAGATAAAGGTGCCTGTTAACTTGATTTCTGGTTAGGGCTCTCTTCTTGGCTTGCAGACAGCCACCTTCTGTGTCCTCACATGGCCTTTCCTCTCTATTCAGAGAGGAACAGGGAGAGAGAGCAATGAAGTTTTCTGGTGTCTCTTCTTATAAGAACACTAATCCTATCAGATAAGGAAGGCCCTTACAGCCTCATTTAACCGCAATTACTTCCTTAGAGGCCCCATCTCCAAATATAACCACACTGGGGGTTAGGGCTTCAACATAAAAAATTTGGTGGTATACAAACATTCAGTCCATAATATCATCTAACATATTAGTAGCTTTCTGTGTCTCTCATTTATTTTCTGTCTCTCACCCTGGAATACAAAAGGACAATGATTTTTGTCTGTTTTACTTACTGCTGATTGCCCAGTGCATAGAACAGTACCTTACATATAGAAAGTGGTCAGTAAATACTTTTTGAATGAATTTTATAAATGAATGAAAAATGAAGGTCCAAAACAATGGAAGGTCAGGGAGGAGAGTAGGGAGGGGTAAAACATAACTGTAAAACCAGATGCCCAAGTCCTTAATAAAAGAAGAGTTGGCTGGGTGCAGTGGCCCACACCTGTAATCCCAGCACTTTGAGATGCTGAGGCTGGAGGATCACTTGAGCCCAGGAGTTCAAGACCAGCCTGGGCAACTTGGCAAAACCCTGTATCTACAAAAGTACAAAAATTAGCTGGGTGTGGTGGTGTGTGCCTGTGATCCCAGTTACTCAGGAGGCTGAGGTGGGAGGACTGCTTGAGCCCTGGAGGTTGAGGCTGCACTGAGCTGTGATCATGCCACCGTACTCCAGCCTGGGTGATAGAGTGAGACCCTATCTGAAAAAACAAATAAAAATAAAATATTAAAAATAAGAGTATCCAGATGCTTTGTAAGATGACAAAGATGAGGGGGAAAGAAGGGTATGACTAAAAGACATGAGCAAACAGACTAGCTAGACTAGACTAGTTTTCTCTTGGTGAGACTTTGTTCATTCATTCCTTCCTCCCTTCCTTTCTTCTCCCCTCCCTTCCGGAAGAAAACAGACAGGTAAAGATTTAGAAAGAACAATGGAGAGTAAATAGGATACTAAGTCTGAGATACTGCAAGTTACGAGAGGAAAGGATGGTCACAATTTGGAAGGTCTGACGAAGTGGTATGTCCTCTGGGTCTATCCGGATTTTAGTTCGGGCAAAGAGCTATGAGGAACACTTCATAAAAGGGAGAATTTGGTGACTATGACACATTTCCACAGAACACAATGTGTTTTATTTTAATTTCTTCAGTGGAGATTTTTTTTAAAGTACCTTAAAACCTTTTGTTAAGGATTACACAGGGGCTACATGCAAATTTGGAGTACAATTCTATAGCAAAAACATACTGGTTATTTTAGTGAAAATGGCCTACAGCAAATTTTCAGTTTCAGATAACAAAATATTTAGGTCTACAGCTTTTATATTCTCATTGCAGGTGACACTTGAATTACACATTTAGACAGCTTAACTATTTCTGTCTTGCCAGAGAAATCACATAAATAAACACAAAAATAACTCAATTGTTAAATTCTCTTAGGTATCCTAACTAGGCACCTAAAAACTAACTTAAAGGAAAGTACGATGACACAGAGCTGTCTCTCAGGTCTTATGGCTTACATATATGAAAAATGTGAGGTATCTTTGTTGAAAATATCCTACTTAATAGCTCATAAAGGGTAAATACTATTCATATAGGGAGACCAGCCAACATATAGTGATAGAGATGATTTAATTTACTAATTGGTGTTCACATCACTTCAATTTGTTAACCTCAGAGGCAATTTTTTTTAAAGTCAGATCTCACAAACTAAAAGACACTTTAGAATGCCCATGTCTTATCTGGATATTGTCATTTTACTTTGTCAAACTTCTTTAAAACTAGTATTTCGCTAGGGAGGGAATAAGTTAGAATGCAACCTAGTGGGGAAATCCTGCATTTGCTCAATGTCCATAGCTTTTACACAGTTCCAGATGTTCAGTACATTAATAATACACTAACTCAAAGCCTCTTTTTGAAACTTTAGAAAGTGCAAATTGCATTAAGACCTCTTTGCCCTCATTAGTGGTATTGTTACAATCCCAGTCCTCTGGAAAATGTTTTTTGGCATGTGTTTAACTTTATAATATTGCCATTTACTCACTTTAATAGCCAGTACTCAAGTCTTAATGCTTTTAATAGGCCTGCCTAAACAGACTACCATCTTTTGTAATCTTACTCACATAATTTATTTCATAAGTAGAACCTGGTATATTTTTCCATCTAAAGATGATTCTTCATTATTCATTTCATGAGGTACTCATATGTTTTAAATGTTTACTTTCTTTTATTCAGTTGATATGTACCCATATGTGGCATATGTTAGAAATAAAAAAGAGTTCCTTTTAAATACTAATAAAAATGAAAAAGTAGTAGTGTTTTTTAAATAACTTTTTTAGTTACAGTAAAAATGAATGTCCTTAATTTTTGCTAAATACAAACTGAAAATATAAGAAAACCAAGAATATGAATTTCTATTGAAACAGCTTCCTGTTTGGTGATATTTGACTCAGCACTTTCACCTCAAGAGGCTGGGTTATATTTCAGAATCAAACTTTCAATGAACACAGGTGCAGTTGGAGGTGCACTTGGAGGAATAATATAGACAAATACTGCCCTAAAGTGAAAGTAAGACCTCTGTTGGCAATCTAACTGGAAATGAAGATCCTACAGCCCTCTCTGAAAAGGAACACTCTCTCTCATAAATTAGTTAAAATACTGAGGACTCTGAAAATGTCAGAGCTGCACTACTAGTGCAGTAATGCACTAGTGACACCTGATTTACAGTTACTTCTTGATACATTCTGATAAAAATATACAATGATATTTACAATGCAAAAAACTTCAAAAAATGACATTTGTAAAACAACTAACATATTTACACATGAAATTCTACTTTCCTGAAATCATGTGAAAAGAAAACAATAAAAGCCAGACGCGGTGGCTCACACCTGTAATCCCAGCACTTTGGGAGGCCAAGGCAGACAGATCTCTTGAGCTCAGGATTTCAAGACCAGCCTGGGCAACATGGCTAAACCCCATCTCTACAAAAAAAATAACTGGGCATGGTGGTATGTTCCTGTAGTCCCAGTTACCCAGGAGGCTGAAGTGGGAGGATCACCTGAGCCAGGGAGGTAAAGACTACAGTGAGCCAGTGATTGTACCACCACATTCTAGCCTGGGCAACAGAATGAGACACTGTCTTGAAAAAAAAAAAGAGAAAAAAGAAAAGAAAACAATAAGAACTCAATACTATGTTATGTATGGAACAAATTCTTAACTCTTTGAAACATAAATTCTGAATTACTGTTGTTTCATCAACAGTTAATTCATCAATGTCTAAAGTAATCATTTAGTTAAAATGTATATAATCTGACTTGTTTTGCTTTTTAAAAATGAAGAACTGTTGACTGAGTTAATAATGTTGGCTAAAATCTGAATGTATAAACTTATTCACACAAATTCAACTATATGTTTCATTCTTTTCCTGAATAGATTAACTGTAGGCGAAAAAGGCAACTCGTTTTCTATACTTCTGTAAATGGGCTAATAATTAAACTATAATGAAGTCAGTGCTCTTGCACTATTAGAATTCAGGCTGAGGGAAGCAGATGAATAAGAAGCAACCACTATAATGTTACCTAAAAGTTACTACTTTCAAGTATTGCCATCTGAATCTGCTGTAAATTTGTTGCTCTAAAACTTGAAAGAAATTTTTTGGAGAAAGCATCGCTTCACAATCTAGTGAATAAGATCCAAAAGAAAAATATTTAAATTACAGTGCAGTGCATAACAAACATAGAAAGGCCTCAAGGCATACCACTACAGGAAACCATCAAATCACAAAGGAAGACAGCAAGAGAAATAAAGAAACAAAGTACCTACACAACAACTAGAAAATAATTCACAATGCTGGGTGGGCGTGGTCACTCATGCCTGTAATTCCAGCACTTTAGGAGGCTGAGGCAGAAGGATTGCTTGAGGCCAAAGGATTGCTTGAAGCCAGGAGTTTAAGACCAGTGTGGGCAAAACAGCAAGACCCTATCTCTAAAAAAAAAAAAGTTTTTAAAAAATGTATCTGGGTGTGGTGGCACATGCCTGTAGTACCAGCTACTCAGGAGGCTGAGGTTGATCCCTTCAACCCAGGAGTTCAAGGTTATAGTGACCTATGATCACACCCCTGCACTCTGACCTGGGTGACAGAGCAAGACCCTGTCATAAATAAATAAATAAATAAATAAATAAATAAATAAATGGCAGTAATAACTCTTTACCTTTCAATACCTACCTTGAATGTAAATGAATTACACTCTAGCAAAAAGACATAGAGTCTTAATTCCCAGAGCAATTTAGAAAGAGTAAGAAAAGAAGATCCAACTATATGCTGCCTACAAGAGATTTGCTTTTAAGGATGCACAGAGGCTGAAAGTGAGCAGCTGAAAAAAGCTATTCAACAAAATGGAAACCAAAAGAGAGTGGGGTTATCTATACTTACATAAGACAAAATAGACTAAGTCAAATACTGTAAAAAGAAACAACGAAGAACATTATTTAACAAAAAAAGGTCAATTCATCAAGAGGATATAACAATTGTAAATACACATGCACCTAACATCAAAGTACCTAAATATATAAAGCAAGTATTAAAGGATCTGAAAAGAGAGATAGATTCTAATACAATAATAGTAGGAGACATTGATACCCCACTTTCAACAATGAACAAATCATCCAGACAGAAAATATATTTAAAAACATTGGACTTGAATAAATTTAGACCAAATGGACCTAACAGGCATTTACAGGCATACCTTGGAGATATTGTAGGTTCAGTTTCAGACCACCACAATAAAGCAAATATCACAATAAAGTGAGTCATACATTTTTGTTACCCATCATATATAAACGGTTAATGTTTATACTATACTGCAGTCTATTATGTGTACAAGTGGCATTATGTCTAAAAAAATACATACCTTAATTTTAAAATACTTTATTGCTAAAAAAATGCTGACACAGAGACATGAAGTGAGTACATAGTATTGGAAAAATGGTGACAATAGACTTGCTTGACACAGGGTTGCCACAAACCTTTAATTTATGAAAAAAAAAAAACCCAGAATATTTGCAAAGTGCGATAAAGCAAAGCACAATAAAATAAGGTATTCCTGTACAGAATATCCCATTCAAGAGCAACAGAATACACATTCTTCTCAAATACCATAAAATAGTCTCCAGGATAGATTATATATTAGGCCATGAAACAAGTTTTAACAAATTTAAGTTTGTTATCATATCAAGTATCTTTGCTGGCCACAATGGTATAAAACTAGAAATGAGTAACAGGAAAATTTGGGAAAATTCACAAATATATGGAAATTAAACAACATGTTCCTGAACAACCAAACAACCAAGGGGGCAATGAAGAAATTAAAAGGGAAATTTAAAAAAAATATATTGAGACAAACAAAAATGGAAACACAACATACCAAAACTTAAGGGATGCAGCAAACGTAGTCCTAAGAGGAAAGTTTACAATAACAAATGCCTACATCAAAAAAGAAGATCCCAAATAAATAACATTACTCCTCAAGGATCTAGAAAAAGAAGAACTAAGCCCAAAATTAACAGAAGGAAAGAAGTAATAAAGATCAGAGAATAAATAAATAAAGTAGAGACTAGGAAAACAACACAAAGATCAACAAAACTATGAATTGGTTTTTGAAAAGATAAATGAAATCAACAAACCTTTAGCTAGATTAACAAGAAAAAAAGAGAATATTCAAATAAAATGAGAAACAAATGAGGAGATATTATAACTGATACCACAGAAATACAAAGGATCAAAGTGACTATTACAATTATATGCCAACAAAATAAACTGGATACCTGGAAGAAATGGATAAATTCCTAGACACATACAACCTACCAAGACTGCATCATAAAGAAATAGAAAATTTAAACAGACCAATAATGAGTTCTTTCCAATCAAAGAAAAGCCCAAGACCTGTTGGCTCACTGCTGAATTCTACCTAACAGTTAAAGAACTAATACCAATCATTCTCAAATGCTTTCAAAGAAGTTGAAAAGGAGGATATACTTCTAAATTCTTTTTACATGACCAGCATTATCACCCTGATACCAAGGCCAGATAAGGACAATACAAGAAAAGAAAACTGTAGGCCAATATCCTTGATAAATAGAAAAGCAAAAATCCTCAACAAAATACTAGCAAACCAAATTCAACAACACATTAAAAGAACAATTCAACATGATCAAATGGGATTTATCACTGGATGGAAAGATAGTTCAACATATGTAAATCAATAAATGTATACAGCACATTAATAGAATGAAGGACAAAAACCATATGATCATCTCATTAGATGTAGAAAAATCATTTGACAAAATTCAACATCCTTTCCTGAGAAAAACTTTTACTAAATTAGGTATAGAAGAAATGTACTGCATATTTGGCCAATAAAGGCCAAATATGATAAGACCACACTTAACATTATATTCAATGGTGAAAAAATTGAAAGCCTTACCTCTAAGATCTGGAACAAGACAAGGATGCCCACTTTCACTATGTCCACTTAACACAGTACTGAAGTCCTTGCCAGAAAAATTTAGAAAGAGAAAGAAATAAAAAGCATCCAAATAGAAAAGAAAAAAGTGAAACTGCCCCTGTTTGCTGAAGACATAATCTTATATATAGAAACCCCTAAAGACTACAACAAAAAACTGTTAGAACTAATAAATGAATAAATACAGTAAACTTGCAGGATACAAAATCAACACACAAAAAATCAGTAGCATTTCTATATACTAATAACAGACTATCCAAAAAAGAAATTAAGAGAACTCCTTTTACAATAGCTACCAAAAAGAGAGAGAAAGAAAGAAAGAAATTTAACCAAGGTGAAGAAAGGCTTGTACGCTGAAATCTATAAAATGTTGATGAGAGAAATTGTAGAAGATACAAGTAAATAGCATGATATTCTTTGCTCATAGACTGGAAGAATATTGTTAAAATGTTCATATTACCCAAAGTGACATATTGATTCAATGTAATCTCTATCAAAATTCCAATGTCATTTTTCATAGAAATAGAAAAAAGAATCCTAAATTTCATATAGAGCCACAAGAAGCTTTGAATAGCCATGGCAGTCATGAGTAAAAAGAACAAAAATGGAGGCATCACACGACCTGATTCCAAACCACACTGCAAAGCTATAGTAATTAAAACAGCATGGTATTGGCATAAAAAACAGCCACAGTGACCAACGAAACAAAGAGCACAGAAAGAAACCCATGTATGTGCTCAACTGATTTTCAACAAAGGTGCCAAGTATACACAATGGGAAAAAAAGACTCTCTAAAAATGGTGCTAAGAAAATTAGATATCCACATGCAGAAGAATGAAAATGGACCCTTATCTCACAATATTTAAAAAAAAACTCAAAATGAATTAAAGATTTAAACCCAAGAACTGAAACTGTAAAACTACTAGAAGAAAACAGAGGGGGGAAAACTACATAACATTGGTTTAGGCAATGATTTTTTGGATTTGATCCCAAAAGCACAGGCAACAAAAGCAAAAATAGGCCAATGCAATTACAACAAAGAGAAAACAATAAACAAAGTGGCAACCTACAGATTGGGAGAAAATATTTACAAGCTATATATCCAATAAGGAGTTAATGTCCAAAATATATAAGAAACTCAAACAACTCATTAGCAAGAACACAAATAACTCAATTTAAAAATGGGCAAGGGATTTGAATAGACATTTCTAAAAGAAGACAACAAATGACCAACAGATACATGAAAAAATGCTCAAAATCACTAATCATTAGGGAAATACAAATTAAAACCATGATGAAACATTACCTTATGCCTGTAACAATGGCTACTGTCAAAAAGATGAAAGATAACAAAGTGTTGGTGAGGATGTGGAGAAAAGGGAAGCCTTGGACACTGTTGGTAAGAATGTAAATTAGTACAGCCATTATAAAAAACTGAATGGACATTACTCAAAACACTCAAAACAGAATTACCTTATGATCTAGCAATCTCACTTCTGAGTATTTACCCCTAAAATTTGAAGTCAGTTTGCAGAAGAAATATCTACACTCCCTCGTTCACTGTAGCATTGTTCATTTGGCTGGAATTGGAGAACATTATGCTAAGTGAAATAAGCCAGGCACAGAAAGATAAATGTCTCATGCCCTTACTTTACGTGGCATCTAAAACAACTGAACTCAAAGAAGTGACAGTAAAATGGTAGTTACCAGAGTCTGGGGCAACCACCCTTCTACTTTCTATCTCTGAATTTGACTACTCTAAGTACCTCATATAAGTGTAATAGTGTATTTGCCGTTTTTATGACGAGCTTATTTCACTTAGTCTAATGTCCTCCAGATTCATCCATGTTGTAGCATGAAAAGAAATACCCATTTATTATCTCACAGTCTCTGTAGGTCAGAAGTCCAGACACAGGGCAGCTGGTATGGGAATGTGGGGAAGGTTGTGCATGTGTCGGGTAAAGGGGTATATGAGAGCTGTCTATACTGTCCACTCAATTTTGCTGTGAACCTAAAACTGGTATAAAAAATACCATGTGACCTATGGTATTCTCTACATTGAGCTGCTATCTGTAGAATCTTTTCCTTGATGACTTTTTTCCTTTATGATCTCTCATGTTAGCATGACTTCAAGCTAACATTATCTACACTAGGCAAGCAAGGTGAATCTTATTTCTAAAAACTCCTCAGAAATAGTACTTTGTACAAAGGCAAACAACCAACGCACTGATATGAGCTCTAACCATTCATTCACCATGTCCTGTAGAGACTGATGTATCTTTTGAAAGACTTTTCAAAAATGCAATAACCCTTGAGTTAACTAGATATCTTAAAATCGAAGGCTAGAGATTGGGAGAGTTCGCTTCTATAATTTGCATCTGCTGTATATTTGAGAATATATAAAATACAAGAACCCAAATAGATGGGTGAAACTCTTAAAATGTTAAAATCGTAGCTAGAAGTTAGAAACCTGTGTAAGCCATATTAAAGAGATAAAGTAAGTACAGCATTTCTCTATGAACATAGATGAAAAAGGATGGAAAGACACTAGATATTCAAGATACACTACATATACATGAGGTATCAAATATCCAAGATACATTAAATATATCTGAGGCATATAAAATACTACCCAATATCCATAAAATCTTATTCAGCCACCCATTGGTGACACCCATTCTGGCTCCATGTATCCTCTGCCCAAGAAAGGCAAATAAAATACATTGTAGCTCAGCAGGCAAACTGATGGACTACAGCTGTGGCCAAGTGCATTTGCGCTGGCCTTACTCTAATAAAGTGTGTCAATTGTGCATCTGTTGGGTCCCCTTGCATAAACCTCATTTCTAGTCTCTGTAAGCACACCATCAGCAAAGGAGAGCTGATGTGGAAAAGAGAAAGACAAGACATAAACATTGCACAGCCCAGGATTTAGGTAGTGTGGTCCTTCCACCCACTTACATTGTATTCACATGTTAACCTACCCTCAACTCTCTCCCCTTGCCTCCCACTGTGTGTTTTAACTATCTTTACTAAACTATATGATTCAAGCATCCCAATGTGGTGTCACTTTTTTGTCCCATGACCTCTGGGATAAGTATATTTGGAGACTACCACTGCATCAAGTTAACGTCCCTCCTGACACCACACAAATCATCTAAATTCAAAAGGTGCCAATATGAAACTGTCAGCCAAAAAGGAAAATCAATTGGTTGCTATTATGAAGATTAACTGGGTAGATATTAAAGATTGTAACCAAGATGAAACAACTAGAACCTCCAAGTTTTTCTAGTCCATATCAAGCTCAAAAATTGCTTTAATATGTAAAATGTACAGTAAATTAATCATAAGTTATATTTAACTAATTTGTCTGTCATTTCCCAAAAGTGCTTCCTATATTTATCCTTACATCCATGAAAAATAGTTTAGAACTAAGGGGGTGGGGGGAGCACAGGGAGTTAGGATGAATTCAGCTTCTAAATTTGCTACTTGATCCCTGCCTGCTATGGTTTGAATGTCCCCTCCCAAAGTCATGTTAAAATGTAATTGTCATTGTAACAGTATTAACAGGTGCAGCATTTAAGAGACCATTAGGCCAGAAAGGTTCTGTCCTCATGGATGGGTTTAATGCCTTTAAAAAATAAAGGAGCTTTTTCTTTCTGTGTCACTTGCCCTTTCACCTTTCACCTCGAGATGATGGAGCAAGAAGGCCCTTACTAGATGCTGGCAACTTGATACTTGGACTTCTTAGTCTCCAGAATTGTGAGAAATAAATTTATTTTCTTTCTGTCCAGTCTGTGGTATTCTGTTATAGCATCAAAAAATTGACCAAGACACTGCCTTCTCAAACTAAGTTACCTGGACATCCTTGACTCTAGTTTAATCTTAACTTCTCTGCCTTTATTCTCCCTAGATTTTTCACTTAAAAATTATAATACATATACATACATAAACACACACATACACATATACACATACATATGTATGTGTGTGTGTGTGTGTGTATATATTATATATATATATATATATATATATATATATATATATATATATATTTTTTTTTTTTTTTTTTTTTTTTTTTTTTGAGACAGAGTTTCACTCTTATTGCCCAGGCTGGAGTGCATGGCGTGATCTTGGCTCACTGCAACCTCCGCCTCCTGGATTCAAGCAATTCTCCTGCCTCAGCCTCCCAATTAGCAGGGATTACAGGCATGTGCCACCATGTCCGGTTAATTTTGAATTTTTAGTACAGACGGAGTTTCACCATGTTGGCCAGGCTGGTCTTGAACTCCTGACCTCAGGTGATCCACCCTCCTTGGCCTCCCAAAGTGCTGGGATTACAGGCATGAGCCAGCATGCCCAGCCTAATCAATATATTTTTATAAAGCTTTTTTGAAACCAGATGTGATACAAATATATTCATGTTATTTATAGAAAGTACATAAATGACTATATTCATGCACACACACACACACACACACACACACACACAGAGCAAAAAACAACTTGGTTATTAAATTGTTACTTTCCAACTGCCCTACTATTTTCATTCAATTGTTAAAGCAGCTTTTTAACATCCTCTTTCAGAGTAGCTCTTATATCTATCTTCCTAACAGTTTAGCTCATAATCAAAAACAAATGTGAAAAGCAAACATAAATATAGGTATACCAATATGTAGGTATTTTTATATAAGTGCATATTGTTCTAAATAAAAATAATAGGTCAAATTAATATTTATCAGATCAACTATATTTCAAACAGTAGAATACTATTACGAGGATAGCATTGAACTAGAAAATCAGGAGTTCTAAGGCAAATGCTTTCACTAATTAAATGTATGACCTTAGCCATATGAATTGTCTACTCAGAATGTAGTATGTGCCCAGTAAATGTTTGTCAAATGAATAAACAAAGGAACAAACAAAGGAATACTTTTTGTTTAATAACCAAGAGCAGAAGTTCTCAAGAACTACATCTAACCTGAGAGATATACAACCTCTCTACCACATCCCAAAGCCTCAATGGCATAATGATTCTTTCTATTTAACACTGTAGAAAAAAATATTTCTTCAAAAGGCTCAGTTGATCACTTAAAGCAAATTTATATCTATAGAAATTTCAGCCTTCTACACGAGGGGAAAAAAAACACTTTTTAATGTAGCAATTTAGTTTCTCCTTTAGGTTAAGTGCGGTACAGCTTTAAAAATGAGAACCAAAACAAACTAGTAGCACTGCAAATTTCTTAACATACAAATTTAGTGCTGAACAATACTTTAAAAAACTACAGCTAGAGAGTGAACAGGAATGTTTGCATTTTATTCCTCATCTGACATTCAGTGATGAATGTAAAATATGCCCTCAGGGAAAATGGTTTATACATATTACTCATAAAGATGTATTTTTTTTTAAGTCGAAGTCTGTATTGTATGAATAAAAAGATCCAACTTGTTACTTTGGCACCAGAGAGTCTCTTTTCAAAATGATTTAATAGAAAAGTTTCTATTCTCTTTATATGGACAGAAACTTCTCTGTCCATATAAAGAGTTTAGAAACTCTTCTACCCATAAAAATGAATTTCAGAGAGTTCTAAAGCAATGCTGCTACTACTTAAATAACAACAGAGTCAAAATCAAATTTATCTTAGTGGAAGAATGGCATTCCTCCTAGTTACCATAAACTATTGGTCTGAAAGAATGTGGGGAAAAAAACTAGATGAACAACGTTCTCACTCTTACCCTTAAACAAATGCTGCAGTTTACATCAAAAGAATATTAGTTTTTACTCAGTGAAAGAGTAAAGTTTTGAGTAAATCACCCATTCCAATTATCTAGTACAGGAAGAAAACTGGCCATTAAATATAAGGGGGAAGAAATGACCACTAAAATGTATGGTTTGAAAAACTTTAGACATATATTTTTCTTTTTTAGAGATAGGGTCTTGCTATTGGCCAAGCTGGAGTGCAGTGGTGTGATCACAGCTCACTGCAGCCTCAAACTTCTGGGCTCAAGCGATCCTCCCATCTCAGCCTCCTAAGTAGCTGGGACTCACAACACCACACCTGGCTGATATTTTTTGTTTTGTTTTTTTAAACACTGGGTCTCTCTATGTTACCCAGGCTGGTCTTGAACATCTGGCCTCAAGTGATCCTCCTATCTCAGCCTCCCAAATTGCTGGGATTATAGGCTTCTGCACTGGGCCTAGACTTCTACCATATGTTTCTTTCTTTCTTTTTGATTTTTAGTAGAGATGAGGTTTCACCATGTTGCCCAACCTGATGTCAAACTCCTGAGCTCAGGCAATCCACCCACCTTGGCCTCCCAAAGTGCTGGGATTACAGGTGTGAGTCACCGCACCTGGCCCTTATCCTATGTTTCTTTTATGAAACTCTGCAACCAGTCTTTACATTACATTTTCACACATGCCAAGCTAAACTCTGTGATTATGAAAATATTTTCTGTGCCTTTGCTAATACATGTCTCCTTGGTCCAGAATATTATATTCCTCACTCCCACATCTACCAGTAGAAATCTATCCACCTTTCTTTAATACCCACTGAAATATCAACCACCTCCTCTAGGAAACTCCTCTGCTTCATTCAATCACATGTGATCTCTTCCTACTCTTAATTCCATTATCATTCTTCTTAATCTCTCTAATGATTACAAATTTTGTCAAATAATGCAAGGATGTGTACACTTATTTTATACCACAACCCAAACTGAAATCTTCTTGAAGAGACAGTAACTTGTTTATTTTTGAATCTTTAACAGGACTTAGTGCAGTCCTCCGCACAAAGTATGTACTCAATAATGATTTCTTCAATGGATTAAGTAAATAAAAATAAATGTGAAGTAAAGTTATGAGATTTCTCAGGAAGATCTTAAATATAATATAAGCAAGGCTCTCAATATAAATATTTTGGTATTTTAAAGAAATTCAACTAAAGATATTTAAAGTTCTTTCTCAATACAAAATAAGTATTAGTATATGGAATTAGGCTGTATTGCTCTACGGGAAATCACAGGAATTTTAGTTTGCAGTTCTAAAATACCTCTAACTTCAAAGGCAGTAAGAAAGACTTGGAACAATAAGAGTTAGTCTCCATCCATTCGTGTGTTTATTCATCAAGCATTTATGGAAAGATTATTATGTGCAGTTGTGATGCCTTTGCTACCTAAATTTCATAAATATCATTTCACTTCTATTAATATTTTCATATGCCATAGTCACAAATCTTTATTCTAATGGTTCTTCCTAACCTTTTTCTTACCCTGATAAATTAACCCCTGTGATAAAAAGTTTATGATAGCCCCTAAGATTCCTACTCCCTATATACAACCTGCATAAACTTCTCCCCGTTGTGAGATAAAAATAAGACTTTACTTCCATGATTAGATTATATTATGTAGTAAAGATGAGGGGATTTTATGAACGTAATTAAGGTCTACCTCAATTGATTCTGAGTTAATCAAAAGGGAGATTATCTTGGGTGGACCTGACTTAATCAGGTAAAAGTCCTTAAAAGATACAATGCACCCCTACAGAAGAGACACCTTTGTTGGCTTTGAAGAAGGAAAAAAAAAAGTAGTAGTAGTAATAAGCTGCCACGTTGTTGAGAGGGCGATATGACTAGGACCTGAATGCAACCTTTAAGACCTAAGAGTCATCCTTAGCCAACAGCCCGCAAAAGACTGGGTATCTCACTCAGTCCTACGACTACAAGGGATAAATTCTGCAAACAAACTGAGGGACCCTGGAAGCTAATCTTTCCCCAGTCAAGCCTTTAGTGAGACCACAACCCCAGTTGACTCTGCTGGGAGCCTTGTAATACACTGAGAAGAAAAACCCAGATAAGCCATGCCCAGACTCCTGACCCACAGAAAGAGTAAGATGATAAATGTGTACTGTTTTACGGTGCTAATTTTGTGGTAATTTGTTATGCAGCAACATAGAACTAATACAACCCATCTAATTATATTTCAATCCTGGTTCCTCATGTCCCCCTGAAATGAATTCTAATGTAGGCTTTCTGTCTTCTGCATGGTCAGTATCAAACCCCTCTGAAATGAAAACTAGATGGCATAATATTAATACATTTAATAACTGTAGTCACTGTACTATGTGAGAATTGACAACGGTACTGACAAAAGATTATAATAATGTGCTAGTTTGCTCTTATGACTAGATTCTGAAACTCAGTAGCAAATTTATTTTTGCCAATTTTATTGGACTTCTGATTTCAGCTCCAATATGTAAAGAACTGGAAGTCATCACACCTGTTTTACAACAGAAAAAAGTTAAACAAACTAAAAATCAATTACTTTTCTGGGATCCATCTGAGAACTGAGGTCACAAGGCAAACTGCCACCCTGAAATCTGGAGAGACAGGTAAATACAGAGAATCAAGATATGCTTACTGGGACAGCGGCCACTAAAACATAAATTGACAGAAATAGTTAAAAGATAATATTGATGAATTGCTGGAGATAAAATGTGAACTAGTTTATAAGTGAGAAACTCCTAGGGGCTGCAGTCTTGCCAGGGGGCCCACAATTTTTAAGACATTACCTCTAAAAATCCCACCAGGTTCCCACAGTAAAGAGCCAAGAAAAACCCTACTGTTTCGGGCAGGAGGAGGGAAAAAAACAACCATTTTGAAATACGTTCAACGCATTCTCTAAAACAATGGCCAGTCTGCCAGTAAGGAAGATTTTACCAGATCCTTATCCAACATGAGGGAAGGGATCATTTCCTAAACTGCAGCTCCCTGCCATCTAATCTTATGATATGAATGAAGAGCTCAGAAACACTTGTGAAGGTCACAGGCAAGGGACACAGTCATGCTAAAAGACTGAGACATAATCATAGGATTAGAAGATGCTTCCTGTTCCCCATACCTTACCACCACATCAACAGGGCTCCAGTATAACAGCAGAGGATTACAACAGAGAGAGACAGCTGCAAGGCTCAGATTCTATTTAAGAATAAGTTTTTAGGGACATTGGAGAGTAACTCAAGTCCACATTAAGAATTAATTAAAGAGCACTGGTCAAGATAACTACAAGGTAGTTATAAAAGACAGTATAAAATGTGTTTTAACATAGATACAAAAGACAATATAAAATGTATTCTGTTTTTAATTTTTTTTATCTGATTTGAAAGTCAGTTGCAAAAGGTAATAATTGTAAATCTGTGTTGAGAGACATACAATGTGTAAAGATGTAATTTTTATAATAATGACACAAAGAAGGTAGGATTAAAAAAACAGCTACATAGGATTAAAGCTTCTGCATTCTATTGAAAATTAAATTAGTATTAATCCAAACTACATAAGATGTTAAATATAATTCCTAGGACAACCACTAAGAAAATAACTAAAAAATACACAGTAAAAGAAAAGCCAAGGGAATTAAAGTGACACATTAGAAAAATTTAAATGGCACACTAGAAAATATCTATCTATTAGATTCAAAAGGCAATGATAGAGAAATAGAGGGGGAAAAGGCACCAGATATACAGAAAACAAACAGCAAAGTGGCATTTGTAAACACTACCTTAGCACTAATTACATTAAACGTAAATGGAGTAAACACTCAAGTTAAAAGGCAGAGATAAGCAGAATGAATTTTTCAAATGCTCCAACTATATGCTGTCTATAAGAGACACACTTTAAATTTAGACACAAATAGGTTGAAAGTAAAAGGAATGTTATTCAGCCATAAAAAGGAATAAAGTATTAATTCATCCTATAATGCTGAACATGGAAACATTACACTATGTGAAAAAGCCAGACACAAAAAGTCACATATTGTATGATTCAATTTAGATGAAATGTTCAGAAAAGGCAAATCTATAGAAATAGCAGATTAGTGGATACTAGGGAATAGCAGGTAAGAGTAGGCAGTGACTGTTAATGAGTTAGGAGTTTCTTTTTGGGGTCAGAAAAATATTCTGGAATTAGACAGTGGTGATGATTACACAACTTTGTGAATATACTAAAAATGACTCAATGCAAAAATGCGCAAAGAATTTGAATAGGCATTTCTCTAAAGAAGATGTCTGAATTACTAATAAGCACATGAAAATATACTTAACATCACTAGTCATCAGGGAACTGCAAATCAAAACCACAAGGAGATACTACACTTTATACCCATTTGAAAGGCTATTATCAAAAAAAACATAAAATAACAAGTATTGGCAAAAATGTGGAAAAATTGGAATCCTTGTGCACTGCTGATGGGAATCTAAATTATGCATTGACTATAAAAAAAACAGTTTGGTGGTTCTTCAAAAAGTTAAATTTAGGCTGGGCGTGGTGGTTCACGCCTGTGATCCCAGCACTTTGGGAGGCCGAGGCAGGCAGATCACCTGAGGTCAGGAGTTCAAGACCAGCCTGGCCAACATGGTGAAACCCTGTCTCTACTAAAAATACACAAAAATTAGCCAGACATGTTGGCGGACACCTGTAATCCCAGCTACTCGGGAGGCTAAGGCAGGAGAATCACTGGAACCTGGAAAGCGGAGGTTGCAATGAGCTGAGATGATGCCACTGCACTCCAGCCTGGGTGACAGAGTGAGACTCCATCTCAAAAAAAGAAGTTACATTTAGAATTATCACAAGATCCAGAAATTACATTTCTAGGTATATATCCGAATGAATTGAAAGCAAGGTCACAAATAGATATTTGTACACCAGCGTTCATAGCAGCATTATTCACAACAGGCAAAAGGTAGAAACAATCCAAATACCCATCGACAGATGAATGGATAAGCAAATGTGAGATTATATATATATATATATATATATATATATATATATATATATATATATATATAAAATGAAATATTATTCTGCCATAAAAAGGATTCCGATGTATGCTACAAGATGGACGAACCCTGAAAACATTATGGCTAATGAAATAAATCAGAAACAAAGGACAAATACTGTATGATTCCACTTATATGAAGTAGCTACAATAGCCAAATTCACAGAGACAGAAAGAATACTAGAGGGTAACAGGAAATGGGGAAAAGGAATCTGGGGAGTTATTTTGTGGGAACAGAGTTCTTATTTGGTATGATGAAAGGTTCTGAAAATAGATAGTGGTCTTGGTTGTCTAACATTGTGAATGTACTTAATTGTACACACACAAAAAATGCTAAGGCCGAACGCAGTGGCTCACGCCTGTAATCCCAGCACTTTGGGAGGCCAAGGCGGGCAGATCATCTGAGGTCGGGAGTTCAAGACCAGCCTGACCAACCTGGAGAAACCCCATCTCTACTAAAAATACAAAATTAGCCGGGTGTGGTGGCACATGACTGCAATCCCAGCTACTCAGGAGGCTGAGGCAGGAGAATCACTTGAACCCGGGAGGCAGAGGTTGCAGTGAGCCAAGATCACACCATTGCACTCCAGACTGGGCAACAAGGGTAAAATTCCATCTCAGAAAAAAAAAAAAAAAAAAAAAAACCTAAATTTTGTTATGCATGTTTCACCACAATTAGAAATGACAATAAATATCAGAAAAATAAATCAAAGACCTGCGAAGCCTCTGGGGATGTGGGACTGGGAAGAAAGGAGGAGTAGTATAGTGAAGGGAGCTGTTGTTTTTTCATTATAACCATTCTAACATTATTTAATTATGTATAAGAATTATTTTGATAAATTAAGATATTTAAAGCTAAAAAAGAAATTAAAGAATTTAATGACAAACAACAAGGTTTTAATGATATGTATTATAAAGGATTACTATCCACACTATATATTTAAAAGCCCATACAAATCAATTAAAAAGACAAATACAACCAAGACAAGCAGACAATAAACAAAAATTTTAAAAGAATTAAACAAAAACCTGCAGAACAACTAATTGACAAACCTGACAAAAACAAAACCTGACAAAACCTGACAAACTTGATAAAAACAAGCAATGGGGAAAGAATTCCCTATTTAATAAGTGGTGCTGGGAAAACTGGCTAGCCATATGTAGAAAGCTGAAACTGGATCCCTTCCTTACACCTTATACAAAAATTAATTCAAGATGGATTAAAGACTTAAATCTTAGACCTAAAACCATAAAAACCCTAGAAGAAAACCTAGGCAATACCATTCAGAACATAGGCATGGGCAAGGACTTCATGACTAAAACGCCAAAATCAATGACAACAAAAGCCAAAATTGAAAAATGGGATCTAATTAAACTAAAGAGCTTCAGTACAGCAAAAGAAACTACC
This sequence comes from Homo sapiens, assembly GCF_000001405.40. Taxonomy (NCBI): domain Eukaryota; kingdom Metazoa; phylum Chordata; class Mammalia; order Primates; family Hominidae; genus Homo; species Homo sapiens. The sequence goes on from NC_000017.11 coordinate 61,773,608, forward strand.
ATCAGAGTGAACAGCCTACAGAACATTCTGTAGGCTCCCATCCCTACAGAATGGGAGAAAATTTTTGCGATCTACCCATCTGACAAAGGGCTAATATCTAGAATCTACAAAGAACTTAAACAAATTTACAAGAAAAAAACAAACAACCCCATCAAAAAGTGGGCAAAGGATATGAACAGACACTTCTCAAAAGAAGACATTTATGCAGCCAACAGACACATGAAAAAATGCTCATCATCACTGGTCATCAGAGAAATGCAAATCAAAACCACAATGAGATACCATCTCACACCAGTTAGAATGGTGATCATTAAACAGTCAGGAAACAACAGAAGCTGGAGAGGATGTAGAGAAACAGGAACGCTTTTACACTGTTGGTGGGAGTATAAATTAGTTCAACCATTGTGGAAGACAGTGTGGCGATTCCTCAAGGATCTAAAACTAGAAATACCATTTGACCCAGTCATCACATTACTGGGTATATACCCAAAGGATTATAAATCATGCTACTATAAAGACACATGCATACGTATATTTATTGCAGCCTATTCACAATAGCAAAGACTTGGAACCAACCCAAATGTCCATCAATGATAGACTGGATTAAGAAAATGTGGCACATATACACCATAGAATACTATGCAGCCATAAAAAAGGATGAGTTCATGTCCTTTGCAGGGACATGGATGAAGCTGGAAACCATCATTCTCAGCAAACTATCACAAAGACAGAAAACCAAACACCGCATGTTCTCACTCATAGGTGGGAATTGAACAATGAGAACATGTGGACGCAGGGTAGGGAACATCACACACTGGGGCCTGTTCTGGGGTGGGGGCCTAGGGGAGGGATAGCATTAGGAGAAATACCTAATGTAAATGACGAGTTGATGGGTGCAGCAAACCAGCATGGCACATGTATACGTATGTAACAAACCTGCACGTTGTGCACATGTACCCTAGAACTTAAAGTATAATAATAAAAAAAGAAACTATGAGATAATAAATGTTTACTGTTTTAAGCCACAAAAAAATTAAACAAAAACCTGCAGAACAATTAATTTCGCAATCAAAGAAATAAACTCAATTGGAACAAAGTATATTCGAAGGATTTCCTGTGTCTTTATTTTTAATTGAAAAGCTAGAAGCAGAAAAATAATCTATTCATTTTGCTAATATATATACAGTCACTAAAAAGTTATTTCAATGTTATAGTCTCTAGTCACCCAATTATAAATGTCTGTAACTAAAATTCATACTGTCTGCTATATGCATTCCAAGCCTAGCAGAAAAATGTCACCCAGACATCTCCTATCTCCCTTTTTGTGACTATGACTGGAAAATATAAAAAGGTTTTAGCAATGAAATAAGATTTTGCTTTAATCGCTTACATAACTGTGGAGTGAGTACAGTTTCCATAATCCCATAAATAACTTTTCTTCCAATTTCCCGGAAGATATTTGTCTCCATATTTAAGAATTAAAAGTCCTAAAAATTTTATTAGGTAAGACCAACTCCCTACAAGTTTTATTGTATGACTTAGTATCAAGCTTAATTACTAGTTTTCCTAAATATAACTGTTTGGTGTAGATGTTCACACTGGAATAAATCTTGTTTTCCATTAAGAATTTTAAAAAATGTTTATGTCCGTTTTATTTTTAGATATTCTTGTAAAAAATTATCTGATTAAATATGTTTTTGAAAACAAATCCTTTAATTTATCTACAAGAGACTAATTGCTTTAGTGTATCCCTAGCTATCAAAGTACATATATATAAAAAGACAGTAGAAGAGTCAAAAGTATCAATATTGTCATTCAAATATATTACTTCCAAATGCTTCTGTCCTTAGAGGTATAACTTCCTGTGGAAAAAAGAGAAGGGAACGCCACTTCTCTACATTGGATTTAGGTTAGATTTTGATGCAATGTGATGTTACTTTCAGGAATTATAAGTGGTTTCAATGCTTTGAATGTTAGGAGGACCAAAATATACTAAATAATTTCAAATTAACTAAAAAAAATTATTAAAAATCAGTGACTCTAAAAACAACAACAAAATTCTTCTGGCCAGATACATGAAGTAAAATGAGGGCAACGAAGAAAGTTTGGCTTAGATTAACTTTAATGAAACCTTCAGAAATGTAATTTATGAAAATAAAAAAGAATGCTCTGTTTCTTTCTACTCTGAAAATATCGACTTGTCCCTAAGAATAAAAATGTACACATAAACACTTCTCCTATATAATTAACATTGCTTGAAGACTTTTATTCTTTCAGATTATTTTATTTTATTTTAGAGAGAGTCTTATTCTGTTGCCCACGCTGGAGTGCAGGGGTGCAATCATAGCTCACTGTAACCTCAACCTCCTGGGCTCAAGCAATCCTCCCACCTCAGCCTCGCAGGTAGCTGGGACTATAGGTGTGTGCCACCACACCCAGCTAATTTTTGTATTTTGTAGAGGCAGAGTTTCACCATGTTCTCCAGGCTGGTCTCGAACTCCTGGGCTCAAGTGATCCTCCCAGCTCAGCCTCCCAACCTGCTGGGATTACAAGCATGAGCCACCACGTCCAGCCTTGCTCTTTCAGACTTTTAAGTAAAACAGAGGTAGGACAATCAGGCAGTATCTTAATCAAAAAATAAGTAAAATAATATGTGATGTTTAGAAAACTATAGTTATTACCTTGTTGCCTCTACCCTAGGAAGCTTACTGTGGTAATTTTAAAATTAGCATGCCAATGTTTAAAATGTAAATGATTATTTAAAGGCAAAAGAAACAATAAATATTCCCTTACCTTGTAAGATGGCAAGAAACACAAAATTCCTTGGCTCACAGTCTGGCACACAGATAACAAAAGTGCTCCCACTTCATCTTGGAACTCAAATGTTTCAGTATTCTGGAAGGTAGCACAGAGATTCCGACCCTTGGGGCCTGACCCAATGGTACCAACCCAAACCTAGAATATGAATATGTCATTATTAGAGTTATGCCTGAAAAAGGCATGGAAATTAGTATTTATTTGGAAGTATGTACATAAAAGATCAAGCAACAAGTTTAACAATTTATTTTTAAATTGTCAGGGGGTTTTCTATTACCTTCAATTAACTGTATACAGATTTAATTTATAAATGTTTTGCTTTAGGCAGATCACTAAATTCTCTTAGAGTGAAAATTCTTTGAAAGCAAAACAGGTTGTACCTGTCTCTGTTTACTTAATAGCTTTGCAAAATTTAAGCATGTAACAAATTTTTGTTAGGTGAATAAATGAACAAGTGAAATGATGAATATATACCAATAGCAGAATCAGATAATTCCAAAATACTGGGGATGAAGGCCAGTATAATTTGCCATAGGCAAGTCTCAAAAATGACAGGAACTACTCTTTCAAAAATTCATTGGTGCTCAAAGATCCTTAGTCATAGAAAAAAATCACACCCACCACATCTTACAGTTATTTGCAATTCTATCTCCCTTATATGTAGAGAGAGGGAGAGAGACGAAAATTTTGCAAAATGTTAACAAGTGATGAATCTAGGTGAAGGATATAAAGATATTCACAATATTAATATTATCTTTCCAACTTTTCTGAAATTTCTAATTTTTTGAAATACAGTTGAAAGAATCAATGAATGAATGATCAAAATGTAGCATTGAGTAGAAAAAAACAAACTTTTTCCTTTGCTCTCACACCACAGCAATCAACACAGAAAACTTCTGTGACCAAATGTGTGGGAGGTTTTTTCCACATACCAAGCAATCAATTCTGCAACAGACATCAACTGGGTGTCCTCTAATTCAATTCAATTCTGATACTATCTACTGGGAGATGATAACTTCAGATCCCAGAGGTTGAGGGCTCAGTCCCCAAGACTGCCCCTGATTTCTGTGGCCAGTCACAGTTGTTTTTACTTGCACTTCTGACTGATCAGCTAGAAATCGGGCATCCCACAACCCTCTGCTTGGGTTCAATTAATTTGGTAGAGCTGCTCACAGAACCCAGGGACACATTTACCTACACTTACTGATTTATTAGAAAAAATATTACAAAGGATACAGATAAAGAGATGTATGTGGGAAGGGGCTCAGAGCTTCAATTCCCAGGCACATCACCCTCCAAGTGTTCAGGAACCTCCAAGTGTTCAGCTATCTGGAAGCTCTCTGAACCCTGTCCTTCTAGGTTTTTATGGAGGCTTCATTATGTAGGCATGATTGATTAAACCACTGGCCATTAAGATAAACTTAACCTTTAGCATCATCTCCCCCAAGCCCTCCCCAGAGGTTGAGGAATGGGGGTGAAAATCCCAACTCTCCTATCATGTCTTGGTCTTCCCGGAGGCCAGCCCTGATCCTGATGCTACCTAGGAGCCCCCTACCATTAGTCATCTCATTAGCATACAAAATGTCACTTTGGAGATTCTAAGGATTTTAGGAGTTGTATGCCAGGAAATGGAGTGGAAGACCAAATATATATATTATAAATCACAGGCATATACACACAAGAAACATTATTCACCTTTAAAGAGGAAACTCTGGCACATGCTACAACATAGATGATGAACTTTGAAGACATTATCTGCAACATGGACAAACCTTGAGGACATTACTAAGTAAAATAAGCCAGTCACAAAAACGACAAATATTTTATGATTCCACTTATATGAAGTATTTATAGTAATCAGATTCATAGAAACAGAAAGCAGAATGGTAGTTACCAGGAGCTGAGGAGAGGGGGAGAATAGAGAGCTGTTGTTTAATGGGAACAGAGTTTCAGTTTTTCAAGAGGAGAAAGTCTTGAGATTGGTTGCACAACAACATATACATACTTAATAAGACTGAGCTGTATACTCAAAAATGGTTAAGATGGTAAATTTTATATATATTCTACCACAATTAAAAGTTTTTTAAATTTTAAGTTGAAGGAAAATATTACAGTGTAACAGAATCCAGCTGCACAACTACATTATTATAATTCAGCGACATTATAGGTTAAATGGACTTTTGTGCAGTAGGCTGAGAACATAGAGCCTGTAATAACATTCTTATGAGAAAACGTATGCTGAATTTACCAACTTCCCATATTTATCTGTGTCTCTAAAGAAAGCAACTTGAAAACGTGGAACATGTATTCTTCCTTCACTGCTGTTCATAGTCACATTTCTCAGCAGGAACACTCTGGCATTTGGAAAGCACAATTCTTAGTTACATAGGAGTAGCATTCTAGGTTCCCAACTACCAAATGCCGTAGTTGCTCCCAAGTAATTGTGAGGACCAAAAATGTTCCCACCTATAAACCTGTGTATATAGCTTAATAAAGAGCTAGCATTGTGTTAGGCACACAGGTGATGTTAACTTAACCACTTTAGCATTAACCACAGCTTAACATCACCTGTGTGCCTAACCACTTTAAAATATTTCATAAAAAGAAACCAGAAGGCATAATGAAAAATAACAATCTATACATTTCCACAAAAATTAAAATAACATTTAGTAGCCATCGTTATAAAACATTAAAATCTTAAATCATAGGACTCATAAGAGTACTTTTAACTCATTTCAGATATTCAAACATGCTGAACACTTGCTAAATACCAGCTATTAATCTAGGCACAGAGGAAGAACGTGGATGTAAAAGGAAGAATCAGGATACACTGTAGTCTAATGGAAAAGAGAAGCATAAATAATTATACAAGCTGGGCATGGTAGTACATGCCTGTAGTCCCAGCTACTCAGGAGGCTGAGGCAGGTGGACTGCCTGAGCCTGGGAGTTTGAAGCCAGCCTGGGCAACATAGCAAGCGACCTTGTCTCTAAAAAGATAAAGTCTGGCCAAAATGGCAAAACCCCGTCTCTACTAAAAATACAAAAATGTGCCAGGCATGGTGGCATACACCCATAATCCCAGCTACTCAGAAGGTTGAGGCAGGAGAACCGCTGGAACCCAGGAGGCGAAGGCTGCAGTGAGCCAAGATCGCACCACTGCACTCCAGTCTGGGTGACAGAGCAAAACCTTGTCTCAAAAAATAAAAGTAAAAATAAAAATACAGAGATAAAATAAATAAAATATAAATAGGCTGGGCACAGTGGCTCACGCCTGTAATCCCAACACTTTGGGAGGCTGAGGCAAGTGCATCATTTGAGGGCAGGAGTTCAAGACCAGAATGGACAACATGCTGAAACCCCATCTCTACCAAAAAAATAAAAAATTAGCCAGGCGTGCGGCGCACACCTGTAATCTCAGCAACTTGAGAGGCTGAAGCAGGAGAATTGCTTAAACACGAGTGAGCCAAGATCACACCACTGCACTCCAGCCTGGGCAACAGAGCCAGACTCTGTCTCAAAAATCAATCAATCAATAAATAAAACATAATTATACAATGAGAATTAAAGAAATCAAAATTTTGTTTTCATTACAAAACTAAAACTTACTTAGAAGAAGAAGCTGAAATACAGCCTTTTGCATCCCAAGTGACTGGATTATTTCCTTCTGTTGACACATCATTAAGTAGCTGACAGATTTTCTTTTATTGTAAAACTGGAATGTTGAATTTCCTACCAAGATTTACTTGCTGGCACTTCAGGTATCTTCTAACTTGTTTACATAGTTATATTGAAGTAGAAACACTGAAGGCCTTCCAAAAAAAAAAACAACAACTAACCTGTGAATTTTTAATGATATGATTAGCCTCCAGCTGGATAGTAAATGTAACACCAAGTTCTGACGAAAAGGATTTCATTGGTGATAATGTACCAGATGTCAAAACAATGGTCTGAACTTTGCCATTAATATCTGAAAAGGCCTAAAAGAAAACAACATTAGATAAATAAAATTATCTTTAGAAGAGGCTGGGCAAAGTGGCTCACACCTGTAATCCCAGCACTTTGGGAGGCTGAAGCAGGAAGATCGCTTGAGTCTAGGAGTCTGAGACCAGCCTGGGCAATATGGTGAAACCCCGTCTCTACAAAAAATACAAAAATTAGCCGGGCATGGTGACACATGCCTATAGTCCCAGCTACTCGGGAAGCTAAGGTGGGAGGATCGCTTGAGCCTGGAAGGTCAAGGCTACAGTGAGCTGAGATTGCACCACTGCACTCCAGCCTGGGTGAAGAGCAAGACCCTGCCTCAAAACAACAACAACAACAACAACAAACAACTATCTTTAAAAGAGTCAACCACATTTATTAAAATGCTGGTACTGAGCAAGAAGACAAAATTTCCATTTACATGATGAGCTTACCACAGCTGGATTTAAGCACCAAAAGTTTAGCACATGAACTGCAGTTTTCTGTCGTGAACGTTTCTTATTTTTTGGTAGAACCAACAACCCATTTTTGTCTGAAATATCAATCTGATTTGTCCAGGAGTAAGTCTGTTGAATCGCAATTTTATAATCATCTGCAAATCTAGATGCAAAGAAAGTGCTAATTAAGTGGCAAAACTTTTAAAACCTATGACCCAGCTACATACAATATAAAAACTGATTACATTAAAACTCATTTGAAAGAGCTGGTACCTTCCCATTCAAAAATAACATTCTCCTTACCATTAATTAAATTCAGTAATTCTGATATTAATAAAGCCATTAATCATAGAATCAACTGATTCTCAGAGGGAATATTAGAAATCATCTAACCATCTATCTTTTATCAGCTACTTCCTAACCTCATTTTCAAACATTACATATGTCATGGCAGAAGCAGAATTAAAATCCAGGCCTCCTAACTCCCAGTCCAGAGCTCTCTGCATGCTCTACTACATGATGAGTTACAAAATAGAAAACAGTATTATGGTTAAAGAGACTAAAAGGTGGGTTATACTTTTTTATTAAATGAGAAAATAGAAGGATAATTTTTACTGAAAGTTTTTAAAGTATTAGCAACAAGTTATAAAATTCTTACATTCCTTTGAAACCTGAGTCTCAGCCTTCATCTACTTTTAATGAAGGTGCTGAACCAGATGATATCTGTGATCCCATCCAGTGTATAACTGCTTTCAATAAGAATCTAGAAAATGGTTAAGCTTAAAAATAATAAAATGTGGCCAGGCGCGGTGGTTCACACCTGTAATCCCAGCACTTTGGGAGGCCGAGGCAGGTGGATCACGAGGTCAGGAGTTCGAGACCAGCCTGGCCAACATGGTGAAACCCCGTCTCTACTAAAAATACAAAAATTAGCCAGGTGTGGTGGCAGTCGCCTGTAACCCCAGCTACTCAGGAGGCTGAGGCAGGAGAATCACTTGAACCCGGGAGGTGGAGGTTGCAGTGAGCTGAGATAGCGCCACTGCACTGTAGCCTGGGTGACGGAGCAAGACTCCATCTCAAAAAAAAAAAAAAAAGTAAAATGTGATATTCTCTACCATGTCTTCGCTATAGTATTTCCTTATTCATTTCACTCCTAGAGAGATTAGATCTCAAAATTAAAGTTGGGAACTTAACAACTGTGGAGAGAATCTTATAAAAATACTGGGAGCCAAAAACTGTAAAACTCTTAAAACAAAGGGGAGACCGGGTGCGATGGCTCACGCCTGTAATCCCAGCACTTTGGGAGGCCGAGGTGGGCGGATCACGAGGTCAGGAGATCGAGACCATTCTGGCTAACACGGTGAAACCCCGTCTCTACTAGAAAATACAAAAAATTAGCCGGGCTTAGTGGCGGGCGCCTGTAGTCCCAGCTACTCGGGAGGCTGAGGCAGGAGAATGGCATGAACCCGGGAGGCTGAGCTTGCAGTGAGCCGAGATCGCGCCACTGCACTCCAACCTGGGTGACAGAGCGAGACTCCCGTCTCAGAAAAAAAAAAAAAAAAAGGAAAAGAAAACATAGGGGAAATCTTCATATCAGATTTGGCCATGATTTACTGGATGTGACACTAAAAGTACAGGCAACAACAAGAAAAGAGAAAGATAAATTGGACTTCAACAAGATTAAAAACCTTTTCTGCATCAAAGGACACTATGAATAAATGAAAAAACAACCCACAGAATGAGAGAAAATATTTGTAAAGTATATATCTCTTACAGGACTGACATCCAGAATATCTAAATAACTACAGCTCAACAACAACAACAAAAAAACCCAATAATTCAAAAGTGGGCAAAAGACTTCAATAGATATTTCTCCAAAAAAAGACATACAATTGGCCAATAAGCACATGAAAAGATTCTCAACTTCTCTAGTCATTAGGAAATACAAATAAAAACCAGATGATATCACTTGATACCTATTAGGATGGCTATTATACAAAAAATAAAATAACGAGTGTCAGCAAAAACAATTCTGATATATGCTGCTACATAAACTGTTGGCAAGGATGTGTAGAAATTGGAACCCTTGTGCATTGATAATGAGAATGGAAAATAATGCAGTTGCTGTGAGAAACAGTATGGTGAGTCCTCAAAAAGTTAAATGCAGCATTACCATATGATTCTGCAATTCCACTGCTAGGTACTTATATACACCCAGAAGAACTGAAAGCAGAACTCAGATATTTGTACACCAACGTTCATAGTAGCATTGTTTACAATAGGCAAAAGATGAAAACAACCCAAATGTCCATTAACATAAGAATAAATTAACAAATTGTGGTATATACATACAATGGAGTATTATTCAGCCATAGAAAGGAATGAAATTCTGATATATGCTACTACATAAATGAACTCTGAAAACACTGTGCCAAATGAATTGAAATAAGCCAGACACAAAAAGACAAACATTGTATGATCGCTCTTATGTGAAATACCTAGAAAGGACTTCATAAGATGAAAATAGAATACAGGTTAGCAGGTGATGAGGGGAAAGACTCTAGGGGTTATTATTTCATGGGTACAGAATTCCTATTTGGAATAATAAAAAATTTCTGGAAATCTCTGGAAATGAGTACAATGTACAACATTGCAAATATACTGTACTTAATGGCACTGAGTTGTATACGTAAAATGGTTAAAATGGTGTATTTTATGTATATTTTACCACAATAAAAAAAAAATACCAGAACTAGGTACTACTATAATTTAAGTTACAGGATGAGAGGGATTGGTTGTTTTTCATTTTCCACAGTTCATACAATAAAAAAGGGACTTTCTGACACTGTAGGAACATAAGAAAACTTTAGCAATAGAAGATAATTTAATATGAATTAATTAAATATATTTATTTAATGATTTCAATATTCATTAATATAAAAGACTAATTTTGGCCAGGCATGGGCTCACACTTACAATCCTAGCACTTTGGGAGGCTGAGGTGGGAGGATCACTTGAGGCCAGGAGTTCAAGACCATCCTGATCAACATAGTGAGATCTCATCTCTACAAAAAAAATAAAAATTAAAAAATTAGCTGGGTGTGGGTGTTGCACACCTGTAATCCCAGCTACTCAGGAAACAGGTGGGAGGATTGCTTAAGCCCAGGAGGTCAAAGTTGCAGTGAGCTGTGATCATGCAACTGCACTTCAGCCTGGGTGACAGAGAAGTCCCTGTCTCAAAAAAGCATCAGACTAATTTCAATTCCTCTAAGTCTGTGTCAATAAGAGCAAATATATAATAATATCTATAACACTTGTTTTCAATTCTCCTATTTACTCACCCAAAATAGGTATGTATTAAACACATGCTAGCATCCAAATTAGGCTATTTTTAAAAGGAAAATACATACTAGTTATCTTCACTTACCTGCTATTTTGCCTAAAAAGATAGTCAAGTACCATAAAAAGTCCTTTAAGCATTATTTGAGTTGATGCACTAATAACAGGTACTTCTCTTGCCTCCTCTTTACCATAAATTGGTGAGATTTTTTCCTCTTTTTGAAGAACAGCAGAAAAATGTCCCTATAAGAAATTACCATATTAAGTATAGAGGGGTTGGGAGGGAATTGGAAAAAGAAACTTCTCAAAAATACAATGAAACCCAACAAAACATGCATTGAAATTTTAGGTGAACAGAATTGCTATAGTTTGATAGTCTGACTTCTCCAAATCTGATATTGAAATTTCATCCCCAGTAATGGAAGTGGGGCATATCAGGAGGTTTGGGACCATGGGGGTAGATACCTCATGAATAGATTAACGCCCTCCCTAAGTAGAGAGGGGGTGAGTTAGTGCTCTGTTAGTTCCCACGAGAGCTGGTTGTTAGAAAGAGCCTGACACCTCCCTCCCTTCTCTCTCTCGCTTCTTCTCTTGCCATATGATCTGTACAAACCAGCTCCCCTTCACCTTTTGCCATCAGTGGAAGCAGGCTAAGGTCCTCAAAATTAGATGCTGGAGCCATGCTTCGTACAAGCTGCAGAACTGTGAACCAAATAAACCTCCTTTCTTTGTAAGTTACCCAGCCTCAGGTATTTATAGTGATACAAACAAAGACAATTATTAACAGCACAATGCTAACAATATATTTTAGATTGCCATATTAGCAAAATTCTCCTCAGAGTCAAAGACTCTTTAATAATAAGTTAGGTATTTAGAAGATTCAATCAGGGTATTATTTGGTGCCTTTCAGATGTAAGGAATTAAATAAAAATGTAGCAAATGGCTTCTCCAAAAGGCTTTAAAGAGTTGATATGTTGCCTTAAATCCATGAGTTATTTCCAGAAAGTAATTCTGATGCTGAGAATAATATGACTACATCACAAGCAAAACTAAATGACTTAAGGAAACAATACATGCTAAATAACAAAATGTATGTTAACTGGTTCTTTGGTCTTTACATGGCTCATAAGTTTTAATATGGATGAAAGTGTGGACATTAAAACAAAATTATAAGAAAACAGAAGAGTATGTTCCCCACATTGTAAAAGAGAAAATTCTGAATACTGAAGCAATAAAAGATATTGGTGACAACTCTGATGTCTGACAATAAAATGTGTTCAATGAAAATAAAATGGGGAAATAGGATAAATAAGAAAGATACATTTTAATATTCAGATATATCATGAAACAATACAAATCTATAAGAGTAAAAATCAGCCTTCACTGAACAAAACATTACAGAATACAAATAAGTAGAAAGACTTAAAAAACAAACCAACAAAGAACAAACAAGAAAGACAACATGAACTTGGAAAAATATTCAGCCCTGCAATGAAATACAAATATCAAATTATTCTTTTTGAAAAATGAAGTCCCCTCAGCAACACCTTATATCAAAGCTTAATATCCTTCTCCAACACTGGCAGAACACTGGCAATTTACTCTGATAAAATATAGAAAATATAAACTACTAAAGGTGAGGCGCTGTACTAAAAACAGAAGGGCTAAATGAAATCCTACATATTCAATTATTAGAGTACTCCGAGCTCAATTCCAGTTAGCTTACCTACACATTGGCAGCTGGGTTGGGGGGGGTAGAAAAATAGAAAACTAAGCAATGGAAAAATAAATAAAAAGTTAATTATGGTTCCTTAGGAAACATACATAAAGCTGTATAAAAATATAATCAAGTAAGCTACATGCATTACTATCATGGGCTATAATAATACATACACGTGATGATATCCACGCTGAATATCAATATAACTATACTGGCAGAATAGAGAGTGAAGAGAGAGAAGAAAGAAGGGCAGAAAAGCAGGAAGCAAAGGAAGAAGAGAGAGCGCATGAGTGAGCGTGTGTGTGTGTGTGTGACAGAGAGAGAAGAGTGTGTGTGAGTGTGTGCGTGTCTAAAGGAGCTAAATCATCATTATACTTAACAGAAAGTCAACAGACAACATCTAAAATTGAAAACTCCAAAGAAGCAGAACCCACGTTATTTTTTTAAATGTGGTTAAATATCAGAAGAAACCACTACAAGAGATAAAAGTGCACTCCAAAGTGAGAATTGGGATTGAGGAGTGGGTCAGAGGAATGCTTTTCTCAACAGAACTGACTCTTTATATTCTATAGGTATACTACTTTGGTAAAAATTCCTAAAAATATTGATAATCATAATGATGAATGTCTTAGCCAACTAGAATTAGGGCAAATTTCCTTAATCCAATAAAAATAACTATAAAATATATAATATAATAAAAATATAATATATATATTATTTAACAGCTCTAATTAATTTTTTAATTTAATTAACTGAATTGAATTGAATTAAAATTAACAGCTTTATTGAGCTATAATTCACATGCTTACAATTTACCTTTTTAAAGTGAGTTCTGTGGGTTATTTCTATATTATATATTTTATATATTATATATTTATATATAATATAGTATATATTATATATTTATATATTTTATATAAATATATTTTATATAATATATTTATATAAAATATATATTCATATATGTATTAATATATTAATATATAAATATATTTTATATATAATGTAAATATAAAAATATATATTTATATATAATATATTTATATATAATATATTTATATTATATTTATATTTATAAATTTATATAAATTTATAAATAATTTTATAAAATTATAATTTTATTTATAAATAAATTTATATAAATTTATATAAATTTATAAATATAATTATATATAAATATATTGCATGTTTATGTATTAATAAATATATTAATATATAATATATTATATACTATATAAAATATATAAAAATATATTATATACTATATAAAATATATAAAAATATATTATATACTATATAAAATATATAAAAATATATTATATACTATATAAAATATATAAAAATATATTATATACTATATAAAATATATAAAAATATATTATATACTATATAAAATATATAAAAATATATTATATACTATATAAAATATATAAAAATATATAAAACATTATATATTAATATATTATATATAGTTATATACTATATATAGTATATATATTTATATAAAATATTTATATAAAATATATAATATATATACTATATATTATATATAAATATATAATATAAAAATAACCCACAGAACTCACTTTAAAAAGGTAAATTTTAAGCATGTGAATTATACCTCAATAGAGCTGTTAATTAAAAAAGAATTTTTAATCACAGCAAACATCTCAATAAAGGGTGCAATACTAGTAATTCCTCCTTTAAGCAACAAAACCAAGATGTCTTTTTCTTTTTTTTATTTTATTTTATTTCTTTTTTGAGACAGAGTCTCGCTCTGTCGCCCAGGCTGGACTGCAGTGGCGCGATTTCGGCTCACTGCAAGCTCCGCCTCCCAGGTTTGCGCCATTCTCCTGCCTCAGCCTCCTGAGTAGCGGGGACTACAGGCGCCCGCCACCACGCCCGGCTAATTTTTTGTATTTTTAGTAGAGACGGGGTTTCACCGTGTTAGCCAGGATGGTCTCAATCTCCTGACCTCGTGATCTGCCCGCCTCGGCCTCCCAAAGTGCTGGGATTACAGGCGTGAGCCACTGCGCCTGGCCCAGGATGTCTTTTTCATTGCCTGTGATAAACAACGCACTGGAAGTCTGAGACAGCATAGTAAGAAATAAAAACATGAAGAAATAGAAAGAAATGAGAAAGAAAGAAACCGGTCATTATTCAGACAATATGGTTATCTACATGGAAAATTTAAGATAATCTGTGGGCAAACCTGTAAAATAATTCAACAAGGTGGTTAATAAGACAATTATAAGATAAATATATAAAAATCAAACACCAGTTTTATATAGCAATAACAATTAAAAATGTAATTTTAAAAATATATCATTTGTAATGGAAACAGAAACTTTAAGCTACCCATGAATAAATCTAACCAAAGCCATCTAATCTTTTAAAAATAAAATTATAAAATTTTATTGAAAGATAGGAAAAAATAATGAAGAACTATATCTTGTCATGAATGGGAAAACTTCATAATGTAAATGCATGAATTCTTTCCAAATTAATCTATAAATACAGTGCAATTACAATAAAAATTCTAACAGAACTTTTCCTAGAGATTATAAGCTAATTCTAAAATTCAAATGGCAGAGTAAAACAAAGGACAGCTGATACAATTCCAAAGGAAAATAATAAAGTGAGGGATATGCCCTACTATATATAAGCACTTTTCTTAAATCATTAATTAACAAATGTGACAAATTAGAGAAACAGAATGGTGGAACACAATCAAGTCCAGATATAAATTCACACATATATGAAAATTAGAGGGACTGGGTGTAGTGGTTCACTCTTGTAATCCCAGTGCTTCAGGAGGCCGAGGTGGGAGGATCGCCTGAGGCCAGGAGTTCAAGACCAGCCTAGGCAACATAGTGAGACCCTGTCTCTACAAAACATAAAAAAAATTAAGCCAGGCACGGGTGGCTCATGCTTGTAATCCTAGCACTTTGAAAGACCGAGGCGGGTGGATCACTTGAGCTCAGGAGCTGGAGACCAGCCTGGGCAACATGACAAAAGCCCGTCTCTACAAAAAAATACAAAAAATGAGCCAGGTGTGGTGGCATGCTTGTGGTCCCAGGTACTTGGGGGCGCTGAGGCACAAGAATTGCCTGAACCTGGGAGGCGGAGGTTGCAGTGGGCTGAGATCACACCACTGCACTCCAGCCTGGTTAACAGAGTGAGATTCTGTCTCAAAATAAATAAAAAAATAAGTAATTAGCCAGGTGTGGTAATGCATGCCTGTAGTCCCAGCTACTGAGCAGGCTATGGCAGGAGGATCCCTTAAGACCAGAAATCCAAGGTTACAGTGAGCTATGAATGCACCATTGCACTTCATTCCGGGCAACACAGCAAGACTCTGTCTCTTAAAAACAAAAAAAAAAAGTTAAAAAATATTTTTTTAATTAAAAAAAGAAAAATAGGTAGCAGAGGTAGCATTACAAATTAGAGGGAAATTAATATGCACTATTTAGGAAACAGTGCTGGGACAATTCTCTATCCATACAGGAAAAAAATTGATTCATAAATTCACAACATAAACAAAATGAATCCAAGGCTTTGTAAAAGTATTTATAAATCCCATCCTTTATAAACAATAAATACCTTAAAATTTTTAGGAGAAATATAACATAGGATAAGAAAAGACTGCTTAAAGTAAATTCAAAAACCACAATTCATAAGGGATGTTCATATCAGAACTGTTTATTATACTGGGAAACTGGAAATAACCTATATTTCAACTTATCAGATTAATCAATTTAGAATAAGTACACTCATAAAAATGCTACACCGCAATTAAAAATTATGTGAAGGAATCTTTACTTAAATAGGAAAGTATACACAATATATTGTTAAATTAAAAGAGGGTAAAACAAATGTGTCATATCAGAAATATATTTATAATAAGCAAATATGGGCATAGAAGAAGGCATAAGTAGACATAAATCACAATGTTCACAATGTTCATCTTTGAGTTTATGAGTCATTTTTCTTTGTGCCATTCTGTATTTTCCAGTTTTTTTCCCTTGACATACATTTTATTTGTACATTTTATAACTGACATGTAACATATACAGTAGAATGAACTAATCTTACATGTACACCTCACTAAATACACACACCTCCCCATGTAACTAACACCTGACCAGGATACAAAACATTCCTAGAATCCCAGATGTTCCTTTGTGCCCCTTCTCAGCCCAAACTGCTTCAAACCCCCACATAGTTGTAACCAGTACTTCAACTTCTGTCACCATAATTAGGTTTGTCTGTTCTTCAACTTCATAAAAATAGATTTATACAGTTTATACCCTTTTGAATCTGGTTTCCTTCACCTAACATAATATTTAAGATTCATCTAGAGCCAGGTGCGGTGGCTCACACCTGTAATCCTAGCACTTTGGGAGGCCATGGTGGGCGGATCACCTGAGGTCAGGAGTTCGAGGCCAGCCTGACCAACATGGAGAAACTCCGTCTCTACTAAAAATACAAAAAATTAGCCAGGTGTGGTGGCGCATGCCTGTAATCCCAGCTACTTGGGAGTCTGAGGCAGGAGAATCACTTGAACCCAGGAGGCAGAGGTTGCGGTGAGCTGAGATCACGCCATTGCACTCCAGTCTGGGCAACAAGGGCGAAACTCCATCTCAAAAAAATATATATATATATCTATATGGTTGTGTTGGAAGCAGTTCATTTTTTATTGCTATGTAGTATTCCACTATATGAATATGCTACAATTTATCCTTTTCTTTTTTTTTAAACAGGGTCTTGCTCTGTGCCCCAGGCTGGAGTGTAGTGGTGCAATCATGGTTCACTGTAGCCTCAACCTCCTGGGTTCAGGTGATCCTCCTGCCTCAGCCTCCCAAGTAGCTGGGACTACAGCGCATGCCACCACACCAGCTAATTTTTTGTAGACAACAGGGTCTTTGTTGCCCAGGCTGGTCTTGAACTCCTGGGCTCAAGCAATCCGCCAGCCTCAGCCTGTCAAAGTGTAGGATTACTGGCATGCACCACCACCCTCAGCCCCATTTTACTGTTATATAAGTAGCTTTCAAAATGCAAACAATTTATGCAAAAAATATTATGAAAGATGTCACAATATGGAAAAATTCTTACAATAGATACCACGCTGCATTTTATAAATGCAGGGCAAAAATTTAAGTATATCCTGATTAAAATATATGTTTTAATAGTCACATGCCCCGAATACTATTGTGATCATGTTGGCAATTATTTTCATCATTTTTTTTGTTCAAAAACCTCTTTGAGAAATAACATCAGCAAGATGGAAGAATTTGAGTTTTCTAGCCAGGCACGGTGACTCACACCTGTGAGCCCAGCACTTTGGGAGGCCAAGGCAGGTGGATCACTTGAGGTCAGGAGTTTGACACCAGCCTGGCCAACATGGTGAAACCCTGTCTCTACCAAAAATACAAATATTAGCCGGGCATGGTGGGGCATGCCTGTAGTCCCAGCAACTCAGGAGGCTTAGACATGAGGATCACTTGAACACGAGAGGCAGAGGTTGCAGTGAGCCGAGATCACGCCACTGCCCTCCAGCCTGGGCAACAGAGTGAGACTTCATCTCAAAAAAAAAAAAAAAAAAAAAAGAATTTGAGTTTTCCATTGTCATCTCCCAACAATGAACCAATTCTGACAACCACTCGCACATGAGAGTACCTTTGTTAAGAGTCTAAGAGTCTAGCAGAGAAGTTCCAGGACCCCATTGGAGCAAAAAATCCAAGAACAGATGCATTGAAGAGGGCAAAAAGTATAGTTTCATATTACCTACATCACCCCTGCCCCATGGAAGTACAGCCCAGTGCCAAGAGAGCCTCCATTAGCCCACAATTCTTCCCATGGGGAAAAGTGAGAATATAGTGAGTGATTAATGAAATAAAGAAAATGTGGCACATATATATATAATGAAATATTCAGTCTTAAAAAAGAAGAAAATTTTGCCATTTGCAACAACATGGATGAAACTGGAAGTATTATGCTATCTGAAATAAGCCTGATAGAAAGACAAATACTGCATGCTATCACTCATATGTGTCATCTAAAAAAGTTGTACTCGTAGAAGCAGAGTCCTCAGCCCCAAAGTTCACTGGTGAAGATGTACAACAACAGGAACTTTTGTTCATTGCTGGTGGGAATGCAAAATGGTACAGCCACTTTTTGTCAAGAGACAAAGTCTTGCTATGTTGCTCAGGCTGGAGAGCAGTGGCTATTCACAAGCATGCAATCATAGTGCACTACAGCCTCAAATTCCTGGGTTCAAGCAATCTTCCTGCCTCAGCCTCCCAAGTAGCTGGGACTACAGGCGCATACCACCATACCCGGCAGTTACAGCCACTTTTGAAGACTGTTTAGCAGTTTCTTGCAAAGCTAAACACAGTCTTACCATATAATACAACAATTGTGTTCCTAAGTAAATATCCAAATGAGTAGAAAGCTTGTCACTAATAGAAATGTTTATAATAGCTTTATTCACAATTGCCAAAAACTGGAAACCATCAATGTTTCTTTCAGTAGGTGAATGGATAAACTGTGGTACATCCAAATAATGAAATATCATTCAGCTATAAGAAGAAATGAGCTATCAAGGCAAAAAAATACATGGAGGAATCTTATATGCATATTGCTAAGACAGAAGCCAGTCTGAAAAGACTACATACTGCACAATTTCAACTATATGGCATTCCAGAAAAGGCAAAACAATGGAGTTAGTAAAAAAAATCTGTGGTTGCCAAGGGTTTGGTGGGTGTGGGCGTGGTGTGGTGGAGGGATGAATAGGTGTAACACAGAAGATTTTTAGGACAGTGAACACACTCTGTATGATACTGTAGTGGTGGATTCCTAGGCAAAACCTAATTGAACTCTACAACACAAGGGGTAAACCTTAAGGTAACCTATGGACTTTAATGAACAATAATGTAGCAATAATGGTTCATCAATTATAACAAATATACTACACTATTGTAAGAGGTCAATAATGGGGAAACTATGGAGTTGGTGTGTATTGTGTATGTGTATAGGTGTGTAGCTGGGAGTGAGAGTATATGAGAATTCTGGACCTTCTGCTTAATTTTTCTCTAAACCTAAAACAACCATTCTAAAATACATAATCTATTAATTTAAATAAGTAAATAGCAACAAAAAAAGAAAATATATTCTTATCGGCAAAAAACATTAGAAAATATAATGAAATTTATGCAGCCTCTATTTAGAAAAATGTACAAAAGGATACGCTCATAAAATTTTGCATATAGCTTCATAAGTTTCATAGTCTTCCAAAGCCTACTCATGATCTCTCCATGAATATCAGGTTTATAATTTCTAAATTAAGATGAACAAAATAGGAATTTCTCCTCTTTTTATTTTCTAAAATTTTAACTTTTACAATTGACTAAGTAAGTCTACAACCTAAAAATATTGACTCCTTTTAGCTTTAAACAAAGCAATTAATCCCTTTAAAGACTAATTTCCTTCAAACTAAATAATGCTATATTTTCACCCACAATTTACCCATGCCATCACTTAAAGATTATCAAATTTAGATAATAAAATTTTTAAAAAATTAAATTGCTATATTTAACAATTCTGGGTTACTCACTAGATTTAATCTGGATTTAGTCACGACTAAATCACTTCTAATTCACTAAATACGTTTCACAGGTAGAAAAAATATCTTACCTGCAAAATGGGAAAAGTAGCAGTGGTGATACCCATTTTGTGTAAAGTTAAGAGCATTTCATTTCCACTCCATATTTTACAAGCTGATTCATAATCTCTTTCTACAAGATATTCAGCGTTTGCTTCTAACCAACTGAAATAAAATAAAACAATTGTGTCAACCAGTATCATCCTTACACACACTATTTCAGCAGAACAAGAGAATCATCATTATTGTCATGCGTTGATCTGTATATCTTGACATTCTTAGGACATGAATGTGGATTAATTAAGACACCTTTTAAAAAGCATTCATGTCTCATATTGCAAAATAAACTTTATATAACTGAAAAGAAAGCTTTTATTCAGAAGAAACAAACATGCATATGATTTCCCACTTGTTTTGTGGATTCACATTGCTTTACTTAGCTAATGTCTCTTCAACTGAGAGCCAGGTCTTAGGTACTTATCCCAAATATATATAAAAGGAAATGCAAAACAACCTAATAAAGAAATTAAAGTGTTACATATTAACACAAAAAAGAGAATTACTAGAAAATATATAAATACATTCATTGATATATATACACATTCATACATTAAGTGTTTGAATGCCTATTTTATTCCAGACATTGTTCTGGGTAGTGAAAATAACAGCAGTTAAATAAAATAGGCAAGGTCCTTACTCTCATGGAAATTACATTCTACTAAAGGGAGACAGGAATAAACATCAAAACAAATACATAAACAAGAAAATGTCAGGTAGTCATGGGATACTATATGGCCATAAAAAAGAACAAGAACATGTCCTTTACGGGAACATAGATGGAGCTGGAGATCATATCCTTAGCAAACTAATGCAGGAACAGAAAATACTGCATGTTCTCACTTATAAGTGAGAGCTAAATGATGAGACCACATGGACAAGAGGGGAACAGCACATACTGGGGCCTATCGGATGGTGTAGCGTTGGAGACGGGAAAAGATCAGGAAAAATAACTAATGAGTTATAAGGCTTAATACCTGGGTGATGAAATAATATGTACAACAAACCCCCATAACATGTTTACCTGTATAACAAACCTGCACATGTACCCCTGAACTTAAAAGTTAAAAAAAAAAGTTCTAATAA
Source organism: Homo sapiens (assembly GCF_000001405.40). Lineage (NCBI taxonomy): Eukaryota > Metazoa > Chordata > Mammalia > Primates > Hominidae > Homo > Homo sapiens. The sequence goes on from NC_000017.11 coordinate 61,794,708, forward strand.
AATGAAAAAAAAATCAGGTAATTATATACAAATAAATTATGAAAATAAATTAGTTTAATATAACCTAGTTGCAACTTTAATTTTAATGTCAAGAATGCTCTCCCTGAGGTGACATTTATTCTAATAACTGAATGCAAAAAGTATCCAGTCATGGGAGAATCAGAAGAAAAGAAATATCCAAGCAGAAGGAACAGCTAGGAGAAAGGTCCTGAGGTGGTTAGCAAATTTTGCTTGTTTGAGGATCTGAAAGAAAGCCAATATGATTTGCAGCACAATGGGCAAAAATGAATAATGGTATGAACAATGTCAGAGTGATAAGCAGAAATCAGTCATCTTGAGTCATCATAAGAAATCTGAATTTATTCAAAGGGCAATGGGAAGGCTTGGGTTTTAATTTTTAATTTTCGTGGGTACATAGTAGGTGTATATATTTATGGGGTACATGTTTTGATACAGGCATGCAATATGTAATAATCACATCATGGAAGATGGGGTATCCATCCTCTCAAGCATTAATCCTTTGTGTTACAAATAATCCAATTATATTCTTTTAGTTATTTTTAAATGTACAGTTAAATCATTATTGACTATAGTCACACTGTTGTGCTATCAAATACTAGGCCTTATTCATTCATTCTATTTTTCTTTTTTTTGTACTCATTAACCAACCCCTCCTCCCCTGTGATCCCCATCTACTACCCTTGCCAGCCTCTGGTAAACCATCCTTCTACTCTCTATCTCAATGGATTAAATTGTTTTCATTTTTAGATCCCACAAATAAGTGAGAATATGTGATATTTGTCTTTTTGTGCCTGGCTTATTTCACTTAACATAGTGACTTCCAATTTTATCCATTTTGTTGCAAATGACAGGATCTCCTTCTGTGTTATGGCTGAATGGTACTCCATTGTGTATATGTAACCACATTTTCTTTATCCATTCATCTGTTGATGGACATTTAGGCTGCTTTCAAATCTTGACTATTGTGAATAGTGCTGCAGCAAACATGGGAGTATAGCTATACCTTTGATATACTGATTTCCTTTATTTTGGGTATATATCTAGCAGTGGGATTGCTGGATCGTTTGGTAGCTCTATTTTAAGTTTTTTGAGGAACTTCCAAATTGTTCTTCATAGTGGTTGTCCTAATTTACATTCCCACCAACAGTATACGAGGGTTGTCTTTTCTCCACATCCTTGCCAGCATTTGTTATTGCCTGTCTTTTGCATAAAAGTCATTTTAACTGGGGTGAGGTGATATCTCATTGTAGTTTTGATCAGCAGAGAAATGCTGATCAATGATGTTGAGCACTTTTCATATGTCTGATTGCCATTTGTATGTCTTCTTTAGAGAAATGTCTATTCAAATCTTTTGTCCATTTTTAATTAGATTATTAGATTTTTTCCTACAGAGTTGTTTGAGCTCCTTATATATTCTGGTTATTAATCCCTTGTCAGATGGGTAGTTTGCAAATATTTTCTCCCATTCTGTGGGTTGCCTCTTCACTTTGTTGATTGTTTCCTTTGCTGTGCAGCAGCTTTTTAACTTGATGTGATCCCATCTGTCCATTTTTGCTTTGGTTACCTGTGCTTGTGGGGTATTGCTCAAGAAGTTGTTCCCCAGACCGATGTCCTGGAGAGTTTTTCCAATGTTTTCTGGTAGTAGTTTCATAGTTTGAGGTTGTAGATTTAAGTCTTTAATCTATTTTGATTTGATTTTTGTTAATGGTGAAAGATAGGGGTCTTGTTTTATTCTCCTGTAGATGGATATCCAGTTTTCCCGGCACCATTTATTGAAGAGACTGTCTTTCCCTCAGTGCATGTTCGTGGCACCTGTGTCAAAAATGAGTTCACTGTAGGTGTGTGGATTTGTTTCTGAGTTCTCTATTCTGTTCCATTGATCTGTGTGTCTGTTTTTATGCCAGTACTGTGCTGTTTTGGTGGGAAGGTTTTAAATACAGAGTTTTAAATAAAAGACAGACTATCTATTTTACATGTTTAAAAAATGATTCTAGCTACCAAGCTAGAATTGATTACTGGAGAAAGATGAGTGAAAGTAGAGACCTGTTAGGAGGTTGTTATAATATCCTTGTTGAGAGAAGACTGTAGGATGATAGATATGAACAATCAATGATATTGAGGAATTGGGGATATACTGTGCAGGTGGCATCTATAAGACTTACTCATTAATTGGATGAGGTGAGGCAGTAAGGATATTATTAAGGATAGTATTTAACTTTTTTACTTGAGGAACTGGTACATACTGTTTGCTTAGATGAGGAAGACTGGGGAGAAAACAGAACACAGGAAGAAAAGCAATTCTGTTTTAGATGTAAAGTTGAAATGTCTATTTTGATATACAAAAAGAGCTATAAAGTAGATAGTTGGATATAAGAATGGCATTCTAGGGAGAGGCTGAAGCTAGAGACATAGGTTCAGGCCTCACCAGTACTGAAGATTATATTCTAAGCTATGATACTACAAACTATTTAGGGAAAATAGAACTACAGAAGAAACTAGGTCCCAGTACCAAGTAAGTCCTGAGGCACCCCAACATTTAGATATCAAAAAGAATAAGAATTATCAAAAGAAATGATAAAAAAAAATGGACTGTGAGAAGGAGGAAAATCAGAGATGTCACAGAAGCTAAGACAAAAATGCTTTTCAAAGAGGTAGTCATCAACTACCCAACACCACTGACTGGCTGAGATAAAAGAAACAATAACCTCTGTATTTGGCAATATAGAGATCACTAGTGATCTTGATCAAAACAATTTGCGTAGAATTGTCCAGAGAGCAACACTGCTAAGATCGATGAGGGAAGAATGTCAAGTGAGAAAATAGAATTAGCAACTACAGACAACTCTTTCAACAAGTTATGCTGTAAAATAAAAACCACAAAAATCTGCATGGCAAAACACCACCAGAAAAGACACAAATGGCAAAATGGGGTGGAAAGTATTTACAACTCTTATTGCAGGCAAAGATTTTAATTCCCTAATATATGAATGGGGTTCTATAAATCATTAAGAAAAAGAACCACAATAAGAACAAAAAAAGGACAGAGATGTCAACAGGCAGTTGACACAAAAGGAAATATAAATGGCCTTTAAAGATGCTTAATTTCATGCATATTAAGGAAAATGAATATTAAAACTACATTGGGATACCACTTTTCACCTAGCAGGCTAGAAGAAAACAATTTCCATACTCTTATACATTGCTGGTAGAAGCATACATTAGCCCCCCTGTCATCCACCTATTGTGTAAATGTTAGCTATATCTATTGAAATTACAAATATGTCTATGCTTTCACCCAACAATTCCACTTCTAAAAAGATTCCTATAGATATATTTGCATACAAATGAAATTATGTATGTTCAAAGTTATTCATTATAGCAGTTTAAGAGCAAAAAACTAGAAACAACCTCCTCTATTAATCAGAGGCTGGTTAAATAAACTATTGCATATCTATCTAATGGAATTCTAGATATCTATTTTTTTTTTAAACTGAGAAAGCTTTCTAGGTCTTAACATGGAAAGGTCTCCAAAATACACTGGGAATTGAAAAAAGCAAGTTGCAGAAAAATGTATGTATACTATGCCATCATTTGGAAAATAGTGAGGGACAAGAAAATATATCTAATATTGGTTCATAAATGAGTAATATGCATTGAATGATAAACTTGTTTAGGAGAACACAGACATTAAACAGATCAGGGATGGAACTGGAAGGAGGTTTTTACTATACAAATTTGTATACATTTTGTCTTCAAACCATGTGACTGTGTAACATTCAAATTTTTTTAAAGTGTAAATGTGAAGGAAACAGAAAAATGCTACAATAAATGAAATGGGATTCAGAGTTGGGAAGTTTTTTTCTATGGTAACAAGATTCTAGATCAACAACTTAATGTCTAATAAAAGAAAAATTAGTGTAAATTGTCATAAAGCTAGTACTAAATATATTATTTTAGAGTACTGAAATCTTGATTAATTAAAACCCATGAAACTAGAATCCTATTTAAATTGGAGAATAAAGCAATAAATTAAAGCCATGATCCAGAATTTTAAAATATATTAATTAAAAGCACGTTTAGTTTCTGGTTCAATATCCTAGACACATCCTTCGGGGCTATTATGTTATCCTGCCAAATTAGGAATAAGATTCACAATTATTCATTTTTAAAAATCACTTATGTTCATTATATTCTTGTGAACAAGACAAAAGGTTGGACTAGCCTTGTTTTTAAAGCTTAACTGGCAAGGAACAATTCATTTCCCAAGAAGCCTAGTTAACCAAAGTTTACTAACTTTAAATACTCTGGCATAATCAAACATATTTTTCATATAAAGGCAGCACAAATACACTAATAGACAAATCTTCTTACTTAATGAGGCTACAGCACACAGCTCGTAGGGGTTCATGATCTTTCTTCCTTATATTATTGTTGACCATACTATCTAGTTCATCCCGAGCAAACCGAAGCTGAACTTCTGTTACACTGTAACTTGCTGATTCCCGAGCACAGTCCTCGATGTTATGAGCTTCATCTAAAATGACAACCTGTTCTTTCAGATTTAAATCCATCTATAAGATAAAAGAATTTTCTTGTAAAACATTTGGCAAAATAGATTTAACAACAGCAGGCAAGATATTTCATTTTAAAATTCACACTATAGGCCAATATTGCAAATGCAATTACATAAGCAACAGAGATTCTAGGTCTTAAATAAAACTTCTGAAGCACTATGGCCAACCAAATATCAGCTCTACATTATTGTGTTTGCCATTTTTTTACTCTTAAAATACTTTGCAAACCTATCGACAGCAACAAAAATATGTCAGTGAGTCTGGATCAAGGTACCACAGGCTACACAGAAAGGTATAAAATCCCACTATGAAAGTGTTTCCAACATAATTTTACAAACTAATTATAAGACCTTTAAAAATAAAATAACAATATAAGATTAAAAGCATAAGACCTTTAAAAGTAAAATAACAATACAAGATTAAAAGCATAAAACCTTTAAAAGTAAAATAACAATACAAGATTAAAATGACTCTTAAAATACTAACATAATATATATGTTTTGTTTTAATCTGTCCTGCAATCCTTCTCCAACATGGGAGTTGGAGAATTGTTCTTCTCCAACTCCCATGTGATGCTGGCAGGACTATTAACCTGTGAATCAAAGGACATCACCACTTTCACAATGGGGGTAAGGCCCAGGATTGTCAGTTAAATAGAGTATTCCATCCTTCTGTGGTCACAGTGACTGGTTCAGGTTCAGGAACAGACATGTGATCCACGGTAGGCCAACCAGAGTAATTTGGAGGGACTAATATGTGGCCATGCTCTTTTCTCCAGGTGAGCTAGCTGCTTATGGTTATCTTTGTTCCATAAGCAAGAGTGAGAACTTGCCTGAGAATAAAGCCATCACAATAAAGAGAATCAAGTATTTTTTCTTAAGCATTTTTTAGGGTAGGTTTGTGTCACTTGCAATAGAAAGAGTACTGACTAATACAAGGAACTGTCACAAAGCAATTGTCAATGAGTTATTTTGAGGAAGTAAGAATACACAGACAGCTGAAAAGTTGAGAAAAAACCATGGAAGAGTAGGAAATATATTGGGGTTTAAAAGATAAGTAGGATTTGGATTTGGACAGACAAAGAGTGGACAGGGCATTCCAAAGAGGTGTCATCAAAAGCAAAGATAGAGTAAAGAACAAGGTATCCTCAAGGGAGTATGAGGTAATTTTTGAAGGATTCAAATTGGGCAGATCCAGGTCAGACTATTGAGCATCTTGAGTGTAAGCTTAAGAAATATGAACTTTATCTCATGAGCAAAGGAAGCAATAGATTTTTAGGCAGATAAAAGGATGTAATAAAAGCAATATTTGGAAAACTGACCTGGCATTGATATGCACAGTGTCTCAGAAGGAAGAGATCTAGTTAAGAGATAACCAAATAAGAGGTAGGATAGAAGGGGTAGTAAACATAATGCCTATTAATTTGGATCTTAAAGAAATAGAAAGCTGAGATGAATTGTGCAGTCAGATCTGAAGACAGGAATAACAATTGACTATGCCAAATTATTCACTTTTTGTCTTATGCTGTTAACAATTGCATGTCTCTAAAAAGAACCAGGCAAACAAACACAAATGCCATTATCTGAAGTTCACTTCTCAAAGCTCACAAGGCATAATTTTATTCCCCCACATAAGTTCTTCAAAACATAGTTTTTTCAGAGAAATGTTTCTAAATAATTCTTTTTGAATATTCATAAATGCAAAGAGAAATCCTGCTGTAATCCCACTTCAGTCACTATGTTCCTTAAAACTGCTTGTTATTTTGGAAATTAAAATGAGTGGGTTGATTTTAACCCATGTTAGGATATGTTTTCAGTACTCTAATATGTTTACACAAATTTATTTACATAAATTAAAGCAAAAAAAATTAAAACATCTAAAAGCTTTTACATTCAACATTTACATCTCCATGAGTAGGAAGAAGGTTCTCATTTTTACACATATACTCACACTTTCCCTTATTTGTGCATCTAGAAGATAGTTGTAGGGACAAAATATGATGTCAGCATCTTGTATTAGTTCTCGGGCTGTGTAATATGGACAGGCCTTTAGTTTCTTCCCCAGGCTGACAAGTTCTTCTATATCCCAGGCTTTGCACATCCCTTGGAAAGTCTGTAATGTGTGCTGATCACTAATTTTATGAACTCCATGATAAAAATAGCAGGATTTTCCCTAGAAACAAATATGCATAACTGAAATGTGAACCAATATTAGCATAGAAGGAATAAAATAAGCTTATCTCAGAATTTGAGGAACATCATTAAAGCCACAAGGCTAAGATTTTACTGGCTACGCCACCACACCTGGCTAATTTTTTGTCTTTTTTGAGACAATACCATAGCTACAATCACAACGAAGTCTGGTTGACTCAGACTTAGATAGAAGTCCAAATCGGAAGAGCTCCAAATACCCTAAATTAACTTGAAAAAAATTTCTTTTAAATATGTTTGTTATGCCTTTTTTTTTCTGATTAAACTGATGTTAGGCATGAAATACTTCTGAAAGGATTCACAAAACAATGGTATCACTGGTTGCTTCCAAGGATGAGAATTAAGTGACTGGGCACAGGAGTGAGAGATTTTTCTCTGTAGACCCTTTTGTACCTTTTCAACTTTGAGCCATGTGATAGTATTTCTTATTCAAATATAAATAAGAAGGAAGGAAGGTAAGTAGGTAGGTTGGAATGTCCTAAGGGGAAAAAAAGAAAGTAAGAGTATTCACTACAAAATATTCAGGAGTACCAAAAAAAGCCTAAATTATCCATAATTCTATTACACAAAGAATGCACTAGAAACATTTTGGTGTATTTCATTTCATATTTCTTCTATACATGTGTATATAAGGATATCTCTACAATGTGACCCAATATTAAAATAACAAGAACAAGCAAGGCACGATGACAGGTGTGAGCACTTTGGGAGGCTTAGGCAAAAGGACTGTTTTAGGTGAGGAGTTTGATACCAGCCTGGGCAATGTAGCAAAACCCTGTCTCTACAAAAAATAAAAAATTTTCTAGGATTGGTGGCGTACATCAATGGTCCTAGCTACTCAGGAAGCTGAGGCAGGAGGATCACTTCAGCCCAGGAGTTCGAGGATGCAGTGAGCCATGATCAAGCCACTGCACTCCGGCCTGGATGACAAAACAAAGCCCTATCTCTAAATAGTAATAAAAACAAGAACAAAGCAAATGTTCCCCAGGCATTGAGGATTATTAACAATTCAGCCACAATAAACAAAAATTTTTATAAAGCATATTCCCTTTGTTTTCTTCTGTCTAGCGTATTAAAAATCATACAAGGAAAATCTTGACATCACTAAGCATCTTTTCGTTGCTGCTCATATATGTACATTGAATTAATGTGCCATAGCTGATGAACCAGTTTTCTTATTACTGGGCTTATAGACTGTTACCAATTTCTGCTTTAGACATAAGGCTGCAGTGAGCATTCTTATGCTGGTTTCTAAATATTTTCTTAGTCTATATTTTTAGAAATGGCATTATGGGATCAGACGCTACAAGGTATTTTTAAGTTTCTTGAAAACATATAGTGAAATTATCCTCCAGAAAGTATATATTGCTTTGCATTACCCTTTTCCCACATCCTTATCAACACTGGTGTTATCTTTTGTTATCTCTATCTTAAAAGTAAAAAATAGAATCTTGTTTTGATTTGTATTTTTTATAGTTTCTAGCAAAGTTTAACATAGTGTTGTATGAATAGTCTAACAAGGTTCAATAGTAATTTGTGTTTCTTCTTTTATGTTATCTACTAATGCCCTTTGCCATTCTATTACCTTTTTTTTTTTCAGAGATGGGAGTCTCACTCTGTCACCTGGGGTGCAGTGGCACGATCCAATCTTGGTTCACTGCAACCTCCGCCTCCCAGGTTCAAGCAATTCTTGTGCCTCAGCCACCAAGTAGCTGGAACCACAAGTGCATCACCACATATGGCTCCTTTTTTGTAGAGACAGGGTTTTGTCATGTTGCTCAGGCTGGTCTTGAACTCCTGAACTCAAGCGATCCGCCTGCCTCGGCCTCCCAAAGTGCTGGGGATTACAGGCATGAGCCACTGCACTCCACCCCATTCTATCACTGGAAATAAAAAAATTTCATTACAGGCTGGGCACAGTGGCTCATGCCTATAATCCCAACATTTTGAGAGGCCAAGGCCGGAGGACTGCATGAGCCTAGGAGTTCAAGACCAGCTGGGCAGCACAGGGAGACTCAATCTCTACAAAAAAACAAAAAAAATTAAACCGCAGTGAGCAGTGACCACGCCACTGCACTCCAGCCTGGGCAACAGAGTGAGATCCTGTCTCAAAAAAAAATACTCATTATGTGCATTAATAAAAAAATAAAATGTTTGATAAAACCCAGCCCTAACAAGTGTCTCATATACTATTAAAAATGTACAAAATTAGAAAAGTATATATATTTTTAGTAGAAGTATAAAATTCTAGTAGTAGAAGTACATAGGCAATTTGTCAAAAAACTACCAAAATTTAAAATTTTACCATTAATGTGAATAGATGTACCCTGTACTGTTAAATAGCCAAAAAATTGAAAATTAACCAAATGTCTACCCATAAGGGACATGTTAAATAAATTATGGTAAATTAATACAAAAACTTTAGCCCTTAAAAATGATTTAGATTTGTCTATGTGTTGATTAGGCTCTCTATGTTAAGTGAGAAAAACATGTTGAATAACGTGTATAGAATGATTAAATTCATGTAAATTGCTTTTTTAAAGAATATGTGCACATACATTATAGCAAATACATTTTTTAAACATTCTGGTAGAATAGATATATAAAATCTTACAGTAGTTACCTTAAAGGATTAAGGAGATGGAGGATCTAGAAAAAGCCTCTCTTTTCATTTTCTAACCACATACATGTACTACTTCTCTTTTTCAATTGTCATTGGAACTAAGTGGTAGAATAATGGGCCACTTTTATTTTAATTAATTCTACTATTTATTTTAAAACGATTTTGAAATAAAAATATTTATTTTTCCTAGTTTGCTATCCTTAACAAAAAACAACCATACATAAAATATATAAATTATATCAGGGATAAAAGACTTTGAGGCAGCTATATACATATGTGTGTGTGTGTGTGTGTGTGTGTGTGTGTGTGTGTATGTGTGTGTACATACACATACATATATACATATGGGTTCAAGCACTTCTCATGCCTCAGCCTCCCAAGTAGCTGGGATTACAAGCACGCATCACCATGCCCAGCTAATTTTTTGTATTTTTAGTAGAGACAGGTTTTGCCATGTTGGCCAGGCCAGTCTTGAACTCCTGACCTCAAGTGCCCACCTCAGCCTCCCAGAGTGCTGGCATTACAGGCATGAGCATCATGCCCGGCCAATGTATTTTTTACAAATACATAATAATTTCCCCATATATATATATTCAAAATATTTTTGTCTAATAATTATTAAAATTATAAAATATAAAAATAATTAGTCTAACAAGGTTCAGCAATAATTTGAATTTCTTCTTTTAGGTTATCTACTAATGTCCTTTGCCATTGTATTACTGGAAATAAAAGATTTCATTACAGGCTGAGCGCACTGGCTCATGCTTATAATCCTAACACTTTGAGAAGCCAAGGCAGGATGAAATGTCTCTCTCTTTCTGTGTGTGTGTGTGTGTGTGTGTGTGTGTGTGTGTGTGTGTGTGTGTAAAATTAAATTGTATTTGTATACGTCTGTATAATAAATTAAATTGTATATATATACACACACATATATATGCATATATATAATCTTTACATGTATTTTTATCTATGAATTATCCAAAAGGAGAATCCGTGTTTTCAAAACATACATACATCAATACATACACAAATGTATCTAGATATTGCTAGAAACAAAGTAAACCATAAGAGATTCATAACCTATAAAAGAATGTCAGCAAATCAAAGGACAAGACATGAATAGCTGAGGACCAGTTCTCCTAAAGCTTTGTATTCAGCCATGTTAAAGGATGATACCTGTTAGTCCTCCAAAGTATTAAAAATAAAAATTAGGAGGAAAGGACTCATCTAACTATATTTATTTAGGCCATTTTCTACATTATTTTCACTCACTTTCTCTAACCTCTACTGTTCTTATTCTTCATACTGTGTCAACTTCTCCCTACCTCAATGCCATCTTTGGATTTTGTTTCTAGTGTAACCAAAATAGCAATGGATGAGGAATCAGAAAATTTGGGTTCTGGTCCCTCCTTGCTAATTACTTGTCTGACTGAGAAAACTCCAGGGCCCATTTTTCTCATGTGACTAAGCATCAAAAGAATATTTGAACCAGAAGGCTTGTAAGATTCCTTCTGACTCACTGACTATATCATCTCTAAAATTCCTTCCAGCTCTAAAATTCTGTGATTCAGGTAAAAACGTGTCAATCATCTTTCATACTCTCAGTTTGATACAGACTGAGTTTAATAATAGGACATTCACCATTTCTTCATTCCAAGCTTCTTCCATACAATTCTGAAAGCTTACCTTTATACAAAATGATCACTAAAGTGCCTTTAGAATCTATGACTATGAGCTATTAAGTCTCATTTTAACCAAAAAAAGATATATATCTAAAATAATATTTCAGAATTGTCATTCCTGACTCTAGTTAAAATTATTTTTTCTTAACTGAAACAAAAATTAACTTTTAACAGATAAGTGCATACTTTTCCAGTATAAGGGCACTTTAGTAAAAGAAACAATGAACAAAAACACATGTGCCTTGGATCAAGCCAAAAAATCAGAAAGTTTACACTTTAAGGGCAGTTAGAATGACACCCCTCTGCAGGCTGACAGCAAAACCAGAAAAGCTCATCCATTTTAGCAGTGTAACACAACCCTGAGGAAGTCTGTCAATTGAAGTGTTATCACACTTTAAACACTTCCATTCAAACTGTCAGTTATCTATTTATCATTTCGCTTTGGTAATTCAGTCAAAGTAAACACAGACACCTATGGTGACTTTGTAATTGCCCTTCATTACAATACCAAATTACTAACAGGGCTTGAGAACAAGAAAGAGGATGTTCATGTATGCCCGTGAGGTAAGCATTCTGAGGCAGAATTAGGTCAAGACAAACCACAAGCAGATATCTTCAATTATTCATATTACTAATATTAAAAAATAAAATACCTGTTCACTTTAAGACAAACTAAAGGCCAATGAAAAATTCGGAACATTGAAGTCTACTGAATTCCTTTTTATTTTTACATGATTCAAACTTATGAGTAAAGATCAATAAAAACGTAACCAGCACTGTAGGATTCTAGGTTACACAAAATGAAACTGTCTGCCTTCAATACACAATCTTACACTTTATCATTGCTTTTACCAATGTATTTTACCAATGTATGTTTTTGGTTGGTTGGTTGTTTTTGAGACAAGAGCCTTGCTCTGTTGCCCAGGCTGCAGTGCAGTGGCGCGATCTTGGCTCACTGCAACCTCTGCCTCCTGGGTTCAAGCGATTCTCATGCCTCAGCCTCCCAAGTAGCTGGGATTACAAGCATGCGCCACCACGCCCAGCTAATTTTTTGTATTTTTAGTAGAGATGTGTTTTGCCATGTTGGCCAGGCCAGTCTCGAACTCCTGACCTCAAGTGCCCGCCTCTGCCTCCCAAAGTGCTGGGATTACAGGCATGAACCATCAGGCCCAGCCAATGTATTTTTTACAAATACATAATTAATTTCCCCAATAACAAGTAAAACAAAAAAAGATAAAAATATGGTGACAATGCCAGCAAGTCTTCTTGCATAGGCTATATAGCCAAAAAATAAATTTCAAGCATTTGAGGAATTCAGCAGATCACTTAGTCACTATGGAAAGCAGTCTACTTATGCATGAAATTCATGGAGTTTTACCATAAAGAGCTTTATTTTATTATTTTTGAACACCTGACACTTAATACTTTCATCTCTCCTTGAAGAGAAGTTTTTTAATATACAGAGTAAAGGAATTTCACAATTCCTCAGTTAGTTAGAAATAACTCTTTGGAAATAAATATGACTGTAGGATTTCAACAATGACTTTGATTCAGTAATTCTGTATTCTCTCCTGGCTCGGAACAAGTCACTCAAGTTTTGCCATTGGAACACCTTACTACTTATACTTTATAATCTCGTTTGAATATCTGTTAAAGTATCTTTTGACCATCCCTAAATAAAGTTTAAATAAATTTTCATCTATAAAAGAGAGTATTAAGGAAGAAAAGCATAAAACAAAATAATTCACATTATATGGTAGGGGGTGATATATCAATGAAATGAAACTCTGGGGGCTATAGCTCACAGTTTTTTGTGTAGAACCAACTCTAATAAGATACTAGTGAAAAACAAAACAACTCTAAAAATATATTAAAATATCATTGGTCACTTCATAGTAATCAATTTATGGTTCACTGATTTGGGGGTATAATTTCATACTTGCAACTTCAATTTTAGAGTAAACTAATTATCACACCAGAACATAGGCTCCCAAACTAATACTGCCAAAAGAAATTATTTGAAAGTCATATAAGTCTTTAGTAAGAAAGAATTCTCTATTTCCACCAAGCCCAAATTCATATTATTCTAATTTCCCTGGAAAATTTCAAAACCACCAATGACATCTTTTGAAAGTTAATAATTTAGTATAACTTTTAAAAGAGGGGTTTGTATTTATCAGAATTATGAGGTGGGATAATCATTATATTTCTCATTCAATTAAGAAAATTCAAACTTTGCCCAGACAGCCTAAATAAACTATCTGCTTTTGAAGTTTTTAAGTATATAAAGTATATTAATTAGATCTAATTAGACTAAACCATTTAAACACTTCTATCTCCTCATATGATATCATCCAAGTTTGACTATTTTTGGTAGCAGGATTTAAAAGAAGAAACTAAGATGTCTGACTACAACAGAAATTAATTTCAAGGAATTAAATATCCCAAGCTTTAAGACCAAATCCCATACTTTAAAACTTGACTAAAGATTTTATTACAGGAAAATTGTTTTTTAAAAGATATCAATACTAGCAGTTAATTTGATTTTCCGAAGTTGATTATCACTAAAATGTACATATAAAACACATACTGAGTAATTTAAATATTTTCAGCCTTATTTTTTCTCTAACACAAAATAACTTTACTCACGTTTTTCCCATCTAGCAATTCCATGCACTTCTCATTTCTGTTGAAGTTACCGACTACCTCAGGATGGACACAAGTATGATCCCTGCTGGAAAGAATAGTCATTGGAACCCCTGAATATGCCGTCCTCCGGAGCTCTCTAGTAATCTGAGCAATCTGCTTGTGTGTGCGTGTCCCAAAATATATTTTGGGTATCTTGGATTTCCCTGTATGATCCTTCTTAATGGTATTCGATGACTCTTGACTGTTTCCTTGTTTAGTAGAACAACAGCACCTAGAACAGTGGCCAGGGGGCTGTAAGAAAGGAAAGAAACGATAACTAATATCTAAACTACCATAAAAAACGTTATCAAACCTCACATGGAATCAGAACCTGTAAGTAATGAATCACAATGGTCAAATAAAGAGAAATAACAAGAAATTATAGTATCTAAAACTTGCCATTAAAGAAAAAACTACAATTTAAAATTGGTCCTCATTCTTTCTTTTAAAAGTTATAAATGATATTTCCAAATTTGCATTCTTTCCAACATACCACTCTAACTCTCCAATTCCAAATGTTTTGAGTACATTTTAACTCTCCTCTTTCATAAATTATAAAAATGATAAAACAAAGTAGGAACAATTTTAATTTTTTCTTAGGCTTCATACGAACTTGTGATATTATAGTTTAGAGTTAATAGTTTTGTTCACAGCATAGTTCATTCAAATATTCCTTAATACACCAATGCTTTTGAAGCACTTTTAAATATAGTTTACAAAAGAATAGAATTATCAAGTTGAATCTAAAGGATCACTTAACAACTTCAAAAAGAGAAAATTCTTCTTTAGCAAAGGTACGAAAATAAATGCAAAATATTAATATTTAATAATGAAAGCAGGTTGCTTGTGTGGAACAAGTATATCTGAAATTCAGTTACCTGTCATGGAGTGTAAACCAATCAGTAAAATTATCATCCAGGGTAGTTTTTCCTGGACAATTTCACTTGTAACTCAGTTTCATAACTGAAATAGTTATATAAATGTCTCTTTAAACAAACCATATGGAACATCAGGAATATAGTCTACTTAATTTACCTGATTTTTCTCTTCTGTTTCCAAATTCTCAAATACTAAAAAAAAAAGTTTAATGCTATATATTAGAACTCACAGGTTCTTAATAACTACTTCCTTCTAAGTCTCAATTATTACACCAAATGACACAGAACAAAGTCTCATTTTAGAGAAATAGTGTAAAATGGTTAATTTATAGAAGTGGTCATTGATGGGGAGGGAAAAAAGGTAAATAGCATTGTAACTTAAAAGACTGTGTGCTAAAGAGTTTTAATTTAGTAGAACAAACACTCTACTTGACTGTTTTTTTTTATTATTGTAATCAGTAAGATTAGCCTTCATAAACAAATGCTAAGTCATAGCATGTTACACCACAATACTGGGGATGAAGCTGTCTTTTAGCCTCAACTCAGTGGAAAAGCAAGTTCAAATTACTCCCAGTCTCACTCAACCTTGTCCGCCATTAAATATTACAATACATGATAGAATGGATGTAAATGTGACCCTTCTGGAGCTGTCACTCACTGGGATAAAAGGTTCACTGATGTGCCAAATAAACAGTCAGTCAAAGCAGATAAAGTTACAGCCATGCTGGAATTGTTACATTCTCCTCTCAGGTTGCCAGTAACAGCAGATTTCATTACAGAGTGCTGCCACATTAAATAGCCAGTTCCAAATATCCTGCCTTCTATATTGAATAATTACTTATTCACTAAAAGGATAAAAAGAAGAGTTATGAATGGGGCTCTTGTCAACAGTGAGGCAGGAAACAGCTGACATGTGGTTTATGTTACATATGTTGCAATATCCAACAATTTACGGTCACAGAGAAAATGGAATGCAAATTATATCATGATATTTCTGACTGAATTCTTTTTGGCTTTTGCAATGATCACATTAATCAATTAACATACAAAAAGAATTAAGGTAACTCAATTAGAATTAATTTACTTTTTCATACCATCAATTTTTTCCCTCAATTATACTATTTCTCTTCCTTATGATACAGTTAAATTCATGTGAATACTAGAATGCTATGGCCCAATGCACTGTTATGTACTATATAGATACATTCTATCTAAGCATAAAAGTAATCCAATAAAGTAGCTTTTTCTCAAGGCTGGGAAAACTTACTTTTTGATGTTACACTTTTCAACATCAATTCCACTTAAAGCTTTACCATCTACTCCCTTTAATTTCACCTTTTCTCTTGGTCAAAAAAATTCAAACAATAATACAGAAATATTTTTTAAAAATCAACTATCCCATCACGAATAATTTAGTGTATAACTTACTGACCTTCATATATACATATCTTTCATATCTTTTTTTCAAATAGAAAGGGATGCTATTATACAGTTTTACAACTAGATACTTTGTTTTCAAAGTTTTTAATTTTTAAAAGGGGTGAATTTGGCACAAATAATTTAATGTTCTACTTATCTTTAAATGTTACACTAGTAGTGGTACTAACAAAAGCAAAAGATCAAGAACTAGTCTCAGAAAACTTTTCTCACTAGAGTGACTTTAGTTAGGACTTGAAATCTGTTTTTTCACTCCATAATTCAGAATATTATAAACCACAGCTAACTTTATATTAAATGTTTTTGTTTGTTTTTTTAAGTTGTAAAGTAATATGAACAAATTATAACATCTATGAACTTAAGTAGACTCCTCAAGAAGATGGTTTTCTTTTTTTGTTTTTCTTTTTGTTTTGCTTTTTTTGAGACAGACTTTCACTCTTTTTGCCCAGGCTGGAGTGCAATGGCATGATCTCGGCTTACCACAACTCCATCTCCCAGGTTCCAGCAAGTCTCCTGCCTCAGCCTCCCAAGTAGCTGCGATTACAGGCGTCCACCACCACGCCTGGCTAATGTTGTGTTTTTATTAGAGATGGGGTTTCTCCATGTTGGTCAAGCTGGTCTCGAACTCCCGAAATCAGGTGATCCGCCTGCATCGGCCTCCCGAAGTGCTGGGATTACAGGTGTAAGCCACCATGCCCGGCCAAGAAGATGGTTTTCAATAGGTACTTAGGCAAGTAAGGTATAAGGTGGAAATTAAAAGTTAATTCTTTTCCCTTTGCATTATTAAACAGGAATTATTTCTTCAGAAGCAATCTTCTATTAAAGTTTCCATTTAAAAGATTCGGTACAGGCCGGGCATGGTGGCTCACATCTGTAATCCCAGCACTCTGGGAGGCCGAGGCACGTGGATTGCTTTGGGTCAGGAGTTCAAGACTAGCCTGGCCAACATGGTGAAACCCTGTCTCTACTGAAAAAACAAAAATTAGCCAGGCATGGTGGCATGTGCCTCTAGTCCCAGATACTCGGGAGGCTGAGGCAGGTGAATCACTTGAACCAGGGAGACGGAGGTTACAGTGAGCCAAGACCACGCCACTGCACTCCAGCCTGGGTGACAGAGCAAGATTCCATCTCAAAAAATAAATAAATAATAAAAGATTTGGTACAATCATATTTGAAGACAGAAAAACTGATTGTAGTAATATAACAAAGGCTTCAAAAAGTCACTTATAACAAAAGATAATTACCTGTACCAAAATCAGCAACTTTCAATGCTCTAAGAAAACTAGAGGAAGGATCCTGATGCCAGCAGTGTCAGGAGGTCAGAATATCCCCCAATCAAATTACCAGGCTAATACTTTATGGCCTCTCTCTGAAACCCTTTGACCCAGGGGTCTTAAAACAATTAGATGAATAAAATTAAATAATTTTGTATCTCTTATTGAGTATTTTTCCTGCTAACAAATGATCATGTTTATCTTTCAAAAAGACTTTTTTATTTTCCCTTTGCTGTTTAAATTGACAGAGATTTCCTTTTCTCCAGGAAACTAGAGAATAAATTTTATAATATTCACTCTCATCCAATAATATATCTGAAAATCAATACATAAGACATGGGGCTTTCCAAAATCTGTAAACTCTAAGACCTGTAAGTGGCTACACAGTGCCAGAACCAAACTCTTTAAGAAATGGCTTCTTCTCCAAGCTAGAAACTGTTCAGAGTCCTTTTACTTCAAGAAAAGGCAAGAAAACCCAACCCAAGTAACTGCAAAAATATACTATCATTAAAAAAAAAAAACAGGAGATACATGTGGATGTGACAGCTATAATATTTCCATGTGCAGTAGCCAATTGTTTAAAAATACATTTCAAATCTACAATTATCAAAACTGTTCTTAGAACATCAGCAACCAAGGATTTTCAGAAAATTTTTCTTGTGTTTAATAAATTATATTCCCTCTCTTGTTGTATTATATAGAGACATGTCTACATTCTTTCAAAGATGAAGAGTTCGAAGATTTGATCTTGAAAGAAAGATGAATTGCTGAGTCCTTGCCACTGTTCCTTTCACAAGCTATAATTATAAGTTCAAACGGTAACATACCACAATGTCAACTTCTAAAGATTTATAACTTTCTCCAAACTTTCCCTACCACTCACACAAAAAAATACTATGCCTAAATACCTGAAAAATGAGCATAGCAATTAAATATTTTTAGAAATGGAAAATGATAAAGAAATAGGAACTAATTTCATTGCCAAAGAAGAAGTTCCTTTGCTAACTGTAAATCAGGAGAGATTCTCAAAGGAGACTACAAATTGAATTTCAAAAGCAGGCAGGAGTACGAAAACTAAGTATATAAAGAAGTAGAGAGAAAAAGAGAATGAAGAGAAACCTGTTTGAGTGAAATAAAAGGAAAACTAGGTCAATGAAACAGTAAAAAAAAAAAATACAAAAACTTGTGTTCTTCCATAACTTTCCACATGTGCATGTATTGTCTTTCCAACCACACTGCAAATTCCTTGAAGACAGAAACTATGTCTTACATTTCTTTATATAGCTCATTCATCGAGAGTGGTGTTTTGCACATAACTGTAACTTAGCTTTTTTTAAACTGATGAATTATGACTAAATGTCCCTGAACCAAATACTGTACCCATGCATTACAATTAAATCTGACAGATGCTTAAATGATGTCCTAATTTGAAGTGCTGCACATATCAAAAAGATACTTCAAAATCCAGATTAGCTTTTAAAGGAAAAAGTACAGGACAATTACTATTTTTCAAGGCCAAAAAGAAAAACCATCTTATGCTAGTATTTTAGTCGTGACAAACATATATCCCAATATTTTCATTAGTAATAATACTGCCATTTTTAAGCCTGTCCTTGTGCTAAACATTTTTCATCTAATATCCCATTTCATTCATTCATTGACTCAAGAGACATTGGAATCCCTATATATCAAGCCACGGAGAAGACAATGACAAGGATCACCTCATCTTACTGACAAAGAGAGCTTCATTCTTAAATTGTTCTACAAAGTGTAGTTCTTGGAGTTTATCACACCATTTTCACTCATAAACCAAGGAATTGTTTAAAGTTAGTTATATTATTTTATGAATGCAATTACAAAATATTCCTAAGTATGATCTTCATAAAAATTGTTTTAACTTATTAGTTGACATTTAAATCAAATATGTTATAACAAGATCCATATTATGTCCCCCAAGGGAAAAATAAAAAACACAAACTTTCAATTAATAGACTCTTTAGAGCAAGAGTCAGCAAAAGAGCCAGACAGTAAACATTTCAAGCTTCAAAGGCTATATGGTCTCTTCTTCCATAGGAAGATATCTTTTATGATCGAAATGTAGAGAAGGATTTCCTAAAACAATAAACCAAAAACACAAATGAGTGAAAACACAGCTTCATTAACATGTTAAACTTCTATTTAAAGATACATATTCCTTAAAGAAGGAAAGAAAAATAGGTAAAAAGGGGGCACAGGCTGACAGAAGATACTTGCAGTGCTTACAGTCAAGTGAGGATCAGTATCTACAACATATAAAGAATTCCAATAAATCTATTTTTAAAAGACAAACCCTACAGAAAACCAAGAACAGGCAAATCACAGAAGAGAAAAGCTGAAAGGCTAATAAATATCTGAAAAGATGTGCCATCTAATGTACAGCTTCACTAGTAATTAGGAAAATGCAAATTAAAACCATAATTAGATTCCATTTCCTATCCACCAGATTGGGTACTGGAGAGGATATGAAGAAACTCTTATTCACTGCTGATCGAAGTATAAATTGGCACAACTACTTGAGAGCAAATTGGTGATCTAGTGAAATCAAAGATACATATACCCTTTGACCCAGCATGACACTGTTAGGTATACATGCTAGAAAAACTCTTGCACATTAAGACAGATACAAGAGGAATATTAATTGCAGCATTGTTTTAATAGTGAGAAAAACAAGCTACATGTATCAACAGAAGGAATGGATGAGTAAATTGTGGGCTCTTTCCAATCAATGGAATAATATTATAATGAAAATATATGAATGACAGTTGTATGCATCGACATCGATAAACATGAACAAGCAGTTGAACAGGCTGAGTATGGCTTAAACAAAATTGTATTTTCCCCATAAAATTCTAAATAAGTTGATGATAGAAATAAAAATATAAAACTTCAGGTAGAGAGTGAGGAATCAAGACTATGGAAGATAATCTTAAAAGCTAACAATTGTCATGAAAAACATACCTGAAAAATGCTAGAAGTGCTGGAAAAAAAAAAAAAAACCCACAGTAAATATACTCTGTTCTGGTTTCTCCTCAGTTGTTTCATACCCAGCAGAATAGCTTTCATCTTAACACCTCCTCCTCAAAAGTTTTCAACCTAATTTATTAGGAAATGGGTTCTCAAATTAGGGTCCATGGGCTATTACAGATCACCCAGAAACTACAGACACAATTTTGTGTGCATTTTTAGAAAGTGAACCCCTAACTTTAATCAAGTGCTCAAAGCAGATTGTGACTGATTTGGGTTAGGGCTTTATTCCAGAATTTATATCTGGTTTTTTAACGAAAATCAAATGGAAACAACATTTTCTTTATAACCAAATTAGCCAGACATAGTTATTCTGTAAAGGAATAAACAACAGCCAAGAGAATTTCATAAAGTTTCCTCCACTGCTTCTGAACTCATTTCTATTTTAATGTTTGTTAATTACCTAATATTAACATAAGGCTAAAATACTCAGTTCACTAATGTATATTTCTAACTTCATTTTACAGATAAAAAAGGAAATTCAGAAGAATTCAAATTCCCACAAAATACACAATAAATTTGTGGAGAAGTTGAAATTCATAACCTTAAATCTTTAAAGTGAAGCTTTAACAGGATTGTTTTCATCTACCACTTAAGCAAAAAAGCAAAACACTGCCCTTTATTTCAAAAAGTCATGCATATGAAGAGCTAGTGGTAAAAGGCCAATGAACATAGAATTATACTACAAACTTTGAGACATAAAAAAGGGTTTTTTAATCTTTATCAACCATTTGCTGTTGTCCAAGCCATCTAAACAGGTACTGAATGCCCGTTGTGCAAAATCTCACATTAGCACACACTCTAGTAAGATAGCAAAAGTAACATAACTATACCTTTTCAACTATTCTTTTTTTAAAAATTCAAACAGTAGTAGTACCCTACTGCCACCGTTTCATGATTAGACTGCACAAAGCAGCTGTTTATCCACTCACAGCAACCAGCAGGTGAACCTGATTCAATATTTATCACAGGCTTTCATAGATCACTGCTAACCAAGCAAACGTTTTAATTAAGCTGGAACTTGCTTCAAAGAGCTCATTCAAGATGTCAATCAGCAGGTAGGGGATCAGATACAGTGTCAGGTGAGAGTGTGTAATACAAATCCACAACTTTCTTCATCCCATCGCTGTAAATTAGCCTGCTCTAAAGTTCAGACTCTGATTGTAACAGACTGCCAGTCTCCTGGAATGTGTAACTGAAGTCACTCAAATTCTATTGTGAAGGTTGTAAGCAATATGTTAAACTGCAGTGGGCTAGCACATTAAGACAGATCCTTTTCACGGTTGTTTTTTGATACCATAAGTGTTTGTTACCCTACTCTCCACTTACTGTTTACTTTCTTGCCTAGTGTAAATGGGAATTCCTTAACACAGTTGCTCCAGTTTCTGAAAAGTCTGTGTTTCAATAGAGTAAATCAATAAGAATTATCAGTTTAAGAACAAGCATATCATAAAGATGACTGACCTGCTATAAAGCAAAAATTATCCTGGTATAATAGAACTTTACATAGATGTGATTATAGCAATGAGTCTCAAAGCAGTGATGAGTCACACCGATCAACTTCATGAGAAAAACCCAGGGTGTTTATAAAAAATAAAAAGGGGAAAAAGAAGACTCAAACGAGCAAAATGGGGAAGTGGGCGGGTAGGCGGAAAATATCTTCTTTAAATAAGAATGCCAGCTAAGAATTGTAAATAAAATGATAGAATTTTAAAAATCACCATTTTGCAACTTTCCTGTACTAACTGATTCAGGCAAGTTACATAAATGGATGCTGAAATCTTTCAGTGAAAAGTTATTAGGGAACAGAATATTGACAAAGTCTCAAAATATCACCCCACAGATTATTCATTAATTACAAAAGGAAAATGTACCTTTACAATGAAGAGACCTGGCAGTGACACTCTAACCAAGTGGTGAAATTCAGCATCAATGGTATTGAGACTAACTGGCTTCATATGCCTCCTGATATAAGAAATATACTCTTGTGCCCATCTTCAATAAAACTACATGATTATTAAATCCAAACAATCAAGACATGAATCAAAAAGAACCTGGGAATAGAGAAACTGTGGTAAAAAGACATATATGTATTATTTAGTCGGTGAAAATTCATCCAATTGTAATTTATGATATGTACACTTGGTTATAGATTGTATTTCAAAAAGGCTTTTAAAAAAAACCCTATCTCTTGAGATTGCAGGTAATTTTTACTTTCTCCTTTATGGTATTTTTCAAACTTTCTTCAATGAACCTTTTAAAATGAGAAAACAATGCTATCCTATCATGTCATTTTCCACATATTAACCAAAATGCTATAAACAAAACATATGACATAGAGATTTGTGCTTCTATGGGCTTTAAAAATTAAATGGTTATTATTACATACAAGTCTCTAAAGCAGCACTACCCAACAGGATTTTCTGTGATGACAGCGTATTTGATATCTGCACTATTCAATATATTTGGCATTAGCCGCATGGGCACTTGAAATGTAATTAGTACAACTAACTGAATTTTAATTTTAATTAATCAAAAAACATAAATACATGTGGCTAGTGGACAGAATACATTTAAAGTATTATCAGAGATTCTAGAAAACCAATGGTTATTGCAGGTGCATTGTATGTGTGAGAAATTCTCTTCGTAAATTCAAGTTAGAAAGGAAAAAGCAAAAGTACACTGTAAAAATTGTGTGCTCATAGGTAAAAATGGGTTCTGCAGGTTGCAGCTCATGAAAACTGGGTTCACAATTTTTGTAGACTAGTAAACTACTTTTCTTAATCTTTTTTGTTCTAATTTTTGTCTGAATTCCAATCAAAATCCCAGCAAGATTTTTTTTTGGGTAATCTAAATTTAATCTTGAAAATAAATAAGTGAGAATAACCAAAACTTTTTGGAAAAATAAGATGGGGACAGGTGTGATCTCTCACACCTGTAATCCCAGCACTTTGGGAGGCCAAGGCAGGCATATCACTTGTGCTTGGGAGTTCGAGACCAGCCTGGGCAACATGGCAAGACCTCATCTCTAAAAAGGGGGGAGGGGGGGGAAAGATGGGCAAGTAGGGTATATATTTCTATAGATGTAAGAATTTCAAATATATGATAAAGATGCTGTATTAGGCACCTCTATGGACATGTGTCCACCTACTTACTCTGAAATCATCTATATCCCCTGCTGAAAGGCTGAACCTAATATCCACATTAATAACACATATCCAAAGACACTCTCAGGCATAGCAAGATCAATTAGTTTCACTTTCCCAAGAACTTGTATTTGGGGCATTTAGACTGAGTTGATTAATTACAGAAAATAGGCCACATCATTTGGTAGATTTTAGGCTTCCACTTTGAGATGTCATGGTAAGGTCATATGAAAGAGTGTAAGTATCTAGAAAAACCAATCTACAAAAAATAATGAGAAAACTTTGCTGAGAAATGCAGATGTCACACCAGAGGCCCCAAAGAGAACAGAGAAGCTGCCTAAAAACTTTTCATTTCCAATGAGGGGAATTATATCTCCTGCATGATCTTTCTTTTAGCGGGTTTCTATTTCTTAAAAAGCAGATCACTCCCTTAAAAATCTGATTTAAAAATGGGCCAAAAATTTGAATAGACATTTCTCAAAAGATATACAAATGGCAAACAGACATATGAAAAGGTGCTCAACATCACTGATCATCAGAGAAATGCAAATCCAAACTACAATGAGATATAATTTCATCCCAATTAAAATGGCTTTTATTGGCTGGGCACGGTGGCTCACACTTGTAATCCCAGCACTTTGGGAGGCCGAGGGGGGCAGATCACCTGAGGTCAGTAGTTCGAGACCAGCCTGGCCAACTTGGTGAAACCCAATCTCTACCAAAAATACAAAAATCAGCCAGGTGTGGTGGTGCACGCCTGTAATCCCAGCTACTCAGGAGGCTGAGGCAGGAGAATCACTTGAACCCGGGAGGCAGAAGTTGCAGCGAGCCGAGATCATGCCACTGCACTCCAGCCTGGGCAACAGAGTGAGAATTTGTCTCAAAAAAAAAAAAAAAAGGCTTTTATCCAAAACACAAGCAATAACAAATGCTGGCGAGGATGTGGAGAAAAGGGAACCCTCATACACCGTTGGTGGGAATGTAGATTAGTACAACCACTATCGAGAACAATTTGGAAATTCCTCAAAAAACTAAAAATTGAATTACCATATGATCCAGCAATCCCACTGCTAGGTGTATATCCAAAAGAAAGAAAATCAGTATATCGAGGAGATATCTGCACTCTCATGTTTATTGCAGCATTATTCACAATAGCCAAGATTTGGAAGCAACCTAAGTGTCCATCAACAGATGAATGAATGAAGAGAATGTGGCACATACACAATGAAGTACTATTTAGTCATAAAAAGAATGAGATCCTGTCATTTTCAACAACATAAATGGAACTGGAGGTCATTATGTTAAGTAAAATAAGCCAGGCACAGAAAGACAAACTTTGCATGTTCTCACTCATTTGTGAGAGCTAAAAATTAAAACAGGTGAACTCATGGAGAGAGAGAGTAGAAGGGTGGTTTTCAGAGGCTGGGCAAGGTAGTCTAGGGAGGGGAGAGAGTGGAGTTGTTAATGGGAACAAAAAAGTAGTTAGAAAGAATAAATAAGACTTAGTATTTGCTAGCACAACAGGGTGAATATAGTAAAAAATAATGTAATTGTACATTTCAAAATAACTAAGAGTATAATTGGATTATTTGTAACACAAAGGATAAATGCTTCAGGTGATGGATACCTCATTTACCCTAATATGATTATTACACATTGCATGCCTGTATCAAAATGTCTCATGTACTTCATAAATATATACACCTACTATGTACCCACCAAAATTAAAAATTAAAAAAAAAAAAAGCAAACCACCCTGTTTAAATCAGGTGGCATTTCAAATCTGTGGGGGAAATTATTCAACTAATATTTAGATGAATGACTATTTGGGGAAAAAAATTAGATCCTATCTCCCACCTTACATCAAAATAATTTACAGTTGAATTAAAGATCAGTATATAAGAACTGAAACCACGAGACTTCCAGTCTAATATGGCAGATTAGGTACACACATTTGCCCTCCTTCCCACCTAAAACACCACTAAAATAAACTTACTTAGTAGCTGAAGTTGCAAACTGGAGGTCCACAAATCATACCTGCTTCACAATCATGTTTTGAATGGCTACACAGAGTTTTATAAATTTGAACTACTTAAAAATTATGAGATGAAAATCCATAGTGCTGGTTTCTTCTAGAAAAACTGGTTGACTGGCCACATTAGGCCTGTATTCTTACAGGACAGCAATCCACTAACATTGACTAGATTGCCACATTTGGATGAGACATATACTCTCAAGGTATCACAGTCCCTGCCACTTAAAGAATGTAATCACATGCACTTATACTTAGACCCCTTCTTTCATTCATGCTACCTATCTGGTGCTCATTTAAGTTGCCAACCCTGGTTACAAAAGTGTAAAAAGGGCCAGGCACAGTGGCTCACGCCTGTAATCCCAACACTTTGGGAGACCGAGGGGAGTGGATCACTTGAGGTCAGGAGTTCAAAATCAGCCTAGCCAACATGGTGAAACCCTGTCTCTACTAAAAATACAAAAATTAGCCAGGCGTGGTGGCATGCACCTGTAATCCCAACTACTCGGGAGGCTGGGGCAGGAGAATCACTTGAGCCAGGGAAGCGGAGGTTGCAGTGGGCTGAGATCCCGCTATTGCACTCCAGCCTGGGCAACGAAGCGAGACTCTGTCTTAAAAAAAAAAAAAGAAAGAAAGAAAGAAAGTACACTCCACAGAGTGGGAGGGGGCTTGAGCAAGAGGCTCAAGAGCACTGGTTACAAAATTTTCTGGAGTTTAAATACTCTCTAGAGGTTTCCATTGGTTATTTTGTTGCACACTATGTAAATAAACACGTGGCCTGTGACCAGTCTGATTGGTTGTGGGAGGCAACCAATCAGAAGCTGAAGGGAAGCTACAGTTACATCCTATGCAAAGGAAGACATGGCCCATGACCAGTCTGATTGGTTGTGAGAGGGGACCAATCAGAGGCTGAAGTGAAGTTACAGAGTTACACCCTATGCACATGAAGACTGGTTGTGGGAAGGAGAGGTACTTTCCATTCTTTAACCTGCCATTCAGTAGAAAGGCAGGGTGTTGCAAACAGAGTAGCCTCTGATCCTTTTGTTACTTGGGGGTGGAGAGGTGAGTTTTTCTTTTTGATTCAGTTTTAGGAAGTCAGTGTGAATCGGCCTTAGGTTCCCTGCCTCCAGACCCTATTCTCCTGCCTCAATTTCATTCTCTTTTTTTTTCTTGTATTTTTTACCTTTTTATTTTTAATTTTATTTTTTTTTACAGACAGGGTCTCATTCTGTTGCCCAGGCTGGAGTACAGTGATATAATCATAGTTCACTGCAACGTTGAACTCCTAGGTTTAAGCAATCCTCCTGCCTCAGCTTCCCGAGTAGCTGGGACTATAGGCACATGCTACCACGCCTGGCTACTTTTTGCATTTTTTGTCTTTTTAAAAT
Organism: Homo sapiens; assembly: GCF_000001405.40. Classification (NCBI taxonomy): domain Eukaryota; kingdom Metazoa; phylum Chordata; class Mammalia; order Primates; family Hominidae; genus Homo; species Homo sapiens. The sequence continues at coordinate 61,821,724 of NC_000017.11, forward strand.
TTTTCTTAAGATACAGGATCTCTCTCTCTCTCTCGCCCATGCTGGAGTTTAATGGCACAATTATGACTCACTTCATTCTCAACCCTCAACCTCCTCGGCTCAAGTGATCCTTCCGTCTCAGCCTCCCAAGTAGCTGGGGCTACAGGTGAATATCACCACATCAGGCCACCATTTCATTCTCAGCAGATATTGAAGGCTCAATGAATATTACTGGTAGAAATAAGCAACAAAATAAATAAATCTCACATTAACTAAAACTGCACATGAAAACATTTGTTAATGACTAAAAATTGTCAGAAGAATCAGTAATAGCCACCAGTAAAAGAACTAAATGACAGAAGACATAATAAAAACCTCGTGTGACTGGTTTTTGATGTGAAAAATATAAATTAATGAATGAAATGTCTTCCCTATAAGCGTTACATAAAATTAGTAAATGACAAAAAATAAAAGACAATAAAAGAAGAAGAAAAGCTATTTGACGAATAGACTGATAATGGGATTCTCATCATTTTTTTCTGTAAAATCTTTGATGTTACTAGAATTTTTATAAGCAAATATCACTTTTATAAAAACAATTACATTTTTTAAAAACATACACAGAAAAGAAAACAATATACAGGGTAGAGATACTACCAAAAGGAGAAGTAACTAGTTTTTCAGGGCTTGCAGAATCATTTTACTCAATTTGATAAGATTTTTGTCGTACTAATAGATCCAGTTATGTGCCCTCTGGGAAAAATGCACCAAAAAGCGCCAAGGAAGAAAGGGAACTGGACAGACTATCCAGTAAGGCCAGTCAAATCAATCATACAGGTTAATGAGATGACTGAATAGGAAAACAGACTGCTCTCACATCTACTATTGTTCAGAATATTAGATTAAGGAAAGAGCTGAGACAAGGTTTCCTTGTGGAAGGACAGGAGAAAACATAACATGGTTATAGCTAAGGAAAAGAATCAATAGAAAGGAGGAAAAATAATTGACAAACATCCAGTGATGTGTAAATGTGTAGTGGGATGTGAATGGGGAAAAGTTTGTGTTTAAAAAAAAAAAGGCCCTGTATGACTAATATGGGGACCAACAAGTTTTCAGTTTAAAGGTGGGACGGTTCCAAATGACAACGAAGTCCCATGTGTAGTGGTGCTGTTGAATTAATGGCTAAATTAGGTCGTAAGTTTCAAGAAGGCTGAGGAACTATGGTCAAAATAGCAGATCATCAACACAGATCATGAAGTACCCCAGGATGGTGACTGCTTCTCCTACTCCAGATTCACTGAGTAACAAGGAGAATCTGACATTTTTACTGCCCTGATGTGTGCCTACTTCACTAAACCTCAAAAGCATCTTTCTTTAAAAGATTCATACATGTTTCCAATGCTGTTGTCAATATCAATTATCTTCTGAATGAAACGTTAACCTTGCACAAGTAATGCAACATCTGGCTTATAGTAGTTTTCACTTAGAACAATGCATATATTTGTTTAAGTTTTCCAAAAGGCCAACATTTAAAGAAACAATAAATGTCCTTAAAAATATGATTGTATGGCCTTCTGCTTTTAGCCATACGAAAAAACAGAAATCTTATCTTGCACCATAAACTACTAACAAATTGGACAAGATATATGAAACAGTACTTTTCAGACACTGAATTGTGATCTCAGAGAAAAGGAAACAAAGAGGTGATAACTACATTACTTTACTTCTACAGATGAAAACACAATAACTGAAAAGAAAAATCCACTAGTAAGATTTAACACCAAATTAGAAATAGCAGAAGAGATCAAGGAGCTTGACAAATCGGCAATAGAAGGTAGACAAAATGAAGCACAAAGAAGAAAAAATAGCTTAAAAAATGAACATATAGTCAGTGATGTATAATATCAAGCTGTCTAATATACACATAATTGAAGTCTGAAAGGAAAAAAATGAGTACTTAAGAAAATATTTTTAAATGGCTCAAATTGTTCATAATTTGATGAAAACTATAAAACCATAGATCCAAAAAGCTCAATGACCCCAAGCACACAATAAACACACACACACACACACACACACACACACACACACACACCTTAGTTGAATTGCTGAAAGCAGAGATAAAAATAGAATTTTTTTTTTTGAGACGGAGTTTCGCAGTTGTTGCCCAAAGTGATCTCAGCTCACTGCAACCTCCGCCTCCTGGGTTCAAGTGATTCTCCTGCCTCAGACTCCTGAGCAGCAGAGATTACAGGCATGTGCCGCCGCACCTGCCTAATTTTTTGTATTTTTAGTAGACACAGGGTGTCACCATGTTAGCCAGGCTGGTCTCAAACTCCTGACCTCAGGTGATCCACCCGCCTCAGCCTCCCAAAGTGCTGGGATTACAGGCATGAGCCACCATGCCCGGCCTAAGATAGAATTTTTAAAGCAGCCACAGATTACTCTATAGAAACTATGTAAGACAAGCCAAGGGCAGAATATCTTTTAAGTGCTGAAAGAAAGAAAATGTGAACCTAAACTTCAATACCCAGTGAAAATGTGTTTCAAAACAAAGCGACGGTTCCTATCAATAACCCAATGAAGTTTCTTGCAGAAATAGAAAATACCATCCTAAAATTCACATGGATTCTCAAGGAACCCCGAATAACCACAATAATCTTGAAAAAGAACAAAACTGGAGGTCTCACATTTTCTGATTTCTAAACTTACTACAAAGCTACAGTAAGAAAAACAGCATGGTACTGGCATAAAAACAGAAATATAGACCAATGGAACAGAATAGAAATTCCAAAAGCAAACCCCCACATATATGGTCAAATAATTTTCAGCAGCCTATCAAGACCATTCAATGGGAAAAGAACAGTTTTTTCAACAAATGGTGCAGGGAAACCTGGATATCTACACACAAACAATGAAGTTGCACCATTATAATATATGGAAAAATTAACTCTACATGGATCAAAACCTTAAATATAAAAGCTAAAACCATAAAACTTTTCCAAAAGCACTGGTGATAAAAAATGGACTTCATGAGATAAATTGGACTCATGAAAATTAAAAACGTTTATGTATCATAGACCACCATCAACAGAGTAAAAATGCAACACACCAAATGGGAGAAAATATTTACAAATCATGTATCCAATAAGGTATTAATATCTGGAATACATAAAGAACTTCCACCAACTCAACAACGACAAAAGCAATCCAATTCCAAAATGGACAAAGGCAACATCATACTGAATGAGCAAAAGCTAGAAGCATTTCCCCTGAAAACCAGCACAAGAAAAGGAAGCCCGGCCGGGTGCAGTGGCTCACGCCTGTAATCCCAACACTTTGGGAGGCTGAGGCAGGCGGATCGCAAGGTCAGGAGATCGAGACCATCCTAGCTAACATGGTGAAATCCCGTCTCTACTAAAAATACAAAAAATTAGCTGGGCAAGGTGGCGGGCACCTGTAGTCTCAGCTACTAGGGAGGCTGAGGCAGGAGAATGGCGTGAACCTGGGAGGCGGAGCTTGCAGTGACCCAAGATTGTGCCACTGCACTCCAGCCTGGGCGACAGAGCAAGACTCTGTCTCAAAACGAAAAAAAAAAGAAAAGAAAAGAAAAGAAAAGGAAGCCCTCTCTCACCACTCTTATTAAACATATTATTGGAAGTCCTGGCCAGGGCAATCTGACAAGAGAAAGAAATAAAGGGCATCCAAATAGGAAGAGAGGAAGTCAAACTATCCCTCTTTGCAGATGACATGATCCTATATCTAGAAAACTCCACAGTCTCAGCCCAAAACCTCCTTAAGCTGATAAACAACTTGTCAGGATACTAAATCAATATGCAAAATTTACTGACATTCCAATTCACCATCAACTGTCAAGCTGAGAGCCAAATCAGGAATGCAATCCCATTCACAATTGCCACAAATAAATAAATAAATAAATAAATAAATAAATAAATAAATAAATAAAATAACTGGGAATACAACTAACCAGGTAGGTGAAAGATCTCTACAAAGGGAACTACAAAGCACTGCTTGAAGAAATCAGAGATTTCTTACAAACAAATGAAAAAACCTTCCATGTTCATGGATAGGAATAATCAGTATCATTAAAAAGGTCATACTGCCCAAAGCAATTTACAGATTCAATGCTATTCCTATTAAACTACCACTGACATTCTTCAGAGAACTAGGAAAAACTCTTTTAAAACTCATATGGAACCAAAAAAGAGCCCAAAAAGCCAAGGCAACCCTAAGCAAAAAGAACAAAGCTGGAGGCATCGCACTACCCAACTTCAAACTATACTACGTGGCTACAGTAATCAAAACATCATGGTACTGGTACAAAAACAGATACATAGACCAATGAAACAGAATAGAGAGCCCAGAAATAAGGTCACACCTACAACTATCTGATCTTGAACAAACCTACCAAAAACAAGCAATGGGGAAAGGATTCCCTATTCAGTAAATGGTGCTGGGATAACTCGCTAGGCATATGTAGAAGATTGAAACTGGACCCCTTCCTTACACCGTATTCAAAAATTAAGATAGATTAAAGACTTAAATGTAAAACAAAAACTATAAAAACCCTGGAAGACAACCTAGGCAATACCATTCTGGACATAGGAACAGGCAAAGATTTCATGATGAAGACAACAGAAGCAATTGCAACAAAAGCAAAAATTGACAAATGACACCCAATAAAATTAAAGAGTTAATGCACAGCAAACGAAACTATCAACAAAGTAAACAGACAACCTACAGAATGGGAGAAAATTTTTTGCAAACTATGCATCTGACAAAGGTCTAATATCCAGCTTCCATAAGGAACTTAAATTTACAAAGGAAAAACAACCTCATTAAAAAGTGGGCAAAGGACATGAATGGACACTTTTCAAAAGAAGATATATATGCAGCCAACAATCCTATGGAAAAAAGCTAACATTACTGATCATTAGAGAAATGCAAATCAAAACCACCACAATGAGATACCATCTCACACCAGTCAGAATGGCTATTATTAAAAAGTAAAAAAAAAAAAAAAAAAAAAAAAAACAGATGCCGGTGAGGTTGCAGAGAAAAAGGAAAAAGGAACACTTGCACACTACTGGTAAGAATGTAAATTAGTTCAACCATTGTGGAAGACAGTAGACAGTGTGGCAATTCCTCAAAGACCTAAAAACAGAAACACCATTTGACCCAGCAATCCCATTACTGGGTATATACCCAAAGAAATATAAATTGTTCTATTATAAAGACACATGCACACGTATGTTCATTGAAGCACTATGCACAATAGCAAAGACATGGAATCAACCTAAATGCTAATCAATGGTAGACTAGATTTTAAAAATGTGGTACATATACACTGTGGAATACTATGTAGCCATAAAAAAAATGAGACTGTGTCCTTTACAGAAACTTAGATAGAGCTGGAGACCATTATCCTTAGCAAACTAATGCAGGAACAGAAAACCAAATACTGCATGTTCTCACTTATAAGTAGGAGCTAAATCATGAGAACATATGGAAACATAAAGGGGAAAAACACACAATGGGGCCTATCAGAGGGTAGAGGGTGGGAGCAGGGAGAGGATCAGAAAAATAACTAATGGGTACTAGGCTTAATACCTGGGTGACAAAATAATCTGTACAACAAACCACTACCACACAAGTTTACCTATATAACAAACCTGAGCATGTACCCCTGAACTTAAAATAAAAATTAAATTTAAAAAAAATGGGGCTGGGAGTGGTGGCTTACACCTGTAATCTCAGTACTTTGAGAGGTAAGGCAGGAGGATCACTTGAGACCAGAAGTTCAAGGCTAGCCTGGCCAACATGGTGAAACCCCATCTCTATTAAAAATACAAAAAATTAGCCAGGCGTGGGGGCACACACCTGTAATCCCAGCTATTCGGGAGGCTGAGGTGGGAGGACTGCTTGATCCTGGGAGGCGGACACTGCAGTCAGCTGAGATAGTGCCACTGCACTCCGGCCTGGGCGACAGAGTGAAGCCCTGTCTCAAAAAAGGGCAAAGGACTTGAATAGACATTTCTCCAAAGAAAATACACAAATGGCTAATAAGCAGAAGAAAAGATGCTCAACATCACTAATCATTAGGGAAATGCAAATCAAAAACACAAGATACCACTTCACACCCTTAAAAATGGCTATTCTTTAAAAAGGACAACAAAACAGATAATGAGGTTGGCAAAGATGTGGAGAAACTGGAACCCCTGTGCATTGCTGATGGAACTGTAAAATGGTACAGCCACTGTGAAAAACAGCTTGGCAGTTCCTCAAAAACTTAAATATAGAATTACCATATGGTCCAGAAATTCCACTCTTAGGTGTATACCCAAACGAATGAAAACAGAGACTCAAACAGATACGTACACCAATGTTCACAGCAGCATTATTCAAAATAGCAAAAAGATGGAAACAACCCAGATGTCCACTGGCAGATGAACGGACAAACAAAATGTGGTATATCCATACAATGGAATATTATTCAGCCATAAAAAGAAATAAAATTCTGACACATACTACATGGTGGATGACCTTGAAAACATTATGCTGAGTAAAATAAGCCAGACACAAAAGGACAAATATTGCATGATTCCACTTACATGAGGTATCTAGAGTAGTCAAATTCATAGAGACGGAAAGGAGAACGGCATTTTTCCTGGGGCTGGACAATAGGGAAATACAGAGATATTGTTTCATGGGTATGGTGTTTCAGTTTGGAAAGATGAAAAGGTTCTGGCACTAGATAATAGTATATAAATATGCATAATACCACTGAATTTACACTTAAAAACAGATAAATGGTAAATTTTATGTTATATATATTTTACCATTAAAAACATGAAGGTAAGAAAAAAAGCTGAAAAAATATTTGCAATGCAAATGTTAAATAAAGCTCTTTAAGCTAATAGAAAAGTTACACAATACAGAAACTTGGACCTACAAAATGAAGGGCACCAGAAGTGAAAAACTGGAGGGTTAAGAAAGAAATTATTTTCCTCATTTGTAAATTTGTACATAGCTGATGATTTAAACTAAAAATAACAAAACACTGTGAGGGCTATGACAAATGTAGAAGTAAAATATTTGACAAAAATGGCACAAAACATGGGAGAGTAGACACGGAAGTATATTGGCAGAAGGTTCTTACACATTATTTGTGAGTTGAAATATTATTTGAAGGTACACTGTGATAAGTTTAAGATGCAAAGTATGAAGCAACTCACAAAAATAAAACTAAGAGGTATACTTAAGAAGACAGTGGTGAAGGTAAAGTAGAATCCTAAAACATGTTTAATTAATTCAAAGAAGACAGAAAAGGGGAATAAAGAAAAGTTGGAACAAACAGAAAACAAATAGTAACCACAGTGATAATTACACTGAATGTAAATAGTATAAGTGTTCCAATTAAAAAGAAGAGGTTGTCAGATTGGATAAATAAAGAAGACAATTATTTATAAGAAACTTATCTTAAATCTAAAGACACAAATAGGTTAAAAATAAAAGGATGAAAAATATATACTATGGAAACATTAATCCTAAGAAAGCTGGAGTGGCTATATCAATGTTAGCCAAAATAGATCTCAGAACAAAGACATTTCATAATGACAGATGGGTTAATACATCAAGAAGACATAATAATCTTAAATGTGTATACAGCTAATAACAGACCATGAAAACCCATGAAGCAAAAACTGGTAGAATTGAAAGAAAAGGCAAATCCACAATTATAGGACCCTTACAGTATTCTCTAATTAATTTATAAGTAGACCAAAAAAAACCAGCAAGGATACAGAAGATCTTAGCAAGATAATCAACAAACTTGACCTAACTGATTTTTATAAATGAATACCCATACTTTCCAAAAACTCACAGAGCATTTGCCAAGACAGATCGTCAAATTTAAAAGAACTGAAATCATATAGAATCTATTCTCTAACCACACAAAAATAAATTAGAACTCAGTAAGAGAAAAATATCTAGGAAAAAACACCTAGTTAGTGTTTATTTAGACTTCTAAATAAATCTTGGGTCAGAGAAGAAATCACAAGGGAAATCAGAAAAAAATGTAACAACATCAAAATTTGTGGGACACAGATAAAGAAGTGCTTAGAGGGAAATGTATAGCTTTCATTGGTGTTTTATTTAGGAAAAAAAAAGGTCCAAAATCAGTTATCAACTATTTAAGTTTCAATCTTTTTTTTTTTCTTTTTTTTTGAGACGGAGTTTCGCTCTTGTTGCCCAGGCTTGAGTGCAATGGCACGATCTCAGCTCACTGCAGGCTCCGCCTCCTGGGTTCAAGCAATTCTCCTGCCTCAGCCTCCCGAGTAGCTGGGATTACAGGCGCCCACCACCATGCCTGGCTAATTGTTTGTATTTATAATAGAGACAGGGTTTTGCCACGTTGGCCAGCCTGGTCTCAAACTCCTGGCCTCAGGTGATACGCTCGCCTCAGCCTCCCAAAGTGCTGGGATTACAGGGGTAAGCCACCATGCCTGGCCAAGTTTCAATCTTATGAAGCTAGCAGAAGAGAAAATTACATCCAAAGAAAGTAAAACAATGGTAATTAAAAAAAAAAAAAGCAGAAACCAACAAAATAGAAAATGGAAAAACAGAAAGTCAACAAAAACTTTTTAAAAGATCAATAAAATGGATAAACCTCTACTACCTATTACAGATTGAGCAAAATGAATTCTAGATTAAGCAAAAAAAAGGAGATAGACACAAATTCACAAATTATGAATATCAGAAATGAAAGAGGGCATATCACTACAAATCCTACAGACACTTAAAGAAATAAGAGAATATTTTGAACATTATGCCAATAAATTCAAAAACTTGAATGGACAAATTTATTGAAAGATACTAATTACTAAAACTGACTCAGAAACAGAAAATGTGAATACTCCTATACTCATTTTTAAAATTAAATTTAAAAGTAAAAGTCTTCCCAAAAATAACACATAAGGGCAAGATGGCTTCCCTGGTGAATTCTATCAAAAATTTAAGGAAGAAGTAATATCAATACTTCCCAACTCATTTTATAAAGCCAACATTACCTTGATATCAAAGCCAGATAAAGACATTACAGAAAACTATAGACCAATATTCTTATGAACATAGATGGAAAGAATCCTTAACAAAATTTAGCAAGTCAAATCTAACAATTATATAAAATGGGTCCTATACCATGATCAAGTGGGTTTTATTCCACTAATTTACAGTCAGGCCAACATTCAAAAACTAATCAATGTAATTTACCATATCAACAGGATATAGGAGAAAAAACATATAATCCTACCAAGGAATGCAGTAAAACTTTAAATATAAAATCCAACATCCACTCATTATAAAAATGTTCAGCCAACTAGCGATAGAAGGAAACTTCTTTAGCCTGACAAAGGGCATAGACAGAACACCTAGCACAAATGTCATACAGAACAGTGAGGGACCAGAATGTTTTCCACCACAAGGTTGTGAACAAGGCAAGGGTATCCACTCTCATCACTCTAATTCAGCCTTGTACTGCATGAAAGGTAAACACTGTAAAGGAAGAAGTAAAACAGTATTTACTAGAGAATGAAACATGCAACTTTGGGTACTTAGAAAGTCCTAAAGAAACTCCAAAAATATCAACTAGAACCAATAAGTGATATAACAAGTTGCAGGTTACAGGGTAAATATACAAAAATGAATTCTACTTCTATAATAGTAATGAATAACTGGAAGGAAATTATAAGTGGAATCATACAATATCTGTCCTTTTATGACTGGCTTATTTTACTTCACATAATGTCTTCAAGTTTCATCTATGTTGTAGTACATGTCAGAATTTCCTTCCTTTTAAAGGCTCAATAATATTCCATTGTATGTATACACCACATTTTGTTTATTCGTTTATTTATCAATGGACATTTTGGTTGTTTCCACCTTTTGGCTATTGTGAATAACACTCCTATGAACACTGGTGTACAAGTATCTGAGTACCTGCTTTCAATTCTTTTGGATATTTGCCTAGAAATGTTATTTCTGGACCATATGGTAATTCTGTTTTTAACTTTCAGAGGAATCAGGAACAAGGTTTTTCAGTTAAACATACAGAAAGGAAGAAAATTAGAATGGGCCCTCTGGTACTGGAATGGAACTGGATGTATTGGTATAAACACTCATAATTTTCAGTGTACAGACAGACAGATACAGAAAAAATATAGACATAAATGTATATGTCTATGAGTCTGGGTTTGTGTACACAATACATTGTGTATATTCTCTAGCTGTCTGCTGAAAGGGCCTGGAGCAGCAACTCCAACAGCAATGAGCAAAACTAACTCCCAGAACACAGCGTTCAAATGTTATTTTTCACTAAATGGAACCAGGGTTCCTTGGAGAAATGTCTGAATCCGAGACTAGGGCAGGGAAAATATAAGGTGAGCCTGGAACACTATCTTTTGCCAAAAAATAAGGAAGCGTTCCAAGAATGATTGATATATGTCAGAAAGACACAAGCAACTTAACTGGTTTCCCACTTGAGTACCAAAACAAATCATATAATAATTATAACTCACCGAATAAAATGGAAAATCACAAGTCCATAAAGATATAAATAAAATGAGTAAACTGAATTTTTGTAAGGACATGTTATTTATATAATTTCAGAGTTCTTCCCCATAAAGTCCTCTTTTATAAAGGCAAAAAGATAACTGTAAAGTTATATTTTTTACCTAGCAGATATCATATTAATCAAGTTATCAATCATTAATGAGAAAAAATGAAACTGCGTGCCACCTTATAAGATGCAATGAGCAGAAGGCATCACTTCTGTGACATTCCTGCCAAAGATAAATAACCTCAGTCTAATGAGAAAACCCAAATTAAGAGACATTCTAGATAAGCTGTAATATTCTGAAGTGTCAAAATCATGACAGTCAAGGAAAGACTGAAGAAGTGTTCCAGACTGAAGAAGTTACTAAAGTGATAACTAAATGCAATGCATGGTTCTGACTGGATTCTTTTGCTTTTATAAAAGCGTTATTAAGACAACTGCTAAAATTTAAACCGGTTCTGAGTATTAGATGGCAACAATGAATCAATTTTAACTTCCTGATTCTTATGGTTATATTGTGATTATGTATAAGAATGTCTTTGCTTATAAGACATAGACACTAAAGTATTTCAGGGTGAGGGAACATCAGGGCAACAACATACTCTTAAATGGCTCAATAAAAAAAGATATTTGGATTGTACTTCCAATTTCTCTATAATTTTGTGACAGCCAAACTTTTAAAAAGCTAAAATAACCGAAAGATAAATTTACTGGGCAGACAGTTGGTCAATTAACGAAGTAGTTTTCAAAGGTAAAGTTATCTTTCCACACCCAGTATCCATGAATGAAAACGTTCTACATGACAATTGCAGATACTATCACCACTGAATAGCTACACTCATGTCGGATGGGTTGCTATACATATTTATTTCATTAATGTATCTACACATCAAGAAAACTTAGAGGAGTGGCTGAATTTTGTCAACTTTCTCTGAAATATTCACCAAGTTCACTCAATATGATAAAGAAGATTTGAAACTTTTGAGAATTAAACATTTCCACCATAGAGAATACTATGTTTTCTCCAAGCTCTCAAAAAATTATAATTACTGGGCCAGGCACAGTGGTTCACTCCTGTAATCCCAGCACTTTGGGAGGCCAAGGCAAGCGGATCATTTGAGGTTGGGAGTTCGAAACATGCCTGGCCAACAAGGCGAAACCCTGTCTCTACTAAAAATAAAAGAAATTAGCCAGGCATGGTGGCAGGCACCTGTAATCCCAGCTACTCGAGCGGCTGAGGCAGGAGAATTGCTTGAACCCAGGAGGTGGAGGTTGCAGTGAGCCAAAACTGCACCACTGCACTCCAGCCTGGGTGACAAAGCAAGACTCCACCTCAAAAAAAAAAAAAAAAGCCATAATTATTGGAGCTGAAGGACATACTCAAGCAATTAGTCATCCATTCTATCATCCTACCCCTAGGCAAATTTGCAGACAAGGCAAGAGATTCACACTAACTCCACTAACCTCTGGCCTAACTTAACCAAGATTACAATAGTATAGAACGGGCTGGCAAACTTTTTCTCTAAAAGGCCAGAGATTTTCCTGCTGGCTGAACATGAAAAGAAAGAAAAGAAAAATACATAAATAGACAGAGTATATATTTTAGGTTTTGTGAGCCATATGGTCTCTGTCACAACTACTCAACTTTACTGTTATAACGCAAAAGTTCCACAGACAATATGTATAAACAAATGTAAAATGCGTTCAAAAAAACTTTATTTATAAAAGCAGGCAGCAGGCTGTATTCTGCCCATGGGTCATAGTTTGCCAACCACTGGCATAGGAAAAAAGATTACGACAAAAAAGTATCCATCAAAATAGACCTGCTAAATTTTACTATGACCGTGATATATTAGGTGAAAAATAAAAGCTATATACTATAATCCTAATTTTGTGTGTGGGGAGGGAGTATATATGTAATATATGTGTAATATATGTCATATATACTACATAACAAATATATGTAATATATACTACAGTATCAACCCCTTTACAGGGGTTGAGCTCTGTACAACACCTGATTGCAGGAGTGAGCCACCACGCTCGGCCCAATAATTACGATTTTTTTGAGAGCCTGGAGAAAACATAGTAGTGTTCTCTATGGTGGAAATGTTTACATATATACTCAGTTGATACTGGGTATATATGTAATATATACTACGTAACAAAAATGGCAACAAATTCTACTTATCTTTGTATATAAGCTCCCTTTCAAGGTTACTTTGTAGCTCTTCCTACCAAGATGTGAGCTTTACCCCTTGAGTCTGGATTTGGTCATGTGATTTGCTTTTGGTGACTGGAACATTAGCAAACCTGACACAAACAGACTCAAAAGGCATTTGTACACTGGGGCTTGTTCTCTTGCTGCTCTTGGAACCCTGAGGCCACCATATACATAAACCAGAATTAGCCTGCTAGATGATGAGAGAGACCCACCTCATGGTCCCAGCTGACTACCAATCAACTCCCTGAAGCAGGGCTGCCTTGCTGACTTACAGCTGACCTGCAGTTGACCACAGACACATGAGTAGGCCACCTGAGATCAGCAGAAGAAATGCCCAGCTGAGCCCACCCTAAATTGCTGACCCCCACAACAGTAAGCTAAATAAATGGTTGGTTTGTTACAGCAACAGATAACATTGCATGTGTGTGTGCACGCACATGTGCGCACTTAAGAATAGACAGCAGGCAGAATATCAGGGGTTGATATTGAGGAGACAGTTTAATTAAGGATTAATGTTAATAATTTAAGTACACATTTTGGTGGTTCCCAAATTTTCTCTTAGATGATGCTTTTATATTCAGAAAAAAGTTATTTAGAAATATAAAATTTAATTCAATATAAAAGAGTATTTTTCATTATTTCCACTAAATATTGAAAGTCTAAAAATATGGACATCTTGACCTGATGTATTTAAATGAACTGATAGATTTTACTTTCTAACAGAGAGTTTGGAGATAAATAGTTACAGGTACATAGGAAACTAAGCAAAGGACAAGACAACTACTAGCACCAAAAAAAATAAATACTGGTTTGGGGAAAGAACTGTAATAAGTTTAAATATTTATAGAATTATAACAATACAAATACCAAATGCTGGCAGGCTGAAGGGTAGAAGTAATGAGAAAGGAGAAAAGAATAGGAGGAAGACAACAGAAAGTATCTAAAACCGAAAACTCAAGAGAAAAGCAAAATATGCATGCTACTTCAAAAACTATCAGAATACAAAGGATAAATAATTGAAAATTATTTACTTCAGATAGTGGGAATTGGTGAATAATAGAATTAGGGCAGGGGTCTACTGCTTTTCTGTTTGAAGCCAAGTGGAATTCTTTGACATATTTTTTCACACATACTGTTAAAAAAAAAAAATTAAAGAGAAAAAAAAGTCCAGGAACCAATCCAAGTACATATAACAATTTAGTACATGATAACAGCAAAACTTCAAAACTGGAAAAATGATTAAGTGACACTGGGACAACTGATCAACTATTTGGGAAAATATGCAATTAGAGCCTGACCTCATACATGCATGAAAATAAATCCCATAAACAAGAGAGTTAAATGCACAAACAAAACTGTAAAAGAACTATTAAAAATATCCTTATAAATTTATAGAAACGGATCTAGAAAGATCCTCATGAAAGTGTTCATGGTGTTTCCTTCTGGAAAGCAGAAAGGGAGATGGGGTTAACATAAGGGAGAACATTTTAATTTTTATTCTGTATTGGTTTTTATAATGTTAAAGGTTTTTCAAAAAATGTTATTACTCTTTTTTTTTTTTTTTTTTTTTTGAGACAGGTTTTGCTCTGTCACCCAAGCTGGAATGCAGTGGCATGATCACAGCTCACTTTAACCTCTACCTCCCGGGCTCAAGCAATCCTCCTGCCTCAGCCTCCTGGTAGCTGGGACCACAGGCATGAGCCACCACACCAAGCTAATTTTGTTTGTTTGTTTTTTGTAGAGACAGGGTCTTGCTATGTTGCCCAGGCTGATCTCAAACTCCTGGGCTCAAGTGATCCACCTACCTCAGCCTCCCCAAGTGCTGGGATTACAGGCATAAGCCATCATGCCTGGCCAAAAACTATTTTTAAATCTGCATTAAGTCACCTGTATTTAACAATACTGTCATACCCTCTTAGGTATAAGGATCTGAGTAAAAATTGTAAGCTACAAGAAACAGTGGTGAATCATACATCTACTTAACTATGGCCATTTTTTTCATTCATTTATTCAACAAATAATACAAGTAGCTACTAGGTGCAGGCTCTGTGCCAGATGCTGGTTATAAAAAACTGAAAAAAAGAGACATTACACTTGTCCTTATGGTCAGTCTGGTAATGAGACAAACAAAACAAAAAACAGTTAAACCTACAAATAAATAAATAATTATAAATTTGGGTAAGCATTGTAAATGCTTAGATTTGGTGTTGAGACACTAAAAAAGGGACGAATCTTGAATAAATAACCTGCATGGTAATGCATATAATATGACCTGTAACAGTATAAAAATGAACTGTCATCAAAAAGTCATCTGGAAGAGTTTATTCAGAGACAGAATAGTGAGGTGGTTTAGAGGATCAATTCCAGAGCCAGACTGCCTGGGTTTTAATCCAGCTTCTACTCACCAGGTTTGTGACATGAACAAGTTATTCAAATACTCTGTGGCTCAGTTTCCTCAGCTATAATTGCGGAAAATATTAATACCTTCCTGATACGGTTGTTATAAAGATTGAGTTAAATTCTTTTATTTTGAAAACTGTCAAACCCAAAGAAAAGTTAAAAGAACATGACAATAAGCATCAACTCACATGAACCTGTATTTGCCAGGTGAATTAATATTTCTAAAGTGCTTAGCAGAGTGTCTGGCACATAACACAGTAAGCACCAGTATCAGCATATATATGCAGTTATGTTAAATAGCTATTTTAAATAAAAGTAAATTAAAACCATAAAGTAAAAGAAAGAAGGGTAGGAAGGAAGGAAATAAAAATGGGGTATGGGAGGAAGAAAAAGGAAGAAAAATAGCCTAAGGATCGCCCCAGTGTTAACACTTTGTAAGAAGGTCAACAGCGCACTCTGCTGGACCCAAGTGTCTTCCACACACCAGGCCCAAGTTATGAATTAAAATAATATGCTACTGCTACATTAAATCAAATATAATTACTTTAATTAAAGTATATAAAGAATGTTAGCATTTATTTAATGAATAAATAAAAAGCAGGTATAAGCATAAGAATATATCTGAAGACAACCCTGGCTATTGTGAGGATTTACTAAAAAAAGAACAGAATATAAATAAATCTAGAGAAAATGATTATGAATGATAGAACAAAGTAATATCAAAACGTTAACATACTATTCTAAAAAACAATGTTTTTCTTAACTATATTTTGACCATGTGGAGACAGATGCTTCACTAGAACTTTGACATATGAATTGTCAGATTAAGAAAATAAATCTGAACTGTAAGGAAAGGGATCAAGCAGGGGACACCAGAAAGTTAATTATATAAGAAAAGGTACTGACACTATCTTCCGACTTGAAAAGAGAGTTAGGAGACTAGAAATGATAGAAAAATAAAGAGACAACAATCTACTTCTCCAATCCACTAGGTGGAAACTAAATGATTTTCATAAAAACTAAGAAAATTTGAAGAACCTAAAAAGTTTAATGTCAAATTCAGGGGAAAACAGAAATCATCAAACTAATTTACCATTTAATTTATGGAAGAAGGTTTGTCAAAAGTAATGCAACTGCAGATTTGAAAAACGTGAAGACTAAGACACACCTTTGCAGGGATGAGAATTAAACCATTAATTTATGAATCCAAATAAATATTTCTATTTAAAAAATACTGTACTCCCTAGTATCATATAATAAAAAGCAAGATAGGAAAAGCGTCCTTAGAATTTAAAGGTGTTAGAATTCAATTAGATATAACGTATCTCCTGACCTCGTGATCCGCCCGCCTCAGCCTCCCAAAGTGCTGGGATTATAGGAGTGAGCCACCATCCTGGCTAACACGGTGAAACCCTGTCTCTACTAAAATATAAAAAATTAGCTGGGTGTGGTGACGGGCGCCTGTAGTCCCAGCTACTTGGGAGGCTGAGGCAGGAGAACGGTGTGAACCCAGGAGGCGGAACTTGCAGTGAGCCGATCGCGCCACTGCACTCCAGCCTGGGCGACAGAGCGAGACTCCCTCTCAAAAAATAAATAAATAAATAAATAAATAAATAAATAAATAAATAAATAAAGCATCATTAAATCTAGTCTCCCATTCTTTTTCCTTCCATATGAAGGAACTGGTTTTCACAAAAAAGTTACTTACCCAAGTCTATCAATTTACCTTATTCAAGATTATTACAAGGTCTAGATTAAAATACAACAGATAAAATGTGAGGCATTTTGGTCTGAAGAAAAAAGCAAAAATAAAAAAATATAAAAAAAAGTGAGGCATATGATCTGTCAGCATAAGAAAAGTTCTAATATATGGACTACTTTTTTTTCAATTACTTTATCCAAAAGTTTTGGCAATAAACTCATTTCAAAAGCTGCTGTATAATAAATATTAAAACTTACGACATTAATACACATGAAACTATTTTTCTTCTACTTTTCATGAAACCACCTATCCCAAAATCTACAGAAAATACTTTTATGATTTATAATAAGTCACTTTGCAAAGACTAAGAAATGTTACAGCAGAAACCAAAGTAATTTCCTACAAGGAAAAATATTTACTCCCCTATGACACCCAAAAATCCCATTTTTTAAATAAATTACCTCTACTCATATCCCCATTATTTTTTCTTATATTACATTCTTGGAAATAATTAGTCCTTGTTCTCTGAAAACCTAGATGTATTATTTAATGCTAGAAATCCATGAGAAATTTACTAAAAATTTACTTAACATACAAAAAGGAGAAACATTCATGCTCACTAAAACTATACATTTTATAATAATTATATTTCTATTATAAGTACTTATCCTATTTTTATGTTAGGAAGAAAAAAATAAAGTTGAAAATACAAATCATTTTACCTATGTATTTTTGGGTTTTTTTTTCCCATAACCTTTCAGAAAGCACATAAAATTACTTTATACGTCATGTTTTTCATCATAGACTACCATGAAAAGAAACAAATATTAGAGCTCAACCATATGTTCTTTGCATTGCAAAAGTGCTTTGATGTCTGTTAAATTTACTTTATGCATGTTTAATTAGTATGACATATATCTCTTACATCTTCTTGCAAACAAAAATTCAGTGTCACACTAGTGAAATGTTATCATTTGAGGGACTAGATTTAATTGAGAGATTTAACTTGTTCAAGAAGTTTTCAGACTTATGAGAAATTGTCAGAGGCCTATATCTTAATGTTATGAGTAATAAATCACCCACTTATGAAAAATTATTCCATTTCTAGAGATATGTAGAGTTATACCACCTAAAGCCAAGGAAGAAAATATGCAATTTCTAGCTTAAAAATAAAACAGATATAAAGATACAGATATACAATTATAGATACAGCTATATTTTACCAATGAGCAGACCATAATCAATGATCAACATATATCAGCATACTACATAACCAAAAGGAGAAATCAATCAAAGCATTAGGCTTAAAATTAAGGTACTCAACCAAGGGCACAGTAGATGTGCTTATGGTCAAGCGGTTTAGACTCAAAAGATTTCAGCCATAAACATCTTCAACAGATATCAAAAGAATTTTTGGCCAGGTTCCGTGGCTCACGCCTGTAATCCCAGCACTTTGGGAGGCCGAGGCAAACAGATCACCCGAGGTCAGGCGTTCAAGGCCAGCCTGGCCAACATGGTGAAGCCTCATCTTTACTAAAAATACAAAAATGAGCTGGGCGTGGTGTCAGGTGCTACTTGAGAAGCTACTCAAGAGGCTGATTTAGGAGAATCACTTGAACCCAGGAGGCAGAAGTTGCAGTGAGCCGAGATCGCCCACTGCACTCCATCCTGGGTGACAGGGGAGACTCCGTCTCAAAAAAAAAAAAAAAAAAAAGAAAAGGAATTTTCTACTAAACTCTAAACCTAACTCCTCAAAATTTATAATGTTGATCAGTATTATCAACAATAACATTAATAATAGCTTTCAGCAGCATTTAAAAATAAGAACTACAAGGCCAGGTGCAGTAGCTCACACCTATAATCCTGGCATTTTGGGAGGCCAAGGCAGGTGGATCGCTTAAGCCCAGGAGTTTGAGAGCAGCTTAGGCAACATAGCGAAACCTTGTCTCTAAAAAAGTTAACCAAATAAATAAAATGAAAATAAGAACTACATATTACTCCAAGCAACCTACAGATTCAATGTAATCCCTATCAAAATACCAATAACATTCTTTACAGGAATAGAAAGAACAATCCTAAGATTCATATGGAACCACAAAGACCCTGAATAGCCAAAGTAATAGTATGCAAAAAGAAAACTGTAGGCACCACGCTATGTACTACACAAAGCTATAGTAACCAAAACAGAATGGTATTAGTATAAAAATAGACACATAGACCAATGGAACAGAATAGAGAACCGAGAAGTAAATCCAGGTATTTACAGTTGACTGATTTTCAACAAAGATGCCAAGAACACATATCGGGGAAAGGACTCCCTCTTCAATAAATGGTGCTGAGAACACTGGATGTCCATATGCAAAAGGAAAAAACTAGATCCCTCTCACCATCTACAAAAACCAACTCAAAATAGATTAAAGACTTAAACATAAGACCCAAAACTATAAGACTACTAGAAGAAAACATAGGGCAAAAGCTTCAGGACACTGATCTAGGCAGATTTTATGGGTAAGAATTCAAAAGTACAGGCAACAAAAACAAAAATAGACAAATAGGACAGTATCAAACTAAAAAGCTTCTGCACAGCAAAGGAAACAACAGAGTATAGAGACAACCTGTAGAATGGGAGAAAATATTTCCAAACTATTCATCTGAGAAGGGACTACTATCCAGAATATACAAGGAACTCAACAGCAAAAAAAAAAAAATCTGATTTTAAAATAGGCAAAGGGTGTGAATAAACATTTCTCAAAAGATACATAAAGCCAACAAGAACATGAAAAAATGCTGAACATCACTAATCATCAGGGAAATATAAATCAAAAGCACAATAAGATATCATCTCACTCAGTTAGAATGGCTTACTATCGAAAAGACAAAAAAAAATAACAAATGTTAGTGACGATGTGGAGAAGAAACTCATATACTATTAGTGGAAATGTAAATTAGTACAGACATTACGGAAAACAGCAATGGAGGCTTCTCAAAAACCTAAAAATATTACTACCATATAATCATATAATCCAGCAATCCTACTACTATTTATCCAAAGGAAAGAAAATCTAGAGTACAGTAGCATGATCATATCTCACCACAGTCTGAAACTCCTAGAGTCAAGTGATCGCCCATGCCTCAGCCTCCCAAGTAGCTAGGACTGCAGGCACGTACCACCACGCCTGGCTAATTTTTTTAAAAATTTTGTACAGATGGGGTTCTCGCTATGTTGCCGGGGCTGGTCTCAAACTCCTGGCCTGAGTGATTCTCCTACCTGAGCCTTCCAAAGTGTTGGGATTACTGGTGTGAGCCACCACACCCAGCCAACACCATGTTTATTGCAGCGCTATTCATAATAGACAAGGAGTTGGCATCAACCTAAATGTCCATCAACAGATGAATGGATAAAGAAAATGTGACACATATACACAATGGAATATTATTCAGCCATAGAAAAATATTGAAACCTTGTTATTTGCAGCAACATGGGTAAGCCTGGAAGATATTAAGTGAAATAAGTCAGGCATAGGCAGGTAAGTACTGTATGTTCTTACTCATATGTAGGAGCTAAAAAAAATGAGCTCATAGAAGTAGAGTAAATTGTGGTTATCAGAGGTTAGGAAGGGGTGAGGGGAGGGGAGGATAAGGAGAGGTGGGTTTACAAATTCATAACTACAGCTAGATTGGAGAAACAGGAGGAATAAGTTCTGGTATTCTATAGCACTCTAGGGTAAATATGGTTAACAATAATTTCTTACATATTTTCAAAAAGCTGTAAGAGAGAATTCTGAATATTCGCAACACAAAGAAATGACAAATGTTTGAGGCGATGGATATGTTAATTACTCTGATTTGATCATTACACATCATATACATGTATGAAAATTATCACACTGAATCCCATAAGTATGTATAATTATTATGTGTCAACAAAAATAAACAAAAAATAAAGATCAGAACTACAAATATGTAATATTATTAGTCGGTATTATATAGAATCTTTTATCAGCAGCAGCTAAAGGTAAGAACTACAAATATGTATCCATCTGCTGCTGTTACTACTACTACAGCTGCTGCTACTTCTACTACCACTTGGCGCTTAAACTCTAAGGTATGCCAGATACTCTCAGCACTGTATAGATATCAACTTGTTTAATCCTCCTAACGGCCCCGTGAGATAGGTACTATTACTAACCCCATTTAACAAATAGCTAAACATAATACCAAGAGTTTAAAAAATCAAGGTTATACAGTTAATAAAGAGTAGAGCTATGATTAAAATCCAAGCAGTCTCAAGATATGAAAATAACCTAAGTGTCTGTCAATGGATGAATAAAGAAAATGTGGTGTGTATGTGTATGTCAATGGAATATTAGCCCTAAAAAAGATCCTGCTATTTGTGACAACATGGATGAACCTGGAGGGAGGACATTATGCAAAGTGAAATATGTCAGATGTAGAAGGAAAAATACTACATGATCTCACTTATACGTGGAATCTAAAAAAGTCAAATACATAGAAACAGAAATCAGAACAATGGTTACTGGGGCAGGGAGGTGGGGGATTTGAGGAGATGTTGATCAAAGAGTAAAAAGTTGAATCTACATAGGATGAATCAAGTCTAGAGATCTAATGAACAGCATCATGACAACAGTTAATAATACTATATTCTAGGCTGGATATTTCGATATTGGCTTTAAAATTTTCAGGTGTTCTCAACACACACACACACACAAAAGGTAACTATGTAAGGAGATGAATATATTAATTAGCTTGTGATATGATTTGGAAGTGTGTCCCCTCCAACTCTCATGCTGAAATGTGATCCCCCAAGTTGGAGGTGGGGCCTAGTGTAAAGTGCTTGGGTCATCAATGGCTGGTGCCCTCCTCACAGTAATGAGTTGAGTTCTTGCTCTGAGGTCACACGAGATCTGGTTATTTAAAACAGTGTGGAACCTCCTCTGCTCTCTCCTCTGTCCTCTCTTTCCATGTGACAAGTTTGCTCTCTCTTTGTCTTCTGGCATGCTTGTAAGCTTCTTGAGGCCCTCACCAGAAGCAGATGCTGACACCATGCTTCCTGCACAGCCTACAGAACTGTGAGTGAAAATAAACCTCTTTTCTTTATAAATTGCCCAGCCTCTGGTATTGCTTTATAACAATTCAAACAGACTATCACAGCTTGGCTGTAGTAATAATTTCACTATGTATATATATATTAAAACATCATGTTTTACACCTAAAATATATATAATTTTTATTTTATGTATTTATTTTTTATTTTTTTTTAGAGACAGGGTCTCGCTCTGTCACCCAGACTGGAGTACAGTGGTTCAATCATAGTTCAATACAGCCTCAATCTTCTGGCTCAAGGGATCCCCCTCCCTCAGCCTCCTGAGTAGCTAGGACTACAAGTACACACCACCACACACAGCTATTTTTTTTCTTCTATTCTTTATAAAGACAGGGTCTCGTTATGTTGCCCAGGTTGGTCTTGAACTCCTGACCTCAAGCAATCCTCTCACCTTGGCCTCCCAAAGTGCTGAGATTATAGGCATGAGCCATGATGCCTGGCCCAATCTTTATTTAAAAATTAAGATCAGGCAGTATGTGTCCAAAGTCCATTCTCTTAACCAATAAAAACAAAACAAGCCAGGTGCAGTGATTCATGCCTATAATCCCAAAACTCTGGGAGGCCCAGGCAAGAGGATCACTGGAGGCCATGAGTTTGAGACCAACCTGGGCAACACAGTGAGACCTCATCTCTACAAAAAATAAAAATAAAAAATTAGCTGGGCATGGTGTTGCACAGCTGTAGTCCTTGCTATTCAGGAGGCTGGGGTTGGAGGATCACTTGAGCCTGGGATTTTGAGGTTACAGTGGGCTATGATCACACCACTGCGTTACAACATGGGCAACACATTGAGACCCTGTGTCTACAAATAAAGCAAACAAAAACAATTCCCAAGAAAAAAAAATCTTAATCACAGGTGACTCTATACTTGATTTGTTTATCTGTGAGCTTCTACATATTTCTTTCCTTATCTTGGTGTTAGAACCCTATTTAGGTGGCTCCAGGACTGCAAAGAGGCATTTTAGAGAGAATATAAAATAAAGTGATTAGGGCATTTGCCAGAACATGAGAATGCCTAGGCAGGATTTAGCTCTACTATTTACTAGCTTTGTGATCTTAGGCCAGTTTCTTCCTTCTCAGAGTTTCCTCATCTGTACGATGGGAATACCAATATACCTGCTTCATAATCATTGTAAGAACTCAGTAACATTCAACAAATAAATATTTATTAGACAACTAATATGCACCATATGCTATTCTAGGCATGAGGGACACACATGAAAAAGACTGACATTACATCGTAATAGGACAGACAAATAATAAACAAGTAATCAAGTAATTTCAGATAATAGTAAGCCCATGAAGGAAAGGAAAGAAAATGAATGAGAAAACACTGTGGCAGAGCTCAACATATAGCTTACATTATAATGATGTTGATGATTATTGCAATTTAACAGAAGAAGCTTCTACATAATTTCTCCAACTATTAATATAAAGCTTCAGTGAAGATCACCAACAAAACACAAATTAAATGTACAGTAACTGAAAACAAATCTGTGGTTGCCTGGGAATGGGGGGACAGGGCAGAAAAAAGGTCCATCAGTCTATCTTGCACTTAGGATGGACCTTTTCTAGGCATCATTTTGCAATATCATGCACTGGTCATTTAAATAATATTTAGTTCGCTGAGTTTAAGTTCATTGAGTTTTACAGATCTTACAAATGTTGACACATTTCATTATATAAATATAAAAAGTCATATTCTGTAATATCACCAATTTCATCAGAAAAGTCTGTAGTTATCACAAAGCTGCCAAGCTCAGAGTATATACAAATTTTTTAAAATTCTGATTTTCACTTGAAAGCTCAAATTTTATCTGGCTCATTTTATCATAAAGAATTACCATGGTTAGTATATCATTCACTCTTTTTCAAGCAAAAATGATGTTCCATGACAAAAAGTGGCTAGTCAGCTCACAATCCAAACTATCCTACAGGCGCTTCTCCCCAGGACATCCATCCTGCTTCTGTATGCAAAAGTGTTTTATGAGTTCTATTCATTTCTTCAGACAGAATGTTAAAAACCTAAACGGCTGAGATTAAATAAAATTAGTAATTTTTACTGCTTCATCAAAGACATTCTTAAATGAAACTGGTTTTTTTTCAAAACTGTGATCTAATGATGCTGGAAAACTATTATTAACATAGGTTGGGTTGAGGCCAAGGTGGGCGGATCACGAGGTCAGAAGATCGAGACCATCCTGGCTAACGTGGTGAAACCCCGTCTCTACTAAAAATACAAAAAATTAGCCAGGCGTGGTGGCAGGCGCCTGTAGTCCCAACTACTCGGGAGGTTGAGGCAGGAGAATGGCATGAACCCAGGAGGCGGAGCTTGCAGTGGGCGGAGATCACGCCACCGCACTTCCAGCCTGGGTGACAGAGCGATACTCCGTCTCAAAAAAAAATTAAAATAAATAAATTTAAAAAATTATATACATATAGAGAGAGAGAGAGAGAAAAAGAGAGAGAGAGAGAAAGAGAGAGAGAGAGAGGTTGGAGCCAATACCTTGATTTCTGCTAAGGCACCAACAGTTTTACCCATTCTTGCTTTTGCGCCACCAGTACAAATGTCAAGACAATCCAAAAGGCAATAATGTATTTTTTCCTTTTTTTTTTTGAGACGGGGTCTCACTCTGTCATCCAGGCTGGAGTGCAGTGTGGTGCAATCTTGGCTCAGTGCACCTTTGCCTCCTGGGCTCAAGCCATCCTCCCACCTCAGCCTCCCAAGTAGCTGGGACTACAAGTGTGCACCACAACACCCGGCTAATTTTTGTATTTTTTGTAGAATCAGGGTTTCGCCATGTTGCCCAGGCTGGTTTCAAACTCGTGAACTCAAGTGATCCACCCGCCTTGGCCTCCCAAAGTGCTGGGATTACAGGCGTGAGCCACCACGCCTGGCCTACAACATCTTAATATTATTACAAAAATAATTTTCACCTCACAGATCACTCCCCAAAAAAATCTCAATATCTAGAACTCCTTGGACTACTCCTTGAGAACTGTTGCCCTAAGAATCCTGAAAGAACTGTAAGGAGTTGGAGAATTTACAAACATTAAAATACAGAACAGAAAAAAATGACTTTCAGATCTCTCTCTAGTCCAATTCTCTTATTTTATAAATAAGGAAACGAGGCATAGAGAGAATAGGCTTTGCCATCTCACACATTAGTAACAGAGATGTGACAGCATTGAGGACTTCTGAGTGGGTTGCTACTGTCCTTTGTATTATACTATTGTTCCTCTTTTGTCAAAAATTGGTTTAGAAAATTCCATATCTTCCTTCTTTAAAACTGAACAATGGCATTAATACATACTTTCTGTGGCGAAAAGGAGTTTATCTTTTCCAGTGGAGAGTTGAGTTTTACAGTCTTTCCTGAATCAACTTTTGCATCCAAATTGTGTACTTCTGTTCCAAAGCAATGACGTTTTCTAATCTGTAAACACAGAACCAAAATGAAGTTTAAGGTGAACTAGAAGTTTAACTGGCTAGTTGTTCTCAAAGGCCAAAACAGCTCTATGTATTTTTTTCCTGCATCCAAAAAAAGACTATTTCTAACAGGCAATAATAAAAGAAATTTTAAAAATGCAAATAAGCACCTCATTACAACACTTAAAGGAAATAGAACATAGTAGTGACTCATGAATCTTAGCCAAACTATCTTTAATTAGTGATGTATCAAAATTAGAGTATTGTAAAATGAACTTCTCATAAAATAGTCCCATCATATGGACATCAAATATAGCAATATTGGAAAGTCCAATCTTATATCTAATTGGAAAATAAAAGTAAATCAAAATTTAAGCATAATTCTACATTGAAAAGAACTCAGAATAAAACTTTTAATGTAAACAGTCATGATTTCCTACAGGATGGAATAAATTACTCGATTACTATTATCACTGTTACTTACTAGATATTTGATAAACCAAGTTGCCTTTGATTAAATTTCTTTTATAAATACCACTAAGTTTTCTTTCCAAACTGTATCCATGCTTTTCCTATTTGTGAAAAATCTATTCACTATATAATTGGGGAGAAAAGCATTTCTATTGATAATCTCATTCCCGCCAAAAATGAAATGAGAACCAGTGAAGTGAGGGAATAAATGTTTTATGTTGAGCCCTACCTGATGACATGCAAATCTATGAATACATTTTGTCGGGGGGAAATCTCTATAGGTTCACACCTCATTTGTCATTGGTACTTTGATAAAATAAACTAGTTCATTCTATTTCTAAAAACAAGGCTGAATTATAGAAATTTATAAAGACTGTAAGTGGAACAGTTAAACTACATAAGACTTCAAGAACCTTGAGTATACTCAATTAAAAGTACCCAGTTACTTACCTACAAATAACATCCTAATTAATAATTTTTTTATTTTATGTTTTTATTTATTTATTTTTTAGAGACAGGGTCTTGCTCTGTCACCAAGGTTGAAGCATAATTGCATGATCTTAGCTCACCACAGCCTTCAACTCCTAGGCTTGAGCAATCCTCCTATCTCAGCCTCCCAAGTAGCTGGAAAGTAGTCTGTAGGGCTACATGTCTGATGAGCCTGTAGGGCTCATGCCACCACACCCGGTCTTTTTTTTTACTTTTTTGTGGAGACAGGAGCCTTGCTATGTCACCCAGGCTGGTCTCAAACTGCTGGACTCAAGAGATCCTCCCACCTCAGCCTCCCAGAGTGCTGGGATTACAGTCGTGAGCCACTGTATTCAGCCTAATAATTATCTTTTTTATTTGTAACTAAATCTATTAAAATCCCAGCCTTCCTATCTCACTGCCATGAATTCTGAGAAAATATTGTGTTCATCTGCATCCAAATTTCATTTAAAATATCTGGTAATTCAAGCCTTTTAGTAATTTTTAGAAATAAATATACATATTTTATCATGTATCAATCTTAAAAACTCAGTAAGAATACATCTTGTCATTACATTAAAACTATCAATTCCAAAATATCCATAACATGAATAATCATATCAAAGGTATTTTAGCCAAAAGGAAATGCTATTTTAAGATAAAAACAATGGAGGAGTTAAAAAGTACAAAGTAGTATATCACTAAGATATGCCTTAAGTAAATATTTTACTATCAAATTCCTCATATATAAGAAACACCATGCAGTTTCACTTGAACGACATGTTACTGTGAATAATCTGCTATAATAAACTCCTTTGTAACAAGTAACTCTACAAAATGAAATTACAACAAATTATTAATTTATGGCTGTCACATGACCCAACTAATCTCCACAAGTGCATTAAAAACATGATACTTGACTACCATGTTCAGCTGTAACTAACTGGGTTATTTACTGCCAATAAACTCTGTTTACCTGCTGTGTAGTTTCTAAGGGTCGAATTCTTTTCTTCTCTACTTGAAAATCATCATTTTCATCTCTGTATATGGATGCCTGTTTCTTAGCAGATAACTTTGCAGCCAGAGTGGTTTTTTCAGGGGAGTCTTATATAAGTAATTTAAAAAAAACAGCATAAATAACTTACAGGTAGGCAATTTTTCTAGAAGAAAACTGGAACCAGGATGTAAGGCTTATTTCTAGAAATTTCATACCATAATCTAAAACATGAAACTTAAACATGTTTAAAAAGTACTTCTCTACCATTCAGTTTACTTTACCAAAGATTCTGAGAAACATGCTTTCAATAGGAAAAGTCCAATTTGATTTTTTAAATCGCCTTATGTACTTGTAGACTACTCCCAATAACATGATTTAAAATGTATAACTGCAAGGATCTCTGAAGAAAATATATTTCATGTCTGTAAAAATCTTTCTTTACAGTATCAACGTTTCTTCCCTACTAAGTTTCTCCACGTTCTTTAGAGCAAAACCATTGATTATAGAATCAAGCTCATATAATCTGTCTTTTAATCCCATAATCCTGAAAGCTCCTTCTCAAGGTCATCCAGGACCTCTTAATCACCAAATAACATTAATTATCCCAATCTTACAAATGTGAACACTAGGTTTTTAAAAGTCTAGTAGCTTGCCCAGTATCATACAGTTATTAAATGGTAGAGCCTAGACATGACTGAATCCTGCTGTGTGACTCCAACATCCATACATGTAACCTCTTAGGCATACAGCCAACACTGTCTTCTTGGAACACAGCAAACACATTTTCTTCTTCCTTAATGTCTGTAACACTGCTCTTAACTATTCTCATACATTGGTTTCTCCCTTTTCCTAAATATAAATATTCTTAAAGGTACCCTCCTTCCTCTTTGCTTCTCTCTAAGCATTCTCTCCACTCCCATGGCTTGAATTAATTTAACAATCTTTTTTAACCATCTTTTTTTTTTTTTTTGAGATGGAGTTTTCCTCTTGTTGCCCAGGCTGAAGTGCAATGGTGTGATCTCAGCTCACCACAACCTCTACCTCCCAGGTTCAAGCGATTCTCCTGCCTCAGCCTCCTGAGTAGCTGGGATTACAGGCATGTGCCACCACGCCTGGCTAATTTTGTATTTTTAATAGAGACGGGGTTTCTCCATGTTGGTCAGGCTGGTCTCGAACTCCTGACCTCAGGTGATCCACCCGCCTAGCCTCCCAAAGTGCTGGGATTACAGGCGTGAGCCACCGTGCCCAGCCAACAATCATTTATTACACTGAGTCTAACCCATGGCCAGACACCATGGAAAAACAGTGAAAAAGAGAATCCTTGGCCCTAAAGGATTTACAGCAGAGAAAGACCTACATGAGCAGGTCCAATACTGTTTTCAAAACACAAATTTGAGGCCGGCCCCAGTGGCTCACGCCTTTAATCCCAGCACTTTGGAAGGCCGAGGCGAGTGGATCACTTGAGCCCAGGAGTTCAAGACCTGCCTGGGCAACATGGCGAAATCCCATCTCTATTAAAAATACGAAAATTAGCTGTGCATGTTGGTGCAGGCCTATAATCCCAGCTACTCGGGAGGTTGAGGCATGAGAATCTCTTGAACCTGGGAGGCAGAGGTTGCAGTGAGCTGAGATCGCGCCATGCACTCCAGCCTGGGCAACAGAACAAGACTCTATGTCTCCAAAAAAAAAAGAAAGCTTGAGATTACATAAACTCAGAAATGAACCTATGCCACATAGCACTGATTTTCAAGTTTTTTCTAAAGTGTAGGAATATTTTCTTCTTAAAGAAATGTTGCAGCTGGGCACGGTGGCTCACACCTGTAATCCCAGCACTTTGGGAGGCCGAGGCAGGTGGATCACCTGAGGCCAGGAGTTTGAGACCAGCCTGGCCAACGTGACGAAAGCCCATCTCTACTAAAAATACAAAAATTAGCTGGGCATGGTGGTGCATGCCTGTAATCCCAGCTACTTGGGAGGCTGAGGCAGGAGAATCACTTGAACCCGGGAGGCAGAGGTTGCAGTGAGCCAAGATCGCACCACTGCACTCCAGCCTAGGTGACAGAACGAGACTCCATCTCAAAAAAAGAAAAAAAAAGAAATGTTGCTTAAAATTTCCAAAATAGGGATGAAAGACCCAGAACTTCCCTGATCCACTTTCCCCCTTCCCTTATGAGTCATGTTTCTTTCTTTATAAGGTTCTTAGAAACACAGTTTGAAAACCACTATACTCTAAAAATCCTAATAGTTTTGCCTATCAGAAGTAGGTCTTTAATCTACCTTGAATGGGCTTTTGTATATGGTATAAAGTAGGGCTCCAATTTCAATTTTTTCCATATGGACATCTAACAGGCCTAGCACCACCCAAGTTCTTCCTTTCCCCTACAAGCTGTAGGGGCACTTCTATAAAAATATCAAGTTTCTGGATACATGTGGGACCAAATTAGGGTTCTCTATACTTTTATATGAGTCTATCACTGTGCTAACCTCAGTCTGTCTTAATTACTCTATATTTACACACAATAAATCCGTATATTTGGTGGATCAAATCTCTCACCTTGACCTGCTTCTTCAAAAGCATCCTGGCTATCCTTAGTCCTTTGCATTTCCATATATATTTTAGATAAGATAGGTAATTTTGAGCTCTGCATGTCCAGGCAACCAGTAAAATAACCACAAAATAAACCTAGATCAGTGATTCTCAACCAGGCCAATTTTAACACCACCACTTCTCATCCCAGGCATACTGGGCAATGTCTGGAGACATTTTTCGTTGTCACAAAAAGAGCAGAGGTGGAAATACTACTAGCATCCAGTGCATAAAGGCCAGAAGTATTGCTAAACATCTCACAAGGGAGAGCTCCTACAACAAAGAGTTATCCCACTCAAAATGTTAATAGTGCCACTGTGGAGAAACTCTGTCCCAAATAAATACGGGGCAAACTGACATGGGCCTATTAAGAGGGTAGGGAATGTCCACCCAAAATGATCATTTAGTTTTAGAAAACTGAACTGCCATGTGCCAAATAAGGGTAACCCCAATTCATAAAAATAAAAATCATATTATCATCACATACAAAAAGGCTTATCTTCCTGGTCTTGATAGCAAGGGAGTTTGAAGGAAGTTCATCAAAGGGGTAAAATCTTTAAGATACAAAGTTAAAAAGAAAGAAGATATCTCCCGATTATGTTTTTTTAAAATCTTCAAGAAACCTAAGAAATACCCAATAGAAAAATGGAGGCTGGGCACGGTGGCTCACACTTGTAATTCAAGCACTTTGGGAGGCTGAGGCGAGTGATCATTTGAGGTCAGGAGTTAGAGATCAGCCTGGCCAACATGGTGAAACCCCATTTCTACTAAAAATACAAAAATCAGCCGGGCGTGGTGGCAGGTGCCTGTAATCCCAGCTACTCAGGAGGTTGAAGCAGGAGAATTGCTTGAGCCTGGGAGCTGGCCAGTGCAGTGAGTTGAGATCGCACCACTGCACTCTAGCCTGAGCGACAGAGTGAGACCCCACCTCAAATAAAAAACAAAAGAAAAATGGCAAACAACTTGATTAGGCAATTCACTAAAGAGGGTATCCAAATGACCAATAAACATATGAAGTCACCAGAGAAATACTAACTAAAACCCAATGAGAATACCACACATACACAAGAATGACTAACTTTTTTTTTAAACTATAAATATCAAGTACTAACAAAAATGGTGAACAACTTTCATATACTGCTGCAGGGGTTGGAGGGATCTGACCGGGGACGCATAAATTGATTCAACCACTTTAGAAAATGTTGTCAGTATCTACTATAGCTGAACATATGTATATACTATGACCAGGTATGTGTCTACAGACAATACTTACCTATTTGCACCCTTTGAACAAGAATGTTCATAACAGCACTATTAAACAATACTGAAAACAACCCAATGCCTAACAACTGTAGAACAGATTAATAAACTGTGGTATATTCATACAAGGAAATAATACACAGAAACAAGAAGTACTACTATATGCAACAGCATGAATGAATCTCACAAATACAATATTAAGCAGAAGACAGACACAAGATTACATATATAATTCCATTTTTTTTTTTTGAGATGGAGTTTCACTCTATTTCTGTAAAAAGGCAAAACTCATCAATGGTCACAGGAGGACAAGAATTACCTATGGAAAGAAGGGACAGTGACTGAAAAAGAAGATGAGGAGGGCCTCTGGGGTGTTGGTAATGTCTCTCTCTTTTTTTTTTAATCTATGTAGTAGTTATGACAGTGAAAATTCATCAAGTTATATACTTAGGATTTGCATTTTTCTATATTTAGGTTACAGATTAAAGGATTTACTTACAAATATAAAGAGCGTATCAGAATACAACCTTGATTTTTCCCATTTAGACTATTCTAAATAACACTGACTCACAGTAATGTCAAAATCAAGTTGTGTACATATGGATAACTCATTGTTGATAAAGACACAAAGGCAATGTAGTGGATAAAGGATAGCCTTTTCGATATATCCAGGTGCTGAACAACTGGATATCCACATGCAAAAAAATGAACTTGAATCCATACCTTACACCATATACACATATTAACTCAAAATGGATCTTAGACCTAAATGTAAACCTAAAATTCTATCTGATCAAAGACTTGTATTCAAAATGTTTAAAGAAGTCTCAAAATTTAACAGTAAGAACACAAACTAATAAAAAATAGGCAATTATTCGAACAGACATATCATCAAACAAGATACATGGATAGCTAATAAGAACATGAAAATATGGGAAATAAAAATTAAAACCACAATGAGATACTGCCACATGCCTATTAGAGTAGCTAAAATTAAGGCCAGGTATGGTGGCTCATGCCTATAATCCCAGTGCTTTGGGAGGCCGAAGAAGGCAGATCACTTGAGCCCAGGGGTTCAAGACAAGCCTGGGGAACACAGTAAAACCAACAAAAACTATAAAAATTAGCTAGGTGTGGTGGTGCATGCCAGTAGTCTCAACTACTAGGGAGTGTGAAGTGTGAGGATCACTTGGTTCCAGGAGGCAGGGGTTGCAATGAGCCAAGTGAGCCAAGATCACAGTACTGTACCCAGCCTGGGCAACAGAATGAAACCCTATCTCCAGGAAAAAAGAATGGCTAAAATTAAAAGGACTGACCATACCAAGGGTTCACAAGGATGTGAAGAAACTGGAACTCTCATAACTGCTGATGGGAATATAAAATGGTATGACCACTTCATGAAACAGTTTAGAAATTTCTTAAAAAGTTGGCCAGGCACGGTGGCTCACGCCTGTAATCCTAACACTTTGTGAGGCACAGATGGGTGGATCACTTGACGTCAGGAGCTACAGAGCAGCCTGACCAACGTGGTGAAACCCCATCTCTACTAAAAATACAAAAATTAGCCAGGTGTGGTGGCACATTCCTGTAATCCTAGCTACTTGGGAGGCTGAGGCAGGAGAATCACTTGAACCCGAGAGGCAGAGGTTGCAGTGAGCTGAGATTGCGCCACTGCACTCCAGCCTGGGCAAGAGTGACTCCGTCTCAAAAAAAAAAAAAAAAAAAAAAGTTAAAACATACACACCTACAAAGCAATCTGGTCATTCTGCTCCTAGTATTCACCCAAGAGAAATGAAAACATACATCCATACAAAGATGTAGACACAAATGTTCACAGTATCTGTCTTTGTAATAGCCCAGAACTAGCAATAACCCAAATATACATAAACAGCCAATAACCAATTTGTGGTATATCCATGCACAATTACTCAGAAATAAAAAGAAACAAACTATTAATACATGCAACAACATAGAGGAATCTCAAAATAATTGTCATAAGTGAAAGAAGCCAGACAAAATAAGTATACATCCTGTATGAATCCATTTATATAAACTATAGAAAATGCAAACTAATCTATAGTAACAAAAATCAGACAGGTGGTTGGTTGGGGAGGTGAGTCATGTAGGGGTGGGAAAGAGGGATAACAAAAGTCCATGAGAAAACTTTTTGGGAAAGTGAGCATGTTTAAAAAGTTTTGGATAAAGTGAATATGGGGTTGGTGTGTATGTTCACTGTCTTGATTCTGGTGAAAGTTTCATGGAGGTACATATGTCAAAATGTATCAAAGTGTACCATTTAGGCTGGGCGTGGTCGCTCACGCCTATAATCCCAGGACTCTGGGAGGCCGAGGCAGGTGAGTAACTTGAGGTCAGGAGTTCGAGACCAGCCTGGCCAACATGGTAAAATCCTGTCCCTACTAAAAATACAAAAAATTAGCTGGGTGTGGTGGCAGGCGCCTGTCATCCCAATTACTTGGGAGGCTGAGGCAGGATAATTGCTCGAACCCAGGAGGTGAAGGTTGCAGTGGGCCAAGGTCACACCACTGCACTCCAGCCTGGGCAACAGAGTGAGATTCTGTCTCAAAAAAAAAAAAAAAAAAAGTACCATTTAAATATATGCAATTTGTTATGTCAAGTAAACGTCAATAAAGCTGTTTTTAAAAGGTTGTATATAAATATTATA
Organism: Homo sapiens; assembly: GCF_000001405.40. Taxonomy (NCBI): domain Eukaryota; kingdom Metazoa; phylum Chordata; class Mammalia; order Primates; family Hominidae; genus Homo; species Homo sapiens. The sequence continues at coordinate 61,855,680 of NC_000017.11, forward strand.
CACCAGAATTCCTATAATTAGCTGAAAATTAATCCCATTCATTCCTAACAACAAATATTTATCTAGCACCTACCATATGCCAGGCACCCTGCTAGAGTTCTAGGGATACAATGGTAAGCAAATTGACAATATTCCTAACCTCATGAAGTAGTCTGCCAAGGAAGCAGAGATTAATAAAAGATTTAGACAGACACATATAATACAAACTGTAACAAGTGCTATAAAGGAAAGGTACACAAGGAGAAGACAGACTATAATAGGAAAATCAAATCTACTCTGACAGAAAAATCAGTGATGGATACCCCAAGGAAGTCACATGTAAACTGAGGAAGAAAAGGATAATAAATTGAAGATGGAACTTTGCTCAGAAGAGACACTAATAGAAGCAAAGGCTCTGAGGAAGGAGAAAGCATAAATCTTTGAAGGAAAGGGAAGAAATCCAAAAGGCCAAAATCAAAACAATGTAGACAACACTATTGGTCACCTATTTAATAACTGTTCCACTTCTCTTTCCTCATTCCTACCAGAAGTTCAATCATCTACCCTCCTCTATATAGTCACATGCTTTAGAGGAAGCTGACTCCATCCTTGATTTTAGGAAATGGATACTCTTTGTTTTGACTTAAGTCAATCATGGCAACCTCTGTCTCCCTGCCAGTGACTGGTAAAGGAATAGCATGAGTAAAAGCAGAAAAAAGCGTTATTGGATGCTCTAAACAAGAAATGGTAGTTTGGACTATGGAGGTACCAATGGATATGGAGATGTACATGAAGAAATAAGAAAGAGCAAAGTGTCCAGGATGTTCCCTAGGTTTCTTAGGTAAATAATAGTCTATCCTTTCTATACAGCCAAAAGCAGGTGAAATATTTTTTAAATATATTATTAATAATCTTATGTTACTCTTAATGTATTTCTCTAAAATTAGTAAAAATTATTTAAAGATCACACATAAACATACCTGATACTTATGTAGGATACTGGCCTCAGAAGGCCAGGCAAACTTATCAAGAATGAATCAATGAGGCTAATTAGATTTCGTCTTAGGATACAAACATTGTTTTATAGAATTCTAACATATAATTAACAATAATGGCTACAAATAACATCAATTTTGGAAAATCATTTATTTTGCCTTGCCTTCCTTAAAAAATTATTTAGGACAACAAAATGTCTCAATAAATTAAAAGTCAAACCAAGAATTTAAAAACGTCTATGGATTTTTGACCACTCTGTGCTATTTTAAAATCATTCCAGAGAAACTAGATAGAGATATATAATCAGTTATGCTAACCAAACTTATATAAATTAGGGCTTATAACAGTAATAATTAAGACTCTTATTACAGATATCAACTGACCCAGGCAAAATATAAATTACCTTGACAAGTTGATGAAGTGCCATTTCTTTCAGAAGGTGGTGTGCTTGGATAGTTGAAATGACGTGAAGTTCCTTGGTTCATGTCATTGTTTGTAAAATCCTTTGAATGGCATGCACAACAACATGACAATTGTACTTCAGCTTTTTCACTTACGCCCTCATCTGCTGGTTTCCCTAAAAATGAAAGAACATCTATTTATAATATATCTAATTAAATAAACATCAATCATTCTCTACAGCCCAGTTCACCCAGGATTGGGAGGTTTCCTAAGATAAAAGATTTTTAGGGCTAACACCAGGAAGGTACCTGGCAAACCTGGACAAGCTGGTCACTTTATCTGCAGCATCAAATTAGGACAGGAGAGAAATAAGCCAAAAACATTTGGTTGGACACAGTGGCTCACGCCTGTTATCCTAGCACTTTGGGAGGCCGAGGCAGGCACATCAATTGAAGTCAGGAGTTTGAGACCAGCCTGGCCAATATGGTAAAACCCTGTCTCTACTAAAAATACAAAAATTAGCCAGGCGTGGTAGTGCACGCCTGTAATACCACCTACTCAGGAGGCTGAGGCAGGAGAATCGCTTGAACCTGGGAGGCAGAGGTAGCAATGAGCAGAGGTCATGCCACTGCACTCCAGCCTAGGCGACAGAGCAAGACTCTGTTTCAAAAACCAAAACAAAAACATTTATAGGGAAATTATCACCCATTTATGTAATCTGTAAAAATCTAATAATCTAAGATTAATAATGTAATAAAAGTACAACTACTCAAGTATTCATTTATATTAAGATTTATCTAAAATTCAAGAATGGATTGAAACAAGGACATAAAGTATATCCTTAATTACTACTCTTTCCCTAAATGAAGAATTTGAAAGTTCAATATATTAGATAATAATCTAACACATAAGGGTTAAATCATTCCCCCAATTATACTTCTATTTCAAATAGAAACATGTTTTTTGATGTATTAATTCTGATACTTGCATCAAAATACATTTTAAGGTCAATATTCAAATCAATAAAATAGGTAATTTTAGTGCTAAATATAATACCAAATTGTAATAAGTTTACATTGTGTGCCTACATTGTATACAAATGTACAATTCATATACCCCCAAAAAAGCTAAATAATTTATTTTTAAAAATAATCAGTATTGACATTGTTTTCCCATTTGTACCATATAAATATTCCTAATTCTATTTTCCAGACATCTGCCATTAAGACCTGAAGTTAGTACCGATAAACTCATTTTTCCCAAAATTAACGTCAGTGAGAATCAAAATGAACAACCAAAAGCTTATGAAGTATTTACTGTTTTTTTTTTTTTTTGAGACAGAGTTTCGCTCCTGTTGCCCAGGCTGAAGTGCAATGGCGCGATCTCGGCTCACTGCAACCTCCACCTCCCAGGTTCAAGTGATTCTCCTGTCTCAGCCTCTCGAGTAGCTGGGATTACAGGCACACGCCACCTCACCAGGCTAATTTTGTATTTTTAGTAGAGACGGGGTTTCTCCACGTTGGTCTGGCTGGTCTCAAACTTCCAACCTCAGGTGATCCACCTGCCTTGGCCTCCCAAAGTGCTGGGATTACAGGCGTGCGCCACTGTGCCCAGCCTTAATATACTCTTATTAGTAACAAACATTTCATTTTAAAAATGTATCTATATACCTATATACACATACATACATACATACACATACCATGTTTAACCTCAATTCTCCTAATACTTTAGGTTAAAGCCATCTAATGTAACTAAAATGTATCCAATATTATATTTCTGATTCATTATGTAGTTTATATAGTCTTTCATAGAAGTAAATATTAATAGGCATTTGTTAGCAAACAAAGTAAAAATAGTTTGGCCTGGTGGCTCATGCCTATAATCCCAACTATTTAAGAGGCTGAAGCAGGAGAATCACTTGAGCCTGGGAGTTTGAGGTTACAGTGAGCTATGATCACATCACTATGCTCCATCCCAGGTGACGCCACTCAAAAAAAAAAAAAAAAAAAGGAAAAGTAGTGGGAAGTAATATAAATTCATACAAACAATATTATACTAAATTTCTGTTTATCTGGCATTTAAACAAGTAGAAAGATCAACTAGAATGTATTCTTTTTTATATATTCCATGTGCTGATGTTATGAGAAAGGAACAGGTAAGCAAATATATTAAAGGATTTCCCCCCCCAAAAAAAGCAATTAGTATGTGTTACAGCATCATGACAGCCCATCTCTTGCATCTTTTACATACAAATTATCATCTAATTATTTTTATAATAACTCTAAGCATCCAAAACTTTGTTTGTTTGTTTTCTTTCACCCAGGCTGGAGTGCACAATCACAGCTCTCTGCAACCTCGACCTCCTGGGCTCAAGCGATCCTACCACCTCAGTCTCCCAAGTAGCTGGGACTACAAGTGTACATCACCATGCCTGGCTAATTGATTGTCAATTTTTGTAGAGATGGGGTATCACCATGCTGCCCAGGCTGCCAAGTCTTTATGTACTTTCCGACTCATCAAAAGACTAAATTATGTTCAATACTATTTTAGCATTAATTAAACATATTTTGCTATATTGAAACTCTTTTGGAAGATTTATAACTTATTTCAAAGAAACATCTTTAAACAAATATTTAAGTTAGCGACAGCATGGCTGAACCAGTCTGGATAAAGAATACTGTATTATATTTTCTCAGATCCCAGTAAGTAACCTGAAGATATCAAGCAACTACTTACCACTAAGAGATTGTTGCCATGCTAAAGCAGAACAAAGTAAGGCTAAGCTTTTTCCACTTCCTGTGGGACTCTCCAACAAACAATGTTGCTTGCTGTTTAATCCTCTGAGAATCTATGAACACAGAAACCAATGAAAATAATAAACATATTAACTTTATAAAGGTCTCTCTCCATCTGAAGTTTAAATAGAACAGCAAGGAAAAGTGAGATTGCACTCCAGGGAACACAACAATAGCAGAAGGAACTCATATTTAGTTAAATCCAAACTGTATTCCTTTACACCTCTCCCTAAGATTATCTTACTAAAATATCAAGCACAAGAGAAGAAATGAAAAGAGGAATCTGTGCCAGAATTATGCAAGCATCAATGATTTCTGTAAAACCAGAATACATTACTACCTATCAATATATTTGATGAAAACTTAATGAAGGATACTGCTAGTGAGAGTACAAATTGTTACAACTACTTGGTAGAGAAATAAACAATTTCTTATAAAGTGAAGATGCCCAGCTCCAGCAAGTCCAGTTCTATGTGTACACCCAAAACCTTTCCCACATGAACACAAGGAAACATGCATAAGAAAGTTCACAGCAGCAGCCACGCTTGTAATCCCATCACTTTGGGAGGCCAAGGCAGGTGGATCATTTGAGGTCAGGAGTTCGAGACCAGCCTGGCCAACACGGTGAAAACCCGTCTCTACTAAAAATCCAAAAATTAGCTGGGCGTGGTGGCGCATCCCTGTAATCCCAGCTACTGGGGAGGCTGAGGCAGGAGAATAGCTTCAGCCTGGGAGGCAGGGGTTGCAGTGAGCCAAGATCGCGCCACTGCACTCCAATCTGGGCGACAGAGTGAGACGCTGTCTCAAAAACAAAAAGAAAAAAGGAAGTTCACAGCAGCATTGTTTGTAACTGCAAAAGAATGTAAACAACCTAAATGTCTACCAATAAGAAAATGGACAGATAAATTCTGGTATATTCATCCAATGGAATTTATACAACAATTAAAATGGATTAAGAATCAACAGGGCTATACATTAAAAATAATGCTAAGTTAAAAAACTCAAGTTCTGCATAAAAAGTAAGGTACCGTATCACATCAATGCACAGTTTCAAATATGTAAAATAATATTCTATATTGTTTATGGATACATATATATGTAATAAAAGTATAAAAACATGGCTAGGAAAGGAAAAGAACAAATTCAGGATACTAATAATCTTGTTACCAGTAAATAAGATATGAAGTACATATGGCAAAATAGCTGTAACAAAACTGGAAAGCTGGTTTACTCAAATTTGTATATTAATTTTCTACATGATCCAAACAAAACAATGGTGAGAAAAATAGTATTCTGTGTAAAAGATAGTAAATACTCTGTTTTTACTTAAAAGTATAGCAGTTTTTCATTAAAAGTATAGAAATTCCAAATGAGCTGAGAACATTTTTCAGAATGTTCTTCTTTGCCTTAACCACAGATATATACAGTTTAGCTGCAATCAGTAGTTTCCCAGAGGTTAGATATTCTTCCAAGTGAACCCAGAAAATATTCTCCATTTACTGAGAATATGAATGCAGTCAAATACTCAATGTACTTTATGGGTCATAAGTATCTATATCTTAATAAAAACTTAACTGCTGAAAAATACTTACAGAATTCATCATAGCAAGCTGTGACGGGTAAGCTTTATAAGGAAAGTAAATCTTCACCCCACCAATTGTATATTCAGACCACATTGAAGACATAGTGCTTTCCTGTTTATTTCAGATTCCTAACTACAACAGAAATGAAAATGTCAAATATTGAGACACGCCTTACAAAGAAAACCAGAGAACCAAAACTAAGGGAGAAATCTGGAAACAGAAACTGGAATTAATAAAAGTATAAACAAAACAAATGGAAACAAAATAATTTCCTAGTCTTATAAATCACAGCGGTCAAGAGCATGTCTTAGAGTCTAACAAATCTAGATTTGTATCCTTCACTCTGCCAGGTATTAGTTGTGTGACTTCGGGAAAGTTAGTTACCTTCTCTAAGCCACAGTGACTGCATGTACCCCATAGGATTGTGGTAATGATTAAGTGAAATAATGTGCAAATATGATAAAGTACATACCAGATTAAACATGAGCTCTTGTAACAGTTAGATCAGATGTAATCAACCTACAGAAACAAATAAGTTCCTGAGGCCTCTCTCTCTACAACTCCGTAGCATCACTCTTTCTCCAGTTCTTCCCCTTTGTGTTACCCCTTTCTGCAGTCCTCCAGTTAGAAGAAAAAAGCTGTTGACCAGAAGTCAGGAAGCATAGGTTCTATACCAGGTTTTGGTATACTGCCTGGTATGTTATCTTTGACTCAGGTATGTTATCTTTGACATATCTTTTTACTTCTCTAGTCTAAGATCCTTACCTGTGATAACCCCTAATTTAATTTAAAGGCTGTTATAAGAAAGAGAATGCCTTGGCACATAGTAGGCACTCAAAAATGTTATTTGAAGATCAGTAGAGTATTATAGAAACAGGATGGGCTTTGGAGTAAGGCAATCCTAAGTTTGAATTCCACTGTGTGAATCACTTAACTTCTCAGAGCTTGTTTCTCCATATATGGAATTGAAATACTACTACTTACCTGACAGGGTTTTTATGAAAATTAGCCAGGGCAGAATGTACCTAACCCAGGATCTGATACAGATGAGGATCACTTTAATCCTCACCTCTTCTAAACCACTTTTCTTAACCTAGGATCCACGGATGTAATTCAGAGACAATGACCTCTTGAAATTGCAAGCATAAGTTTCTGTACATGATTGCATTTTTCTGAAGAAAAAGTCCATAGATTTCTCTTCCCGTAAATATATCTCAAGGAAATCAAAATAGCGGGGGAAATTACATGCACTGTTATTAAATAAGGAATTATTTGCAGTCGTGGGAAAAAATTGTAAATTCAACCTGGGGACGAAGAGATGGTTAAAATAGCAATTCAATAGATTATGAAGCCAATAATAACATTCACCACTGCTTGTGTGCTCCAAAAGAAGAACCATTATTCTAGGGTATTTTCCAGCTCTAACATTTTGCGATTCTATCTGTAAAGCTCTGAGAATGAGGTATGGTGGAATCTAACCTCTTAATATGAATCAACAACTCAACGCTGGCCTAGTTACTCAGATATAATCTAGAAATCAGCCCGTCCTGTACCCCGGCTGTGGCAACAATAGTGTCAAAATGGGGTAGCTTCCCCCAAACATTGCATAAAGGATAAACACACCCCTCTGCCTCCCGCCAAGAATTAACGCAGCGCCCGGGCTAAGAACAGGCCTGCGCTCAAAGGAGGTAAGGATAGGCTCCCTCCTCAGGTTTTCTGCCCCGTATCTCCCTCCTCCCCCAGCCAGTTGAGATCCCCGAGACCCTGGTGATCCAGTCACCACCCATGGGCCCGCAGGCTGTGCAGAAGAACTCAAGCCCTTTCCGTGGACTTCCCTCCGACTTGCCTGTCTGGAGGGAAACCGAAGCAACGCTCTGAGCTCCGATTCACTGAAGAAAAGGAAAGGAAACCGACTTCTGAGAGCAAATAAAGCGGAGCCCTGGAAGAGAAGAAAGGGCACGAGCCCTTCCTCCTCCCTCTTCCTGGGGGTGCTGCTACTTCCCCGGCCTTGTGTGCAGGACTGGGGCCGCCGTTACCTTTCCTCGACCCACCAGACCCCTCAACCACACAACCCGAGACGAATTCCCGCCTCCCGCCCCCTCGACTCCCAGCGCCCAATAGCCCAGCGAGCTCGACCAATCACCCGCCAAGGCCAGGAATCAACCAGTCCCGGTGCGAGGTGAGGGGGCGAGAACTTCGGCATCCAATGGAAGTCTCCGAAAAAAAAAAAAAAAAACAAGGGCTCAAGGTACGCGGCGGAAGGTTGTCGCCACTCCAGCAAATCCCTAGTGTTTGTTTAAAGTAGAAAGTCGTCTCAGTTTGACTTTTGAAACCGGCGATAGAGTCTATGCAGCAAATTCCTTGGAAACTGGAAGTCTCATTCTTCACGTCCGTAGACCAGCGGAAAGGAAGTATCTTTAAGCTTTGCCAAGTTCTTTGAGCATTTATCAGTGCCACTCAATTTAAATTACCCAGCTTTGCAGTAGCCAGGATAGCGAAGACTCAGGCGGGAATTGCCAGACTGCTGAGCCAAACTTAAGTAAGAAGGCTCTGTGACATCGGGCTACAATCTATCTTTCATAATATTCAAGGCTTTCCCGGATGCTAAAATAAGCCAGAGACAAGCTCTCAGGGTCTCCAGTATCAGATCACTTCTACTTCCATTAAGGCTTATCCGCCTTCCATCCCTCCTAAGACCAGTTTATTATTTGCCAGTAGTACTTTAATTTACTCAAAGAAAAGGAGGTTCATCATGATCTTGCCAAATCATGTTATTTTTTTAAAAAATCTGTATAACCTAAACTTGGCTCAAATAATAATGTCTCCAAAAGGCAAAACCTCATACTGTTTCTCAAATTCAAGTAACTAGTTTGGGGAAGGAGTTTGCTGGGAAGAAAGAGCAGGAGGGGGCTAGTTGATTTGTTTGCCTCATTGTCAATTGTGATATATCTTACCAAAAATGACAAAACTTGTAGTCATAAAAATAAACTCTACCCTTTGACCTAGTAATCTGAGCTCCAGATATTTATCCTAAAGACGTAATCTAAACGAAAGAAAATGTGATACCGCAATTGACAATAATATCTATTGGTAATACTGAAAAAAATTATGAACTTCCCAGTCTAGTAATATGGAGGTGGTTATGACAGATGAATTCAATACATTATGAAGCCAATAAACTTATAAAAATTAAACTTGCAAGAAAAAATCCCATATAAGGTTAAGTGAAAAAAGGCAAAGCAAACCCCAAACTGGGTGTTAGGGATTCAGTAATGTGAAAATACATATGAATGAGCAAAGATGAAGTAATTTACTGTTAAGACAATGAAAGGAAGGATAATGTTTAAAAATAAATCCTTAAAAATACCTTCAAATTGTCATTTCTCTTTTATAATTTTTAAAACATCAACTCTTGGCCGGGCGCAGTGGCTCACGCCTGTAATCCCAGCACTTTGGGAGGCCGAGGCAGGCGGATCACCAGGTCAGGAGACCAAGACCATCCTGGCTAACACGGTGAAACCCCGTCTCTACTAAAAATACAAAAAATTAGCCGGGCGTGGTGGCGGGCGCCTGTAGTCCCAGCTACTCGGGAGACTGAGGCAGGAGAATGGCGTGAACCCAGGAGGCGGAGCTTGCAGTGAGCCGAGATGGCGCCACTGCACTCCAGCCTGGGAGACAGAGCGAGACTCCGTCTCAAAAAAAAAAAAAATCAACTCTTTTGAGTAACTGCTCTAGTATAACTACTCTCATTTTCCTCTCCTAAATTACTAAGAGTTTCAACTGGCTCTCACCTTGCATTGCCATTTAATGTATGTGGCATAACAGAAAGGGATACACGTAGGCCCTGGAGCCATACAGACCTCGAATACAGTCCCTTGAACCGTTCCCTTCAGGTTAACTCTAGTGGAATGAAACACAAAAACTACAGGTTCGTTTGATAAAGAATATGAATGTTTATAAACCAATATTCAAAATAGCTGCACACATCTGTTTTCACTTGAATAAAAAAACACATTGTGACAAATTTTATAACCTTAACTTAAAATACATGAATATTAACATTTACTAATATATTTACACATTTTATTTACATCATCAACAAATCTGATGAAAAAGAGCATATGTGATTATTTTAACACAGCAGGTTATGACCAGTCTTTGAATATTGATCCAGGAATGTGCACTGCATTTAATTAGAAAACATACTTTTAACTTTTTCTGAACTCCTAGGGCATATCTATTCACACAAAATATCGCAAGGCCTCAGTTTAAAAAAAAAAGGAGCAGTTGTATTTAATCTTAAGGGACTACAAAACTGCCTTGTTTAAAAATATGAAAATTCTTATGCTATTTTTAAGATACTTTTATTACTTTTATTTTTCACATCAAAATTACTTAATTGAACATTAAGCATCTAATAAAAAGTTATAAATATTCTATCACATGTGATACTATGCACTTCATGATTTGAAACAGCTACAAACTCATTCTCATAGAATATGAGGTAGGGCCAGTAGTAACCCCATTTTACAAAGGAAGAAAATGAGATGTGACTATTTACTAGTGAAAAGGCTAAAGTTAAATTTCATTTCTCAAAAACTACACCTTCTTATTAGCCTAATTTCTTTTACAAGTGAAGCGGTCTGGCCAGGTGCGGTGGCTCACACCTGTAATCCCAGCACTTTGGGAGGCCAAGGTGGGCAGATCACCTGAGGCCAGGAGTTCAAAACCAGTCTGGGCAACATGGCAAACCCCCGTCTTTACTAAAAATACAAAAATACAGGTGGCGCGTGCCTGCAGTCCCAGCTACTCAGGAGGTTGAGGCACGAGAATCCCTTGAACCCAGGTGGCAGAAGTTGCAGTGAGCCAAGATCATCCCACTGCACTCCAGCCTGGGCAACAGGGGAAGACTCCACCTCAGGAAAAAAAAAAAAAAAACACAAGTGAAGAGGTCTGTTTCAAGTGGGGGTGGGGAAGTGTGTGATTGAGGTATATCTCAGAGAGAAAAAAGGGAATTACTTTCTACATTGATAATTTTTTTTTAATGATTAGGGTTTACCTGAATATGTCTGCCTAATCAATGGAAGTTACTGACAGAGGACTGCAAAATCCTTCGGCAAGACAATATTTTCTACACTTTAACTTTTCCTCAGGTTCAAACACTGCATTTTCTTACTCAAAGATCTTCTCAAAGTAAGATATGAATTATAATCCTGATGACAAACCAAGAGCTCTTTAATCCAGTGGGTTTTATTGCTCTACCTTCATTTAATTTGATACATATTTCCCCCCTCTGAGCATTAGGTAAGTTAATAAAGCATTATAAAAATAAATTTAAAACATAAAACTAAATGAGATCTCTCAGGTTCTTCTTTGAACAAAGATGTTTCTGTAAACACTTTTACACCAGTATCTTAAAATTCCAAATTATTCAAGTATCTCTTTAAACATATGGCTTCATATATTAATAAAAATTGAAGCAAATATGTGAAATCTTTAAATCCTCATCTGTATTTCCACAGAAATCATTTACAAAAGCTACTTGCCTTTTTAAAAGTCTTCTCAATACTCTTTCTTGAGAACTAGAATTCCAACTTGCATTACTATTACTTGCACTGCAAATCTTTGAGATTTCTACTTGTGTTTTTAACTCCTATTATTTCCTTAATTCTCCTTTCCCTTTACCCTTTTTTCCTCTCCCATCTTTGCATCTTTGTCACATTCTGTTACAAGCTCACAGTTAAAATAAACACTAGGGCTACCCACAGACTCATTTTTATAAGAAATTAAAGGCATGGCAGTCTTCACTTCAAAAGCTAAATACAAGGCCAAATTCCCTTTCCAATAATGAGTTTCTTACATGTGTTCCCAGTGGAAAAAAAAAAAGCTCAGCTGCTACAATAGAAACATATCAGCAAAGTAGATCCAAAGATGTGCCAATCAGAAACAAGCAAGCATAATTCTCATAAAGTTCTAAACTATACTCATGTTGAATTGAATTGTTTTAGTGATTCCAAGACAATACTTTACTGTTCCCATTCAGTTTAGAGTTGTTACTAATATGCAGATTCATGTTGGGTATATGCAGCAAACAACTTTTTGTTGTTTTAAATTTTGTTTTAAATTCCACTAACACTCATATTTATTATTTCAATTACTGTTCTTTCAATACAGTGACAGAGCTGTACATCAGGATCCATGCTTCCAGTGTCCCTGGATCCATTTTTATAAGATGAATCTTTACAGATTTGAGACCATCCACTTGGTTTCTCCTTTATTTGTTGAAGACCTACAACATAAGGGAAAAAAAACATTAAGGCCAAGAAATTTGGAAAGGAATTTGGCCTTTTTGTTTGAGATATTAAGATAACCCTTGAAAATAAGTTACCACTTACGTGTAATAATTGGATCAATGTCTCTTGTCTGAGTGGCAACATCAGAGGCACAAACTTGCCCTATTTGGATCAGCAAAGACATAATATCCTCATACAATGGAGGAAATGCTCGACAAAAAGAGACCAAACTTGGCAGAGTTGGCATAAAAAAAGCATACCGCTTAGCCTGTGTTAAAACTGTTGGAAAAAAATGAAACAATATTTTAGTTTACAAATATAAATTCAACACAGCTTACACAACATACTAAGGGGAACTATGCTCTGTGCTGGAGATATGAAGTTCTCTAAACACAGCCAACCCGTCTTCAGAAAGCTCACAATCTAGTAGTCTCAGTCTTTATCCAAGATACAAATTATTATGCACAAGTTTTGCAATAAGTACATTACATGCATTATTTCATTGAATTCCTACAATCTTATGAATGACCAAAGTACTATTATGACACTCATTTTATATATGAGAAAACTCTTAAAAAAAGGTTAGAGAGGTTAAGAAACTTGTTAAAGATCACAAGCCAGTTAGTGGTGGGGCTGAGATTGAATTCAGGCAGTGTAAACTCTTAATCACTACAAATAATTATAACAGGATATAAATACGATGAAAAGAAAAACAACAGGGTATTATGGAAATATTATAATGAGAAAGAATACTAAGTTAACTATGCCATTACATTAAGGGTTGCATTATAGTTCATATATTTTAAAGTAGTTTATTTTCAGACCATTTTATTCTACAAACCAGAAGGTGGTTAAAATATCAGAATATGTTTTAGAACTTATGAAGACATCTAATACATTTATCTTTCATTTATACATATGATGATATTTTTCTGGAACTCTGAGCATTTGTAATAAATGAACATTTGTTATCTACTGATACAATTACATTCTGAAAGTGTATTTGTTTTCCATTTATAAAATACAGAAAGCTTATATTTACAAATCTATATATACTCATTCACAAAATGAAAAATACAATTTGCCTACCTATTCATTCCCACTACACTATAAATCACATTTGTAAACAGAAGTTTCCAAAAGAAGAATTCAAAAGACGGCATAAGTTAAACTAGTATTTAACACATATTGTATCATACTGTCTCAGAGTGACAGAAAAAACATATTGCATCACTAAATGCAGAAAATATAGGAACTATAATAATTTATGTCAGATGTTTGTTGATGTTGATTGGCTACATACCTGTTAACAAAGTTCCCATGACATTGACAGCTAAACGAGCCACACTAAGTGACTTTGGTAATGCATATTGTATACACAAGTGAGAAAGCAACTGGATAGCAAATATCTGCAATACAAAATCCAGTTATTACATGTTTCTCAAGAATATCTTTAGGTATTAAAAATTATAAAATGTTTTGTATAACTAGTAAGACTGGAGAGAGAGATCAATTGTCCTAAAGCTCCAAAATGCTCATTACCTGTTTCTCAAGTTCTGGCTGTGCAATAAGCTCAGGTATGAAATCTAGACAGATGTGCATAGATGGAATACCTGCGACCGTCAGAGGCAAAAGTTCACATGGATAACCCTATCTCAACAAGAAACGGGAAAAAAGTCAGAAATAAAATAACTATAAAAGTACAGATAAAAATACAAATGAAAGATTTCATTTCCTTTCTGTAAAAATTGCTCAGAAGGCTATAGTGCCCCATATGTAACCTGGCATTTCACTTTTCTGATGCACTAGAATAGAGATTAAACTATCGAACATTTCATTAGGTTAAAAAAAAAAACAACTAAAAATCTGGATTTTTCTCCATATTGCAAAAGCCCATGGATCATTTGTGTTTTCTCTGGTTTCTAAATGATCCCTGTTAATATAGTATTCAAAGCCCCCAAGAAAAATAAAGTTCAAACACAAAGCATCATTCTTTGGAAACAGACCTGAAAGTGAACAAGCTTAGCAATGTTGGGATCTGCAATGTACATTTGGTGCAAGAGACAACAGATAAGGCACTGAACTTCTCGAAGGTTACAGAGCAAATTGTCTTCTCCTTCCTCCATTCCCTTATTTGGAGCGCTGGTGGTAATAACACTTTGAACATTTCTTAACAAGCTATCTGGATTGACACCATTTGCTTTCTCCTCTTCAGTAGGTAGGCAAATCTCTAAGAGAATCTGGACAGCTGCACTATCCTATAAGCAAACAAAACATAGAAAAAGTAAGAAGTTTCTAAGAAGTTAAAAAACAAATCAGATTTTATTTTCACATGAACAGATATGATAAAATAACTAATTTCTTAAACACACATACACAAAGAGGTACTTCTAAGAGCAGAACTGAGCAATCTGTAGAGCAGTGGTTCTCACCTTTTTAGGATTATGAACCCCTTAAGAATCTAAAGAAAACTATGTACCCTCTCCCGATAAAAATTAACATACATAAACAAACATCATTACATAATGATATCACATATCTCTAAAATAGATCCATGGACTCCAGTTTAAGAATATCTACTAGAAGAGTATCATGAATTCAGTTACATCCAAAACAGGCCCTAGGCAAAAATGACTTCTACCAGAATGTCCTTTCCTTCCTCTTAATCTCCTACTTTTCCCAGTATGCTATCCTGATTTCCCTTTTTTTCAACCTGTTTAAGGCTCTGGTTTCACAAGGAAAGAGTCTACCTTACCATCCATTCCACCTGCACAACTCATTGCTCAGTCTACAGGCTTGAGCATCATTGCACAGAGCAGTAGCTTGAGGGGTAATGGCAATATATTTGAGGCCCCTATATATAAAGGAGAGCTAAAATCACTCTCATCTAGCAGAAAGAAGTAAAAAATAAAAATGAATACATGACATCCACCTCTGATAGACAGCTACTGCCTAAGGTAGAGAAAACAATTACTTGAGCTAAGTGATTAAGAACTTATTATAAAGTGAGGTTAGACTACTTTATAATCATGGTTCTTGGGGAAAGGAGTTTTTGGTTATTGTTATTGTTATTGTTTTGTTTTCTTTTGTTGTTGTTGACTCAGGAGCCAGAGTGCCTAGGAGTGAATCCTGGTTCTGACATTTACTAAATGTGTAACCATGAGCAAGTCACTTAACTTCTCTGGGTCACATTTTCCTACTCTGTAAAAATGGAGATAATACTCTATACCTCATAGGTAGGTTATAAAAATTAAATGAGCTAATATATTTAAAGAACTTAGGCTAGCACCTACCATATGGTAAGCACTACACAGATGTTAGCTTTTATGATCTTCAATCCCTTATCTGAAACTCCTAGGAACAGATTTATTTTATTGATTTATTTTATTGATTTTTGTTGTTGTTGTTGAGATGGAGTCTCGCTCTGTCGCCCAGGCTGTAGTGCAGAGGCACGATCTCAGCTCACTGCAACCTCCGCCTCCCGGGTTCAAGCCATTCTCCTGCCTCAGCCTCCCAAGTAGCTGGGACTACAGGTTTGGGCCACCACGCCCGGCTAATTTTTGTATTTTTAGTAGAGATGGGGTTTCACCATGTTGGCCAGGCTGGTCTCAAAACTCCTGAACTCAGGTGATCCACCCACCTCAGCCACCCAAAGTGCTGGGATTATAGGCATGAGCAACCATGCCTGGCCAAAAAACTTTTCTAAATATAAAGTTGAACTGCTTATATTGTCATGGTATTTATCACTGCCTGACATTTTATTATACATGCAGTTGTTTTTCTGTTGTCTGTCTCCATAATTTGACATTTGATCTTAAGAAACAAATAACTAAGGATTTTGTCTTCTTCACCACTCTATCCCCAGTTCCTGGAACAATACTTGGCACACAGTAGGTGTCCCAGTAAATATTGGTTGAATGAGGCCGGGTGCCGTGGCTCATGCCTGTAATCCCAGCACTTTGGGAAGCTGAGGTGGGTGGATCACCTCAAGTTAGGAGTTCAACACAAGCCTGGCAAACACAGCAAAACCCTGTCTCTACTAAAAATACAAAAATTAGCCAGGTGTGGTGGCATGTGCCTGTAGTCCCAGCTACTCAGGAGGCTGAGGCAGGAGAACTGCTTGAACCCGGGAGGCGGATGTTGCCATGAGCCAAGATTACACCTCTGCACTCCAGCCTGGGTGACAGGGCGAAACTCTGTCTCAAAAAACAAAAAAAACAAAAAAAATGTGCCGAATGAATAAACATGTAACTCTAAACTCAGAATAGGTAAACACTTAAATTTTATTAAAATATAAATCTTATTTAAATGGCTATTTCATTCATATCATGAAGATTATTCCTGATTTCAGAAATACAACATATCTGATACTCAGAAGCAAAGGTAACATCATTGTAATAGATTCTATAATAAAAGAAATGCACAATATGTCACCAATGTACATGGAGCGCACAATGTGCCATCTATTGAACTGATTATACTAGTAGAGAAGCCCTTGCTCTTTTTGACTAAATTTTACTTTAGCAAAATTTACCTGAGCGGCCAGTAATGCATTTTTCAATTCTTCCCTGGTAACTTCCGGAGCATCAGTTTGTCCAACTAAACCAATTGTATTATTCTGGGAAGGCCTATCTTGCTCTGTTTCCTTCAGATGAGCACTAAGGTAGGCTTTAGATGCAAGAAGATATCCATTCAACATGTGTAGGGTAATATCCATCAGTGGGGGGCATCTAAACAAGGAAAGCAGAAAAGAAAAATATATCAGAAAGAATATAAATTTATAAATTAGCCAGAACATGATCAATTTAGTTTAAATGCTGAGAAAAACCTGAGTAGTACATACTAACTTTTCCCACTAAAATATTCATTCTCAAAAGTTTAATATATGTTTCTTATTCTCTGTATTTCAAGCCCTTATATAAATAGTATTACTTGTTTCATCTTATCAGCTAAAGTCAAATATGTATAATGTAAATTCTAAAGAAAAGATGACCGGGTGCGGGCAAAACAATATTGCATGAAGAAAAACTGTAATACACGTACAAAAAGCTGATATCCTTTATAGATAAAGAGCTCTTTAAGTCAATAAAAAATATAGGCTAAAATATAAAGATGAAATAAATGGCCAGTAAATACTGTTAAATGTCCAGTCTAATAAGAATATAAATTAAAATGGGAATCTATTTTCACCTATCAAATTGGAAAACATTATATCAAATAGTGCAGGAAAGTATATACTATCAAACACTGCTATGGAATGTAAACCAGTTCAGCCTTTCTACATAGTAGAATGAAAATCTGAATTAAAAGTCTTGAAAATGAGCACGACACTTTTGCCCCAATAATTCCATTTTCCCATGTTCTAATGAAATACTCAGCATGGGGAAATGCACATAATCACCAAAGCACTATTGATAAAAGCAAAAAGTAGAAATAAAATATCCTAGGGGATTGGGTTAAGCATAGCTCTATAAAATGGAATACCATATAGCCAATTAAGATAAGAATATAAACTAGGCACAGCAGCACACAACTGTAATCCCAGCTACTCAGGAGGCTGAGGCAAGAGGATTGCTTAAGCCCAGGAGTTCAAGACCAGCCTGGACAACATAGCAAGACCCCCAACTCAAAAAATAAAAATAAATTTGAAATAAGAACATTAACATGAAAAAAGGTTCACAAGTTGTTAAGTGAAAAATCCGAGCTACAAAAACATTAGATACAATTTGATAACAGAATTTAACAACTTCCTTAAAAACTGAATCACCTAAGGTGATTCAGGTGTAAGCTCACCTATTTCAGTGGATTTTTAACAATGATAAATCATTTTTTCAAGAAACAGCTCTTTTCTAGAAGTGTTATTTATTGTGGTTTCCTTTTATTAGATACTTAACATCATTTACATACACAGTTTGTTCTGATTCCTATTTCCTATGAGATCTTAATCTTACCAAACCATATTTAGCTAATTTTGTAGATTTTGTCACTTCGAGAATGTCATCCCTTGGTTGATGACAGACAAGTTTAAATATCAAGTGTGTCCTATTTAGTCTTCCTTACTAGTTTCTCTCTCCTCTAATCCACCTAGCACAAAGCATCTTTTCCTAAGTTATAACCCCAACCACATTAGCCTAATATTCAAGGCCCTCGATAGCCTGACCCCAATTTAACTTTCCAACTGTAAAATGTTCTCTTTTCAAAAATAACCCTCTTCACGGCTTCCTCATTCTTGCTTCTAAACTTCTGCTCATACTACTCTTTTTCTCAAAGTACCTTCCTTGACTCCCTGACCCCCATCTTTATACTATTAGATGAACAAATATTCACCTAAACCCTATGTCCACTCTTCTTTTTTTAAGTTTAAATAAAGCAGTGGGAGTGAAGAGGGAACAAAGAAATCTGTACCTGATTATGATCAATCAGTTGTAAATACCACTGCACTCGAACCAGCCCTAACTCCACTCTTTGAAACATTACCCATGTCCCATCTCCTCTGCATCTTTCCTGAACTTTTAAGAACATTCATTTACCACACCATTCATCTACATGAGCATATTACGTAACTTATCATGTATCTATCTTATGTCCCATGCAAATGATAATCACTTTAAAGGAAAGCCCCTCAACTTATATGTTTTTGATAGTACTTATCATAACAAGTGTGACTCAAAGATTAATGATAGGAATTAACTAAATTCTACCTTTTGAGATGAAGCCACTTGAAAGCAATGCTGAAGTTTAGCAATTGGTAAGGATTTAGAGCCAAATGTGGAATCAATGAAGCTAACATCACTATTGTGCATGCCAAAAAGATCACAGTTTTAACGCAGGTAACGGTTCACAAGAAACCAGTTTTTTAAAAACCTTTTTAATGTGAGAACAGAAATAGTTATTCTTTACTGGTCTAAATTGTGAGAGAGAAAAACCACTATTTGTGGCACCAAAACCAAGAATGGCATTTCTCTAAAGCTAGGTTTTATTAATCACATACTAAATATTAAAATGAATATACATTTCATGAATAAACACAACTAAAAAAATAAGACAAAAAACCGCACAGGTCACACTGCCTACTTATCTGCAAGAAAAATTAAAATATAAGTTTAAACTGAATTTCATCAATTTCTTTTGACTCTCCAAAGTACAGCTCTATAATAAAAATGAAACTCAAATGACATGTACCTGTGAACCCTCTGATCACACCTTAGGACAATGAGAGGATCTATCATCAGGTCATTCTGAGTATACTTTTGTTGTCGTACAAACTTTATTGAAGGCTGAAGTGCATTAACCGTCATTACCCATAGCCTGATAAGAAAATAATCACATGTTCAAAACAGTTTTTTATATATTAAAATCTGTAGCCATCCAGTCCTTTCTATCTTAGAAAGTTATATTCAGTAAATAATTAGAAAATACATATGAATGAACTTTGAAAAAATTTAAGCTACAGACATCTAACCTATTAAAATATCTCTTTAAAAAACACAGAGATAAAACAGTAAACACAAAGTAGTTTCAGAAACGTTCACAGTTGTAATGGAATAATCATGGCATATAAAATTAAAACCTGAGTTAAAACCTTAGTTATACCATACTTGCTATATGACTCTGTGTAAGTCACTGAGGCTCTCTAAACTGTTTCCTCGTCTGTAAAATAGAAATGACATAATACCTGTAAATGAAATAAGACTTGCCAAAACATTCTGTATCTAGTTCCATAAATATAAGTCACTATTCTGGATTTATCATCATAAAGTCTCCAAGTGAGATGCCACTTTGAGATTAGACATTAATAGATTATAAGTGGTTACTAAAATGACTGCACATCATAATTACTAAGGGTTATGCAAATACAGAAGGTACTTGATCTTACAGTGAAGCCCAGGAATCCACCAGAGAACTTCCCCCTCTTAAATATGACTGTATAAACAAGGATCATCAGACACTTAAAGAAAGCTTTTACTTTGAAAAAGATTAAAATATACAAACAGAAAAAAAGGAACTCCAAACAGAAAATGTAGGGATAAGGAGAAAAAAAATTTTCGAACTATTAATATCCTAAAAGAATAAAGTATTTTATACATGAAACAAGAACAAGAGGCATTTAAGAATATTCAGATAACAAAGAGCTCTTAGAATTAAGAAGAACAGGGCCTGACACAGTGGCTCACACCTGTGAAATCCCAGCACTTTGGGAGGCTGAGGCAGAAGGTTCGCTTGAGCCCAGGAGTTCAAGACTAGCCTGGGCAGCATAGTGAGACACCATCTCTACAAAAACTAAAAAAAATTAGGCAGGCACGGGGGTATGCACCTGTAGTCCAGCTATTTGGGAGGCTGAGGCAGAAGGATCGTTTGAGCCCATGAGTTGAGGTTACAGTGAACTATGATTGTGCCACTGCAGTCCAGCCTGGGTGACAAAGCAAGACCCTGTATCTAAAAAGTAAAAATAAAAAATAATTTTTTAAAAAATGAACTAGAATTCCACACTTAGGCTAAATATCAGTCACATATGAGAATAATTCAGCATCTCAAAAAAGTTAAGTTTACCACACTCTCTTTCTCAGGAAGCGAGATGAGTGTGTGTTCCATTCACTAAAACGAGGATATAAACCAAGAAAGAGAAAAATATGGAATCCAACAAAGAAGAGTGACAATAGCAATTTGTCCCAGATGGGAACATGAAGACAGAAAGCTCTGAAAGGAATGTCTCCAAGAAAAAAAAAATAGTGTTTCTTTTGTTTTTTTTTGAGACAGGGTTTCAGTGGCACGATCTCACCTCACTGAAGCCTCCATCTCCTGGGCTCAAGCGATCGTCCTGCCTCAGCCCACCAAGTAGCTGGGAATACAGGCATGCATGCACCACCATGCCCTGCTAATTTTTGTATTTTTTGTAGAGACGGGGTTTCACCATGTTGCCCAAGCTGGTCTTGAACTCCTGAGCTCAGGTGATCCGTCCACCTCGGCCTCCCAAAGTGCTAAGATTACAGGTGTGGGCCAGTGCACCCAGCCAAAAAAATGTTAATGATACATTATCTGATGTGTTATGATTAAGTGTGAAGTAAATTTCCCCTCAATAATGAAGCTTGGGGATGAATTAGTTATTGGTTATTGATACCAATTTAAAAAACTGAGCAAATAGAAAAAAGGTATTAACTAACCCAACATATATGTTGAGTAAGGGGGAGGGCACTTGCATAAGAATGAAATTGTAATTAAAGGATTATCACATAGCTCAATTATGAAACCACTTCTGTAGTCATAATAATATGCATTTGAAATATTGCTTTAACAAAAATTTTAATATACCTGTGTTGTGAGAAACAGGAAAAGGGGCAATGTGTATTAGAAGAAGTGGGACTCACAGGAGTGGAAGCAAGTAAGAGAGCTAACTAACCTTCACCTTGTAGAGTAGAAAGTCAACAGATAATTTCTAAATTGGAAAATCAGGAAATTACAGTCATTATAAGAGATATATGGGGAGGATATAAATACCAGAATAAAAAGATAAAAGAGATGAAAATAGTAGTCTCTGGGGAGCTAAAGTCTAAAATACAAAGGTGTGAGGCAGACCTTATATACTACTTAACTTGTATACTATTTATAGCCCAGTATTCTGTTTTCTAGACCTGTCCAGGTGTTAAGGATCCAATCTATGAACCAGCAGAGACCCAATGACTAAAGACAAACTTTGCTGCACACTGAAATCACCTGGGGAATCTTTTAAAAAGTACTGACGCCTGACTCCCACCCACAAACAGTCTGATTTAATTGGCATGGGTTCCAACCTGGGGATCAGTAGTGGTAAAAACTCTCCAGGTGATTTTAATGTGCAGCAAAACTTGGAACAACTGCAAAGATCCAAGATATAACAGTGATCTAAATCATAATTAGCCACAAATAACTATACATGATAACCCAATTTTCAAGAACTTCCTAAAGTTAGAAATACTGTAAGGTTTCTATTTCAATAAAGTTTGCTTTACTTAAAGATATAACAACTATTTAGTAGTCTTAAGAAAGGAGATATATTGTCATATAGTCAACAAATACTGCTATGAGTGGTGAAAAATTTTTTAAACAATTAAATTTAGGTTATTGTATATTATCCCTGCTATATAATTATCTATTACATGTAACAATACACTGAATTTACCTTCTAGGCATCACAGTATTAAGAACCATCCATAGTTTATTGACTGTTTGCAGAATTCTCCGTGGAACCCCTGAATTCAATAGCTGGCTCATATTGGATGTTAACACTTCCGCATATGGTATAAGTTCACTGGCAGAGAGTAGAGTCAAGTGTTCTATAATCTGCATCACTTGTGTGTTATTTACTGGGACAGCTGAAAATGCTAAAAAGAAAATTTAGCAATCATAACCTAAATTCTGTACAGTTTATCAAGCAGGAAGTAGTAGTGTTCTCTCAGACTATAGACCAAACAAATCAAGAAAACAATGTGGCTAAAAAGTAACTATAGTTACTTGCTATTGTTTCCTACAGAAACCTAGGTACAATTTCAACTAAACTTATTAAAATAAGGGCCAGATGGATGCGGTGGCTCACACCTGTAATCCCAGCACTTTGGGAGGCCAAGGCGGGTGGATCACTTGAGGTCAGGAGTTCGAGATCAGCCTGGCCAACATGGTGAAACCCCTCTCTCTACTAAAAATACAAAAATGAGCCAGGCGTGGTGGCAGGCACCTGTAATCCCAGCTACTTAGGAGACTGAGACAGGAGAATCACTTGAACCCGGAAGGCGGAGATTGCAGGGAGCTGAGATTGCACCAGCGCACTCCAGCCTGGGTGACACAGCAAGACTCCATCTCAAAAAAATAAAAAAATAAGGGCCCTAAGAAAAATTCATGCAAGTGTAGTTGTTCTTTCATAAAGAACAAAAATATTTTTTAAAAATCACATTAATGGGATAGGCATGGTGGCTCACACCTGTAATCTCAGCACTTTGGGAGGCTGAGGTAGGAGGATTGCATGAGTCCAGAAGTTCAAGACCAGTCTGGGCAACATGGCAAGACCACATCTCTACAAAAAGTAAAATAATTAGCTGGATGTGGTGGTGTACCTGTAATACCAGGTACTCGAGAGGAAGATCCCTTATGCCCAGGAGACAGAGTTTGCAGTGAGCTGTGTTCCTGCCACTGCACTCCAACCTTGAGACTGGGCAACAGACCCTGTCTCCAAAAAAAAAAAAAAAAAAAAAAACACTTTACTGACCCGAAGACTAATCTTATTTTCTTGGTGATTCAGACTGATCTTATTTTTTAATTTATTTTTTTTCATTTTAGAGATGGGAGTCTTGCTATGTTGCCCAGGCTGGTCTTTTTTTTTTTTTTTTTTTTTTTTTTTTTCCCTCTTGCCTTTACCAATCAAGAGCCCAGGATGGTTTTGAATTCCCGGCCTCAAGTGATCCTCCTGCTTTGGCCTTCCAAGGTGCTGAGATAACAGGCGTGAGTCACTGTCCAGCCCAGACTGATTTTAAAAACAGGACTGAAAGAGGAAAATATGCTGAAGTATTGCTTTTGATAGCTAACATTTATTTGAAAGGCTCAAACTTGAAACTTTCCTCCAGGTGGTCCCCTTATAGGATGTAAGCACCCAGAAGATTGCTGTTACTAAAAAATATCTAGAACTATGCTCTCCAATAACAACTAACCACATCTGGCTATTGAGCATCTGAAATAACTAGTCCAAATTGAGGTGTGTTATAAGTGTAAAATACACAACAGATTGCAAAGACTAAGTGCAGGAGTCTTAGTGGGGGGTAAAATATCTCATTAAAATTTTAATATTGATTACATGGTGAAATAATATTGGCAGGCCAGGCACGGTGGTTCATGCTTGTAATTCCAGCACTTTGGGAGGCCAAGGCAGGCAGACTGCTTGAGCCCACGAGTTTGAGACCAGCCTGGGCAACATGGCAACCCTTTCTCTACAAAAAATACAAAAAGTAGCTGGGTGTGGTGGCATGTACCTGTAGTCTCAGGTACTGGGGAAGCTGAGGCAGGAGGATTGCTAGAGCATGAGAGGCAATGAGCCAAGATTGCACCACTGCAGTCCAGAGTAGGCAACAGAACAAGGCTCTGTCTCAAAAAAAATAAAGAAAAGAAAAAATATTGGCCATATTTGGTCAAATAAAATGATTATTTAAATTAGTGTTGCCTGTTTCTTTTTCCTGGAAAGTTTATAGGTGTTACAGCTCACATTATATATAGGTGTTATAGCTCACATTATATTTCTATTTAACAGTGCTGATCTAGAAGAACATTCTCCATTACATAGTCCTATTCCACTGCACATATTTCTTTTTTTGACATGGAGTCTCGCTTTGTCACCCAGGCTGGAGTGCAGTGGTGCAACCTTGGCTCACTGCAACCTAGGCCTCCCGGGTTCACACCATTCTCCTGCCTCAGCCTCCCGAGCAGCTGGGACTACAGGCGCCCACGACCACGCCCGGCTAATTTTTTTTTGTATTTTTAGTAGAGACGGGGTTTCACTGTGTTAGGCAGGATGGTCTCAATCTCCTGACCTCATGATCCGCCTGCCTCGGCCTTCCAAAGTGCTGGGATTACAGGCGTGAGCCACCACGCCCGGCCTACACTGCACTTATTTCTAACCAGTTTAGAACCTTTCTAAAACCACACCACCTTTTTAGTGATATAATATAGGACCTATGAGAGAAAAGATACAAGCACATCAGAAAGAAATGGTAAAAATTCCTGGCCAGGCACAGTGGCTCACACCTTAATCCTAGCACTCTGGGAGGCTGAGGCAGGAGGATCACTCAAACTTACAAGTTCGAGACCAGCCTGGGCAACATGGTGAAACCCCATCTCTACAAAAACTAAAAAAATCAGCCAGGCCTGGTGGCTCACACCTGTAGTCCCAGCTACTTGTGGGACTCAGGTAGGAGGACTGCTTGAGCCCAGCAGGTGGAGGCTGCAGTGAGCTGAGATCACGCCACTGCACTCCAGCCTGGGTGACAGAGAGAAAGACACACAAACACAAAAGGAAAGGAAAGGGAAAAGGGGGAAAGGGGGAAAGGAGTAAAAGGGGAAAGGGGGAAAGGAGGAAAGGGGGGAGGGGAAGGGAGCATAAAATTCCTTAAACGCAAAGAGTATTTTATATACTTAAAATACATTCACCAAAACATTGTTATATCCATGGGAAAATTCTGTATGATTATAAGATTTCAATTAGCCTAGCATCTCCTTGTACTACAAAAGGGGTTAAAGGAGTATCAATAATTTACTATACCTTCTTGGAGTTGTTTGGGAGAATGATTTTTAGCATTATTAGTCAGGAGCATTCGCCGTAGCAGGGCATCAGTCCCTGTGATTTCTTCTTCACAAATCCAGTCATCCACAATACATAAATGTGGGTAGTTAGTAGCAAGGAGACGTAGTAAAGCTGAATGCAACCCTTGAAAATTTACAGAAAATCAATTGGATTCTTCATGCTCAAACACCAGAAGCTTCCCCACCCCTCTCATTTTTATCAAGCCATCAGCCCACAAGGAAAGAGGGTTATGCTCTAAGTCAGTGTTTCTCAAAAAATGATTAGATGGCCGGGCGCGGTGGCTCATGCCTGTAATCCCAGCACTTTGGGAAGCCGAGGCGGGTGGATCACCTGAGGTCAGGAGTTCAAGACCAGCCTGGCCAACATGGCAAAACCCCGTATCTACTAAAAATACAAATATTAGCCGGGCGTGTTGTTGGGTGCCTGTAATCCCAGCTACTCAGGAGGCTAAGGCAGGAGAATCACTTGAACCTGGGAGGTAGAAGTTGCAGTGAGCCAGGATCGCAACATTGCACTCCAGCTCAGGCAACGAGCAAAACTCCCGTTCAAAAATAAAAAAAGAATGATTAGAGCACCACCAGCACCATAAGCTTGGGAAGCTTGTTTCATGTGCAGAATAATGAATACCATCCCAGGTACTAGATCAGAAGCTCTAGAATGGAGGCCTAGGAATGTGCACTTCTTGTGCATGCAAACTACAGTTTAAGAACTTCCTGACAGTCATTTGATCAAGGGAAACTGCTTAAATGAAGATCCTGAAGTAATGTGATAAACAGTGAGGTGGGAACTACTACTTATAAAGAAAGCTTTCAACTTTCTTCCACCCCACCCAACATAACAGTCTCCTAAAGTTGTTTGACATAGCAATGGTTCAAGAGTTCAGGGTAGAGGAAAGAAAAGGAGGAGAAAAGAATGTCCATTTGGGGACTATCATATATGGTTTGGAAAAGGTCCTATTCAGAAATACTGATAGGCTTCTGTAGAGAACATGCCCTTTCCTCCAACCCTGTTGAGAATCATCACTATAGATATGGTAAAATTAAAGTTGCCCACTTTGAATACCTGAAAGGTCTCAGGTACTTTATGTACGTTTTCTCATCTCTCCCTAACATTCATACAAAGTAAGCAATGCCTCCATTCTACTGTAAGGAACAAACAATGCTGAAAGACATTTATTAACATTAACAACCCTAAAGTCACACAGTCACATATGTCAGCCAAGAGAAGCAGTACTGATGATACCCACAATGGGGGGCATTTTTTCTTGGTTCAAGAAGTATTAAAGAAGACCAAAAGAAATGGGAAAACTTGTTACCAAATCAAAGCCTTATTTATAACATTTTACCTATACCACAGTTTGACTATTCATGACTATTATGTATAATGTTAATAATGAGAGGCTGTGTGCGGTGGCTCATGCCTGTAATCCCAGCACCTTGGGAGACTGAGGGAGATGGATCACTTGAGGCCAGGAGTTGGAGACCAGCCTGGCCAACATGGGGAAATCCTGTCTCTACTAAAAATACAAAAATTAGCCAGGCGTGGTGGCACACGCCTGTAATCCTGGCTACTTGGGAGGCTGAGGCACAAGAATTGCTTGAACCTGGGACGTGGAGGTTGCAGTGAGCCAAGATCATGCCATTGCACTCCAGCCTGGGTGACAGAGCAAGATGCTGTCTCAAAAAAAATTATGACACCATAAAAATGCCTATTTAGTTAATGAATTAACGAAGTACTACTATGCTAAGTGCTTCACACATAAGTACCTAATAAATATTGTTGCTACCATACTATTATCATCATAACAGTAAGACTACGCAGTAGTAGTAGGAATCAAAGTACTTTAGATCTAATTATCCTTTTATTATGCAAATCAAATGATACCACTGCTTTATCCCAGTAGAAACAATACGCAATTCCGTTCTCATAGAAACAGCTTAAAATTGATGTTTCTGTGTTTGAAAAGACATCGTAACAATCAAAAATGGCATTACTTTAACATTTAAACTTCTAAATGCATACAGGAGTATATATACAGTTAAAACTATACCCAACCATCACAAAAAAGACTGCTTACAAAAGTGTAAACTAATCAACATTTCATACTCTTTTCAATAAAGTATATCAATTGCCAAATGCTGTTAAAAATAACATTATTTTCTGGAAACAGATTATACAAAGAAGCCAGGCACGGTGGCTCACGCCTGTAATACTAACACTTTGGGAGGCTGAGTAGGGCTCTTCACTTGAGGTCAGGAGTTCGAGACTAGCCTAACCAACATGATGAAACCACATCTCTACTTAAAAAAAAAAAAAGATTATACAAAGACATAAGTAAATACATGCTGCAGACATCCGGTTAACGATGAGCAATGAAGGCTCATGTTTCTCCTTGAAACCAACCATAATAAAGAAAAAATTCCGGCCAGGCACAGTGGCTCACGCCTGTAATCCTAGCACTTTGGGAGGCTGACGTGGGTGGATCACCTGAGGTCAGTTCAAGACCAGCCTGGCCAACATGGCGAAATGAGGTCTCCACTAAAAATACAAAAATTTAGCTGGGCATGGTAGCAGGAGCCTGTAGTCCCAGCTACTCGGGAGGCTGAGGCAGGAGAATCACTTGAATCTGGGAGAAGAAAGTTGAAGTGAGCCAAGATCGCACCACAGTACTCCAGCCTGTGAGACAAGAGCGAAACTCCGTCTCAAAAAAAAAAAAAAGAAAAGAAAAAGAAAATTCCAACTTAACAGAAAGAAAAACACCCACACTCAAACATTAAAGAGGTATTTAATTAAGAAAAAATCTCTAGAAAATTAGCTGGGCGTGGTGGCATAGGCCTGTAGTCCCCGCTACTAGAGAGACTGAGGTAGGAGGATGTTTGAGCCCAGGAGTTTGAGGCTGCAGTTACCCACTGCACTCCAGCTTGGATAACGTAGTGAGACCCTTTCCCTAAAGAAAAAAAAAAAGAAAGAAAGAAAAATATCTAATTTCAAAAAACACTACAATATTTCTACTTAACAGGATTTATAGTAAAAATATTACAATATATCCATACTATGGATCATAAAACAATCAGAAACAGTAAGGCAGATCTACCTGTACTGATATGTAAAGATGTTCAAGACTCCAAGAAAAAAAACAAGCCTTAGATGAGGCAGGGGAGGCCGGGCATGGTGGCTCACTCCTGTAATTCCAGCACTTTGGGAGGCCGAGGTGGGCAGATCACTTGAGACCAGGAGTTCAAGACCAGCCTGGGCAACATAGTGAAACCCTGTCTCTACTAAAAATACATAAATTAGACAGGCATGGTGGCGCACATGCCTGTAATCCCAGCTATTTGAGTGGCTGAGGCATGAGAATCACTTGAACCCAGGAGGTGGGGGTTACAGTGAGCCAAGATCATGCCACTGCACTCCAGCCTGGATGACAGAGTGAGCCACTGTCTCAAAAACAAAAACAAACAAACAAACAAAAGAGGTAGTGTACAATACTATTCAGAGTTAAAAAAATTTTTTTTTTTTTACCTCTGTTAAGTGTCTGTTAGGTTCAACCACAAGAACCTGCTGTTTCTGTAGCTCTAAATTAGCTGAATATCTGCAATTTCATACAGTTCAACCTACAGGAGAAAAAAGCCTGAAAATACATATCAACTGAAAATAGCTAGGGTTGCGTTTTAGGGGGCAGGCTGGTTTGCAATAACTGAAATAATAGATTTAGTGAGGGAGGCAAAGAGGAATTTCACTCTTGAACTGTTTGAATTTTTAACATTAAGCACCTATTACACTTCATAACATTATAAACAGAAAGGTTTTTTAACAATAAACTTTAGCAGTAAAAAGCAAAATAAAACATACCTCCCAACTCCTGCTGCAGCCCTTGAGCCTGTCGAATAAGGAATTTGATAGGAATCTGATCCATTAAAGAAGAAGAATATGATTTGGGCTTTCTTTGCATGGCAGCTATCAAAGATAAAAAGTGTAAAATAAATAAAATGTCCAGAAACAACAGAAATCTTAACCTTCAACCCAAATGGAAACAAAAACAAAGTCAAATTACTTTTAATGCAATTAACCTGCGAATATAGCATATAAAAGATGAAGAATCATTACGAAAACAAGTGGCTACACAGGAAGAACAAGAACATACCTGGAGCAAGATCTGGAAAATGTCCTGAAATTTAAAACTAGACAGAAGAAAATTCATAACAGGTTGAGAGAAGCCATGTGCAAAAGTGCCCTACACTAAAAGAACCAACAAGTGAGTCAAGATTTTCCAAAACCTAATGACAAGATCAAATGTGATCATGAACATATGGCCTAGAGCTTCATGATTCCAATGCATCTTATAAAAAGAAACTGTAATTTTATCTTTTTTTTTTTTTTTTTGAGACGGAGTCTCACTCTTTTTGCCCAGGCTAGAGTGCAGTGGCACGATCTCAGCTCACTGCAACCTCCGCTTCCCGGGTTCAAGCGATTCTCCCGCCTCAGCCTCTCAAGTAGATTGGCTGGGATAACAGGCATCCACCACCATGCCTGGCTAATTTTTGTATTTTTAGTAGAGACAGCATTTTGCAATGTTGGCCAGGCTGGTCTCTAATTCCTGAACTCAGGGGGATCTAGCCTGCCTCGGCCTCCCAAATTGCTGGGATTACAGGCGTGAGTCACTGGGCCCGGCCAATTTTTTTTTTTTTTTTTTTTTTTTGAGACAGAGTCTCGCTCTGTCACCAGGCTGGAGTGCAGTGGCGCGATCTTGGCTCACTGCAAACTCTGCCTCCCAGGTTCAAGTGATTCTCCTGCCTCAGCCTCCTGAGTAGCTGGGATTACAAGCGCCCACCACCACGCCCATCTAATTTTTTGTATTATTAGTAAAGATGGGGTTTCACTGTGTTAGCCAGGATGGTCTCGATCTCCTGACCTCATGATCCACCCGCCTTGGCCTCCCAAACTGCTGGGATTACAGGCATGAGCCACAGTGAATTTTATCATATTATATACAATAGTGGTGACTAAATCTTTTTTTTTCCCTGAGATGAGTCACTCTGTCACCCAGGCTGGTATGCAGTGGTTCAATCTTGGCTCACTGCAACCTCTGCCTCCTGGATTCAAACAATTCTTGTGCCTCAGCCTCCCAAGTAGCTGAGACTACAGGTGCCCGCCACCACGCCTAGCTAATGTTTGCATTTTTAGTAGAGACGGGGTTTCGCCATATTGGCCAGGCTGGTCTCAAACTCCTGACCTCAGGTGATCCACCAGCCCCAGCATTCCAAAGTACAGGCGTGAGCCATCATATCTGGCCTCTTTTTAAATTAAGTCAGGCAATACGAATTTGACTTCCTTCTCTCACAACTCCTACCCTCAACCAGCCATGTCCAACCTTTTTTTCTTCTAAGTCCATTTTAATTTCTGTACTTTTGCTGCTATCCTAATTCAGTGCCTACTCACCTTTTGTTTAAATATCTTCTATGGCCCACTTTCCCTGCCTCCAATTTAATCCATCCTTCAACCTGCGGCCATAGTCATCTTATTTAAATAGAGATTTGGCCACCTTCAGTGAATCCTCAGATCACACAGAGTAAAGGTCCTTGCCAGTCAATAGTATCTTTCTCTGTCTCATCTCTACTGCATTCTATATGCCTGGCACCCAAAGCTCATTCCAAGGTACTTTCCTTTACACCACAGGAATATATGAGAATCTCAATCAGGGTGTTTGTAATTTCACAAAGGATGTACAATGTGTTTATTCTCTTACAAACTACAAACAGTAAAGCTCAACCATTTTTCTTTTATTAAGGACAAGAAGTATGTAAGTGCAAGTGTTAGAATAAAGGTTGAGAATCACTGTCTATATAGACCACATATATACCATATACTCTCATTTAGATATAATCTCCCTTTTAAGTTAATAAATTAGCATAGTTTTCCATACCAATCTTTTATGAATTAAGAAAAAATCAGAAGGCAGTTAAAACAATAGTTATAGGTTCCAGAAAGAGATAAATCCTGGTTCCAATACTTATTACAATACTTAATACTAACTTAGGGAAGTTACTTAACTTCCTTGTGCCTCAGTGTTCTCCCCTGTAAAATAAACGTAACCACACCTATCTCAGAATTGTTATGAGGGTTTACATGAGTTAACTATAAGACTAAAGTAAGGCCAGGCAAAGTGGCTCACACCTGTAATCCCAGCACTTTGGGAGGCCAAGGTGGGTGGATGACTTGAGGTCAGAAGGTCGAGACCAGCCTCACCAACATGGTAAAACCCATTCTCTACTAAAAATACAAAATTCAGTGGGGCGTGTTAGTGGGCACCTGTAATCCCAGCTACTCAGGAGTCCGAGGCAGGAGAATCACTGGAACCCGGGAGGTGGAGGTTGCAGTGAGCTGAGATCGTGCCACTGCACTCTAGCCTGGGCAACACAACAAGACTCTGTCTCAAAAAAAAAAAAAAAAAAAGACTATATGTGCACGATTAAAAAGCAAAAAATTATTTCAGGTTCCTAGATAGGAAGACTTAGTACTGCAAAGACGTAAATTCTCTCCAAATTAATCTATAAGTTTAACATAATTCTTATCAAAATCCCAACATAATTTTCATTTGTGAAATTTAACAAAATTATTATAAAGTTCATGGAAAAGATTAAATATGTGAGAATATACAGAAATTCCAAACAAGAACTGTATCAAAGACACAGAAAATGTCAAAACATAAAAAAGAAAATCCAGGCCGGGTGTGATGGCTCACACCTGTAATCCCAGCACTTTGAGAGGCTGAGGTGTGTGGATCACTTGAGGTCAGGAGTTCGAGACCAGCCTGGCCAGTATGATGAAACTCCATCTCTACTACAAATACAAAAATTAGCCAGGAATGTGGTACGCACCTGTAATCCCAGCTATTCAGGAGGCTGAAGCAGAAGAATCGTTTGAACCTGAGAGGCGGAGGTTGCAGTGAGCCAAGATCGCACCACTGCATTCCAGCCTGGGTGACAGAGTGAGATTTTGTCTCAAAAAAAAAAGAAAAACAAATTAAAAACTACACACAAAGGTCAGGAGGATCACTCACACCTGTAATCCCAGCACTTTGGGAGGCCAAGCCAGGAGGACTGCTCGAGCCCAGGAGTTTGAGATCAGCCTGGCAACATGGCAAATCCCATCTCTACAAAAAATAAAAAAAATCAGCCAGGCATGGTGGTGTCCACCTGTGGTCCCAGCTACACTGGAGGCTGAGGCAGGGATCCCTTGAGCCCAAGAGATCAAGGCTACACTGAGCCATGTTCATGCCACTGCACTCCAGCCTGGGTGACAGAGTGAGACCCTGTCTCAAAAAATAAATAGATGAAATGAACTATACACATGTAGGAAGTATAAACACAGGTAAACCTTCTTTTTCAAATACAGGAAAAGATACCACTTTATAATGATATCATGCATGCTAAATCTGACCTTCTGATATTATGTGAAGTAACTAAGTTTCAAAGCCCATTTCAGTGACATTCTCTGTGTGCGTGTGTGTGCGTGCGTGTGTGTGTGTGTGTGTGTGTGTGTGGAGATGGGCATCTTGCTGTTTTCCAGGCTGGTGTCAAACTCTGAGCACAAGTGACCATCCCATCTCAGCCTCCCAAAGTACCAAAGTACTGAGATTACAGGGAATGAGCTACCATACCCAGCCCAATGTTAACGGCAAAACGAAACTCTTCGGCCAGGCGCAGTGGCTCACGCCTGTAATCCCAGCACTTTGGGAGGCCGAGGCAGGCGGATCACGAGGTTAGGAGATGAAGACCATCCTGGCTAACATGGTGAAACCCCATCTTTACTAAAAATACAAAAAAATTAGCCGGGCGTCGTAGCAGGCGCCTGTAGTCCCAGCTACGCCGGAGGCTGAGGCAGGAGAATGGCATGAACTCAGGAAGTGGAGCTTGCAGTGAGCCAAGATCATGCCACTGCACTCTAGGCTGGGCAACAGAGCAAGACTGTCAAAAACAAAAAACAAAAAACAAAAAACAAAAAACAAACCAAAACAAAACAAAAAAAAAGAAACTCTTCTACTTTTTTTTTTTTTTGAGACACAGTCTCACTCTGTCCACCAGGCTGGAGTGCAGTGGCGCAATCTCAGCTCACTGCAACTTCCGCCTCTGGGTTCAAGGGATTCTCCTGCCTCAACCTCCTGAGTAGCTGGGATTACAGGCATGAGCCACCACACCTGGCTAATTTTTGTATTTTTAGTAGAGACGGGGTTTCGCCATGTTGACCAGGCTGGTCTCGAACTCCTGACCTCAGGTGATCCGCCCACCTCGGCCTCCCGAAGTGCTAGGATTACAGGCGTAAGCCACCTCGACTGGCCTTTTCTATTGTTTTTGATTAGGTTGTTACTCTTTACACTAATGGAAGGAAGACCGGTCAAAGACTCAACTCAAATCAAGAGAAAAAAATTCAGTTACAGCTCCATCAGGTGTTAAATTTATATTTAGTGAACAAGACCTATACAATTGTTAAAATACAGGCAATTCTGTTATCTATTAATTTAGCCTCTGATAAGGAGGACTGGGCCATAAATCGTGGTTACATACCCCAACATACATGATTTATGTATCAAGTATACAATGCCCACATTGCAAAGATTATAAAATGATACTAGAGTTTATTAAAATATTGCCCTTATCAAAGAACAGTTTGGAAAGTAACAAAATACAAGCTAATAAAATAAACTACCACTAGAACCACTCCTCTACGTACAACTTACCTAAAGTCTTCGTGTTTGCTAGAAGAGCCTCTTCATAAGACAGTATATAGTAGAGCACCAAAAGCTGTGCTGTGATACTGAAACGCTGATTAAGGCGGATGTTGTCACCCTGGAGGTAATATTACAAATACTCTGAAATACTCTGAATTTCACGAGTGCTTTTTTTTTTCTTGATAGTAAAAGAATCAAAATAGACTATTCAGCATTGCTGCTCCTAACTCAGGTAAAACAGGAGAAATGTTGCTGTGTGTGTATTAAACTCAAAAAAACAACATGAAATCTGAGATGGCATGAGAGATGAAAGGCAACATGCTTAAGTGGTCTTTAAGATAAGACAAAGAAAAGACTTCAGCTACTACTCAATAGCAAACCCATCAGGCTGCTTCTGAAAGACAGGAGTCCCAAGTATTATATGAAATTACCATGAAAAAAGTAACTCCTAAATAAGACATTGTATACTTAAATATATTTGTGAAAAATGCAACTGTTTTTCCCTTCTAACAAACTGGGGAAAAAATACTTTCATCAAATTTTCCCTGAATGAGCCAGGAGCAGTGGCTCATACCTGTAATCCCAGCACTTTGGGAGGCTGAGGCAGGCAGATCACCTGAGGTCACGAGTTGGAGACCAGCTGGCCAACATAGTAAAACCCTGTCTCTACTAAAAATATAAAAATTAGCCAGGCGTGGTGGCAGGTGCCTGTAATCCCTGCTACTCGAGAGGCTGAGGCATGAGAATCACTTGAACCCAGGAGGCAGAGTTTGCAGTAAGCTGAGATCGTGTCACTGCACTCCGGTCGGGGCAACAGAGTGAGACTCTGTCTCAAAAAAAAAAAAAAAAATCCCCCTAAATGAATGTAGGTGTATCTTAGATTCCCAGGATGCTAAACAAACCTATGCTGAATATCTTGATATCCCACACAGTACTTGATCAAATACACAATCTCCAGGGAACCCATTAGACTTTAAAGTGAAGCTTAAAAAAAAAAAAATTACTGGCCAGGCGCAGTGGCTCACACCTGTAATCCCAGCACTTTGGGAGGCCAAGGCAGGAGGATCACTTGAGGTCAGGAGTTTGAGACCAGCCTACTCAGGAGGCTGAAGCAGGAGAATCGCTTGAACCCAGGAAGCGGAGGTTGTAGTGAGCCGAGACTGCCCATTGCACTCCAGCCTGGGTGTCACAGCAAGACTCCAGTCTCAAAAAAAAAAAAAAAAAAAAAAAAAAAAGGCCAGGCACAGTGACTCACACCTGTAATCCCAGCACTTTGGGAGGCTGAGGCAGGTAGATCACCTGAGGTCAGGAGTTCGAGATCAGCCTGGCCAACATGGTGAAACCCTGTCTCTACTAAAAATACAAAACATTAGCCAGGCGTTGTGGCAGGCGCCTGCAATCCTAGCTACTCGAGAGACTGAGGCAGGAGAATCACTTGAACCCGGCAGACAGAGGTTGCAGGGAGGAGGAGGTTGCAGTGAGCTGAGATCGCGCCACTGCACTCCAGCCTAGGCAACAAGAGTAAAACTCCATCTCAAAAAAAAAAGTGCCTGTTTAGCAAACTACTTGGAACTAATACCATTCTTTTAATTTTTAGAGGTGATCTAAGGAAATTTAATCTAATTTTAAATTCAGAACTACCTAGAAGTCCTCTGATAGGAAAATAAAAATATGGGTTAAGTAAGAAGAACTAAAAGAAAAATAAGTTAATAGATATAAAAGAACCACTATTTTACCCCAATGACTCCTTGGAAAATATTGAGTATCTCCTGTTCTGTGACTGGCTGATTTGTGGCTTCTGGATTAGATTTCGACGCAGGAGTAAGTATAGAATTTATGTACACATCAATCAAAGGAAGTAATTGAGGATGAAGTGGAGTAGAGGTTTCACACAGCTGTCTATAAATCCAATCCTAAGAAAGAATGTTATAGACACTGAATTAATTGTGGCAAAAAGAAAAACCAAGCAAAATTATAAAAGTACATACAGTTTTACATGAATTATGAATCAGTAAAACTCACTATTAACTTTTGGCAGTTCCAAATATATTATCTAGTATCATAACTGCCTTTGATTTTAAAATATGAACTACCATTATATCTGTATCATCTTAGGTGCACCCTCCACTAGAAGCTTGCCTTTCGGTTTAATCTATTAGTTTTTAAGTAGTGGGAAAAACATTTTAAGTCCCTACCATATCTGTATTTAGAGCACCATGTGTGTCGTCATGGGAGAGCTCACGTTAGATAGGAATTTGGAGAGAGAGAGATAGGTCCTTCACAGCAAACCCTCAGATAGACTAAGAAAATGTCTCTGAAAAGCACTTACAGGAGACTTATCACTTAACTATCATTGGATGGAGGACATGTAAAATGTTGGGGGTGCATGTGAACTCTTAATTCTTAGCTATTTTACTTGCTAAAAATATAAAGCAGATGATGCAATCTGGCTGGAAAATAATCTCACTAAATCACAAAAAACAAGCAACAATTAAAAAGTGATATATCATGCATATATTATTCACTGTTCTTTGTAAATATCTGAAAAAGTTTCAGTCTACTTTACCTCCTGGGTCTTAATACCTTCTCTTTAGAGGGCCTTTTAACTTGTTAGATATAGCCAACTAAGACAAATCAAAACATGTCAAAATTCTAAGTTAGGTGTGAGGTGTCCTTATGACAAATCAACAAATACTAGTCATGGCAGCTTCCCCAATTTGTAAAACAAAACCAGGCCCACTGCAGTGGCTCATGCCTGTAATCCCAACACTTCGGGAGGCCGAAGTAGGAGAATTGCTTGAGACCAGGAGTTCAAGACCAGACCAGCCTGGGCAAAATAGCGAGACCCTGTCTCTACAAAAAAACACTTTTTAAAGCCAGGTATGAGGCCAGGCACGGTGGTTCATGCCTGTAATCCCAGCACTTTGGGAGGCCGAGGTGGGTGGATCACGTGAGGTCAGGAGTTTGAGACCAGCCTGGCCAACATGGTGAAACCCTGTCTCTACTAAAAATTAAAAAAAAAAAAAAATTAGCCAGGCATGGTGGCAGGAGCCTGTAATACCAGCTACTCAGGAGGCGGAAGCAGGGGAATCACTTGAACCCAGGAGGCGGAGGTTGCAGTGAGCTGAGATAGCACCACTGCACTCCAGCTTGGGCAACAAAGTGAGACTCCATCTCAAAAAAAAAAAAAAAAAAAAAAAGCCAGGAGTGGTGGCTCGCACCTGTAGTTCCAGCTACTTAGGAGGCTGTGGCAGGAGGACTGCTTGAGCCCAGGAGTTTGAGGTTACAGTGAGCTATGACAGCCTGGGCGACAGAGTGAGACCCTGTCTTTAAAATTAAAAAAAAAAATTAGAAAATGGCAGTTTCTAAGTTTTAATAAAATAGCCATGTGCCACTATTGAGAATTTAAATGGAGTATTATGCATTTTGAAAATCTTACATTGTTTTAAAAATCTGAAATTACTGTATAATTATATAATTATAATTACTATCCCTAATTACTATACTTATATAAATGACTAGTAACTTAGCTTAATACCACACATTTCCTACACAAAACCCACAATAAATGCCTACAAACTGAAATACAACTGGGGAGAAAGCATTAATTTAGGTTGTTCTTTGAAATATAAATGTAGGCCAGGCACAGTGGCTCACGCCTGTAATCCCAGCACTTTGGTCGGTTGAGACAGGCATATCACTTGAGGTCAGGAGTTCGACACCAGCCAGCCAACACGGTGAAACCCTGTCTCTACTAAAAATACAAAAATTAGCCGGGCATGGTGGCACACACCTGTAGTCCCAGCTACCTGGGAGGTTGAGGCAGGAGAATCACTTTAACCCAGGAGGCAGAGGTTACAGTGAGCCAAGACTGCACCACTGCACTCCAACCTGGGTGACTGAGCAAGACTCCATCTCAAAAGAAAAAAAATATATATATAAAAATGTAGGGGCATGCTTTTATTTTGTTTTATTTGTAGGGGCATACTTTTATTGACACTTTGTGCTTGGTAAAGGAACGGCTCCTGAGAAGCTGGTAAATACAATGAATAGGCAAAAATCCAGTAATGTTGGCACTCAGGTTGCTGGTGACAGGGACCCGAACTGCATGAGCTGTGACAACCTAAAAGGGAAAAATAGCATTAGTAATATAATAGAACTAAATATAAAATTATTTTGAAAGAGAGATTAGTAAGTAGACTGTCAACACCTAATACAAGTGTGGTCCCTAGAAATGAATGATGAAAATAAATTATTACATGTTTTAATTGTCTTTGAATGCTGAGGAAATGTACATTTAGGGATTTATATAATTCCCTAATTTTTTGTTTATAAACATAGATACATACACAGTGGTGTGATAAGGTAAAAAAATAAAATAAAATTTTGAAGCATACAATCTGGGCTCAATGACTTTGAAGAAGTCATTTATCTTCTGAATCTTTTTCACATCTACAAAACAGGACACTGCCATACCTGCCTCAAAGCATTGTTATGGGGGGAAAATATTCTTTTTGGAAAAACATCATATGAACTATAAAGCACCACATAAATATAAACAGAAATATTTATTCTCAATATGTCATGCATAGGCTCTAATCGTCTTTTAAAGACCCTCTTCAAAGTTGTCTTCCAATTGGTTCAAATTTAAAGACAAAAAATAACTTATGATTCTCCCACATGCTGTGTGACTACTTGTAATTCAGGAGTATATGTGCATATGCGTGTTGAGGGTGGGAGGGATAGTAAAATATAGAAATAAAGATATTAATAGCCACAAAAAAGCAACAACTGGCCGGGTGCAGTGGCTCATGCCTGTAACCCCAG
The DNA here is from genome assembly GCF_000001405.40 of Homo sapiens. NCBI lineage: Eukaryota > Metazoa > Chordata > Mammalia > Primates > Hominidae > Homo > Homo sapiens. The sequence continues at coordinate 61,894,604 of NC_000017.11, forward strand.
CACTCTGGGAGGCTGAGGTGGGTGGATCACCTGAGGTCAGGAGTTCAAGACCAGCCTGGTCAACGTGGTAAAACCCCATCTCTACTAAAAATACAAAAATTAGGCGTGGTGGTGTGCACCTCTAATCCTAGCTACTTGGGAGGCTGAGGCAGGAGAATTGCTCCAACCCAGGAGGCAGAGGTTGCAGTAAGCTATGACCATACCACTGTATACTAGCCTGGGTGACAAAGTGAGATAAAAAAAAAAAAGAAATGAAAAAAATCCTTATGCTTATCCATGGACAAAAGTGCTAAGGCTAAAGAAGAACATGTTAAGTATAAGAAATTTAGACTCTAGCCTGTAATCTAGTTAGAAATGAATTTTACAGCCTAAAGGTTTAAATAGGACTTCATTTTATCTTTCTCCAGACACATTAAAACAATTACCCCTTGAGATGCCCTACCAGCAACATCTAAGAGTATTCTCCTAAGTATCTACTCAAAGTCTCCAAAAATACATAAATTCAAAAGATGCCTTGGTATGTTATGACTAGTTTTAAAAGTGTATTTTAAATGGATTATTCTTTAAGAAAGTTTCAAAGATGAAATAAATCATCATGAGTTTAAAAAGAAAAAAGACCATATTATTTTCTTAAGGTAAGACACACAAGTTTTCTCCCAAAGAATATTGTAAAAGAAAGTTAAATAAGTACCTAAGAATAAAAAGAAATACCTGCTCAGTAAAAATTTCCTGTGTGAAGATTGTCTTCATCCTGCTCAAGGAGCTTGGCTTAATTACAATCTAAAATTACCAAAAGAATTCCAACAGCATGTAAAAATATATGAAACACAATTTATTCTAGGGAACTTATCTAAAATGGCTATGATACACATAAATGTTCAAATGTTCAAGTACTCTACTCTGTTTTAGAAGTGCTTTCCCAAACCCAACATTAAAGTGTTAATACTCAAAAACAGAACCAATATAAAAAGCACTTAATAAATACTATTATTGGCATTTTCAGTCGGTTGGGGGAAACAGATTATTTACTACATGGAGCTAGGATAGCTGCCCCTCTGTGAGGCCAAGAGAAATATGTGTGTGTGTGTATGTGTGTGTCTGTGTCTGTATATACGCACATATACACACACAAATATATGTATATATGTATATGTACAGATAGACACACATACACTTTTTGCACATATCACACCATACACCAAAAGAAACTCCAAGTAGATTAAAATGTTCAAATGTAAAACATGAAACCACCAAAAAAAACTAGAAGAAAATATAAGTGACCACTTATATAAACCCAAGAAAGGAAAACATTTCTAAGCATAAGAGCAAAATAGAAAACACAAAAAGAACATTTACAGCCAGGTGCAGTGGTTCACGCCTGTAATCCCAGCACTTTGGGAGGCCGAGGAGGGCAGATCACAAGGTCAGGAGATCGACACCATCCTGGCTAACACAGTGAAACCCCATCTCTACTAAAAATACAAAAATTAGCCGGGCGTGGCGGTATGTGCCTGTAGTCCCAGCTGCTGGGGAGGCTGAGGCAGGAGAATGGCATGAACCTGGGAGACGGAGCTTGCAGTGAGCCGAGATCGCACCACTGCACTCTAGCCTGGGCGACAGAGCAAGACTCCATCTCAAAAAAAAAAAACAAAAAAAAAACATTTAATATACTACATAAAAATAATAATGATAATAATTTCCACATGGCGAAGTTAAATGGCAAAAAATACTGGAAAAAGTCAATTATAACATATTGAACTCTCCACTTTTAAAGATACTATAAGATATGTCACTGATTTAATATTACAGTAGCTTTTCAAGAAAAAAGTAGGAGTTGGAACACTACCACTTTCATATTACATGTCAACTGTAAAATGAATCCCAATTTCAATACTGGGTAAAATATACGTCTTGAAATATATGAAGTAAGATGTATAAGGCATAATGACATATCTTTCCTTTTGAATCAGTGAAAGAAAAAAATAAATCAAAGTCCCTACAGGAAAATTAGGATACTGATCAGCTTTTCACAAAAGAAATAAACAAGCCAAAACACATAAATTTTAAATACTAAGTTTCACTAGTAATCAAAGAAATTCAAACTAAGTGATACCACTGTTCATCAACCAAATTTGCAAAGATTAAAAAAAAATAGTAATGCTCAGTCATGTTGAAAGTTTAGAAAAACAGTAGTTCTTACTAACGGTAAGAGTTAAACTGATACAATCTTTCGAAAAGATAATCTGACAGTACTCATGAAACACCTTAACATAGTCATACACTTTTCCTTAGCAATTACCTTCTAGAAATTTATCCTAAGAAAATAATCCAACAGGTGTATGAAGAGATACATGTGGGTGCCTATGTGTGTATTTACATAAACAAGGACATTCCTCTAAGCATTATACAGAAACTAGAAAATCTACATGGGAAATAATAAGGGACCTATTAAGAAGATCAAACAATGGACTATAAGACAATGCAGTCATTAAAAATTATACTGTATTATAATATTTATTGATATGAGTAAATGCTCATCATATATTAATTTTTTTAAATCATCAAATATGTACGTCACTTTAAAGAAAGAACAGACATCAGAATATTAATAGTAGTATACTAGGTATCTCTGAATCATGGAATTATAAGATATCTTTCCCTTTTCTGTGCTTTCCAAGGTTTTTGCATGAGTATCTATTATTTTAGTAAATACAGGTTTCAAAATGCATTTTTCTAAGCGCTCTTGATAAAACTTCTATTAAACAATTAAAATTACTTAAATGAAAACAATCTATTTACACTACAACAAAATGTCCAGCTTAGAAACACCTTTTTTTTTTTAGAAAGAAGTTAAAAGAAAATTACCTTCATCCCCAAAGTGGAACAGACCAAGTCAATGATAGCACTAAGCTGGTTGCTGTGAAAGTACATAGCCACCAATAATAACATCTCCCCAAAAGAAGCAGAGACGCCTGAAGTACTGTCAAAACAAAATAGGAAATATGAATTTTCCAAAGAGAGAAGAAGAAAAGCTTTCTCAACTAACTAAATCAAATTATCTTACCTCTCAAAATACGCTTCTTCTTTTATCATCCAACTTAGCCACACCACCATCAGCTGCTCCTGTTCAGGTGTACTATATAAAATATACCAGAATGTCACTGGTTTAAATTAGATATACTAGCATATGAATAAAAAGCATTCTGAAGTTATTTTTGGTAGAAATTATTTTTCCTGCCCTATTTTCAAGTATCAAGTCAAATTAAAGGCTTGCTGAATTGGGCCATTAATTGTCATTGAGGTATGAAGTAATTCTAGAGCTCAAGAATGAGGACCTTTGCTTTTTTTCATGGATCCCCTCTCAAAGTCTTAGTTACTGCCTTCACAGGTTGGAAAGAGTAAGATTCTTCACATTCCTTAGAAAACAAAGGCCCCTTGGGATTAACTTGTTAAAACAACTACACAACAGCTGATATTTATTTCATATAGAAAAAAATCTAGTGTTAACACTTAAGCATCAAAATATCACAAACTGAGTGCCAAACAGTAATGAGCAGTCCATCTTCTGGAAAAATGAAATTTAATTTATAGAAACCTTATGAGTAGATCTCAAAGTTACAGAGAAATAAATGATCACTAATCATGGGAAAAAAGGCAGTCACAGGCTTACCAGATATGAAAAATGGCTATAAAAATACGACTTTTCTTTGAGACAATGTCTTGCTCTGTCGCCCAGGCTGGAGTGCAGTGGCGCAATCATAGCTCACTATAGCCTCGACCACCCAAGCTCAAGTGATCCTCCCACCTCAGCCTCCCAAGTAGTTGGGACTACAGGCATGCGCTACTGCATCCAGCTAATATTTTTTATTTTTAGTAGAGGGGAGGTCTCACTATGTTGCCCAGTCTGGTCTTGAACTCTCGAGCTCAAGTGATACGCCTGCCTAAGCCTCCCAAAGTGCTGGAATTACAGAGGTGAGCCACCATGCCTAGCCTAACAATGACTTTTTAAAGGGAATTCCTAAATTCTGAGATGGAGTTTCACTCTCGTTGCTCAGGCTGGAGTGCAGCAGCGCAATCTCAGCTCACTGCAACCTCCGCCTCCCGGGTTCAAGCGATTCTCCTACCTCAGCCTCCCGAATAGCTGGGATTACAGGTGTCTGCCACCACACCTGGCTAATTTTTCTATTTTTAGTAGAGATGGGGTTTCACCCTGTTGGCCAGGTTGGTCTTGAACTCCTGATTTCAGGTGACTGACCCGCCTCAGCCTCCCAAAGTGCTGGGAATACAGGCCTGAGCCACCACACCCGGTCTAAATTTTAATTGAAAAGTACAAGCTGACGTTGACTTGTGAAAATTTTTTCACCAATCTCTTTCCACTTCAGTGCAGTAAAAATAGATGCAACAAAAAGCAAATGAAAAGTATAATTCTTCTATTACCAAAAGCTAAGAAAATAAAAAAGGTCATTCTCAACTATACCTAAACCATATAACAAATAATAAAGTGTTATGTAGTAGAAAGATTACAGCCTTTACAGCCTACCACATCTGAGTGAGAATCCCATCTCTGCTAATTACTGGTAGTGTGATCTTGAAGAAGAAACACAAATAATCTTTCTTTTCCTTTTTCACTGTAGCTCTCAAATGTTAAGAACTTTTTTTTTGTTTTTGAGAAGTTTCGCTCTTGTTGCCCAGGCTGGAGTGCAATGACACAATCTTGGCTCACTGCAACCTCCACCTCCCGGATTCAAGAGATTCTCCTGCCTCAGCCTCCCGAGCAGCTGGGATTACAGGTGCCCACCAACACACCCAGCTAATTTTTTATATTTTTAGTAGAGACGGGGTTTCACCATGTTGGCCAGGCTGGTCTCGAACTCCTGACCTTTAGGTGATCCACCCACCTTGGCCTCCCAAAGTGCTGGGATTACAGGCATGAGCCACTGTGCCTGGCCTATCTTAAGGACTTTTAAGTATCTTTCTAAACATTAGTTTTTCTATCTATAAGATATAGACAAAAATACCTTATAAGGCTGGGCACAGTGGCTCTTGCCTGTAATCCCAGCAATTTGGGAGGACAAGACAGGAGGATAGCTTGAGCCCAGCAGTTCAAGACCAGCCTGAGCAACAAAGTGAGATCCCATCTCTACAAAAAAATTTAAAAATTAGACAGGCATGGTGGCGCATGTTTGTAGTCCCAGCTACACGGGAGGCTAAGATGGGAGGATCTCTTGAGCCCAAGAGGCCAAGGCTGCAGCGAGCCCTGATCGTGCCACTGGACTCCAGCCTGCGAAACAAAGCAAGATCCTATCTAAAAAAAAAAAAAAAATACCTTATAAGAGTAATGAGGATTTGAGATAATGTTTAGAAAGTACTTCAAGTAAAAAGAAAAGAAAGAATTCATGTACCTAATTTTACACCATCCTGAAACTCCATTAAAGCTACATTAAAGGGATTTTCTTAAAAGGCATAAACGCATAAGATATTGAGGAGGGACAACACCACAAAATACTGGAAGCTAGAGAATATATAGATAAATGGAAACGGACTCAGCAGACCTGAGGAAGCAAAATGCTAAACTGGTAGAAGAGAAAACCCATCCATTTTATACCACGGAATTCCCAAAGGGCTCAGGCTACTCCAGGCAGTTCCAGGACTGAGAGTGAAGACAGACTAAAATTAAGAGGTTGACATTCTATATAAGTAGTAGACCTCCAAATCACCTCCTGCATTCTGCACAACTAGAAGAATACCCTTCCCTCAGCAGAGAGAAGACTGGAGATTTATTGTCTGGAGGTGGTAAAATCATGCATCTGAATTAAGGGACAACCAGGTATATCTGGAGCACCATTCTGAAAGTAGGAGAATTAAGTAAACGATTATACTGCAGGCTGATATCTACCAGCCCTTAACCCTCACTCTTTAACTTTGTTTATGGGTTTCTGTATAGGTCTTCCCTCTCCAGGCCAGACAATAATCTTTAGAACTCTGATCAGCCCAAGAGTTTCCCAAAGACCCACTTATGCATTAGAGGTTCTAATATGCTTTTTCATTTCCTAGTCTTAAATATGAACAATCGGCCAGACGTGGTGGCTCACACCTGTAATCCCAGCACTTTGGGAGGCCAAGGCAGGCAGATCACCTGAGGTCAGGAGTTCGAGACCAGCCTGACCAACATGGAGAAACCCCATCTCCACTAAAAATACAAAACTTAGCTGAGGGTGGTGGCACATGCCTATAATCCCAGCTACTCGGGAGGCTAACACAGGACAATCACTTGAACCCGGGAGGCAGAGGTTGCGGTGAGCCGAGATCACACCATTGCACCATGGGCAACAAGAGCAAAACTCTGTCTCAAAAATTATATTTATATATGTATATGAACAATTAATATTGGCTGGGTGTGGTGGCTCACACCTGTAGTTACAGCACTCTGGGAGGCAAAGGCAGGAGGATCACCTTAGGCCAGGAGTTCAAAATCAGCCTGGGCAACAAAAGTGAGACCCCATCCCTACAAAAAACTTTTAAAAATAAGCCAGGTGTGGTGGCCCACACTGGCCACTTGGGAGGCTGAGGTGGAAGGATCTGTTGACCCCAGAAGTTCAAAGCTGCAATGAGTTATGACTGTACCACTGAGTTTGCCCCGAGCAACAGAGAGAGCCCCCATCTCTAAATAAATAAATAAATAGAAATTTAAAAATAATAATAAATATTAAGTATCTGAGAAAAGCTTCTAACTTTAAAAATAGAGACCCAAAAAAGGCAGGGAAAAAAAGCAGCTTAGAGAAAAGAAGCAATACAAATAATAAAATCTCTTCAAAATCAGTATGACTAATATCAAAGAAATTATGCTATAATGAACCAATAGACACTACAAAGAAGAAACATTCAGAGAGCCAAAAAAGCACTCTTAGAAATTAAAGACTGAATAGGAATTGAAGATAAAGTTAAAGACAAATCCTAAAAGGCAGAATGATTTCTTTTTTTTTTTTTTTTTTTTTTTTTTTTTTTTTTTTTTCTGAGATGCAGTCCCGCTCTGTAGCCCAGGCTGGAGTGCAGTGGCGCAATCTCGGCTCACTGCAAGCTCTGCCTCCCAGGTTCACGCCATTCTCCTGCCTCAGCCTACAGGACTGCAGGCGCCCGCCACCATGACCGGCTAATATTTTTTTGTATTTTTTTTAGTAGAGACGGGGTTTCACCGTGTTAGCCAGGATGGTCTCGATCTCCTGACCTCAGGTGATCCACCTGCCTCAGCCTCCCAAAGTGCTGGGATTACAGGCGTGAGCCAGTGTGCCTGGCCATTTTGCTCCTTCAGAATGGGTATGTGTGAAGTAAATTCTTTTTGAGACTGGGTATTTCTGAAAATATCTTTGTCCTACTTTGACATCTGATTGATAGTTTGATGGGGTATGGAATTCTAAGTTGGAAATAATTTCCTTTCAGGACTTTGAAGGTGTTGCTTCATTGTCTTCTAACTTCCAGTGTTGTCAGGAAGTCTGACATTCTGATTCCTGGTCCTTTGTGTGGCCTATTTGTTTTTAATATAGAAACTCGTAGGATTAGTTTTTTATCCCTAGGGTTTTGAAATTTCTGGATGATATGCCTTAGCCTGAGTCTCTTTTTGACTATTGTCCTAGGCATTCAGTAAGCCCTTTGAACCTGGAAACTCATGTCTCTCAGTTCTAGGAAATTTTCCTGAATAAATTTGTTGGTAATGTTTTCTTCTTGGGTGTTCTGTCTAAAACCTCCTTTTATTTGGAATTGGACTTTTTGAAATGATTGTCGTATTTTCTTATCCTTTCCTCTTTTCCTTCCCCTCAATCTTGTTCTACTTTTTAGAAAACAGCTTTATTGAGATGTAATATACATACCATAAGATTTACCCAAAGTGTACAATTGAGTGGTTTTTAGTGTATATACAGAGTTATGCAACCACCAACACAACAGAATTTTAGAACCTGTTCAGCACTCTAAAAATAACTTGCTCATTCTAAGACCAGGTACAGTGGCTCACCCCTGTAAACCCAGTGGTTTGAGAGACTGAGGTGGGAGGACTGTTTCAGGCCATGAGTTTCAGACTAGCCTGGGCAACACAGCGAAACACTGTCTCTTAAAAAAAAAAAATTCTCCAGGGGTAGTGGAACGTGCCTTAGTCCCAGCTATTTGGGAGGTTCAAGGAGAAGGATCACTTCAACCCAGGAGTTCAAGATTACAGTGAGCTATGATTGTGCCATAGCACTACAGCCTGGGTGAAAGAGCTTAAAAAAAAAAAAAAAAAAAAAACAGAGGCTGGGCACGGTGGCTCACGCCTGTAATCCCAGCACTTTGGGAGGCCGAGGCGGGTGGATCGCGAGGTCAGGAGATCGAGACCATCGTGGCTAACATGGTGAAACCCCGTCTCTACTAAAAATACAAAAATTAGCCGGGCGTGGTGGCAGGCTCCTGTAGTCCCAGCTACTCGGGAGGCTGAGGCAGGAGAATGGCGTGAACCTGGGAGGTGGAGCTTGCAGTGAGCCAAGATATCGCACCACTGCACTCCAGCCTGGGCGACAAAGCTAGACTCCGTCTCAAAAAAGGAAAAAAAAAAAAAAAAAAAGAAAGAAAGGATAGGTTTTCTTTTTAATTTTTTTTTTTTTAAACAAAGACAGGAGTCGCACTATGTTGCCCCAGCTGGCCTCGAACTCATAGCCTCAAGCAACCCTCCCGCCTCAGCCTCCTGAGTAGCTGGGACTACAGGTGTGAGCCACCACGCCTGGGTAATATGATGATATGAGATATAAGAAACAGAAGATCCAACAAAGGAGAGATGAAGCAAGTCTCCAAAATGATGGTGAAGGTCAATCCCAGGATGAGAGCTTTATACTACCAGGTATACCTGGTAACCATTCCAGACCAAAATGCTCCTGAAGAAATCTCCTCAAGAAGATGAAACTCACAGACTGTCTAATGAGTCAAAACATCTGGAGAGAAGATTTAGGCTGGCAGAGAGTTTGAGGTTACATGAATGGTACATATAACACCAAGAAAGTTAAAAGCAAAAAACAAAAACACAGGATAAATATTAATCCAAAAAAAAAAAAACAAGTTTTACAAGGAAGTAAAAAATAATCATATACTGCATGGTTGAGTTCTCAGTAGTGCTTACATAATCATAACAACTATATATTGATCTAATCTAAATTATAACCATACTAGGAGAATGAGAGGATAGGAAGGACATGTATGGATGTGTTTAGGACAGGGAGAAAAAAGACAGAGAACTAATTTCTCATCTTTCATACTGGGAACTCAATAAAAAATACCTAAAAGCAAAAATCAAGAGGTATCAAATACAAACATATTATTACAGATGTAGCAGTAAAACACAAAATAAACAGCTAAAAGAATTGAAAGACACTGCTTCTAAGAAAGATAAAATAGGAAGGAGAGAAGGAAGGACTGCTATTTGCCTTAACAAATCCTGAAGAACTATTTCGACTTATTTAAACAATGTACATATATAAGATAAATAAAATGAATCAGATGCTACTGATATCCTTATTTTAAAAAAATACAAATAAGCTGGGCCAGTGGCATACACCTGCAGTCCCAGCTACTTGGGAGGCTGAGTCAGGAGGATTATTTGAGGCCAGGAGTTCAAGGCTGCACTGTGCTATGATCATACCCATGAACAGCCACTGTACTCCAGCCTGGGCAACAAAGCTAGACCCCTTCTCTTAAAAATTGGAAAAAACAAAACAAAACTACGACTGTCCATACCTAGACCAGCTTTTGTAGAAAACTCTTATCTAATGCTATACAATTTTATTGAGTAAATAAAAGTAAACCTTGAGAAAATGGAGCAACTTATATAGTTAGGTACCTGACAAGTGTAGAAAAGGCCAGTAGCATACAAAAGGAAAGTGAAACAAAGCGAACCCCAGCTGGCGTAGCAGGAGGACGGCTCGTCATCAACTGCAGTAATTGCTCAGCTTCTTCTTCAGTTGGTCTAAAAAGGAATACATCATTAGGCTTTACATTTTTAGTTGGGATGAAGAAGAAAAAGTGAATTTTTAACCTTTTAGTTACAAATTTTAAACTTTATAATGGTATCTTGCTATTTATAAAATCTTTAACATCTCAAGTTGCCAAATGCAAAACTGTTGAGAAATTACAACTACAGTGTTTTACTGTGGACACAAATACAGGCAGGTCCTCCCTTTGCCCTGTAGTGTGAGACCATAAAAATGACCATGCAAGCTGAAATCATGCAACACAATCTTAATAATCAATGGTGAAAAGTATGGTTGTACTGTAGCCTTTAAAATTTTTGTCAAAACATTAAAAACTCTGTTGATTATAATGCATAATTTTTTTTTTTTTTTTTTGAGACAAGGTCTTGCTCCATCGCCCAGGCTGGAGTGTAGTGGCAGGATCAGAGCTCACTTCAGCTTTGACCTTCCAGGCTCAGGTAATCCTCCCACGTCAGTCCTCATGTAGCTAGGACCACAGGTATGCGCCACCATGCCCAGCTTATTTTTTTTAGTAGAGACAGGGTTTTGCCACGTTCCCCAGGCTGGTCTCAGACTCCTGGGCTCAAAAAATCCACCTCCCTTGGTCTCCTAAAATGCTGGGATTACAGGTGTAAGTCACTGTACCCAGCCAGGAATTTTTTTTTTTAAATGGTAAAACTAATATTTTTATAGTACTCTAATTGAAAATATTAGAAACATTGGGAATTAAACTGTTTTCTTTCTTTCTTTTTTTTGAGACAGAGTCTCACCCTGTCGCCCAGGCGGGAGCGCAGTGGCACAATCTCGGCTCACTGCAAACTCTACCTCCTAAGTTCAAGCAATTCTCCTGCCTCAGACTCCTGAGTAGCTGGGACTACAGGCACACGCCATCATTCCCAGCTAATTTTTGTATTTTTAGTAGAGAGAGGGTTTCACCATCTTGAATAGGTTGTCCTCGAACTCCTGACCTCACTGATCCACAAGCCTTGGCCTCCCAGAGCGCTCGGATTATGGGCGTGAGCCACTGTGCCCGGTCTTAAAGTTTTTTTATTTCTTCGTAAAGACTTTATCAAGAGTAGTTTAAACAGCCTTTGCCTCCTTTTTTTTATGTTTTTTGTTTTTGTAGAGATGGAGTTTCACTCTTATTGCCCAGGCCGGACTGCAATGGTGCAATCTTAGCTCACCGCAACCTCCACCTCCTGGGTTCCAGTGATTCTCCTGCCTCAGCCTCCCAAGTAGCTGGGATTACAGGCATGTGCCACCACACCCAGCTAATTTTGTATTTTTAGTAGAGACAGGGTTTCTCCATGTTGGTCAGGCTGGTCTCGAACTCCCAACCTCAGGTGATCTGTCCACCTTGGCCCCCCAAAGTGCTGGGATTACAGGCGTGAGCCACCGCGCCTGGCCTATGCTTTCATCTTTATTGGCCAACTGTCTCTTCCAATTATCTGTTTTTGGAATATAATGTTCCAAAAACTGTTTCCATGTTTTGGAACATGAGTTCATTATGGAGAGAAAGGAAGCAATACAGGTTGAGTAACCCCAATCCAAAAAACCTAAAATCTGAAATGCCCCCAAACTCCAAAACATTCTGAGTGCCAATATGAGGTAATGAGCTCAAAGGAAATGCTCATTGGAGCATTAAGGATTTTGAATTTCTGTTAGGGATGCTAAATCGGTAAATATAAACATTCCAAAATCCGAAAAGTTCTAAAATCCCAAACGCTTCTGGTCTCAAGCATTTCAGATAAGGGATATTCAACCTTTACAACTACCTCCTCTGCTATATGTACATGAATCAAATAACAGGTGTGCAGTAACCAGCTACCGACAGACTTTGAAAGAAGTGAGGCCATTGGTCACTAACCATGATGTACATCTGTTATTTACTTAGTGATCTGTGTCCTGAGGAGCTCACAAACTCTATACAATTAACTGGTTAATGTATCATGGCAACTGAAATGGCAACTGTGTTGAGAGACCAGCATTATTTAAATAAACTGGCGTAACTGAAACTCATGCATATTGGAGACATGCAAATGAGGACTGTATGTACAATTATTAAGAACACTATTCAAAAGGATTTTGTATGGTGACTAAGAAACATTGTACTGGCCAGGCACAGTGGCTCATGCCTGTAATCCCAGCACTTTGGGAGGCTGAGGCAGGCAGAACACCTGAGGTAAGGAGTTCAAGACAAGCCTGGCCAACATGGTGAAACCCCGTCTCTACTAAAAATACAAAAAAAAAAAAAAAAAAATTAGCCGGGTGTGGTGAGGCAGGAGAATCGCTTGAATCCGGGAGGCAGAGGTTACAGTGAGCCGAGATCACACCACTGCACTCCAGCCTGGGCGACAGACGGAGATTCCATCTCAAAAAAAAAAAAAAAAAAAAACATTGTACTTATTAATCACATCATATTAATTTTAAACAATTATGATATCAGCTGTAAAAGGAAACAAAGGAGAGATTTACTTCAACTAGTCAATGGTAAAAGATCACTCACAGATCATTCACTATAGTTTTGTCAAGCTGTGTTGAAATCACAGGTTTCTTTAAACTGTGATTGGAAATTGATAAACTGCTCTGGCTCCTCCCATATTTATATAGTTCTGTTTACAATCAGAACAAAATAGATGAATACATCTCTGCTAGAAATTCTTGGCCTTAGGATTTCATTCTTCTTACAGGCCAGCCCACTACCTGAGTCCAACAGAAAACTTTAATCCTCTGAATAAAAGGCCTTTGGCTCACTTTCTTGAGAATAGAAACAAGAAGGTAAAATGACAAAAAGGTAAAATATCAAACTATTGAATACTTGAGTCCAGCGATCCCCATCAAAGCACAGTACAGACGTAAGAGTGCACTGGCTTTCACAACATGCTCTTCTTTCAGCCCCGAATACACAGACACATTGGGCTCCATATCCACATCAGCTTCTTCCACAATTCGGGTGCTTCTTACTGTGGGAAGAATGCCCATCAACTCCAGAAGAAGCTGCCTTCTCATCTGCCAAAGGACAGAACTGCTGGTCTCTCTTTTTCTCTGAAAGAAATATGGATCACAAAAGGAAGAAAGCATGAAGCATTTACTAAACTAAAAGGGAGCTAAAACATAGCACCCCACTTAAACACTTTCAAATTGGCCTATTTGAAGAGATTGTCGTGACTACAGAATCTCATTTTAACCAATCAAGCAAACTCAAAATCCACTAGTTTGTCTGAAGAATGAATATTCACCATAATTTGGATTGGTTGCAGAGGAAAGACTAAATTAGTGACAATTTGAATTGTGGAATATTATTTCAATGGTACTTTCAAATACATAAAGACTAACAAAGTGATATGTGGTATAGGAGAAAATGCTCAGATTTTGAAGACGTAAGTTCTTGGGGTTTAAATGCCAGCTCTACTATTAGACGATTATATACCTTTAGGCACATTGGTTAGCCTCTCTGAACCCCAATTTCCTTAATGACAAGGAAATATTTTATCAACAATATTTACCTTATAGAACTCCTATAATTAAGAGTTTACAATTCTTGGCCTGATGCAGTGGTTCACGCCTGTAATCCCAGCACTTTGGGAGGCCAAGGCGGACGGATCACTTGAGGTCAGGAGTTCGAGACCAGCCTGGCCAACATGGTGAAACCCCATCTCTACTAAAAATATAAAAATTAGCTGGGTGTGGTGGTGCATGCCTGTAATCCCAGCTACTTGGGAGGCTGAAGCACAAGAATCGCTTGAACCCAGGAGGCGGAGGTTACAATGAGTCAAGATGGCGCCACTGCACTCCAGCCTGGGCAACAGAGTGATACTCTCGTCTCAAAAAAAACAAAAGAGTTTACAATTCTATAACCACTACAGTTCTTCAGGCAGGGACAATGCCTTAGTCTTCTCTCACTCTGCACAGTCGAACATTGTGCCTAACATACAGCAAGCACTCAAAGTCTGTTAAGTAGATGAATGAACAGAGATAATACATGTATGAAAGCAGTTCTAAACTATACAGGGCTAGACAAATGTTAATTATTATCTTTTGAGTGTCTCTAAGTAAAATATGATAGACCTGCTTTAATAATAACAGTAAGTTCAAAGAATAAAGGTTTATTGAATACAAAAGACAACTACAAACAAGATGAGCATGCCAAGTGCTTAAGGCAGTACCTGACATATATGAAGCATCCAATAAATAAATGTTAACTTTGTTTTAAAAAGCAGAGCTTAAAATCAGTTTTCAAATGGGCTATAAAATAGAACTTGAATATTTTAAAAAACTATGATTCAGTAGCTTAAAAATAGACTACAGGATCTAAGCAGTATACATGTTGTCTAGCTAAGTGACCTCAACGAGTTAAATCGCAATCTGCATTAGCTCCTTCATAGGAACTCTATTCACATAGTTAATATAAATTAGTTTTTGAAAAATTAAAACATTTTGCAAGTTAAAAACTGTTGCAAAATACATATGCATAAGCAGGTGAACGTATAAAATAAAATGTGGTATATACACACAATGGAATATTATTTTTCTTTTTTTTTGAGACCGAGTCCTGCTCTGTCACCAGGCTGGAGTGCAGTGGCGTGATCTCGGCTCACTGCAACCTCTGCCTCCCATGTTCAAGCGATTCTCCTGCCTCAGCCTCCCGAGTAGCTGGGACTACAGGCACGCACATCACGCTCAGCTAATTTTTGTATTTTTAGTAGAGACAGGGTTTCACCATGTTGGCCAGGATGGTCTCCCTCTCTTGACCTTGTGATCCGCCCGCCTCAGCCTCCCAAAGTGCTGGGATTACAGGCGTAAGCCACCCCACCCAGCCCTTACTTCTTATTTTTATAGATTTAGGGGGTACAAGTGCAGTTTTGTTACATGAATCTATTGCATAGAAGTCTGGGCTGTTGGTGTAGTCATCACCCTGATAGTATACCCTGTACCCAATATAGGTAACTTCTCAACCCTCACCCCCTTCCCACCCTCCCAACATTTGGAGTCTATGATGTGTATTATCCCACTCGCTTATGTCCATGTGTACACATGATTAGCACCCACTCATAATTGAGAATATGCAATATTTGACTTTGTTTATGCGTTATTTCACTTAATATAATGGCCTCCAGTTCCATCCATGTTACTGTCAGACATGATTTTATTCTTTTTTATGGTTGAGTTGTATTCCATGGTGTGTGTGTTTGTGTGTGTGTATACATATATACGTGTGTGTGTACATGTGTGTATGTGTGTGTGTGTGTGTGTGTGTGTGTGTGTGTGTGTGCATATATCACATTTTCTTTAAGCAACCATCCGTTGATAGATGCTTAGGTTGATTCCATAACATTGCTACTGTGAATAGTGCTGAAATAAACATACAAGTGTAGGTACATTTTTTATATAATGATTTCTCTACCCAGCAGTAGGATTGCTGGACAGAATGGCAGTTCTACTCTAAGTTCACAATGGAATATTATTCAGCCTTTAAAAAGGAAATCCTGACACATGTTACAACATAGATGAACCTTGAAAACATTATGCTAAGTGAAATAAGCAACATACAAAAGGAGAAATATTGTATAATTCCATTTACTTCAGGTAGCCAGAAAGGGTAAATTCATACAGACAGAAAGTTGAATAGAGGTTACCAGAGGATGGGATGATAGGGGGAATGGGGAGTTATTTAATGGATACAGAGTTTCTGTTTGGGATGATGAAAAAGTTCTGGAAATGGGCCAGGCCCAGTGGTGGCTCACGCCTGTAATCCCAGTACTCTGGGAGGCCCAGGTGGGTGGATCACCTGATGTCAAGAGTTCTAGACCAGCCTGACCAACATGGCGAAACCCAGCCTCTACTCAAAATAAAAGTAGCCAAGTGTGGTGGTGGGCACCTGTAATCCCAACTACTCAGGAGGCTGAGGCAGGAGAATCCTCGAACCCAGGAGGTAGAGCTTGCAGTGAGCCGAGATTGCGCCATTGTACTCCAGCCTGGGTGACAGAGTGAGACGCCGTCTCAAAAAAAAAAAAAAAAAATAGTTCTGGAAACGAAGAGTGATAATGGTTGCACACTGTAAATATACTTAATGCCACTGAATTATATACTTAAAAATGATTAAATGGCAAAATTTTATGTTATGTATATTTTACCATAATAAAAACATATATACACATATGTATTAAAATTTAAAAATATAATAACTTATTTCAGTGATCTAATGCACCAGTTCTCATGAGTCTGGCCCAGAACCCTGGAGATATATGCTTTCAGGGGGTCTGGAAAGGTGTTAATAATACTCAAGACATTATCTGTCTTTTTCTTTCTCATTCACTCACAAGGGTACGGTGCAGTTTCCAAAGGCTTCTACCAAGCCAGACATTGAAGATATTTGAAAAAAATACAATAAAATAAAACTATCATTCTTCTCATTAAATTTTGTTTGGGAAAACACAGTTAGTTTTCATTTAAAATATGTTATGTTCACATTTAATAGGGTTATTGTTGTTTGGTTTTGGTTTTTTTTTAAGAGATGAGGTCTCGCTATGTTGCCCAGGCTAAAGTACAGTCGCTATTCACAGGCACAATTATCACACACTATACCCTAGAACCCCCTGGCTTAAGCAATCTTCCTGCTTCAGCCTCCTAAGTAGCTAGGACTATAGGCACATACCAACACACCAGCTGTTCCTATTTTTAAAAGAACTAAATAAATATTTCAAATATTTAAGTGTTAATTTCTAATATGGTAAATATCAACAGAAAAAAAGCCACATAAACAAAAGCTCTTTGGTATCCTTAGTGATTTTTTAAAATATAAGGAGGTCCCTGAAACTAGAAAGTGTGAGAACCACTTGTCTAATGACATCATTCAAAAAATGTTTCTTTCTCTTTTAGCAGCTGCTAAAGTATTCTGATCCTTAGCCTATACAGATATTTAACCCTCACCTGCTGTCCATTTCGGATAAAAGTTCCAAACCAAGTCCGGACTTTCGCATTTGTTCCAAGAAGCAAACCACTTACAAAACAAACCAAGTCACTCACTCCATCCTCACAAGCTTCATTTTTAGTATGATCCAATGTCAAAGCCACACCAAGGCCTGGCAAGTGACATTCTTCCACCTAGCACAGAAAAGAAAACAAACTGAATTCAGTATCATAAGCAAAAAGGCCAGTGATGCTTCCAAATCTAAAGTATCTAAAGTTTAGAGGAAGAACTCCTACAAAACATAAAAACCCAGAGAGGAAGGTAACATATCCAGTATATAAATAAAATTCCCCACCTCTACAGGACTCTAAAACCATCTTGAGAAGAGTTCTTGGACCTAATATAAAGGCCTTTGTCTAATAAAACACAGGATCACTTACCACCATGCCTCGGACCTTGAGGGCCTGAGAAGGATTCATTTTACACAAGAAGCGTAAGGCATCTGTCCTGCGCCTTCCTCCAAGACTTTCTTCATCTTGTCGTTCTCCATTTTTTATCAGGCCCCTACAAACTAACATGATAGAAACCATCTTCTTCAGCCTTCAGAATTAATTGTTCATGAAGATTTCACATGACAGAAGAAAAGGATCAGGGTATTTGAAAGCACAACAACAGAAATTGGCCAAAATGAAGCAAAAAATGAAAAGAGACTTAAAAAAGAATAGTAAACTCTGGGACAATATTACACATTCAAACACACTTGCAATTACGGTCCCAGAGAGACAAAGAAAGTACGAGACAAAAATACATTTGAGGGCCACGGACAGTGGCTCACACCTGTAATCCCAGAACTCTGGGAGGCCAAGGTGGGGGCGGGGGGGGGGGGGGTGCGGGGCATGGATCACCTGAGGTCAGGAGTTCGAGACTAGCCTGGCCAACATGGTGAAACCCCATCTCTACTAAAAATACAAAAATTAGCTGGGCGTGGTGGCAGGCACCTGTAATCCGAGCTACTCAGGACGCTGAGGCAGGAGAATCGCTTGAACTGGGAGGTGGAGGTTGCAGTGAGCCAAGATCGCATCATTACACTCCAGCCTGGGGCGACAAAAGCGAAACTCCTTCTCAAATAAATTAATTAATTAATTAATTTGAAGAAATTTTCCCAAGTTGAATGAAAACTCTAAACCCAGTTCAATGAGCCCTAAGTGGAACAAATGCAAAGAAAATCATACCAAGAAACATCATACGTCAACTTTCTGAAACCAGTAATAAAAAGAAAATCTTAAAAGTAACCAGGGCCGGGTGCAGTGGCTCACACCTGCAATCCCAGCACTTTGGGAGGCCGAGGTGAGTGGATCACTAGGTTAAGAGCTCGAGACCAGCCTGGCCAATATGGTGAAACCCTGTCTCTACTAAAAATACAAAAATTAGCTGGGTGTGGTAATGCGCACCTATAGTCCCAGCTGCTCAGGAGGCTGAGGCAGCAGAATCACTTGAACCCGGGAGGTGGAAGTTGCAGTGAGCCGAGATCACACCACTGCACTTCAGCCTGGGTGACACAGCAAGACTCCATCTCCAAAAAAGAGAAAAAGTAACTAGAGCAGAGGATAGGCGCATCACCTGAGGCCAGGAGTTCAAGATCAGCCTAGCCAACATAGTGAAACCCCATCTCTATTAAAAATACAAAAATTAGCCAGGCATGGGGGCACATGACTATAGTCCCAGCTACCCGGGAGGCTGAGGCAGGAGAACTGCTTTAACCCCAGGGGAGGCGGAGGTTGCCGTGAGCCGAGCTCATGCCACTGCACTCCAGCCTGGGTGACAGAGCAAGACTCCGTCTCCCAAAAAAAAAACAAAAAAAAAGGAGCCAGAAGAAATTAAAGAAAAAAAAAAAAAGTAGCCAGAGGGAAAAAGAAACTTTACAGAGGAACAAAGATAAAATTTACTGCAGAAAAGAGAATGACATCTTTGTTCTTTGTTTTCTTTTTTCCTAGAGATGGGATCTTGCTTTCTTGCTTTGCCACCATACTAGTCTCAAACTCCTGGCTTCAAACAATCCTCCCGTTTTGGCCTCCCAAAGTGCTGGGATTACAGGTGTGAGCCACATACCCAGCCAGAATGACATCTTTAAATAGCTAAAAGATGACGTCAACCTAAAATTTTATACCCTTTGAAAATATATTTTTCCAGACCAAAAAAGCCAGTAAAATTTGTTGCCAACAAACCCACCCTACAAAAAATAAGGAAAATTCTTCAAGTTAAGGGGAAATTATGCCAGATGGAAATATGGAACTACAGAAAGGAATTAAGAGCACCAAAAATGGTAAATGTGTGGATAAATAGTATTTTCCTCTATATTTTTAGTCTTTAAAATATAATTAACTGTTTAAAACAAAAGTAATAACAATTTGCTCTAAGGTTTATAATTCATGTAAAAGTAAAATCCATGACAACAATGGCACAAAGTACAAGAGGAAAAAGAAAATAAATAGAAAACAAATAACAAGAAGATTCAAACCTAACCACTATAATAATCACATTTAAATGGTCTATGTATACAGTCTAAACACTCCAATTAAAAGACAGAGACTGCCACTAGATTAAAAAAAATGAAGACCGAACTATACCTGTCCACAAGAAATCGACCTTAAGATATGGACAGATTAAAGAGATGAAGAAATATATACACCATGGAAAAACTAATTATAAGAAAGATGACATGGCTGTATTATTCAGACAAAGTAGACTTGAAAAGAAGGAATATTATCAGCAATAAAGAAGTCTATTTTGTCACGCCTGTAAATCCCAGCACTTTGGGAGATTGAGGCAAGCGGACCACTTTAGCCCAGGAGTCTGAGACAGCACGGGTAACATGGTGAAACCCCATATCCACAAAAATACAAAAAATTAGCTGGGCGCGCCAGGTGCAGTGGCTCACGCCTATAATCCCAGCACTTTGGGAGGCCACAGAGGGCGCATCACGAGGTCAGGAGATCCAGACCATCCTGGCTAACACGGTGAAACCGTGTTACTACTAAAAATACAAAAAAATTAGCCGGGCGTGGTGGTGGCGGGCGCCTGTAGTCCCAGCTACTCGGGAGGCTGAGGCGGGAGAATGGCGTGAACACAGGAGGCGGAGCTTGCAGTGAGCCGAGATTGCGCCACTGCATTCCAGCCTGGGCGACAGAGTGAGACTCCGTCTCAAAAAAAAAAAAAAAAAAAAAATTATCTGGGCCCAGTGGTATCGGCTGGTAGCCTCACTCACTCAAGAGGCTGAGGCAGAAGGATCACTCGAGCCTGGGAGATCAATGCTGCAGTGAATCATGACCACACCACTGCACTCCAGCATGCGTGACAGAGCGAGACACTATCTCAAAAAAAAAAAAAAAGCGTATTTTGGAGGTTAAAAATCTCTACAAAGAGGCCAAGGACAGTGGCTCATGTCTGTAATCCCAGCACTTTGGAAGGCCGAGGAGGACAGATCACTTGAGGTCAGGAGTTCAAGACCAGCCTGGCCAACATGGTGAAACTCCGTCTCTACTAAAAATACAAAAATTAGCCGGGCGCGGTGGCTCACGCCTATAATCCCAGCACTTTGGGAGGCCAAGGCAGGCGATTCACAAGGTCAGGAGATCAAGACCATCCTGGTTAACACAGTGAAAC
The DNA here is from genome assembly GCF_000001405.40 of Homo sapiens. Taxonomy (NCBI): domain Eukaryota; kingdom Metazoa; phylum Chordata; class Mammalia; order Primates; family Hominidae; genus Homo; species Homo sapiens. The sequence continues at coordinate 61,915,163 of NC_000017.11, forward strand.
CCCGTCTCTACTAAAAACACAAAAAATTAGCCGGGCATGGTGGCAGGCGCCTGTAGTCCCAGCTACTCGGGAGGCTGAGACAGGAGAATCGCTTGAACTGGGGAGGCAGAGGTTGCAGTGAGCCGAGATCACTCCACTGCACTCCAGCCTGGGTGACAGAGCAAGACTCCGTCTCAAAAAAATAAATAAATAAATAAATAAATAAATAAATAAATAAGCCAGGTGTGGTGGCCCATGCCTGTAATCCCATGAACTTGGGAGGCTGATGCAGGAGAATCGCTTAAACCCAGGAGGTAGAGGTTGCAGTGCGCCGAGATTGCGCCACTGCACTCCAGCCTGTGAAACAGAGTGAAACTCTGTTTCAAAAAAAAAAAGTCCGGGCGCGGTGGCTCACGCCTGCAATCCCAGCACTTTGGGAGGCCGAGAAGGGTGGATAACTAGGTCAGGAGATCAAGACCATCCTGGCTAACACGGTGAAACCCTGTCTCTAATTAAAAAAAAAAAAAAAAATACAAAAAATTAGCCGGGCGTGGTGGCGGGTGCCTGTAGTCCCAGCTACTCGGGAGGCTGAGGCAGGAGAATGGCTGAACCCAGGAGGCAGAGCTTGCAGTGAGCCGAGATTGTGCCACTGGGCGACAGAGCAAGACTCTGTCTAAAAAAAAAAAAAAAAAAAAAAAATCATATAAGACACAAACAAATGGAAAAACATTCCAAGCTCATGGATTGGAAGAATCATTATCTTTAAAATGGCCATATTGCCCAAAGCAATCTACAGATTCAACACTCTTCATATCAAACTACCAACATGATTTTCCACAAAATTAGAAACTTTAGGATACTAAAGTTCACACAGCAAAAAAGAGCCTGAATAGCCAAAGCAATCCTAACAAAAAGAACAAAGCCAGAAGCATCACATTATCTAACTTCAAACTATACTACATGGCTACAGTAACCAAAATAACATGGCACTGGTATAAAAACAGACACACAGGCCAGGCACGGTGGCTCACACCTGTAATCCCAGCACTTTGGTAGGCTGAGGCGGGCAGACCACGAGGTCAGGAGATCGAGACCATCCTGGCTAACACAGTGAAACCCCATCTCTACTAAAAATACAAAAAATTAGCCAGGCATGGTAGTGGGTGCCTGTAGTCCCAGCTACTCAGGAGGCTGAGGCAGGAGAATGGCGTGAACCCAGCAGGCAGAGCTGCAGTGAGCCAAGGTCGCACCCCTGGACTCCAGTCTGGGTAACAGAGTAACAAAAAATTAATAAATAAAAATAAACAGACACACGGACCAATGCAACAGAATAGAAAACCCAGAAATAAAGCCACACACCTACAATCATCTGATCTTCAACAAAGTTGACAAAAATAAATGACAGGGAAAGGACTCCCTATTTAACAAATGGTGTTGGGATAGCTGGCTAGCCATATGCAGAAGAATGAAACTAGACCCTATCTTTTATCATATACAAAAATTAACTCAAGTTAGATTAAAGATTTAGATGTAAAACCTCAAACTATAAAAATCCTAGAAGAAACACTAGGAAATACTATTCTGGACACTGGCCTTGGCAAAGAATTTATAGCCAAGTCCTCAAAAGCAATTGCAATGAAAACAAAAATTGACAAGTGTGACCTATTTAAATTAAAGATATTCTGCACACAAAAGAAACTATCAACAGAGCAAACAATCTACAGAATGGGAGAAAATATTGACAAAAATGTATCTGACAAAGGCCTAATGTGCAGAATCTATAAGGACATAAACAATTCAACAAGCAAAAAACCACCCCATTAAAAGTGAGGAAAGAACACGAACAGATACTTCTCAAAAGAAGACATATAAGCAACCAAAAAACATGAAAAAAAATGCTCCATATCACTAATCATCAGAGAAACACAAATCAAAACAATCATGAAATGCCATCTCACACCAGTGAGAATGGCTATTAAAAAGTCAAAAAATAATAGGTGCTAGCGAGGCTGTGGAGAAAAGAGAACACTTACACATTGTTGGTGGGAATGTAAATTAGTTCAGCCACTGTGGAAAGCAGTTTGGAGATTTCTCAAAGAACTTAAAACAGAACTACCATTCGACCCAGCAGTCTCACTGCTGGATATATACTCAAAGGACAACAAATTGTTCTACCAAAGACACATGCGCTTGTATGTTCATCCCAATACTATTCACAATAGCAAAGACATGGAATCAACCTTGGTGCCCATCAACAGTGGATTAAATAAAATGTACATATATACCATGAAATACTATGCAGCCATTAAAAAGAATGAAATCATGTCCTTTGCCGCAACAAGGATAAAGCTGGAAGCCATCCCATCCTAGGCAAATTAACACAGAAACAGAAAACCAAATACCACATGTTCTCACTATAAGTGGGAGTTAAACATTGGGTACACATGGACATAAAGATGGGAACAATGGACACTGGGACTACCAGTGGGGAGGAAGAAAGGGGACAAGGGCTGAGAAACTACCTATTGGGTACTATGCTCATAACCTGGGTGACGGGATCATTCAAACTCCAAACCTCAGTGTCATACAATATACCCATGTAACAAACCTGCACATGTACCCCCCTGAATCTAAAATAAAACTTCGAATTTTTTTAAAAAGAAAAATTAAAACAAAGGTGACAACAAATTGAATAATATGTAAATAATGTTTAGAAAGGGGGATATAACTATAAATGTGAAAACTAAGAATAAAGAAATCAAATTTGACTTGGGGAAAAAAGTATATTTTATAATGAAAAAAAGGCTCAATTCATCATAAAGATATAATCATCCTAAATGCATATAAACCCAACAAAAGAGCTTTGAAATACATGAAGCAAAAACTGACAGAACAAAAAGAAGAAATAGGCAAATCCACAATTATGTCTGGAGACATCAAAACTCCTCTCTCAGTAATTGACAGAACAAGTTGACAAAAAATCGGCAAGGACACAGTTTACAAAGAGTTTTTACATATCATCTGATATTCAATAAATCTCTTAAAAAAGTCAGGGAACTATTACACTATCAATATCTCCATTTTACAGATGAGAAGTATTTTGGTTTGTTTGTTTGTTTAAGACAGAGTCTCACTCTGTTGCCCAGGCTGGAGTGCAGTGGCACATATCGGCTCGCTGCAACCTCCACCTCACAGATTGAAGCAATTCTCCTGTCTCAGCCTCCTGAGTAGCTGAGATTACAGGCATCCACCACCAAGCCCAGCTAATTTTTGTATTTTTAGTAGAGACGGGGTTTCACTATGTTGGCCAGGCTGGTCTCAAACTCCTGGCCTGAAATGATGCACCCACCTCGGCCTCCCCAAGTGCTGGGATTACAGGCATGAGCCACCGTGCCCAGCCAGATGAGAAGTATTTTGATAGAGCTCACACAATAAGTGAATGACAAAATCAGGAATTATAACTCCAGTACTTTTTCCTCCCAGGCTCCTAATTCACAAACTACCTTGCTCAACAAAATGTTTTTATTTTTATATCACTCATACCCAAACAACAACCTTCAATCACTGTAAGTTTTAAATAGAGGTGAAAAAATGTAGTCGATTTTTCTCAATTTCTACTTTATACTTCTCTGTAAACTGACAGCAGTAGGGCTAAAAAACAAAGGTCTGATTCCTAGCATTTCTCATTATACATATCCCGTATTGCTCTCTTGATATTTCACTGATACATGTATCTTCTTTGATCCCTGATTATAGATATTACATCTTCTAGTTCCTTGGGGTTTTTTTTTTTTTTTTTTTGAGACGGAGTCTCGCCCTGTCGCCCAGGCCGGAGTGCAGTGGTGCGATCTCGACTCACTGCAACCTCCACCTCCCAGGTTCAAGCGATTCTTCTGCCTCAGCCTCCCCAGTAGCTGGGACTACAGGCACCCACCACCACATCCAGCTAATTTTTGTATTTTTAGTAGAGATGGGGTTTCACCATAGTGGCCAGGCTGGTCTCAAACTTCTGACCTTGTGATCTGCCCGCCTCGGCCTCCCAAAGTGCTGGGATTACAGGTGTGAGCCACTGCGCCCAGCCTGATCTTTAAACTCAATACAATTTGTGAACTCAATATTTCTTTATACATACTAACAAACTTTCAAAAGATAAAATCTCAAATAAAATCCCATTAATGTTTCTTCTTAGGTCAAAAAGATAGGTCCTGTACATGTCCAAGCAAGTCTTTTCAATATACCATATTAGAATCATATTTACCTTCATTAAAACTATCAGGAACATTGGCCACCAAGAGACACAAGAACCAGGCACCATTTCTAACATGTAGCAAAGCTTCAGCTACATCAACTATAGGGAGCAAGGAAGGGAGCTCTACAAGAAAACAAAGTCAGTGTTAGTCTTTGTTAACAGGTGCACTCCACCACACCCAGCTAATTTTTTTTATTTTCTGTGGAGACTGAATCTCACTGTGTTGCCCAGGTGGGTCTCAAACTTTGGCCTCAAGTGATCCTCCAGCCTCAGCCTCCCAAAGTGCTAAGATTACAGGCATAAGCCACCATGCCTGGACCCAGTGTTAAAGAGTGATATTTCTTTTTTTCTTCTTTAAGACAGGGTCTTGCTTTGTTGCCCAGGCTACAGTGCAGTGGTGTGATTATAGCTCACTGCAGCCTCAACCTCCTGGGCTCAAGCAATCCTCCTGCCTCAGCCTCCTAAACTCCTAGAATTACAGGCATGAGCCACCATGCCCAACCAAAAATGACATTTCATTGTATTATTAAATATCTTTTGACATTTCACAAATGTCATCTAAAATAAAGTACTTTCTTTTCATAGTCTAGAACCAAGCTGTCCAGTAGGATACCCACTAGCAACATAAGGATACTTATATTAAAAACAGTTCAGTTCCTCAATCACACTAGCCACATTTCAAGTAATCCACAGCCACAAAGAACACTGGACAGCATAGCATAGAACAGTACAGGAAATTTTATTTTATAGAACTGGTCTAAAGAGTTATTTTCACGAAAATCTTATTTGCTTTTTTTTTTTTTTTTTTGCGACGAAGTCTCGCTTTTGTCCCCCAGGCTGGAATGCAATGGCGCAATCTCAGCTCACCGCAACCTCCGCCTCCAGAGTTCAAGCGATTCTCCTGCCTCAGCCGCCCGAATACCTGGGATTACAGAAGCCTGCCACCACACCAGGCTAATTTTTGTATTTTTAGTAGAGACAGGGTTTCACCATGTTGACCTGGCTGGTCTCCAACTCCTGACCTCAGGTGATCCACCCACCTCGGCCTCCCAAAATGCTGGGATTACAGGCGTGAGCCACCGTGCCTGGCCTATACTTTTTTTTTTTTTTTTTTTTTTTAAGAAAAGGTCTGCAGCCAGGCACAGTGGCTTATGCCTATAATCCCAGCATTTTGGGAAGCTGAGGCAGGCAGATCACAAGGTTAAGAATTCGAGACCAGCCTGGCCAACATGGTGAAACCTCGTCGCCACTAAAAATACAAAATTAGCTGGGCATGGTGCCGCATGCCTGTAATCCCAGCTACTCAGGAGGCTAAGGAAGGAGAATCACTTGAACCCCGGAGGCGGAGGTTGCAGTGAGCCGAGATCACACCACTGCACTCCAGCCTGGGTGACAGAGTGAGACTCCATCTCAAAAAAAAAAGACAAGGTCTCACTCTGGACAGAGTGCAATGGCACAATCATGGCTCACTACAGCCTCAATCTCCCAGGCTCAAGCCATCCTCCTGCCTCAGCTTCCCATGCAGCTGGGACTACAGGTATACACCACCACACTAGGCTAATTTTTTTCATTTTGGTAGAGACAAGGTCTCACTATGTTGCCCAGACTGGTCTTGAACTCTTGAGCTCAAGTGATCCTCCTGCCTCGGCCTCCCAAAGTGCTGGGATTACAGGCATGAGCGACAGCCTTCTTTACATTTTTCTGTCCTCTTTTATTTCTATCATTCACACCTATTATATACAATCTGGAAAATACAAAAAGGTACGAAGAAGAAAATTAAAATCTGCCCTAATCCCAGAATTCAAAGTTAATAAAAAATGTTTTCACAGGCCTGTAGTCCCAGCTACTCAGAAGGCTGAAGTGGGAGGATCCCTTGAGTCCAGGAATTCAAGCCAGTGGGCTATGATCCTGCCACTGTACTCCAGCCTGAGCAACAGAGCAAGACTCTGTCTCTAAAAAAAAATAAGTATTTTATTTTAATTCATCAAGGGTATTGTTCTTGAACTTTTAACAAAACTGGGATTATAGTCTACTTAACACTTTGCCCTTTGCTTTTTTCACTTAACATATTGTAAACATTTTCCAAAATCATTAACGAGCATTAAAGTCATTAAATCAAAGATACCATGTTAATGTCTGCATAATATGTCACACTATGAAAATAATATAATTTACTTAATCATTGTCCAACTATTAGTCACTTTTGACTTAAAATCACATAACATGTTTGTTATATGATCCCTAAAATAACACAGCATACCAGGCTAAGAAGTTACACAGTATCATTTAACAAGAAACTATATATGAAATCCATCTTAGCACTCAGTACAGTACCTGCTTGTAAAATACAAAGTACATCTGCAGCTTCCTCCAAATATACTGGACTCTCAAAAAGTTCAGAAGACTTGAAAAAAAATTCTCCGTTGGACTCAGACACCTTAAAAAAGAAAAAAAAAAGATATAAACTCTATTAATTTCAGATAATTAAATCCCTATTTTTATAATTATTTCTTGAGCTCACAGATTATGTCTCTTAATGTATCACTAATATACCACAGCAGAATATGCAGTATTCAATCAATTTCAACCAATTTAACCACACACAGCAGTCATGTTAATTATTATTCAGATATAGCAGTATCAATCTCAAGAACTGATTTCTATCTAAATATTTGGAGACAACTGGAATTAAAGGATAAGGCAAGCCAAAGAAATGAACTACAAATGCAGCCTACATAAACTGCTTTAAAAAAGCCAAGAACAGTCAACCTAAAGCAGTTTAACAAATATAAATTCATGGCCAGGTGCAGTGGCTGACGCCTGTAATCCCAGCACTTTGGAAGGCCAAGATGGGTGGATCAACTGAGGTCAGGAGTTCGAGACCAGCCTGGCCAACATGGTGAAACCCTGTCTCTACTAAAAATATAAAAATTAGCCAAGCATGGTGGCCATCTGTAATCTTAGCTACTCAGGAGGCTGAGGCAGGAGAATCGCTTGAACCCGGGAGGTGGAGGCTGCAGTGAGCCGAGATAGCACCACTGCACTCCACACTGGGAGACAGAATGAGACTCCGTCTCAAAAAAAAAAAAAAAAAGAAAAAGAAAAAAGAAAACAAACAAACATATATATATATATATATATATATATATATATATACGTGTTCAATTCTGAATAAACTGTTGGAAAAACAAAGAATTAAAGTTTAGATAACAAAATCTACTAAGCTTTTTGGAAATTCTGCACAATAGTTTCATAACCATATTTCCTATATAATGAAGAGTGCCAAACTAAAAAATTGGAAATCTCCCAGAGGAGAAAGGTCACTTATTTATTAGAGTCACCAAGTGAGGTATTACGGAAAAGATGAAGGAAAACTCTTGGCTGAAATTTAAAAGTATCAAAATAGGCTGGGCATGGTGGCTCATGCCTGTAATCTCAGAACTTTGGGAGGCCGAGGTGGGAGGATCACCTGAGGTCAGGAGTTCGAGACCAGCCTGGCTAACATGGTGAAACCCCGTCTCTACTAAAAATACAAAAATTAGCAGGCATGGTGGCGGGTGCCTGTAATTCTAGCTACTCAGGAGGCTGAGGCAGGAGAATCGCTTTAACCCAGGAGGCAAAGGTTGCAGTGAGCAAGATCACACCATTGCACTCCAACCTGGGCAACAAGAGCGAAACTCTGTCTCAAAAAAACAAACAAAAATAAATAAAAGTATCAAAATAGTAAAAAAGAGAAGGAAATTATAATTGGTGATGGAAATTTTAGAAAAATTTTTTAACATACCTTAAAAACTGTCTAAAACTCGGCCGGGCGCAGTGGCTCGTGCCTGTAATCCCAGCACTTTGGGAGGCCAAGGAGGGCGGATCACGAGATCAGGAGATCGAGACCATCCTGGCTAACACGGTGAAACCCCGTCTCTACTAAAAATACAAAAGATTAGCCAGGCATGGTGGCGGGCACCTGTAGTCCCAGCTACTCGGGAGGCTGAGACAGGAGAATGGTGTGAACCCGGGAGGCGGAGCTTGCAGTGAGCCGAGATTGTGCCACTGCACTCCAGCCTGGGCGACAGAGTGAGACTCTGTCTCCAAAAAAAAAAAAAAAAAAAAAAAAACTATCTAAAACTCACCAAAATCCTCTCTACCAGTATTTTCTATGAAAACAGAATTTAGTCCTTTCTCTTTTTGTCCACAATTTATAAAACTAAACTTTATTTACTATAAATTAACTGACTCCCCAAAATTATAACAGTAAATAAACATAAAGATCTAATTTAGTGGGTTTTTGTGGTGGTGGTGGTTGTTGTTTTTGAGGCAGTTTTACTCTTGTTGCCTAGGCTGGAGTGCAATGGCACAATCTCGGCTCACCACAACCTCCACCTCCCAGGTTCAAGCAATTCTTTTACAGGCATGCACCACCACTCCTGGCTAATTTTGTATTTTTTAGTAGAAACGGGGTTTCTCCATGTTGGTCAGGCTGGTCTTGAACTCCCAACCTCAGGTGATCCGCCCACCTCGGCCTCCCAAAGTGCTGGGATTACAGGCGTGCACCACCACGCCCAGCTAATTTAGTTATTTATATGATAGAACTTTGACATTCAAAAATTTTAAATTCAGAGTTTCAATTAACTATATTACCCAAAGGTCTATGACCTAAGTAATCTATAATTTTACAAAGAAGATAACTTGAATAGCTTTCATTAGTGTAAAGAAGCACTTTGGTCATTTAGTGATTGAGACTAGCCAATCATCCTACATTCAATTCAGCATTGATACTCCCCTCTGCTGTCATATATGAGGCTGTTACTGCTCATCCAGTGTCTAAATGAATCACATACATTTTTCAGTTATTCACATTCAGTTATTGAAAATGTTACTTCATTACACTTTATGGGAGAAATTGTATCCCATAAAGGTATTATCTGCTAATAAATTTGATAATCTGTACAAGCCTTGAGATAAATCCCTTTCTAAATGTCAAGAAGCCACTGTGTATGGATTCCATACGGAAAAAAATCCCTCTCATAGAAAATGCAGAACAAGTATAAATGAGAGAAAATGATAATTAAGAGAAGGACTTTAAGGCAGACTTATAATATCCTTTCAGGCTTTGAAAGGAAAACAAATATATAGAAATAAAAGTAGAGAAGGCCGGGCACGGTGACCCATGCCTGTAATCCCAACACTTTGGGAGGCTGAGGCGGGTGGATCACCTGAGTTCAGGAGTTCGAGACCAGCCTGGCCAGCCTGGTCAACATGGTGAAACCCCATTTCTACTAAAAATACAAAAAATTAGCTGGGCGTGGTGGCGGGCACCTGTAATCCCAGCTACTCATGAAGCTGAGGCAGGAGAACCGTTTGAATCTGGGAGACAGAGATTACAGTGAGCTGAGATCACACCACTGCATTCCAGCTTGGGCAATAAGAATGAAACTCCGTCTCCAAAAAAAAAGAACAAAATAAGAGTAGAGGAGAATTCAACCTGCCTGACTTCTTGTCTCTTTTTCTGTCTACCTCCCTATACATAGACATCAAATCATGCATACTTTGAGCTGTGGTTAAAAGAAATGCACCTTGTTCATAATTGCCAACAGTTCACTAAGCACAAGACGCAATCGACGAGGTGAATCACTGTGTTCAAACTCTAACGTCAGTCCATGCTGAAGCTGTGATACCAGGATGCTCTCTCCACTGCCTCCTCCAAGTTTATGCCTAATGAAGTACAAAACATGTAACAATTATGAAAACACTGATATGGAAATAATTGCATAAAAATTATCTTTTATTGAAATAAGCTATAAAAGGATGTATAAAGTGTTCTAAAATGTTCTGTTACTTCTGAAATGCTATTTAGTTTGCCTGTGTATTTCAGGGATTCACATCCTACGTATAATAAATACTCCACCACATAGGCCAGGCACAGTGGCTCACGCCGGTAATCCCAGTACTTTGGGAGGCTGAGGCAGGTGGATCACAAGGTTGGGAGTTCGAGACCAGCCTGGCCAATATGGTGAAACCTCGTCTCTACTAATAATACAAAAAAGCCGGGCATGGTGGCGCGTGCCTGTAGTCCCATCTACTCGGGAGACTGAGGCAGAAGAATCACTTGAACCCAGGAGGTGGAGGTTGCAGTGAGCCGAGATCACGCCACCGCACTCCAGCCTGGGCAACAGGGCAAGACTCGGTCTAAAAAAAAATAAAAATAAAAATAAATAAATAAATACTCTACCACAACTGACAATTAACACTCACTTCCACTGATGGTGGCTTGCTACTAGATTCACAATGGGCAGGGAAGGACATAGCACCTGCCCAGAATCTTTGGGAATATCTAAGCTTTAAAAGCCTCCCAAGAGGCTGGGCCCAGTGGCTCACACTTGTAATCCCAGCACTTTGGGAGGCCAAGGCAGGTGGATCACCTGAGGCCAGGAGTTGGAGACCAGCCTGGCCAACATGATGAAACCCCATCTCTACTAAAAATACAAAAAATTAGCCGGGCATGGTGGCAGGTGCCTGTAATCCCAGCTACTCGGGAGGCTGAGGCAGGAGGATCGCTTGAACCTGGGAGGCTGAGGTTGCAGTGAGCCAAGATCACGCCATTGCACTCCAGCCTGGGCAACAAGAGCGAAACTCTGTCTCAAAAAAGAAAAAAAAAAGCCTCCCAAGTGATTCCAATAAATCCCTCTAATCTAGGGGAAGTTACCCTACCTACTTCCCACTGAAAGTAATTGGCCTAATGAGTTTAGCCCACATACAACAGCACATTGCCATATTTCTCTAGATAACATTTTATAACATGGAAGTCAAAAGATTCTGGAACTGTAACTATATACAGAAAAGACCTAAGTAAAATGCTCTCCAGAATTTAGATTCTCATTCTCTCTTTTCTGGAGAGCTCTAAAAAATATCTGATTCCCTGTTCTTTGTCAAATCCAAATCCACATATAATATAACATAACATTACCTAAGCTGCTGTTCTTTGCTGGCATCTTGTTCTAAAGCATGAAAGTCCACGGACAACAATGCAACAATGGAGTTGACAGCTTCCACTCCAGAAAGAAGGCGAAGGATGAGTTTCTTATCCTGAGCCCAGCTTTGGCTCTGGTCAGCAGGTGCACAAAGTGCCATCCGTACCAAACAGGGCAGAAGAAGTCTTAATTCTGGATCACTTAAAGATGCCAGGCAAACAACATCCACCTTCTGCATTGCCTCAAAAGCAAAAGGGCTGACAAACTGAAGACTTGTACATTCAGTCATTATTACTGTTTGTTGATCCTAATGGTAAAAATACAAATGAAAGTAGGAGTTTAACTTTCACATGTATGAACACCCAACTTTCTAAAAACCCTGAAAAATGTGGTGTATCTTTAATAGGTCCCTATGTTGGCAATGTTCCTGGCACAATCAAGACAAGGCTTCTCTGTCTCCCTAGGTTTATACTGTCACCTGGGAAATGGGAAAGAAAACAGAGTATATTAATGTCTCTTCCAGCCTCAGGAATCTTCTGCTCTAATACTCATATTTTACAAAGAAGGAATATGAAGCCCAGAGAGATGAAGTAACACGCCCAAAATAGTATTACTAGTTAGAGGCACAATCCAAGGCTGAATCCTCATCTACTAAAATCCCAGTCCAAGACTTTCTCCACTATATCAGTCACATGAGCTCCACAAAATGTAAACAAAAGTGAATGGTCATAGTTAAGTGCTTTCTTTCATACCCCGATAGTTTCACATGCCTACCCCGATATACATCAAGAACTATTGGGCTTCTCTTTCTCACCCTCCATGAGTCGGTGGAAAAACTAGCAAATCACTGGGCAGAACCAATGCCAGATTCAAGGCTCTGGAGGCCACAACACTATCCTATGTCCCCTGTGTTACCGGGTAAAAAGCAGATGTGTGGGTGCTATGTGAGAAAGACGCGTCTCATTAGCGCACTTCTCTGTCTCCAGGAATCATCCAAGGCACAAAAAGTAAACAAAAAGGCAGTGAGCTGGCAGCCAAAGCAGTCCCCTCTCAAGGCCGACCGACTAGCAGCAGCGTGGGTAAAAGTCGTGGGTAAAAACTGCTTTGCTTTCAGGGAGGGGCTGCTCTTTTAACAGAGGGGCGGGCTGACTGGAGCAGAGGAGCCAAGACCTGCGTGCTCCTCCGTCTCGCCCCGGGCGCAACTAGAACCAATAAGTCCCTCAGGCTGAGCAAAGTCTGGCCAGGCTCCGACACGGACCTAGGAACGCGCTGAGGCCAGAGAAGCGGACGCTTCATACCTTAAGATCTACCCTCCAGCCTCACGGAACCGCACACGGACTCCGCGTCCTAGAGGCGGGACGCGGCAGAAATCGAGAGCGCGGTCCGATGTTGGGCCTAGGCGATATCCGGAACCCCAAACCCTAGTTGTGCCTCGAGTCGACTCGGACACCAAGAACTCAGACGCCGGGACCAACCGGGTTGTCGATACAAAGTGGGAAGGATGGGGGCACCACACAAAGGCAGAACCGGGACTGTAGGAACGGAAAAGCGGGAGACTTTTTCAACCTGCACCCAGCACCTTCATTCATCCCCAGCGTCTGACTCCCGTCGGCCACCGTACTGGTCTGAGAGGAAGGGTGGCTGCGAGAGGAAAGGCAGAGACGTCGGCGCCAATGCAACTGTGCGCGTGCGCGGCCCCGCCCCTTTCTCCACTTTATTTGCCCTGCCCTACTTGTTCGCCAAAAATTTAGAAATGTGATTCTGGTAGGCTCTGATTTCCAGAGCCTACCAGCTCCTTCCTTTTAGACAAGCAAGCCACTGAGCCCCTCAGAACTTAAATTTCATCATCACAGGATTGCCATGGCATTCAAATGGCATAACGTGTGTTAAAATCGTTCCCACTATTCTTTGACACTAGTGGTACCAAACTGTACTCTTTAAATCTTTGCCTGTGCCTTCCCAGAACCAAAATTCTAGAATCCCAGGATTTGTGGGAGAATTTTAAAAGTGATCTAACCCCAAACTTTCTTCCGCTCTTGACCTCACACCTCCGCTGTCAGAAGTTAAACACCTTCCTTTCAGGTTCTTAACTTGGGGGACCCATAGAACCTTAGAGAGGCAATGCACGGGGATTCAGGAATTCTCTGGAATCCGTTCAGAACTGAGTGCTCGGCACTTCTTCTGGGAAGAGGGTCCAAAACTTTCAACAACTTCTCAAAGGAAGTCTGATCACTCAGAAAAGAACCACTAGTCTATATATGAAGAACCGCTAGTCCATATGTCTTCATACTATTTATTGTTCCTAGTTCGATCAACGTTTATTTGGCAACTTCTATTTACCAGATATTGTGCTAGGAGCTGGAAATAAAAATATTTTACAAAGATATAGCACTTTATAACCTCTTTAAAAATAAAGTCAGAGCCGGGCGTGGTGTCTCATGCCTGTAATCCCAGCGCTTTGGGAAGCCGAGGCGGGCGGATCACCTGAGGTCAGGAGTTCGAGACCAGCCTGACGCAACATGACTAAACCCCAACTCTACAAAAAATATAAAAATTAGGCCGAGCACGATGGCTCATGCCTGTAATCCTAGCACTTTGGGAGGCCGAGGCAGGCAGATCACGAGGCCAGGAGTTCGAGACCAGCCTGACCAACATGGTGAAACTCCGCCTCTACTAAAAATGCAAAAATTAGCCAGGCGTGGTGGTGTGCGCCTGTAATCTCAGCTACTTGGGAGGCTGAGGCGGGAGCATTGCTTGAACCTGGGAGGCGGAGGTTGTGGTGAGCTGAGATCGTGCCATTGCACTCCAGCCTAGGCAATAAGAGCGAAACTCCGTCTCAAAAAAAAAAAAAAAAAAAAAAAATTACCCCAGCGTGGTGATGGAGCACCTGTAGTCCCAGCTACTTCGGAGGCTGAGACAGGAAAATCACTTGAACCTAGGAGGCAGATGTTTCAGTGAGCAGAGATCATGCCACCGCACTCCAGCCTGGGCAACAGAGCCAGACTCCATCTCAAAAATATATATATATATATGACTTTCAACATAGATCAGCAAAGGAAGAAAAGAATTGTGTGTTGCAATGCTTCTGAAAATTTTTTCCACCTGACCCACAATAATACATTTCACATTGTGACCCAGAAAAAACATATGTATATATCCACATACAAAAATAAGTGTAAGTGTATAAATTTATATGCTATATAAACATATAAATATATAACATATAAACCCACATTTACATGGAAACAAATATTTCGTATAATAACACACACACTACATGTTTCTACTTCTCTTTAAAAAACTGCTGGTCACTGCACACTAAAACTGATTTCACACTCTATTAATGGGTTGCACACTGTACTGTCCTAGCATTTTTAAGCTAATATTTGGGATTTATTTATTGAACACTTGCTAGGCACTGTAATAAATGCTTTATATATATTATCTGATTCAATCTTGTGACGTAGGTAATATTCGCCTTTTGCAATTGTGGAAACTGAGAGAGGGTAAGCAATTTCATCTCCATGGATGGTCATTTCACAGGAAAAGTGTGAAGGCAGTGCAAACATTGGTTTGAGGGACGAATGAGAGGAAGATGTGGGTATGAACTAAGTGATTTTAAAGATCCTTTCCAACTCTAATTATGATCCTCTGTTCACTAATGGAGAAACATCATGCAGATTCAGTATCTCCATCTTGATCTATGGAGAAACAGAAAAATCACTGAATGAGATGGCTGCAGTGTCACATAATGAGTGCTGACACTTCCTCCAAGTCCCCCTCTCCTTTTCTTCCAGTTCACCAACTTGACCTTGAGTTGCTCAAGCCAGAAACCTAAAAGTCATCCTAGACTCTAATCTCTCCCCCTTGTATTAATTTAGCAAAAATCTTTATAATCATTGAAACATTGTAATGTTTGCCAATAAAACTTTTTTTTTTTTGAGACAGAGTCTCGTTCTGTTGCCCAAGCTGGAGTGCAGTGGCACGATCTCGGCTCACTACAACCTCTGCCTCCCAAGCTGAAGCAATCCTCCCACCTCAGCCTCCTGAGTAGCTGGGACAATAGGTGTGCACCACCACACTTGGCTAATTTTTTTTTTTTTTTTTTTGAGACAGAGTCTCGCTGTGTCACCCAGGCTGGAGTGCAGTGGTGCGATCTTGGCTCACTGCAACCTCCGCCTCCCAGGGTCAAGCGATTCTCCTGCCTCAGCCTCCTGAGTAGGTGGGATTACAGGTGCCTGCCACCATGCCTGGCTAATTTTTTGTATTTTTAGTAGAGACAGGGTTTCACCATGTTGGCCAGGCTGGTCTCAAACTCCTGACCTCAGCTGATCCACCCACCTTGGCCTCCCAAAATGCTGGGATTTCAGGCATGAGTCCCTGTACCCAGCCTCTCTTTTTTTTTCCTTTTCGACACAAGTTCTCAAGAAAAGAGCGGCAGTGCAGTTGGGCGATCTTGGCTCACTACAACCTCAACCTCCTGGGCTCAGGTGATCCTCCCACTTCAGCCTCCCAAGTAACTGAGACTATGGTCATGCATCACCACACCTGGCTAATTTTTCTATTTTTTTGTAGAGACAGGGTTTCATTATGTGGCCAGGCTGGTCTTGAACTCCTGGACTCAAGCCATCTGTCCCCCCTCAGTCCACCAAAGTGCTAGGATTACAGGTGCAAGCCACTGCACCTGGCTTGACCAGCTTGCTTTTATTCTTCTACTTTATTTTTCAATCAGACTGGAGGAAGAGAGAAACACAAGTAATGAAAAAATGAGAAAAACAGAAAAACACATTAGAATATCTATTATGTTTCATGTATACTAGGTGCTTAATGTAGGTTGCAGAGTAATTGAGCTTCCAGCAGTTAGAAGACCTAACTATACAAAGGTGAGGACCAATGTCCTTCAGAAATAGTCATAGAATTCCAGAAGCACAAGGATCTCAGAAGACATCTAGCTCCATTTTGCTCAACATGATGCTCTTTATAGTGTGACTATTTTATCTTGTAAGATGTCTTTCAGGAGGGCACGATGGCTCATGCCTGTAATCCCAGCACTTTGGGAGGCCGAGGCGGGTGGATCACGAGGTCAGGAGTTCTAGACCAGCCTGGCCAATATGATGAAACCCTGTCTCTACTAAAAATACAAAAATTAGTTGGGTGTGGTGGTGTGCACCTGTAGTCCCAGCTGCTTGGGAGGCTGAGGCAGGAGAATCGCTTGAACCCGAGAGGTGGAGGTTGCATTGAGCCGAGATTGCGCCACTGCACTCTAGCCTGGGCAACAGAGTGAGACTCCATCTCAAAAAATATATATATTCTTTCATGTTTCAGCCTGTAAAGATCTTTGACTCTTTTACACTGGCTATCTGTTTTAGCTTAGCAGATCATATCTTCATTAATATTATGGATAAAACATTGAATAGAATTGGGTCCAGCCAAGACTTCTAGTTCAGCATTAGAGACATCCCTCCAGGTTGACATAGCTCCACCAATCAAGGCTCAAGTATGAGACTGTTTTATAAATCAGCCCAACTACTAAAACACTACCCTGCTTTGGGATAAAGTTGAATTTCTTTAGGATGGAACTAAAAAGACAGATTGATTGATTATATTTTTTTGAGACAGAGTCTCGCTCTGTCACCCTGGATGGAGTGCAGTGGCTCAATCTTGGCTCACTGCAACCTCCGCCTCCCAGGTTCAAGCAATTCTCCTGCCTCAACCTCCCAAGTAGCTGGGATTACAGGCACCTGCCACCATGCCCAACTAAATTTTTGTGTATTTTTAGGAGAGACGGGGTTTCACCATGTTGGCCGGGCTTGTGTCAGTCTCCTGACCTCAAGTGATCTGCACGGCTTGGCCTCCCAAAGTGCTGAGATTACAGGCGTGAGCCACTGTGCCAAGCCCTAAGACAGATTTTTTTTTTTTGAGGTGGAGTCTCAGTCTGTCGCCCAGGTTGGAGTGCAGTGGCACAATCTCAGCTCATTGCAACCTCTGCCTCTTGGGTTCAAGCGATTCTCCTGCCTCAGCCTCCTGCGTAACTGGGATTACAGGCACCCACCACCATGCCTGGCTAAATTTTTTGGGGTATTTTCAGTAGAGATGGGTTTTCACCATGTTGACCAGGCTGGTCTCAAACTCTTGACCTCAGGTGATTTGCCCACCTCAGCCTCCCAAAGTGCTGAGATTACAGGCTTGAGCCACTGCGCCCAACCCAAAAACAGATTTTTATGGTCTGACTTAAAACTCTAGCTTGGAGTCCTGCCGTATCCCACCATGGTGTCATTTTAGTCAGTTGGAACTGTTTATGTCTCAAATCCTTCTCAATATTCTTGGACCTTCTCATCACAGTTCCTCCTGTCTAGAATGCTTTTCATTCTCTTTTTTAATGCAAACTCCTAAGTGTCCTTTAAGTCTCACCTCCAGTGTTCCCTTGCTAAGAGACCTTTCCCTGACAAACCACCTACCCTTTAACTTATCAGGTATCCCTATTCTATGCTCTCAAGGCACCTTTTGCTTCTTTCAGCTATACTACTTAACACATTATATTGTAATTGTTAGAACTTCTCTGTCTCTCCCACTAAAAAGTATTTTGAGAGGGCCGGGCACGGTGGTTCACCCCTGTAATCCCAGCACTTTGGGAGGCCGAGATGGGTGGATCATGAGGTCAGGAGATCAAGACCATCCTGGCTAACACAGTGAAACCCTGTCTCTACTAAAAATACAAAAAATTAGCCGGGTGTGGTGGCGGGCGCCTGTAGTCCCAGCTACTCGGGAGGCTGAGGCAGGAGAATGGCATGAACCCAGGAGGCGGAGCTTGCAGTGAGCTGAGATCGTGTCACTGCATTCCAGCCTGGGGGACAGAGTGAGACTCCGTCTCAAAAGAAAAAAAAAAAAGGAAGTATTTTGAGAGCAGGGACCATATTTTAGTTCCTTGCCAAAGGCACAGTACGACACTTAACTTACTTTGTTGAATTAATGATTCAAGCATAAAGATACCACGATGCATAGTTTGCAAATATTCTCCCATTCTGCAGGTTGTCTGTTTACTCTGTTGATAGTTTCTTTTGCTGTGCAGAAGCTCTTAAGTTTAATTAGATCCCATTTGTCAATTTTTGCTTTTGTTACAATTGGTTTTTGTGTCTTTGTTATAAAATCTTTTCCTGTTCCTATGTCCAGAATGGTATTGCCTAGGTTGTGTTCCAGGATTTTTACAATTTGGGGGTTTACATTTAAGTCTTTAATCCAACTTGAGTTGATTTTTTATATGGTGTAAGGAATGGGTCCAGCTTCAATCTTCTGCATAGGACTAGCCAATTATCCCAGCACCATTTATTGAATAGGGAGTCTTTTCCCCATTGCTTATTTTTGTCAGCTTTGTTAAAGATCAGATGGTCGTAGATGTGTGGCCTTTTTTCTGGGCTCTCTATTCTGTTCCATTGGTCTATGTGGCTGTCTTTGTACCAGTACCATGCTATTTTGGTTACTGTAGCCCCGTAGCATAGTTTGAAGTTGGGTAACATGAGGCCTCCAGCTTTGTTCTTTTTGCTTAGGATTACCTCAGCTATACGGGCTCTTTTTTGGTTCCATACAAATTTTACAATAGCTTTTTCTAGTTCTGTGAAGAATGTCATTGGTAGTTTGATAGGAATAGCACTGAATCTGTAAATTGCTTTGGAAAGTATGGCTATTTTAATGATATTGATTCTTCCCATCCATCAGCATGGGATGTTTTTCCATTTGTGTCTTCTGTGACTTCTGACAAATGTGTAACATCCGGCATCTATAAGAAACTTTAAAAAAATGTAGAAGAGAAAGACAGCCCTGGCCAGGCACAGTGGCTCATGGCTGTAATCCCAGCACTTTGGGAGGCCAAGGCGGGCGGATCACCTGAGGTCGAGAGTTCAAGACCAGCCTGACCAACATGGAGAAATCCTGTCTCTACTAAAAATACAAAATTAGTCGGGTATAGTGGCGCATGCCTGTAATTCCAGCTACTCAGGAGGCTGAGGCAGGAAAATCGCTTGAACCCGGGAGGGAGAGGTTGTGGTGAGCCGAGATTGTGCCATTGAACTCCAGCCTGGGCAACAAGAGCGAAACTCCATCAAAAAAAAAAAAAAAAAGACAGCCCCATTAAAAAGTGGGCAAAGAGGCCGGGCACTGTGGCTCACGCCTGTAATCCCAGCACTTTGGGAGGTCGAGGCAGGTGGATCACAAGGTCAGCAGTTTGACACAAGCCTGGCCAACATGGTGAAGCCCCGTCTCTACTAAAAATCCAAAAAAAAAAAAAAAAAAAAAAATAGCATGGTGGCGTGCACCTGTAATCCCAGCTACTCGGGAGGTTGAGGCAGGAGAATTGCTTGAACCCGGGAGGCGGAGGTTTCAGTGAGCCAAGATCACGCCACTGCACTCCACCCTGGGTGACAGAGCGAGACGCCGTCTCAAAAAAAAAAAAAAAAAAGTGGGCAAAGAACATAAACATCCACTTTTCAAAAGAAGACATACAGGCGGCCAACAAGTGTATGAAAAACAGGTAAATATCTCTGAGTATTAGAAAAATGCAAATCAAAACCACAATGAGATATCTCACACCAGTCAGAATGAGTATTTTTAAAAAGTCAAAAAAATAGTGCTCGCTTTGGCAGCACATATACTACAATCAGAAACATACAAAGAAGACTATCAAATTTTTTTTTTTTTGAGATGGAGTCTCGCTCTGTCGCCCAGGATGGAGTGCAGTGGCACGATCTCGACTCACTGGCAAGCTCCACCTCCGGCATTCACGCCATTCTCCTGCTTCAGCCTCTCAAGTAGCTGGGACTACAGGCGCCTGCCACCACGACCGGCTAATTTTTTGTATTTTTAGTAGAGACGGGGTTTTACCATGTTGGCCAGGATGGACTCGATCTCCTGACCTCGTGATCCGCCCGCCTCGGCCTCCCAAAGTGCTGGGAGTCCAGGCGTGAGCCACCGCGCCCAGCCTTTTTTTTTTTTTTTTTTTTTTTTTTTTGAGATGGAGTCTCGCTCTGTCACCCAGGCTGGAGTGCAGTGGCGCAATCTCAGATTGCTGCAACCTCCACCTCCCGGGTTCAAGCAATTCTTCTGCCTCAGCCTCCTGAGTAGCTGGGATTACAGGCGCTCACCACCATGCCCGGCTAATTTTTTTTTGTATTTTTAGTAAATACAGGGTTTCACCATATTGGGCGGGCTGGTCTCCAACTCCCAGTGATCCACCCGTCTTGGTTTCCCAAAGTGCTGGGATTAGAGGCATGAGCCACTGTGCCCGGTTGCAATTTTTTTTTTTTTTTTTAATGCCAAAGAAGAACAGATGCTGGCAAGGTTGCAGAGAAAAGGCAACACTTACACACTGTTGGTAGGAGTATAAATTAGTTCAACAATGTGAAAAGTAGTGTGGCAATTCCTCAAAGAGCTCGAAATACCATTTGACCCATCGATGTCATTACTGGTTATATATCCAGAGGAATATAAACCATTCTACCATAAAGACACATGCACGTGCATGTTCATTGCAGCACAATTCACAGTAGCAAAGACATAGAATTAAATCTAAATGCCCACCAATGACAGATTGGATAAAGAAAATGTGTACATATATACCATGGAATACTGTGCA